>NC_000006.12:110070790-111320790 GCF_000001405.40 Homo sapiens
AAATGACTTGTCCAAGGTTACAAAGCTAGTAAGATGTATAGCTGGGATTCAAGTCAAGGAGGTTTGATTTCAACATTCATGCTCTTCATCACCTGCGTAGTCTCTCTGTACTTAGCTACAAGAGGCATTATAGACCACTAAGTTCAAATGCCTCATTTTAACAATGAAAACCCTAAGGAAATGAAAAGTTGGGTGACTTGACTGAGGTCACACAGTAGGTAATAGATGAATGGTGGGAGGTGGGAGTGGGAGGTCCAGGTCCATGTTCCCTGCTCTTCCCAGTTGGCTTGAAATATCCCAATGAGAGATTATTGCCCCTGGAGAGTGGCTGGTAAAGAAGTTTTATGATGGAACCAGTCCTAACTACTAACTGCTAAACATAGGGCCAATGGAGCATTCTATAAAAGTGGCTAAGATTAAACAAAGCAAATATTTGGAACTCTATCTTAGCTCAGTTTAAGAGGCAAAGAATGTCTTTTGTATTTGTAATATTTTTTTCCTTTTTACTTCTTTCATTATAAGGTAGTGTCTGGTGTCTACTTAGAAAGTACATTTAACTAAGTTTCATTCTGTTGTTTTCATGTATAATGAGTGATTATACATCTTCTAAACTTGGTGCAGACTATACTCTCTCTGTTTCTTAATTTTGTTACATTCACAGACTACTTTGTGTTGCCCAGATGGAGTCTTAGCTCTAAATAGCATTGCCGGACACACTCTGATGTTACCATACCCAAATATACAAGGTGAAATATGAGACCCTGAGCAAGTCACTTATTTCCTCTGGGCTACGGTTTCCTCATCTTTAACTCAAGGGAATGGAGTTAGATGGTGTCCATCTTACTCTGTGGTGCCTTCTAATTCTATACACAGAATAATAACCATAGTCATAAGTAACACTTATTTAACTATTACCAGGCACTGTGATAAGTGATTTATGTGCATTTCCCTTTAAATCCTCACAGCATCACTAAAAAGGGGGTACTACTATTGCCCCAATTTTACAGATGAAAAAGCTAAAGCTTAGAGAGGTTAAGAAACTTGCCCAAGGCTACATACACAGCAAGTGAGTAGCAGAGCTGGGATGCAAAGGCTGGCAGTCCACCCCAGATCCTATACTCCTAACCACTATGAGGTGGGAAGGTGCTCTTTCACAAAACCATGGAGAGCAGAGGCACCCACAGAGCACTTTCCATTATAGTACAGATGGAGAAATGAGAGCCAAGAGAATTTGAGTGGCTTGTCCAAAGACACATTGCCAGGCAGTGGTAGAGCTGACATGAATTCTCTTCTGGGCTATTTACTATGGCTGTTTGGCTGTTCTATCAGGTGGACTCTGGAGAATGGTCGTCTCCTCAATCAACAAGCTTCTGATTAGATTCTAGGCTTGGTTTATTCATCTTTTGTCCAGGAACAAAGTAAAAATAGATTTTGGCAATCAAGAACACAATCCCATTTACAGTGGCCACAAGAAAAATAAAATAAAATGCCCAGGAATACATCTAACCAAGAAAGTGAAAGATCTCTACAAGGAGAACTATAAAAGACTGCTAAAAAAATCAGAGATGACACAAACAAATAGAAAAACACTCCATGCTCATGGATGGAAAGAATCAGTATCATTAAAACAGACTTACTACCCAAAGTAATCTGGAGATTCAACGCTATTCCTATCAAGCCAGTAATATGAGTTTTCACAGAACTAGAAAAAACTATTCTAAAATTCCTATGGAAATAAAAAAGATCCTAAATAGCCAAAGCAATCCGAAGCAAAGAGAACAAAACTGGAGGCATCACATTTCCTGACTTCAAACTATACTATAAGGCTGCAGTAACCAAAAAGCATGGTACTGGTACAAAAACAGACACACAGGCCAATGGAACAGAATAGAGAACTGAGAAATAAGGCCACACACCTACAGCCGTCTGATCTTTGACAAAGTTGACAAAAGTAAGCAACAGGGAAAGAACTCCTATTCAATAAATGGTGCTGGGATAGCTGCCTAGCTATACGAAGGATGGCTGGGTTTTACAAGGACCCCTACCTTTCATCATATATAAAAAGTAACTCAGGATGGATTAAGAACCTAAACATAAGACCTGAAACTATATGAATCCTAGAAGAAAACCTAGGAAACAGCATTCTGGACATTAGCCTTGGGAAAGAATTTATGACTAAGTTCTCAAAAGCCACTGCAACAAAAACAAAAACTGATACATGGGACCTAATTAAACTAAAGGGCTTCTGTACAGCAAGACAAACTATCAACAGAGTAAACAGACAATCTACAGAATGGGAGAAAATATTCAAAAACTGCATCTGACAAAGATCTAATATCCAGAATCCATAAGGAACTTAAATCAACAAGCAGGAAAAAAAAAGTAACTCCATTAAAAATCAGCAAAAGACATGAACAGAAACCTCAAAAGATATACTAGTGGTGAACAAACATGAAAACATGCTCCACATCACTAATCACCAGAGAAATACAAGCCAAAACCATGATGAGGTACTATCTCACACGAGTTATCCATGGCTATTATTAAAAAGTCAAAAACCTACAGATGCTGGTGAGACTGCAGAGAAAAGGGATGCTTCTACACTGTAGAGGGGAATGGAAATCAGCCCAGCTACTATGGAAAGCAGTTTGGAAATTTCTCAGATAACTTAAAACAGAACTACCATTTGACCCAGCAATCCCATTAGTGGGTATATAACCAAAAGAAAATAAATCATTCTACCAAAAAGACACATGCACTCATATGTTCATTGCAGGACTATTCTCAATAGCAAAGACATGGAATCAACCTAGTTGCCCATCAGTGGTGAATTGGATAAAGAAAATGTGGTACATACATACCATGGAATACTACACAGCCATAAAAAGGAACAAAATCATGTCCTTTAAGGCAACATGGATGCAGCTGGAGGCCATTATCCTAAGCAAATTAATGCAGAAACAGAAAACCAAATACCACATGTTCTCACTTATGAGATCTAAACAGTGGGTACTCATGGACATAAAGATGGGAACAACAGACACTGGGAACTACTAGAGCAGGGAGGGAGGTGGGCAAGGGTTGAAAAACTACTGGGCACTATGCTTAGGACCTGGGTGATGGGATCAATCATACTTCAAACCTCAGCATCACACAATATACCCAGGTAACACACCTGCACATGTACCCACTGAATCAAAAAGTTGAAATTATTTTAAAAACTAAATAAAATCCATGTTTCTACCAAGAAAATAAATTTTGGAAGTTTATGCATCTCCCACACATTTGATTTATATTTTCATGATTGACTTAAGCTTGACCCTATGTGTCCTTTTTTCAAGAAAAATAAAATTTTATTTGCAATTTGGATTCAGAATTCATTCTGGGTTTCACAAGGATCTCTTTGGTTGTCAATGTCATGTTCAGTGCTTCTCCACAGAACTTTACCCACAAGTCCACTGAAAGATGGTATACAGAAAGCTGAGGCTGAATTGAACTTAAAGTGCCTGCATCTTCTCCACAGGCTAAGCCTTAAAATAGTGTTTGTTCTCCATCACACTATCTACAGATTTTGAATTTAAGATCACTTTCAGATTAGGGCAATGATTCCCAACTCTGGCCAGACAATAGAATCATCTGAGGGACTTTTACAAAATGGTCATAATTTGGGACTCACCTACCACTGAAACCACTGGAAGGTCAAATTCCATTGATGGCATTTGAGTGGGAACATGATATGGAAATATTATGTTTTAGGAATGTTGGTCAGGTTGCTATATCCCTAATTGAGATCTTTTATATATATATATATATATATATATATATATATATATATATTTTATTATACTTTAAGTTCTAGGGTACATGTGCACAACGTGCAGGTTTGTTACATATGTATACATGTGCCATGTTGGTGTGCTGCACCCATTAACTCGTCATTTACATTAGGTATATCTCCTAATGCTACAGTATTTTTTTTGACAGTCAGGTCTGCTGATGCTTAAACCTAGGTTGACAGAGTCCTGAATCATGGGTTCTCCCATGTACCTCATTCTTTCTTCCCATAGTTCCCTGGAGTTTACCTGACTTTCCTTTTTTGAAGTTCTCATTCCACATAGAACAGTTTGTAGAAAAGTATGTGTCCCAATACCATTCCCTGTTTCACTAATCTTGGAGAGAGATTTTATTCACGTGTCATAACACTCAAAAGGCACACAATATAGAGCCAAACACTACTAGCCTGTCTACTTCTCTGTCTTTCGGCCTCAGTTTTCCTCCCTGAAGTCACCACATTTCTAGTTCTTGAGGTGTTCTTGCAGAGCTGGGTTATGCACACACAAGCAAATGTTGCATATATGGATTAACTAAAATGATATCCTTTTAAGCACTGTTCAGTAATTTGCTTTTTCCCTTTTCTCTTCTATCCCTACAACTAAGCATGTAGGCCCTTCTTCTTCATTTAAGTATTTTTTAAGGAGAATGAAAAGGGCAATGACGAGAGTCCAGAAAGAGGATCCAGAACTGTAAAAGTTCTCACAGTGATATTTCTGAGGTCCTTGTACCTGAGAACTTCCTGCTTTTTCCCTTTTTCTCTACCTGAGGGTGTTATTCAATCTTATTTTCCTAACCCCTTTCAACCTTCTGAGTCCCTGACCCTATTCAGCATTTTTCTTCTGTCCTTTATTCATGATACTGACTCTCACTAGGAAGTGGGTCTGAATTTACAGTTAGGATGGAACAGTACTTATGAATAGCAAACCATTCAGGGACTTCCTAACCTCATTTGGAAATTACACATCTCAGAGGAATTTATGGTCACCTTGAGCAACCTCTCAACACAGTAAGTTAAGCAAGGGTCTCAGTTATGATGTTAAGAGTTGGAATTCAAAGAAAGGGGTAAATAGGAAAAACAATGCAAGAGAAATGTGATGCAATTTGATAAATGACTAGGTTCAGGGAATGGAGAGAAAGAAGTGAACTCTCTACGCCTTAGAATCAAGATTTTAAACTCAAGAGACTGAAAGAATGGTGGGATCACTATCAAACAAGACATTCTTTCAAAAGCTGCCTTTTTTTTTTGGTTGAATACTGTACACATCAGATTTTGGAGGCAGACCAAGCATGGGAAAATCTGTGGAGTAGCAGTTTGTCTCCAACCCTTTTCTGTACTTTTTCTGGCCCACCCTTCTCTCTGACTCCATGGGCCATTCTTCCACTGGATTGCCTGTCATCTAACTCTTGCTAAAGTGATGAACAGTATCAGGTGTGGGCTGATAAAGGCAAAAGTTGCATCCTGTCCCAGGGGTAGCTACAATTTAAAAGGAGAAATAAAGAAGACTTAAGACCAAAAAAAAAAAAATGCATCTACAAGAGTGGAATTAATGTGTCCTAGTTAATTTTTTAGACAAGCTGGTAGACCTCAGATCACATGGTGGTTTGTTAATCACAAGGTTAATTCTGTTCTATTGGGACCACTTAATTCCAAAGCTTCTCTTGCCTGAACACAGACTATAGCCTACTGATAGGGTTTTAGGCCTATTATTCTGTGAAGCACAAAGTTACTCTGTAGCCATCCATTCGGTTATTTTAAAATATAACAATAGAGGCTGAATAATATTCTTCTATATTTCCTGATAGTCTTTTTGGTGGAATTTTCTGTGGTCCAAATTGGCCTTCCCTTACTGGGACTATGTAACATTTAATATCTTGTTTAAAAAGAGAGAAAGCTTCATCATTACAACCAAAACTTTAATAAAGACACATGGCTCTTTTAAAAAGAAAACTGCCCACATTCCTAGTAAGTTGAACACAACTGAAACAGCTGATCTGTTATTATGGGCATGTACACTCAGACCAGAGCCAGGAACTCAGTAGTACACACATACAACAGTCACAAATTTAAATCCAGTTGAGTTTACCAGAGGTCCAGCTAACGTAGATATAAACTGCTTAACCTCCTCTAGGCATCTGACCTTGAAAATATTCACACTGAGAAGAAGCAGTATCACACAGTGGTGAAGAGCACAGGCACTGAAGCCAGGCTATTTGGGCTCAGATACTAGCTCTACCACTTACAGCATTCCCCCTTATCCATGGGGGTACGTTCCAAGACCCCCCAGTGGATGCTGTAAACCAGATAGTACTGAACCCTATATATACTATGTTTTATCCTATACAGCCATATCTATGATAAAGTTTATGAATTAGGCACAAAGATTAACAACTACTTGTAAAATAGAATAAAAGTTATGTGAATGTAGTCTCTCTCCCAAAATAAGTTACTGTGCTAACTCTTCTTCTTGTGGTGATGTGAGATGATAAAATGCCTACGTGATGAAATAAAGTGAGGTGAACGACATAGGCATTGTGACATAGTGTGAGGCTACTACTGACCTTCTGCCAACACGTCAGAAGGCTCATCTGCTTCAGGGGATCCTGGATCACTGAGCCATGATGATGTCAGGATTTTGACATCATCATGTCATCACCTGCTTCAGGTGATCCTGGATCATTGAGCCATGATGATCCATGGCTGGATGTCAGGAGCAGCTCATGATATTAATGGCCAGGTAGTGTATCCAGCATGAATACGCTGGATAAAGGGATGATTGATGTGCTGTGTTGGACAAAGAGGGGTGGCACAAGATTGCATCACGCTACTCAGAACAGTGCATAATTTAAAACTCATGAATTGTTTATTTCTGGAATTTTCCATATACCTGTATTATTATTTCTGGACTGCAGGTAACTGAAACCTCAGAAAGCAAAACTGTGGATAAGGGAGGACTACCGTACTACTTAGGTGACCTCGAGACATGTATTTAACCTGCTGTGCTTTGGATTCTGCAAAATGTGGACCACATTAATAACTACTCTGTAGAATGGCTGTGAATATAACATAATACATGGAAAGCACGTAGAATGGAGCATAGAACATCGTGCCATATAAGTGTTAGCTGTGTTCTTACTTAATAATAGAAACATTTTATATTCAGATTTTGTGGGCAATTTTGCAATTAATTTTAGTTTGTTAAAATGTGACCAATGGAAAAAAAGTATTAGCTTTTTTCTTTAATTACTTCTCCCTCTTCTACTGTAAGGTTTCCCTCTGACATCCCAGGGTCTAGTAATGGCATCCACATGTGGCAATAAACTATAGCAGTTAAGCCACAAGCTAAGCGGCTGAGGTATCAAGGGCACTTTGGGGTCATCCTTAAATATCCACTACCTATGAGGGCAACACAAATCTTTTTATTTTTTAATTTTTTTGAGACAGGGTGTGACTCTGTCACCTAGACTGGAGTGCAGCGGCATGATCTTGATTTAGTGCAGCCTCATCCTCCTGTGCTCAAGTGGTCTTCTCACCTCAGAGGGGTGAATAGCTAAATAGCTCCTGAATAGCTGGGACTCCAGGCATGCACCACCACACCTGGCTAATTTTTATACTTTTGTAGAAATGGGGTCTCACTATGTTGCCCAGGGTGGTCTCGAACTCCTGGGCTCAAGTGATTCTCCCGCCTTGGCCTCCCAAAGTGCTGGGATTACAGGCACGAGTCACTGCACCTGGCCAAACCTCTTTTTTATACCCCTGCTTTATCATGCTTTCTATGGGCAGGAGATCCAGTTTTGACTGAACTTAGCCAACAACTTCTCACTTCTGTTTCAAGCAAGCACACCTGACAATAGAGACAAAAGTTAAAAGACATTGCATAGGAAATACATTCCATATTCTTGTCATCTTTTTTTTTAAATAGTGTGCATGTGAAAGTCCGATTTTAAAGAGGTGACATGTGAATATTAGTTCCTTCAGTTAAAGGAGATACAAAGTCCATGTGAATATATCATTTCAATTGAAGGCAGATCTGTGGTACCTCAGAGTTTGGATAAAACTAATACCACTGAGAACTTAGATAACATCTGGATACTGAATGAACAGGTCTTTTTCATCACAATGTTTTATTATTATTGCACTGTGGAGCTACATAAATATTTGTTGAATATTTATACTAGGTGTTTTCCCTTTATATGAAATGTCTGTCGTGTAAATGTTAATATTTGTTGATCTGTTGTAGAGTAATGGTAATCTTAAGCATTTAAATAGTGAGGTTGAAAATATTTATTTAAAAGTATCATCATTTAGATACTATATCCTCTGTGTTTTGACATTTAACTAGGATAGCTTTTTCTAAAATACCATAGCAGAAAAAAATTCTATTCCATCTTGTTTTAAACAATCTGTATTTTTGTGGAGTTCAGCAGCATTTCAATACAGAAACAGTGAGTTTACTACTTTTAACTTAGCTTAGCTAATGAACACCAAATTAAAGTCACAGCCTTAAGACAGTTGGTACTGCTGTTGATAAAAAAAAAATTTACTTTGATAGCATTTTTAGGTATAAAAGTGGAGTATTTTAAAAGAGCTTCAGAAATCTGCAAGTTTTCTGAGAAGACAAATTATTTCCTGCTAAAAATATAGGGCTGAATCAAGTATCAATGTTAGGGATCTAATCTTGTTGACAAATTACAGAAACACAAAAAATATGTTTAAAATGTAGCTCATGCTAGGAGAATATATAAATTTACATGCTATATATATATATTTTTTTCCTTCAATCAATTTTCTAAGAAAGAGAATGAAGTCTTTTAATTTTGTATCAGTCTAGGAATAGCTCTGTTTCATATTCCATTCTGTGTCATCTCATATTTTACTCTTTTACCATATCTCTAGAAGTGGATCTCATATTGGATAATGGGATACCTGGCACAATTTGTCCAGGGATCTCAAAAGACCACATCTAGAAAAACATGACTTTTACCAAAGAAAAACACAGGGTTCTTCAGGGTCACATAACATGCAACAATGGGGCTGTAAGAGCTCAGCTGGCCACAACTGAATTAAGCACAATGCTCCTTTCTCTAAGCTGTGTTTGCTGAGACATCATTTACAGGGTCTCTC
The DNA here is from genome assembly GCF_000001405.40 of Homo sapiens. Taxonomy (NCBI): domain Eukaryota; kingdom Metazoa; phylum Chordata; class Mammalia; order Primates; family Hominidae; genus Homo; species Homo sapiens. The sequence goes on from NC_000006.12 coordinate 110,079,747, forward strand.
TCAGTATTAAAATCACAAGATACCTTAAGACACCTTAAGTCATAAAATTAATCCACTACCTCATCTCTTGGGTGTGAAGTGAGAGGGGCGTCTAGGAAACCTGGGCCCGAAACACTTTCTCAAAATGCCAAACATCACCTGTTAATTATCATTCTGTAGGTTGAAGTCTTTCTGGTCCTGAATATCTCCAGTTAAAGATCCTATAGACAATAAGTTATTAGTGATAAGCCTTTTTGGTGATTAGCTTGTTAGCTTACTGACAGTATATAATAAACCCACTGGAGATATGAAGAAGACTGGTGAGTTCTGTTGATGAGATGTGAAGAATTAATTTCTGCTCAGAAAGCCAGAAATGGGTAAGACATTATGATGTTAGGGGCCTGTAGAGTTGCCCAGCACAGAGAGGGATGTGTGGGGTGGGATGAAATGGAGAGGGCATCCTTTTGAGTGAGGTGGGAAATTTACACTGGAAGGAGAGAATGAAAGGTATCAAAAGTAAAGTCTTGGCTGGGCATGGTAGCTCATGCTGTAATCCCAGCACTTTGGGAGGCCAAGGTGGGTGGATCACTTGAGCTCAGGAATTCAAGGCCAGCCTGGGCAACATGGCAAAATCCTGTCTCTGTTGAAAATGCAAAAATTAGCTGGGCATGGTGGTGTTCCCCTGTGGTCCCAGCTACTTGGGAGGCTGAGGCACAAGGATTCCTTGAGCCCAGGAGGTGGAGGTTACAGTGAGCCGAGATTGCACCACTGCACTCCAGCCTGGGCAACAGAGTGAAACCCTATCTCAAAAAAAAAGTAGTCTCTCTTTCTCTGCATATCCATACAGATGCATATATACACACACGTGTGTGTGGGTGTGTGTGTGTGTTTCCTTCCCTCCCACCCCTGGTGATTCTAACCTAGCATCAGTGTGGTCTTTCATAGATTTTTAACTCTAAGATAGGGTTTTTAAATATAACTTTTGAAACAAAGCTTTCTGTGTAGAAAAGCATACGTCCTGTTAAGAGATAATCCTATGGTCTAAAGATATTTTGACATATTTAAGTGTTCTATGTGATTATATTTGCATAATTGTGATTATGCCTGTAAGATTTTAAAAGAATCTGAATATATGTGTCCTCAACTCTAAAAAAAAGTATTAAATGTTACCTTCAGGGGATTATGATTATCTTCAATGCTGTTTTTTTCTTGTGAGAAAACCTAAGAGCTGCTTCCCATGGTATACCTTCCGCTTCCTCCAAACTTGCCCTTTTGTCATGGTTCAATCATTTGCTTTGGTTTACTTTTAGCTGCTATTTAGAAGTTCTTCTTCCTCCACCCAAAGGGAGGCGGCTTCCTTAAGTTCAAGATTTTACTTCATTCTTCTTCCTTAGTTGAACCTCCATCCTTTCCCCTTCCTCTGTATCTCACCATGATAGCTATATTGTAATCTTTACTGTAGTACAATAGATATAAGGTAAAAATGGTTGACACATGTTAAAACTGTCCTGTTCAGACCAATCTGTGAGCCCTTTAGTTTTCAGTCTTGTGGAGGTGGGGGGTGGGAGAAGGGTTGGCGGACTGTTTGTCCTGAAGGCTTTTAAGCCCCATGCTAGGTTGAGTTCTCCCTTTCGGACACTGTCTTTGGAAAAGAAGTATATTTTCCTGTCTGGGGCCAAGTCCACCAGCTTTGACATCAAAGCTGCTCCCTTAGCTTTCTAGACCAACCTGCCCACTGTCTTCGAGGCTCTGCTCAGAATCACTGACATACCTCACTCTACTCGCCTTGGGCATCCATCTCCCAACCATCTCTCATTAGCAGATTCCAGACTTTAAGTTTATTCTTCCCTGTCCTTGCAATCAGATTCTTACAGTAGTGAGCTGAGTGTTCCCAGCCTCTCCCTCTATCGAATTTTCTCCCTCTGGTTCCCAGGAGAATATTTCTAGACCCACATCTTTGAAAAGCCTCCTTGGTGCTGTATATCCCATCGCAGTCCTTGGAATATCTAAGTCATACCAGGGAGGGTCTTTCTTCATGACAGTCACACTGTTTGTGTGCACATGAGAATATCAGAAAGTTAATCATTTCTTCCTGGGAAAAGAGAAACTTCATAAGGTTCAACCCAGTGAATGTTAGCAATGAGAGATTAAATAAATCACTTACAGTCTATTCCTCCACTGGCATACTGTTCTGGCACTGGGAGTGAATGAACTAGAGTCCTACATATTATCATGGATGAAACTCACATACATATTGTTGAAGAAAAAAGCAAGCTGCAGAAAAATATGTAGTATACCATGAATATAGTTTGAAAGCTATTAACAACAATGCTATCTTTTATTTATTTATTTTTTTTGAGATGGAGTCTCACTCTGTCGCCCAGGCTGGAGTGCAGTGGCATGAACTTGGCTCACTGCAACCTCTGCTTCCTGGGTTCAAGCAATTGTCCCGCCTCAGCCTCCTGAGTAGCTGGGATTGCAGGCATGCACCACCACGCCCAGCTAATTTTTGTATTTTTAGTAGATGGGGTTTCGCCATGTTGGCCAGGGTGGTCTTGAACTCCTGGCCTCAAGTGATCTGCCTGCCTCGGCCTCCCAAAGTGCTGGGATTACAGGTGTGAGCCAATGCGCCTGTCCAATGTTATATATTTCTTAGGGATACACACACACACACACGCACCCACACACATTTTCCTGACACCATATATGTGAAATATGCATGTAATAAAAACATAAATAAAGGTATGGAAATAACACACTAAATTCATGGTAGTAGTTACAACTGCAAGGAGACAAGAAGTAGCTTCAACTGTATTGGTTAGTGTGTATTTCCTCAGATGGGTGGAGGATATGTGGAAGAGAATATATTCATTACATAGTTTACAAATTTTATTTATTGCATAACAAATAAAAATAAAATGCATTCCAGCTTTTGCTGTAACAAGGTAATTCAGGTATTTTATTAAGGTTAGCTAAAATGCTGATAGAATCATTTATTATTTGCCTTCCTACAATGTGAAATTATGGTAAGTTGTTGGTGGTTCCATTTTCTTAGAAAGACAGCCTCTGTCATTTTGACAGTCTGTTTCTCTTGTTTAAGCACAAGTCACAGTAGAAGACTTTACACCTAAATAAAACCAGCTCTTTTCTGTCCTAAAATTAACTGGAATCAATGTGGATCTGGCACTAGGTTTCTAAACTGGCATAAACAAATTGGCTACAATTTCTGCTCGTATCTTCAGGTTTCAGTGTTATAAATCACCATTGGCCAATAATAGAATCATATTTTCATGAGGTATAAACCACTCCTAATAGTCTTCCTGAATTTATCAATTTTCTATTAAAATATTCAAAGAGTATTTTCTGCTTTTTCTGGCATCACAGTGGTGCCATGACCATGTGTACAGAATCCCACATAATTAAAAAATTAATGTTATCAAATGATTCATTTGTAACTTTTCTTTAAGCTACTTTTCTTTTTCTACACATAAGACTGGTACCATATGCAGTTACTACAAGCCATAATTAATAGTTGTGTGGTATTAGCATTTGTGTTTTCAATATGAGATTATCAAAGTTCTTTTGTTGCAGTTTTCTAGTACAAACCATATGCTACCAACATGTACAAAATCCTTAAGAAGATTATTATTATTATTATTGTTTTGAGACAGTCTCTCTCTGTTGCCCAGACTGGAGTACAGTGGCACGATCTCGGCTCACTGCAGCCTCCGCCTCCTGGATTCAAGCGATTCTCCTGCCTCAGTCACCTGAGTGGCTGGGACCACAGGCGTGCACCACCATGCCGGGCTAATTTTTGTATTTTTAATAGAGACAGGGTTTCAACATGTTGGCCAGGATGGTCTCGATCTCCTGACCTCGTGATCTGCCCACCTCGACCTCCCAAACTGCTGGGATTACAGGCATGAGCCACTATGCCCGACCAAGAAAATTATTAATATTTTAAAATTTTAAAATCATACATAATAGACTTTAATTTTTTTCTTTGTACTGTTCTTATTCTTACAACTCTTCTGGAAATTTTAAATTATTTCCAAATGTTTGCAGTGGTTTCCCAAGCTCCAATTCCCACATGAGTGTTATGAATGGACCTAGATAGATGACCCAGCACATGCAGTGGGTTGCATTACAGGAAAGCTTTGGGTAAATGCTGTTTTAGAGCTGGCAAGTTTATAATAAGCAAGTTTACTCTTTGCCCTGGAGGGAGACATTATCTCCTCCCTCAAGGTTGCCCACTACAAAAACAACCCTGAGAAATGACCCAGATAAACAGAGGTCAGGGCCTCACTGGAGTGCAAGAGTCATGGAGGACTGTCTCCCAACAAAGTTCCTCTCAGCAACAGTTAGATGACTAGTGGGAAGCATAGTGCAGGCTATCAGTCATAAACCAAAACATTTTCAGCATGGAGCAAATGTGGGTAGACTGTCTAGGAAAACAGTAGATAGGAATAGATGGATGGGAGGGGAAGTATAACTCATCCAAGGTCTCATCTTTGTTTATGTAGAAGAGGTAGAGAAAGAAAGCAGATACCTACCAAATAAGGAGAATGGAACCTCCCAAGGAAGATGGGAAAGAGCTCTCTTGCTTGTATTGTCTGTTTCTGTCCCACAATAGCTGCTTCCTCCTCCCTGGGCCTTTCCTTTCATCTCTTGTCCTCTAATCAGATGGCACTTTGGTCTCTGCCTCTGATTTGGACTGCTTTCCTCTCTGGTTTGGATGTTTTCCTGTCCTGGGTATTAGCTGCAGTTGTTTGTATCCCGACCCTCCTTTGCATCTTAGAACTCACTGAAGGTTTATACTTTATAATGAATTTAATAGACTTTAATTTTTTTCAAACATTCAAAAACCTTTCTCTCATTCCCAAGCTTTCAAAGATATAGAGTCACTAACATGCTCAATTTTTTTTTTAAATCAAGAATTTAAACTTTTAAATCATATGTGGCTTTCATCTATTCCAGAAAACATTTATTGGCCACTCTCTTTGTACTGGTACTGTGTTAATGCAAGGGATACCAAGTTTAACAAGACATTGTGTGTAAAATCCCAAGGATTTTACAATATCTACCTAGAAAATACAAGATAATCCATAAACTAGTAGAATTATTAGGCAAGTTCAGCTAAGCACCAATATTTAGAAAAATATTATGTATCACCACTTAGAAAACATAATTAAAAACATAACTTTAATTATAACTAAAAAGATTAAAGGTATCTAATAATAATCTAAGTATAAACAGATAGTGAGCTGGACTGTTTTCTATTCAGTTACCCTAGAACTGTTAAAAGCAAGGACAAAGTCATGAAGTACACCATCTACAGGAACACTACCATAAACAAATCACCTATGGGGTCAGAATCCTCTCTCTAGGAAATGCAGAATTACTGTCATCCACCACCATTCCTTCCCTGTGTATTAAGTAGAGGATTGACAAGGACAGATGGAGTGGTCAGTAGTGGCCTTATGAGGAGTGTAGTAATCTACAGGAACACTACCATAAACAAATCACCTATGGGGTCAGAATCCTCTCTCTAGGAAATGCAGAATTACTGTCATCCACCACCATTCCTTCCCTGTGTATTAAGTAGAGGATTGACAAGGACAGATGGAGTGGTCAGTAGTGGCCTTATGAGGAGTGTAGTAATCCATGGTTATATCTGAGTAGGGACGGATAGGGCAGAGGGTTCAAGTGACTAACAGAGACTGTAGATCCCTAACAGTGGATTCTCTAGCAGGCTGCTGGCTGAGCTGCAAAATCTGGAGGCTGAGCCTGATGTTGTCATCTAAGTGTGGAAAGGAAGTCCTTGGGATTGGCTTGACATGTGTCTCCTGAAAACTGCTGTCATATTGTATCTGTGCAATCCACGCATTAATAGCAATCTATGCAATTCCAATCAAAATCTCAAAAAAGGTATTTATGGTATTGGGTAAATTGGTCCTTAAATTCATTTGGAAGAATAAAGGACCAAGAATAACCAAGATTATTTTTAAAAAGAATCAAAAGGAGCTTGGCTTATCAGAAACTAAGACTTAGAAATGGATAGTAATTAGCGAAATGTATTGTTGCTGTAGAGGAGGACTGTTATATCCCCAACTCACTCACACATGGGAATGCGATATACGAGAGAGGTGGCATTGCAATTCAGTGGAGATAGAAGGGACTGTACAATAGTTCATAAAGAAAAATGGTATTAGATTCCCTATATCATACCCTAAGCAAAAATAAATTCTAGAAGGTTAAAGACTTAATGTGAAAAGCTAGTTTTTAAAGCTTTCAGAAGAAATTATATGAAAATATCTTTATGACCTCAGGGCACAAAAACATGTTTTAAACCTAACATGAAAAGTATAAACCATAAAGGAAAATAATATCAAATTAAATACTAAAAATTAAAACTTCTGCATAGTAAAACTCAAAAGGCAAGCTACAGATTGGGAGAAGATATTTATATAGTGCATATTATTGTATAATATAATAAGGAAAAGGCAAATATCCTATTAAAATGGGCAAAGGATATTAATAGATAATAGGATGGGGAAACTTAAATGACCAACATACATATGGAAAAATGAAAACTAAAGAGATATTGCTTCACACTTATCAGAATTGCAAAAATTATCAGACAGTATCTATTCTTGTTGGAACTATCAGATAGGGAATTTTAAATCAACAATGACTACTATATGGGTTAATAGGTACAGCAAACCACCATGGCACATGTACACCTATGTAACAAACCTGCACGTGTTCTGCACATGTATCCCAGAACTTAAAGTACAATAAAAAGAAAACAATGACTACTATGTTACATAAGACTACATAAGTAGCCTTATGTGCCTGGCATATAATAATTATTAGTAAATATTAGTTAAATGAATGAAATTAATGAGCGAAAAAGAAAAATGACACCTGGAACTTTTCTCAAAGAAAGCAAGGTTCAAGAGTAAGGATGGAAACACTACCCATTTAACTTTTTGAAACACAGTAATTCGTTTTGTTTTGTTTTTGTAGAAACAAGGTATTGCCATCTTCCCCAGGCTGGTCTCAAACTCCTTGGTGCAAGGGACCCTCCAGCCTCAGCCTTCCAACATGCTGGGATTACAGACATGTGCCACCATGCCTGGCCACAATAATCTTTATCTATTTCTGCTTCTGTATTTTTAGCACCTCACAGTAACTAATTCTGATAATCATGACGCTGATTCATTCATTCTTTCATTATTTTAACAAACGTGTAGACCTCCTATAAACTACAGCCTATACTGAAGGTTGGGAACCCAAAAACGAACAAGATACAGCTCAAGATTTTCACAGTCTAATTGGAAACAGTAATATAAACAATGTTTTTTTTTTTTTTTTAGATGGAATCTCGCTCTGTCACCCAGGCTGGAGTGCAGTGGTGCGATCTTGGCTCACTGCAACCTCCACCTCCTGGGTTCAAGTGATTCTCCTGCCTCAGCCTCCCGAGTAGCTGGGACTGCAGGCGTGGGCCACCATGCTGGGCTAATTATTGTATTTTCAGTAGAGATGGGGTTATAATACATTTTAATAAATGCTACATTAGTATCATTTTTTAAATGGAAATCACATACAGAATATTCTTTTTTAAAAGTCAGAGAAATTCATAGTCGCTTTCGGTAACAACACTGACTTCAGACATGTGCTGTGGAGTCAGACAGACCTGGATTAAAATTCAGGCCTTATCCAGCCCTTACTCCATAGAAGCTGTGAGACATGGGCCAAGTTACAACTTCTCCAAACTTCAGTTCTCCTCTGCAAAATGGAGATAATACCTTTTCCTACCTTATCCTAATGTTAAAAAGATTAAATGAGGGAAAGAATGTAAACTGCTTAGGACGGACAGTGCCTAGCACAAAAATAATAGATAGTGGTGGTGGGTGGGGGTGATAATAGTTAACACTTCTTTTACAGTATGCAAGATTTTAACCCTTCATTACCTGAAAAAGAGACTTATCCAGAATGATTTATTTCTTAAAAGACTCTAGAGTGCTAATATTTTGTTTTAATGAACATGTATTGTACAAAGAACTGGGAGCAGAAAGATGAGAAAGAGTCTCTAACCTCTAGCAGAAGTATGATGAGTGATACCTGCTAGGGTATCATTTGTAATCAACGAAGATTTTACAGTCACTAAAAAGTTAAAATAGAACTGAAGTTCAAATAAATGTTTCACACATACTTTCCCTCCCTTAAGCAAGAATGCTTCAAAGTAAAGTGCCACTGGGGAATTTTGATTTTTGATGAAGGTTTTGCAAGTCGTTCAGCTTCAAATAGCATCCTGTAAGTCCCCGAGCAGTAAATTGGGAGCCAAATGGGAACCATTTGACAGGTCTGTCACTTGCTTTTTCTTATTCCTCAAAATACTACAGGGATGCACTGTCTCCACTTATGTAAGCCTCTGTATCTATGCTTTTGAACACTTTCTTTTGTTAGTTAAAAATAAGCTGAATTGTTCACAGTTCTCTTTTTTTGTTTTGATATGTTTTTAAATGCAGCTGCATGCAACAAACGGTTTAATTGTGGTCTTAACGAACTCAGTTGAAATTTGGAAACTGTTTTTGGTTGTTGTTGTTTTGAGATGGAGTTTCACTCTTGTTGCCCAGGCTGGAGTGCAATGGTGCGACCTCGGCTCACTGCAACCTCTGCCTCCTGGGTTCAAGCGATTCTCCTGCCTCAGCCTCCCGAGTAGCTGGGATTACAGGCATGTGCCACCATACCCGGCTAATATTTTGTATTTTTAGTAGAAATGGGGTTTCTCCATGTTGGTCAGGCTGGTCTCGAACTCCTGACCTCAGGTGATCTGCCCGCCTTGGCCTTCCAAAGTGCTGGGATTACAGGCGTTAGCCACCGTGTCTGGCCTGCATTTTTTATAACTCAGGGTAGAAAAAACATTTGGCTATTAATACCACTTTTTATAAGCATCAAAACTGGGCTTCACATTAATTTCCTTTTTCCTGATAAAGGGTCTGGCTAATCTCTTCTGATAATGATGGACTAGGTAATTTGGATCTACTATCTTTTGAGGACAATTAGAAAAGCTGCACAAACTATTAAAGGTATATGCTTGAAACTACCTGAGATATCCAAATAATAAAGAATTACCAGGCCAAGATCTGGGAGCATTTGATAGCTCAATTTTGGGGATCACGTTTCTCCTGGATAAGTTTATGATTCCTGAGAGGACTACTCAAAAAATAAGCAGTACTTCTGACACACTCAGAGTGCTAGGAGGATAGGAGCTAAAGTACAGAACTGGCCAAAGTGGGAGGTGAGGTGAACCTCCTCACTTTAGGTTGAGTCCCTAAAGGGCTGCACCCTGCAACTAAGGTTGAATCAGAAACAGACAGGCCTTCCAAAGGCTGCAATTCAATCTTACTGAATAGGGGCCCCAGATATTGGAATTATCCGACAGAGACTATAAAATAGCTATCCTTATAATGTTCAAAGACATAAAATATAAGATTAAAAATCGACAGAAAACTAGTAGCTTTTTAAAAATAGGAAATTCCAGGAATGCTAACAACGTAACAGAAATTAGGAACTTGGCCAATAGGTATAATAAGAGGTTAGACACAGATTAAGTAAATTACAAAAGAGGCCAAAAGAAAATATCCAAATGAAACACAGACAAAAAGATGGGAAACATAGAAGAAAGATTAAGAGACAAAGGAGAAAGTAGTAAAGTCTAATATGTGGGTAACTGGAATTTCAGGAGGAAAAGAAGGGCAGATAACTTTTTAAAGAGATAATGACTGAGAATGTTACAAAACTAATGAAAGATATCCAGCTGCAGATTCAAGAAGTCCTTTGGATTCTAAGAACAATAAATAAAAAGAAACTCCTGTCACCACAGATTCTATAGACATTAAAAGGACAATAAGAACATATTATGAATAACTTTATGCCAATAAACAATTTGGATGAAACAGACACAACTGAAAATCCAAATAATCTGATGCCTTTTAAATAAGTCTTTTATAAAAATCCATCACATAAACAAAACTCTAAGCCTGGATGGTTTTGCTGGTGAATTTTGTCAAACATTTAAAAAAGAAAATACTCATCTTACACAACCTCTCAGGAAATAGAGGAGGGAACGCTTTTATGAGGCCAGCGTAATACCACTAGGAATATCTGAAAAAGACATTCCAAAAAGTAAACTAATATTTCTCCTAAACAGCAGAACAAAAATCTTTATAAAATATTGGCAAATCAAATCCAGTAATATATTTAAAAGATCATGATCAAGCAAGGGCTTAATCTAGAAATGCAAGGTTGATTTAATGTTTAAAAATCAATGTAATCCATCATATTAATAAAAAAGGAGAAAAAGCATATCATCAGTTCAATAGATATAGAAAAACATCTGACAAAACTCAACTCCAAATCAACATAAAAACTTTCAACAAATTTGGACAGGAAGAGAACTTCTTCAAACTGATAAAGGGCATCTACAAAAACTCTACAGCTAATATCATGCTTAATGGTGAAATACAGAATGTGTTCTCATTAAAGATGGGATCAAAGCAAGGATGCCTGCTCTTATCACTCCTATTCAATATTGCACTGTAAGTCCCAGCCATGGTAATAGAATAAGAAAAATAAATAAAAGGCATATACAGATCAGAAACAAAGTATATTGCCTCTATTCACACAGTATGATTGTTTACATTAAAATTTACAGGAATCTACAAAACAACTATTAGAACTAATTAGTGAGTTTAGCAAGTTTGTAGGGCACAAAGTCAATAAACAAATCAACTATACTTCTGTCTGACAGCAAACAATTGGAAAGTGAAATTTTAAAATTTAAATACTGTACTGTCAAAAACATAAAATACGTTAGGAAAAAATATAACAGAAGACATGCCAAATCTCTACACTGAAAACTACAAAACACTGCTGAGAATTCAAGAGGGCTTAAACAGAGATAAACCATCCTTATCAACTGGAAGACTCAATACTGTTAAGCTGACAACACTCCTTCAAGTTGAGCTATAGATTCAATGCAATTCCAGTGAAAACCCCATGAATTTTTTTAAACAAATTAAGCTAATTCTAAAATTCATTTGAGAATGCAAAGGATCTAGAATCTCTAAAGCAATCTTGAACAAATTGGAGGGTTTACAGTACCTGACCATGACTTACAAAATGTACCAGTCATCAGAACTGAGGTGCTGGCAGAGGACTGACAAATCAATGGAACAGTAGTGAGCCCAGAAATAGACTCATACTCATACAGCCATTTGATTCTTAACAAAGACACTGAGGCAATCTGTGGTGGCCATGAAAATGTACCATTCATATCTCCTGCTGAGGGAAACATAGTTGACTGATGGTCCCAGCTGCCAGCCTTCTGAGTCTACTACCACATTTATGCTATGACCAAGCTTACCTTATGCTACTCACAGCCAATGAGCACAGCAGGGTCAGTAATACTGGCCCATTCCTTTAACAGGCAACTTTGGCTTGAGGATTCCCCATATGCCTGGCCCAAACTTTCTTATAATAGCGCTGCAGTCTACAACACTTTCCAACCAATCCTCCTTTTTCCCTCCTTTCCAATTGGAAGGTTTTTACATGCTTTCTCTGGTCCCCTCCCTTTTTTTCGTCATAGGCATTCCCTCCAATAATTCTCTTACACATCTAATCCTTGTCTTGGCATATGCATCTCCAAGGGCCTACACTAATAATACAGGTGGTGGCAGAAGTAGTCTAAAAACATGTGTTAGAATATTGGACTGGCTTCTCTACTATCTGGTGGGCAAAGAGAATGTCATCCTGAGTGGTATGTGGGGCATGGGTAGTCCCTGGCACAAGGCAATGGCCAAATTGCTAAAGATTTCATCAATGGTAACCTGGAAAAACATACTGGTGAGAATGCCCTTGCATGTGTAATGATTCAGGCATTTGAATGAAATGGGGAAAACCATGCCTACAAGGACAGTAGGGTTTGCTGGTTATTGCTAAGTTGCTATGATGCTCTGGAGAGGGATAATGAGAAAGTGAGAGCTGTTAACAGGCAGTTAAAGTCTAAGTATAAAAGCTTAGTTTGGTAGCTTACAACGAGACCCTTCTTTCTGGCTATGGAAGAGCAGATAAAACTGAGCAGCTGACTGAAGATCTGTTCATCAGAGAGTTCTAGAGACATTTAAATGCTCAGTTGAAGCAGGTGTGCTCTGTTAAGGCCAAGAAAACTTGCATGAGGGCACATGAACAGAGTGGTCACAGTGACAGAAATAAAGGCTATATAATGAGCTCCCATGCTTACCAAGGCCAATATGGCTACTGCTGTCTCTGAATGTCCTGTTAGCTGCCCATCGGATTCTAAAATGTTGTTAGATACACAAGGAGCCAAGAATAATAATCTTGAAGAAAAACAATAAGGTGGACAGGCTTGCTTTCTGGATATTGACACCAGGGTCTCATTGTAAGCTACCAAACTAAGCTTTTATACTAAGGCTGTGACGATTAAAAAACTGTGATACTGTTATAAAAATAAAGTCTATAAACAGACATGTATTTGTATCTATACATCAACATTATACAGTTGTATATCAACATAAATAATACATGCATATTTATTTGTTGCCTGTATTTATGTATTCTTGATAAACTGGCCCGGCGGAGCAGTGAGGAAAGAACAATCTTTTCAATAAATGGGCCTGTCTTGACTGGAAAAAAGAAGACCTGAAAGTTAACTCCCACCTCACACCACACACAAAGTTAATTCCAGATGGACTATAGAAGTAAATGTGAAAGGTAAAACAACAAAGTCTCCAGAAGATGATATAGGAGAAACATTTAACTTTGGCATAAAAATACAATTCTTAAACAGGACATAAAGATTGGATAATATGGATTATATTAAATTAGTAATTTCAAAGAAAATTAAAATAAGAAATAAGCCACAGAGAGGGAGAAGATATGACAATAAACACATAAAAAGATGTTCAACCTTACTAGTAATCAGAAAAATGAAAATTTAAGTCACACTAAGATATTGCATACTAGAATGCCTAAAATGAAACAGACTAATACCAGAGGGTGACAAGGATGTGGAACAACAGGAATTCTCAGACTGCTGATAGGAGTATAAATTTGTACAACGTTTTTGGAAAACATTTTTGGCATTATCCACTAAAGCTGAAAACACGCTTATTCTATGATCTAGTAATTCCACCTCTAGGCATACACTTAACAGAAATCCCTGCAAAAGAACAAGAAACACATGCAAAAATATTCACAGCAGTATTATTTGTAAGAAGCCCCAAATTGTATACTAAAATATTCATCAACAGTAGAATGGGTAAATTGTGGTATGTTTATACCATGGACTACTATAAAACAATGAAAAGGAACAAAATAGTTACATGTAACAACACGGTTAAATTTCACAAAATTTTAAGAGAAGTCAGACAATAAAAAGCACGTACCTAAAGATTCACTTTAATTAAAGTCCAAAATAGAGGCAAATTGAATTATAGTATTCAGGAACACATGCTGAGATGGCAAACGTCTAAATACAAGTGATTACCATTAATCAGGATAGTGGCTATCCTTAGGGTTGGAGTTAGGAAAGGGGTGGTGATTAGGAGGGTGCACAAGAGGCGCTTCTGGAGTGATGGCAATATTCTATTTATTGACCTGGATGGTGGTTACACTGTAATAATAGATTACTGAGTTGAAAATTTTATGTACTTTTCTGTATGCATGTTCCATAATACAAAGATTAAACCACCAAGCAAAAGGAATGAATCAATTTTTGAAATCAAGATGAAGGGCCTGGTATTTGGTTAGTAGGCCCTTCTCTTTGAGTTATTTTCTTAATACGTAGTTTACATTGAATTATCCACATTCTTTTGCTGAGACCCTATGCCAGACATTTCTGAGATGGCTGGCTAAGGTAAAAAGTTTATTGCCAAAGAGCTGTAGAAAATTAACCAAACCAAAAATCAAACCTAAAAATATGGCCTACTTTTAATATGCTCTAAAAACCACAATAGAATCGAGCATAATTATTTGTTTTTTGAGTGGAAGGAAATTTCTTTAAAGGAAAAAGGATTCCTGCCCACAGAGTAAATTAGGCAGATAACTCAGACACGAAAGGGACAGACAAAAAGTCAAATCCCTTTGCTGCTTCCTTGTTTCAAATTACATAACTTTCAAGGCAGAATTATCTTTGACAGAATCCTTAGAAGTAAGATTTTTAGATTTAAAAGATAGTGGTATAAAGGATAGCTGAGCATGTTAAAATGGGAATAAGACAGAAATTGTGTAGGTGTTAACATGAAAAAAAGGGGGAACTGCATAATATACCTAAGTAGAAAGAAAACCAAGATGACGTTGAGTCTAGGGGAGTGGAATGAAAAGTCTTAAAAAGATAGGAAGAGTCATCTGCATGATTTGACAATTCAGGAGAGCCTGTGAATGGACTTCATAAAACAAGATCAGACTTGCATTACAGCAAATTACATGTGAAGAACTTCTACATGGGAGTTTAATTGTGGGATTCAGATATTAAGGAGATTGGTCAATCTTCCTAAGAGATAGTCCTTCCACCCCACTCAAACCCCAAACTCTGTGCAAATTCAACTGTTTCTGGAAATTGTCTTCAGACTGCTGAAAAAAATCATACATGGTAAATTGGATCCACTATAAATTCATTGTCAGCAACCTTAACAATGGCTTCAATATTGTGATAATTTCCTATTTCCTTGGAAAGTTCTCCCATTTTTCACAATGACTATTGTTAAGCCATCTCTACTTTTCTTAACATTGTTTACACTCCTCTTATTCCCCAATCACCCTAAGCAGTGTTGTCATCTACTTCAAAGAAAAAATAAATCTCAATTTTTTGGCATCAGACCTTCAATTTAACTACTTATACCATCTTTTTCTCCTTCCTGCATAGTTTCCTTCCACAAATATAAAATTAATTCCTCCCTCCATCCATGGCAGTGATCCTCTCCCTGCCTAATGTCCCAAACTTTATCATCCATTCTCCCAAACCTGTTCCTCCTCTAATGTTCCACCCAACAGTAAGTCAGCCCTGGAAGTCATCCTTGACTCCTTCCTCTCCAATTACCAAACCTCATATATTCCACATCCTAAATATCTCTTAAATCTATCTCATTATTTCTCTCCTCTGCCACCATTATAACTATCATCTGTCCACCCATTCTAACAGCCTGAGTGGTCTCTTGACCTCCAAGCTGACTTCTCTCTAATCCATTAACCACTTTGTAGCCATCAGCTATCTTTCCAAAATGCTGCACTGGTAACTCACTTCTTCAGTTTTATTGCCCATGGAATAAAATACAAACTCCTTACTATGTTTCCTAAGATCCTCTCATGATTTGCTCCTGCTTATCTTTCTAATGTATTTCCAGCTATTGCATTGCTTGTATGCTCTGCACCAAGCATTTGCTTACATTCACACGCATCTGTTTCCTTTGCCTGGGAGACTCCACACTCACTTCAACATTTATCTGTCTAGGTTGATCTCAAACCTTCAGTGTCATTTCCTTTTAGAGGCCTTTCCTGACTTCCTAGACTAGGACTGTTCTCTTTCCTATGAGCTACTTGACAACATTCATTGTTCTTTGTTAATTTATCTGTATACTCAGAAAGTAGGGCTCTGTCTATTCACTGTTGTGGCCCCAATACCCAGCAGTCTCAAAACTCTGCAGGCATCAACAAATGCTGCTGAATAAATGAAAAGAAATATAATAAATATATAATAAAAAGATTAAATAAACCATCAATAATAGGAGATGTGCTCCTTTATCTGGAATGGTATAAACAGTTCCTATAGATTTTCATTAAAATTAGAAGTATAACATTTCATGGTTTGCATAGGTAAGAATGAAATGGACGCTTTAAGTAATATTGGAAGCTGTTACAATGGAAAACATACTGTGACTTAATGGCTTTTGTGTCTTTTATATTGTTTCCAGGCCAGAAAGGAAGATATGGAATTTTAATACTCCTGGAGACACTGGTGTCAGAAGAGTAGTATTGAAAAAGCTAGCTTAAAGGCAGGATAAATAAGAAATCTATCAAAAAGTCTTTGAGTATAACACATACATATACACAAGGATTACATTTATACAGATACTATAAAATATTCAAAATCATTACCACTAAACAAATATACAAAAAGAAACTATAAATATCTTGCGAAAGATGACTTCAATACATGCTCAGTTATGTTTTTTTTTTCTAAAGGAAAAACACAGCAGCTGGCCTTACAATAATGAGAAAAAGGTATTGATGACTAGCCTTCTAAAAAAAAGTGCCTGAAATGTTCATTCAAGGCTGGTATTCATTCTTTATTCAGAGCCTGGTTGTCAGGCTTGAAAAGCAACAGAGATTACTGATGCATTCTAGGGCCAAATCATGGAGGACATAAATTTGCTCTTAGTACAGCAGTGAATAAAGGGAGGAAAAAACTTATTTGTATTCCAAGGGTCCTATGCATTCTGTTTGGCTTCAGTAAGATTATTTTAATTAATTATAAGCTATATGGCACAACTTGGAAATACCATAATTTGATATTCCATTTCATTAGTTCAACATAGCAAAGCCATCCTTTAAATCCTGATACTGTATGATTAGTATCTTGCATTGGTTTATTTGTACTTTTTTCCTAAGTAGATATTACAGAAATAATGAATTCTAAAAGGAATTTTTGAACTATTTAGGAGCTTTAAATTTATTTTAGATTTGCTTCAGTTTGGAAAAGTGGTTTTAAAAAAAAGCTGGGGTCAAGATATATATAGTGGAGTGAAAATGAAAAAATAAACAGCAGTGTTATGTTTGCTAAGGACAAACTTAAAGCTGTGTTTTGAAAGTAATTCATGAGAATTCCCATGAAATTAAAACACATGATCAATTTTGCTGTCTTAAGAAATGACTTCAGAAACACTAATAAGTTTCACATTTTGGTTAGAAGAATCATTCCCATACTTTTCATTTATTAAAATCACACATACAAAGTTTTGATGAAATCAGGATTAGTTTTAAATCAACTATGTTACTGAGATTAGTGGAGAAAGAAATTTTAAACAGGAGCAGTGCCTAGGAAGAAATAATTTTAAGAGGCCTAGTGGACCAAACAAAAAAGAATGTATTTCTGAACCTGTTTATGTGAAGAGATATTGTGAGCTGCGTATTTAAGACAACACCCTTGCTATTGGGCAAGAAATCTATTTGGCAAGCTCAAATAGGAAATAACTGTGATGCAAAATGGTATGAGTATCACTTGAAAAAAGCTTATAATAAAAGAATTACAGGAATTCAAAAGGAACTTGAACCCAGGAGGCGGAGCCTGCAGTGAGCCAAGATCATGCCACTGCACTCCAGCCTGAGCGAGACTCTGACCTACTGTCACTCCAGCTCAGAGTGAGACTCTATCTAAAAAAAACAAAGAAGAAATTCAAAAGGAATATGAGCTCCAGTTGTAATTAGAGAAGACTTCATGAAAATACAGATGTGAGATGGTTGTTAAGGGGCAGAGCTTTCTAAAAGTGGAAATAGAGGAAGACGTTTCATGATTTATAGAACACAACCTAAATGAACATTATTATTATCTTTCAGTAAATATTTACAACATGAAAATGATTTGGAAGTCATCTCATCTGCCCAGATTGATTATAAGTCATGAAAAGCAGTGGTGATGGTTTAAAATGTCTTATAAATCTGAAGCTTATGACTATCCTTCATTAGGAAATGATACAGAAAAACTCCCTTTCCTCCATAATGATTGCATTTTATCCCAAACACCACTGCTGCTAGGTTATTTCCCTCTCCTCCTGTCTCATTCTCCTGGGAAGGAGAAGGAGGAGAAGGAGAAGGATCAGCATAACAAAGGCAACAGACTGAAAGCTTCGAGGAGGTAGAATAAACACAGAATATGTGAATTAAGGATTAAAAAGCATTCACTGGATTTGATAATATAGAGGTAAATGGGTGATGTCGACCAAAACAAGTGAAGCCAATTGTTTCCCCCGTGGTATACAATGCATTTTTTTTTTTCTGATTCTATGCTTGTGCATGACCCTGATGAGTAGTAAATCAATTCAACAAGAAGGTTGAATTGTTACCCAGTAACTTTCATTCTTCTTAGGGTATGAAAATTGGCCACTGAATGTTCTGTTCCAAAATTCCCTAAGCAAGTTAAGCTAAATATCTGGATTAAAAGATTTATTTTGATTTTAAAATGGACACTACATATCTGGCTTATTTAGTCTGCAGGCACTTTTTCATCTTCCAAAAATATTCTGAAAAACAAAAAAAGTCTATCATAGGCTACTGAGCATATACACTGCAGGGCTTTACTGATTAACATGTCTACTTCTATTATTAAGAAATCTTCACCAATTTCCTTTTGTAACATCCTTAGCTGCTTCAAAACCAGTACTATTATGTTTTGGTTATCTGGCCCCAAATATATATATATATATTTGAGTTTTATAAAATATATATACTAGTTGCCTCCTTTTGACCATAAGAACACTTAGACTTTAAACTGTGACATATTTTCTTGAGTTACATTTGACAATATACATTATCATGAGGTTGGAAAGGAACCTCAAATGGCTCTCTAATCTCTTGTTCTTTCTAAGCTACCCAAAAGAGCAAATCAAATCTTTTATTAAAGCTATCAGAAAAATTTTTTTATGTCCAAACTGAATTGCCACAATAGAACTTGGTTCATTATTCCTATTCTATAAAGATTACAGGTCATTAGTTATCTGCCTAAATAGCCTCCTCCAAATTATCAAGTTACTAAGTGACCTCACATATCAACTATCTATTGCCACAATAATGCTGGCAGCTCAAAACTTAGGTGTAAGACAATAAGCATTTATTTTTGCTCACGAATTTTGAATCAGTGGACTGGGCTGGGCTGGACTAGTCTAGGCGAACCTTGTCCAGGCTTGCTTATCTGTCTACCATCAGCAAGCGAGTTTGGGCTTGGCTGGTCTATGACGGTCTCACGTGAGATACCTCTCCCCCATGAGGTTTCTGATCTTCAGCCAGGCTAGCTTGGGATTATTCTCATGGCAGAGACAGGTTTGAGAGAGGGAGGTAGGGAGATGGAGGGAGAGAAAGCTAAAGCTTGCAAGGTTTCTTGAGACCCAGGCTTAGAACTGGCACAATGTCACTTTTGCTACATGCTATTATTAGCCAAAGCAAGTTTCAGGGACACCCAGATTCAAGGACATGGAACAGAACTCACCTCTCGATGGAAGAACTGGAAATTGTACTGCAAAAGGAGTAGATATAGGCAAGGCTGAAGACCACAGTCACTTTTACAATCAACTTACCCAAACTTCATGGAGTCGTTTCTTCAGATGAAGTAATCTGCTATTAATGGTGCTTCCCCTCCACCCCTAAATCTAAGCTGTGCAAACATTAACTCATTTTATCATTGCAAAATAGAATTTTTCTTTTTCTTTTTTTTTTTTTTTCCAGACAGGGTCTCACTCTGCCCAGGCTGGAATGCAGTGGCATGATCTCAGCTCACTGCAGCCTCAACCTCCCCAGGCTCAAGTGATCCTCCCACCCCAGCCTCCCAAGTAGCTGGGACTAAAGGCACACCCCACCACGCCCGGCTAATTTTTGTATTTTTTTTGTAGAGACGGGGTTCTCGCCATGTTGCCTGGGCTGGTCTCAAACTCCCAGGCTCAAGTGATCCACCAGCCTCAGCCTCCCAAAGTGTTAGGATTACAGGCATGAGCCACCATGCCTGGCTGCAAAACATAATTTCAAGAACACTGTTAAACTGAAATTAAGGTATGCTGAAATTAGATGACAAGTTGAGGTTTTAATTTAAAACCACAAGCAGTTGAGAAATACAGAGTTTATGAACTTAGGGGGAAAATGACATAAAAGCTACCTTACACAGTAGACAATATGAAGCTGTGCAATTAAGAGGAAATTATGTAGCCTAAGTGTTTTTCAAATTTTCATTCACTATTTAAAGCCTACCATACAGTATTTGATAAATTATGATAAATCATTTTATTCAAAGAGCAACACTGATGAACTTTTAAAATGAACCATTTATTAAATCAGACTGTTATTCTTAACAGTTATGTAAGTTACATGTATGTTTAAGTCAGAGTATTTCACATGGAAAAGTTTTTAACTCCTATAGGCAAGCAAAATCATATCACACAATATATAAGTGGGAAGGGGATACTGCTAAACATTCAAATAAGGCAAGTATATAAAAACAATAAAACAATAATGAAAAAATTCAAGCATTCCTTTAAGAGAATTCAACACTACAAGCTAAATGTACTTTCTGAGTGTATTCGTATAATCAAGGCAGTGTTTCTTCTTTTAAAACATCAGGAAATGGAATAAGGCTCATTAGTAGACACAGCTGCCCTCAAGATTTCAATTTCAGTTGCTTTCTTTAAATTAAAATTCACAAAGTACACAATTAAGATATATCAAAAAACTGAATCTGCTACTCTAACAACAGCTGTCCATGCTTAATACTTAGTGGTTTATTTGACCAAATTAGTCTTTTCAGGGGGAAAAAAAAGATAAGCCACTGTAAAACATTTAGTTTGAAATGTATGCTAATATTTTCCTTAGAAATCAAAAGTTATGGAGGAAAAGGGTCATTTATTATAAGGAAAAGAAAGCAAAACACTAGAATGACCAAACATTTTCAAGGAACAAGCACCACAAAGGACATTTGCATTCAGTTTTGTAATATTTATCAATGCATTTTTCTTACTCCAACCAATCTACTTCATCAAATTCTGAATCATCTTCCGAATCACTATATTCAACAGCAATACGGCGAGACAGGATGGTGGCAACATCGTTTTCAATGCGTTCATGCTTAGCTTCCTGTTCACGCTGCTCTTCTACTTTGCGTAGCTGAATACCTGATACAGTGAATCCAAACCATTCATTTAAATCAAAATACTAGATACTAGATATTATTAATATTTCTGGAATAAAATCAAATACACATGAGAAATACTTATAGGAAAATAAAAAGATCAGAAAAGAATGTGAAGAAATCATACTGAGAGAGGCATTAAATCTTTATGTTATCTGTGTTATTAGTTGGTAAAACTTACCAGATATCCCAGTAGGTATCTACAGTTTATTTATCCATCATGGTCTACTATACCTCCCTGCTCACCACCCCCTAAAAAATTAATGAGGTGGTACATTTCTTCTATCACCTCAATGGTCAAATAAATTAAACATTGTTGAATATATTTTCTGTGGCTTCATTATCCATTGTATTTGAGGGAAAGGCACTATTATTCATTCTATATGCTCAGTGCCTGGCCTATAGTCATTGCTTAGGAAATAATGACAATAAATGAATGAATATGAGAAGTCTTTCCTTTGTTACTAAGGGAGGAAACTCACTCCTCTAAAGGCATCTGGTAGAGCAAGTGTCATGGATACCCAAAATGAACAGCCTTAACATTGAAGAAAATACCATTTTTAAAGGAGTTAATATACACATTAAGCATAATATAAAGGGTTTTAATTAAATGTTCTATAACATTTAAGTCTGATATATTAAATTTCTCATTCACTCAATAAACATTTTAAGGATACCTACAAAGCATGAAAATAAAATGGTCAAATGTGATATATTTTCTGGAAAATAATTTTAAATATAAGTTGGATATAGCTTTACTTTCTAAAGGCCATTTGTACACAAACATGATCACCTAAAATTTTATAGATAAGGAACACATTTTTGTCTTAAATATTTAGAAAGTTTCCAATGCTACTATAGCAATGCTTTTCATGGAGCTGAGAAAATTACCTTTTCGTATTGCTTCCAGTAGCACACTCCTGGCATCACTGATTACAGGTAGGGTTGATGGATGGCGCTTTGGCTCAGAAGCAGGTATAACTTGTGATGGAGGAGATGGAGGCATTAATGGAACATGGGGACCTGGGGCAGTAGATGGAGTTGGATGTAGCCCAGAGGGAGGATGAGCAAGAGCTGTAACTGTGACAGGTGATGATGGTCGAATGCCAGGTGGAGGCAGAGGAGGCGGTGGTGGGGGTGGAGGCAGCCCCTGAACTTCACCTTGTGGGAGTGGATGAACTGGTACAGTCTCACATACTGGGGCAGCTCTAGCTACTGGTGGAGAGGGCTGTACTAGAGGAGGTGCAATTGGAGGAGGAGCTGGGTGAAGAACTCCAGGGGCAATCTGAAGAGGAGCTGGAGGTGGTGGTACTGCTGGAGCTTGCAAAGCAGTGGCTGGAGGTGGAGGTGGGGGAGGTACTGGAGGGGGAGGAGTTGAAGTCATTGAAGCTCTTAATGAGGAAGTTGACAAGGCAGATGGAAGAGGTGGTGGAGGAGGTGGGGGAGTGGGGCTCACAAACACAGGTGTTCTGCCTGTAGCTGGTGACTGAGGGCGATTTTCTATCAAACCTGTAGCAGAACTGAAATGACAAAGAGATTCTAGCAAGTTATTAAAAGAGAAAAGCCTAAAGAGAAAATCTAACCACACAAACTATAAATGACTATCAGTAATTATATCAAAATGGATCCAATAACATGCTCCTATAGAAATTTAACATCTTCAACAGTATTTAGAAAAAAAAAAAGAACTAAAAGCACATCAATAAAAAAATTAATGAGTGGTGCTTTGGTTTGTAATAGTCTAAATAGTCTCATTCTCTCATGCAACTTTGGCATCCACTCAGATATTTTATGCTTACTTTAATAAATAAAATGCTCAATTCTATACTGACAGGAGTCTCTATAATGACTCAACATTGATCATAATGCAATTTTGTGGCAATACATGTGGCCAATACAATGCTATATTTATACTGAAACTATGAAGTCTCATCATATGCTATTTCAGTTAAATCAATGACAGCTAATTACAAACCACAAAAAGAAATTTACAGCTCTCTCTTTTCCTGAGGATGGAACACCAAATGAGTCAGTGATAGAAAATTGGATTTTTAACTGAAAATTGTAAAGCTGATCTCTATATCTCTATTAGAAAATTTCCCTAATATTTCTCTATTAGAAATTTATCATTTGGATAATAACTGACAAGATTAAACTTCAAAATAGCTTTACTGAAAGATTATTATAAGCAACTGCCAATCCTCTCTGAAATTCTTTAAGTATTTTCCTTAATACCAAATTAGTATTAATAATCACATCTTTGGTTCCCATTTCTTAGACTGTTACCCACATTCCAAAAAATCCTTAATTTTTCTTAATACACTGCACATGATATGCTTGATAACAACACTATAATAAAATGAAACAGGCTTTAATCTTTAAATTCTTATTAGCTAAATTTTCCTAGGAGAGTGTGTCAGCTCTAACCAGAAGATTACAAATAATGTCCCACAGACCAAATCTGACCTGCTCCCTGTTTTTATAAATAGAGTTTATTTCAACACAGACACATTCATTTGTTTATGTATATTCTATGGTGGCTTTCATGCAACAATGGCAGAATTGAGTACTTGTGACAAAAACTGTAAGGCCCGAAAGCCAAAAATACTTACTATATCGTCCTTGAAAGAAAAAGCTTACTGACTCCTAAGATAAAACATCATATGCTTGTTCCAACATACCTGATACAGGTGGGTATCGGTTTTGCATCTCCTGCTCCATGCATTGGTGGAGGTGGAGGTGGTTCATGTGGTCTGACTAATACCCTTTCCTCAGCTCTAGTCAGAAGCTCACTCATCTGACTAAATGGCAAGGCAGAAAGTGAGTAAGATCCATCCATATGATCCACGTATGTCTGAGGTCTAAAAGAAATATATAGTATCAGTGAATTATTCTTGAATTATTGGGAGGAAAGGGTTCTACATGAGATATTAAATATTTAAAGTTTATCCTTTCAATGCCAATATTTTAACTATTTTTAAGAAACTTTCAGAAATGTATTATATTAATCCTGCTTTTAAAACAAAGAATGCTGCTCACAATATAACCCTTACTTGTTGATTTAGAGATCTACTATGATGACCATCGGTTATTTTATTATTTTATAACAGAATACTAATTCAACTCACAGGATGAAAAGCATTACGTACGTAATTTAATAAACAAGAAAATAATTAACTTTTAGCAAATTGTGTGGAAAGCTATCTGCCTCTATTTAGTTCTTTACAAGAAGATGCCAATGACAGAAAGGTAGAATAGGAAAATGAGTTTTCTACTACTAGTATATCTCGGTGTGCTCTTAAACTTAAATGACTTCTAAAAGTCTTGCACCAGAGAGAAAGGCCTCCCAGATACTAGCAGCACAGAGGTGGCTAGCTATATTGTTTCTGTCCTTCTGCTGTTTTCAAAGGTGCAAGGGTACTCAGAAAATAGCTGAGTAACATAGCAACATGTGACTTAGATGTAAGCAAAATTTTAGATAACTCGAACATGTTAAGATTTATAAATATTTGCTAGTACATTCTTGGGAAAAAGTTGGATTTAACAGATGTGCACACAGCAAGTCAGAAATTATTGTATTTAGTGAGTCAGATAAGTACCTTAATTACTCAACTGTAGTAGAAATAAATGTCTAAAGTTTATTAATTTTTTAATGTCAATTCTTTCAGTAATACAGATAAATAGTATCTCTCAGATGTATATTTCTCCTAAAATAGGTCAAGATGTTGCACACTTATGGCCCAATCATTTATATGTATATTACTTAAAAGAAAACCTTAAGCTCTTTTCCATTAAAAAATCATATGACTAGGCTGGGCACAGTGGCTCACACATGCAATCCCAGCACTTTGGGAGGCTGAGACAGGCAGATCACTTGAGGTCATGAGTTCAAGATCAGCCCGGCCAACATGGTGAGACCCCATCTCTACTAAAAATACAAAAATTAGCTGGGCGTGGTGGCGTGTGCCTGTAATCCCAGCTACTTGGGAGGCTGAGGTGGGAGAATCGCTTGAACCCAGGAGGCAGAGGTTGCAGTGAGCTGAGAGCACACCACTGCACTCCACCCTGGGCGATAGAGCAAGATTCTGTCTCAAAACAAACAAACAAACGTATGACTATACCCAAATAAGTGTCTTCGTAGACAGATGCCAGTTTAATGTGTTTGCTGGTAGTATGTTATTTAGTTAGGGCCCCTGGCCACTAAGAAAGGAAAAAATCTTTTCTACAAAAGGGATCAATACTTTTGTTTGAAAGTCCTAATATATCTGAGGTGGGCAATGTGGCAAAGAAAGGAAGTCAGGGGAAAGTAAAAGGAACAAAACAGAACCCCTTCTTCACTCCTATTTTATATGCAATAAATCAACAGTATTTCAAAAAAACCCCAGACCCTAAACTTTTATTACAAAATTCTAGCAGACTGTGCCTGAAATATCGAGAGGCTATTGAGACGTCACACTAAAGCTAAAACCCTAAAGATCAGCCACTCCAACCACTTCTTTCTAAGATGACAAAACTAAGGTCCAGGTATGAAAATGACCTGCTCAAGGCCTGACTTTAGTAGGCTCACAGTGGTCAGGATTTTGAAATAATCTCTATATTTATAACAGGGTCTGCCTGTTCAACAGTTTAGGACTCAAGACTTAGAAGTACAGATACTACAAATAAAGCCAATGTTTTATCATTTAAAAAAAAAAACAAAAGTAAAGAAACCTTGTTTCAAAATGAGAGGCTGGGCCATTAGCAACTTCAATATGCTTATGTAAGAGATTAGCATCATCTTCAGCCAGCTCTGGACCTTGGGCCAGCTTCTGCCATTCTCGCCGCCTGTCATGAGGTGCTCTTGGCACTTTTTCTGGTTCATGAGGACGATCTAGATTTTTCTGCTATAACAGATGTATTGAAACAAAGTCAAATGCTTAAGCGCTAATTTTTAAAAAGGAGGTTATAACAATCAAATTAAACTCTAACATCAACACTGAAAAAGACAATGTCATCATAATATAGTAAAAGTAACACAGAAATGGTTTACTTGTACATTCAGTTAAATCTTAGCCAGTCTGCTGTAATCCCAGTTTCCTGCCATGTTTTGTTTAACCCCTAATTTGAACTGATGCACCAGACACAAAACAGTATGCCTAAAGAATACAATTTGAGGTCAGAAAGTCTTTCAGATGAAAAAAGACTCATGAACCCTTGCTCCACAGGCATTAGTTTGAAATTTCTACGATGAATGGCATTGTCTGCCCCTAATCAAAACGTAACAATTTACTAAGGTTATGTTATCTGGGAAGTAACTGATTAGCTAGCCAACACATTAGAAAAAAATCCAATTATCTAATTAACCGATAATAACTATATCACTCAACAGAAAACATTGTCTTTAAACAATAAAACAAAAAGTGATTCAAAACTGGGGGAGAAAGTACAGAAAGGGCTAGAGTAAGTGTAACAAATTCAAACGCCCAAAGCGGCCAAGCGGATAACATACATGAATGAAGCCAGTCGGGTGTAAGATGGGGCATGAGGTGAGCTAGACAGACATGTCCATCTCAGGCACTCTAGTTCCAAAATTTAAAAACCTCTGTGTTTGGCAAACAAAACACTCCCTACAGGCATAATCTGGCTTGCCAGTCACCAATTTGCAAATGTTAGCTAGAACACTGGGTTACCATCTAGCAAAGAAGACAATACAATGGCATTATACAGGGATTAGGGAAAGCAGAGATAGCTACAGGAGAACCAGAGAGATGATAAAGACAGAATTTGCCTCCTTCATAATTCAACCTAAATCTAACTTTGCTTCATCCTTCTGTGTTTTCAGTTATCATTAACATGAAATATAAAGCAGATACAAGTGAATTTTATTAGAAAGTGGAAAATGACAATAACAGAAATTTCATGTGAATATAATAACCTCTCCAAAACATTTAGGAGAGAAATGTTTAGGATGTGCTCTGTAGCAACAAAATACTAGCTTAATCTACGTTACCAATATCTGTACAAGATTCCATTGCTCCTTACCAAAATGTTCCTCTCTTCCTTGGTACACCTAACTCCTATCTGTTCTTCAAGATTCATTATAAGCTTTGTGGGAAGGGTTTACCCTGCCTGCTAGCTAAAGCAGATGCTATTTTGTGTTATCTAAACCCTTTATGCATACCTCTGCTATGGCACTTATTATGCCCTACTCTAATAATCTAATTGCTCATCTGCTCCCCATCAGACTGTGTTCTTTCTGTGGAGTTATAAAGACTTCAGTATTTAACTATATGGACCCAATAAAATAAAACTGTCAAAATACAAGATTAATGAAGTTCAATATATGCAACAAAACACAAATATACAAAAATTAACCTCAATTTTTTAATCTCTTGTAATACCTTCTGCTTCCTCTTTTCCTTCCTCTTATCCTCTGTATCTTGCAACATTTTTTCTTTCCATAGATCAAAGAAATACGAAGGATTGGTATAAAACTTCAGACCTTCTTTACCATCATCTCTGAAATATAAAATATCAATTAAAACACACATTAGTAAGACTTAGGCAATCAGAATAGAAATAATTTCACTAAAATGTTTATCCTCTTACATTAATAAAATACAGCATGTTAAAATAGTGCCAAAATAAAACTGAATATTGCACCAATAGAAAATTTCTCACAAATATGAGGAAACAAAGAAAAGTGGTAAAGCAGATGCTTTTCCAAGTTAGTACTAACAATTTAAAGTATAGCTGGGCAATTTTCATCCCTAATTTCTGCTGAATCCCAAATTTTCTAAAAAGTCCTTTGGGCAATTCCAATAATTACAAATAGCTCTGCCAAAGATAAAAGCCTGAAAAGACAGTAACATCATCTAGAAGACAGAAATTTTGCAGTTTCTGCCAATACTATGATTTATTTATTATCTTACTAAATCCAAAAGATATCATGTAATAGTCATTCTAACAGTCACATTTATATCTAATTATCTGCACACTGACTTACAATTTCAAATAACTCTCTGAATACTATTTTATTCAGGTTGTGTTGTACATTACCCATTTAACAAACCATGTGAAAGAACTTCAAAGAAAGGCTAAATAATTCCAGATTTTATTCTAAGTGGTAAAAAGCATTTTATAAAGGTACTACCTATTCATTATGTAAGAAGTTAATGTATACAAATCAAATCAAGAGTAGACGAAACAGGCCGGGCGCAGTGGCTCACGCCTGTAATCCCAGCACTTTGAGAGGCCAAGGCGGGTGGATCACGAGGTCAGATCGAGACCATCCTGGCTAATACAGTGAAACCCCATCTCTACTAAAAATATAAAAATTTAGCCGGGCTTGGTGGCAGGCGCCTGTAGTCCCAGCTACTCGGTAGGCTGAGGCAGGAAAATGACATGAACCTGGGAGGCAGAGCTTGCAGTAAGCCTAGGTGACAAAGTGAGACTCCGCCTCAAAAAAAAAAAAAAAAAAAAAAAAGAGTAGACAAAACAAGCAAAAATTATGTTTATTTTGTTAGTAGGACAGAATTTTGAGCTTTTTCCATTTGATTAAAAATTAAATTAAAAGGACAATAATAACTCCTTATCTCTTTACATT
The DNA here is from genome assembly GCF_000001405.40 of Homo sapiens. NCBI lineage: Eukaryota > Metazoa > Chordata > Mammalia > Primates > Hominidae > Homo > Homo sapiens. The sequence goes on from NC_000006.12 coordinate 110,108,282, forward strand.
AATAAGTTTACCAGTGGCTTTTCTAAACTTGTAAAAACAACTCTTTTAAATAGGTCTTGTCTTTTGTATGCCACAATCTTAAGAATTCATCCAATGAATAAAAGCAAAGGTTTTCCAAAGGTGGTGGACAGAGAGGGCTCTCTGTGTTGGCTAGAACCCCAATGAAATAAAGAATGTTTGGGGATTTAGCATTTCAATCTGAAGTCTGAGATAAATAATAGGGCTACTATTTATTAACCTACCTACCTATAAGGAGTGAGTATATTGAGAGGTGGAGGCTGTTCACAAACATCGTACGTCTCCTGTAATGGAATAGGCAAAGTCTTGCGATCGAAAAGCTGCTGGTCTTGAATTGTAGAACTTCGGAAAGCTTTCCTCATTGTTATATCTTGCAAAGACACTAAAACAAAAATCAAGAATTCATTTTATTTTATTTTACTAAGATGATTTAACATAAGGGCAAATTCACATACTTTATTTGTCTAAAAGTCAGCATGGCTCAAGAGGTTGTGACCTTAGTGGCTTATGAATCAGAAACCATATTTTAAATGTTCTATCATTATATTTACCCATATCATTCTGCGCCTAATTTTCCCAATCAGATAGGTTTTAATTAACCTTTGATTTTGAAGGCTCAGAGGGCCCTAATGACACCTGAAACATATCTACATTTCAACCAAATATACCTTTTTCTTTCTTCTACCTGCCATCATGGGCCCCCACCAACTTAGGTTCTCTTCTCCTATAATCTTCTTTTCCATCTCCCTTTATTCCTTTTTTTAGCTTACACCAGTAACTCTGAAAGGAATTACTTATTAGTGGCACTGTGGGCTAAACACGCTGTTAACCTCTATGCTACATATACTATAAATATTGTATGTGTACTCTCAAGTTAAAACAAACTTTACTGTAAAGGAAATACTTTTAAGTATTAGGTGATCTATATTATTCTCTTTTTCACTTATCTTTTATCTGTACTATAAGGATTTCTACCTAACTATAAGCTCTTGAAGACTCAGACTATCTTGTACATTAGTATTCCCAGTCACTAGCACAGCCCCATCACATACATGATTTAAAAACAACTTCATTTATTTTGAACTGTGCAGCATGTTAAAATAAAAAACATACAAAAATGCTGCATTCTTAATTCTTACACTGATATCCCGATATTAAAAAATAAGGTAATTTCTTGATATTTAATATGGCCTTAAGTATACAGACAAATGCCCTATAACATAGCAAGGTCAGTATAACAATCCTAACAATTCTTTTTTTTTTTTTTTTTGAGACAGAGTCTCGCTGTGTCACCCAGGCTGGAGTGCAGTGGCACGATCTCGGCTCACTGCAACCTCTTCCTCCCGGGTTCAAGCAATTCTCCTGCCTCAGCTTCCCAAGTAGCTGGGACTACAGGCACCTGCCACCATGGCCGACTAATTTTTTTTTTTTTTTAAATTTTTAGTAGAGATGAGGGTTCACTATGTTGGCCAGGCTGGTCTTGAACTCCTGACCTCATGATCTGCCCGCCTCAGCCTCCCAAAGTGATGGGATTACAGGTGTGAGCCACCACATCCAGCCAACAATTCTTAAGTTATCCTTCTCCTTAAAATAATATTCCTGTCATCCCCTCAAGTAAATTCACTCAACATGAACATGGGACCAATGGCACAGAAGGTACAATAGGCTGGCTCTGCAATGGTGGCACCATAATTCCATTTCTAGCAATTCCACTGCTGCATGACCTGTAACACACTTATAAATACTAAAATAAAATTCAGAGAAGCAAAAAGTTTTTCCCCACTATCACTAAAAAGTGGCACTGGAGATACAGTATTTAATGAGTACATACTATATGTGCTAGATGGTTTCACTAAATTTCATTTCATTTAATCTTTACAATTCAGTAAGACAGGAATTATTACTCCATTGTGAAATATAAGAAAGCTAAGGCTAGGAAATAGTATATAACTGACCTGAGGTTAAACAGTTAATAAACAGCAGAGCCAGAACAGAAAAGTCAGATCTGTCTACCTTTGAGGCTAATCTTTTTGCCACAATACCACACGCTGTTCTCAGGCTCCTGCCAGAAGTGGGTTGTGTTTTCTGCAGTCAAAGTGGATCAATTCTTGCCACTCTCCTGCCCCACTTATTAATCAATAAGTATGTAATTAAGATGAAACCTAGTGTTTAATCTCGCCAAACTTCCTTGGTAAAGGATGTAAGAAACATGTAAACTAATAAGCATGATGTACTTTTCTATCTTCAACTCCTCTCATTTATCGTTTGTCTTATTATTAACAGACTATTGTGGTGAAGCTCCTTCCACTTGCCAACAATAACATCTGATATTAATAAAATAGAATTATAAAGCAATAAATTAGCATAATGCTTATAAACATAATTGACTTAAATATAATTGTACAAGTCTTTGTTTAAAATTCATTTAAAAAATATTTTCAAAATTGATAGTTTTTAGTTACTACAAAACGGTTAAAAAAACTGATACCACACTGTGCTATTTAGTACTGTACACATGATGTTTTTTTTTTAATTCCCACTGAATTAAAAAACCTAGGTTAAATAACTGAAAACTCCTTCAATACAACCTCTCCAAAACAATTTCAAATTAAGTAGTTCAGCTTTTAGATTCTGAATTCTTCCCCCACTGCTCCACAAAATTTTAAAGGAAACTAGGTATAATTCTGACAGTATAGCTGTTGACATATTAAAATTTGTTTTTTAACACAAACATCTTAATTTATTTACTGTTATCTGTATTTTCACTTTCAAGTTTAATGGTGGCTCTAAGACATTTGTTAAAATGTAACAATATTTTGAAACTAAATGTTGATTTTTATTTCTGTTACATATGAGAACTGCCTGTGTATTTCTCTATTATTTGATGGCATAAATTTATATTTAAGTGATAAGCAGTTGAGTTATCTGAAAAACAAATTTTGGCTATAAATTATGTATTTGAAAGCATGACCATAAAATATTTTTCACCACTAACAATGATTTTATTTCAAGAATTCCATGAGGTGTAATTAATGTATTGATACATGCACATGTTTCAAAGGATACCACCAAGAAAGACAACCTAAAGAAGGGGAGAAAATATTTGCAAATCATATATTTGATAAAGGATTTAGATCCAGAATATACACAGAATTCCAACAAGTCAAAAATAAAAACACGAATAATACAAATTATAAATGGGCTAAGGAATTAAATAGACATTTCTCCAAAGGAGATATTCAAATGGCCTGTAAGCACATGAAAACATACTCAACATCATTAGCCATCAGGGAGATATAAATACATGCTATATGAATGAACCTTGAAAACATTATGCTAAAAGAAGCCAGTCACAAAAGACCACATACTGTACTATTCATTCATATGAAATATCCATACAGACAGATCCATACAGACAAATCCATAGAGGCAAATCCATACAGACAGAAAGATCAGTGATTGCTAGGGGTTGAGCTGAAGGGGAAACAGAGTGACTGCTAATGAGTACAGGGCTTCTTTCTGGAGTGATACAAATACTCTAAAATTGATTGTGGTGACGGTTGCATAACTTGAATATACTAAAAAACACTGAATTGTACACTTCAACTTTAAATGGGTGAACTGCAAGGTATACGTAGGTTGTGAAATATATCTTAATAAAGCTATTTTTTAAGTATTATTTCCTTTTCTTCTTGTATCCAGAGCTCTGAGTTTACATTTTACAAGTGGTACAAATCTAGTATGCCAAGTATTTGCCTCTCCTTATTTACACATTGGATTATTTCAAAAGTAGCTGGTTCCATCACTAAGACATCTATCATTACATTATATTTTTGTTCTTTCCACTGACATCCTTTAGTATTTTTATTGTTAAAGTTTAGATCTATTATATAATTTGCATTTATACTAAAAATTAGATCTATCATATAATTTGTGTTTATACTATTTAATGCAACAAAAATATTTTGAAGAGAGTGTAAGAAATTCCATTAAACAATTCTCTGTGGTAGGTAAGTGCAAATTATGTTCTTAGTATTGCATTTCTTTTTGTGAAACAAACAAAAAGATGCATTTGGGAAACGTCGGCATTCAATGTATTCTATCAAGGCATAAAACATGATTTTACCACCGAAGTTTCTACAATTATTTTAGCCTATCTGATTATTCCTGATTTAATATCTTGGTATAGAATGTTTACACCCTACATACTGGCAATTTGTTTTTGAAATGTTCATTTAAAGTAGGAAGTTGCATTCAGTTAAATAACTAATAAGACTTTAGCAATATGCACATACAAAAGCATATTAAAAGCAGTTACATAGCCAGGTGTAGTGGCTCATGCCTATAATCCCAACACTTTGGGAGGCCGAGGTGGGCAGATCACAAGGTCAGGAGTTCGAGACCAGCCGGACCAACATGGTGAAACCCCATCTCTACTAAAAATAAAAAAATTAGCCAGGCGTGGTGGCAGACACCTGTAATCCCAGCTACTCAGGAGGCTGAGGCAGGAGAATTGCTTGAACCTGGGAGGTGGAGGTTGCAGTGAGCCGAGATTGCGCCACTGCACTCCAGCCTAGTGACAGAGTGTCTGTCTCAAAAAAAAAAAAAAACAAAAAAAAAACCAGTTACATTCTTGTAGAATCAAACCTAAAGATTTCAGGTAATTTTCTAATAATTTTTATTTCTAAGACAAAAGTATACAAATAAATTATAAGGGAGAAATGAAAAGAGAAAGATAATGAAGAGAATGGAGGAAAATGTCTGGTTAAAATGACTTCTTTATGCAAAAAAATTAGGAGCTGTTTAGTGTACAAAAAGAAGAGATTTAAAACAGAGTAGAAAAGAAAAGCCCGGAGAATCATACTGATGGCATTTTTAGATAATTCACTGATTTATTACAATATGTACACCAAAGGACATGGGTATGATCTGTAATAAATTCATGATTAATACTGTTAAGTATATCATTCATCTCATCTAACTTAAAATATATACGTAGAAGAAAATACAATATTAATAAGCTTACATTCTTCTTCCTTTGGATCAAGCTGTGTAACACTAACAGATAAACGGTCCACACGTTCTTGCAATGAGTTGACTCTGAAGGAAAAACTATGTGCTTCATTGAATAATTCTCCAAATATATCTTCAGCATATTTACCTAAGCAAAAATGACACATATATCATAAAATTTAACATCCAGAGCACTGAGTTTTTATCTTTGCAAGCAGTAGAAATCTAGCATGATATTTGCCCTCAGATACTTTGTGATCAGAGATAAATAATGAACAATGTAATATTACAACTGGTGACCTGTTGAATTTGGAATTTATTTGGAATTACAGTTGACCCTTGAACAAAATCGTTTAACTGTAATAGTCCACTTACATGTGGATTTTTTTCAATAAATACATTGAAAATTTTGGAGATTTGAGACAATTTGAAAAAACTTGCAGATGAACCACATAGCCTAAAAATACTAAAAATTTTAAAGTATATTTTAAAGATATGAATGCATAAAATCTATGTAAATACTAGACTATTTTATCATTTACTACCACAAAATATACAGAAATTATAAAAAGTTAAAATTTATCAAAATTTACACACAAAACAAAAACATACATAGTGCCATTCACAGTCAAGAGAAATATAAAGAAATGGAAAGATATATTAGGTTGGTGCAAATGTAATTGCAGTTTTTGCCAACCTAATAGTACTAAATCATAACAATAAATTTAAGTGTAATACTGTATTACTGTAACAATTTTATAGCCACCCTCTGTTGATACTGCAGTTAGCTCTAGTGTTGTTACTATCCACTTAAAATGCTGTTTGAGCAGTTCTCTCTCCACTAAATTGCATATAAGAGTAGGAAGTAATCTCTCATGGTTCTTGTGTATTTTCCATCATGTTTTATGCAATACTGTAAACCTTGAATACATTGTGAGACTCATTCAAAGTGCCACCAGTGATGCTGGAAGTACTCTCAAGTACAAGAAAGTCATAACACTACAAGATAAAGTTGAATTGCTTGATATGAACCCCAGATTGAGGTCTACAGCTGTGGTTGCTTAGCATTTCAAGATAAATGAATCAAACTTAAGGGCAATTATAAAAAAAGAAAAGGAAAATCATGAAGCCATTGCTGCAGATACACCAGCAGACACAAAAACCTTGTACTTTTTGCGAATACCTTTTAATCTTGTATCAAAATGCAATTTTTGTGGGTGCATGGCTGTTACAAGAAAGCATACATACAGACTCTAACATGATTTGAGAAAAAGTGAAGTCCATATATGACAACTTAAAGCAAAAGGAAGGCAAAGGATCTAAACCTGGAAAATTTAATGGCAGTAAAGGATGCTTTGATACTTTCAGGAAGAGGTTTGGCCTCAAAAATGTCACAAGAGAAGCTGCAGCTTTTGTCAGCCAAGAGGCAGCAGATGAGTTCCCAGATGCCATTAAGAAAATAATTAGTTTCCATGTATGCTGCTTGAAAAAAAAAAAAAAATTGGCCAGGCATGACAGTCTGTAATCCTAGCACTTTGAAAGGCTGAGGTGGGCAGACTGCTTGAGCTCAGGAGTTTGAGACCAGCCTGAACAACATGGTGAAACCCCGTCTCAACCAAAAATACAGAAATTAGCTGGGCACGATGGTATGTGCCTGTAGTCCCAGCTACTTGGGGAGGTGAGGCAGGAGGATCACTTGAGCCTAGGAGGTCGAGGCTATTGTGAGTCGTGATCATGCCACTGTACTCCAGCCCAGCCTGGGTGACAAAGTGAGACCTTCTCTCTCTCTCTCAAAGAAAAAAAAAAAAACAAAACAGAAAAGAAAAAGAAAAAAATTGAGTAGAAACAATATCTGCCTGAACAGAGTTTTAATGCAGATGAGAGTGTCCTATTCCAGAAAAAAAAAAAACTGCTACAGAGGACATTTATTAGTAAGAAAAAGTGAACACCAGGATTTAAGGCAGGAAGGGACACACTAACTCTATTGTTTTGTGCAAATGCAGTCGGGTTTATCATCAGAACTGCCCTTATCTATAAAGCTGCTAACCTCAAACCTTGAAGGAAAAAGAAGGCCAAAAGAAGAAGGCAAGACAACAAGAAGGCATGGACAATGAGAATCCTTTTTCTGGATTGGTCCCATTGACGCTTTGTCCCTGAAGTCAGGAAGTACCTTGCCAGTAAGGGAATGTCTTTTAAAATTCTTGTGATAACTGTACAACATCTCTGGCCACTCAGAACCCCATTAGTTTCACACTGAAGGTGTCAAAGTGGTCCACTTGCCCGCAAACATGACAGCTCTAATTCAGGCTCTAGATCATAAGGACATTTAAGACTCATTACACATGGTATTCTGTGGAAGACTGTCAACACTATGGAAGAGAATCCCAACAGAGAACATCATGAAAGTTTGGAGGGATTATACCATCAAAGATGTCATAGTTATTATTGAAAAAGCCAAGAAAACCATCAAGCTCAAGAAAACAAATTCATAAAATTTGAGAAAACTGTGTCCAGATGTTTTGCATGACCTCACAGGGTTTTTAACAGTGCCAGTCAAGGAAATAATGAAATAGACAGTGGATACAGAAAAAAGGGTGGGGATGAAGCGTGGCAAGGTATGGATCTTGGAGAAATTCAAAACCCAATTAGACAGCACACCAGAGGAATTAACAGAAGATGACTTGATGGAGAAGAGTGCCTCCAAACCAGTACCAGACAATGAGAAAGAAGACATAGAAGAGGGGGTCACTTCCAAGACGGCTGAATAGGAACAGCTCCGGTCTGCAGCTCCCAGCGAAACTGATGCAGAAGACGGGTGATTTCTGCATTTCCAACTGAGGTACCTGGTTCATCTCATTAGGACTGGTTGGACAGTGGGTGCAGCCCACAGAGGGCAAGCTGAAGCAGGGCGAGGCATTGCCTCACCCAGGAAGTACAAGGGGTCAGGGGATTTCCCTTTCCTAGCCAAGGGAAGCTGTGACAGACTCTACCTGGAGAAACAGTACACTCCTGATCAAATACTATATGCTTTTCCCACAGTCTTAGCAACCAGCAGACCAGGAGATACCCTCCCATGCCTGGCTCGGCGGGTCCCACGCCCACAGAGCCTTGATCACTGCTAGTGCGGCAGTCTGAGATCAACCTGTGACGCTGCAGCTTGACGGGGGAGGGGTGTCCACCATTGCTGAGGCTTGAGTAGCTCAAAGTGTAAACAAAGAGGCCGGTAAGCTTGAACTGCTCAGTAAGGTCTATTCCCTCTATAAATTCCACCTCTTGGGGAAGGACGTAGTAGAACAAAAAGCAGCAGACAGCTTCTGCAGACTTAAACATCCTTGTCTGACAGCTCTGAAGAGAGCAGTGGTTCTCTCAGCACAGCGTCTGAACTCCGAGAACGGACAGACTGCCTCCTCAAGTGGGTCCCTGACCCCCGTGTAGCCTGACTGGGGAACACCTCCCAGTAGGGGCCAACAGACACCTCAAACAGGTGGGTGCCCCTCTGGGATGAAGCTTCCAGAGGAAGGATCAGGCAGCAATATTTGCTGTTCTGCAGCCTCTGGTGGTGATACCCAGGCAAACAGGGTCTGGAGTGGACCTCAAGCAAACTCCAACAGACCTGTAGCTGAGGGGTCTGACTGTTAGAAGGAAAACTAACAAACAGAAGGGACATCCACACCAAAACCCCCTCTGTAGGTCACCAACATCGAAGACCAAAGGTAGATAAAACCACAAAGATGGGGAGAAACCAGAGCAGAAAAGCTGAAAATTCGAAAAAAAAAACAAAGCGCCTCTTCTCGTCCAAAGGATTGCAGCTCCTTGCCAGCAAGGGAAAAAAACTGGATGGAAAATGAGTTTGATGAGTTGATAGAAGTAGGCTTCACAAGGTTGGTAATAACAAACTTCTCTGAGCTAAAGGAGCATGTTCTAACCAATTGCAAGGAAGCTAAAAACCTTGAAAAAAGCTTAGATAAATGGCTAACTAGAATAAAATGTAGAGAAGACCTTAAATGACCTGATGGAGCTGAAAACCATGGCACAAAAACTTTGTGACGCATGCACAAGCTTCAATAGCTGATTTGATCAAGTGGAAGAAAGAATATCAGTGATTGAAGATCAAATTAATGAAATAAAACGAGAAGAAAAGATCAGATAAAAAAAGAGTGAAAAGAAACAAACAAAGCCTCCAAGAAATATAGGACTATATGAAAAGGCCAAATATATGTTTGACTGGTGTACCAGAAAGTGATGGGGAAAATGGAACCAAGTTAGAAAACATTCGTCAGGATATTATCTAGGAGAACTTCCCTAACCTAGCAAGGAAGGCCAGCATTCAAATTCAGGAAATACAGATAACACCACAAAGATATTCCTCAAGAAGAGCAACCCCAAGACACATAATTGTCAGATTCACCAAGGTTGAAATGAAGGAAAAAATGTTAAGGGCAGCCACAGAGAAAGGTCGGGTTACCTACAAAGGGAAGCCCATCAGACTAACAGCGGATCTCTCGGCAGAAACCCTACAAGCCAGAAGAGAGTGGGGGCCAATATTCAACATTCTTAAAGAAAAGAATTTTCAACCCAGAATCTCATATCCAGCCAAACTAAGCTTCATAAGCCAAGGAGAAATAAAATCCTTTACAGACAAGCAAATGCTGAGAGATTTTGTCACCACAAGGCCTGCCTTACAAGAACTCCTGAAGGAAGCACTAAACATGGAAAGCAACAACCGGTACCAGCCACTGCAAAACATGCCAAATGGTAAAGAACATCGATGCTAGGAAGAAACTGCATCAATTAACAGGCAAAATAACCAGCTAACATGATAATGACAGGATCAAAATAAAACATAACAATATTAACCTTAAATGTAAATGGGCTAAATGCTCCAATTAAAAGACACAGACTGGCAAATTGGATAAAGAGTCAAGACCCATCAGTGTGCTGTATTCAGGAAACCCATCTCACATGCTCACATGCAAAGATGCACATAGGCTCCAAATAAAGGGAAAGAGGAAGATCTACCAAGCAAACGGAAAGCAAAAAAAAAAAAAAAAAAAAAAAAAAAAAAAGCAGGGTTTGCAATCCTAGTCTCTGATAAAACAGACTTTAAACCAACAAAGATCAAAAGAGACAAAGGCAGCTACTACATAATGGTAAAGGGATCAATTCAACAAGAAGAGCTGACTATCCTAAATATATATGCACCCAATACAGGAACACCCAGATTCATAAAGCAAGTCCTTAGAGACCTACAAAGAAACTTAGACTTCTGCACAATAATAACGGGAGACTTTAACACCCCACTGTCAATATTAGACACATCAAAGAGACAGAAGGTTAACAAAGATATCCAGGACTTGAACTCAGCTCTGGACCAAGCAGACCTAATAGACATCTACAGAACTCCACACCCCAAATCAATAGAATATACATTCTTCTCAGCATCACATCACACTTATTTTAAAACTGACCACATAATTGTAGTAAAACACTCCTCAGCAAATGTAAAAGAACAGAAATCACAACGAACTGTCCCTCAGATCACAGTGCAATTGAATTAGAACTCAGGATTAAGAAACTCACTCAAAACCGCACAACTACATGGAAACTGAACAACCTGCTCCTGAATGACTAATGGGTAAATAACAAAATGAAGGCAGAAATAAAGATGTTCTTTGAAACCAATGAGAACAAAGACACAAAGTACCAGAATCTCTGGGACACATTTAAAGCAGTGTGTAGAGGGAAATTTATAGCACTAAATACTCACAAGAGAAAGCAGGAAAGATCTAAAATTGACACCCTAACATCACAATTAAAAGAACTAGAGAAGCAAGAGCAAACATGTTCGAAAGCTAGCAGAAGGCAAGAGATAACTAAGATCAGAGCAGAACTGAAGGAGACACACAAAAACCCTTCAAAAAAATCAGTGAAACCAGGAGCTGTTTTTTTGAAAAGATCAACAAAATAGATAGACCGCTAGCAAGACTAATAAACAAGAAAAGAGAGAAGAATCAAATAGACACAATAAAAAATGATAAAGGGGATATCACTGCCAATCCCCCAGAAATACAAACTACCATCAGAGAATACTATAAACACCTCTACACAAATAAACTAGAAAATCTAGCAGAAATGGATAAATTCCTGGACACATACACCCTCCCAAGACTAAACCAGGAAGAAGGTGAATCTCTGAATAGACCAATAACAGGTTCTGAAATTGAGGCAATATTTAATAGCCTACCAACCAAAAAAAGCCCAGGACCAGACAGATGCACAGCCAAAGTCTACCAGAGGTAAAAAGAAGAGCTGGTACCATTCCTTCTAAAACTATTTCAATCAATAGAAAAAGAGGGAAACCTCCCTAACTCATTTTATGAGGCTAGCATCATCCTGATACCAAAGCCTGGTAGAGACACAACAAAAAAAGAGAATTTTAGGCCAATATCTCTGATGAACACCAATGCAAAAATCCTCAATAAAATACTGGCAAACCAAATCCAGCAGCACATCAAAAAGCTTATCCACCATGATCAAGTCAGCTTCATCCCTGGGATGCAAGGCTGGTTCAACATATGCAAATCAATAAACGTAATCCATCACATGAACAGAACAAATGACAAAAACCACATGATTTTCTCAATAGCTGCAGAAAAGGCCTTCAACAAAATTCAACACCCCGTCATGCTAAAAACTCTCAATAAACTAGGTATTGATGGAACATATCTCAAAATAATAAGAGCTATTTATAACAAACCCATAGCCAAAATCATACTGAATAGGCAAAAACTGGAAGCACTCCCTTTGAAAATCAGCACAAGACAATGATGCCGTCTCTCACCACTCCTATTCAACACAGTGTTGGAAGGCTAGAGCAATCAGGCAAGAAGAGAAAGAAATAAAGGGTATTCAATTAGGAAAAGGGGAAGTCAAATTGTCTCTTGTTTTCAGATGACATGATTGTATATTTAGAAAACCCCATTGTCTCAGCTCAAAATCTCCTTAAGCTGATACGCAACTTCAGCGAAGTCTCAGGATACAAAATCAATGTGCAAAAATCACAAGCATTCTTATACACCAATAACAGACAAACAGCCAAATCATGAGTGAACTCCCATTCACAATTACTACAAAGAGAATAAAATACCTAGGAATCCAACTTACAAGGGATGTGAAGGACCTCTTCAAGGAGAACTACAAACCACTGCTCAACGAAATAAAAGAGGACACAAACAAATGGAAGAACATTCCATGTTCATGGATAGGAAGAATCAATACCGTGAAAATGGCCATACTACCCAAGGTAATTTATAGATTCAATGCTATCCCCATCAAGCTACCAATGACTTTCTTCACAGAATTGGAAAAAACTACTTTAAAGTTCATATGGAACAAAAAAAGAGCCTGCATAGCCAAGACAATCCTAAGCCAAAAGAACAAAGCTGGAGGCATCACGCTACATGACTTCAAACTACACTACAAGGCTACAGTAACCAAAACAGCATGGTACTGGTACCAAAACAGAGATATAGACCAATGGAACAGAACAGAGCCCTCAGAAATAACACCACACATCTACAACCATCTGATCTTTGACAAACCTGACAAAAACAAGAAATGGGGAAAGGATTCCCTATTTAATAAATGGTGCTGGGAAAACTGGCTAGCCATATGAAGAAAGCTGAAACTAGATCCCTTCTTTACACCGTATACAAAAATTAACTCAAGATGGATTAAAGATTTAAATGTAAGACCTAACACCATAAAAACCCTAGAAGAAAACCTAGGCAATACCATTCAGGACATAGGCATGGGCAAACACTTCATGACTAAAACACCAAAAGCAATGGCAAGAAAGCCAAAATAGACACATGGGATCTAAATAAACTAAAGAGCCTCTGCACAGCAAAAGCAACTACCATCAGAGTGAACAGGCAACCTACAGAATGGGAGAAAATCCTTGCAATCTACCCATCTGACAAAGGCTTAATATCCAGAATCTACAAAGAACTTAAACAAATTTATAAGAAAAAAAACAACCCGATCAAAAAGTGGACAAAGGATATGAACAGGCACTTCCCAAAAGAAGACATTTACACAGCCAACAGACATATGAAAAAATGCTCATCATCCCTGGTCATCAGAGAAATGCAAATCAAAACCACAAGGAGATACCATCTCATGCCAGTTAGAATGGTGATCATTAAAAAGTCAGGAAACAACAGATGCTGGAGAGGATGTGGAGAAATAGGAACACTTTTACACTATTGGTGAGAGTGTAAGTCAGTTCAACCATTGTGGAAGACAGTGTGGCAATTCCTCAAGGATCTAGAACTAGAAATACCATTTGATCCAGCGATCCCATTACTGGGTACATACCCAAAGGATTATAAATCATGCTACTATAAAGACAAATGCACATGTATGTTTATTGTGGCACTATTTACAATAGTAAAGACTTGGAACCAACCCAAATGTCCATCAATGATAGACTGGATTAAGAAAATGTGGTACATATACACCATGGAATACTATGTAGCCATAAAAAAGGATGAGTTCATGTCCTTTGCAGGGACATGTATAAAGCTGGAAACCATCATTCTAAAAAAACTATCACAAGGTTGGAAAACCAAACACCAGATGTTCTCACTCCTAGGTGGGAATTGAACAACATGAACACATGGACACATGGTGGGGAACATCACATACCCGGGTCTGTCGGAGGGTCGGGGGCTGGGGGAGGGATAGCATTAGGAAAAAATACCTAATGTAAATGACGAGTTGATGGGTGCAGCAAACCACCATGGCACATGTATACCTATGTAACAAACCTGCACACTATGCACATGTACCATAGAACTTAAAGTATCATAATAAATAAGAAAGAAAGTAAAGAAGCAGATCTCCGATTTTAAAAAATGGAATCCAAAAAAAAAAAAAAGAAGACATAGAAGAAGTGGTGTCAGAAAACAAATTGACATTAGAGAATCTGGCAAAAGCGTTCCAATTATTCAAGACTACTTTTGATTTATTTTACAACGTGAACCCTTCTATGATACAGTACCAAAACTAAAGCAAATAAAAGGAGGATTGGTACCATATAAAAACATTTTTAGAGAAATGAAGAAGCAAAAAAGTCAGAAATCAAGATGTGTTTTTGTAAAGTTACACCAGTGTGCCCACCTCTACTACTTCTACCTCCTCCACCTCTCTGCCTCTGCTACTCCTGAGACAGCAAGACAAACTCCTCCTTTTCCTTCTCCTCTTTGGTCTGCTCAATGTGAAGATAACGAGGATGAAGACTTTTATGATGATCCACTTCCAATTAATGAACAGTAAGTATATTTTTTCTTATGGTTTTCTTAATAACATATTCTTTTCTCTAGCTTACCTTATTGTAGGAATACAGTATACTACTACACATACAACATAAAATATACATGTTAAGCAACAGTTTATGTTCTCGGTAAGGCTTCTGGTCAATAGTAGGCTATAGGCAGTTAAGTTTTGGGGGAGTCAAAAGTTATATGCAAATTTCTGGCTTCACTGAGGATCTGTGCCCCTTACCCCTACACTGTTCAAGGGCCAACTGTATTTTAAACTTTAAACCCTATCTAAAGTCACCCAGCCATGACAAAGTGGGGAAAAAAAAAGAGATACCCTGGGAAGCCTGCTTTTAAACCTTGTTCTACTACTTTCTGTTAAATGATTTGTGTCTAAAATGGAAATTACTTGCTTTATCTATATCTGTCCACCTGATGAGGGTTAGAGAAGATTATGATGTAAAGGTATATGCAAATAATATGCCTGTCAATCTGAAAGCATTTATATGTAGACTGTAGCATTTATATATAATCAGCATTTATATATAATCAGCATTTATATTAGCTAGAAATAAATTTTAGGCCAAGTAGCAGAACCCAAGATTCATCAAAGACCTAGAAGATTATCTGTCCCAGGGATGCCCAAGATATAGATTCAGAAATTTAGGAGATCTTTTACACCCTCTTGTTACAACTTCTGAAAAAAAAAAATCATAAATCTAAAATCACTGTATTCCTCTAGTTGTGTAAGTTCTTATTACTGAAAAGAGTAAGCCAAAATAACTTGAAGAAGATCCCTGCCATTACTGAATTTTGAGCAGAGGGAGAACCAGACATTTAAGCAAATATTTAAAGCAATTTAATAGATAAGTCCTAATATTTGTTCTATTCACTGTGAGACCTTGGTATCAATTTCCTTATCTGTAAAATAGGAATAAAAACATCTGTCTCTAAAAGAAGCAAGAAAAGAGCCTTGAAGTGCACCTCATACAGAGGAGCCCAATAACAGGCAGCTCTTAATATAAGGTAAGAGCAACACAGCAGAGATAGAAGCACCTCACTTTCAGGTGTCAAAAGTTATTTGGTGATCAAGATACTTCCAGAGACAGTTTCTCTGGCAGATAAGGGAAGCATCCCAAATGGAAGAAAAAGCAGGTATAAAGTTACTCATTTATTCAACAATTGGTAGGGATACAAATGCTAGGTGTAGATACAGAGATGGAAAAGACTAATCTTGGCAATAAGAACTGACTATATTCCATAAGAGAAAAGCCAGGGGAAGAGATCCCTTAGGTATTCAGAATCCCAGTGGTTGTTAATGAAAGGAGTTAGCTAGCTTGCTTTAGGCAGACAGTAAGGGAAGGGTCCCCAGAGAACCTCTGACCCACCCCACAAGGGCTTACACCAGATGCTTTGTGCAGATAAGGGAACTTGCACAGGGGGCTTGCTTAAACATGCCCACAGCAGACTAAGGGCCTGCATGTGCACTAGGGAAATGTGGTGAAGCCACCAGTAATCTGTGCCTCATACAAATAGGGAACCCAGCCCCATCAGCGTCTCTCTCTCTCTCTCTCTCTCTCTCCTCTCTCTCCTCTCTCTCCTCTCTCTCTCTCTCTCTCTCTCTCTCTCTCTCTCTCTCTATATATATATATATATATATATATATATATATATGCCCTTGTATTCAACTGTGACGGGGCAACCTGGAACCTGCTTTCAGGACCCCTCTCTTGGCTGAGAGCTTTCCTTTCACTTAATAAATTCTACTCCATTCACTCTTAGAGTATCTGTGTGCCTAATTCTTCCTCATCGTGAGACAAGAACCTGGACCTAGCTCAGCTAAGGAGTAAAAAACCTTGCATCATTAAGAAAGCAATAAAATGAGAAAGAGGAAATTGATATAAAGTGAATTATAGGTTTGTGGTAATTACCTAATACAAAACAGAATTATGTTCTACTAGGAAAAATCTCACAAAAAACAGATGTACTGGCTGGGTATGGTGGCTCACACCTGTAATCCCAGCACTTTGGGAGGCCGAGGCGGGTGGATCACTTGAGGCCAGAAGTTCAAGGCCAGCCTGGCCAACATGGCAAAACCCCATTTCTACTAAAAATAATACAAAAATTAGCCAGGCATGATGGCACTCGCCTGTAATCCCAGCGGCTTTGGTGGCTGAGGTACAAGAATTGCTTGAACCTGGGAGGTGGAGTTTGTAGTGAGCCAAGATCGCACCACTGCACTCCAGCCTGGGTGACAGAGCAAGACTCTGTTTCAAAAAAATAAAAAAAGGAAGTACATTTTTGTGAGGAAAAGGTCAGGAAGATATCCAGCCCTGAGCCATGTGGATCCCTGCAGTTTACTTTCATTGCTATATTCTCAAGCACTTTCAGTACTAATAATAGCACCAAAGTGAAAATCTCCATTATCTAGAAACATTTTGGATAGCCAAGTTTTCTAAGTAATTCAGATTTTATTATCTAATACATCAATTGTTATTTTAACTATTTTCGATGGAAACTTGTGAAATGTATTCTAAGCTTCCCTCTTCTTAAATGGAATATAAAATTAAACATAATTTAATTTTTTCTTAGGGACTCACGGGCATGAATTATGAAAATCAAATATTATCCTAGGCCAGAAAACAGCCTTGAAATGTATAAGGATATTTGCTTTACATTAAATGGCTTCTTTCCAGTTTTTATGTTGCATCTTCCCTTACATCACTTTGTCCTTTCCTGTGAACTACCTCCTTTTGGTTGGGTTCAGTGATGCCTCCTTCTAGTATCTCCTCCCATGCTTCCTCCTTTTATCCTCTGAAGCATAACTGTTTGGAAACCACATCATCAAATCTGTTTGAACTATCAAGGTAAAAGTAAACAGGTTTTGAGAGAGGGATCAATTGGTTATTTTATGTGCATGGTCTTTAGTGCATGAGTTTATTTATTCTGGCTATCTAGAGGCCTTTTAAATTTAATTCCAGGTTCTCAACTATGTCAAGTGGGAAAGCTGCCAGAGAAGTTAATTTCAGGGCAGTAAGCTATTGTCACACCTTGCTAGAATATTTTATGGGTTTTCTCTTTGTTTTTGAATCTCTACAAACTGCTTAAACAATGCCTTCCAGGTCTCTGATTCTAAATGTGAAGCACCCAACACCTAATTTAGTTATATTGTTACAAGGTATTTATAATTTTCAGAGTTTCGCTACAGCATAACCATGTGCCTGCTGATAGATGTTGCTTATATGGACTATATAGACTTAAAAATTCCTTAAATTTTCATCTTTAAGTTTTGTAACAAATGGGTTAGTACTGCAAATTATCACCCTTAATCACAATATTAGTTCTAAATTCTATATTGGGTATATACCTAAAATAAGATGCCTGTACTGGATCCACAATTCATTTTAAGAAATATGTTATACAAAATTACTAATGCCATTTCTATGTTCTTAACATGTATTTTAATATTAGCATGCTTATATACTTATGTATGTACATAACATATATAAAACAAATTTTATATGACATCATGTTATACTTGATTCAATCCGTGCTAGGTCACAAAAAATCTGCAAAATATCTTTAAACAATATAGTTAATCATATTTAAACTGGGAACTCTAACACTTTTTTTATTAGCCTCAAGTAAACAATACAATATTTTAGTGATTCACTAACCTGAAAAAAATGACCACTGAATGGAACAAGGAATATACTTAAAATTCAAATAAAATAGCCTTTTATTTATTCTTACTATTTCACAGGCAATGCAAAAATTTAGTACTCTCACAGAGAATATTCAAATGTAACTTTTTATGTTGCTCTCGCTACAGGTATGCCTAAACTTTCTTACCGGAAACAAATTAGATTAACAACCTCTTGTGCTAAGTACTCAATTATAAAAGAAAGGACAAAAGTTAAAAGGAAAAGAAAAGAAAAGCCAAGCCTGCTTATCAGGAGAATTTATATGGCTGATGAGATAAATCTAGGACCACTTGGTGGATATTATCTCTGCCAAGAACACCTTGTTTCACCTTTAAAATGAAATATCAATGTCTTATGAAAAAGCTAATCCTTCAATGCAAAAGACAGACCAGATTTTTTAAATTTTCTAAATAAACTTAGAATAGAAAATAATTTGTTTAATTCCTTAACCAAGTTGCTCTATTCTGTAAATCTGCAATGAGAACATATTGCCTGTCTCCTTCTCCCTAATCTGCCTCTTTCACTGGCCTTTATTCTCTGGCCAACCTGCTTGACTTCTGTCTGCCAGAGGCCAAGTTCATTTGCTGTTTTCACACAATGCTGCATATCAGATTCCTGACTTATATCCTAATGTCTCTTAGACATCCCACTTGACTAGCCTACCCCTCTGACTAATAATGACCCCATACCTCTCACCTTAGATCTTTGCTAATATAAAAATATTTCCCTAAACTAATTAAATATATATATAAAGAGAGGGATACTAGTGTTTGAAAACACAAATAGTTGAGGCCTCTAAACAGAGTAAATAGTGATAATAACCAAGGAAAAGTACAACTCTGGTCCTTTCGCAGATTATATATTTTTAAAACAATCTCAATAATTTTCATTCATCATGTGTTTCTGTTCCTAGAGATTCTGTCCGTATTTTCCTTTCCCAGAAGAAACATCATGCAGAAGAGGTTCTTGTAAAACTCAATAATTATACTCATGTGACTATATTTTTCAGGATAATTTTGTACTCTTCTCACCAAATCATACTCCCAAATTAATCAGAAGCACAACTTCTTAATACGCTAAAGCATAACATTCTGGTTTGTGAGTATATTTTTAATTGATATATACTTACTTAGGCTACTTAGTTGTCTAATTATATTTGCCAAGGAAATATTGGTTACACATTCCAGTTCATTCTTAATGCCTCTAGGCAGTGCTGTGTGGCACAAGTGCCTAGGATCGATGTTTCTTTTCACTAGCGGCATCTTGAGATTAACCTTTGTGCCAGTTCACCTGTAGGAAATCAAAAATAAATTAACAATATTAAATTTCAGCCAACACAGAATGAGACTTTATTTTTCATTGAAGAATAAAGCACTGTTGACCCTTGAACAACATGGATTTGAACTGCCTGGGTCCACTTACTGGTGGATTTTCTTCCCTCTCTGCCTCCCTGAGACAGCAGGACAAACCCCTCCTCTTCCTCCTCAGCCTACTCAAGGTGAAAATGACAAGGATGAAGACTTTATGATGATTCACTTCCACTTAATAGTTAATTATCTTATGATTTTTAATAACATTTTATTTTCTCTGGTTTATTTTATTGTAAGAATGCAGCATATAATACATATAACTTACAAAATATGTTAAACAACACTTTATGTTCTCGGTAAGGCTTCTGGTCAACAGTAGTCTATAAGTAGTTAAGTTTTTGGAAAGTCAGAAGTTACACACAGATTTTCAGCAATGCAGAGGGTTGGTGCCCCTAATCTCTGGGTTGTTCAAGGGCCAACTGTATTTGCTTGTATGAAGACAATAAAAATGAAATTACCCAACTAAAATAATCAAAATTGATTTAACTTCCAATTACTAGAATATCAACATTATACAAAACGTTTTTTAAAAACTTGCTTTCAATGTCAGCTGCTGCATGGTGAATTCACAATTATCACCATTATTCTCCTAAAAACACTGTTTTTATTTACTATAATAGGGATTTTGTTCTAGAGAGTTAGTGTGAGATGTCCTCTCTAAGGAAGTGCATAAAAGGATTAAGGAAGCTGTAAGAGTAAATCAAATTTACATTATCACACAAAATGTATCAGGTGTTCAAAAGCTCAGATCAAATACTCCAAGTAGCCCTGCACCTGAAATCTCATTGGAATCTACCAAATCTTTATTTAACTGATCAAAAAGTTCAACCATCTTTGAATTATAGGCTGCTCTCACTTTGCATGCTTCGCATATGCACAAATTTGAGTGACTCGAGTTAGTAACAACACTGCCCAACACCATGATTCAAATTTCACTTACTACAGCATATTAACTGTGAGTAATTGCACAAATACAAACTTCATTTCTAGTACTCTAGTCCAGGACTCCCCAACCCCCCAGCTGCAGACCAGTAACGGTCAGTGGCCTGTAAGGAACCAGGCTGTACAGCAGGAGGTGGGCGGTAGGTGAGCAAGCATTACTGCCTGAGTTCCACCACCTGTCAGATCAGTGGCGGCATTAGATTCTCATAGGAGCACGAGGCCTATTGTGAACTGCACACGTGAGGGGTCTAGGTTGCATGCTCCTTATGAGAATCTAATTAATGCCTGATGATCTGAGGTGGTACAGTTTCATCGCGAAACCATCCCCCACTCCACACACCCCCACCCCCTGCCCGTGGAAAGACTGTCTTCCACGAAACTAGTCCCTTGTGCCAAAAACAAGGAGACTGCTGCTCTAGTCTACAAATCACTGTTAAGAAGAGCTGTACGTCATGATCAGTGACCAATCACCACTTCTTTCAAAGTCAGTTGATGATTGGTTACACCCTCATCTGTTAGTCAATTCACCTACAGACAGCAAAGCATGCATCTGTTGCCTTCTTGCCTCCCAGTGCTAAGTCTACATGAAATTTTACTAAATAGGTAGATGAAAGCAGGAATTGGCCAACAAAGACAGAAGTGCAGCAAAAAACAAAAAAACAAACAAAAAAAATGGTAACACTGGAAATGAAATTCAAATCCAACATAAGTGGAGTAACAGATGAAGTAGCTGACTGTGGAAATGTTGCCACTGCCACTGTTTGAGAGCTTCTAGATATGCAGCCTGAGGAACTTAGCGAAGGCAAACCTACAGACATAAATGAGGAATGTGGTTGTGACAAAAAGAAGGAATATGTTCCAAAGGAAGTGACACTAGCAAAAAAACCTTCACATTTAAGAAACTCTTGGAGCTACTTCATGACAGTGGAAGCACAAAAGATAAAACGTTGGAAGCTAATCCTAATTTAAAAGAAAGGAGTGTGACAATTTGCCAAGGCACAGAAAAGATGCTCACTTTGCTAGCTCTGCTATTGTAAGTTACACAATGAGAACTGCTCAAACTGCCTTTGATAAGTTTTTTTTACAAAGAAATAAAACACTAATTCTAATTGATTCCAATATCTTCAATGACATTGTGCTAAGTAAATACTTCTAAATTTCCCTATACATTTTAACCTACAATAGAAGAGGTTTTACTGTCTTGACAAAAATTTTTAAAGAGCGTACGTTAAAATACTGTAATTTTCCCCATTTTTAAATTAAGATCATTTTTCATGGTTTCAACTTATACTGTCATTTTTTACAGTCCTGCACTACTGCAAAGTGGGAAATGACTGACTGTACTATCAGTGAACAACGGTTACTAAAGGAGACAATTTATTAATTACTGAGCTTTAATGACTAACAAATGAGAAGTTTGGGATAAACCTAATTGCAGTTAAGTGTTACTTATCAACATGCTTTTAACAATTTTTGCATAAATTTGTTTCCTCTGACCTATTTGTTTAGCATTCTCTCCACATTTTTAATCCATTCTAAAACTGTGCAACATGAAATGTAGAGAAAAAAAGCATACAAAATTGTACACCTCAAAAATTTAACCAAACTCTCATGTAACCCCATTAAGAAATAAAATATTGCCTGTACCAATTGCCAGAACCCGTCCACTTTGGTCCTCTTCCCATTCTTGCTTACCTCCCCAAGATAGGTAACCTTTATTCTTTTTATAATAAGCATTTCCTTGTTTTTCTTTTTATTTTCACAACTTACATAGGCAACTTTAAACACTATAGTTTTGATAGCTTTTTGAAGTTTATATAGACTAATATGATACATATTATTTTATGCCTTGCCTTTTTCATTCCACATTGTAACATTCATCCATACTGCTCTGTGCAGGTTGTTCATTTTCATTGCTGTATAATAGTCCACTATATGACAACACTACAATTTATTTACCCATTCTAATGTTAATGAATTGTTTCCAGTTTGAAGCTATTATGAAGAGGACTATACTGATCATTCATGCACATGTGTCTTAGTGTACACATTTCTATTGTGAATATACTTCAGGACAAGAATAGCCAAGTTAAGGATACACACAACTTCATCTTTAGGAAATGATGCCAAACTGTTCCAGAGACTGTACCAACACTTTACTTTCGGCAGTTAAGAGGCTGCTGCTCCACATCCCCATAACACTTGACACTGTCAGTTTTTAAATTCTAGCTGTTCTTGAGGGTATGTTGTGGCTACTTGTTATAGTTTTAATTTGTGTTTCCCAATTATTGAATTTAAGCACCTTTTCATGTTTCTTGATCTTTTGGGTTTTTCTCTTGGGAAGTGCCTGTTCAATCCTCTTGTCCATTTTTGGCCATTTGTTGTGTTAGGGCTGATTTGTAGAAACACTAGATATGAGCCATTTGAAGGTTATAGGTGATGGGAATCTCTTCTTTCACTTGCTATTCCACTTTCTTAGTGATGTCTTTTAATGAACAGAAGTTTTTACGCTCCATGTGGTAGGGATATTCTCAATCTTTTCAAGTTTAGAACAAAAGCATAGTTTCTAAAATCTTTTTCTACACCAAGATCATAAATATGACCTTTCACTTTATCTCTTAGCTTTGTTTTTTCTTATAATCTGTAACTGATGTGGAATTAATTTTGTGAATGGTGTGATGTAGCAGTTAGGTTTCTTATATATTATTTCAGCACCACTCATTGAAAAGCCTAGTATTTCTCTATTGCTCTATGGTGGCACTTTTGTCATAAATCAAGTTTCTATGTATTTTTAAATCAGATTTTGAGCTACATACTATTCCATTGCTCTTTTTGACTAACCTAGAGCTAATGACAAACTGAATTAATCAGGCTTTATAGTAAGTTCGCTCTGTTGCTCAGGCTGGAGTGCAGTAGTGTAATCTTGGTTCACTGCAACCTTCGCCTCTTGGGTTCAAGCGATTCTCCTGCCTCAGCCTCCGGAGCAGCTGGGACTACAGGTGCCACAACACCCGGCTAATTTTGTGTATTTTTAGGAGATGGGGTCCTGCCATGTTGTCCAGGCTGGTCTCAAACTCCTCAGCTCAGACAATTGACCCACCTCAGCCTCCCAAAGTGCTAGAATTACAGGCTTGAGCCACTGTGCCTGGCTTATAGTTAAGTCTTGATACACAATAGGGCAAGCTCTCCAATCTTGTTCTCCAAAAATATTGTTTATTCTTGACCCTGTGTATTTCCATGTAAATTTTTAGAATAAGATTATCAAGTCACACATAACACATACACCCACCTCTACCTGTTGGGAATTAGACTGGAACTGTTATTAAACCTATCATATTGGGAAGTACTGATATTTATACATTTCTTTCTATCCACGAACATAATACATTGCTCCAACTACTTCAGGATTTTTAAAAGTCTCTTAATGTTTTATAGTTTTCTAAAGAGAAGTCTTATACATCATTATTTATTTGTATGTAGATGTTTTTATAATACTGGAACCACAATATATATTGTTGTATATATAGAAAATAAATTGATTTTTTAATATTGACCCTATATCCCAAGATCTTCCTAATCTCTAACCTATCTGCAATTATTTTGGATTTTTAAATGTACACAATCATATGTGAATAGTGACGATTTCCTCCATTCTAATCCATTTTATATATTTTATTTCTTTTTCTTGCCTTACCACACTAGCTATAATCTTTAATACAATGTGAAATACGTATTTCATATACATAAGGATGATGGCAAACATCCTTGTCTTTTTAACTCAAGCAGAAAAGGCTTCAACATTTCACAAGGCGTCTGTAATACGGTTTTTTTTGTGGTTATTTTGTTTTATAGACACCTTTTAATAGATTAAGGAAGTTCCTTTATTATTATTTTATTTTAATAAGTTTCTGGGGGAACACGTGGTATTTGGGTGCATGTATAAGTTCTTTAGTGGTGATTTCTGAGATTTTGGTGTACCCATCACCCAAGCAGGGAACACTGTACCCAATGTGTAGTCTTTTATCCCTCTCCGTCCTCTCACCCTTTCTCCCAAGTCCCCAAAGTCCATTGTATCATTCCTATGCCTTTGCATCCTCATAGCTTAGCTCCCACTTATGAGTGAGAACATACAATGTTTGGTTTTTCATTCTGGAGTTACTTCACTTACAGTAATAGTCTCCAATTCCATTCAGCTTGCTATGAATGTCATTATTTTCATTCTTTTTTATGGCTGTGTAGTATTCCATGGTGTGTCTGTGTATATATATATACATATACACCATGGTGTTTGTGTGTGTATTCCATGGTGTATACACACACACACACACACACACACCATGGAATACTACACAGCCATAAAAAAGAATGAAAATAATGACATTCATAGCAAGCTGGATGGAATTGGAGACTATGACTGTATGTAAGGTAACTCCAGAATGAAAAACCAAACATCGTGTGTTCTCACTCACTTTTCTTTATCCACTTGTCGAATGATAAGCATTTGGGCTGGTTCCATATTTTTGCAATTATAAATTTGTGCTGCTATATACATACTACATACATCCATATTTTTGCAATTACAAATTGTGCTGCTATATACATGCTATATACATCCATATTTTTGCAATTACAAATTGTGCTGCTATAAACATGCAAGTGCAAGTATCTTTTTTGTAAAATGACTTCTTTGTACAATGACTTTTTTATAGTATCTTTTTTATATAATGCCTTCTTTTCTTCTGGGTAGATATCCAATAGTGGGACCGCTGGATCAAATGGTAGATCTACTTTTAGTTCTTTAAGGAATCTCCACACTGTTCTCCATAGTGTTTGTACTAGTTTACATTCCCACTAGCAGTGTGAAAGTGCTCCTTTTTCAACACATCCATAACAGCAGCTATTGTTTTTTGATTTTTTTTATTATGGCCATTCTTGCAGGAGCAAGGTGGTATTGTGGTTTTGATTTGCATTTCCCTGATTATTAGTGATGGTGACCATTTTCTCATGTTTTTTGGCCACTCGTATATCTTCTTTGGAAAATTGTTTATTCATGTCCTTAGACTACTTTCTGATGGGATTTTTTTTTCTGATATTTGAGTTCATTGTAGATTCTGAATATTAATCCATTGTCAGATGTACAGAGTGTGAAGATTTTCTCCTATTCTGTGGGTTGTCTGTTTACTTTGCTGCTGTGTAGAAGCTTTTTAGTTTAATTAAGTCTTATATATTTATCTTTGTTTTTGTTGCATTTGTTTTTGGGTTCTTGGTCAGGAACTGTTTGCCTAAGCCAATGTCTAGAAGGGTTTTTCCGATGTTATCTTCTAGAATTTTGTCTTGTTTTTATTTTTTTGAGACAGAATCTCGCTCTGTTGCCCAAGGTGGAGAGCAGTGGCATGATCTAAGCTCACTGCAACCTCCACCACGCCCAGCTAATTTTGTATTTTTAGTAGAGATGGGGTTTCACTATGTTGGTCAGGCTGGGTCTCGAACTCCTGACTTCAGGTGATCCACCCACCTCAGCCTCCCGAAGTGCTGGGATTACAGGTGTATGCCACCATGCTTGGCCTTGGGTTGATCTTTTTATAAGGTGAGAGATGAGGATCCAGTTTCATTCTTCTACATGTGGCTTGCCGATTATCGCAGCAATATTTGTTGAACAGAGTGTCCTTTCCCCACTTTATGTTTTCATTTGTTTTGTTGAACATCAATTGGCTGTAAGTATCTGACTTTATTTCTGGGTTCTCTATTCTGTTCCATTGTTCTATGTGCCCTTTTTTTTTTTCTTTTTTGGAGATGGAGTTTCGCTCTTGTTGCCCAGACTGGAGTGCGGTGGCACGATCTCAGCTCACTGCAACCTCTGCCTCCTGGGTTCAAGTGATTCTCCTGCCTCAGCCTCCTGAGTAGCTAGGATTACAGGTGCCCACCACCACGCCTGGCTAATTTTTTTTATTTTTAGTAGAGACAGGGTTTCACTATGTTGTTCAGGCTGGTCTCAAACTCCTGACCTCAGGTGATCTGCCTGCCTCGGCCTCCCAAAGTGCAGGGATTACAGGTGTGAGCCACCGCACCCGGCCTATGTGCCTATTTTTATACCAGTACCATGTTGTTTTGGTTAGTATGCCCTTATAGTATAGTTTGAAGTCAGGTAATGTGATGTCTCCAGATTTGTTCTTTTTGCTTAGTCTTGCTTTAGCTATGCAGGCCCTTTTTTGGTTCCATATGAATTTTGGGAGTTTTTTTTCTAGTTCTGTGAAGAATGACAGTGGTATTTTGATGGAAATTGCATTTTGTAGATTGCTTTTGGCAGTATGGTCATTTTCACAATACTGATTCTACCCACCCATGAGCATGTGATGTGTTTCCATTTTGTTTGTGTTTTCTATAATTTCTTTCAGCAGTGTTTTGTAGTTTTCCTTGTAGAGGTCTTCCACCTCCTTGGTTAGGTATATTTCTAAGTATTTTATTTTATTTGTTGCAGCTATTATAAAAGGGTTTGAGTTCTGGATTTGATTCTCAGCTTGGTCACTATTGGTGTATAGCAGTGCTACTTATTTGTGTATATTAATTTTGTATCCTGAAACTTTACTGAATTCATTTATCAGTTCTAGCTTTTTGGATGAGTCTTCAGGGTTTTCTAGGTATATGATCATTTCATTGGTGAACAGCGACAGTATGACTTCCTCTTTACTGATCTGGATGCCCTTTCTTTTTCGTTGGATTGCTCTGGCTAGGACTAACAAAGTTCCTATTACTACCTGCCCAAGATTTTAAAAAAATCATGCTATCAAATGTTTTTCCTACATTTATCATCATGTTACTCTTACTCTGTTAGTGTGGTGAATTATATTGACTGTGGGGTTTTTTTGTTGGTAAACAACCCTGCACCCTTGGAATTAATCTAATTGTATGAGATGTATGTGGTAGGGAGAATAATGGTCTCCTAAAGCTACCCATGATCTTATTCTCCTGAATCTATGAATATGTTACATTATATGGCAAAGGGCTTAGAATTAAGGTAGTCAATGGAGTTAAGATTTCTAATCAGCTGACCTCAAAATAGGAAGATTATCTTTTTTTTTTTTTTTTTTTTTTTTTACCAATTACTGGATTTAGTTTGGGTTTGTCATTACTTTTTGGCCTTTTGGCTAAGATCAAGTGTAGTTTTGGTTTGTTAATATAATTAGTTTTTTGCATTTACATCCATGAGAGAAAACAGTCCATTATCTTTTTTTTTTTTTTTTTTTTTTTTTGAGATGGAGTCTCGCTCTGTCGCCCAGGCTAGAGTGCAGTGGCGCAATCTCAACTCACTGCAAGCTCCGCCTCCCGGGTTCATGCCATTCTTCTGCCTCAGCCTCCCGAGTAGCTGGGACTACAGGCACCTGCCACCATGCCCAGCTAATTTTTTTGTATTTTTAGTAGAGACGGGGCTTCACTGTGTTAGCCAGGATGGTCTCGATCTCCTGACCTCGTGATCTGCCCGCCTCAGCCTCCCAAAGTGCTGGGACTACAGGCATGAGCCACTGCGCCCAGCCAAAATGGTCCGTTATCTTAATGTAATGTCCTTGAAAAGTTTTTTGTTTTTGTATTAATTTCTAGAATAAGGACATTGTGGTCAGAAAATACACTTTGTATCACTTCATCCTTTTAAAATGTATTTACACTTTATTGTCCAAAATAGTCAATTTTTGTAAACATTCCAGGGATACTGAAAAAGAATATACATTTTGTTATTGGTGGTTGCAGTGGTCTACGTATGTCCATTAGTTACATCTGCTAATGTACCTACATCTTCTATAGCTTTACTGAGTTTTGTCTACTGGTCTATCAGAGAGACATGTTAAGACTGCCCACTAAGACTATACAGTTGTTAAATTCTCCATATGATTTATATATTTCAAGACTATGTTATTAGGTATATTTACCATTATTAAGTTTCCTCTATCTCTAATAATATGGTTTTTGCTTAAAAGTCTAATTTTTGTAGCCGTACCAGCTCTTTTGGTTGTGTTTGCATGATAGAGCTTTTCCTTTCAACCTTCTCCTATCTTTGTTTTAAACATGTCTCTTCACAGAATACAGTTAGCTGCTGCCTTTTGCTTTATTTTTCTTTAACTTAGTTTGTTAATATCTGACTACTTTTATTGGTATAATGCTAACGTTCTTTCTGCCCAAGATATTCTACTTGCCCTACTCCTACTTGTTCTTCAAATTTTAGCTCCAATGATAACATTCCCTGATCCCCCAGTCTCAATGAGATGTGGTCCTCCTGTTAAAATTTTCTCACATCAACCTCTAATTTTTCCTTATGACACTTGTCTCAGTTTGTAATTATGTATCTTCATGATTGATTTCTGTCTCCTTTATTAGTCATAAAGCAGGTTTCATGTGTTTTACAGTATCCTTGGTGCCTGGTACATGCTTGGCACATAAGAAATGTTAAATATGTATCTGCTGAATAACTCAAAATTTCTTAATTCCAGTTCATATCTCTCTCCTAAAGCTGCAGCTATGCATATGCAACTGACTTCTAGAAATTTTTACTTGGAGGTTCCATAAAACCTATTAAATTCAAAACATTCAAAACTGAATTCCTTATATTTTCCCCTTCAAATCTAGGCATCATCTTCAATTCTGCCATACCACTGCAATCTCTTCTCTATATCCAATAGAGGATCAAGCCTTATTAATTCTAAATTAACATCTCTCATATTCTGATAATCCTTTTCTATTCTAACTGCTACTACTTTAATTCAAACCATAGTCCTCTCTCACTTGGTTAGACTTATGAAAACAGGTAATTCAAAATCTAAGCTGTTGGACTCTATTTTGCGCCTTAAAGGAATGTGATTATGGGACCTCAGTCACGTGACAGGCAGCTGTAACTTATGCAGCTGTAACCTTTGTTTCTCTGATTATATACTGGCCTCCTTCCTTACCTACACTGTTTTATAAAATGTTGCACATGACGAAAGGACCCCAGGGAAGACCTCTTCCTTCTTCACTGCTGATTTTCATTATGGATTAACTTCCCTCTGACCTTTCTCACACAAAGACTTTGTGGCTATCACACTGTCATAAGATGGAATGTTAAGCATACTCTTTAAAATCAGAAAGGAAATTAAAAAACATCTGTAAAGGAAAGAAAAGCCAGGTGGAAAAGAAAATAAACTGTAACTAATTACTGTAACTCATAAACCAGACTTCTATTAAAAAGAAGTTGCAATCCTATTAAATTTCTGTTTTCCTCCTATGTAAGTATCACAGGGTCCTTAGGGTGTGTCACTTTTCCAGCTGGAAACCTCTGTGGCCAGTGGCACCTGTGCCAGAGTTTTGCTCAGGGCCACTGGGCTTGTTCCGCTCACTCAGCCTGGCAGGCTGCGCAGCTCATACTACCAGCCTGGATCCCACACCTGCCAAGGGTGAGCCAGGCACGGAGTGGCAAGGGGTGTGTAAGCAAGCACAGGGTCTGGCCACTGTGCATAGCCAAGCATGCTGGCTGCAGTGGGGCAGGGAGCTCCAGGTGCTGGCACAGGTGTTGGCTCCCTGAGAGGCTGCGGCTGGACTAGGTATACCACAAGTGGCTTCCACCACAGGAACCAGGGAACACTGTGGTGCCCAGAAGCTTGTAGACACCAGGAACTGCAGAGCCCCAAAGAGAGTGTCACAGCAATGGCTTAGGAAGCTCCTAGGTCTGGGATCTCCAAAGGCCACAGCTATTTTCACCTTCTCTCTTCTCTTCTTCTCATTGCCTGCAATGTGGCAAGTGAGGATCATGTTTCAGCTCTGTGTTATAGCTCTTCCAGTCCTGCCATTCAGCAGGTCCCGAGTTCTTGTCCCACGTCTGGGAAGAATGAAGCATGTGAAGAGGAGCATCACTGAGCGACAGAACAGCTCTCAGGACACCGGAAGCGGGTAGTCCCTTTTCACAGGCAGATCATCCCAATGAGTGTCCAGCTCTCAGCAGAGAAGAGACCAGGAGTGGGTAGCTCTTCTCCATAGGGAGGTTGTCCCAATGAGTTGAGGAGACCCAAAGTGGGTAGCTCCTTCCTGCAGCTAGTAGTCCCAATGTCTGTGTGAATCTGGCTGAGTCTGAAGTTTTTATGGGCTCAGAAGGGAGGAAGAGCATGCTGATTGGTCCATAGGCGGCCATGGGTGGGCTTGGAAAAGACACCATAAGTTCTCACTGTGGTCCACAGAACTGAGAGCCCAGCCCCCAGGCTACAGGCCTTCCCTGGCTTAAAGATGGGGTTTCACTTGGGACCCACCCTTTTCCACTCAGGAGCCTGTCTGCCTCCTGTCACCATCAACATGCTGTCCATGGCACCCAGGCTGTTCATGCTGAGAGATGCCTTCAGGCCTGAGCCGAGCTTCCCTCAGCCTCACTTCCATTTTCCTCCCATGCTCATAGGCACCCAAAGTCTGGAGGGGGTCAAGGTGGCAGGGGTTGGTGTGTCAGTACTGCCTTGAGCACACACACACCTGGCCAGCTTGTGACACCACCCGGGCTTAGCCACAACTTTGCTCTGCCCTGGAACAGGTGCCGGGATCGGGGAGAGACCAGGGAGTGGGAGCAGGCACTTCCAAGCCTGTGGGGGCAAAGAGATTTCCCAGGCCCCCAAGAGCACGGGGATGGCCAGGACCACAGCCCGTGGCTGGGTGGCTGCAGTTGTGCCCAGTAGCACAGGGCTCCCACCCCACCAACTTGGTAGAGCGCAGGGCTCCCACCTGTTCCCAGCCCTGACCGCTCCTCCCCCGTTGCAGCCAGCATCTTTGCAGCAGCTGCTACATACGGGCTGCTGCCGCCATCATAAGCAAAACCTTAACTTTTAACTTCAGAGCACTGACCCCATTTCTCTGAAGTCTGCATCTCCTGAATGGCTATTCCCAGCTTTTTGCTTGAATAAACTCTTTAAACTGGATTCTGATTCTTTCAATTATCTTAGGTTGACAGACTAGACTTTCTTCCTCCAGTCTTATATTTTCTCCTTGTCATTCCATCTACACCACCACTCCCACCAATTCAATCCATCCCACACCACTGCTTTAAGAATAGAGCAGATCCCCTCCAATCCATGGAGGATACATTCCAAGACCTCCAGTGGATGCCTGAAACCACAAATAGTACTGAGCCTATATATACTATGTTTTTTCCTATTCATACCTGTAACATTTAACTTATAAATTAGACACAGTAAGAGGATAACCCAATAACTAATAATAGAAAATTATAATAATATACTATAACAAAAGTTGCATGAATATGACCTCTCGCTCTCTCAAAACATCTAATTGTACTTGTAATATTATGAAATATTTATTTGGTTGGCTTTCCACCCAATTTTCTGGGATACAACTTCTAAATTCCTTAGAATATCTAAAGCATTGCTTTTTTGTAGGATTGGGGCTGGTCACCTGAAAGACAAATGCATGATTAGAGGGTTGGAACTTTCAGCCCCATCCCCCTAACATCCAGGGAGCTGAGACAGGCTGAATGTTAAGTTGACACCAATAGCCAAAGGTTTATTCAATCATGTCTATGTAATGAAGCCTCCCTAAACACTCATAAGGATGGGTCTGGAGAGCTTCCAGAGAGGTAAACACATGGAGGTTCCTGGAAAGTGGTATGTCCTGGAAAGGCATGGATGCTCTATGCCCCTTCCCCTATAACTTGCCCCATGCATTCTTATCTATGTTCCTTGTAATACCCTTTAATAATAAATTGGTAAGTATAAGTGCTTCCCTGAGTTCTGTGAGCCACTCCAGCAAATTAATCAAACCCAAAGGGGGAGTCATAGGAACCCAACTTGAAGTGGGTAGGAACAGAAGTTCCAGAGGCCTGAACTTGCAACTGGTATCTCAAGAGGTGGCAGTCTTGTGGGACTGAACCCTCAATCTATGGGATCTGACACTATCTCCAGGTAGATAGTGTCAGAATTGAATTGAAGAACACCCAGCCAGTGTCTGCTGAAGAATTAATTGCTTGCTTGGTGTGCGGGGAAAAACCCCACACAACTGATCACACAAGTATTCCGTGTTGATTGTTGCTGTGGTGTGAGAGCAGAGGAAAAACACATTGAGTGTGTTTCTTCAACTCACAGTACTGAACTCCCCCTTCTTGTGATGGTGTGAAATGATAAAATGCCTACAGGATCAGATGAAATGAGGTGAATGACATAGCTACTGTGACATAGTGTTAAGCTATGTCAGAAGGAGCCATGACAATGTCAACGGTTGAAAGTCAGGAGCTGAGGATGTCAATGACCAATGAGAAGGAAGCATATACAGTGTGGATATGCTAGACAAAAGGATGAATCACATTCCAGGCAGGATGGCACAAGATTTCATCATGCTACTCAGAATCACATGCAATTTAAAACTTATGAATTTTTTTTTCTGGAATTTTCCATTTAATATTTTTGGGCCATGGTTGACCACTGGTAACTAAAACCACAGAAAGCAAAACCATGAATGAAAGGGGGACTATTGCATTATAAAAATTTTGAATCTGGAAATGTCCTTCTGCAAAATCAAACCCTTCCTTGGTTCCTTGTTGTCAGGGTAAAGTCCAAACATAATATACAAGGTTCTTCAGGATTTAGCCCACCTCCTCACTTCTACCCTCATTTCTCACTACACTCCTACATTATACTCTAATTATTCTAAATATATCTTACTGTTTTATAGTCCTGCCTTTCCTCATGCTGCTCTCTGCCTGGGATGTATTTCACTTTTTTATCCTCAGAGAGAATATATAATTGTTCAAGACTAGACTCAGGCAGCAACTCTTTTCTGAAGACTAACTGAATCCCCCAGGCAGATGTAACCATCTACTCTTTGATGCCCTCAACATGGATCCACAAATGCATCTACCGAATTACTACCAATTATACTTTACTATACTGTGCTTATTTGTTTACACATCCATGCCTGAATGTCAGCTTTTAGAAGGCAAAAATCTTGCCTTACTCGCCTTACTCAACTTGTATCTCCAAGATCTAGAACACAGATGTTCAACAGCTAATCAATAAATAAATGGAAGAAATAACAAAATCATGAGCTTTAAGGAAGCCAAAAAAGAAAAAATAGGTTGCTGCGGGAAGACAGACACACATACACTTATCTTTTTTTTTTTTTCTTTGAGTCGGAGTCTCGCTCTGTCACCCAGGCTGGAGTACAATGGCATGATCTCGGCTCACTGCAACCTCCGCAACCCAGGTTCAAGCGATTCTCCTGCCTCAGACTCCTGAGTAGCTGGGATTACAGGTGCGCACCGCCACGCTCAGCTAATTTTTGTATTTTTAGTAGAGACAGGGTTTCACCGTGTCAGGCTGGTCTCGAACTCCCGACCTCGTGATCCACCCGCCTCACACATACACTTTCTAAAGCAACTACTTAATCATGATTCTAAGGAGCTGCTTTTTTGTATGTGCATGGAAAAGAAATACATTTGAGAAAAATAATATCTTACAAATGTATTATGGAATCATAGGCTTGCTTGTTTCACTCTCCCAAGAAAAAGCATGGATGGATCATATCTTACTCATTTCTTCATCTTTATGGGCTAGCTCAGAGTTCAAGGGTATAAAATCACACACATTTTGATGAAAGGAATGTACAGCATACAGACTAGTTTTGAAATATTATCCAAATCGCAAAAGAAAAATGGCTTTCATTGTGATTAAAATAGTGCCTTTAGGTACAATGCAAAAGCTTTTTAGAGAGAAAACCTTTCCTCATCCTTTCTTTTTACTTCAGTTTCAACACCAGATCCATTTTCTTATTTCTCTACCTTATTCCTTGGTGATTTCTAATGTCATTTATCTAACTCAACTATCAAAATCTCAGTGGCAGAAAGTAAAATAAAGCCTAATAACTTTATCTCCTAAATCCTGAGAAAACTGCCTGATTCCCATTTTAGAGCAATCCCAACACCATCTTTTTCATGGGATCCTTTGTCAGGCTAGAAAAGAATTTTAAAAAAATCAAAAAACAAAAGAAACCCTAAATGCTAAAAGGTATAATTTAATCATCAAGCAAATATAAAATCAAATTCATCTCAGTATTTTTAATACTGCAAATGATACACTGTTTAAGAATTTAAACATTGCATAGAATGAACCAATTACATATAATTTAACATCTTTTAATCCATCAGTGCCTAACTTGCTTAATAAGGGGGAACTTTTTTATTAAAAAGGGCTAAATTATACGGTGCTATAACATAAAATAACCAATTTTTGAATTTCCCGACTATTATATAACACATGTGGTTCCAAAAGTAATTTGGTTTCCCAATGATGTAAAAAAAAAAAAAAAAAAAAACTAAAGCAATTCCCAAGTTTCTTCGTTTATTTTCCTGTGTTCTTATCAATTAAACTATCAATTGCTGAAGCAAACATCAATAGATTGTTGAGAGTACGTAAACTAAAGAATATATCCCCTAAAAAGATTTTAAAATAATTTTTAAGAATAACTTAGCTAAAATCTTAATAATCTGTTTTTAATTTTAAAAAAAACCTTTTCATGGGTATACTTTTAAATCCTGATATAGATTTTAACATTAAAAATAAAATGAGCTACAATACTGTTTATAAGATCTCACAATATCTTATATTGAAAGCCCTCTTTTAAGAAGGCAAGGAAAATGAAACTACTGAAATCTAACCATAGCAAAATGTTTGACAGAATTCTAAATTGTTTATTTTGATGACTACTGCTAATATTGATAATATACTCTCTGTTAAAGAATGCCTTCTCTTGATTCAAAATGAGGCATATATATGTATGAGTATAAGCAATATATAAAGTATTAAAAATAACCCAAGATCAGATGTCATAATGATTTTATGAATTGAGAAATCAGAAAAGTACACTATCTAAATTCTGATTTCAGAACTCAAAAAATGGCCTGTAAAGTTTATTTAAAACGTTTAAAGGACTCCTTGTAGTTAACAATTCAGAGGAAAATAAAATAGCTGCTTATTTTAAGATGTCACAGAAATAATTACATTAACAGTTAATAATTGCTTTATGGGTTATACAAAGAACATAAGAATTAAAAGTATTTTATTACCTAATCAATGACAAGTGATTAATTCTTTACATTCATGGTCAATGAAATAATTTACGATCATTTAAAGGTGTTTCAGTATTTTTAAAATGACATTAATGTTAACTAAAAAATTATATGTCATAGAAATATAATTTTCATTGTTGGACATTTGGGTTGGTTCCAAGTCTTTGCTATTGTGAATAGTGCCGCGATAAACATACGTGTGCATGTGTCTTTATAGCAGCATGATTTATAGTCCTTTGGGTATATACCCAGTAATGGGATGACTGGGTCAAATGGTATTTCTAGTTCTAGATCCCTGAGGAATCACCACACCGACTTCCACAATGGTTGAACTAGTTTACAGTCCCACCAACAGTGTAAAAGTGTTCCTATTTCTCCACATCCTCTCCAGCACCTGTTGTTTCCTGACTTTTTAATGATTGCCATTCTAACTGGTGTGAGATGGTATCTCACTGTGGTTTTGATTTGCATTTCTCTAATGACAAGTGATGATGAGCTTTTTTTCATATATTTCTTGATGGCATAAATGTCTTCTTTTGAGAAGTGTCTGTTCATATCCTTTCCCCACTTGGTGATGGGGTTGTTTGTTTTTTTCTTGTAAATTTGTTGGAGTTCATTGTAGATTCTGGATATTAGCCCTTTGTCAGATGAGTAGGTTGCAAAAATTTTCTCCCACTCTGTAGTTTGCCTGTTCACTCTGATGGTGGTTTCTTTTGCTGTGCAGAAGCTCTTTAGTTTCATTAGATCCCATTTGTCAATTCTGGCTTTTGTTGCCATTGCTTTTGGTGTTTTAGACATGAAGTCCTTGCCCATGCCTATGTCCTGAATGGATATGCCTAGGTTTTCTTCTAGGGTTTTTATGGTTTTAGGTCTAACGTGTAAGTCTTTAATCCATCTTGAATTAATTTTTGTATAAGGTGTAAGGAAGGGATCCAGTTTCAGCTTTCTACATATGGCTAGCCAGTTTTCCCAGCACCATTTATTAAATAGGGAATCCTTTCCCCATTTCTTTATCAGGTTTGTCAAAGATCAGATAGTTGTAGATATGCGGCATTATTTCTGAGGGCTCTGTTCTGTTCCATTGGTCTATCTCTCTGTTTTGGTACCAGTACCATGCTGTTTTGGTTACTGTAGCCTTGTAGTGTAGTTTGAAGTCAGGTAGCGTGACGCCTCCAGCTTTGTTCTTTTGGCTTAGGATTGACTTGGCGATGCGGGCTCTTTTTTGGTTCCATATGAACTTTAAAGTAGTTTTTTCCAATTCTGTGAAGAAAGTCATTGGTAGCTTGATGGGGATGGCATTGAATCTATAAATTACCTTGGGCAGTATGGCCATTTTCACGAAACTGTTTCTTCCTACCCATGAGCATGGAATGTTCTTCCATTTGTTTGTATCCTCTTTTATTTCATTGAGCAGTGGTTTGTAGTTCTCCTTGAAGAGGTCCTTCACATCCCTTGCAAGTTGGATTCCTAGGTATTTTATTCTCTTTGAAGCAATTGTGAATGGGAGTTCAGTCATGATTTGGCTCTCTGTTTGTCTGTTATTGGTGTATAAGAATGCTTGTGATTTTTGCACATTGATTTTGTATCCTGAGAATTTGCTGAAGTTGCTTATCAGCTTAAGGAGATTTTGGGCTGAGACAATGGGGTTTTCTAGATATACAATCATGTCATCTGCAAACAGGGACAATTTGACTTCCTCTTTTCCTAATTGAATGCCCTTTATTCCCTTCTCCTGCCTGATTGCCCTGGCCAGAACTTCCAACGCTATGTTGAATAGGAGTAGTGAGAGAGGGCATCCCTGTCTTGTGCCAGTTTTCAAAGGGAATGCTTCCAGTTTTTGTCCATTCAGTATGATATTGGCTGTGGGTTTGTCATAGGTAGCTCTTATGATTCTGAGATACATCCCATCAATACCTAATTTATTGAGAGTTTTTAGCATGAAGGGTTGCTGAATTTTGTCAAAGGCCTTTTCTGCATCTATTGAGATAATCATGTGGTTTTTGTCTTTGGTTCTGTTTATATGCTGGATTAAGAAAATGTGGCACATATATACCATGGAATATTATGCAGTCATAAAAAATGATGAGTTCATGTCCTTTGCAGGGACATGGATGAAGCTGGAAACCATCATTTCTCAGCAAACTATAACAAGGACAAAAAAACCAAACACTGCATGTTCTCACTCATAGGTGGGAATTGAACAATGAGAACACATGGACACAGGAAGGGGAACATCACACACCGGGGACTGTTGTGGGGTGGGGGGAGGGGGGAGGGATGGCATTAGGAGATATACCTAATGCTAAATGACGAGTTAATGGGTACAGCACACCAACATGGCACACGTATACATATGTAACAAACCTGCACGTTGTGCACATGTACCCTAAAACTTAAAGTATAATAACAAAAAATATAATTTTCATTTTTCACAATACAGTATTAAATACTTATTCAAACTAAAGGATTACATTATGTGACCTAAAGGAACAGGTTAAAATAAGTATTCTAATAAAAACAATTTCAATATTTCAAATATGTTAAGAATTTTGGGTAGGGCAAATACTTATTAAGAAATGTCCTCCCTTCTTAAGAATAGAAGCCACTTAATTTTGCACAATTGGCAAGTTAAATAATTTGAGTATAAGAATGTTTAAATAGAGCTTTGCTCTTCATAGAAATAATTTTCTTAATAAACTCCCATGCCAATGACAAAATACTTTATAATTGTGACAGATATTATTAAATATAAAAATTTAAAATAAGAATGCATGAAGAACTGTACATTAAAAATATATCTAATTTTTTATTTAAAAATATATATATCTAACTTTAAAACCATATTTCAATTATACAAAACCACAGGTCTTTAAACGGTGATTTAATATAAAATATATTTGCAAGGTTATTGTTTAGAAGTGTATCAGAAACAGAATTTTATAATTTACCTTTCCCTAAATCTATAATGCACATTATCTCAAACTGTTTCATTATTGTAAACTAAAAAACTGAAGTTCAAAATAACTTCACTTACCAGTGAAATAGAAGCTTGTGTTTCTTGTGTAAAACCACCTCAGGAATATATAGAAATCATAAATTTCCTCTTTGTTGTGAGAAGCAAACTTTAAAACTACTCACTACTCATGAATCTCTAAAGGAGATTCATAGGAAAATGACAAAACCAATTTAGGTACTCACAGGACTAAAGAACTAGTCATCATGCTGAACATCTCCAGTTATTTGCTCTGAGGTACTCTGGCTCTTGGTTTAAAAAAAACTGCCCTAAGAACAGTGCTATCTTTACCAAAAATAAATATATAAATAATTATGTCACCTGAGGCCAGGCGCGGTGGCTCACACCTGTAATCCCAGCACTTTGGGAGGCCGAGGAGGGTGGATCACGAGGTCAGGAGATCGAGACCATCCTGGCTAACACGGTGAAACCCCATCTCTACTAAAAATACAAAAATTAGCCGGGCGTGGTGGCGGGCGCCTGTAGTCCCAGCTACTCGGGAGGCTGAGGCAGGAGAATGGCGTGAACCCGGGAGGCGGAGCTTGCAGTGAGCCGAGATCATGCCACTGCACTCCAGCCTGGGCAACAGTGCGAGACTCCGTCTCAAAAAAAAAAAAAAAAAATTATGTCACCTGAAGTCACAATAGCAAAGCATTAAATTTTGATAGGCTACTAAAGTCGAAAATAACACATTGCTAAGCAAACTAAAGCAAAAAGGAAATGAAGAAATAAGCTACATACTCAGCAATTCATAACACTGACATTTCTGACAGAGTCAAGAAAACTGTATGCTAATGAAATAATCAATAGTATTATACACCTATAGAGTGGAAAGAAGACTGTATATAGTCATCTTAGTAATAAAATCCACTAAATAGTAGTATTTTCTTATGTGATTCCATGTTACTCTCAAAGAAAATATGTACTTCCTTTAAATTAATATAACCACTACTGAAACTTACTTGACAAATCATTATACAAGCATAATACTGCACCAAGGTTATTACTGTATTATTTTTCTTTTGAGACAAGGTCTTATTCTGTCACCCAAACTGGAATGCAGTGGCGTGATCACAACTCACTGCAGCTTCAACCTCCCTGGCTAAAGCAGTCCTCCCACCCTCAGTTTCCCAAGTAGCTGGGACTACAGGGTGTGCCAGCACACCTGGCTAATTTTTAAATTTTTTGAAGAGACGAGATTTTGCCATGTTGCCCGGGCTGGCCTCAAACTCCTGGGCTCAAGTAATCCTCCTGCCTTAGCCTTTCAAAGTGCTAGGATTATAGACATGAGCCACTGCACCCAACCACCAAGTTTATTTTTAGTGGTTTAAAAGATGTTAAAATTGAAGTTTGAGGCATCTAAACCACAAATGCAGAACTAAGCTACTTGAAAAACAAGATTGTCTTCTTCATATTGCAAGTATTTCTAAAAACATATACCTATCAAATACATTGTACTTTATATGAAAAACGGCAGTACTGACACACTGCCATCCATTCATTCATTCATCTAACCAACCATTTACTGAACATCAGTGAAATAAGTACTGTGTGCCAAGTGCTAAAGATAAAGGGGTGAGCAAAACCAAACAATCCCCCGTGTATTTCCTAGAATCTAGTATCTAATTACGCTTATAAGTATAATGGAGTAAAAGTAGGGGACACTATAAAGGGGACCTGTCTCCTTAAGGAAGTAATATTTAAATTAAGAACAAAAGGATTATTAGCTAAGCTAGCTAAGCTGGGGAAACTGAAGCTTGTGCGTGTGTTTTCATTCTTAGAATGAAAGGTGGACAGGGAATAATAATGAGAGCAAGCCATCATGGGTGAAGTGCAATCAGAGACTCTAGGGTTAGTAGGGGGTCAGATTAGGTAGGACCTTGAAGGTCATATTGACGATTTTCTATGTTGTCCTAATGGAAAACCCTTGAAGGGTTTTAAGCAAAGGAGTGCCAAGATCAGGAATGACCATTCATTCTAATTGCTCTATGGAGACTTGGGCAGTGGGGAATGGCAGAATAAATGCAGGTAGACCAGACAGAAGATGAATAAAGTAGTCCAGAGACAGAGATGGTAGTCACTTGGACTATGTGATAGTGATACAGAAGCATGTCAACTCAAGATATATTCTGGAGGTAGAAGGAAACAGGCTAATAATTAATTAGATCACCAGAAGGGGTGAAGCCCAAGTTCTTGGCTTAAGAAACTTTCTATAGTCAGCCAAAAACTGAAAATTATTTCTAAAGCAGATCAATTATATCAATATATGACTCCCTATCCACAAAGTCTATGGGATTAGGAAAAGACTTATGACTAACTCTAGTAATATGTACAACCAAGTAACTGGGCTCATGGAGAGAGTAATTTAATGGTATTTGGGACAGGGGTAGTGGGAGAATGATGAGTTTTAAAGCCAAAATTAATTGAGAAAGCAAGAGAACATTTAGTGGCTTTCCTTTTTTTCCCCCTTTCATTTTTTTCCTTACATTTCATTATTCTGTATGGCATATGCCCGCTTTACCTATTTCAGCCTGAAGGATAAATCTTAGATTTACTTAATTGCTTTGTTCGCCTACATCGTTGCCATTCTCTATGCCCTGTAACTTCAGTCCACCTGACTTCTAGAATAGAGAGCCAGGGTAAACACAATATTCCTGGCATTTCACCTTCCAATGCCCCACAATTCATATGAAATGTCATCTTCTTTCTGTAGGAGACAGCATGGAAGAGGAAGACTCTGTCTTAAAAAAAAAAAAAAAAAAGGAAAGAAAGAAAGAAAAAAACAAAAAGAAAAGAATCTTAACCTGGAAGAGAAATTAAAACACCAAATAATTCATATCCGATTTTTGTAGATTAGCAAACTTACCTGAAAAAGCTAAGAAACTTCTCTAAGTTCACAAAATCAGTGGCAGAGATGAGACTAGATTTTGTCTTCAGATTTTGCATCTATTGCTTGCTCTACTGTATTTTTGTCAGTATACATATTTTAATTTTTTATTTCAAGTTTCTGGGGTACATGGATAAGTGATTTGGTAGTGATTTCTGGGATTATGGTACACCCATCACCTGAGCAGTGTACACTGTACCCAGTATGTAGTCTTTTATCCCTCAGCCCCCTCCCACCCTCTTAATCTGTTACTGTTTATTATTACTATTATTATTTTGTAGAGATGGGGTCTCCCTAACTTGCCTGCCCAGGCTGGTGTCGAACTCCTGAGCTCAAGCAATCCTCCTGCCTCAGCCTCCTATTAGAGATGTGAGCCACTATACCTGGCCTTGTTACTGTATTTAAGTCTATTTTGTATTCTCGACAAATTGGCCTCCCAAATTTCACAATACCCTAAAAGATTTTCAATGGTATTTTGAAGCTCCAAATAATGTTCCTCAATTCCCAGATGACTACTTCCTTCAATAAATATTTACAGATTACATATTATGGTTAAAATATAGAAAGTGAAAGGAATAGAAAAGAAGTAAAATAGCTTCACCACCCAGCAGCTTACAAAATAATCAGGAAGCAAAAATATGTAACAGAAAATGTAAAACAATAAAAATGAACATATAGCTAAGGTCTAAAGTAGACTAAGGTAAATTATTATGCATGTAGAGAGAATGAAATCAAAACCAGCTAAAGAGGTTAAAGGAAGACAGTAATTTAGACCTGTTCTGTCCAATAAATTAACCAGCTAGCCACAAGTTGCTAAATTAAAACGAAGTAAATAATTTAAAAATCAGTTCCTCAGTCACACTAGCCACATTTCAAGTGCTCAATAGCCATACTGGACAGGGTAGTTACAGAACACTACCTTCACTGCAGAAAGTTGTACTGGACAGCACTGATGTCCATCACAAGTAAAACAGCAAGTTGAGAATAAGAGAGGAAAAATAAGGACACTTGCTTGAAAGGAAAACAGAAGCAGGAATAAAAGATTTTTTAAAAAAGCAATCAAATTGAAGATTTTGAACTTTGGTGGTCAACAAGGAACAAATAAGTTCCTTAAAAGGAGTAAAAGGGCTGGGCACAGTGGCTCACGCCTGTAATCACAGCACTTTGGGAGGCTGAGGCGGGCAGATCACCTTACATCAGGAGTTCGAGACCAGCCTGGCTAACATGGTAAAACCCCGTTTCTACTAAAAATACAAAAAATTAGCCAGGCTTGGTGGCACGAGCCTGTAATCCCAGCTACTTGGGAGGCTGAGGCAGGAGAATCACTTGAACCCAGGAGGCGAAGGTTGCAGTGAACTGAGATCACGCCATTGCATTCCAGCATGGGCATCAAGAGTGAAACTCTGTCTCAAAATAAAAGAGTAAAAGAGGACAAACATTTGATCT
The DNA here is from genome assembly GCF_000001405.40 of Homo sapiens. Classification (NCBI taxonomy): domain Eukaryota; kingdom Metazoa; phylum Chordata; class Mammalia; order Primates; family Hominidae; genus Homo; species Homo sapiens. The sequence continues at coordinate 110,151,074 of NC_000006.12, forward strand.
TAAAAAGATTTTAATGTGTATTATGGAGTAAATGTGGAATGACTAGAGAGAGTAAACCACTGGGTCATAGGGTATATATACACATACATACATACAGCTTTAGTAACTATTGTCAAATAGTTTTCAAAGTGCTTGAACTAATTTATACCCCCATCAGCAACTTACGAGAGTTCCAGCTGTTTGACATTCTTGGTAACACTTGGTATCACACACTAGCAATTTGAGGATCCAAGCAAAACTAACCACATTTCATTCTAAAGTTTCATCTAGTCTACTAAAATTTTTAATTTCCAAAATCTTTGGCCACAAATAACTATAATAAAATATTAAATGTATTACTCTTGATTGAATGCTTTCTAGGAAATAAACAAGGTGGAGATAAAAGCATCCTACATGTTATAAAAACAATTATTTCCCACATTCTGTAATATAAGAATTCTATAAACTCAAGAATTCCAAGATTGGTCTAAACAATAGGATCAACAAAATGCACACTTACATTCATTCATCTCTTGCACAAGTTTAATAAAGTAATAGTAATTTTTAAATACTACTTTATATTTGTAGACATACATGAAATCACAATATTAATCACAATTTTGAGTGAACTTAAAAAACTTACAAAATCACCTCTATTATGTTTACTTTTTAGCTACTTCCTCAACTTTCTACTGTTTCTTAACATCATAGATGAAAGAAAATTAAAAAATATAGAAAAAGTGGTAAGTATATTATTATCTTAGTTCTATTTCCCCACTGGACATGGAAATGCTATGCCAAATCAAATCAGTGAGAAAAATCAACTTACATCTTATTTGGGTGTCACAACCATCCCATTATATGCACATATTATTATATATTTTTGTCCTTTTTAGAAAAAAAATATAAACTTTATTGAGGTATAAGTGAAGCACAACATACAGCATGTGGCAGGCAGAATTCTAAGATGGCCGCATGATATCCAGTCCCTAGCACTATTCCTATGATTATATTACATGTTAAGAGAGGTTTTAAAGATATAATTATGGTCAATTATCAGCTGACCTTAAAATTGGGAGATTATATGGGTGGGCTTAACCTAATCACATGAGCCCTTTGAAAGTAGAGCTTTCTCCAGCTGACAACGGAGAAAGGAGGCAAAGATTTGAAGCATGAGGGAGATGTGGCAGCTACTGCTGGCTTAAAGATGGAGGGAACCTGAAAGCAGTTCTAGGAGCTAGAAACCTTTTTCTGACACCCAGGGAGAAGACAGGAACCTGGAAACCAGGAACAATAATATTAAATCCAACAAAAACTTACTCTGGTTAACTACTCTCCTTAAGTTGGGATTCTGTTATTATTTCATATATGTCTGTATTATCAAAATTCTTCTAAACTTTGATTTTGTCTTAGTCCAACAGAAACAATTCACAATACAATGAAGAATTATATCCATCAGGAAAAATAGAATCTGCCTCTGTACTTGTTAGATATTAAAAGAGAAGCTTAAGATTGTACAACTACCAGGAACTTGAATGAGCTTGCAAGGTGATTGTTCCCCAGAGCCAACAGAAAAGAAATGTAGCCGTCAGTGCCATGATTTTGGACTTCTGAGTCCCTATGCAGAGAATCCAGCCAAGCCTATTCATACTTCTGACTTATAGGACTATAAGATAATTACTAGAGATGTTTTAGCCTGCTAAATGTGTGGTAATTCGTTAAGCAGTGATAGAAAACTAATGCATTGCACATACTGGTGTAAAATTTGATTAGGTTTATAACAGTTTTAACATGGCTTAATACTGTGAAATCATCACAATCATCCCCCAAATTTTCTCCTTTGTAATCCCTTCCTCCCCTCATGTTTCCAAGGACCACTGACCTGTCACCATAGATTAATTTGCTTGTTGAATTCTATATAAATGGATTCACAGAGTAGTAACTATTGTCTGCCTTCTTTTGTTCAGCCTAATGATTGAGATGATTGAGATTCATCCATGTTGTTGCACTTGTTTATGGAAATTTGGGTAATATTCCGGTTTTGATTATTGTAAATAAAGTAACTTATGAACATTTTATACAAGTCTCTATGTGGATATGGTTTTGTTTTTCTTGGGTAAATACTTAGCAGTGGAACGGTTGGGTTATACGTTTAGCTTTGTAAAAAACTACAAAATTGCTTTCCAAAGCAGTTTAACCATTTTACATTTCCACCAACAGAGTTCTAGGTGAAGATAGGGAGCCAGGAAATAATAATGGCAAAATAGTTTAACCAAATCTACTGTTCTGGTTTCTGTTCCAGTTTGACCTTATGGCAGATAAAAATAACTAGCTGTACAATGTAATGATAAACTGACATTTTGAGTCCAAAAAGAAAGTTTAAGACTGATTTAATAAGAGCCCTAATATTTAAAAGAAGCCATAGATTAAATCAATCTATGTTGATTTCTCACTGTATCCTCACCCAAACTTGGCATTGTCAACCTTTTTAATTTTAGTCAATCTACTGCATGTACAGTGGTATCTCATAATTTTAATTTGCATTTTTCTATCCTGCTTAAAGCTAACACAAGACTGGACAAGGTGGCTCACATCTGTAATCCCACTTTGGGAGGCTGAGGTGGGAGGATCGCTTGAGCTCAGAAGTTCGAGACCAGCTTGGACAACATAGTAAAACCTGGTTTCTACAATGTGCTGCTACATTCCAGCCTGGGTGACACAAGATCCTGCCTCAAAAAAGAAAAAAAAAAAAGCCAACAATAGGAAAACTTGGATTTGTGTGTGTCTGGTAATTTGAGGTTTATGCTATACGCCTGGATTTAAAAATACTCAATTAGAATGAATAGAATATTATAAAACATTTGATAAGAGGGACTGTGCTTGTATTTAAATGTGACAATAACATACCTAAGTTTGTTTTAAGTAGGGAGAAGAAGAGTTGAGGATACATTTGGAGTGAAAAATTAGAGGGATTTCTTTGAGTTCCAAAAGTAAATTTCAGGAGAAGTTGTGAACTCTCCTTTTCTATATCTGAAACCATGTTAGAGGAAGTGAGGTTCTACAAATTATTTGAATGACGGCAAGGAAGACGGACTCACAGGCAGAGACTTAAGTCTCTTTTCTCTAAGTTTACTTTTTTCCAACATAATTCTCAATGTTTTTATTTTGTGGTCTATATACCTAATACAATACAATATCATATGGATTACAACGATGTGAATGAACACTCCTAAAGAACATTCTGAAGTACCTAACAATATCATATGGAAACACAGGACTTAAAAACAGCTTTTAATATCAAAATGGAAGAGGATGAAGCAAGTAATTTATTGATTTCCTTTAGAAAAGAATTCTAAAGGTAATACCTAAAATATATTAATACAGGCATGGTTTGAGCCAGGACAGTAATTGCGTATTATAAAAAAGTACCTTAAGAGAAAGATATAAATAGAAAGTTCCACAAAATTTCACTTGATTGAATTTCCATACAGAAGCAATGGGCATAAAAATTGTTGTTCCCTAGACTTCACAATTTACCCATTATTATAAACATTTTAATAAACATGATTATGAAGATTATACACTTTTCTGTTGATTAATAAAATTAACTATCCTAACTATACACCTGAATATAATTACCTTTGATTGATATTTTACTTTATATAGGAACAAACAAACACACCACAAATTTGGAAATATTGCAACGGAGTCATTTGAAGATTTTAAATATTTTTCAGCCATGGTTTATAACTTTATTGTACTAAAAAAAATCAGGGAATTTGGATAAAAATTGAAATGCAAAGACTAAAAGGATCCAAAGCCTGGATCTTATGTAAAGTTGTCCTTGGTGAAAGTCAGGCACATGTAAAAACTTCTGCTAAGAACATCCTAATGCCAAATAAGATATAAAAGGACATAATATGCTAAAAATATAAATGGGACAGCTAGTATTAATGAAATAGATACTTCTGAAAGAGATACCTTCACAGTGGAAGACTTCCAGCTAGGGCATTCAAAAGTAATGAACCACGTGCTCCTAATACCCTGAAATAATCAGACTCTTTACATATTTTCAGCTTTGTCTATAGAGTAAATCAATATAGATTTACTTAATCTATAGTTCTCCCTAAGTATCAGGGCTCTTACTAATTCAGTAACTCTTAAGCATTATTTTTGGCCTCGATATACCAATATACCATCATAATGTACACCTAAGTATGCTTTTTATCGGCTATAAGCACAAACTGGAACAGAAACTAAAAAGGTAGATTTGGTTAAACTATTTTGCCATTATCATTTCCTGGCTTGGAATGAGATTAAGAGAGTTCTTTGAAAGCAAATCTAGGATCAATAGCTTAAAGTGATGAGAAGACATTTAATTTGAACAGAAAAAAAATCTTTTTATACCAGACATTTCCAATAAGGAAATTACTTGCCTCTAGAAGAGATTACAGGTAGGACTACATTATTTCTAAAGTGCCTTCTTTTTTTTTTTTTTTTTTTTTTTTTTTTTATTATACTCTAAGTTTTAGGGTACATGTGCACATTGTGCAGGTTAGTTACATATGTATACATGTGCCATGCTGGTGCGCTGCACCCACTAATGTGTCATCTAGCATTAGGTATATCTCCCAATGCTATCCCTCCCCCCTCCCCCGACCCCACCACAGTCCCCAGAGTGTGATATTCCCCTTCCTGTGTCCATGTGATCTCATTGTTCAATTCCCACCTATGAGTGAGAATATGCGGTGTTTGGTTTTTTGTTCTTGCAATAGTTTACTGAGAATGATGGTTTCCAATTTCATCCATGTCCCTACAAAGGATATGAACTCATCATTTTTTATGGCTGCATAGTATTCCATGGTGTATATGTGCCACATTTTCTTAATCCAGTCTATCATTGTTGGACATTTGGGTTGGTTCCAAGTCTTTGCTATTGTGAATAGTGCCGCAATAAACATACGTGTGCATGTGTCTTTATAGCAGCATGATTTATACTCATTTGGGTATATACCCAGTAATGGGATGGCTGGGTCAAATGGTATTTCTAGTTCTAGATCCCTGAGGAATCGCCACACTGACTTCCACAATGGTTGAACTAGTTTACAGTCCCACCAACAGTGTAAAAGTGTTCCTATTTCTCCGCATCCTCTCCAGCACCTGTTGTTTCCTGACTTTTTAATGATTGCCATTCTAACTGGTGTGAGATGATATCTCATAGTGGTTTTGATTTGCATTTCTCTGATGGCCAGTGATGATGAGCATTTCTTCATGTGTTTTTTGGCTGCATGAATGTCTTCTTTTGAGAAGTGTCTGTTCATGTCCTTCGCCCACTTTTTGATGGGGTTGTTTGTTTTTTTCTTGTAAATTTGTTTGAGTTCATTGTAGATTCTGGATATTAGCCCTTTGTCAGATGAGTAGGTTGCAAAAATTTTCTCCCATGTTGTAGGTTGCCTGTTCACTCTGATGGTAGTTTCTTTTGCTGTGCAGAAGCTCTTTAGTTTAATTAGATCCCATTTGTCAATTTTGTCTTTTGTTGCCATTGCTTTTGGTGTTTTGGACATGAAGTCCTTGCCCACGCCTATGTCCTGAATGGTAATGCCTAGGTTTTCTTCTAGGGTTTTTATGGTTTTAGGTTTAACGTTTAAATCTTTAATCCATCTTGAATTGATTTTTGTATAAGGTGTAAGGAAGGGATCCAGTTTCAGCTTTCTACATATGGCTAGCCAGTTTTCCCAGCACCATTTATTAAATAGGGAATCCTTTCCCCATTGCTTGTTTTTCTCAGGTTTGTCAAAGATCAGATAGTTGTAGATATGCGGCATTATTTCTGAGGGCTCTGTTCTGTTCCATTGATCTATATCTCTGTTTTGGTACCAGTACCATGCTGTTTTGGTTACTGTAGCCTTGTAGTATAGTTTGAAGTCAGGTAGTGTGATGCCTCCAGCTTTGTTCTTTTGGCTTAGGATTGACTTGGCAATGCGGGCTCTTTTTTGGTTCCATATGAACTTTAAAGTAGTTTTTTCCAATTCTGTGAAGAAAGTCATTGGTAGCTTGATGGGGATGGCATTGAATCTGTAAATTACCTTGGGCAGTATGGCCATTTTCACGATATTGATTCTTCCTACCCATGAGCATGGAATGTTCTTCCATTTGTTTGTCTCCTCTTTTATTTCCTTGAGCAGTGGTTTGTAGTTCTCCTTGAAGAGGTCCTTCACATCCCTTGTAAGTTGGATTTCTAGGTATTTTATTCTCTTTGAAGCAATTGTGAATGGGAGTTCACCCATGATCTGGCTCTCTGTTTGTCTGTTGTTGGTGTATAAGAATGCTTGTGATTTTTGTACATTGATTTTGTATCCTGAGACTTTGCTGAAGTTGCTTATCAGCTTAAGGAGATTTTGGGCTGAGACGATGGGGTTTTCTAGATAAACAATCATGTCGTCTGCAAACAGGGACAATTTGACTTCCTCTTTTCCTAATTGAATACCCTTTATTTCCTTCTCCTGCCTGATTGCCCTGGCCAGAACTTCCAACACTATGTTGAATAGGAGCGGTGAGAGAGGGCATCCCTGTCTTGTGCCGGTTTCCAAAGGGAATGCTTCCAGTTTTTGCCCATTCAGTATGATATTGGCTGTGGGTTTGTCATAGATAGCTCTTATTATTTTGAAATACGTCCCATCAATACCTAATTTATTGAGAGTTTTTAGCATGAAGGGTTGTTGAATTTTGTCAAAGGCTTTTTCTGCATCTATTGAGATAATCATGTGGTTTTTGTCTTTGGCTCTGTTTATATGCTGGATTACATTTATTGATTTGCGTATATTGAACCAGCCTTGCATCCCAGGGATGAAGCCCACTTGATCATGGTGGATAAGCTTTTTGATGTGCTGCTGGATTCGGTTTGCCAGTATTTTATTGAGGATTTTTGCATCAATGTTCATCAAGGATATTGGTCTAAAATTCTCTTTTTTGGTTGTGTCTCTGCCCGGCTTTGGTATCAGAATGATGCTGGCCTCATAAAATGAGTTAGGGAGGATTCCCTCTTTTTCTATTGATTGGAATAGTTTCAGAAGGAATGGTACCAGTTCCTCCATGTACCTCTGGTAGAATTCAGCTGTGAATCCATCTGGTCCTGGACTCTTTTTGGTTGGTAAACTATTGATTATTGCCACAATTTCAGAGCCTGTTATTGGTCTATTCAGAGATTCAACTTCTTCCTGGTTTAGTCTTGGGAGAGTGTATGTGTCGAGGAATGTATCCATTTCTTCTAGATTTTCTAGTTTATTTGCGTAGAGGTGTTTGTAGTATTCTCTGATGGTAGTTTGTATTTCTGTGGGATCGGTGGTGATATCCCCTTTATCATTTTTTATTGTGTCTATTTGATTCTTCTCTCTCTTTTTCTTTATTAGTCTTGCTAGCGGTCTATCAATTTTGTTGATCCTTTCAAAAAACCAGCTCCTGGATTCATTGATTTTTTGAAGAGGATCCTATTCGGCCATCTTGGCTCTTCCCCTAAAGTGCCTTCTTGTTTACAATCTTATATAAAAGGAGAATCTTAGGGAATGAGGAACCCTCACATGAGCTTCTTTGACCCCAAGATAAAATAAGTGAGTAATTCACTCAGGTGACTTGTCTGAGTCAATGTTAACTCCATAAGCATAGCAATTTTTTTTAAAAAAAGATATGATTCATGTTGGAGTTAAGAATGAAGATTAGAACCAGCTACTATTCTATTTAGAATGGATGTCTACTTTCTTCCCTATCTAGCTCAATCCAATTAATCCTTCAATGTCCTGAATGAATCCTTCCTTTGCCATGAAAACCTTCTTGATAAACCCAGTTCATGGTGAGTTAGTCCTTCCTCTGAATTCAGAGTTCTATTTTTCTATGCTAGTAATTATTATTATTAACCAAATAGCCATTTACTGCATTGTGATCTTTCTTGAATTGTTTCTTACACTATTTCAGTTTTCCATGCTTACATCTTGTCTATTCAGTCATACCATAAGCTCCCTGAAGACAGGGATCATATCTTACATTTCTCCGTATGTCCCATAGCAACTAACAGCATTTTGCGTTTTGACTATTCAGAATTAGTTGAATAAGAACAGAAAATTACAGATTACTTTAAAAACTGGGGAAGGCAAATTCGGTAGATGCAAGCACAGGAAAAGAAAAAAGAGCAAATAAGTAAAAATAATACACAGGTTAGTAGCTAGAGTCAACCCTGCATTTGGAAAAAACACAAAAACGAAAACAAAAAACAGTCTGTTGAGTTAAAGACAGTAAGGTTCTAGACTAAGCTCCATGCATACTTAAGGTGAGAACCATTGATGTAGGGGATAACCGTGTGACACTGCCAGAATCTGAGAAAAGGAACATTATCACTGAAGTGAAGTGACATTACAATATTTTTTCCACACCTTTACTTTTATCTTTTGGCACCTGATAGGGGTCTTCAAATAGCAACTCCAACTGACACCAGACGGTACCTGTTGGAGCCTAATGCCGGGCTATGGCCAGCAAACCAAATAAATATCACTATTCATGAGACACAGTTAGAAGTTAAGCATCCCTTATCTGAAATGCTTGGGACCAGAAGTGTTTCCAGTTTCAAAAATATCTGAATACTGCATACATGTAATGAGATCTCTTGGGGATAGGACCCAAGTTTAAACATGAAATTCATTTATGTTTCATATATACCTTATACACATGGCTTGAAGGTAACTTTATGTAACACTTTAAATAATTCTGTGCATTAAAGTGGTTTTAAGTACCTACACGTGAAATTTTCCACTTGTGGTATCATGTTGGTGCTCAAAATGTTTCGGATTTTGGAACATTTCAGATTTTGGATTAGGGATGCTCAACCTATACCTTGGGAAGCATCTATTTCTTTAACATAGCTCTAAAAGAACAATGGCTTCAGCAATTTTTCAACTCCTATTTAGTATTAAAATAACCTTTTACATTCAAAAATACCATCTTGAAAGTTTTATCTAGTTAGAATAAGTCTAATTTAAAAACAGAATATACACTTCCATCATACACAAAATTATATTAAAAATGTTAGTTATACTTGTTACATCACAGTAAAAAACAGTATAGTAAGAAAAACAGCTGATTTAAAATCAAGTGTCTAATGAAAACTATGAGCAAGGAAGAATAATATGTTAGCTAACTGCTGGATGGACTAAAAAGAATGGGAAAACGAGATATAGGACTCTTTTAAGAGCACTTATAATTTACCACTGAAGAATTGATGAGGATTCGGGTTTTAGACTGTTGGTAGTTGGAAACAAGAGAAGAAAAATCATTAGATACAGAATAAGAAAGGTTTTGAGCCTAGGAGAGTGTGCTACCTTTAACAGAAATGAGAAGCTGGTTCCAAATCTATTGTAAAACCACCAACGTTTTCTAATCCTGTCCCTACACACTTAATTTTTAAATGCAGAAGATGCTTTCAAGACCAGTCCACTTTTATTAGTATATAACTTTTGAAGCAGAAATGAGAAGTAGCTTTAAATTGACACCTGCTATCAGGAGTTGCCATTGAGATACATTACTTCTTAATTTTACCTTGAAGATTTTAACGATTTTGCAGCCATAGCTTCCACTGCAACTTTACTCCAACAGCTATCATCAACAGTTGTTTTAACATGCTGATTTCTCCAACACTGTTTAAAATTGAGAACAAAAATAATATCCAACATTTATTATTCCTTGTTTCTAATACTCAAAGAACCTACCTTTTTCTTTGAATAATTAGAACAATGAAACATGAGGCCTGAGGAGTAATTTAAGCTTAGCCAATTACTTTTAATTATAATAGGAAATGAGAGGATCAATATAGTAAAATCCTCATTAATCATATTCTACCAATTATGAATTTGAAATTATCTCGATGAAATAAATGCAATTCTTGCTTACCCAGAAGTCTGAAACATTTTTTCATTAAAAAAAACTTTACCTATTGCTACTAAAGCCGTATCTGACTGGAAAATCTTTAGCTGTTAAAACTCAGGCTCAATAAATCACAAAGTCCTTTCAAGATGTCTTCCTCTAACTTCTAAGTTCAGAAGATAAAAAAGCGGTATTCTAAATTCATTAATTCAACAAATATTTTAAGTACCTTTTTACTTATGTTATAGTCTTTTACTCACGATGTACTGTTTAACTGTACTAAATAGTGTATTACATTTTCTACCAACTAACCTCATTTTACTCATTATCACCATCTTATTTAGAAGAAAACATATGTTCTTAGGAGGGAGGAACTAACTAGTCTAAAGTTTCATTTAACTAGCAATGAAACTCATCCAAAAATCCTACCAAATGTTGGATAAATTTGGCTATCCCTCTTTCTTCCACATATTGATCCCCCGAATAAGCTTATTATACTCACATGAGCCTCTTAGATAGCAGTGGACCATTCTTCAGTTAAGAGTACCTTATTTTACCAGATTAAACTTTACTTGTCCAGATATTTTTACATGGTCAAGATATGTGAGACCTCATTTATCGCACTGTATTATGTTTTCCCTGAAGAAAACTGATAGTATATGTTGCTTTCTATAGCTTTTTTAAAAAACTAAATAGGAATCACCCATTCCTTGCCATTCAGCAAAAAACTGGGGAGAAATTATACCTTTTACAATGAATTATTACAATGATGTTTACATTCCAGATTTCTCACTTACTATGATGAACCATGTTACTTTGCACTTTATGAACAAGCTACATGAAAGGAAGAACCAAGGCCCAGCCTTAACCTGACCTCTATGAAAGGACCACAATTTCAGCAAGAACCTAATCCCTATAGAAAGTATTCAAATAATATGATTACCCACATATGCAAATAAAGAAAAGAGGTCTAACACAAAACAAAATGGAGGACTTTGTTATCACCAAATGAGTTTAAATAAATCTAAAGTTTATTATTAAGCAATTTTGAAAGCGTACGAGTCGTAAAATTCAGAATTCTATCTGTATCACTGATATATCTGAAGTACAAACTGGGCACTTCAGTGAATATATTTTAAGAAAATACATTCAATGTACTTTTCAAAGAGTAAAAATAATACAAACATATCAAGTATTAATACTTAAGAATAAAAAACTTTGTTTTTGGGGACAGGTCCTAGAATATAGACAAATTCTGCTTCTCCTCTCCTACTGTTTGGTAGACTCTTCTGAGAGTCGACTCTGACCTAATCACAACTTAACTTTTTCATTATTCAGCATTCTCAAAACAAGCAAGATATAAATTAAGATTTGTCACGCAGACAACGTATTTCTTGCTTCAAAAGGCATAAAGGAACAGACAGAAGCAGACTTATTCTATAAGGTTAACATTACCCTAATGCAAAACTAGATAAAGACAAGGCAAAAAAAAAAAAAAATCCAAAAAACTAAAGGCCAATATCTCTCATTAACAAAAATGCAAAAATCCTCAACAAAATATTAACAAATCGATTCCAACAATGTGTAAAAATAATTACATACCAGGACCAAGTGAGATTCATCCTAGATATGCAAGGCTGGTTCTACATACAAAAATCAATTAACATAATTTATCGTATCAACAGGCTAAAGAAGAAAAGCCTGCATGATCTTATCAAAAGATACTGGAAAAGCATTTGACAAAAACCAATGCCCATTCATTACTAAAACTCTCCGCAAACTAGGAATAAAAGGTAACTTCCTCAACTTGAAAAGAAGATTTACAAAAAACCTACAGCTAACATCATACTTAATGGCAAGAAACTACAACCTTTCCTGCTAAAGTCAAGACAAGGAAAGGATGTTCCCTCTTACAATATCACACCGAAAGTCTTAGTTAATACAAGAGAAGAAAATAAAAGTATGCTGATTGGGAAGGAGAAATAAAACTGTCTTTGTTCAAAGATGACATAATTGTCTACACAGAAAATCTGAAAGAATCAACCAAAAAACTCTTGGAACTAGTAAGCAATTACAGCATGGATACAAGATTAATATATAAAAGTCAACTGCTTCCCAACATCTTAACAACGAATACGTCATATCTGAAATTAAAAACATAATAACATATGTTGCAGCCCCACAAAATGAAATAAGCATAAATCTCATAAAATTTGTACAAAATCTATATGAGAAAAACTACAAAACTCTGACGAAAGAAATCAAAAAACTAAATAAATACAGAGATACTCTATGTTTGTGGATAGTTTCTTATTTGGGGCTGCTATAATGAAGTACCACAGAATAGGCATCTTATAAATGACAGAAATTTATTTCTCACAGTTCTGGAGGCTGGAATTCTATGAAACTAAGGTGCTAGCATGGTCAGGTTCTAGTGAGAGTCCTGTTCCAGGCTGTAGACTTCTTGTTGTGTTCTCATATGGCAGAAAGCTCGAGAGAGTGCTATGGGGACTTTTTAAAAAAGGCACTCATTTATGAGGACTCCACTCTCATGATCTAATCATCTCCCCAAAGTCCTATCTCCTAATACTATCACATTGTTAGGATGTCATCATATGAATTTGGGGGTGGGGGATGGGGACATATATTCAGTCCATAACAGATAAGAAAACTCAATATTGTCAAGATACCAGATCTTCCCAACTTGATCTGTAGATTCAACACAATCCTAATCAAAATTCCAGCAAGTTATTTTGTGACTATCAACAAACTGATTCTAAAGTTTATTATAGAGAGTCAAAAGACCCAGCAGAGCCAACACATTATTGAAGGACTGACACTATGCAACCTCAAGACTTACTATAAAGTTACGGTAATCAAGACAGTGTAGTTTTGGAGAAATAGAAAAATAGTTCAATGAAACTGAATAAAGAGCCCAGAAACAGACCCGTGCAAATAGTCACTGATCTTTGACAAAGAAGCAAAGACAATACAAATGAGAAAAGATAGTCTTTTCAACAAATGATGCTGGAATTGGACGTCCACATGCAAAAAACTGAATCTAGACACAGACCTTACACGCTTCACAAAAATGAACTCAGAATTGATTATAAATCTAAACATAAAATCCAAAACTATAAAACTCCTAGAAGGTACCATAGCAGAAAATCAAGATGACTTTGGGTTTGAAGATGACATTTTAAATACAACAACAAAGGCACAATCCATGAAAAATAATTGGTAAGTTGGACTTCATTAAAATTAAAAAATTCTGCTCTGTTAAGACAATGTTGAGAGAATGAGAAAACAAGCTACAGACTGGGAGAAAATATTTGCAAAAGACTAATAAAAGACTGTTATTCAGAATATACAAAAAACTCTTGAAATTCAACAAGAAAATGAACAACTTGATTAAAAATTGGGAAAAAGTTCTCACCTCAACAAATACTTCACCAAAAGAGATACACTGACTGCATGATTGCAAATAAGCATATGAAAAGATGCTCAACATCATGCATCATGTGTCAGTAGGGAATTGCAAATTAAAACGAGATATTGCTACATGCCTATTAGAATGGCCAAAATCTAAAACACTGGCAATACCAAATGATGGAGAGAATGCAGAGCAAGAAGAACTCTCATTCGCTGCTATTGAGAATGCATAATTGGAAGACAGTTTGGCAGTTTCTTATAAAATGAAACAAACTCTTACCATACAATCCAGCAAAAACATTCTTTGATATTTACCCAAAGAGGTGAAAACTTACACCCATACAAAAATGTCAACATCGATGTTTTAGCAGTTTTATTCATAACTGCTGAAACTTGGAACCAACCAGTATGTCCTCGAGTAGGTAAGTAAAATAAAGTGTGGTACACCCAAATAATGGAATATTCAGCGCTCAAAAGAAATGAAATATCAAGCCATGAAAATACATGGGAGGAACCTTAAATGCATATTACCAAGTCAAAGAAGCGAATTTGAAATGGCTACATACTCTATGATTCCAACTACATGGCATGATAGAAAAGGCAAAACTATAAAGGGTGAAAAGATTAGTGGTTTCCAGGGGTTAGAAAGGAGAGAGGATAAATTGGCAGAGTACAGATTTTTGGGCACTGAAACTATTCTGTATCATACTAAAATGGCAGACATGTGAAATTACACATTTCTCGTATCAAAACCCATCAAATGTACAACACCAAGAGTGACCCTGGTATAAAATATTAACTTTGAGTGATTTATCAACGTAAGTTCATCAGTTGTAACAAATGTACTATTCTGGTACAGAATGTTAATAGGCTATACATATGTGGGGTCAGAGAATATATGGGAACTCTCTGTACTTTCTGCTCAATTTTGCTATGAACCTAAAACTGATCTAAAAAATAAAAGTATCTTAAAAAAGAAGTTGGAAGATGTGAATGTACTTAATGCCACTGAACTATATACACTTTCAAATGATTAAAATTGTAAATTTTAACTCGTGTGTATCTTACCACAATTAAAATTTTAAATGTCATAAAAGAGTTCTAGCAACATTAGGAACTAAGAAGGGATTCTATTCAGATGTCTGTTGCCTTCTATCTTTTCTCACTCTACCTACCTGACCTTTTGCCTCTCCTTTGAATTCATCTATTTTATAAACATGATCATTTAAGAATGTATTCCCTTTAAACCAATACTTTTTCTTTTTTTATAATATATTGTTACATAAAGCAAAACTTTTTCTAACTACTTCTTTCTGACATGGATCTTCTGTACCAGTGAAAGTGTGGTCCTTAAACCAGCATCAGCAGCATCAACATCACCTAGGAACTTGTAAGAACTGCATATTTTGGTATCACCCCTGAACTTCTGAATCAGAATCTGCTTTTTAACAAGATGCATGATAAAGTTTGAGTACAATGTTCTAGAAGCCTTAGTTCTCGTGCACCCTTCTAGCTCCCTTTATGTTCCTGGCAAGATGCATGAATTCCAGGAATAAAGGAAGCAAAGCACAAAAGTCAAATAGATAGGTACAGTTTTTGTAAAAGGACAAGGGGTAAAAATGCAGTAGGGCAAAGTTATATTTTAAAGATGTCAAGGATATAGATGGGAAAACAGAATCATTCATGAAAAAATCAGTGATACACCAAGCCAAAATACGATAAGCCATTTATTCTATATTATTTAGGGAATAAAGGAAATGGAAAAGCAGATGAATGCTTATGAAAAAGAAACAGTGTCTTGGATCAGGAAACCAGGGAGAAAAAAGACTAAGAAGAGAGTTTACCAATTGAAAAAAAAAATGCCCTACAATAATTCTCCTAATCTGAGTCCTCATTTTGACCAAAATATTTCTGAACTCTTTTACCCTGAAAAGATTTTAAATGTTTTAAAAATATCAGTGGTATTCCCCAAATTACATTTTCACACCAAAGTACAGTCTTTACCAAGACTATCCTGAAGACAATGAGAACAGTTAGCTTACTCATTTTATAGAGAGCAAGGCTCAAAAAATGACCAGGGACACCAGAAAGTCAACATGAAATGAAAGGTCTTTCAGTTTTAGTGTTACATTCATTAAAATAATAAACTAATATTGGTATTTTATACTCTAGCAATGGATGAGAATTTTTTATTTACTGTGTCCTCAAGCAAAAATATTGCTAGTTGTATTTAATCTGTAAAATTTAAAAGCAGAGTAGATAAAATAGCAGTTAAAGGTAGACAAAATAGCAGTTAGGAGTACAGAGTCTGACCACAGATCAGATGGGTTTGAATCTTGGCTCTGCCATTTACAAACTGTGCAAAGAATCTTAACTTCTCCGTCCCTCTGTGGCTAGTCCTGCCTTCTTTGGCTGGCTGTTTATGAGGATCAAATAAGATACAATGATTAGCATAAAGCCTGGCATATAACACACAAAACTCAAAAATGTTTATTTTTTTGTGTGAAAAAAATTTTAAAGTATTTCTTAAAGCAGAATCTTCCAAGGATAAAGGGCTATGCTATCTTAATATAACTGGAGTTGCAGTCATGAGTTTCAGTCAGTGATGGACCACATATATGTTGGTAGTCACATAAGGTTCTAAGGGAACTAAAAAAAATTCCTATCACCTAGTAACACTGTAGCCATCATGCAGTGTTAGCCATCATACACAATGTAGACATCATACATAATGCAAAGCATTACTCACATATTTGTGGTGATACTGGAAAAAAAAACCCTACTGTGCCGCCAGTTACATAAAAGTATAGTTACATAATACTTGATAATAATAAACTACTATATTACTGGTTTATGTATCTACTATCCTATACTTTTTATCATTATTTTACACTGTACTCCTTCTACTTATTTTTTTTTTCAAAGTTAGAAAGAGCCTCAGGCAGCTCTTTCAGGAGGTATTCCAGAAGGCATTGTTATCATAGGAGATGACAGCTCCATGCTTGTTACTGCCTCTGAAGACCTTCCAGTGGGACAAGATGTGGAGGTAGAAGACAGTGATATCAATTATTCTGACCCTGCGTAGGCCTAGGATAAGGTGTGTGTTTCTCAGTCTCCTTTGCTAGTGCATCCTTTTCTTTAACTTCTGTACCTCTAATTCTTTGAGGACTCCAGGACTTAGTCCTGGTACCTTTTCTCTTATTTTTATCTAAGCTCACTTCATTAGTAATCTCATTCATATTATGTTTTCTTAAGATGAGATACATCTATAACTTACATGTTTCACTATAACCCTCAAATAAGGTCAACCATAGATAATTCTACTAATATTCGGTGAGGCAGCTACAAATAAAAAACAAATTCAAATAGAAACAACATAATTAAAAATAAGTGACTTAATTTTCAATAAATCATCACCATCTTTCTGTAGTTTAAGTTCAATATGATTGGTATAGTCACTTAAAATTCAAAATAATAAAGCTAAATTGATGATAACCAAAACAAATATTTGTTTATTCTAGTCACTGATTACATTGGAAACATTTACATACCACACTGAGTATTTAATGAAAAACGTAAATCATGATTTTGTCTACGGTCCTAGTTCCCTAGCCTTAAAATTTAACAGTAGCATCTTATGTTAATATAGACTTTTTCCAAAAGCCCTTTTATAACAATTATCTCTTATACCTCAAAGAATATTTAATTAGAATAGTAAAATAAATACTATTTTCACCACACTTTCTGGTCCTAACATGACCTCTCACATAACAGTTAATAACGAGTGAATTTAATTAAAATTGTTGAGGAACTCATAAATCCATCCCTACTATATGAAATACATATTGAAATTCATGTTTAACTGATAAGAAGTCATTAATGTCATCTTTCTGTACTTAGTATAGCATTACCAAAAAATTTACATTTTATTTTTAATGCTAATGAATGAAATTAAGTTCTGTATGTACAAATCCTCTGAAAGACATGCTCTATTTCATTTCCTTCTGTGATAGTGAAAATGGTGATTTTTATGATGTTAACACTACTGTATATGAGGCATGCAGTTGTGCACTGCCTCTATCACAATGAAAAAGACTTGCTTTTGCAAGCAAGAAGAATACATTTTAAAATACAGGAATCAGCAGCAATACATAACCACCTTCATCCCTCCAAGATTCCCACTTCAAATGATGTGGCTTTACTACTTGCCAAGCCTAGAGCAACTGTTAGAAGTATATAGACAAGAGCAAGGCTTTTAAAACTGGACCCCATCTCTCTCGAGTACTCCACTGCCAGTACTTCCAGTCCTGAGGAGTAGCACCTTTCCTTCTACTACTAAGCACATCAAGTGTCTGTGCACAGACTTTTTTAATAGTTCTGCCTATGAGATCTCCATCTCCGAAGTGTCTCTTTCTGACATGAATATTCTACCCTATCCATTCATTGCCTCATTATTATAAAACAACTTTGTCCTTACCAAGTTCCTGCAATCCTGTCATTCTCCTCTACTTTCAAAACCATCAACACACTTTTGCTTTGCTTCCCTTCCTACTCACTAGCATCTCACATTCCTCTTCAGAGATCTGGCCAGACCACAAGGCCTTATCCCCTGTCCCAACAGAACAGTCATATTAAGAATGCAACACATTATATCCTTTGATCACAACTTCAGCATCCTCTTCTGTCTCTCCTTTTTCTTTCCACTAAATGTTAGGCATCAACAGTTTTGTTATACCTAGTTCTACACTTTCTCCTCTTCATAAATCCATCACTGCTAGATCTTTAACCATCAATTCTAAATTACTTACACAAACTTAAACAATCAACCCTAACAGTCCTGACAATATATACTCCTGTGCTATCAGTCTGCCAGACAGCTCCACAGGGACATCTCACTAACTCAAATTCAAAATATCCAAAATCAAATTCATTATCCATCATTCCCCACTCTCCCCAAAAAGGAAACTTATTCTTTGGGCTTCTCTATTTCTAGTAACAGCACCAAATCACTTAGGATTTGAGATCATCTTTAAATTAAAGCAAAGTACTGGATTCTCCATTAACCAGTTCAGTCAACTTTCAAATGTATGCAAATTGCTGGTAAAACAGTTGCATCTCATCAAAAGGACACAATACAGCCATTTTCATTCAACTCCTTTGATGGTACACAAATCTGATACACTGCACATGACTTGAACTCTGAAATCAGTCCCCAACACTCACCTCCAGTATTGCGACCTAACAAGTAAATCAAAATAATCCCATTTTTTCATTACATCTAGAGGAAGCTTAAGTCAGGGGTAAGCCCAAGGCAGTTAAATTTTAGTGACTATTGTAAAAAAATTCTGTAGTGGTCTATACTTAAAACTTAGTTTCCACCACAAATAATGAGAATCATACTTCTTCACAGGGTTGTTGTGAGGATTAAATCAAATACGTAAGATATTTAGTACAATGCCTAGCATATACAGGTGCTCAAAATGTTTCCAAAATTAAGAAACCAAACAGCAAATCCATGAAGCTCAGAGATCATCAACCACGATAAATACCAGAAAATCTACACCTAGGCATGTGATGTTCAAACTGCAGAAAACCAAAGACAAAGAAAAATTTTGAAAGACAGAGAGAAACCACTTTACCTATAGAGGGACAAGGATAAAAATTAGATTGGACTTCTCCTCGGTAATCATACAAAAAGAGAGGCAAACTAGGACAACCACTTACAAAACATTTTAAAGAGAAAGAAGTATAATTGATATGCTAAGAGAGGAGAGAAAAGGAAACCATACAAAGTGCTCAATTAAAGTCAGAGCAGAAAAAGAGAGGACATTTTTTGGGGGTGGAGGGGGTGAAACAGAGGTTCCTTCCATCACTCAGACCGGAGTATAGTGGTGCAATCTTGGCTCACTGCAAACTCCGCCTCCCAGGCTCAAGTGATCCTACTACCTCAGCCTCCCAAGTAGCTGGGACTACAGGTGCATGTGACCACACCTGGCTAATTTCTGTATTTTTTTGTAGAGACAAGGTTTCACTGTGTTGCCCAGGCTGGTGTCAAACTTCTGGGCTCAAGTGATTGGCCTGACTCAGCCTCCTAAAGTGTTGGGATTACAGGTGTGAGCCACCAGCCCAGCCAACTTTTTCTTTTTAATGAAACAAAGAACAAGTGCAATGAATAAAAAAAGTTGCAAATACAGTAGATTTTAATACAATTATGTCAATAATCACTTTAAATGTGAATGGTCTAAATATGCCAATTAAAAGATAAGAGACAGAGTAGATTAAAAAAAAAAGACCTAACTATATATTGTATACAAGAAACCCACTTTAAATGTAGAAATAGATTAAAAGTAAAGAAATGGAGAAAGATATACCATGCTAACACGAGTCAAAACAAATCTGAAGTAGCTGTATCAATTTGAGACAAAGTAGGTTTCTGAGCGAGGGAAATTAACAGGGATAAAGATAGGCATTGCATTACGATAAAGGGGCAAATTCTCCAAGACCTAATGATTCTTAATGTATATGCACCTAACAGAGCATCAAAATGTGAAGCAAAAACTGATAAAACTACAAGGGGAAACATGAACTCATGATCACAGCTAGAGATATCAACATCCTTCTATCGGTAATTAACTGACAGGCAAAAAATCAGTAACAATACAGTTGAACTAAATACCATCAATCAACTGGATCTAACTGATATTTATACAGTACTTCAACCAACAACAGCAGAATACATGTTATTCTCAAGCTCACATAAGTCATTCACTGAGACAGACTATATTCTGGGCCATAAAACACACCTGAAAAAATTTAAAAGAACAGAACTAATACAGTATATGCTCTCAGACCACAATGCAATTAAACCAGAAAGCAATCTCAGAAAGATAGATGGGAAAATCTCAAAACATTTGGAGATTAAACATCACACTTCTAAATAACACATGGTTCAAAGTCTCAAGAGAAATTTTTTAATACTTTGTATTAAGTGAAAATGAAAATTCAATTTATCAAAATGTGTGGGATACATCAAAAGCAGTGCTTGGAGGGAAATTTATGGCACCAAGTATATATACAGACGGTCCGCAGTTTATAACGGGGTTGTATCCCAATAAACCTATTTTAAGTTGAAAATATCATGAAGTCTGTATTAGAAAAGTAGAAGGATCTATAAAACCATAAAAACCCTAGAAGAAAACCTAGGCAATACCATTCAGGACACGGGCATGGGCAAGGACTTCATGACTAATACACCAAAAGCAATGGCAACAAAAGCCAAAATAAGACAAATGGGATCTAATTAAACTAAAGAGCTTCTGCACTGCAAAAGAAACTACCATCAGAGCGAACAGGCAACCTACAGAATGGGAGAAAATTTTTGCAATCTACCCTTCTGACAAAGGGCTAATATTCAGAATCTACAAAGAACTCAAACAAATTTACAAGAAAAAAACAAACAACTCCATCAAAAAGTGGCCAAAGGATATGAACAGACACTTCTCAAAAGAAGACGTCTATGCAGCCAACAGACACATGAAAAAATGCTCATCACCACTGGTCACTAAAGAAATGCAAATCAAAACCACAATGAGATATCATCTCACGCCAGTTAGAATGACAATCATTAAAAAGTCAGGAAACAACAGATGCTGGAGAGAATGTGGAGAAATAGGAACGCTTTTACACTGTTGGTGGGAGTGTAAATTAGTTCAACCATTGTGGAAGACAGTGTGGCGATTCCTCAAGGATCTAGAACTAGAATTACCATTTGACTCAGCAATCCCATTACTGGGTATATACCCAAAGGATTACAAATCATGCTACTATAAAGACAAATGCACACGTATGTTTATTGCGACACCATTCACAATAGCAAAGACTTGGAACCAACCCAAATGTCCATCAATGACAGACTGGATTAAGCAAATGTGGCACATATACACCATGGAATAATTAAGGCAGAAATCTATGAAATTGAAAACAGGAAATCAAGAGAAAAAAACAATGAAACTAAATGAAGATTCCTTGAAAATAACAAAATTGATAAATTTGTAGTTGTGTATTATGATGTACCACACAGGGCTTTTATTTTGGTTTAAAAAAAAATCAGTGCCACTATTCAAAATAGCAAAGATATGGAATCAACCTAAGTGTCCATCAATGGATAATTAAAGAAAATTTAAATGCAAACAATGAAATACTACTCAGCCATTAAAAAGAATGAAATAATCTCTTTTGCAGCAACATGGATGGAACCAGAGGCCATTATCCTAAGTGAACTAACTCAGAAACAGAAAGTCAAATACCATATTTTCTCATTTATAAGTGGGAGCTAAATAATTTGTATACATGGACATAAAGAGTGGAATAATAGATAATGGAGACTCTGAAGAGTGGAAGGATAGATGGTGGGTGAGGGGTGAGAAATTACTTAATGGGTACAATGTACACTATACTAAAAAGCCAGGCTTTGCCACTATGCAATATATCCATGTAACTAAACTGTACGTGTACCCTCTAAATCTATAAAAATAATTTTAAGAAGTGAGTGCTAGTCTTCATCCTCGACTAAAATATAAAATGCTTCACTGTTCCTCCCTTTTCGTTTAACCCTTTCACAATTCTCTGGCATAACCTGTAGCACATGCATGTTATAAAAATTTAGCAAATTTAACAAATTTAGCAAGATGTCCCTATTAAAACAACTAGAAAACAAACTTACTTTTGTAGCATAAGGTGAAAACATAACACACTTGACTTTTTTGGTAAAGGAATCAAACAAGTTATTCCATGCCCTGACACATAAGCTTTTCTTCTTTTCAAATAAGTTAGTCAATGTAACTTTATTGGAGTAGACCTGGCTAGGTTAGGAATAAAGAATGGCTACATGCTGGACTAACTACTATCAAGCACACCAAATTAAAAAAACAAAAAAACAAAAAAACTTTGCTGTCATCATCATCCAACAGATGTCATCACACCCAAAACCCACCTACTTAGAATTTCTTTAGGACCTTTAGTTTAAGAAATGGTACCTTTGCAGCATAAGGGAGTAGGAAAAAAATGGGACTTTGAAATCACACATATCTGTGCTCAAATTCCACCTCCATTTCTATTAGCCATGTGACCTTGAGCAAATTACTTGATCTATGAGAGGACTCAGTTTGCTGGTTGACAAGTACCACAAATACAATTCTAACAGTTTACGCAAAAAGGAGGACTTATGACAAAGGTAACTAGGATGTCTCTGGAACCCAATCTCAGGACCATGGACAAAGGAACTCAAATACAGTCAGGACTCTGTGCATCTGCTTCTTTGCACTCTTTGTTCTAGAAGCCCTGGCTTATCTAGCCCACAGGGCAAGAAACAAGGCCATTAACAGTTCCAGAGTTTTGTATCTCACAGCTTCAGCAACTGAAGAGAAAACAAATTATTCAACCTCTGGGCATGGAGGACCCAGGAAAAGTTCTGAGTGACTTGGCTTAGTAAAAAAGTGTCTAAAACCAGGCCAATAAACCACAGAAATGAACAGAATTGTGATTGGTATCTCTGGCCCCTTCCAAGCCAAAGTGATCTTTACAAAAGACAGATCTGATCCAGTAATTAACCCGATTAAAACTCTTCATGGCCTTCCCCAATAGACTTAAAATCCTTAACCTCGTTAAACCAAACCTCACGTAGGCCCTCTGCATAGTCTGGCTTCTGTTTACCTCTGCAACCTCATATCAAGTCACAATCCCTCTTACACTAAGCTTTAACTGTTTCACCTGTTCTTTGAATTCTCTTCCTTTTCCACCTAGCTAACTTCCACTAATCTTGCCTCTAAGAAGCCTCCCCTGACTCCCAGTGTAAATCCAGTTCCCTCTTCTTTTCCTTTACAGCATTCACCAAAATTTCTAAGTACAAATGTATTTGTTCAACACCTGTTTTTTACTATACTGTTAACTCCAAGAGAATAGAGACCTGTCCTTTTTAGCACCTACTTGGCCCTCAATAATTATGTGCTGATTATGAACTATGAATCACTGGTTTAACAAGGGGGACCCACTAAATGAACCAATTACAAATGAGGGGACAGTAGCAGGCAGGCAGAATTGTTATTATCAAGTTATTAAAATGACTGCTCCAACAGAAACTTATCAGTAAAAGGGGAGATAAAGCAGTTCTGAAACAATCTGGGCTTCCGCTAGGCAGAACAAACAACTTGTTCAATTCAGTTAACCTTTTTCTTCAATTAAATCCTTATAGGGCTATGATAGCAATTAAACAAGATAAATAATAAATGTGACAGCATCTATACAGAATCTTGTACATCTAGCAAGCAAGCAATGTCACTTCTTTTCCTTTTGGACCATGTTACACATTATTTTTGAATATCACTGATCTCCAAATAATTATTAAATAC
Organism: Homo sapiens; assembly: GCF_000001405.40. Classification (NCBI taxonomy): domain Eukaryota; kingdom Metazoa; phylum Chordata; class Mammalia; order Primates; family Hominidae; genus Homo; species Homo sapiens. The sequence continues at coordinate 110,174,797 of NC_000006.12, forward strand.
TCCAATGCATATGACAAAAATAGCTGTTTCATGACCTCTTCCCTCACAGCACCCTGATCTTTCCACATGGAACAGAATGACTTCTCTTTTATTCTGTAGTAATTGCATACACTCAAAATCCATTTAGCTTAAACCAAAAACAGGCACTGGGAACACAAAAATGAAGCAAAGCAAAACAAAACAACCAAACGCTTACAACAAAACTGTCCTCAAGGAGTTCACAGATTCACTTTCTCAATCTGCCTTCAGCTCCATCACATCCATACCAAAGCTCCATAGCACCCCAGGTAAGGCTGCTACAAATACAAGATGCCCCGTATTTTATGGGGCAATAATCCATCTTTATATCTTCATACTCCCACTTCATGACCTCATTCCAAAATTTTTTCCTTAAAAAAATTCTATGGAGACTGACTGGATATGATCTTTCTTCAAAGTATGAATAAAATCTACCCTGACTTTACCAATAGCTCAAAATAAGGAAACAAAGGAAACAATCCAAAAGAAAAATCCTGTTTCTTGACAGTGCTGGGAGTTTATTTTTAAAAATTAAAACAAACAAAAAACCCATCACAAAAATAACGCCTTTAAGAGACTAAAAAATCTTGCTTCTGAGAACAGGCACGTGTGAAAGGATCAAGACTACTTTCTTTTTCAGAGGTAGGTCCAGAAAGAAGAAATGTCCTCATAAGAGGGACGTAAGCGGTAACTTTAGGGAAAATGAACTCTCAGGAAAAAAAGGGGGTTACACCAAGCTTCGAAGTATCTTAGAATTTTATTTGTAGCTAAAACAGATCTCCGAAGTCATCTACTTCTACCTTTTCATTTTATAATCAAACATCTTGAGAAGTAAAGTCACGCAGAAGACTGCATTTCCTTCTAATTTTTGTCATGCCCTAACTTCTTGTCCCAGATAATGTAAGCCTATGCCACTCACTGAACTGAGAAACAGCCTCCTCTTCAAGTCCACTGGGTGAAAGAGAACAAGTTCCTAATAATGTTGTCATGTCTAACACAAGAGTTACAGATCCTAGCATTTCAGGGTACATCTGAAACTTATTTTTCCCATAGAAAGACTGTCATACAAATTATTATAGGTATTTTAATATACTTATGCTAATTATTAACATAATTTTATAATTTCTTTAGTATTAACATAATCCTATAATTCAGGTATTTTATTATTTAAATAGGCTTTAGTGGGCTGTCTGTGACTCTAACCACTAAGTATACTGTTTCTGAGAAAATAAGACTCAAGTTCCAAACCATTTTACAAGTTGTAAAATGTAATCAATTGTGTAGTAAGTTAGAACTACCAATTCACAAAGACTCAAAATTATAAGCTGAATGTGATAAACTTAAAACACAAGATTCTTAATTTTATAAAAAGTTCCACTTCAGGGGTCATTTATTTTTAACAACTAGGTACTCAAGCATTCAGCATAGGATTTAATTTACATATATCTTTTTTATTACTATTTCACTAGAAAACGTAAGTCACAAAGAATCAAACACACTTCTATCTAGTGTAGGAAAAACAAAAAATATGTTAACATACATCTTCATAAAGTGAGCTATAAGAAGAAAATTGTTAATATTTCATAAATCAAAGACTACTAACATATACATTATTAAGTATCTAGTGCCAGTTCAAAAGTGTACAGGTAATGGAATTATATCTGAGCAGGTAAATGGAGTTCAAAGAACCTTGAAATTCATTTTTCTCTTTTCTCCTGAGATAAAGTTATACATTTCATTAATTATAATGTTTGATAAATCTTTAAAAATGTTTCACTAAATATATTAATTCAATGGATATTCTTTACCCATTCATTTTATTTGTTCAACAAAGAAAATTGAGCCCCTGCTATTTGTTAAACACTATACTAACAACTTTGGATTTATGACAATAAGCTGCAGGTCAGTTTCTCTCCTCAAAGAACTAAGAAAAACCACGACTTTACTGCATTTACCCAAGTGACGGTGTCAGCTAAATTTTAATTCATTTAAGAAAACATTATAAAACAAATTCTCAAAAACGAAACCATACAATAGTAACTTTAAACACACTTTAATAGTCTTATCTATATGAAGTTTTCTCACAAAGTAACCAAAAGCACTGTTTTGGTAAAAGTGCTAATAACATAATCTTTTGATAGTAGTCCAATAAGGAAATCACAAGGTACTATGTACTGTGATAATGAAAATCCAACACTTGGAAAAGATATCTTAAGTTATTCCTAAAATAAAGCAAAATGTATAATTAAATATAGTCTTATACAATATTAAAACTGTCTCTGAATATATGAATATTTACAAACATGAGTAATAAAGTAACTCTATAGCATACCTTATAAATGATCACAACTATGTATTTTGGATTGTAACACCTGCAAATTTGTAACAAAAAGGGCCTTAATATTTTTCGAATATATTATTCTTCACTAACTTAATTCAATATTCTACTTATTATCAAGTCATAATTTTTGTTTACTATTAACTATTTTATCTATATGTTTAACTATATGTAGGTATTAACTGTAATAACCTTTATGTCTGCAATTATTTAAAACCCTTGATAGATGAGAAACATTTTTCAGTTCAGAGGCATACCTCTCCAAAGCAAAAATCAATGTTAATCAGCCATTCTAATATGCCATGGAAAATCCTGACATTTTTTCATTGTATTTTTCACAGAAATTTTTTAATCATTCATCAGCTAAAAGATTTAAATTTTCTTTAAAAGGACTACAAAAACACACCTTTCCTGAATTTATGCACACTACCTACTAAATATTATCTCCATTTACATATAAGGAAACCAAGGCACAAAGGTGTCCATTTTGTAAATTGCAAGGTCATTTCCTAACCAAGCAACTAATCCTACACCATCAACTTATATTATATGTACGCCACTTCCAAGTGCCATAAAACAATTACTATACCTTAAAACTGCCTCTGCAATGCTTATGTGATTCTCTTTTATCAAAAGGGTAAATGCAACAAGCTTAAACAAGGAAAGATGGAAAAGGAAAATTATAAAAATACAACACTTACTTTTTATAGTGAATCATTTATTTTTAAATAATGAGATGTAAACAGTTTTTAACATAAAAATCAAGTAACCAACAGTGGTTTCTTATATTTGCAAAAAAAAAAAAATTTCATCCTTCAGGTAGATCACGCAAAACTGAAGCCTACTCATACTTGTAGATTCAAGTTAGAAAAAAAAAAACTGGATTCTAAAACAAGTAATTAAATACATGATATTGCAAAGAAAAAAGTGAATAAAAAATAAAATCAGATAAATTAGGGAATGACTGATATGATGGTTAAAATCCTCATCTTAAATATTAAATCCTTCCATTCAATGGAAGGCAACGATTAGTAATGACATATTCTGCTACCGAAAAACAAATACAAAACTTTTCTTATTCAAAACTTCCGAAATTTTATATCAAATACTTCATTCAAATATTCAATATAAACAAAAATGTTTCCTAACAGAAACTTAGAGCATAAAGGATAAACTGTTCCTGAGAGTTCAAATTGAGACTGCATTTCTAATTATGATATAATGCTATGAACAATCAGAAAAATGAATGTTACCTACCATGCAAATTTAAATTTAAGAACATTAGACGGATTGAATAACCAATAAGTCAATTACATCAATTAGTGAACAGAAAAAAGACCTTAGCTAATCGTGAATCTAACACCAAAGAAAAAATTTAAGTCGAATCCACCGCACATCTTATTACATAGAAAAGGAAATGATTAGAGTAAGTCGTATTTAAGTACCTAGTCTAGCTGGGGATCAATTAATTAATCGGTTATAGGGCAGGACGTGAATGTTGAGATCGGATGTGCTTTCTTTCATCGTTATTCCAGTTCATCATCCGCAAGTGCAAGAGAAGGTGTCAGAGTACCGAAGCTAGGGGGCATGCTGTAGCAAGGGGAAAAGAAAAATGGGAAAGGTGCAATGGATGCTGCATAGTTGAATAATTATCTGGGTGGCACAATGGGCGAGTCCTGCCGACATGAGCGCTGAGTGAGCGGCTCCGTAACTCTGCCCAAGGCAGCCCCCATGAACAGGCACCAGAAGCGACAGCACCGCTTCGCCTCCCCTTCCAACGAAGAAAAGGATGCCCGCACTCGCTTTACCGTTATGTTTTCAGACACCGACTCGCGGAGCAAACACGCAAACGCACGAGCTCGCTTTACCGAGCCTCGCGCACGTAGGGCGAGCAGGGGATTCTCTGTCGCCCGGGGCTACCGCCTCCCCCGGAAAGAGGCACGGGGCGGACCGCGGGCGCGGGTGGGCAGGGAAGCCCGGGCGGTGGCACCTCAGGTGACACCCACAGTCTCTCCAGCGAGAGCAGCCCCGGGGCGGTCCCTGCAGCCAAGCCCCAGGCGCGCCCGCCGCCGTCTCCCTCGGCACCCAGCCCCGCTGGCGGGTGGGCGGTGGGCGCTCGGAAAACCCGCGGATGGGGGTGGGGGCCGGGGCGGGGAAGGCGCGCCCATCCATCCCCGTCACCTTTGCGGGCCACACACCACTCGGTCTGCTCCGGCCAGTAAGGAAGAGTTCCTCTCCCAACACCCCCTCCCCGAAAAAAGCAATTCCTCAGGGACTCGCGCTCACCGTGAAATCTTGGGGGCTCACGCCTTACCCCTTCTTCATGCTTCGGCAGCGGTCGCCGGTCCCCCTCGGCTCGCGGGACTCCGCCTAGAGCCCCCAGGAGGGTCGGGCTCTGGGGCGGAACCCGCTCAGGGCAGCGGCCCAGGCGCCAGGCCACAGGGAACGCCGCCTGGGGCGCCAACCCGCCGCCGGACCCACCGTGTGCTCGACGCGCGAGTGAACAACACCGCGAGCTGCCGTTCCCCCCGCCCCCTCCCCGCGCGAGACGCTCCACAACCGGGCGCAGGGACCCGCGCCAGAAGCAGGGGGGACCGCGAGACTCTTTCCGCCTATGGTCCCATCCTTGCCCCCCGCCCCAGGAGCTATTCCTGGCCAGTCAGAGGTCTCAAAACTTCAGATTCTCACTTTCCTCTTCAGCCTCCAGTGCCCAGGTGCAGCCGAGGTGGGAAATCCAGCCTCCGCCCACTCCCCCATTAGTGGGGCCGAAGCTCGCTCTTCCCCCCTTTCCTGAGGTTCTGTGGTATTGCCCAATCCTCAGTTTGGGGGAGGGGGACGAAGAGAACACTGCTTGGCTAGGGAATGAGGGAAGATGATAGCCAATTGAATGGAACATCCATTCGGGGGCGGGGTCAAAGGGGGACACGCCCCCGTTCCGCCCCCTCGTTGCAAACTACACTTCCCATTGTGCCCTCTCGCGCTTCCTGCCGCGCTGCACGCTGGGAGTGCAGGACCGCGAGGCCTCAAGGTATTTTGGAACTCATATTCTTTAGTCAACTAGGTCCTAAATGTTATAAACTATTATAATTCTCCCTTTTTCCCTAGATAAACTTTTTTAAGCTCTCAGCTCGACAGTAGTTATTCTAATAATAATTAGCTTATTGTTTCAAAATGTAAGACATTATTTCTTAGCAAAGAAAGTTAATGATGTGTTCCATTGCAATCTGTCAGGACCTGGGAGCCTCTTCTTCTTCCGCCCTGGCAGGGTCTCCGCAGAAGATTTGTTGCCGTCATGTCGGCTGCGATTGCAGCTCTGGCCGCTTCCTATGGTTCGGGTTCAGGGTCCGAATCGGACTCGGACAGTGAGAGCAGTCGGTGTCCGCTGCCAGCCGCCGACTCCCTCATGCACTTGACTAAATCGCCTTCATCAAAGCCGTCTCTAGCAGTGGCAGTGGACTCGGCTCCGGAGGTGGCAGTTAAGGTAAGCACTTTTGCTACTAATGCAGTGTGGGAATTGTTGGCTTCAGCTCCAGAACTGCCAGCCGCTTGTTAGGTACCGGGTTACCTCTTTCTCAGTGCTCAGAGATAAGTTGCTAACGTTTGAATTTCTTCTCCTTCCCACATGCATCCTCGGGAGAGGCAGAATTGGAAGTTCGGAATAGCCCTCCGATGCTCTCTGCCCTTGCCTCCCGCCATCAGAAAGCAAGTGGAAGGAGGGGATGAAATTTGAATTTGTGGATTAGGGACATAGCCTGGAAAGTGCAGGTGTAATCTCGGAACATAAGTGAAATTAGATCAGGACTTCCCAAACTAGAGTATTGTGTGAGCAGTGGCCTCGATTTGTCTTATTTTTGAAGAACTAGGTTCTAATCCTGGCACCACCACTTGTGTGAACTTGGACAAGTTATGCAGCCTCCTTTCTTTCCTCACCTGTACAGTGGAGATCATTTTCAAAACATCTGTCTACATGAAAAGATGAGTGTGAAAATTGAGTGAAATTACACAAATAAAGCATATAGCACAGAGCCAACTAGTGAGAGTGCAGTAAATGTTTTATGATTGTGTGTGTTAATACAGTGAGAAAAAGGCCTTGGATTTGAGAAACAGCTGCATGATCTCAATGGAGGAAGCTGATTAATAAGGCAAGAGTTTCCAGGCAGAGGTGACAGGCAAGCCTGAGAACGCAAAGAGCCTAGTGGGTTTGAAGAACTGAGGAAAAGCTGATGTGTCTGGAGCCTGATGAGAGCATCTACCAATTGGTAGTGTAGGCCCAGTAGAGCCCGAGGTAGGTGATCAGCTCAAGATGTGAAGAGGGGAGGCGGTGTCCAAAAATTCCTTTGTATCATGTCCCCAAGTCTAGTTTAATGACTTAAGAAGTGTTTTACAGGTTTTTAACAAGCTGTATGTGAATTTTACTTTTTAAAAATGGACATCTGTCATGAAAGAATGCTTAGAATCCTCCTAACTTCCTATCAAAACAAAACTTTCCAAACTTAAGCCCCTCCAGTAACCTCCTGAGTCTTCTCCTTTCACAGCTCAGCTTTTTGGAGCTCTCTTTTTGTCTTCGTCTCATTTTCTCCTCAACCCAATGCAGTCTGGCCCTATCCTCTTGGGAAACTACTGTCTGTGAGTGATGTCCCAGGCCTTCCAGTTGTCAAGTTCAGCCATCTGACTTAAATGTCTGCATCAAATGACACTGTTCATTAGTTCCTCTTTCTTGAAACTTTCTCTCCGTTTCGCTTCCATGGGGCTCTACTCAGCATTCTGTTCCAATTATTTTACTCTCCCTTTTCAATACTGGTGTTTCCCAGGACTCTGCTCTTAGTCCTCTTTGCATTCCACATATTCTCCCATACCTTCAACCTCAGGCTGTGCTGCTTCTAGCTCAAGGTGAACACCGTGAAATGGTTAGCACAGGCTCTGGAATTAAGACTGTAATTCAAATCCTGCCTCCAGCACTTACCCACCTGGGGACCTTGGATAAGTTACTTAAATGCTCTGTACCTAATTTTTGCTGATCTGTAAAGTAGGAATAACAGTAGTACCTATCTAACAGAATTATAATAATTGTCATAAAAGATGTAAAGCCCTTTTAACAGTGCCACACACAATGAACACTAATTAAATGCTTGCTATCCTTTTATTTCCAGTTCTATCCTCCTTGCTAGCTTACGATCTTGAGAGGTATATAAAAATCTCCCACAGTAATTGTACATTTGTCTTTTGCAGGTTGGCGCTCAGCCACCTCCAATTCAGTGTGTCGAAAAATTATTTTCTTTCCCTCAAAATCCACTTCTGTTTTTCCTATTTTGATCTGTCATCCCACAATCCACCCACTAGTTGAAGCCGAGAACAAAGAAGGTATCCTTTTCTCTTCCTTCTTCCTCAGCCCCTGAAGCTAGTCATTCAATTGATTCTAACATTGCTGTTTCATTAATTTCTCTCACATCAACTCCTTCCTTGCTATTTTCACTGGTGCAGGCTTCATATCTTCCTTATTTCTCCCAGGAGTTATTCTTTTCTTTCTCTTTCAGCCTTTTTGGGTAGTGGGTTCTGTCCACTTTAACTCAATGATATTCATCAAATCTCTCTCTTCTGCTGCCACTGTTTAGTTCAGATTCTCATCATTTCTCTTCAGACAGTTGTAGCCTTCTAACTGATCTTTCTACTTCTTCCTTTCTTGTCTCCCAGTTTTATACCCCATTCTTTTCTCCACAGTGCACTTAGAATGATCTTTGTAAATTCCACTTACATCGTATCACTTCCCTGCCCAAAGACACCATGTTGTCCAATGGGTGATTTCTAAGTTTTTTTGGTAGCATGTGAGTCCTGCTATTCTCCCATGCTGAACTCTTTACAAAGCCCTGAAAGCCGAATTTTCTTTCTTCCTCTGAAGATTTTGCCCACGCTAGTCTTTCTGCCTGGAAATCCCTTGCCTAGTGCCTCCTTCCCCCACTCCAAACACTGTGGTCCTTCAGTCTCAGTGTATATGTTTCCTCCTATTTTACCTTAGCCCCTTTATCATATCTTAACTATAGCACTTAGCACATTGCTGTAACTTGTTCATCTTTTTCTTTCCTCTGGACTGTGAGACCCTGGGGTCCAGAGACTGTTGTATCCATTCGTTTGTGTCTCCAGTGCCTAGTACACAAGATTAGGGAAGTATATTTGGTAAGAGAATGGAATGAAAAAGAAAGTCTTGTAAAAGTATGCACATTAAGAATCAGAATTTTAGAGCTGGACATGCAGTGGCAGGGATGGGGGTGTTTGTCTAGAGCTCACTTAGTGCAATCACGAATAAATAAGGGAACCCAGGAGGAAAGGCTGCGTAAGGTACCAGAAGTCCATTAGAGGTAGAGCTGGGGCTAGTCCACCCAGTGGTCTGGGTTCTATGAGAGCGTAGAGGGCATTGCTCATTGTTGGTTTATGAACCAACACTTGTTTATATGAAGGGAAAACAAACTTACACATAGTAAATATAATGATTGCAAATGATTGGAAAATTGGAAAATGACCAAGGGAGATGTGAAGCATGCAAATATATTCATCTGTAGTTGACTAATTGTATTATGATTAATAGCAAGCATTTTGGCAGAGAATACATTTTTGCAGCGTTTTTAATCTATGTTTTTTCCGAGCTGTTTCCTGCAGTTGAGTATCTTTTAATATGTTATTGGTGATTTAATTTTTTTTTCTTTGGAAGCAACTATTGGGTTGTCATTTCCTTTTGATTTTTAGAAGACCTTTACATATTCTGGATACTATCCTTTGTCAATTGTGTGTGTTGCAAATTTTTTTTCTTTTGTGACTTGTCTTCTCACTTTTCCCTGTTGTTTACAAACAATTATTTATGTAGTCTGTGCTTGTCAAATTATTCCTTTATGTATCGGGTTCCTGTTGCTTGTTTGAGAAATCCTTAACTCATAGTCATGAAAATATTCTCTTGTATTATCTCTTGAAAGCTTTTCACATTTAAGTCATTAATCCATATGAAATTAACTTTTGTCTATAGTGCGAACATTCTTAATAATATGGCTTGATAGGTGATAGGGCAGTTCCCTTGCCCTTTTTTGTTGGCTCTTCTTGGCCCTGTAATTCTATATACAGTTTAGAATTAAGTTGGAAAGTTCTGCTAATACCCAGTTGGGATTTTGTTTGGGAGTACATTGAGTCATAGGTCAACTTGGAGATAATGTTATGTCCGTTCATTTGTTTAGGCCTTTTTTTAGTTTTGTTTTTTTTTTTCTCCCAAAGTTTGTAATTGTCTCTGTATCAAAATCTTGTACAGTTTTATTGGAGGTATTTCTCGGTGGATCTTATTTTTATGCTGTTAATAAACAGTATTGTATTTTTCATTTATTTAACTTTCTAACTTAACTACTATGTAAGTACTTTCTACTACTTACATAGCCATATCAGCTGCAAATATGACAGTATTTTTTCTTTCTTTTAATCATTATTTCTTTTATTTATTGTTCTTGCCTTGCCATGCTTACTACCGCCTCCAGGAAGATCTAAAATAAAAATAAAAAGGATGTACCAGGCAAATTTTAACCAAGAAAAAGCTAGCACTGTTTGTGTTAACATCAATAAAAATAGACTTTAAAGCAGAAAGCATTACTGGAGACAAAAGAGTCACTTCATCATGATAGAAGGTTCAGTTCACAAAGAGATATAAAACAATGTAAGCTCAAAATATTTCAGCAAAAATTGACAGAACTACAAAGAGAAATGGACAAATATACAATTACAGTGAGAGATTTTTATATCTCTCAATAATTGATAGAACAAGTAAAAACATATCAGTAATGATACAGAATATGTGAACAACAAAATTAGTAAACTGCATCTAAAGGTCTTAGGGAATATGGCACTTAGCAACACAGAATGTTGTTTTCAGGCACTGGAAACATTTTGAAACATTGAAACGTAATGAAACATTTTTTAAATGACCGTGTGCTAGACCAGGGATTGGCAAACTTCAGTAAAGGGCCAGACAGTAAATATTTCAGGCTGTGCTGGCCCCATGTAGTTTCTGTCACTTCTTTCTTTCTCTCTTTCACCCTTTCTTTTTCTTCATCTTTTTTTCTTTTTTTTTTTTTTTTTTGGAGACGGAGTCTCGCTCTGTCGCCCAGGCTGGAGTGCAGTGGCGGGATCTCGGCTCACTGCAAGCTCCGCCTCCCGGGTTCACGCCATTCTCCTGCCTCAGCCTCCCAAGTAGCTGGGACTACAGGCGCCCGCCACTACGCCCGGCTAATTTTTTGTATTTTTAGTAGAGACGGGGTTTCACCGTTTTAGCCGGGATGGTCTCGATCTCCTGACCTCGTGATCCGCCCGCCTCGGCCTCCCAAAGTGCTGGATCTTTTTTTCTTAACCCTTTAAAGATACAAATACCATCCTTAGCTTGTTGGTACAAAAAAGCAGACCGTGGCCTGGATTTGGCCCACACACTGTAGTTAGCCACCCCTGAACTGGAACATAAAATTAGTCTCAACAGATTTAAAATCTTGTTACTGTATTCTCTGACCACAGTGCACCTAAGCTAGAAACTAACCACAAAAAGATAGCTATAAAATTTCCGTATTTGAAAATTGTGAAATTGCACTTCTAAGCAACTATACATCAGAACATGTGAGGTGCAGCCATGGCAATTTTTTTAAAAGTATAGTCATAAACACATATCACAGAAAAAAAGAAAGGCAGAAAGTTAGTATGCTAGGCATCCATTCTTTTGGATTTTTAAAATCATTACATTATCTCCCTGTGCTTGTTTTAAGTCATGCAGTCAGTTTCTATTCTTTAAGTGGTTACCCCTAGAAAGCACAGCACATTCGATCAGTACTTTCACCTTCTACTGAGCAATGCGAGAACCTTAGAACCCTTGAATTTTATTCACATCCCCTGTACTCCTACTTTAGCTGTTGTTGTCTGGTATAATACATGCACTTACATATACACACACATCCTCCACAAGATGATGGTGAATGATGATGATTCTTACATCTCATATGCAAGATACCACTTTCTGTCTTTAGAATGTCCTTTAGTGAGGATTGACTGGTGGCAAATGCTTTCAGTTTTAGTTTGTCTTTTAAAAAGTTTTGGCTGGGCGAGGTGGGCAGATCCCCTGAGCCCAGGAGTTCCAGAGCAACATGGAGAGACCCTGTCTCTAGAAAAAATACAAAAATTAGCTGGGTGTGTTGGTGTGTGCTTCCCAGCTACTTGGGAGGCTAAGGTAGGGGGATCGCTGGAGCCAAAGAGGCAGAGGTTGCAGTGAGCCAGAATCACGCCACTGCACTCCAGCCTGGGAGACAGAGTAAGACCCTGTCTCATAAATAAATAAATAAATAAATAAATACATAAAATGCTTTCATTTAACTGTATTTCTCGAAGGATATTTTCACTGGGTTGTTTCCTTAGCTGGCAGTTTTCTCTCAGCACTTTTAAGATATTCTACTGTCTTCTGATTTTCATTGTTACTGATAAATCAGCTGTTGGTGTAGCTGTTTCCCTTTGAAAGTGATTTTCTTTTTTCTTTTGACACCTTTTAAGACCCGCACCCCATTTTTTTGAGATATGGTTTCATTCTTTAGTTTTATTATAGGATACACATGTGTAGATTTCTTTTTATTTTTTCTGTTCAGAATTTGTTGGATTTCTTTAATTGTGGATCAATTGGTTTGGAATGTGGACCTTTGGACATTTCTTAGCAGTTGTCAGTTCTTATCACTTCACATATTATTTTAGTCCCATTCTCCTCTTCTGGAACGCCAATTACACATATTTGTGTTCTCCAGTATATGTATGACAATGAGTATTTTCTGGATAAAATTTTTTTTTTTCTTTGAGACGGAGTCTCGCTGTCTCCCAGGCTGGAGTTGAGTGGCGCAATCTCCGCTCACTGCAAGCTCTGCCTCCTGGGCTTACACCATTTTCCTGCCTCAGCCTCCCTAGTAGCTGGGACTACAGGCACCCGCCACCACGCCTGGCTAATTTTTTGTATTTTTAGTAGAGACGGGGTTTCACCATGTTAGCCAATAAAAATTTTTACATGCAACATTGTAAGGTTTTGCACTTTAGAAATCATGCAGTGGACCCTATTGGATTGCAAGAGTTGGTTATTAAGTGACTTTAAGGTTACAAAAACAAAAGCAGATCTGGCTTTCTCTCATTTCAACCAGTGACTATGTTACTTCCCCCGAATGTATTCTTTGCCTTAGCATAGCCAACTAAAGTAAAATAAAAATTCTGCCTCTAATTTTGAGGCATATTTTTCAGTTTTTTCATGTGTGGTATTTCCTATATTTGTGAGCTTCAAATGGACGACCTTTTCCCTCTGCAATCTGTTAAGGGCCAAACTCAGAGGATATCTTTATCTGAAGTTCTGTTCTTTTATATCATTCACCTAAATTCTTCTATTAGGAAGTTTAGTCATTTCTGTTTTCTGGGAGGAAAAAAAACTATGCCATAAATTGATAAGTAACTTATAATAATAATATTTGTGATCTGCTTTACAGTTTACATGGTGTTTTTATGTCTCTTTTCTTATTTGGGCACAGGAAGAAATGTGGAAAAGACTGAAAAGTGAATATTACCCAGTTTTATTCTCAAATTACTTTGAATCAACAAAAAGATAAACTATTTAAACTTATTTGACCCACAGGGTGCCCTTCACTTACTGCATTTTAATTTTTGTGGATAATTGAAACTGAATAGAAATAATTTGTTATTCTGTGGTAATTCCAATTGCATACCTAATTGGTATTGAATGCCTCATGGGTATTAAAACAAGGTTGTGGTATTGTCCAAGTTTTCTAATTAAATTTCTGTAAAATAACAGCCCTTCGTTTTCTTGAGAGTTGTTCAATTTGTTCTATAATTTTAGCAGGAGTCAGAGACTGGGACTTACTTATATTTTTTATTGGCTGCCAGTGTTGCTTATATAAACAGTAATTTCTTAAATTGTACTTTGCATTTAAAAATTGATGTGTCATGATACTCTTCAAAATAATTTCAATTTGGAATATTTTAAATACCCTTAATTGGAAAGATCTCATATCCCATATTATAAAGTGGTTCTAGCAACTATACACTATAAAATCCTTTGGGAAGATATGAATGTGGCTAAGCCTCATGTTATTTTAAGCAGTTTGTCACTAGGGGTTGAATATTAAGCGGGAAAAGCATTTAATTTAGCTTTTATGCAGTTTAAACAATTTGTATGTAACCTGTTAACTTTATAGTACTGAGTTTGCTATTGGGCCATGTGCAAGATAGTATCTTTCATCAGTAAAGATTCTAGTGTTCATTCTAGGGTGATATAGATAATATTTGTCATCTTTTCAATGGCCTAGCATTTGAAACCCCTTTCTTAAGGGTCTTAATTTGAAGAACATCCCTGTTCATCACCCATCTTCAGAAGCTGAAAACCCAGATTATTCTAATTCAGCTCCCTTTCAGCTGAGGCTCAGGACTGTTGGGTGGGTGTATCTGTTGGGCTCAGCCAAACAGATGTACCAACCTAAGCTTTCTAATCTGAAATTTATCCACAAAGAAGCCAGGAAAGAGGACTTAAACTGGCAATGATGGTCAATGTTTTCTAGTTTCTCAGGCCAGCAGTTTCAATAGCAGCATCCAGTGGTAGCCATAGCAGTTTAGTAGTGGTGTTCAGTCATGGTAAACAATTATCCTCACTGGATGGGTTCTGTGATGATTAATTTTGAATTGTGATTTCATCTATTAAGTGTATACTGACCCTTTATTTCTGCCTACTTGTCAAAGCTGATTCTCCACACTTCCTGGTAATTCTAAGAGAAACTCATAAGGATTTTATAATGCTGAATCAGCCTGCTGCTTGCAACTAAGAACCCTGACTGATACACCTAGTTACTCTGCCAGTGATTTTTTAATTTGTCACTAGTTAGATCTCTTTAACATTGTTCATTGTGGTTACTTTGAGCTCTTCCCCTTCCCATTTATTCTATTAGTAGCTTGGGTTAAGTGACTTAATCCTGCTAACACTTAACCTCACAGATTATATGAAATAGTGTGTCTGCTCTGGTGCTAGCATGTTAGTGTTGTTAAATTCTTTTTTTTCATATTATTTAGCCTCTTCTAGAGAGCTGTAAACTTATTTATATATTATATAGTCTATTGTCTGTCTCCTCCACTAGAATATAAACTCCACAAGGGCAGGTATCTTTGTCTATTTCTGTGGGCCCAGGACAGTGCCTGGCACATAGTAGGCACACAATCAAAATCTGTTGAATGAATATATGAATCTGGAGCTCCATGCTTGCTTTATAAATTTGCCTGTACCCTGACTACACCAAGAAAATAAAAGGATCAATTATGATTCCCAACACCTCCAAACATCTGTCATCTATCACCCATTCTTACCTTTGTCATCTCTATTTCATCCCAAAGAGAGCACTCCTCTTTTCAGAGGCTAATCTTCCAACTGTGTCCTGAATTTTATTCCCTCCTACCTCTTCTAGGGCAACTGTACCTTTATCTGGTCCTTTTTGTCATGTGTCTCTCCCTGCCATCACCTGCCTTCTAGCCTACGATTGACCACATCTTTGACTTAGTCTCTTCTTAAGGAAGAAGAAAAACTTGACCCTGAAAATCCTTCAACCTGACACCCCATCTGTTCTGTTTTTTACCACCAAATATTTTCAGTACAGATTTATATGGTGGTGTTTTTCTAGATCCTCATTTACACCTCTGCCTCTTGCAGCTGGCTTTCCATAGTCCTTACTAACAGTCACTCTCACAAAGGTTTTTTGTGACATAATTGCCAAATCCAATGATTGTTGGTCAGCCTTATCCTACTTAATTTCTCTACAGATTTGGCTTTTCTGTCTTCAATTTAATTTAACAAATATTTATTGAATATGTGCTGAATGCCCTGCGTTCTACTGGGCAGTGAGGATATATGATGTACATAAAAGCCATGTGCAACAAATAATATATCACAAGTACTATCAAATAGAGTACAGCATTTTTTTAGGACCACAAACAAAAACCCAACAGTTTTCCTGAGGCAGGAGGAGGGAAGGTATCAGGAAAAATAAGAAGGCGGCATAAAATAATAAAGGCATTGCCTAAGGTACAAGGCGGTAACATTGCCTACAGCACAGAAAGCATCAAAGTGCTTGCTATTTTTAAAAATCAGCAATTAGTCTAATATGACAAAAGTGAGGGTGTATTAAAGCAGATAAGGAAGTATTACAATAGGCCAGGCAAGATATAATGAAGCCCTAACTAGGCCATTGTAGCTGGGATGCAAAGAGAGGAGGGTAGAAGTGAGATTACTAGAGAAGTATTCAGAGGTAGAATCAGCAAGACTATGCCTGATTTATTAGTGAAGATGGAGTCATGGGGGAATGGTAAGTTCTGTTTTGGACACAGCATAGTGTTTGATGCTGTGGGACATTCATATAATGAAATTTAGTAAGCAGTTGGATATGTGGATCCAACTGCCACGTTGGTGGTCACATAGTTGAGAACACCTGGGGTGGCCTGGTTGTAGTAGGACACCTGCAGGGTGGGAAGCCAAGCTCAGGGGGACCGAGCTAGGGGAGGGTCCTGGGAAGGGGTGGGAGCCCAGTGGGCACGAGGCTGGTGGTGAGTCAGCCTTGCTGGCCTTCTGGGAGGGCAGAATATTCAACTAAGACCCCAACTCCCCAGGGTCTTAGATTACACAGTTGCCCGGCATGACCTCCTCCAGCTGATCTCCCCCAACCCTTCCTCGGGCGCTGACAACCCTGGCTTCCCATACCACACACCACATTGTCATCGTTAGGTGTGATTAAGGCTGCAGATAAAAATAGGGGGTGGTAATTGAAGTCATGAAAAGGATAAGATAGGGTAAAGATATGGGCAGTTTAGAGAGGAGAGAAGCTCAAGGGACCTGATAGGCTCTGAATCTTTAAGAAGTAGAGAAACTAAGTTGCCTGTTTTGATACAGGGGCCATGGTAAAGTCTTTCTAGAGTGGTCAAATTTTGGAACAGTGAATGTGGGCTTATGGTATGGTATTATTTTTCTTGTTGGTTTTTTAGTCTTTGGTCATCAGTTGGTCTAACTCTACCAGATCTTCACTTGTCTGTGGCATTGCTGCTTCTCCAACATCAATATCAGCTTCATGAAATCCCACCTATTTTGCAGAATGTCTGATGTTACTTTGCATTATCTTTGCATTGTGTTAGGGGATATATCCTGCCATGAACAAGAGGCCAGCAGATTAAAGATGGTGATATGATAGGGATAGTTCAAGGGTTTGGTTATACATTTGTGTGTGCAAAATCCGCCTTGTGTAGTTTACATTTTAGTGGAGAGAGAGAGAGATAATATATATATCCACTGAGGATAAATGTAATGGAGGAAAATAAAGCAAGATAAGGGGGAAGCAGAAAAACTGAGCAGAGACTTAAAAAGAGAGATAACAATCATGTGGATATCCACAGGAAAAACATTTCATTCCAAAAGGAAATAACGGTAAGTATAGAGACCCCAAGGCAGGATTGTTCCTTGGCCTATTCTAGGAATAGCAAATGAGTCAGTGAGGCTGGGGTAAAGTGAGCACAGGCATAGTGCTAGATGAAGACAGAAGTTGGTAGGGGCAGGGGGCTGATGATGGAGGGGAAATTCTCAACCAGTTAGACTCAACTCCGTCATTTTATGACAGCAATGTTATAATACTGACTTTATTGAAATATAATTTGTAGATGATATATAATTTCTTTACAATTTTTAAAATAGAACATGAGTGCACTATTTAAAGGAAAGGTACTTACAATCAAATATGTTTTTAATAGTGAATGTTCAGACAGACAATACAGGAAAACAAAAATGCCCTGTAAAACTACTCTAGGGAACCTGCCTACTTCCTGAGAACCAGTGGTTGTCAGGCCTTTGTTAGGCTTTTACTCTGACTGGGGAGGTTACTGGGGGGTTTAGAGCATAGGAGTAGCATAACCTGACTAATATTTTGAAAGAATCATACTATCTCCTGTGGGAAGTGAGGCTGTAGGTGGTCAGGGACAGAAATCAGGGAGACCAGGTAAGAAGCTACTCCAAAAACCCAGATACAAGATGTTAAGTTGAACCACTGCAATAGAGGACTTCAGAAGTGGTTGAATTCTGGATTTATGTAGAAGGTAGAAGACTTGATGATGGATTGGATACAAACTATAAAATAAAGAGGAATCAAGGAAAACTCCAGATTTTTGCCTGAGCAACTGTAAGGGTGGAATTGTGATTAACTAAGAGAAGGCTGGAAGGATTCATTGTGGGAGGGGAGGCCACGAGCTCCCTTTTGGATATATTAAGTTTGAGATGTCTGTTAGATATCCTGGGAGAAGAGATGTCAGGTTGAAGGTTGGATATACAAGTCTCTAGAAATCAGGGGAGGTCCAGGCTAAAGATACCAATTTGAGAATTATCGTATTTGTAAGTGGTGGAGTTATACAAAAGTTATACTACCAGTGATTCTTCAGTGGAGATGAGATGTTTATTTTCAGTAATCTGGGGAATGAATTTAAGATGTTTGAAATATTAACTGAGATTATAAGACTTTAGATTTAGAAGATTCAGGCCCTGTCACTTCCTTTTGTTTCCTCTCCAGTACCCAACCAAGTGCAATTTGGTTGCATATCTAATACAGTTTGCTGAGTAAAAAAAGAAATACCTCTTTTGAATTTGGCAGTAGAGGTTCGGGTCTTTTGAGTTAATAACAAAGAAGAGTTGGAATCTCTTAAACTAATTTAAGGCTTTGAGTAATGTTAACTTATTTAGTTTTAAATTAAAAAATTTTAAATTGTTAATAAAGTCAGTATTTCAAAAAGAAACTTTTTTATGTATTTTAACCTCTAACTGTATACATTAATTTTATTAGAATTATTAATCATATGATAAGTTATAACCATAAAATAGATGTTAAAGATGGCTAGTGTGACTTTAATGTGGCTTCTAAAATAAAATAGTCATTTATCAGATCATTAATATTTATTTGGTATTCTTTTTAGGAAGATTTGGAGACTGGAGTTCACCTTGACCCTGCCGTCAAAGAAGTTCAGTATAATCCTACCTATGAGACCATGTTTGCTCCTGAGGTAAGAAAACATACTTAAGGTTCTGACTTTTGCTAAAGAATTTAAATCATAGTAGATAATTAGGTGCAGCAGTGAATTTTTAAAAGTTTTATCACATAAGCATACTATTTAAGTTTTTAGAAAATACATGCTTCTTTTTTGTTGTTTTTTTTTTGAGACAGAGTCTCGCTCTGTCGCCCAGGCTGGAGTGCAGTGGCGCAATCTCGGCTCACTGCAAGCTCCGCCTCCTGGGTTCACACCATTCTCCTGCCTCAGCCTCCCGAGTAGCTGGGACTACAGGCGCCCACCACCACGCCTGGCTAATTTTTTTGTATTTTTAGTAGAGACGGGGTTTCACTGTGTTAGCCAGGATGGTCTCAATCTCCTGACCTCATGATCCGCCCTCCTGGGCCTCCCAAAGTGCTGGGATTACAGGCATGAGCCACTGCGCCCAGCCGAAAATACATCCTTCTATTCTCCAAAAGTTCAGGTAGTGTGCTTTTGTGAAAATACTTTTAAAAATCCACTAGCTGCTTATCTGTCTACATACAGATGTCTGATAACATGGAACTATGTCTTTTGAAAAAGGAAATCTGATTCTTAAATATGAACTTAGTTGACATCTTCCTCTCAGTCTTCATGAGGGAGTATTATAATTAACCATAAAGGAAAATATTGGGGCTTACCAGCATCAATATGTAGTATATTACAAAACATCTAATTACAGATGCCCCTGAAGTGTCATACTGATGCACTGCCAGAAAGTAGTCACAGTGTTTGATGCCTGCTCTGAATAAAACAAAGTACTGGATTTTTTTTTCTGTCTCCTGATGAAAAAAACCAGAAACCGCAAATATTGTTCATTTAAGAAAGTCTTTGAATATTATCCATTTAGGGAAGTTTACAGAAAAGATTAAATTTCTAGATATTTTGCCTTTTAAAATGGAAAAGAATGCTTGATTGATGAAATAGAGATGCCAGAAAATGGTAATTATAAAACCAAGAAATACAGCTTCGGTTGATATCAGAATCTTTAAGAAGCACTTTCAAGATGGAGGTGAGGAGCTATATCTTATGGTATCTTGGGGGAAAATGATGTAACATTTTTCATTTTGTAGCATAAATTAGCCCTTTTGTGACATGTTAGAGTCAGAGCTGTTTCATATAGTACTTTTCCTGCCTAGGTTTCTGTATTCACTTAAAAGATGACCATTGAAATGTGTAGCACAGCCAGAGTTGTCAGTGCTTGTGTTTAGACAGAGCTCCAGCGATTCACTGAGTCTGCACTTAGCAAAAATCTTCCCATGCTCTGACACGACGGCACATTTTAATTTTTATTCCATTGTGTCTTAAATCCTTCTAGCATGTCAGACTACTGGTGGTCTCATATCCATTGGCACCATTTTAGCCACCCCACTGAAGAGAGGTTGTGTATTATATGTAAATATATGTTTCATGATTTTTTAAATGAAAAGTACTTTAATAAAATGGAGCCATTGAATTAGGAAAATAAGAAAATTTGGAAGCATTCTGATATGTAACATTCTCATGTCATTTTATTTTCTCTGAAGCCTGCTTTTTTCATGAGTTCTTAAATTTCATGCATAACTAATACATTGCTGTGTAATTAGTTTCCAAACTTTCAAGAAAAATTTAAAAGACCAGTTAAAATTTTTTTGTCGTTCTCTTTGTGGGATTTCAGTCCTTTAATGTTCTTTTTCCTCGGGTTAGAGAACCTCACATTAAATGTATAAATTAGTTTATGTGAGGAGCACTACAGTACTTCTTTACAAGGTAAAAAAGGACTGATAGGACTTAAAAGGGAAGCAAAATTATAATTGTTCCTGGTTGCCAAATGAATCCTCTGTAACTTATCAAATTTTGAACTTTTGTCTTCTATGACTAGGATGTGTATCACTTGGCAAAGTCTGGAAAAGTATCACTAGGAACTTCACCAGTTTAAATTTTAAATTCCTGTATTTTGAGTATCCATTGTTAGAAACAAGATATAATCCCTCTCCTCAAGCTAGTGTTTACCAGAGAGTATGTGCTGTTTGTTGGTTTGGTCAAATGTGTTTTTTTTAAAAAGATAGAGACCAGACTATTTCTTATTATGCCTCTAAAGTACTACTCAAGCTTAAGGAAAAATTGCATCTGGTTGTAAATACTTTTAAAAATTCCCTGAAAGAAGTAATGTTTGAATTGGGCAATTCAATCCAGGTCAAGAACATGAGATTTGGAGTTAAGCGGAATACTTATTAGCTCTGTGTAACCTTGGACGTTCTTAGTTTTTTCGTAGGTAAAATGAAGATAATTTTTATCTTATTGAGTTATAAAGATAAATCAGATAATGTATGATATAGTTAAAAAATCCTTCCGGCACAGAGTAGGCATTTAACAAATGGTAGTCATCATTGTTATTTTTATTAATTATTGGCATTGGTGGCTAGGTAGGCTTTTATGAGGAGAGACTTCAAGAAGAGAACAAACAGCATGAGCCGAATCATAAAAGATCTAAAGAACAGGAATGCCCGAGTCCTTACCAGAAGAAAGAATTGAGAGATAAGACTAGGATGGTACTTTGTATAACATTGCGCAAGGCTTTGGGGGCCAAGGTGAAGAGTTTTATCTTGATTTAATCAATGATAAATAGATTTGTGAGGGTCTTAAATAGGGGAGTAGCATAATCAAAGCTGAATTTTTAAGAAGGTTTATTTGGTATGCGTTTGCATTATGGAAAAGAACAGGGATATAGATTAGTGAAATAAAGCCACCAATTATTACTGTATGCCAGGTACCATACTGAAGGATTTACATACCTCATCTCCTTCAGTCCTCACTAAAACCCTATGAAGTAAGTACCTGTGTCCTTATTTTATAGCAAGGAAACCAAGTCTTAAGTTATACTGCCAGCAAGTGGCAAATTTAGAGATTTGAGTCCAGATCACTCTTAATTATCTCCCTATAATTGGAAGACCAGTTTGAAGGCCACTGTGGAGTTTGCAGGGTAACCCCTATGCCTTTGACTTTGCTAGTTCTGAACATTTACTCAATTGCTTATTTTATTTTATAAAATATTGTTTCTCTCTTCTGACCAAGGACTTTTCCCAAATTGTCTAGCTGGTTATATAGATAATTTTTCTCACATAATGGATAGAACTCGAAGACATAGTAGCCATTGTTTTAGTCTAGTAATTTCTTCATTTCACTCAATTCTTTTTAAATCTGCTTAGACAAAAATGTATTAATTAGCTTCTATAAACTCATAAAATCTGTAAGTCTCAGGAAGAATTCCAGACTCTTTAAAATAGTAGTACTTCAGAATAGAAAAAATATAAAAGTTAAGAGAAACAAAAACACCAGTTACTGTTAAAAATCTGGCTATAAAGGCTGCTGTAAATATTAATGTTATGATGAACTTTAGAAATCATATAGCTCAAATCTTCTATTTGTAGATGAGGAAACTGAGACCAAAGATCATAGAACCAGCACTAATGAAATTTTCTCATACTAATATTTTTATGCCTTACTAGATATGACATGATATCCACTAATAAAATTGAATTGTGGGGATCTTCTCTTAATTTGCAGGAAATAACAGACTCTTCTCACCTTAAAATTTGTTTATAAATCTTTTAAACAATAATGACTGCAGTAAATATGAATGAAAAATGTACCAACAATCTAGTATACTATTATATGTTCAGTAATTTGGGTTATTTTTCTTTATGTGAACTTACAACTATGATTTTATTTAGCCCATTTTTAGTAGTATAAATTGTCTTAATTCCTGCAATGTTATAATATGCTGCTAAAATGCTGACTCACCAATACTCTACCGACTGAAGATTTTTGAGATCCACATCCTTATAGTATCAGATCTCTGAGAGTTATCAACCAGCATCTTCACAAATTAAGAGTGCTTTTCTCCCAACTCTATAAGTAAACCACTACTTCATTCAGTTGACAGATGTTTAAGAATACTTTTCTCTTGGGAACATCATACATACTTTGGGTGTAGTGATCTGAATTAGTACTTACATACTTTTTAATAAATTAATTTTTTAATTAACAAAAATTGTATATATTTACAATGTACAATGTGTTTTTTAATATGTATACATTGTAGAATGGCTAAATCAAGCTAATTAACATATGCATTACTTCATGTACTGATCATTTTTTGTGGTGAGAACACTTAAAATCTACTTTTAGTGGTTTTCAAGAATACATTGTTATTAACTGTAGTCACCATGTTGTACAATAGATCTTTTGAACTTATTCCTCCTAATTGAAATTGTACATCCTTTGACCAACATCACCCAAAACCCCTCCATCCCATTCCATCCCCACCCACCCACCCAGCTCCTGCTAACCATTCACTCTCTGCTTCTATGAGGTCAACTTTTTGAATCCCACATGTGGGATCATGTGATACTTGTCCCAGCACCTGGCTTATTCCACTTAACATAATGCCCTCCAGGTTAATCTATGCTGTCAGAAATGACAAGATTTCCTTCTTTTTCAAGGCAGAATAGTAGGCCGTTGTGCAGACATACCACATTTTCTTTATGCATTCAAACATTGACAGCCATTTAGGTTGATTCGTGGGAATACAGATATCTCTTTGACATGCTGATGTCATTTCCTTTGGACATATACCCACTTGTAAAATTGCTGGGGTCATATGGTAGTTCTATTTTTAATTTTTTGAGGAGCCTCCATACCATTTTCCATAGTGGCTGCACTAATTTCCATTCCCACCAACAGTATACAAGTATTCTCTTTTCTCCAGAACATCCTTGCCAACACTTGTTACCCTTTATCGTTTTTATAATAGCTACTCTGACAGGTTTGAGATGATATTGTGATTTTAATTTGCATTTCTCTGGTGATTAGTAATGTTGAGTACTTTCTCAAATACCTGTTGACTTTTTTTTTTTTTTTTTGAGAGGAGTCTCGCTCTGTCACCCAGGCTGAAGTGCAGTGGTGTGATCTCAGCTCACTACAACCTCCGTCTCCTGAGTTCAAGCGATTGTCCCACCTCAGACTCCTGAGTAGGTGTCTACAGGCACACACCACCATGCCTAGCTAATTTTTTGTATTTTTCATAGAGATAGGGTTTCACAATGTTGGCTAGGCTGGTCTTGAACCCCTGACCTCAAGTGATCCACCTGCCTTGACCTCCCAAAGTGCTGGGATTACAGGCATGAGCCACTGCACCTGGCCCCTGTTGGCTATTTATATGTCTTTTGAGGAATGCTGAGAAATTCAAGTCCTTTGCCAATTTTTAATTGAGTTATTTATTTTCTTACTGTTGAGTTGAGTTCCTTGTGTATTTTGGATATTAACCCCTTACCAGATGTATGGTTTGCAAACATTTTCTCACTTAAATGTGTATGTTTTATGTAAGGAGATTGCAATTATAATTTACTATATTGTTCTTCATTATTGTTTGAGCTAAAAATTGTTAAATACGCATATGAACTTGAATATATTATACATTCACATTTATGTTATGTATTTACTTATATCTTGTTATAAATCACGTGAACACAAATTTACTCTTAAACTCAGTTAACTACCAAAACTTGAAGTGTTTGGAAATCAAATTTGTGTGTTTTCCATGTGTTCTGTTGTATTTTTTTAATGGTTGTTCCAGAACTAAGCGAGTTGCATATTCACAGGGACCAAGAACAGCTGAGAAACCTATCTTGAGTAATTGGGAAGAGCTGAGTCCTGCTAAGTAGCGTTCGCTGCCTTCCTCTGTTAATATTCAATGTCTTTAAGGTCAGCTCCAATAGCTACCAGTAGATGAATCCTCCTCCCACTGATTCCTTGTATCACTGGAAGATTTTTTTGTTGCCTCAGCTTAAATCTGTGTGAGACATAGGCATATGTAAATTTTTAGATTGCTTTATGTGTAGTAGGCATATGTGAAGTTTTAGATTGCTTTCGGTATAGTACCTTATATTATACATAGCCTTAATATATGGATCTGTCTTTGTATAGAAATCACAGTTCTTTTACACTGATAATTTTTCTTTAAAAAGTGGAGCTAGTGGCGGGGCGCGGTGGCTCATGCCTATAGACATCCCAGCACTTTGGGAGGCAGAGGCGGGCGGATACGAGGTCAGGAGATCGAGACCATCCTGGATAACACAGTGAAACCCCGTCTCTACAAAAAATACAAAAAATTAGCCGGGTGTGGTGGTGGGCACCTGTAGTCCCAGCTACTCGGGAGGCTGAGGCAGGAGAATGGTGTGAACCCGGGAGGCAGAGCTTGCAGCGAGCTGAGATTGCGCCACTGCACTCCAGCCTGGGTGACAGAGGGAGACCCTGTCTCAAAAAAAAAAAAAAAAGTGGAGCTAGTTTGGTATGTATGGCCTGTAGAAAAATTGTTCTTTCTTTTTTAGTAAAATCTGAATTAAATAAGAATATGGAAATTGTAGTCTCCTTTTTTTAAATGGAAAGTTACTTAAAGCACAATGATTGGTCATCTGTTATTTGTGATGTGAGTAACAGTTAAGAACAATGGGGATTTTTATCACTTTAGATTCCCCACCATGCCCCCTCCACCCCACCTCTGACCAGAAATAGCAGATGCTGCTCTGTGGATGATAGCTTCTGTGGATGATAGCTGACCGTAGCGGGTAGAGAATCTAGGAAACTTTTAAATCATTTTGTTATCTGTAATTTTATGGCTGTTCCTGTTTTTGTAATAAATTTCATGACTGAATGAAGTTGACTGCTACTTCTAGCATTCAGCAATCTAGATTTTTTTCCCCGACATTTTTCACCCATCAGGAGGCACAGGAAGGACTAATATGGGCTGCAAAGTCTTGCACTATCCATTATAATTAAGAATATGTACTAATAAAAGCTTTGTATATAAATCAGATATTTTAAAATTGAATCATTTTAAACATATAAATGGAAGCTGTCAATATATAGGAATGTTGTAGCAATTTATTTTCTTCTAAAGCAGAAAAAAATGTAAGGCACAGCTAACATTTAAATTCAGATTTTCATACATAGTATAATGTTGATATCTAGAGAATGCAATGTACTGGTTAAGAGAAGATGAGTAATTTTATTTGTGGCTCTGGAAATGTATCGTAGAAGAGATGGTTTCTAATGGTAATGACCTACAATGTTCTAATGTCAAAATAATTCATCATGACGGTGGGTCTTACAGAGTTCAGATGAAAATATCCTATTATTTTCGCCCTTTCCAAAGTGGGAAGCTCATTTGATTCTTTATTTAAAAACAAACAAAAAAAGAGTTGGATTTTCCCAGTACCTTTTATAATAGTATTAAATTAATAGCACTTGACATAATATATTCTGGTAATTTTTTACTCAATTTTTAAAAGTTAGAGGCTCTGATGGTGCATTTAAGGAACTTTATGATGTAATAGAATGCTTGACTGCTGTTTGTTCTAGCCCTGGTTCTGCCAATTAATAAAACTTTTGATCCTAGGGCAGGTAAAATACATTGCCTTTGGGGGTTTTTTCTTCATTTGCAGCATGAGAAGGAGAATACTTGTTTAACTTGTCAGGATTAAATAGCATTTGGAAAAACATTCTGGAAACTCAAAAGTATTATAAGCAAATAATAATTTGGCACTATTCGGTATAAGAAAAGTAATGTGACTCTTCATAGTGTGACTTCTCAGAGTGGAGATATTTTATTGACATTTGCAATATCTTTTCCTAGGGACTTTTTCAAGCACTTTATTTTTGTTGTCTGTTTTTCTATCCTCCACCCCCAATGGAATTCTGATTAATCTTTCCTTCATTAGTACTTTCTATATGCCAGGCACTGTGGTAAATATTGAGTATTCTGAGTCTCCCACTTTGAGGAACTAGTGGAAAAGAAACATGTAGTTTTTAAAAAAAATTATATGACAGTACCACTGTTGATATAAAAGTCACCCCAAATCCCCGAAATCATGGTTTGGGGAAACTATAGTAACTCTCAATTATCTAGAGCATCACTGTGAAGTAGAACTTCTGCAATAATGTGAATGTAGTAGCTGACAACCACATGGGGCTACTGAGCTCTTGAAATAAATAGCTACATATAGATTTGAGTGAGAGGGGTTCCTCTCCTTCTGTCCCAGGGGCTGACAAATGGTGCTAATCAGCCATTGCCCAGCTGCACTGAACCGTATCAGGCTAATGTGTTCCCAGATAGGTTAATAGGCCCTTTTTTTGTACAGTTATTCCAGTAATTCTAACTTCCATATACTCAGAACTTTTGTGTCTTTCTTATTTTATTTTATTTTTTTTCTTGTAACATTGCAGTTTGGACCAGAAAATCCCTTTAGGACACAGCAAATGGCTGCCCCTAGAAATATGCTTTCTGGATATGCCGAACCAGCTCATATCAATGATTTCATGTTTGAGCAGCAAAGGAGAACTTTTGCAACATATGGTAAGGTGATAAGACTTAAGCAGTTTCAATTTTGGCTTTATTAGAAGTGTGATCTGTGTGTGTTAGTCTGTTTTATCTTCTGGCTTTTAAAATTCACTGGATTCCTTCAGAAAGGATAGTATGCCTTCCTATACATATCCTTAAATATTTATATAAATGGGAAGGTGAACTCATATTTTTAGCTGTCATTGTAAATCCACTGTGATTTCTGAGTACTGGAAATATTCTGTGATCTTAACCAGAATGCTCTTTGTTGTCGTACTAGGTAATGGACATTTGTTATTTTATATCCATTACATGTAGGTTGCTGTTAAAGTTGGCAAATGAAAAGATAGTGTTAAGAGGTTACTTTTTTATCTTATTATAGGCTATTTAACTTTACTCTGTTTCTCAAATCTTATCTTGGAAATGCTTTCTCTTGATCACTGAAGGGTATCAGGAAAGAGAATAGCGAAAAATTCATTATGTAAAATAATTACATCCTACCAGTGGTGGGATTTTAAAAATTTAATGTGCGTGGAAACTGCTTGTATAGAGGATTATCATGTATTAGATCATACTTCACCATGGTAAGATTGTAATAGACTTAGAATGTACCAAATATCACAGCCAAGGCTATATACCACTTAAATCACCCAAAACAGTTCTATGACACTTCCAGTCCAATAAAATGGTTACAAATATGTTATACCCATTGCTTGTATAAGGGGTCCCATGTAAATCTAAAGTAATGTGCAGCACATAAAAATAAACTGTTACATCATGATTTTGTTATATTCTAACCTATAATAAGAGACTTTTAAAGACTTATTGTCTTCGACTTTAGAAGGACCTTAAGCAATAATTTAGTTCTCTTGTTTCCTTTAAAACAAAACAAAAGTCCAAGTAAGTTTATACCGATACCTACTTTTCTTCTTAAATTACCTTATAACAAGAATAAGGATTTAAAACTCTTCAGCTGGCTTTAGACCTGGTTTCAGAAATGGGTTGTGTTTTTTTGTTTGTTTGTTTGTTTGTTTTAAGTATCTGGTGATTTTTGCCTCTCCCACTAGGAAGTGGTGAGGTAGGACACAGGTTGAACTATTGAGTTAAAGACAAAAAATGAATTTGGGGCTATAGTATATTAGGCAGCCTAAAATAAAGGCAGCCTATAGTATATTAGGCAGCCTAAAATAAAATAAAGTGGGAGATTTTTGCCTCTCCCACTAGGAAGTGGAGAGCTAGGACACAGGTTGAACTATTGAGTTAAAGACAAAAAATGAATTTGGGGCTATAGTATATTAGGCAGCCTAAAATAAACGGAATGGCCAGTTACAAAACTAAGAAAATTTTGGTTTGTCTCCTTTATGATAGATCTTAGATAAGGTCGATCTTATTTATTAAGTTCAAGTGAACTTAGTAAGATTTAGGTTTAAACTGAGGTTTAAAGAGACAGTTTATTAAGTTCAAGTAAACTTAATAAGTGAACTTAGTAAATAAGATCAGTCTTGTCTAAGCTTTAACAACTGTCTCTTTAAACCTTAGTTTTAACACTGTCTGTTTTTTCTTTGCCCCCAGGTACTGAGCAAGTATATGACTTCTATTAGTTTGTCCTATAATTTTCTTATAGAAAGTTCTTATCTGACTTCTGATAGTAATTCCTATACCAGATTCCTATCAACTTTTGTTGTTGTTGTTCTTGTTTTTTAATCTTTCCACATGAAATGTAAGGCTGTGAGACCTTTCCGTTACCTTCCCTCATTTGCAAAGTGCAAGGAAGCAAACCTTTCTTATACCTTGTAGTGGTGTTATCTAACAGACATACAGGAGGTGACACATGAATTCAGTTTTACCTCAATCTCATAACCCTGGGCTATCACTGCTGGAATATAATACAAATATTTATTTTAATTTTCTTCCCATTTTTAAAAGTTGTAAGATTGTTATAATCTCAGTGAATTATTTCTGGAAGATTTATATTCTACAATGCAGTTAGTTTATCATAGAGCCCACCTGTAGAGTCCTTATCACTGAAAATAGTCTCATTTACTGTGTCATCCCGTTTACTTACTCTACAGTTTTGCTTTTAGCTTGCATTTATGGTATTTCTCCTGACTTCTCAGCCCCTCAGTGGTTGTGTGAATTTTGTCCTGTTTTCTGCCTGCTCCCCTGCCAGTCTTACTTGGGGCTTCTCAATGAAGTTTCTTCCTTTTGTTCGACTTTCATCTAGAATTTTCTCTACACCCACCTACAGAAGTGGAAAATAGAATTTTAAATAAATACTTTTAGTCTCACAATAATTATTAACATGAGTTTTAACTTCAATATTTGAAATCCTTTATTAACATTTTTATTTTATTTTTTTTGAGACAGTCTCACTCTCTTGCCCAGGCTGGAGTGCAGTGGCGCGATCTCAGCTCACTGCAAGCTCCGCCTCCTGGGTTCAACGCCATTCTCCTGCCTCAGCCTCCCTAGTAGCTGGGACTACAGGCACCCGCCACCACGCCTGGCTAATTTTTGTATTTTTAGTAGAGACGGGGTTTCACCATGTTAGCCAGGATGGTCTCGATCTCCTGACCTTGTGATCCACCCGCCTCAGCCTCCCAAAGTGCTGGGATTACAGGCATGAGCCACCGTGCCCGCCCTTATTAACATTTTTAAATGATTTTTTAAAAACAGTCTACTGAACAAAGATATAATTTTTAAAAGAATTACTTGTATCATTTAGATTTCAGTTTGATTCCAGTTTTCACTATTAAAAATGTGATGTATGTTATGCTACAAAGTGCATTTTAAAACATGGTAGTGAATATTTTTGTACATAAAACTTTACATGTTCTTATATTATTTTATACTATTTTCTTAAATGAGTTCCCAAACGTAGGTAAAAGAATATGTGTTTTAAAAGCTTTTGGTATATATTATCAAATTGCTTTCCAAAAGAATTCTCTCAACCTACTCTACCACCACAGTGTATAAAAGTCCTATTTCTCTTTTTTTTTTTTTTTTTTTTTGAGACAGGATCTCGCTCTGTCACTCAGGCCGTGCAGTTGTGGGATCTCTGCTCACTGCAACCTCTACCTCTGGGGTTCAGGCAATTCTCATGCCTCAGCCTCCTGAGTAGCTGGAATTACAGGCATGAACGACCACACATAGCTAATGTTTTTTTTTGTATTTTTCGTAGAGATGGGGTTTTACCATATTGGCCAGACTTGTCTCAAAACTCCTGGCCTCAAGTAATCTGCCTTCCTTGGCCTCCCAAAGTGCTGGGATTACAGGCCTGAGCCACGATGCCCGGCCCTATTTCTCTTCATCAAAGATCCATATGATTGTTTTTCCTTTGTTTACTTGATAATCAAAGTATTATATTTCTTTATTGCAACTTGATTTTTCCGGACTACTAGTGAGGTCGAAGGTTTTTTCATATATTTATGACCATTCTTTTGCAAATTGTTTATAGTCTCTTTTCATTTGCCTAATGGAATTAGTTTTAATAATTATTATTAGTTTAATAATCTTAAGGGTATAATAATAAAATCAATATTATGGCCATTTCAAATAAGACTGCCGAAGGGAAGAAAGTAGACATTAATTCCATTAAAAAGATAAAAGGGAAAACAAGCTTCAGGAAGATAGATAAGAATATTTAAGAAATGTAGAAATATTCACTTATTTGAGACACAAGATAGTGAGAAAACAAATTGGACTGAAATTTAGTAGTGTTAGAATTAGATCTTGTTCTATCACTGGCTGATTTGTAGTAAGACATAAGGCCAAATATTTAACTCTTATTTGTAAAAGGAAAATAATACTGTTTTCTAATCACCTGGGGTGGAAGGCAGTAGTGGGGATGGTGGTATGGCAGTAAAGATTTTTACCACAGAGGATGTGGAGCAAGAGGAAAGCATAACTTATTTTTCTGAGTAACAAGACAGTGGCCAGATGAGTTGGGGAATGGTGCTTACACAGAGACAAGGACCAGGGATACCTCTTCCCTCTCTGTCTACTCCTTCACCCTTCCAGACGCGTCATGAAATGCTATTTATGTAGACGTTAAGTCTCCTTTCAAAGTAGAAATTTACATTCTAGCTAGATACGTTTTTTATTATTGAAATGGAAACTTTTAACATGGTATGAGCTTATAAAAGTCTCATTTTTTGGAAAAAGTTATGTGCAGAACACTTCTGTACATCAAAGAGATTAAAGACAAAATAACTCATGGGATTTGAACCTGTGATTTCAGAGATTCTACTCCAAAGGCTGATTTTCTGCCACCAAGCTCTCTCCTCTGGTTAAGAACATATTTTAATGCTGAAAAAAACTATATGCAAATCAGCTAATAGCCAGGTGGTTGGTTCTGTTATAGCATATCATGAGGGTGAGTT
Source organism: Homo sapiens (assembly GCF_000001405.40). NCBI lineage: Eukaryota > Metazoa > Chordata > Mammalia > Primates > Hominidae > Homo > Homo sapiens. The sequence continues at coordinate 110,206,052 of NC_000006.12, forward strand.
CAGCACTTACATCCTTAGCTTGTTTGAAAAGCATGCTTCATGATGAATCTTTTTCTGTTCCCCAAAAGAAGTTCCCTATATTCTGTTTTTTTGTGTGTGTGTGTGAGATGGAGTCTCGCTCTGTCGCCCAGGCTGGAGTGCAGTGGCGCGATCTCAGCTCACTGCAAGCTACACCTCCCCGGTTCACACCATTCTCCTGCCTCAGCCTCCCGAGTAGCTGGGACTACTTTGGATGAAAAATGAAAATAATAAGTCTATCCTCTAGGATGTGCCCTTTAGAAAAAATGGGCTTAGTACTTTTTTATGTATTCTATTATCGTACACATGAGTTGTAGGCCATAAAGTGATCAGTGATTTAGCACTCTTGTGAATATACCAGACTAATGTTACCAAACATTTACTGTGCTAGCACACCCATTTGAGAAAAAAACTGATTTGAGCTAACTTAGGTAGACTTTCTTTCCTTAAATTCCCATGGACCACTGAAGACCACATTTATATGTAGCTACATACTTTATAATTAGTTTAAAAAGCACATTCGTATGCTGGTAGATATCCTTCCTTCTCTTAAGGAAATATAAAGAATGATTGATGAAATAGAAATATATTAAGATTGGGAAGGAAGACTGTCCTTACTGCAAATGGTATTTTCAAAATAATAGCTAGATTTTATGTAATCTTCTTACCCTTTTTTATTTAATAATTTACATAATTTGATAAACTTAGCCCTGCAATATCTATTACCAAGAAGAAAAGGAAAATGGTTTCTAGATTTCCAAGTGCATCATGTACATGTATTTTCAAGCTCTTAGAATATTTAAAACTAAAGTTTGATGTGTTGGCCAGAGAGGCTCTTAGTAATGTAATGTCAGTATGCAAAATTCATCCTATAAGAAACATATTATGCTGGAGTCTAGCCTGAGCTTTGGGTTCTAAATAGAAAAATATAGCTTTGGGTTCTAAATAGAAATATAGCTCAGGGGCCGGGAGTGGTGGCTCACACCTGTAATGCCAGCACTTTGGGAGGCCAAGGCGGTGGATCATTTAAGGTCAGGAGTTCAAGATCAGCTTGGCCAACATGGTGAAACCCCATCTCTCCAAAAAAATACAAAAGTTAGCTAGGGGTAATGACGCATGCCTGTAATCCCAGCTACTCTGGAGGCTGAGGCAGGAGAATTGCTTGAGCCTGGAAGGCGGAGGTTGCAGTGAGCCGAGATTACACCACTGCACTCCAGCCTGGGTGACAGGGTGAGACCCTATCTCAAAAAAAAAAAAAAAAAAAAAAAGGAAGCAATATAGCTCAGGGCAGAATGATTGGTCCTGATTGGTCCTGAGTTAGAGATCATTTTTGACATCTGGGAAAGAAAATGTGAAATGTGTATATTTGTATTATAATAATAAAATGAATTTAAACAGCAAAATGGAGTTAATAATTTTCACTTTTTTGCTTTCAGGTTATGCATTAGACCCTTCATTAGATAATCATCAAGTGTCTGCTAAATATATTGGTTCTGTAGAAGAAGCTGAAAAAAATCAAGGTAATTTATTTGAAACATTTGATATCATATATACCTACACATCTATAATTAGTGTCTTGCAGAGTGACTTTAATTAGACAGTAAAAAATAGTATTTAGCGCTTTTTTTTTTAAAGTTGAAACAATGGAGCGATACAGTTTAGAGCAATATAGTTCAGAAATGTTACAGTTTAGAGCTTGCTTTTGCCGCTTACTAGTTGTGGAATCTTGTAGGGAAAATAATGATACATATCTCTTTGAGTTACTTTGAGTACTTGGCACCATGCCAACCCTGTAGAAATCACTCAATAAATTACAACTAATGTATAGATAATTTTGGCAATTGATTTCTCAACATTAATGTCAAGCTTCATTTTAACAGAGTAGAAATACTTTATTTGGTAAGTCTGTGAAGATTGTCTTTGAAGAGTTGCTTTGAAGGTTGAGTTTGAATATGTGTTGTATGTATGCTTGTATTCATATTCATTTTGTACTTACAATAAGACAAAACATCATACGCTAAACGCTAACTTGTCACAAGCCTCATCAGTCCATTAGAATATTATCCATAAAATGCAATTTAAAAAGTAATTTGCTGGTTGGTTGCATGGGACATTTGTGCTTAGTAGCTATAGATCCTATGTGATCTGGCTGGTCTCTGTATATGAGCTAGATTATTGTTAAAATAGAATTTTAACAGGCTTTTGCTATAAAACATAGCCTGAATTAATATAGGTAGACATTTCTTCTTTAAGCTAGACCTCTGCAAGTCCCATCTAAAGGTAGCTAGATTCTTAGTTAACTTGTGACTATGATTCCACAAACCTTTCTTTTTCCAAGTTAATGACTATACACAGTATGCCACCTCCTACTAATCAAATCAAAATCTCAACCAGAAACACCCTCCTTCTCCTTTTCTTTTACTGTTAACGTTAATGATATTAGAGGTCAAGATGAGACTGAAATCACTTGGAAGGAATACCATTTCTGGTGAAACCTTGTTTGATTTACATTTTTGCATTACAAGTGAAGTGAAGATAAGTTATTAAGTACTTACAGTAATTTAGTTTAATTTAGTTTTAAAATGATAAATTACAGTTTATTCTTGCTTCCAAATGTCACTTTATTATTACTTAGCAATAATGAGTTTCTGAGTTTTTTCCAGAAAGTCGTACAAATCCACTGACACAGCTTTTTGATTCAATAAAAGGCTTGTGCGCCATTGTAGGAGTACATATTTGGGTCTCTTCTTTAAGTATACAGTATTAGAATTTGCAGAATATTGAATTAGTTTTAAGTGTCTTTGCCCAGAAGGTTGAATCCCTTTTTCTGTAGCATGAGTCAGCGTATATGGTAGATTCATGTAGATTGTTTTTTAATAACTCTGGGGTCACTTGAACAATCATCTTTCTTTAACCATATAAAATAAAATTAAACATATGTTCATATTTCTTTAGAAAATGTACATCTTTGTAATCTCTCAGTTTTTTTTTTAATTTTTTTTTTGTTAACGTAGGTTTAACTGTATTTGAAACTGGTCAGAAGAAAACAGAAAAGAGGAAAAAGTTTAAAGAAAATGATGCATCCAATATTGATGGTTTTTTGGGACCATGGGCAAAATATGTGGATGAAAAAGATGTAGCCAAACCTTCAGAAGTAAGCTTTGATGTTTTTAATTGTCAATTCAGGTATACGCTGTATCTCTATGAAGGATATCTACATTAATAAACTTGAGATTTCTTTAGAGAACCAAATGACTCATCAAAATTTTTCTGCCTTTAGTTGATTGAAAATATACAATAAAATTTATTTGTTTTTCTTTGGGATATTTTTATTTACCTTTTCTGCTGATTTGTTTTCTCTCATGCTTTTTTATTAAAATACAATATTGAACAATTTTCATAAAGATTTCCTTGATATTGCTATTAAGCTGCCATGGTAGCTACTCTTCTGATACTAGACATTCAGATAGTAACTACAAAATCAGCCTTCTGTGACACTAGAATTGATTATAAATTTTATTGATTTATGAATTTATTTAAAATTTTCAACAAATTTTATCTCTATATATATCTTAAAAACTACTATAAAGTTTGTAAAGTAAATGCTCTGCCGTTCCCTTCCTCACCTCCTAATCTCACTGTCTCCATGAGCCAGAGAGTGTTCTAGGTCCCAGGCATACAGCAGTGGACAAGATCAAGAAAATCATGACCTCATGAAGCTTATATTCTAGCTGTTACTTACATCCAGTAAATCCATGTTTATAGTAATAGAAATAAACAGGTGATATCTAAGATGAATAAACTTATTCTACTATTTTTTATTTTAGATTTTATCTGTTGACTTGTTATTATAGATAGAGATTTACTACTACCCCATCTTCTGTCCCCAGCTCCTCCCAAAAAAATTGTGTCACAAATGTATAGCTATCACTTATATCCTTAGGAGTATGTAAAAACAATTAACTGAAAAACAACATTATGTGCTAAAATTCAGTTTCCATTCTGAAACTAGATTTTCTGATTGCCTTGTCTTTTTACTTGTATAACTAGTATAACATGTTAAAATTTATTTCTAGGTGTCACAGAAGGATAAGTTTTGAAAACTGATTTTATATAGTTGAAAAGTATTATCTAGTATCCATTATGTATTTAGTACCATTTCATAATTTGTGGAAGAGGTAATCAGTCTCTGCTTATAGAAGACTTGAGCTTGGCCGGGCCTGTAAGCCCAGCACTTTGGGAGGCCGAGGCGGGCGCATTGCCAGAGCTCAGGAGTTCGAGACCAGCCTGGGCAACACAGTAAAACCCTGTCTCTACTAAAACAGAAAAAATTAGCCAGGCGTGGTAGTGTGCACCGAGTAGTCCCAGCTACTCGGGAGGCTGAGGCAGGAGAATTGCTTGAACTAGGAAGAGGGAGGTTGCAGTGAGCAGAGATTCGCGCCACTGCACTCCAGCCTGGGCGACAGTGCGAGACTCATCTCAGAAAAAAAAAAAAAAAAAAAAAGTGTTGAGCTTGTTATCCTGGGAACATACTCGGACCAGATATGTAGAAGTCATTATAAAGAATTTATAACCAACTTTAGGTATAATGAGGTTCTAGAACATTCATTTTAAATTTCACTCCTTAATTTTCTTAGGAAGAGCAAAAAGAATTGGATGAAATCACAGCAAAGAGGCAGAAAAAAGGAAAACAGGAAGAAGAGAAACCTGGGGAGGAGAAGACAATCTTACATGGTAACATATTTTTTGTACATCTTCATTTTTATGAAAAACCTTCATATTTACTCTGTTCGCTGTTCATACAATATCAATTACCCTTACTATCAGCTGTAATAAAATCATTATGTTAAGTATAATTGTGTTGGACAATTTGTATCCCAAGGAAATTACAGCAGACTTCTGTATACTGATAAAGGAGAAAAAATAGCATGATTAATGATAGCCACAGATAATTTTTTTCCAAGTGTGAATGAATTTTATTAAATGGTAGATAAAAAGAAACTTGAATAGTCCACAATCTATTCTTTCGTAAGATAAAGTTGACTCTTTTGGTGTATTAATAGTGCCCCAGTCATTTTAAATGTTTTTAATGAAGCCAAATACTCAGGTATCCTCACAGTTCATAATCGTTATTCAGCTATATTCAGAATAAACTTGGATTTTCGTGTGAAAAGATGGAGCTTAAGGCTCTCATACTTATTTTGACTTGTAGAAGGAAATGCATATTCACCAAAACAAATCGTAAGTATTCTAGAATGTACCTGTTAATAATTAGTTATATTTAGGAAAATACATAGTGATTATCTAAAACTGTAAAGAATAGCTTAGCATTTACAGTGTTGCTTATTCTAATGTTATATTACATCAGATATTTAGGTTTGATGAAGCCATATTTGGTTCTTCAAGCTTCAGTTTTATCTCCAAGGAGTCTATTTAGTACTATGGTACTTAAAACTATAATAACAATAATATAAAAATAACATTTATTGAGTACTTACTCTGTGCCAGGCATGCTGCTAATTGCTGTATATATACTATGTCATTTAATTCTCACAGGTGACTTTATTGTAAAATTTGTGATGAAAGTGGGAAAAGATAAATGAAAAGGAACTGGAAGGGCATAAGAGAGGAAAGCAGGGGAAAAGGATAGTTGATATATTTTGTTTTGTTTTAACTTCCTTCTTAACCTGTTTTATTTCTGCTTCTTTACCAGTGACTAACAAGGCCCAAGTATTATCTTCCCTTGCTATAATTATGCCACAGTGAAGTCTTTATAGATCACTAAGATGTGTAAGTGATGAAAAGAAGTATAGATATTATCTAAAGGTCTATAATCTCTGGATATTTAGGAATTTCGAAATACTACCTCTAGTTGTAAATGATAGCAGTTATTTTAAGCACTTAAATCTTAGCTGACTCATGATCTTGACATCATTGGAGTGTTATTACCTAAACCTTAATATGGAATGATATACCTGTGAATAAAATGTTATTTTAAGAATGTTAGGTTTCATGACTATGGGTTGTATTTGTTTATTGATTTTCTTTGCCTTTTTGTTTCAGTTAAAGAAATGTATGACTATCAAGGCAGGTCCTATCTTCACATACCTCAGGATGTTGGTGTTAATCTACGGTCAACTATGCCACCTGAGAAGTGTTATCTTCCCAAAAAACAAATTCATGTGTGGTCTGGACACACAAAGGTAAGCAAGTTGGTTGTTTCTGTTTGCTGTAATGTTATAATAATGAAGCCAACGTAAAGTTTTAGCTGTTGATGTGGAACATTTAGTATTTCTGGTAAAGGTACAGGGAAGTCAAATTGAATGTAAGCCTGAGTTATGCTTTGGAGATGCCCACACATCCATCACAAGTGACTAATCAGTCTTCAAGGCCATCTGAATTGGCCATGACATAGCATTCATGATTTAGTGTCCTGTATCCTTGTAGCCAGGCCTTTCCCCACAAGCTCCTGCTACAGTCTTCTTCCTTTTGGGCACCAAATCAGTGAGTAATGGGCTGGTACTAGCACCAAGTCTCCTGCTTAGCTTCAGTAATTTTGCTTTAGCTCTGTGGTTATCACACTTCAGAGATTAGATGCGCCCTGGTTTATAAACTATGGTAATTTTTAAACTAATGCAGAGATAAGGGTCATGAAAAATTTTGATGTTGATATTCTTTGTCATCTGTACTATTCCAACTTATAATTTCCAACTCTTTGCAAAGAGCAAAGGACTAAGTAAAAAAAGGAAGAGAAGTGGGGGTATTAGCAATTTGATTGACTCAGGATTCCATTGGGTGAGGAACTCAATATTAAAGGTTAAAAAAAAAATCTTCAAAAGCTTAGTGTCAATAAGGCCTGCTCTTGGAATGCTAATGAAAGTTATTCTGGGGTGAGATTTTTGGAATGAAGAAAAATAGCAAATTAGGCTGCTTAATATATACTGTCTTTTCTTGATGCTTCATTTGAGCTGATCTTTTGAATGCTTCTGGTTGATAACTGTAATACCTTTTTATAGGGCGTCAGTGCAGTCAGATTGTTTCCTCTCTCTGGCCATTTATTGCTGTCTTGTTCCATGGACTGTAAAATTAAGGTGAGTTTTCAGTAACAGAGTAGGAGTGCTGCAAAGCTAGTTCTTTGTTTAAATCTGTTTGATTAATTATAAATAAATTTGGGTTTGTTAGGCAATTAGAAGCTAATTATTTTCTCTTAGATCCTGTAAATGCAGCAATTTATGAACTACTTCCAAACATAAAATCAACTATGGCTCTGTGGTCCAATTGGCTAGGCCCCTTTTTTTGTTGTTGTTTTTGTTTTTTGTTTTTTTGTTTTTTTTTTTTGAGATGGAGTCTTGCTGTGTTGCCCAGGCTGGAGTGCAGTGGCACGACCTCAGCTCACTGCAAGCTTCGCCTCCCGGGTTCATGCCATTCTCCTGCCTCGGCCTCCCCAGTAGCTAGGACTACAGGCACCCATGGTGGCTAGGCCCCTTTTTAAGCTTAGACAACTGATGAGAATGTAATCCAATCATTTTGGCTTTGGACATATAAATATTTAATCACTAATCATTATAGAGATTTTGTATATGTAATAGTTTATTTGTTTCTCCAAACCTTATGAAATAGAGAGGACATAGGTTAGAAATCCCATTTTTAGAAAGTAGAAAATGTAATTCATCCTTTTTCTTCTAAATACTAGTAGACACCAAGTAACTGGACTGCTCCCAGCCCCTTCTTTTCACCTTTTCTAGTCTTGGGAAGCTCCATCTTTAGCTTCTGTTCAGTCATAGAATGTGTGGTAGAAAAAACTCCGTTGCCAATGCATCTCAACCTGAATATGCAGGATGTCTTGAAAAAAATTTTGAATCTGAAAGGATAGTTCTTACCAGTTTTGTGTCTTCTCTTTGTCCGGACCATGATGATGGTTCAATAAATACCAACCCTATAGTGCTCTTGGGGCTTGAAAAGTTGAGTCATTAAAATTTTATCATTTGTAAATAATTCATGGATATTAACAATAAAAAAGGCCACTTTTTTTTATAAGAGCAACCATTTAGGCATTTGTCTCTAATAGCTTAAAATGACAGGCCAACATTTTGGAGTAAAAACCCCCATTTTACTTAACTTTTACTTTTACTTTGTACAAACCATGTTAATTGAGATGTTGGTCTTTTCTTTGACCAACCAAAAAAGCATAGAATTCAATTAGTTCACTTCTATAAACATTCTATTATGTGCAGGGGACTGAAAGTAAAAGCTTATAAAGGCACTGTCCCTCCCCTTAGGATGATCATTTTATTATGATATAAATGATTATTATAGAGGCAAGCACAAGATATGCTGGTTTCAAAGAGGAAGCATACCTTAGTAAGTTGGTTAACTAAGTAAAGGATGAGGAAACAGGAGTAGAGTATGCTTGAAAAGAGAATGGATCAGCATGGTGTGTGCTGAAAATAACAGTTTTGTGCTTGCTGGAGCATAACATCTAAGAGACAAGGAATGATTGCAGTCATGAGCAAGAAACCAGGTCTCAGAGGTCGTTTCCTAGTATGCTACAGTAACTGAGACTGTGTCCTATTGGCACCAGTGGCAAGGAAATGCTTTCTATTTTAGAGTACTAGCAACATTGTTGAGAATTGGATTCAAGGCAGTCAAGAATAAAGCTAGCCTTGAAGCTATTGTATTAATCCACCTTAGATATGCTGAGAATTATGAGCCTTTTATTTTAGTCTAGATCATCATTTTCTTACAGCTTCTGTAATACTTGTTATTCAGAAAAGTAAACAGAAAAGGCTTTCAGTATCAAAATGTTATATACATGGCAGTTTTAATAACAATTCCTTTAAACGTCATTTGTAGTGCTACAAAAGTAGAAACTTTTCATCCTAGAAAATGTATGAAATAGAAAAGAACAATATGAAAATGAAAACTTACCTGAATTAACTCCATCTATAGTTAAGTCTCTTTTTTGATGTAAATATCTTTAAAACTCTTTAGTTTTGAGCGTGTGTGACTCTGTGTGTGTGTGTTCCAAATAATATAACACAAACTGGCAGCACCAAGCTATATTTAATGATATTCAGTGTTTAATATTTAATGATTGAAGCTGTGCGTTTACACACACAGATGTGCACACACATAACCAGCATAGGGCTGTTGTTATTAATTGAAGGACCTTTATTAAATGTAATATTTCCATGTGTTGTTTTTTTTCTCCCCCAGCTATGGGAGGTTTATGGAGAACGGCGCTGTCTGAGAACATTTATTGGTAATGCTTCTTTTCTCTCCAACATAAATCTGGGAAGAATTTTTAAAGTAAGATAACATCATTGACAATAACTTTACTACACCGATAGGAAGTAAACTCTTCATAGATTTCAGCTGAATCTGGAAGGAGGAGTCAGTGTCCCCAGTTAGACAAAGAAAGAGAACTAGGAAGCAAGAGCAGCGGATGCAAAACAAAAATGGTGTGAGACAGCGTGCTGCTGAGGGGATCCACGTACATTTCAGGATTGTCAGAGTATGGGGGATGGTGAGAGACAAAAGCGGAGAAAAGTAGCAAGAGAGGGACCAGAGTATGGAAGACCTCCTGTGCCATTAATAAAGAGTTTAGCCTCTGTTGTGAGGGCATTGGGGAACCATTAAAGAGCTCTTGCCGGAAAGCAACATGATTTGAAGTTTACAAAGATCAAATGGCAATATGCAGGATGATTTGGTAGGGCAAGCCTGGAGGAAGGGAAATTAATTACACAGTTATTTCATAGGTCTGGTTTAGAGATGATGAGCGCCTGAACCAAAGCAGCAGAGAGAGAAAAGAAAGGAACTACGTATTAGAGTTAAAGTCAGTGAGATTTAGTAACGGCATGTGAATGATCACAGTGAGACAGGAATCTAGAGTGACTCCCATGAGGCTGGATGAACGATGGTGCCATTCACCAAGAAGGAACATAAGATGATGGTAAGGTTTTAGATACACCAAATTTGAGCTGCCTTTGGGATATTGAGGTAAAAATGTTCAGTAAGCAATTAGATAGCCAGAGGTCGAGCTTTGAAGAGAGACTGGGAATTGACAGCTAAAGCATAAAAAAAGGATGAGATTGAGAGAACTCCTTGAAGAAAGAAAGAAGGCCAAAGGGAGGACAGCTTTGTGACAAACCAGATTTTTGGTAGAGAAAGGTTTATTGTCTTTGTCAGATTTCATGTGAAGGCTAGTTACTCATTCCAAATTTAACTGTACCACGTTGAAACGGTGTGACTCGTAGTGGCTCTGTTTTTAGATTAAAGTGGGAGTCTGTTCAGCAGTGCTTTATGATTTTAAGGCCTCCCTGCACAAATTAATACTGCCTAAGATGTCACCGCAGCCTAAAGGAAGACTTGTGGAAGGCTCTCAGCTGTGTACAGGGGAACAAAATGTCTCCATCAGATAGAGTGGATTTGGTCCGCATCTGTCTCCCCTCTACTGGCAGACCATTTTTCTGTGGAAAACTGAAATTTTCCTCCTGAAGGAGATGATAGAAGCTCTGACTGGGACTCCAGCTGTAGAAAAGGATGCCTAATTACCATGACACGTACCTCCTGATGGGAGTTCACTGGAGGTGATGGTTTAGAGCTGCTGCATGTGGTTAACAATTTGTGCCATGCTCATTTTGCACAATTGTACGTGTCTTGGTCATGGTGGGGTGGCAAAAATAGGAACATTTTTGCTTTTGTTTAGCCACATTTTATTTTTCCCTGTAACTTTTAAAAGAGTTGAGTGAACTGGCAATATTCATTTTTAAGTAAAGTATAATAATCAGCACCTTAAAATTAGTGTATTATCAAAATATCATCTTAAAGCAAAAGAAGGTAGCCTGGGCAACATGGCAAAACCCTGTCTCTACAGAAAATACAGAAATTAGCCAGGCGTTGTGGTGTGCACCTGTAATCCCAGCTACTCGAAAAGCTGAGGTGGGTGGATCGCTTGAGCCAGGAAGGTTGAGCTTACAGTGAGCTGAGATCCAGCCACTGCACTTCAGGCTGGGCAACAGAGCAAGACCCTATCTCAAAATAAAAATAAAAAACCATGCAAGCTAATATAGTTTTCAGAAAGTCTCCTACATTCTGAATCAGTTTCTATGAAATTTGGTAATGTGATCACAGAAATATACAATTATTGAACAAGGGCTACAGTTTCCTGAACTTTAGGTTTGGGGCACTTTGTTTTCACTTGCAGCCTGGTGGACATTCTGAGAGTGAACCTCCAAAATTCCAGCAGCCATTTCTTTCACTGGCAATAATTGGTCTTTTACATTTCCATAAATTCTTGGCTAGCTAGTCATCACTTGTATGTACTGCATATTAAGTAATTGCTATGGCAGACTTAAAAGAAAAGTTAAACCTTTTCCTCTTGGTTCTTAACCAAGATGTTATGCATCAGAATCACCTGAGGAGCTTCTTCAAGGGGAAAAAAACGCCCACATTCTGAAGCCCACACATAACATATTCTAAGTCAGTAAATCAGGCGGTGGCATTCCAGTGATCTTGACTCACAGCTGAGAACCACTGCTTAGTGCTGTTTGTCTTTATGGTGTTAATGTTTTAAGAGAAGAAGATATATGATACTTCACCTCATTGCTGTTTCTGTTGACTCCACCTTTAGGTCACAGTAAGGCTGTTAGGGATATCTGCTTCAATACTGCAGGAACACAGTTCCTCAGTGCAGCCTATGACAGGTATCTTAAGCTCTGGGACACTGAGACAGGTAAGAGTTCACTTATGCTAATACACATTCATCTTACAAGTTATTTATATTTGAAATGGTGTGAGTAGTCTTTTGTGGCAAAATGGCACCTTCTCTAACTGCTGATTCTCATACCATTCACTGTCAGCAAATATCACAAAATACATTTGTAAGTCGAAACTGAGCATGAGTAGCTCTTTCACTGTGAAACTTGTTTCCACCAGATAGATTTTATAAAGCAAACGTACTGACAAATAAGCAAAGTGGAAATCTTGTATAGGCCATCTAATTGATTTTTTTGTTCCCCTACATCACCTAGCACTGTGCATTGCACATAACAGAAGTGCAATAAATGTCTAATGAACAAAATTAAATGTATTTGCGCAAATTGATTAAAATGTAGGTCTCAACTTTCACAGGCCAGTTGGTTTTATATATTCACAGCCATACTAATTGCTGTTTATTAATTGATTCACATTAATATGTTGTGGCTAGTATAATTTTATGTAATTATAAAAATTATCTTACTATCTTATTGTCTTACTGTCATTACCCTTACTGCATCTGAAGGGTAATGATAATAGTTAATGTTTATTAAACATCATTTAACAGGCATAATTGCTAAGCACTGATATTCAGTGTCTCCTTCAATCTTAATTTATCCCTATGAGGTAAGTACTATTATTATATTATAGATAAGGAAACTGAGGCTTAAAGAGCTAACTTTTTCAGGGTCACACAGCTAATAAGTAGCAGACTTGGGTTCAAACGAAGCTCTCTCTGATGCCAAAGCCCATATTCTTCAGCACTTTAGCAGTGGTTCTCAATTCTGGCCACACATTGTAATCATCTGAAGAGCTTTAATATTACTGATGCCTGAGTCCTACCTTCAAAGGTATTTATATAATTGGTATGGCTATAGACTAGATGATTGTACTGTGTAGCCAAGGCTGAGAGACTACTATTTTGCAGATTCTTTTAAAAATCAAGATAAAATACACATACAGTAAAATGTATGAAGTGCCTAAATATTCAGTGATTTTTTTTTTTTTTTTTTTGGTAAACATATCTATGCAGTTGTCTACCACAAAGATCAAGATCTAGAACATTTGCGGCACTCAGTAAAGGTTTCTTATGCCCTTTTCCAGTCTGTGCCCACTGCCAGTAACCATAGTAACCACTTTTGTCATCATTTTCCTCTTCATTTTTCCTCTTCTTAAACTTCTTATAAACGAAATCATACCATTTTTTCTCTTTTGTTTCTAGCTCCAGCATAATATCTGAGATTCCCTCATGGCTTGTACCAGTAGTTTGTTCTTTTTTATTGCTTGCACTATTCCATTATATGAATGAAGTTATAATTTATTTATTCTACAATTGGTAGTACCGATTTACTTTTGAAAAAATTATTTTTAATCATTAAAAATCTGTGAAAAAGAACAAATGTAGTTTACAGTAAAGAGCAAGCAGGCAGCCCTTCCTCAAAATGTATTAAGCAGGTGACCTCTAGATCTTAATCTCACAGTCATCTTTAAGTGGTCAAATTTATTTTACCTATTTAATTTGAGTCTTTGGTTTTAGGACAGTGTATATCAAGATTTACAAACCGAAAAGTACCTTATTGTGTCAAATTCAATCCTGATGAAGATAAGCAAAATCTCTTTGTGGCTGGGATGTCTGATAAGAAGATTGTGCAAGTAAGTCTTTCACAGTATTTTGTTAAGACTCCTAAGCTTTATGTTGTATAAGGGGATGGAATAAGTTAATAAGCTAATATTACTCATTTAATGTTTGCTACTTTTAGGGACGGCTAATGCACCATTCTTAGCAGAAAAATTTACATTTATAAAAATATCGTGTTGAAGATCTTCTCCTTCTCCACTTTCCAGAATTATGGTCTTTCATAAATCCACTCTACTTCTGTCTTTACCTTTTTTCTTGCCTGATACACAGTGGGACATTCGAAGTGGAGAAATTGTGCAGGAATATGATCGGCATTTGGGAGCTGTCAACACCATTGTTTTTGTGGATGAGAATAGGAGATTTGTGAGCACATCTGATGATAAAAGCCTAAGAGTTTGGGAATGGTGAGTTTCCATCAGTAGAAAATCTGATTTACATAAAGCAAGCAGTTAAAAATTATATAGACAAAGATGAAGCCTGATAATATGCAACCATTTGAATATTTTTTGCAACTGTGATCCTGGCTTGCCAATCAAACTGTTTTAACTATTTAAGTACTGACAATATGCAGATTAAATCCAAACATGCTACCATTTATAATCTTTGGATAGTCTTTCCAAAGGATGTGTATCTTGAGTTGTTTTTCTTATACGGATGACAGATTTGTATTTTGCTGTCTTACATTCTTTATTAGGTACCTTATTCATCTCTGTAAAATAACTGGCAAGCAGTAGGGGGACTGAGCATAAGATCATGGCCCTAGAACCACCCAAAGAAAATAGTGGTGTATATCTTAATTTTTTAAATGTCTACTTTTTATGATTTTTCAGTACTGAAAATGCCCCATGTATTAGTCTGTTTTCACACTACTGATAAAGACATACCCAAGACTGGGCAATTTACAAAAGAAAGGTTTAATGAACTTAAGTTCCACATGGCTAGGGAGGCCCCACAATCATTGATGAAGGAGAAAGGCACTTTTTTTTTTTTTTTTTTTTTTTTGAGACGGATTCTTGCTGTGCCACCCAGGCTGCAGTGGCGCAATCTCAGCTCACTGCAAGCTCCGCCTCCCGGGTTCACGCCATTGTCCTGCCTCAGCCTCCCAAGTAGCTGGGACTACAGGCGCCCGCCACCACGCCCGGCTAATTTTTTGTATTTTTTAGTAGAGATGGGGTTTCACTGTGTTAGCCAGGATGGTCTCGATTTCCTGACCTTATGATCCGCCCACCTTGGCCTCCCAAAGTGCTGGGATTACAGGCGTGAGCCACTGCACCCAGCCAGAAAGGCACTTCTTACATGGCGGCAGCAAGAGAGGGAATGAGAGCCAAGTGAAAGGGGTTTCACTTTATAAAACCATCAGATCTCATGTGACTTACTACCACGCAAGAACAGTATGGTAGAAACTGTCCCCGTGATTCAGTTATCTCCCACAGGGTCCCTCCCACAATACATGGGAATTATGGGAGTACAATTCAAGATAAGATTTGGGATGGGACACAGAACCAAACCATATCACCCCATATCATGACTCTGGTACAAATGTTTTACTTATGGAATATAGTCATATTATATTGGTTAATTGTACTTTACTAGGGAAAAAATATTTTTCTAAAGTTAAGCAATATACTAGTTTCATTACATATCATAGTGTGTTCTATAATTTAGTTGCAAAAAAAATGCTTACTAACCTTTTTGTTAAAACGAATGATTGGATGGAAGCCGCCATGTTTTTACAGTCAGTTATGAAGCACAGCTCAACCATGAGTCCTCCTAGCAAAGACTAAAAAGTGTGTCTTTCCATCCCCAGAAGCTTTTCTGCTTTAACAAGTGGAAAGCCTTGAATCACAGCCAGTGGTTTCCTCTTTATACTTAAGTCCCTTTGGGGACCTCAGCAGGTCCCTAACCATTGTCAGGACAATCTGGGTGACTGAGCATTTAATGTAATTTAATTGTAGTTTCTCCCACACTCACCACCACCACCACTATACCCCTTCAGATTATCCCCAATTAGTAGAGAGTAGTCTTAATATATAGCCCATGTTAGAGGGTACCTTACAGCTAAGATCTTTCTTAATTCAGAAATATTTTTTTACAGAGAATCTAATATGGACCCCAAGTTTTATATGAGCCACCTTAGATCACTTGCACAAACTCTGGATGCATATACATGTTCTGTTTTGTTTTATATACTTTAACAGGTTGATCATACTCAAACTTTCTGATGTTTCTACCTTCAGATATTTTCAATTTTAAATATAGAGTGGTATAAAAGAAGTTGGTAAATATTTAAATAATTGAGCAATTACAGGGCTTAAGGACATGTGTATGTGGGTATTCTGAAGTAAAACATTGGTCAGGAAAGAATTTTTATTAAACTAGCAGATAATGTTAGTATGTTTCTTTTTTTTTTTTTTTTTCATTTCCTCTCAGATCTTAGGAAATACTCCTAAAAAGTCATGATACTGTTTTGTTACAAATGATGACATTCTTTAGATTTTACTGTAACTTGGCTGGGTGCAGTGGCTGATGCCTGTAATTCCAGCACTTTGAGAGGCTGAGTTGGGTGGATCACTTGAACCCAGGAGTTTGAGACCAGCCTGGGCAACATTGTAAAACCCCATCTCTACAAGAAATACAAAAATTAGCTAGTGTGGTGGCACAGGCCTGTAGTCCCAGCTACTCGGGAGGCTGAGGCAGGAGGATTGCTTGTGTCTGGGAGGTCAAGGCTGCCGTGGTCTATGCTTGTGCCACTGCACTCTAGCTTGGGTGACAGAGCAAGACCCCATCTTAATAAAAGAATTAAAAATTAAAAGCTGGGCACAGTGGCTCACGCCTGTAATCCCAGCACTTTGAGAGGCCGAGGCAGGCGGATCACGAAGTCAGGAGTTCAAGGCCAGCCTGGCCAACATGGTAAAACCCCGTCTGTACTAAAAATACAAAAATTAGCTGGGCGTGGTGGCAGGCGCGTGTAATCCCAGCTACTTGGGAGGCTGAGGCAGGAGAATCGCTTGAACCCGGGAGGTGGAGGTTGCAGTGAGCTGAGATCATGCCATTGCACTCCAGCCTGGGTGACAGAGTGAGACTCCATCTCAAAAACAAAAAAAACAAACAACAACAACAAAAAACAGTTTTCAGTTTAACCCTTACTATGAGAGCCTTCCTGACCAGCCCACAGATGAGATTAGGTGCCTCCTCTCCATCGTCCCACACTGTCATTGGCTTTCCACAGTTTTTAGCATACTTCAAGTACTTGTTTATTTGTTCTCTTTCCTGACAAGTTCTTAACCATGAGAGAAAGAACAGTGTGAGTCATGCTTACTGTCTGTTCCCAGCACAGTGCCTGGCACACAATAGTGCTGAATCTGTAAAGAAGTCATTATTGGTGTAATTATCAATGATGTTACACTGATTGAGCTCTTTCTATATGCCAGTCACTATCCTAAGCATTTCACGTGAACTATCTGATTTAGTGTGCAAAGCAATCTTATAAGATAGGTACATTTGTTATTCCCATTTTATGTATAAGGAAATAAGATAGTTTAAGTAATTTGCCCAAGGTTATACAGGACACGAAAGGGCCAGAGTTCACACTCTGATCAAACTGATTCCAAAGCTTGTTTTTGTTTTTTGTTTTTAAGAGACAGGATCTCACTCTGTTGCCTAGACTAGAATGTAGTGGTGCAGTCATTGCTCACTGCAGCCTTGAACTCCTGGGCTCAAGCGATCGTCCTGCCTTAGACTCCTGAGTGACTAGGACTACAGGTGCGTGCCACCACGCCTGGCTAATTTTTAAATTTTTTGTAAGAATAGGGTCTCACTCTGTTTGCTGGGCTGGTCACAAACTCCTGGCCTCACAAAGCTTGAATTCTTGATCATATGAATGGATGGTTAGATGAATGAGGGGACTGGTAAGGAGAGAAGGTATTAATTAATAACTTGTATTTGATTTGATTAGTGAGAAAGTAATAAATGTGAGGGTCTGTCCTGCTACAAAGATAAATAGGAAGCAAAACCAACTCAGGATCCCCGGAACTGTGCTTCACTGCATAAATCATCCCAAAGAGCAATTACTAGTGATACTGGCCACTTGCTTAGGAGAGGAAGGGAGGCCCTGACCTCCTCAAAGTGACAGCTGACCTCCTCTATGGGAAAATTAGCAACACTGGGGCCTTCAGACAAGTGGTGTTTGCCAAACTTTTATACTTTGTACCTGCTTAGAGTACCATAATGATAAAAGAAAACAAAGGAAACGGCTTTCTTAAATAATACTACACAAACTAACTCTTATGTTCTAAAGGAGAATAAAAGCTATATTAGATATTCAGCAACTTGTAGGGTTTTGTTTTGTTTTGTTTTGTTTTGTTTTGTTTTGTTTTGTTTTGTTTGAGACAGAGTCTCGCTCTGTCACCCAGGCTGGAGTGCAGTGGCACAATCTTGGCTCACTGCAACCTCCACCTCCTGGGTTCAAGCGATTCTCCTGCCTTAGCCTCCCGAGTAGCTGGGACTACAGTAATGCGCCACCATGCTCAGCTAATTTTTGTATTTTTAGTAGAAACGGGGTTTCACCATGTTGGCCAGGATGGTCTCGATCTCTTGACCTTGTGATCTACCCGCCTCAGCCTCCCAAAGTGCTGGGATTACACTGCACCCGGCCAACTTGTGGTATTTTAATCGACCAAATGCATGAAATATCATAGGCATGTTTTTTCCAGAAGGCATTTATTTTGGTAAAATATTTTTTAAATAAAATTTTATAGAAGTTGACACTACTGTTTATCATTTAGCTTTAAAAATTCAGACTTTTATTAGGTTTTTTTCGTGAATTCATTTTTAAACTGGAGATTATTTGCAAGATATGAGTTACTAGCTTATTATACTGAATTACAGTATCCAATTAGTGCTGTGTTTGTTTGTTTGTTTATTTATTTATTTTTGTGATGGAGTCTTGCTCTGTCACCCAGGCTAGAGTGTCAAGTACAATGGCATGATCTCGGCTCATTGCAGCCTCCACCTCCTGGCTTCAAGCAATTCTCCTGCCTCAGCCTCCCAAGTAGCTGGGATTACAGGCATGTGCCACCACACCCGGCTAATTTTTGTATTTTTAGTAGAGATGGGGTTTTGCTATGTTGGCCAGGCTGGTCTCAAACTCCTGACCTCAGGTGATCCACCCACCTTGGCCTCCCAAAGTGCTGGGATTACAGATGTGACCCACTACGCCCAGCCATGTTGTGTTTATTAAATATAACTATGCCTAGCAGGCATTTTTGCTAGAAATAATGAAGTCCACCGGGTAGTTCAAATTCTTCTTCCACAGCTCCTGGTATGAAGATTCCTTGAAATAAGGTATCCATTTGAATATTTTTGTTTACTTTTGTTAACACATTGATCAATATGAACCTGGACTATGCTTAATTTAGAAAATTCTCATGTTTTAATTCATGTTGTAAAATTATTAACCACTAACAATACGAGGAGGGAAGAAACAAGCCTTTTTTCATTTGCAGCTCTTTTTAATACTTTTGGTTCATTATAAATGTCAGTTCTCATTGGTACCATAGAGGTATAAAGGGTTGGAGATCTGACAAATGATGTTATTCCCCAGGTTATACCTGAAAATGTTTTCCTCTGACCATGACCCTGATAGAAGTTTTTTCTAGTCATTTCCTCCTTCTGCTGGATGGATGGATAAATAGAGAAAATCCTTATATTAAGGCAAATTACTATTATTTTCCAGTTAATCAAAGTATTGGAACTTGAAACAGGGTTTGAAATTGAAATTGCTGCTGTATAATCTGTGTTATTCATCAGATTACAAAAAAAATATTTCTGGTCTCATGAAAAGCAACAAGACGAAAACTCCTTTCAGAAAAGAATTTTTAGCATGGAGAATATTAAAAATGAAAAGGCACTTAGAACTTTTGATGGTTCTAAATTTAGGTGGCTACTTTTTAATTTTTTTTTCATTCTTTCATCACTCACATGAGGTTTTTTTTTTTTTTTTATGTTTTTTCTCCTTCACCAAACACATTTGAAATGCTTTACATGTAAACTGAAGATAGTCCAGGTACCAAGCATTTATTTATCATCATTTATCATCATTTCTGGATGGGCTAGATCAGCTCACAGATCCCTACAGCTTTGCCTGCCATCCACCTGCATTGCTGCAGGCTGTTTAACACTCTCACCTCCTCAAGTTAAGGTAGGCTAGCCAGTAAATAACACTTCCCCATAGGCTTACCTCAGACATCTTGCTTCACCCTACCATGGTACATTTTTAATTTAATTTTTGGTTTTATTTCAACAGCTTTTGGAGTAAAAGTGGGTTTTGGTTACATGGATGAATTATATAGTGGTGAATTCTGAGATTTTAGTGTATCCATCACCATGGTACATTATTAAAGAACTTTCTTTCAGTAACAGATTTTTTAACATAAAGGCCAAAGTTTAAATGAAATAGAAAACAAAATCACCACCACTGTTATAATGATCATGGAAAGTGATTTATGAAGTACAGGATTTACCATAAGCAGTACAGTGTCATCTTGTGATTTTTCTTCTTCCAGAAAGTTTCATGAAAGATTTATTAAATATATAATATCAAGAGTTTGCTTTTATTTGCATATTATTCCTTTGTTCCAGAGATAATTCTGAAGGTACTTTTTAAAAGTTGCTTATTCTGATATGCTATTTAAAATTTTTAGGGATATCCCTGTGGATTTCAAGTACATAGCAGAACCCAGTATGCACTCAATGCCTGCAGTGACTTTGTCTCCAAATGGTGAGTTAGTATGTAGATTGTATTTTTAAATGAGCTTCTAAGATACAGTGTGATTTCTTTATTCAAAAGAACTTTGGCCCCTTCCTTCTTGGGGAAGTTTGTCACTGTGCCATTATTTGTATAAGGTAATCTTTACAATATTAGAAAGAATTACTGGTTTTCATATGCAAGTCACCTCACCTACTTTTCTGTGTCTCTTTTTAAATAAAAATAAAAGAAACAATGATTTACAGCTAACATTGATTGAACATCAGATTTTTATTTAACAATCAGTTTTCTTTTCTTTTTTCTTTTCCCCTCCTCTCCCCTCCTCTCCTCTCCCCTCCCCTCTTTTCTTTTCTTTTCTTCTTTTCGAGACAGGGTCTCCCTTTGTTGCCCAGGCTAGTCTCAAACTCCTGGGCTCAAGTGATCTTCCCTCCTCAGCCTCCCAAGGTGCTGGGATTACAGGCCTAAGCCACTATGCCCGGCCAGAGTTTTCTTTTCTAATTCTCCTTCCAAACAGAATCACGTTCAGTAAATCATTTAATAATGATTTGGCCAAGGCAGAAGAATCACTTGAACCCAAGAGTTTGAGACTAGCCTGGGCAACATAGAGAGACCTCATCTCTACAAAATAAAATTTTAAAAATCAGCTGGCATGGTGGTGCACATTTGTAGCCCTAGCTACTTGGTCAGGCTGAGATGGGCAGTTTGGTTGAGCCAGGAGATTGACTATGATCATGTGACTGTACTCCAGCCTGGGCAACAGAGCAAGACCCTTCTCTCTAAAAAAAAAAATAGTAATAGTGATTTACTGTAAACTCTTTCAGGGGATAGGAAGTTTTGGTCTGATTCTCCATAATGAGAGAACACTTTAGCAATTCACTATAAAAGATTTTCTCAGGCAAAAATTAAGAAGATAAATCTATTTAATATTGTTTAATCCATTGTCTTTTACGTACAAGATAATTTGTGCTACAGATATACTGACAATATACTGATGTAATTATAGCTTTACATGAGAGTCTTAAAGTGGGAGTTCTGATGTTTGGGGGACCTTGTCATTGAAACCACTGTCAATTCACATAATTAACTCCAAGTGTAGGGCAAGGAAGAATTTGCTGTTCCATCAGGGCCTCTGACACAAGCAAATGGTAATAGTTGTCAAATGCTCTATCATTTTTATGAGAAGAGAAACCTAACTGAACCTTTTTTTGATCATTGCTAGATTATATACTTCGTCACTGTGCATCTATATTTCATGTAGCGTATTTTTAAACCACCTATTACAGATTTTGTGCCCATCTTGAACAAGGCCATTTACCCACTCAGGCATTATTTAAGTCTGTTTCCTTAGTAAGTAATGTTTACATGTACAGTTGGCCCTTTGTATCCATGAGCACCATATCCTGGGATTCAACCAGCACGAATCCAGAATATTCAACAAAATAAACAATAAAAAATAACAATACAACAATTAAAAACAACACAGCATAACAACTAGGTACAAAGCATTTACGTTGCATTAGGCATTATAAGTAATCGAGAGGTGATTTAATGTATACAGGAGATATGTAGGTTATATGCAAATACTATGCCATTTTATATAAGGGACTTGAGCATCTGTGAATTTTGGTATTGGGTAGGGGTGCAGATCCTGGAACCAATTCCCAACAGATACCAAGGGATGACTATATATAGGATGCAAGTATAGTCATGCATTCCTAACAACAAGGGTACTTCTGAGAAATGCAGTGTTAGGTGATTTTGTCATTTTGTGAACATCACACAGAGTACTTACACAAACCTAGATGGTATAGTCTACTTACCCTAGGCTGTATGGTATAGCCTGTTGCTCCTAGGCTTTACCCCTGTATGGCATGTTGCTGTTCTGAATAATGTAGTCAGTGGTAAGCATTTGTGTATCTAAACATAGAAAAGGTACAGTAAAATCTCAGCATAGAAAAGGTACAGTTAAAATTTAGCACTATAATCTTATGGGACCACTGTCATACGTGCGGTCCATCATTGACCAAAACATTGTTAAGTGGTGCATGACTATAGACGCTGCAGTTTAGGCTCTAGGGGCTTTGATGAATCCTAAGTAGAGAAAAGCATTGTAGCCTTTTAAAAAGTTACTATAATTTTTAATATATCTTTTTTTGTATAGTTTTATTTAATAACCCTAGGCTTTCTCACCCCTTAATCTTTCTTTATTCTGTAATTACCACAGATAAGTCTCTTTCTCCTATTTCCCATAGTTCTGTTGTCTATACTTACTATAAATTAATTTCATTTCACAACTTTTAGCTTATTTCTTTAACATTAAGCTTGGAATTTCTATATTTCCTTATTTTTTTAAAAACTTTTATATGAGAGTGCTCAATGATATAGGATCGTATATGCAAAAGCCATTAGTTTATATATTAATACCTCTTGCCAGTGACATATTTATAACATTTTACAGGTGGTATAGTAAATTTATTTTTTAGTATTATAAAGTATTTGGGAGCAAAACTTATATTAATCACAGTGAACATATTTAAAATAAAAAGTTTTAAAAATTGTTTTAGTCTTCCTCTAAAATACCTCATTTATTGAATTTACAGGAAAATGGCTAGCATGCCAATCAATGGACAACCAAATCTTAATTTTTGGAGCACAGAACAGATTTAGATTAAATAAGAAAAAAATTTTTAAGGGCCATATGGTAGCAGGCTATGCTTGTCAGGTGGACTTTTCACCAGACATGAGGTAAGTTTAAATCTTCTAATCCATTCTCGTATTCAAATATGATTATATAAACTGTTGTTGTACAAATAACACTTGACACATCACTCTCACATAATATGTTTTTATGAGAACTCGATGATCTGTCAAAATTGTCAAAATGCTGGATATAAAGGCAAGAACAAATTAGGAAAATTACATTTTGCTTTTTTTAGGTTCTTGCTTCAGTATATTCCCTTCTATTACTTAGGCTTATGCCCTTTAGCCACCTAATAAATCCCTGTCTATATAACCAATGCCTTATTTTCTCTGCTTTTCTAAGCAAGACTAGAAGTGCTATAATCACTGTATTGCTATGATTGAATGAACACCAGAAGAATTAATTGTGTATTACAGTGTTGCAGTTACAGCTTCACTACAGCTTGTCTGTGCTGAAACCTCAAATCCAGCTTTTGAATATTTCTAGGTCACACTGGATTTGTGAAGCCTACAGCATGGTTCTTAGTTAAAATGTATAGGCAGAAGTAATTTAGAAATCCCAGTAACTTTGTTTGTTTAGCCTAGTAATTGGGCCTACCTCTGATTCAGTCTTAGATGTATTCAAAAGATATTAAAGCCAAAAAGTAATTATGAAAGTGTTAGAGCCTACTGTGATAGAATAGATCTAAAGGTGTTCCCTAGCTATATGTGGAATTGGTTCTCCAGTCTCTGTTTCTGACTATCTAGAGACTGATTGTGTAACCTCATTCACTGTGGCTCCTGGGACTCCCAGTCTTCCCAGTTAAAAATAATTTTCTACTCTTAGATTGGTTGGGAGGTTTTTTTAATAGAATTTCAAATTATAGACTGCTTCATGTTCTACCATCTTATTCTGAGTATTGTATATTTGCATTGGATTTTTTTTTTAATGTTAACGTGAAAAGATAACGTCCCTATTCCTCATTCGCCTTACCAATTTAAGGTATTTTAATAATTTGAATTTATCTTTCTTCCCATTATAGTTATGTGATTTCAGGAGATGGAAATGGAAAATTAAACATTTGGGACTGGAAGACCACAAAACTCTACAGTCGATTTAAAGCTCATGATAAAGTGTGTATAGGTGCAGTGTGGCATCCTCATGAAACTTCTAAGGTCATAACATGTGGTTGGGATGGTCTCATTAAATTGTGGGATTAATGAGATTAATCCTTAAACTAGCTGGGATCATTTTTGATCCATTGTCATATTTATATTTAATTATTAAATGTATCTGATGATAACTTGATTTACAGATAATGTTGATGACATTGACCCTTTGTTTAAAAAAAGAAACTGTAAATTTGACATAATTTCATTTGCAACTTCATTTTGTTTTTTATAAATGTTATTTATACAGAAAGTGGCTATTGACTTTCTATTTGACAAGTAGTTATAATTGGCAAGCAGTTTGAGTTTATACTCATGACATACTGAAAGCATCTCTTTGGGGTCAAGAAAGAATCCCTAGTGGATTTGGGATTCTAGAGGAGGTGTTATAATTAATTATTCAGAAAAATGCATGTATTTACCTCTTCAACCAAAAGGGCAGTAAAGAATAGGGATAATATATTTTAATGTAAATTTGGAAGAAGGATAAAATCACCCACAGTTACTCTCCCTATTATTTTCACTGGGTCAAGTTTTAATCTTTTGGCTTCATGAGTTCCACTCCCTTTGATGATATATGTTGTATATTTTTAGTTGTAAAGCAGTAATCTTTAACTGTAGCATTCCTCTAATTATAAACAGTGAAAAATCAAAATCAGTCCAGAGTTCTTTTGTTGACTTAATTCCTGATCAGTATAGACAGGACTATATATATTTAATCAGAGAATTACATTATATCTGAAGATGGAGCTCAGGAGAATGCACCAAGACTTTGAATTGTATTTACATTCACTGTCAGTAAAGACCTGGCTACGCTTTGAGAAATCAGGATCTCCTAGGTCATTGCTTCGCAGCTGTGATTACTGAAATCCTCCTCATAGGAGATAAAGTACGAGGGGTAGAGTCCAAGATGTCAACTTGTAATTTCTTTGAAGTCATATGTTTTATCTTTAAAATTATTCTTATTTTACCTGTGAATATATACAACAGAACTTTTTAAGATTAAAAAATTTTTAAACCTCTATGTCTGAAAAAAAAAATGACACTCCTGGAAGATGGCTAGGGTTCCCCAGTTTGAGAAGCAGTGGCCATGGTGAAAAATAGTTTTTGAAAACATCAGATTATAAAATCAAGATAGTCCGGACGCGGTGGCACATGCCTGTAATCCCAGCACTTTGGGAGGCTGAGGCAGGTGAATCACCTGAGGTCAGGAGTTCAAGACCAGCCTGGCCAACATAGTGAAACCCCGTCTCTACTAAAAACACAAAAATTAGCCAGGCTTGGTGGCTGGCGCCTGTAATTCCAGCTACTCAGAAGGCTGAGGCAGGGAGAATTGCTTGAACCCAGGAGTGGAGGTTGCAGTGAGCTGAGATCATGCCACTGCACTCCAGCCTGGGCGACAGAGCGAGACTCCACCTCAAAAAATAAAATCAAGATAACCTCTTGAATGTAATAGCTCATAGCACTTTAATTTGGCAAGCCATTTTTCCTGTTTTATTATAAATCTATATTAGATGTTTGAATATGGTTTGAAATATTTCACTACCGTGCTGAAAAAGGTTGGTTGATAGCAGCTTGGAGTGCTAACTGGAAGATCAAAATCATGTCTCTTGCTGATAACCTAAGAGCATTAAGCTCTGAGTCCAGTGAGGTCATAGCAGTGTATGCTCCTTGCCCTTACGGAGTGTCTGTTTTTAGAAATTTAGATTTTAAAAGGCGTGGGACATACGACCAGGCCCTATAGCCACATAAATATAAATTTCATAGAAAAAGAATAAAAGCGGAGATATATTTTTTGACACAGAGGCACCCAAAGAAATACAAACATTGCCTAGCTGCTGCCATTTCTGTAACTGCCCAGAAGGGTGACAGATTTCTGAAGGGGAAAGGATTCAGATATGACCTTTTCTTTAGTCCCAACCACTAGTTTTAACAAATGTGAATTATTGAAATGTGAAGGGACAAAAAGAATCATACATTTAAACTGTCTTGTTCAGCATACCAATATTGTATGTTACAAATCATCATTTCTAAATCTGGATTGATTCTGTTGTGTTTTTGACTGTTTCTAAAGTAAGTGTGTATAAAAGTCTCCTTTTTAAAAAGATCATATTTTTAAATAAAGCATTTTTTGTAGAAAGTGCTATCAAAATGTTCATCTTGTTCATCTTTAGTCTCCTTTTGAGTCTTAAGTGTATTGAGACACTAGATTAAGCCATTTGCAGTTTTAAATGGGTCATATGGAGAGAAATAATGCTTTAGAGGTGGATGTGGTTTATTCAGGTATATCAGTGGGTTTATAATTATATAATAAAATACATGGCAGTACCCTCAGAGCACATTAACACATTCCATATTCATTTAGTGGTGGCACTAAGTCATGACTACACAACATTTTAGAGTACATAAATGAGTGGGGTTATATTTCAGCATAAAAAGTCTCAAGATCACATTGTTACTGGACTTAGGTGGTTACCATCTGGCTCCTTTTCCTTATTGCAGCCTTTTTGTCATATCCAGGACAGATTTCCTTCCTAAAAGTTACGATAAAAGTGATGCTTTAGTGAAATATTTACTGGAATGAATATTTAAATATTGAGTCACAAGCTGGAAATATTTTGTCCTAAACAAGGAACAAATTTTAAGATTAAAAAACGGGAGTAGTGTTACACAGCCACATTTCTAAGTAGTTCTTGAGGCTACATTGTGGGGCTGCCTGGTATCCTTGGTATATTTATAAAATACCTGTAAGAAAACATTGACTTTGAAATAGCAAACCCTTAGATGGTAACCATAAATATCACAACACTGGGAACAATTATAGAGACTTTTCTTGGAGAACATTGTTTCTCAGGGTATGGACTGAGAACCTCTGCATCTGAATTACCTAGGGGTTGCGTTGCTTACTGAGATGTAGAATTCAGAAAAAAGTAGGAATTATTTGGGGGAGCCATTGTGAATTCAGGTATGGGAAGGGGTATAAAGTGGCATCCAGGCACCCAGTATCCTTCAGCAGTATTAAATGTGGGTCTCAAAGTGAGACCTGGGGAAACTGATTCCATGTATCATCACAGATGCATATTTTTCACATTTTGACATTTTTGAATAGGGCTCTAGTTAAAATAAATGAATGTCCTAGTTTAATGGGCAGCATTTAATTTTTTCTTAGTATATCATAAAATAATTGATGAAATACAGTAAAAACAAGGCAAGTACGAAGGGCCTGAGAAGAAGAGAAGATCCAATGGGAGGAAAGTGTCTGTTGCAGCACTGGGCTCAAAATTCAGGTTATGAAATGTTTCTTTGATCACTGAGTAAAATGAACGAACTAACTGAAGATTCAAATTAAAAATATATATTTATATATATATGTAGACACACAAATAATCACTAGAAAGCTTTTTTTTTTTTTTTTTTTTTGAGACAGTTTCACTCTTGTTGCCCAGGCTGGAGTGCAATGGTGCGATCTCAGATCACCACAACCTCTGCCTCCCGAGTTCAAGCGATTCTCCTGCCTCAGCCTCCCGAGTAGCTGGGATTACAGGCATGCGCCACCACAGCCCAGCTAGTTTTGTATTTTTAGTAGAGATGGGGTTTCTCCATGTTGGTCAGGCTGGTCTCGAACTCCTGACCTCAGGTGATCTGCCCTCCTCAGCCTCCCAAAGTGCTGGGATTACAGGCATGAGCCACCGTACCCGGCCAGCTTTTTTTTAATGTAGAATTTTTGTTCCCAACTCAGATCTTCAAATCAAAGTCAGCACTTTTAGCAAGATCCCCAAATGAGAAGCACTGAGGTAGAGTCCCAAATTTATCTTGGGCATTTGGGAAACTAGACTATGTGGGACATGTAAAGTCAAAGAGAAATTTAGCTGGTCAAAAATATGCACTGTACACATGTGTATGTGCATGTATATGTGTGTATAATGTATGCACATAGTATATGTGTACATGTTCCATATTCATAGTCACTTTAATAATTGTGGAAACAACTTTCTAAACCTAATTGCAATTTTATCTGGAACTTAAAAGAAGTCACAGACTTGCAGCCAGCACCCTTAGAGTGACTATTTTTAGTGACAGTAAGTGAAAGTGAAACTCTTGATTCTACAGCTTCTTACATCTGCAATAGCTGTCATCAAATGAGTTTCTTTCATTCCCCACTCTCCAGCCTCCAGCTTTTTAGGTCTGGGGGAGCAACTCAGATCTCCATGTTTTATTTGTTTTAATATACTTCTGTCCAATAGATATATGTCAGTCATATATGTGATTTTAAATTTTCTAATAGCCAGGTTTAAAAGGGACTTAATAATATATTTTAACATATCCAAAATTTTATCTGAAGATGTACTCAATTATTTTAAAAATTAATATTTTACTTTTTTCATATGGAGTCTGAAATCTGGTATATATTTTACACTTACAGCACATCTCAATTCAGACACTACATTTTCATCAAAGTATTTTATCTTTCATACAAAGTAGATTTACATGCCCAAATTGTTTCAAACATACTTAGAAGTTTTCCAATAACAAAATCAAGTGCAGTCACGTGTTGCTTAACAATGGGGATACGTTCTAAGAAATGTGTCATTAGGTGATGTCATTGTTGTCCGAACATCATAGAGTTAACGTATGTACCAAACCTAGGTGGTATAGCCTACTCCATTGCATAGTTCCATTATAATCTTAGGGGACCACCATCATATGGTGGTCTGTCACTGAGCGAAAGGTTATTATGTGGTATGTGACTGTATATTTTAATTTAAATTAATTAAAAGTAAATGTAATTTAAAATTTAGTTTCTCAGTTAACCACAGTTTTAAGTGCTCAGTAGCAATATGCCTCTAGAGGCTGCCATATTGCACAGTACAGTTATAGTACCACATTTTACATAAGAGTGGCTCAGATATTCAGTATACTGCCTCATCTTCTGAAAAATATTGTAAGGTTCAATCTGATCGTAAAATATCTCATATAAAAAATACAAATGCTCATATTTTTCTTGCTACATTTTGGGTAATTTCCTCAGGCCTGTCTTCCAGGTTTTTTTTTTTTTTTTTTTTTTTTTTTTGAGACAGAGTCTCGCTCTGTCGCCCAGGCTGGAGTGCGGTGGCTGGATCTCGGCTCACTGCAAGCTCCGCCTCCCGGGTTCACGCCATTCTCCTGCCTCAGCCTCCCAAGTAGCTGGGACAACAGGCGCCCGCCACCGCGCCCGGCTAATTTTTTGTATTTTTAGTAGAGATGGGGTTTCACTGTGTTAGCCAGGATGGTCTCGATCTGCTGACCTCATGATCCGCCCGCCTTGGCCTCCCAAAGTGCTGGGATTACAGGCGTGAGCCACTGCGCCCGCCTCCAGTTCATTTTACGTCTCTGTAGTTGTGTCCAGGGTGCCATTGTTCCATTAAACTTCTTATTTCCATGGCTGTTTTTCTTTTCTGGAAGGTGTATTTGTACTTTTTTATATTTACCTGTTCTTTTTCACAGTGTCGTATTTTCTTATGGCTCATATATAGTCCTTTATGCCTTTAATCATGATAAATCATGTATATTATACTTTCTTTAAGATTGTTATTCTGTTATGTCAAGTTCTTGGGCTGAAAACCACGTGGTTTATTGTGTCTGCTAACTCTACCTCATGGGGGACTGTTTATTTCCTTGTCCGTTCTAATATTTTATTATGGGTTTTGTTTTTCTAAGGAAATCCTTTGTAGCCTGGATTGGTGAAAAGTCCTTTTAGAGTGGCTTTGCATCTGCTTCTGCCATACACCCCTGAGGTATCACCCCTAGAGCCTGTTTGTTTTAATTTCCAACTTTTAAGTTCAAGGGTACATGTGCTGGATGTTCAGGTTTGTTACATGGGTAAATGTGTGCCATGGTGGTTTGCTGCAAAGATCATCCTGTTACCCAGGTATTAAGCCCAGCATCCATTATTCTTCCTGATCCTCTCCCTCCTCCCATCCCCCACCTTCCAACAGGCCCCAGTGTGTGTTGTTTCCCTCTGTGTCCATATATTCTCATCACTTAGCTCCCACTTAGAAGTGAGAACATACAGTGTTTGGTTTTCTGTTCCTGTGTTAGTTTGCGAAGGATAATGGCCTCCAACTCCATCCATGTCCCTGCAAAGGACATGATCTCATTCCTTTTTATGGCTGCATAGTATTTCATGGTGTATATGTACCACATTTTCTTTATCCAGCTTATCATTGATGGGCATTTAGCTTGATTCCATGTCTTTGCTGTTGTGAATAGTGCTGCAGTGAACACACATGTGCATGTGTCTTTATAACAGAATGATTTATATTTCTTTGGGTATATACCCAGTAATGGGATTGCTAAGTTGAATGGTATTTCTGCCTCTAGGTCTTTGAGGAATTGCCACACTGTCTTCCACAGTGGTTGAACTAATTTACACTCTCACCAACAGTGTAAAAGTGTTGCTTTTTCTCCACAGCCGTGCCAGCATCTGTTGTTTTTTGACTTATTAATAATAGCCATTCTGACTGGTGTGAGATGGTATCTCATTGTGGTTTTGATTTCCATTTCTCTAATGATCAGTGATGTTGAGCTTTTTTTCATGTTTGTTGGCCACATGTATATCTTCTTTTGAGAAGTGTCTGTTCATGTCCTTTGCCCACTTTTTAATGTTTTTTTCTTGTAAATTTGTTTAAGTTCCTTATAGATGCTGGATATTAGACCTTTGTCAGATGCATAGATTGCAAAAATTTCTCCCTTTCTGTAGATTATCTGTTCACTCTGATGATAGTTTCTTTTGCTGCGCAGAGCTCTTTAGTTTAATTGGATCCCATTTGTCAATTTTTGCTTTTATTGCAATTGCTTTTGGGATCTTCGTCATGAAATCTTTGCCCGTGCCTATGTCCTGAATGATATTTCCTAGGTTTTCTTATAGGGTGTTTATAGTTTTAGGTAGAACCAGTTTTTATCTTAATTTCTCAGCTTATGGTTTTCCTCATCATGTGATTAGGATAAATTCAACTATTCAACTCCTTGCACAGGCCTGAGGTTTCAATTTCTCTTGAAAACTTTTCTTTGTACTCAGAGCTATAAGCAGAGATAAGCGTCCTTGTGCTGGTGGATGTAGAATTTTTAGGTCCATTTTTCACTGAGGTTGTAGCCCTCTCCCTCTTTGCTGTAGGTGTCCTTAGTCCCAATCCTTTCTCCCCAGTACCAGGTCTTATCTTGTGCTTTAGGCCTCTATCCATTACTATCTCTATCCATTACTCTATCCTTGGAGTTAGTGTAACTAAACTCCAAGGGCTACTACAGTGTAGGTTCCTGTCTACCTGTCTGGCTCTAGGCTCCCTCCCTCTGGGCTTTTGTATCTGGAAAATGTTTTCTTCTTCGACATTCAGTCATACACACACACACACATACACACACATACTTATATACCATATACACACGTATGTACTCGCATATATACAAACACATATATACACATACATGTATATATATGGAAGGATCTCTAGGGATCTATGTATGATTGTATTTTGTATCTTTAGATGTCACCATGTTATTGGAAAAATCTAAAAACAGGAATGTAATCTAGTGCAGTCTAAAAAACGTACATTCTGATTTTTAGAACCATGTGAGTTTAAGTGTGTGATACTAAAAGGTACTTTCCTAAGGGTACTTCATCTTGATGACCAGAGAACCATCATAATGGATTCACCTTTCATCTGGGCTTTTTCTGCATAAGCACATCATTTGGATTCTTTTGAATTTATCAGAAGACTTCCCTTTATAGCACTTGTCTTAATCCATTCAGGCTGCTGTAACAAGATACCTTAGACTAGGTAATTTATAAACAACAGAAATGTATTGCTCACAGTTCTGGTGGCTGAGAAGTCCAAGATCAAGGTGCCAGCAGATTCAATGTCTGATGAGGGCTAGCTCTCTTCTTCAAAGATGGTGCCTTTTCACTGTGTCCTCACATTGTAAAAGGGGGAAAAACTTTCCTCAGGCCTTTCATAAATGCACTAATCCCATTCACAAGGGCTCTGCCCTCATGACCTAGTTACTTTCTAAAGGCTCCACCTCATAATACCAACATGTTGGGAATATTTCAACATATGAATTTTGGAGGGTCACAAAATATTCAGACCATAGCAGCATACAAATTAAGAAATTATCTTACCATTGTCTAAGCCTCATCTAATCACAGTAGTCAAAATAATGAAATTTTCAAGCTAGAAGAAACTTTAGAAATTAAATATTCTAACCTAAGGAAATACTTCAAGAAAGGTGAAGACTTGCTTGATATAACACAGCTAGTTAGCAGCAGTATCAAGAGTCTCTTATTTCTTCCTACTGTCCTGCCTCTATATAATGTCACTTAATTGTATATTTTTAAAACTGTTGGATTTGTGTTATAACCTTTGTGGCTTCTAGGCTTGCTGTCTCTGAGCTAGGTAATTTAAAAGAAACAGCTATTTACATAGTGTTTATTTCATCCTTAGTAAAACAAAACCTGTAACTGAGGACATTCTCATGGCTCCTTCCATTAGAGTTGTGCTCCCATCACTTTCTCTTTGCCCAAAAGGAAATCTCTGGCTCATATTTCAGTCTCTACAGTACCTCTTCTCACCTTGATTTTACTCTTTCAACTATTGTTTTTATTATGCACTTTCTACTCCATGTCCTATAAAAACTATGGTTTAAATCATTTTTGTAAAAATACTAACCCCTATCTTTGGTAGAAATAGTCTCACATCATCCTTCCTTCCTTCTCTCATTAACTGAAAAATGTCTCCATGATACTATGAATTGTGGTTCCATATACTGACTCTAAAAAAGACTGCGGGGAGTTGCTACAAAGAAAGGACAATGAGAAAGATTGAGGTTTAATATCCTAGGACTCAGATATCTTCTAATAATAATTGAACCTTCAATTATTATTGTATTCATTCAATTCAACTATTTTATGGTTCTCAGTTCTCCAAGGCCAAGAAGATTTCCAGGTTGGCATCCTTTAATCAGGAATAGGGACTACCACATGCAGTGCAATGAACAGCCATGTCGAGAAAAGAACAAATTGTGTCCAAATTTAAATAACAAAATGAGATACAGTGGTCCATCTAAATTCCAAAGGTATTTTTAATGCCAGAAAAAACTTCAGTAACAAATGATGAAATAATTTTTTAGAAAAATTATATGGAAATAGCTTTTTAAATTTATATTCAACAAAAATTTATTGAGCCCTTTTTACTTAGCCACTGGGGCTGTAGACATGGCCCTTATCCTCATGGAGCATACAGTCTGCTGGGAAAACCAGACATTATACAAGCAGAGAAAGTACAGACACTGTTAGGAAGAATAGAGGACATTGTGGGGACATATAGCTGGGAGCCTTAAATAAGAGGGGTCCCTGAGAAAATGATGTTTGATCTGACATCAAACCTTGAGAAATAATATTTTCTTGTACTGATAATTTTTATTGACACATAGTTGCAGTTTCTCATGTTATAGAACACACTTGGACCTTTATTTATTATATAGATCCACCCAGGAGTGATATTCAAAATATCCAATGACAAGTAAGGCAGAAGATAGGCCAGTTAGAATAGAAGCAAGCCACAGTGCTGTGTCAGGATCCTGGAAGCTGCCTTTTGTGCTGTGCATTAGCCTTTAATTGCCCAGTCATGGGGAAAGGCCTGGGCATCCTGTGAGAGGGTCTCCAGTGCAGAGGGACCACTGGGGAACCACTGTATCTCTACTGGTACTTTTCAAAAAAGCATAAATATGTCCAGTGTATTCCAAGGGACATACTTTTTAGTTGACAAACAAATTGTATATATTTATGGCACACAACATGATATTTTGTTATATGTATACATTGTGGAATACTAAATCAACTAATTAACACATCCATTACCTCAAATACTTATTTTTTGTGGTGAGAATATTTAAAATCTACTCTCTCAGCAATTTTCCAGTATATGATACATTGCTATTAACTATAATCACCATGTTGCACATAGCTCTTCTCTACTGGTACATACTGATTAGATATCAGTCCTATGCACACTTGGTTTCTCTATTGAAATTCTCTAGTCTAGTCTTGAATAGTTTAGTCAAATTCGATCTCCCAAGTTTAAATCCCTTATTATTTCAGATAGCCATATTGTACAAAACTAATCACTAAGAAAAAGTTAAAATAGTCTGAGAAAATAAGTTGCTGGTTTTAAGAAAGCATTAAATTTTAATGTGTTGGAAACCATTTTTCCACACGGTTCTTTTTTTTTTTTGAGATGGAGTCCTGTGGTGCCCAGGCTGATCTCAAACTCCTGGACTCCAGTGATCCTCCCATGTAGCTGGAAGTACAGGCACATGGCACTGCACCCAGCCTCCATATAGTTATAAAGTGTGACAGCATTAAGAATGCTTGATTTATATTTCTTAAGAAATATAATCAAGTCATTTAAAGAATTTCAATAATCTCTAAATGTAAGCAGTTCTAAGAATATATTGAATCTTTGGGTTATGATTTTATCTCATAAGTTCAGGCACCTCTTTCAATGTAAGAAAAAGTAAGACATTTTAGCATAAGGTTAAATGTATTATTGAATCCACAAAGTATCAGCAATTGGCTAGTACAAAATGAATTATGTTACTGCTTAAGAATCAAACATAAATTTATCTCCACCAGAAAAGAACAATTACACTAATTGAGCTTGGAGGTACTGTTGTATTGTTAAGTAGAATGATCTATTTAAATGAGGTCTTTTGTTTTTGTTTTTTTTTTTTTGAGACGGAGTCTCGCTCTGTCGCCCAGGCTAGAGTGCAGTGGCGTGATCTTGGCTCACTGCAAGCTCCGCCTCCCAGATTGACGCCATTTTCCTGCCTTAGCCTCCCAAGTAGCCATCATGCCCGGCTAATTTTTTTGTATTTTTAGTAGAGATAGGGTTTCACTGTGTTACCCAGGATGGTCTCGATCTCCTGACCTCATGATCCGCCCACCTCGGCCTCCCAAAGTGCTGGGATTACAGGCGTGAGCCACCACGCCCGGCCAATGAAGTCATCATTTTTACACTAGCAAAATATGGTAAGCCTGGCTTCCTGGGACTAACCCAAGCTTTGCAAAATCTAAACATTTAATGCTTAAAAAATGCAATTCTTATACTTACTAAAAGATCTTATAACTAAGGCAGAAATGCTTACATGAATAACTGATTTGGACTAAACACTGTAAACCCGTGAGTTTGTTTATGCCCTATCCTGAGGTAAATTTGGACCTTCAGTCAATTCTAGTAGAAATTTGTTCACTTCTCCCTGGTTCTTCATTTGAACATGTCAAATAGTTACAAATATTTATATGATAACCTTTTATATTATAGCTGCATCAAATACAAGCACTGTAAGAAAAGAAGGGGAAAATTGTTTTTCTTTAACAAATTATGATACAGAGTTTATGCTAAAAGGCAACTTGTGAATCTCTTTCATCCTCATATGCCTTACACCTACAAAAGAGCATTGTTACTCATTTGATAAAAGCATTATCAAATGTGTATTTTCAGAATCATTTATGAACACTGCTCTAGTAAAAATGTTAAGAGATGCATGTCACAGATATTCACATCTTAGCTCATTTATCTGCAAGTCAAAGACTAGTTTTAAGCAAAGGAGAATTACTTTGCTTAAGCAACTCCAAGTGACTGCCATTTCTAAAACCCAGGAGGGAAGTGACAAGTACTGGGACAAGCCAGAAGAAGAGTCATTTCCAGGCCTGCAAGAGCTTTTCTGGCAACCTAAATATATTGACAGAGAAGTTGTTGGGTCTCCATATTTCTTCAGTAAGCTTCCATTTGGCAGGCATACTTTAATCAAGTAGATGATTTAAGTCCAGCAAACCTGCATGCTACAAAATAATTCTGACTCAAAC
The DNA here is from genome assembly GCF_000001405.40 of Homo sapiens. NCBI lineage: Eukaryota > Metazoa > Chordata > Mammalia > Primates > Hominidae > Homo > Homo sapiens. Next base: position 110,241,980 of record NC_000006.12, read on the forward strand.
TTGCAGGCCTTTTCTATTTGTAGTTTCCCCCTACTCCCGTTTTACTAATAGGGAGGCAAAAATGAGTCCTTTGGACAAAGCATCTTACGTTTGGTACAGGCTTTGGAAGCTGCATTGTGGATGGGACCAAACACCAGCTTTTTGGGATCTGACAGACCAAAATGTAAATGACTGTTCCTCCATCTACAACTTGAGTAATCTGAATAAGCCATTTAACCTCTCAGAGTTTCCTTTTCTTTTTTTTTTGAGATGGAGTCTCTCTCTGTCGCCCAGACTGGAGTGCAGTGGCGCAATCTTGGCTTACTGCAACCTCCACCTCCCAGATTCAAGCAATTCTCCTGCCTCAGCCACCCGAGTAGCTGGGACTGCAGGCACATGCCACCACGCCCACTAATTTTTTGTATTTTTAGTAAAGACAGGGTTTCAACGTGTTAGCCAGGATGGTCTCGATCTCCCGACCTCGTGATCTGCCCGCCTCGGCCTCCCAAAGTGCTGGGATTACAGGCATGAGCCACTGCGCCCGGCCTCTCTCAGAATTTCTTTACTCATGATGTTGGAAAAAAATAAACTTCCTTGTTGTGAGAATTAGGAATAAGCTATGCACATGGTCCGGCAGACAGTTAGCTCTCAGTAAAGAGTAACTCTTGGTTTTGTTTGTTTGTTATGTGTTGTTTGTGTTGCTCTTGTGGTGGTTGTGGTGGTGATGATTATGGTTTTGCCCGTTCCTCATAAGAGGATCTTGTGTTTGCCTGTTCACAAGTAAACAGTGCTATAGTAGCCTGGTCCTCTTCTCATGGCCTGCACCAGTAGTTCTCCACAGTGGGTGATCTTGCCCCCTCGGGGACATATCCTACAATGCACAGAACAGCCCTCCCCCGGTAAAGAATTATCCAGCCCAAATGGCAATAGTGCTGAGGTTAAGAAATTTATTATGTTTATTTATGATAAACATAATAAACTCTAGAGGCAGGAAAACCTTAACAACCATCAGTATATTCATCACAAATTTGAAACTATACATGAAGAGAATGAAGGACCATTTTAGAAATAAGCATAAAATAAGTATGGATAACTATTAAACAGGCTGCCTGGTCAATCAGCGTGGCTGGATGTGTTCATGATATATTCTTTTTTAACAGTACATTCATTCATGCTTCAGGTACATATAGCATGATGAAGTCAATGCTCAACACCACCAACCTGAAATAAATAGTTAACTTGCCGTAGACAAAGGGGCTTTCAGTAATACCCTAAATCTCCAATTCCACGAATTAAAAATCTTAATATGGGTGTGCTACATATCTAAAAGCTGATCAGACTGGACATTTAAGATGAATACACTTTCTACACTTTAATGTATAAAAATGTTTATATATTTCAGTATATAAACATTTTATGAAAATAAATCTGTTATATAATCCAAACAGAACTGGGCTAAAGTTAGCTTTGCTTTGGAGATGACACCATATAACTAACAGTATAAACCAATTTAGAGTGTGTGTGGACCCTTCTGCACATTTGAAATACCTCTGTACATTGAAATGACTAAACTGCCTTTTCAGATCACACTTACTCAAGCCAGTCCTCTCAGCTCAACAACTTTTATTAGTGGACTATGAGTTTTAAAATAAAAAGCTCATGTGTATATATTTTTTAATTATCACAACTAACTCAGAAAGTCCTGTTCTCTTTTCAACTCAAGCTAGTGAGGTCATCCAAGTCTAAGACGATTTGATTTCTCACTTGAGGAATGGCATTTTCAAACCACTTCAAGAAACAAAGAGCTAACCTGGGGAATGTCTGAGGGTAGAAGGAAGTACAAATTGGGAAAAGGGGTAAAGTCTAGTAATAATCGGCATTCTACTCTCTCCCCCCAGTTTTTGAGCAATGTACATACAGTTTTATACTCAGGATATAAAAATGCCAAAAAATATATTTAATTGACAATAAAGTAATAATGTGGTTTTTATGCTATTTATTTGAAATAGAATTTTAGAAAATTATGCACGTGTTTAATCCTGTAAATAGTAATGAGAGAGAGCATTTGAACCGCTGAGAACCTAAACTTTCCACTTAACTTTTAATGTAGAAAGGATCGGTGCTATTGAAAAACTGTCTAACTATCCTACGAAAGTGAGACGATGGTCTTCAGGCCACAATCATGTAAGTGATGCCAACTGGGAGTAAAGAAAAATGCACTTAACATTATTAGAGATAATGTATTTTTTTAAAAAAGATTTGACAGCATAGGCAAGTCTGTGGGTGGTAAATCATGTTTGAAGGCAGAAGAGGCAACAGCAAAGATACCCAGATTCTGCTCTGTGCTTAGTTTAATAGGAAGTGAAGGGGAATTAAGGCTGAGTATAAAAAGCATCTTGAGTTGAAGCTCTTTTTTTTTTCTGTGAACAAATAAACTTTATTCAGGTATAAAAAGCAAGTGCTTTTTCAAATACGTAAAATCTAAAAAGTGTAATACCCAAAGTATTAGTCCATTCTCACACTGCTATGAAGATATACCTGAGACTGAGTAATTTATAGAGGAAAGAGATTTAATTGACTCACAGTTTAGCATGGCTGGCGAGGCCTCAGGAAACTTACAGTCGTGGTGGAAGGGGAAGCAAACACATCCTTCTTCATATGGCAGCAGGAAGGAGAAAAATGAGAGCCAAGTGAAGGGGGACACCTCTTATAAAACCATCAGATCTCATGAGAACTTACTCAGTATCATGAGAATAGCATGGAGGAAACCAACCCCATGATTCAATTACCTCTCACCAGGTCCCTCCCACAACACGTGGGGATTATGGGAACTACAATTCAAGATGAGATTTGGTTGGGGACGTAGCCAAACCATATTACTCATGGACTTATAATGAAGTAATCATTAAAGGCCTTACTTCAGTGAGGAGAGCACAGACCGAAGGAGCCAGATGGAAACCAGAATATGTGAGTCAAGAAAATGGTGAAACATGCCAGTAGGAAAATCTATCTTATCTATCTATCTATCTATCTATCTATCTATCATCTATCTATTTATCTACCTACCTACCTACAATGGTTAATTTTATGTGTCAACTTAACTGGACTAAAGGGTGTCCAGATCTTTAGTTAAACATTATTCTAGGTGTATCTGTAAGGATATTTCCAGATGAAATTAATATTTAAATCAGTAGACTAAATAAATCAGATTCTTCACCTCAGTGTAAGTGGACCTCATTCAACCAGTTGAAGGCCTGAATAGAACCTAAGGCAGTAAGGAAGAATTAATTCTCTGTCTGGCTGTCTTCAAGCTGGGACATGGGTCTTGGTGAGGTCAAGACCTTCAGACTTGGTCTCGAACTGGAACTTACACCTTCGTGTTGAAGCTCTTGATAGTCTAGTCTCTTTAACTCAGTGACAGAATTTGGTGCATCCGAGTTCCCAGAAATCAGAAGTATTGCTGCTTAGAAAGCCACAGCATGGCCTCAGCAAAGGCTGAGAAGGAATGACTGAAATCTACAAGGTTGTAAAGAATATCATTAACAAGGTAAATAAGAAAAACCTTGAAAAAGGAGGGTCAAATTCAAATTTAAAACCCTATTTTAAACAGTAGGGGAAGAACTTAAAAATCTCACCAACCTAGTAAAAATAGGAAATTTATATAATTTCATTTCAATGTTGGTGAATTCATAGATTATAGATACATAGAGAATTTTAGGGAAAACTGTGATGAGCTGGGGATAATCTTCCAAGTTAAGGTGAAGGAAGAGTCTGGGCAAATAGGGGTGACTGTGTTTATCCCTTTAACAAGTATTGACTGTGCCCCATCACATGCCAAGCACTAGGCTGCATGCCCGCAATAACACACTCCCTGCCTCAAGCAGGGCACAGGCTAGCAGGAGACTGGATGAGTAAACTCATGATTAGAATTATGGACATGCTGCATTCTGCAAATATTTTCTTGTGCTCTTGATGACATCCTGCATCCTATTTCCATCTTGTATTCACCCAACTCAGAGTATAACAGCTACTTGCATTGAAAATGTCTTTCTTCAAGAATAGCTGAGGTTTAGATAAGTCTTTGTAACTGTGAAAAAGCCTGAAATCCTTTTGTTCTAACTCTTTGAGAAGGCTGTACCAGAACCGCACAACGCTGCTGTCACTGCCACTGACCTCAAACCCAGGCCAGTGGAGATGGATCTCAAAGATGAGCTGTCCAATCTGCTCAAGAACATCTTCCAGAATAAGATTTTCCAAAACTTTCCATTCTGCACTTTCCAGATCTGCCTTGAGAACGTCAATCTGTAACAAAGCAATGAAATGAGATTAGCAGATTTAGTAAAACTATCTTGATATCAGGAGTTTCACATTATAGCTACCTCTGAAGGAAACAGAATTTTTAAAATTTTAGAGCTGAGGGTGGTTTTCAAGTGGCCATTTGCATTTATGACATGAATTTCTAACCCCATTCCCTACTAAATGTTTTGGTTTTTTGTTCTTGTTTTTAAGAGATGGGGGTCTCGATATGTTGCCTAGGCTGGTATAAAACTCCTGGTTCAAGCAATCCTCCTGCCTCCGCCTCCTGAGTAGCTGGGACTACAGGCGTGAGCCTGTTATGTTAATATATGTTAATATACAAATGATGAAATACCAGGCAAAAATCACAACAGACCCTCTTGCTTTCTGCCCAGTGGGAATGGATATCTGAGAAGGAGAAGTTAGAGTGAGTGTATCACAGACCTCTGTGTACCCCACAAACTATGCCACCCCAGGAAACTCTGCCAAGTCCTGACAGAAGGTGTCTATAGAAAGGAAGTGACAAAGGGCTACTGCCTGCAGGGACTATCTTGCAGGCCTCATCCCCCCAACCCCAACTTCATCGAGACTGGACATCAATGAAAAAGTTATTGAGTATCTGAATATTGGACTATAAAAAAATAATATTATTATTCTATGATTTCTTTACAATGTATATACCAGTATAGCATTCTTAAAAAAAAAAAAAGCAGTAACACCATCCTCTGCTTATTTAATGAACACAAGTTCACATTCAAGTGAGACAGAATAAAGGAAGAAGAGGATTGTAATATCAATATTTTGCAAATTAATCAAGTTATGAGAATCAGCTCCTTTTCGCTGCCTGTGCAAAAAATCCGTTAGAACACCAGAACCCTAAACACAATGAAAGCTCATTTTTACCAAGTAGTTATATGTGCCTGACACCATGCTAAGGGCTTCCCCTTGCAATATCCATTTAATCCTCTCAATAATGCTGTAAGGGTGATTCTGTGAGTATCCCTAATTAAAGTTCAGGAAACCAGACTCAGTGAGGAACCCATTCCCAGTCACATGGCTAGAGAGGCAGTGATGAACTCTGAACAGAGTCTGTCTACAGAGCCTGTGTTCTTAACCCTTACCTAACATTGCCTCTTCCAATACACCCAAGAGGAAAAATGGGTAACTCAGAGTCTCAAAGAGGTTTGGAGTTTGGAAAATAAGGTGCTATCTGGAGAGCGAATATGGGTCAGTGAGTAAAGTATTATTATCAATATTGCCACTTTACATTTGCAGAGCACTTTTCAAGGGGGATAATTCTACCACATGGAGGAAAGCTGACAGCATTCAGACATAAACTGGAATAACGAGGCTGGAGGAAATCATTGCAAAAGAGCAAAGGCTGTAGCCCCAAGAGGGGACAGCAGAACCTTAAGCAGCCCTTCAGGAAGCTGCTGACTGAAGTCATGAATATCCTGCCCCATGAAAGTGAAAATACCTTTGCTTGTTTAGAAAAACAGATAAACAACAAGACGTATGCTACCCATTCTTTCCTTTCTCATTGCATGTCTGTTTGATAAGTTTCTCATATGAGGCTCAAACGTGAGGCTCCTTGTGCCACATCCAAACTATTCTGACGTAGTTTGGATGTTTGTCCCCTCCAAATATCATTTTGAAATATGATACTCAATGTTGGAAGTGGGGTCTGGTGAGAGGTGTTTGGGTCATAGGGGTGGATCCCTCATGAATGGTTTGGTGCTGTCCTCGAGATAGTGAGTGAGCTCTAGCTCTGAGTTCACGTAAGATCTGGCTGTTTAGAAAGAGTGTGGCACCTCTACCCCCCTCTCTCTTGTTCCCTCTCTTGCCATCTGATAGGCTGGCACCTCTTCGCCTTCCACCATGTTTGTAAGCTCCCTGAGGCCTCACCAGGAGCAGATACCGGCACCATGCTTCCTGTACAGCCTGCAGAACCATAAGCCAAGTAAGCCTCTTTGCTTTATAAATTACTCAGCCTTAGATATTTCTTTATAGCAACACAAGAACAGCCTAACACACATTCCTTGGGTGATTTCAGAGTTGAATGCAAGAGAAGGTACACAGAATTTACATATAACAGCTACAAGAAAATGGGCTCTGTCCTGATGCCTGAGACTCTGTAGGACATGGTTTCACATTCTTGCCTTGGATTGTACCTCCTGGTCCACCAAGGAAAAAGTGATGGTAATACCCGAAGAATACTGAGTGCCTTAGGAAAGCCTGGGTGTCTGTAAACCAGTTTGTCCGTTCAATAGTTCCAAACTCAAAGAGAAAAAGTTAAAACAAAACAAAACCTTTCTTCATGAGAGGAACTGAGCAAAGACAGGTTGCATGTGAATACACACCAGGCTAAAATAATTCTTGTGAATCAGACACAGTGAAATTTAGCCAGGTGCAGTGGCTCATGCCTGTAATCCCAGCAGGTGGATCACTTGAGCCCAGGAGTTCAAGACAACCTTGGACAATATAGTGAGACCTCATCTCTACAAAAAAAAATAAAAATAAAAATAAAACATTATTAATAAAGAAATTAATTCACTCATTTTTCCATCTCTCCTGCCCTGGCATGTCCATGGGTTTGTTTAATCTTGGCAAATTTTAAACAGAATACTCCTGAATTAAGGGGAATTAAGCTGCCAAAGGAAATATTTAATCAAAACTTTGTAAAATTTTCTAATTGGTACAGAAAGTATCCAAAACCCAAAACCAGCATTTGTTCTATCAATTCACATAGCCAAGAATGTCTTAGGTTCCTTACAGATTCATGTTCACCATGGTTTTCTGTGAGTTTGCTTATGTTGAATGTGAGGAATACATCGAAGTATTAAAAAGACAGAGTAAAGTTCATCACCTTTAAATTAACCTAAAAACTCTATTAGTGATGTATAAGGAATATATTTTGTATATTTATTCCAAACGTCTTAAAAATAAACTATCAATCAGAAGTTATGAGCAAATCAAAGGGAACCAAATTATTAGGCTAAATCATAGTAAACATAGGCTTTCTTTGAAAATCCAATTTTCATTTATAAAATGCTAATCTATTCTAAAGAGCAAAAAGTATTTTCAAACACAACAACACTCCCACCCTCTTTTGATTCCAGTGACTGAAAATCCCCCACTTCAATCAGAATTGTATAAGTTGATCTAAATCATGCAGCCCAGGGGGAGCACAGAAGCTCTTCTCTGCCTTCTGACCTGAGAGTGCAGGCAGCCAAAAGGCTGTGAATAAAACATGCTCTGCTCTTCCAGTGTGCTTTTTCTGTTTCTCACATTTTAAAACGTCCCATTACTGCAATGATTTTGCAAATGTGATTTCCATTATTACTCCATAATGCATCCAATATTATTGTTATTATAAAGCACTAAACATTGCTGAATAGGATATGCCACTTTTAAGATTCTAATATCAGCTTTCAACAATTATGCCACTAAAAATCATACAAATTATTAGATGGGAATAATCAAGTGCCGATCCTAATACAGTTAGGATAAATCAGGTTTGTGGAGAAAAACAACTTAAGGTTAACTCCCAGAAAACTCTGGAATAAGCGAAGACATTCTTGGGTAGAAAGGTCTCAAAGAAAGAAGGTGAAACAACTTAATTGGTATGATTTCCAGTGTATTAAAGGGGTCCTCCTATCAAAAATTATCTCCTTTTCCTTGTACCTGAAATATCCAATCAATTGACTTTCACAAACCTTTTGAAGAAATGAGAATTTTCATTTTTAACTGGATTAAGACCTGATGCCATCTGGCAGCTTCCTCATCATAGGCACAAGTTTATCCCTGTGATCATCCACCCAGAACTGCAGAGATTCGAGGAAAGGGGAGGAAGAGGCATGGGTGCTTGTATCCATTTCCAAGGGCTGCCGTAACAAAAGACCATGGATTGGGAGGTTTAAATAACAGAATTGTGTTGTCTCACAGTTGTGAAGACTAGAATTCCAAGATCAAGTGTCCCTCTGAGAGCCATGAGAGAGAATGTGTCCTGTGCTGCTTGCCTGGCTTCCCGTGGCTTGCTAGCAATCTTCAACATTCCTTGGCTCCTGCATCACCTGATCTCTGCCTTCATCTTCACATGGTGTTCTCTCTGTGTGTCCAAATTTCCTCTTTTTATAAGGACATCAGTCAGATTGGAATAGGGACCACCTTCCTCCAGTATGACCTCATTTTAACGAATTACATCTAGAACCACACTATTTCCAAATAAGGTCACATTCTGAGGTATGAAGGTTTAGAATTTCAACATATTAATTTGGGGGAGACACAATTCAACCCATAACAGTGTTTGGGGTAGCTTTTGCAATAGGGCTTTTGCAATGTGTTTAGGAGCCAATTCCCAGGGCCAATAGTTAGGAAAAGCGCCCTACTCCAGAGATCCAAGGGCCAGCAACCATCTTAGACAATTACGGTTATCACTCTGACTAATGGATAAGTCCTTACATCAGCCAACACTGACTGCTCTGACCTCGCCAAGTGCCAAACCCAAGGCAGGTCAACAAGTTTCCAAAGCCAGTTGAAACCACCATCGTGAAACCCCTCTACTTCATGCCTTGGTTCCTTCTCAGCCACATGATCAGGCCCAGTAGGGGCACTTTGTCTTTGGCCCCCTCCCATTCCCTATATGGGAACTCATTCAGACTACTCAATATCCTCACATCTACAGTTTCTAATCTGAGCCTTTTCCCCTTTAAGAGGGCTCTCAAGCAAAACACGTAGATTCTACGACATGCCTGCTGGCCTGCAGAGGGCAAAAATGCAACACCTTTTAAGTAAAGCCTAGCTCTGGGAGTCACAAACGTCACTTCCACTGCATTCCATTGGTCAAGCAAATTGCAAGTCTAGCGCGCATTCAAGGGGAGGTGAAATAGACTCCAGCCCTTGAGAGGAGGAGTGGCATACACAGAAAGGGGAAGAGAAGTTATTCATGGCTAAATTTGCAAACAATTGACCCTAGTAATTAAAAGCAATATTACTTTATCTAAATCCATAAATCAACTACAGTAGTACAGTGGACTGGAACTTTTACTGGACACAAATAATACTCCAGAAAAAATGAATAATAAAGCCTTTATTCATCAGAATGTTTTTAAAGATGGAATATTAATAAAACATGGCATCTGTTATTAGATTTGGTTTTACTTGACAGTTGACATAGAACCTGGGATATTCAATGGATTAAGATGACTAATAAAGAAAATAATAAATAGGACAAGTAAAGTAAATATTTGTAAGTCTTAGTTAGATATTGTATTAGTCTGCTAGGTCTGTGTCTTAGTGTGTTTGCACCACCATAACAAAATACATTAGACTAAGTAATTTATAAAGAACAAAAATGTATATCATACAGTTCTGAAGGCTGGGAAGTCCAAGTTCAAGGTTGGCAGGTTTGGTGACTGGTGAGAACCTGTTCTTCAGAGATAGCATCACCTAAGTATCCTCACATGGCAGAAAGGATGGAAGGGGAGTAAACGGGCAAACTCCTTCCATCAAGCCCTTTTATAAGGGCACCTAATCCCATTCATGCAGGTAGAGCCCTCCTGACTCAAACACATCCTAAAGGCCACACCCCTTCATACTGCTTCATTGGGCCAGGTGCAGTAGCTCACGCCTGTAATCCCTGCACTTTGGGAGGCCAAGGCAGGTGGATCACTTGAGGCCAGGATTTCGAGACCAGCCTAGCCAACATGGCGAAATCCCTTCTCTACTGAAACTACAAAAATTAGCCGGGTGAGGTGGTACACTCCTGTAATCCCAGCTACTCAGGAGGCTGAGCCAGAAGAATTGCTTGGACCTGGGGGGCAGAGGTTGCAGTGAGCTGAGATGGCGCCATGATACTCCAGCCTGGGAGATAGAGCAAAACTCTTCCTTAAAAAACAAAACAAAAAAAACCTGCTGCATTGGGATTCAGTTTCAGCATGAATTTTGGAGGAGACAAAAACATTTAAACCAAAGCAGATCGGGTGGTTTAAACAACAAATTTATTTTCTCCACCTTTGGAGGCTAGAAACCCAAGATCAACGTGTCAGCAGGTTTGGTTTCTCCTAAGTCCTCCCGACTTGGCTTGCAGATGGCTGCCTTGTCCCTGTGGCCTTTCTGCATGCATTCCTGGTGTCTCCACTTTTTCTTACAAGGACACTAGTCTTGTTGGATTAGGGTCCCACCCTTATGACCTCATTTAACCTTAATCACCTCCTTAAAGGCCCTATCTCTAAATACAGTCACACTGGGAGTTAGGGCTTCAATCTATGAATTTCTTCAACCCATAACAAATCTAAAACAGGTATTTTTGCTATGCTCTATTTAGAGGCAACCACTATCTCCATAAGCATTTTTACAATACATCCTTTTACTATTATGGCAGCCTGTAGTGTCTCCTCTATAGTTAATGGCTAACTCTGGTTTTAGCTAGTAAAAGTGTGAGCCATCAAATTAATTGGAGGTGAGTCACAGAGACTGTAGTAGGTATTATTTTCCAAAGATGTAACACCATTATCTCCCATCTAACATGATTTTCTGCATGTGGCCTTGACACCCCCACCACTGAGACATGGGATCAACCTATGTGGTCACACAGGGCCCCAAGCCTAGAAAGGCTTCATGCTTGATTTAACACTCTGCTGTCACTGTCTTAAAATTCTTCACTAGTTTTGAACAAGAGACCCCTCATTTTTATTTTGCACTAGGCCCCACAAATTATGTAGCCCATCCTCCAGAATTGTGATGAGCTGTGAATGACTGATTGACTAACACAGTCTGGTAGAAGTGATTCTAAGTGGCGTTCAAGCGTAGGCCGTAAAGGGTGATGCAGCTTCTACTTTGCTCAAGAGTATATTCATTCCTGAAAACTTTGGCCCTCAGGAAAGGTGTCTGACTGCCCCGAGGCGGTACTGCTATGAGAAAATCCAAACTAGCCTTTGCAGAGAGACCAATAAAGAGGTCCTGAGTCAATAGGAATAGAGAGAGAGAGATGTCTGGCCAACCCCAGCTGCTGCAAGCCTTCAACTGGCTTCAACTGCATGAGAGACCCTGAGCCAGAAGCACCCAGCAAAGCCCTTCCCAAAACTCTGCCCCACATAAACTACGAGAGAGCATCAAAGGATCAATTGTTGGGTTAAAAAGCTAAGCTTGGGGGCTAATTCATTATGCAGCAATAGATAACTAGAACAGAGACTAAGTGCTATTCATGAAAATCTTTTTTTAAAAAGGTAAAAGTTACTTGTATTGTGTCAAGTACTATATATTCTAAAGCTGTGAGTTCTAGAAATTAATATGCATTTAACCAAAAAATATTTTCTTATAAAAGCAATACATGGTCATTATTTAAAAATTAAAATCATAGATAAACAAAAAAAGAAGTAAAATACCTATAATCCAGAATTTTAAAACAGTTTACTTCTGAACTCCCAAACATTTTTCTTTGCTGTAAACACACACGTACACATGCACACACAAACACACAAGACAAATTCTAACACACGAGCATAACTGAAACACACATTTTCTACAAAATTGAAATTATCCTATGTTTTCAAATCTGCTTTTTAACATAACAGACTATGAATATATTTCCATGTCAATAAATTTTCCTCTAAAATTTTCTCTCAAACAGAGTCCCTCAGAGCTTTCAGAATCTGAAGGAGGTGACTGCAGGTCCCCAGGAGGGGTGAGGAGGATGGCAAGTGGGTGAAGGTCCAGACCTCAACTCAAGAGCAGCTCCCCTTTGATCTCCTTGACATATTTGGAATCCCTCACAAATTTGCATTTGGGAAAAGAGCTCTCCTGCTTAAAAAAAATATGAAAGCCTCTATCAATAATTTATTCTTAACAGCTTTTGTAATGATTTAATTTATTTAATCAGTCCTCCTTCTGGTGGCCATATAGATATTTTCCCAAATGGATGATGTTACAAACTGATGTTATCAACAAACTGGGCAACTAAGTTTGTGTGTGTGTTCTGTCATTTTGTAAAACAGAATTCTGAAAAGAAGTGTTGTAAATGAGTTCATATTTTAAGAATTGTTATTTATTTGGCCACATCATCTAGTTATTTATGAATATTTTTTAAAATTGAATTATCAACCAGGCGTGGTTCACGCCTATAATCCCAGCACTTTGGGAGGCTGAGGCAGGTGGATCATTTGAGGCCAGGAGTTCGAGACCAGCCTGGGCAACATGGCAAAATGCTGTCTCTACTAAAAATACAAAAATTATCTGGGCATGGTGGCATGCACCTGCAATCCCAGCTACTTGGGAGGCTGAGACAGGAAAATCACTTGAACCCAGAAGGCAGAGGCTGCAGTGAGCCGAGATCATGCCACTGCACTCCAGCCTGGGTAGCGGAGCAAGACTATCTCAAAAGAAATAAAATAAATACATAAAAATAAATAAATAAAAATTTGAATTATCATCAATTCCCTACCACCCCAACAAATCAACATTCATTCTCCATATTCATTACAGTTTGGGTCAATATTCAATCACAATTTTAAAATAATTACATCAATACAACTTCTTGCTTTTTAGTCTACTGGTGAAAAGTTGTTATTTAATGATAAAATATATCTAGGTTTTTATATATCAAGTTTACTTAAAGTGTACCTGCAAAACTAGAAGCTAAATGCATTAGAAAGAGGGTCTTGTTGTTGTAGAAAAATAGAATAAATTAATCTATTGTGAATGTGAACAAGAATAGTAAAAGTCTTTTTGAGAGCCTTAGACTTTAAACACCCTAAATCAGTTTCAATTATCACTGTCAACTGGCAGAAATGTAACGGTACAAGACTTCTGCTATCACTAGGGAAGAAAGAGATGAGGTTTGCCCTACAGATTATGAGAAATATGAAGGGTCACTCTAAGCTAATGTAGGACCAATTCTGAACTAATAATAAAATAAAATAATTTTATGTAGTAATTAGCTCACAAAAATGACTCCTGCAGGGAACAACACTCTACAAATGAATTAAAAAGGAAATGAGGAAAACATTTACAAGCAAAGGCTCTTTTTTTCTGGCCAGATATGGAGCTTGATGAAATAATCCAACCTGAGACTGCTGAGCAAGAATCTCCTGAGCTGGGTGAGGTGATAGAATACACAGCCTAGAAACCCAAGTCAGGGACAGATGATGGGTGAGCTGGTGACCAGCCAAGATGTCAGAGGTCAGCAGGGTGATTCCTATGCAACAGCAAAGAACTAAGCAGGAACCAAGCAGCACAAACGTAGGCAGGACTGAGGCGGTAGCAAGGGACCTGACCGAGGGCAGAGTCAGGCAGAAGGGCAATGGCAGAACCACGGACAGCTCCCGGCAGCTGCTTTTCTGTCTTCATTTCTACCCTACTTCCCTGGGCAGCTGAAAACAAATCTCTGATCTTAAGATCAGAACTCAATGCCTTAAAGTTACATTACCTGGTTAATTTATTTGCAAGTGTTCCAAAGTATTTTTGGAAGGAGATGGGACATAAAACTCAGACATCTATAAATGATTCCTAAATGAATAGATGTATAAACAAATAACCCAAGTAAACATCCAAATAAAATCTTCAGGAAGACATGTTCTTGGGGTTCAGTGGGAGAATCTTTGCCCTTAGATGGTGGGACTGGGTCAACCTCAGAGCATGCTGGAGCCAGTAATGTGACTTAGGCAAGAAAAGAAAGAAAAAAAAACAGCCCCAATGCAAAAAGCAAGCACTAATTTAGAGGGACACAAAACAAACGCATTTGGTATTTAGTTTTTGCTTGTGTTTTAAGCATATACTAAAATATAAGTGAGAAGAAACTAGGAATAAAAATAATGAAAGAATCAGCAGTGAGTGGGGTCAAGTGTTAGAAGCCAGAAATGAGAGGGGGTGAGAAAACATTAAGAAGTCTCGGGATGTGTGTGCACACACATGTGCATACACACACACACAACACACACACATGACTGAGGAATGCAGCTTTGAAAAATATATACAGGAAATTATTTTTACCACTGAGCCTAGCTTCACCTCAGACTTTAGTATCACCTCTAATTAAACAATCTCCAAGTCTCAACTTTCCCTCCCTGGTCATATAAGATATGAGTCCCAGTGCTGCAGTTAACCCCAGCACGACTCATGCTAGACCTGTCAGAGTCAACTTGATGTCCTCCATTTCTGAACCCCATGCAGAGTTCTAGCAAAGTAGGTAGCATGGTCACTCTTGTGTTGATCTTTTGATTTCCTTACCTGGGCTGTAAGTTCCTTTAGGGCAGGAATCTAACTCCTTGTTGGGTATCAAGTTCCTATCAGAGGTCCTGGCTCACAGCAGGTATGATATCCTATCAGATAACGAGTCCCACCTATTCTGCCTCCATAACACCCTCCCCCTGGCCTTCCATCCTCCACCTCTGTGATCACCTTGCTTCAGACCTCACTGATGGAAAGAGAGGAGACAAGAGAGGTCAAGGGTTGGGAGTTAGGAATAACAGCAGTTATCAATTCCATTCTCCCACAGGGCACAAATGTTGTGTTCGGGTCTTGATTTTCAACTCTTTATGCACACGACACTTAGCCAAATGTAATTCTTTGTCATTCCTCAAAATGCCACTAAAACCTTTCTGCCCATTTCTCTATTCATGTCACTTCCTTTTTGTGTGCCCGTTTCTCTATTCATGTCACTTCCTTCTTGTGGAACACCAGGAATTTCTGCTGGTCATCTCCCCCTCTGACAGCATACAGGGCACCACAACTGCCCTTCAAGTACAGGCTGCACTGCATCAAGAAATTTGCATTGTTGGATTTTTCTAAAACTCTTATCACCATGATCTAAAGCAGGGGCAATAATCTGAGAGAAGATGACTTAACATAAATTCTGACAGGACTTGGAAATAGATACAAATTGGTTTTATCTTATGGAATATTTCATTAGCATTAAACTACAAGGCTCCCATCTCAAATATGTTTTCTAGTTAAATGAGATCAACACTGAAATAAGGAAATGGATAATATCAATATTTAATTCTCCAAATGGCATTCAGTTTTTTATTTTGTTGTGGGTGTGTACAAGGAAGTGAACTGTTCCTAAACTGGAATGTTTAGGAAAGCCACTGAGCTGCTCTCCTGTACAGTAGAAGCTTACCACATATGGCCATTTTAATTTTAATTAATTCATTAAAATTAAATCAAATTAAAATTAATTTCTCTGCCACATTTCAAGTGCTCAATAGCCATATATGGCTAGTGGCTACCATACTGGATGGTGCAGCCACAGGACATCTACATTACCACACAAAGTTCTACTGGACTGTGCCACTCAGAGGATCACACACAGCAGCATCACCGAGATGGCTCGTAAAAACACAGTTTCTCACTCAGTAGATCTGAAGTGGAGCCTAAGTACTTGTGTTTCTACTAAGAGCCCAGCTGCCGATGATGCTGCTGGTACAACGACCACACTTTGTGAATCACTAGCCTTGGCTGATAACACCAGGTGAGCTTTTCATGGTGTATGCGCACAGCACTCAGCCTCAGCCCATGATCAGATGCAGAAAATATCCACATGCTGGTAATCTTTGGCCTTGGAAGGTATAAGATAGTTTTCTAACCAGCTGCTTTCTTAATTATGATATAATGAGGTTGGAATATCCTAAACACATGCCAAGGTTTCAGCGAGGCTTATAGTCTCTGGAACTGTGTGCAAAAATGTATGTCTGTGCACATAAGCACTTTTCTAAGAACAGTGTGGTGGCTGGGGCCTTGACTCTCAGGCAGGTTGTTTAGACCCTCAGTGATTCAGAGTAAAACAATAGGACCCATATCATCCATATCATTGGGCTGTGTTGAGGCTAAACAAGAAATGCACCATGCACAGAACCTAACACAGAGTAAGAGTGCCATCAGTGTTAGCTGTTGTTATTTTCACTCATTCTCCATAATCCAAAAAATATTAAGATGGTCTGATTTAAGTTACTATCAAAATGTGCCTTCTGTGAATAACAGCAGCTATATTTTGGGAGGTGTCTCAGAGGCAAAATTAAAATTTGGTACAAGAAATATACAGAAGTATCTCAAACATGATAGCCAAAAGCCATCTATATAAGTACATTAGCAGATGAAATTGAAAACAGTTTCTTCAACTGCATTTACATCTGACAAGAGGCAAAAGAGGTATATATTCCTTATGCCTTATACTGGACCTTATGCTTGATAATTATTTATTTTTGAATACCTAGCCTCTATCACACTATAGGCACTTGGCAGGTGCTCAAAAATATTTGGTAGATGGATGGGTGGGTGGGTGGATGAATGGATGTATGGACAAACAGACCAGATGGAGAGGTAGATAGGTGGATGGGTGGATAGGTGGATGGTTAAATGGACCTCACAGGTTCTGGGTTATGGAAGATTAGAGCCAGTAGGGACTTTGTGAAAATCTGATCCAACTCCTTATTTAACACATAAAACCAAATAATATACTCAAGATCACAAAGTAATTAATTAGTGATAGGGATTCCACATCCCAAACATCATTCCTCTGCTCTGAGTCTTAGATGCATTTACACACACACACACACACACACACACACACACAACAAAACAAAACAAAAGAAAACAAAACAAAACACAGCTTTGAGGCAAGTCTGCAACTCTAAGTCTTCATTCTCCTTGGAAGTTAAGGGCTAGCTAGGTAAACTTAAAGACAGCCACAATATTTTAGAAAGAATCACAGTCCCTCTTTTCCCCCAATATCTTTTGAAAGTTAATATCCCTTGATAGGAAAAGCTCCAGTCTACAGCTCCCAGAGTGAGCGATGCAGATGATGAATGATTTCTGCATTTCCAACTGAGCTACCGGGTTCATCTCACTGGGGACTGTCAGACAGTGGGTGCAGGACAGTGGGTGCAGCATACCAAGTGTGAGCCAAAGCAGGGTGAGGCATCGCCTCACCCGGGAAGCACAAGGGGTCAGGGAATTCCCTTTCCTAGCCAAGGAAAAGGGTGACAGACGGCACCTGGAAAATCAGGTCACTCCCACCCTAATACTGAGCTTTTCTGACAGTCTTAGCAAACGGCACACCAGGAGATTATATCCCACGCCTGGCTCAGAGGGTCCTACACCCATGGAGCCTTGCTCATTGCTTGCACAGCAGTCTGAGATCAAACTGCAAGGCAGCGGTGAGGCTGGGGGAGGGGCACCCACCATTGCCGAAGCTTGAGTAGGTAAACAAAGCGGCCAGGAAGCTTGAACTGGGTGGAGCCCACCACAGCTGAAGGAGGCCTGCCTGCCTCTGTGGACTCCACCTCTGGGGGCAGGGCATAGCCAAACAAAAGGCAGCAGAAACCTCTGCAGACTTAAATGTCTCTGTCTGACAGCTTTGAAGACAGTAGTGGTTTTCCTAGCATGCAGCTTGAGATCTGAGAACGGACAGACTGCCTCCTCAAGTGGGTCCCTGAACCCCAAGTAGCCTAACTGGGAGGCATCCCCCAGTAGGGGCAGACTGACACCTCACACGGCTGGGTACTCCTCTGAGACAAAACTTCCAGAGGAAGATCAGGCAGCAACATTGGCTGTTCACCAATAATCACTGTTCGGCAGCCTCCACTGTGGATACCCAGGCAAACAGGGTCTGGAGTAGACCTCTGGCAAACTCCAACAGACCTGCAGCTGAGGGTCCTGACTGTTAGAAGGAAAACTAACAAACAGAAAGGACATCCACACCAAAACCCCATCTGTACGTCACCATCATCAAAGACCAAAGGTAGATAAAACCACAAAGATGGGGAAAAAACAGAGCAGAAAAACTGAAAATTCTAAAAGTCAGAATGCCTCTCCTCCTCCAAAGGAACGCAGCTCCTCACCAGCAATGGAACAAAGCTGGACGGAGAATGACTTTGACGAGCTGAGAGAAGAAGGCTTCAGACAATCAAACTTCTCCGAACTAAAGGAGGAAGTTCGAACCCACGGCAAAGAAGATAAAAACTTTGAAAAAAGATTAGACGAATGGCTAACTAGAATAACCAATGCAGAGAAGTCCTTAAAGGACCTGATGGAGCTGAAAACCATGGCACGAGAACTACGTGATGAATGCACAAGCTTTATCAGCTGATTCGATCAACTGGAAGAAAGGTTATCAGTGATGGAAGATGAAATGAATGAAATGAAGCGAGAAGAGAAGTTTAGAGAAAAAAGAATAAACAGAAACAAACAAAGCCTCCAAGAAATATGGGACTATGTGAAAAGATCAAATCTATGTCTGAGTGGTGTACCTGAAAGTGACGGGGAGAATGCAACCAAGTTGGAAAACACTCTGCAGGATATTATCCAGGAGAACTTCCCCAACCAAGTAAGGCAGGCCAACATTCAAATTCAGGAAATACAGAGAAGGCCACAAAGAAACTCCTCGAGAAGAGCAACTCCAAGACACATAATCGTCAGATTCACCAAAGTTGAAATGAAGGAAAAAATGTTAAGGGTAGCCAGAGAGAAAGATTGGATTACCCACAAAAGGGAAGCCCATCAGACTAACAGGTGATCTCTCGGCAGAAACTCTACAAGCCAGAAAAGAGTGGGGGCCAATATTCAACATTCTTAAAGAAAAGAATTTTCAACCCAGAATTTCATATCCAGCCAAACTAAGCTTCATAAGTGAAGGAGAAATAAAATACTTTACAGACAAGCAAATGCTGAGAGATTTTGTCACCACAAGGCCTGCCCTACAAGAGCTCCTGAAGGAAGCACTAAACATGGAAAGGAACAACCAGTACCAGCCACTGCAAAAACATGCCAAATTGTAAAGACCATCAAGGCTAGGAAGAAACTGCATCAACTAATGAGCAAAATAACCAGCTAACATCATAATGACAGGATCAAATTCACAAATAACAATATTAACCTTAAATGTAAATGGACTAAACGCTCCAATTAAAAGACACAGACTTGGCAAATTGGATAAAGAGTCAAGACCCATCAGTGTGCTGTATTCAGGAAACCCATCTCTCGTGCAGAGACACATATAGGCTCAAAATAAAGGGATGGAGGAAGATCCACCAAGCAAATGGAAAACAAAAAAAGGCAGGGTTGCAATCCTAGTCTCTGATAAAACAGACTTGAAACCAACAAAGATCAAAAGAGACAAAGAAGGCCATTACATAATAGCAAAGGTATCAATTCAACAGAAGAGCTGACTATCATAAATATATATGCACCCAATACAGGAGCACCCAGAGTCATAAAGCAAGTCCTTAGAGACCTAGAAAGACACTTAGACTCCCACACAATAATAATGGGAGACTTTAACACACCACTGTCAACATTAGACAGATGAATGAGACAGAAAGTTAACAAGGATATCCAGGAATTGAACTCAGCTCTGCGCCAAGTGGACCTAATAGACATCTACAGAACTCTCCACCCCAAATCAACAATATATACATTCTTCTCAGCACCACACCACACTTATTCCAAAACTGACCACATAGTTGGAAGTAAAGCACTCCTCAGCAAATGTCAAAGAACAGAAATTATAACAAAGTGTATCTCAGACCACAGTGCAATCAAACTAGAACTCAGGATTAAGAAACTCACTCAAAACCGCTCAACTACATGGAAACTCAACAACCTGCTCCTGAATGACTACTGGGTACATAACGAAATGAAGGCAGAAATAAAGATGTTCTTTGAAACCAACGAGAACAAAGACACAACGTACCGGAATCTCTGGGACACATTTAAAGCAGTGTGTAGAGGGAAATTTATAGCACTAAATGCCCACAAGAGAAAGCAGGAAAGATCTAAAATTGACACCCTAACATCACAATTAAAAGAACTAGAGAAGCAAGAGCAACCACATTCAAAAGCTAGCAGAAGGCAAGAAATAACTAAGATCAGAGCAGAACTGAAGGAGATAGAGATACAAAAAACCCTTCAAAAAATCAATGAATCCAGGAGCTGGTTTTTTGAAAAGATCAACAGAATTGATAGACTGCTAGCAAGATTAATAAAAAAGAAAAGAGAGAAGAATCAAATAGACACAATAATAATTGATAAAGGGGATATCACCACCGATCCCACAGAAATACAAACTACCATCAGAGAATACTATAAACACCTCTACACAAATAAACTTGAAAATCTAGAAGAAATGGATAAATTCCTCGACACATACACCATCCCAAGACTAAACCAAGAAGAAATTGAATCACTGAATAGACCAATAACAGGCTCTGAAATTGAGACAATAATTAATAGCTTACCAACCAAAAAAAAGTCCAGGACCAGATGGATTCACAGCTGAATTCTACCAGAGGTACAAGGAGGAGCTATTACCATTCCTTCTGAAACTATTCCAATCAACAGAAAAAGAGGGAATCCTCCCTAACTCATTTTATGAGGCCAGCATCATCCTGATACCAAAGCCTGGCAGAGACACAACAAAAAAAAGAGAATTTTAGAGCAATATCCTTGATGAACATCAATGCAAAAATCCTCAATAAAATACTGACAAACCGAATCCAGCAGCATATCAAAAAGCTTATCCACCATGATCAAGTGGGCTTCATCCCTGGGATGCAAGGCTGGTTCAACATACACAAATCAATAAACGTAATCCAGCATGTAAACAGAACCAACGACAAAAACCACATGATTATCTCAATAGATGCAGAAAAGGCCTTTGACAAAATTCAACAGCCCTTCATGCTAAAAACTCTCAATAAATTAGGTATTGATGGGACGTATCTCAAAATAATCAGAGCTATTAATGACAAACCCACAGCCAATATCATACTGAATGTGCAAAAACTGGATGTGTTCCCTTTGAAAACTGGCACAAGACAAGGATGCCCTCTCTCACCACTCCTATTCAACATAGTGTTGGAAGTTCTGGCCAGGGCAATCAGGCAGGAGAAGGAAATAAAGGGTATTCAATTAGGAAAAGGGGAAGTTAAATTGTCCCTGTTTGCAGATGACATGATTGTATATCTAGAAAACCCCATCATCTCAGCCCAAAATCTCCTTAAGCTGATAAGCAACTTCAGCAAAGTCTCAGGATACAAAATCAATGTGCAAAAATCACAAGCATTCTTATACACCAATAACAGACAAACAGAGAGCCAAATCATGACTGAACTCCCATTCACAATTGCTTCAAAGAGAATAGAATACCTAGGAATCCAACTTACAAAGGATGCGAAGGACCTCTTCAAGGAGAACTACAAGCCACTGCTCAACGAAATAAAAGAGGATACAAACAAATGGAAGAACATTTCATGCTCATGGGTAGGAATAATCAATATCGTGAAAATGGCCATACTGCCCAAAGTAATTTATAGATTCAATGCCATCCCCATCGAGCTACCAATGACTTTCTTCACAGAATTGGAAAAAACTACTTTAAAGTTCATGTGGAACCAAAAAAGAGCCCGCATCGCCAAGTCAATCCTAAGCCAAAAGAACAAAGCTGGAGGCGTCACGCTACCTGACTTCAAACTATACTACAAGGCTACAGTAACCAAAACAGCATGGTACTGGTACCAAAACAGAGATATAGACCAATGGAACAGAACAGAGCCCTCAGAAATAATGCCACATATCTACAACTATCTGATCTTTGACAAATCTGACAAAAAGAAGAAATGGGGAAAGGATTCCCTATTTAATAAATGGTGCTGGGAAAACTGGCTAGCCATATGTAGAAAGTTGAAACTGGATCCCTTCCTTAGACCTTATACAAAAATTAATTCAAGGTGGATTAAAGACTTAAAGGTTAGACCTAAAACCATAAAAACCCTAGAAGAAAACCTAGGCAATACCATTCAGGACATAGGCATGGGCAAGGACTTCATGTCTAAAACACCAAAAGCAATGGCAACAAAAGCCAAAATTGACAAATGGGATCTAATTAAACTAAAGAGCTTCTGCACAGCAAAAGAAACTACCACCAGAGTGAACAGGCAACCCACAGAATGGGAGAAAATTTTTGCAATCTACTCATCTGACAAAGGGCTAACATCCAGAATCTACAAAGAACTGAAATAAATTTACAAGAAAAAAACAAACAACCCCATCAACAAGTGGGGAAAGGATATGAACAGACACTTCTCAAAAGAAGACATTTATGCAGCCAAAAGACACATGAAAAAATGCTCATCATCACTGGCCATCAGAGAAATGCAAATCAAAACCACAATGAGATATCATCTCACACCAGTTAGAATGGCGATCATTAAAAAGTCAGGAAACAACAGGTGCTAGAGAGGATGTGGAGAAATAGGAACACTTTTACACTGTTGGTGGGACTGCAAACTAGCTCAACCATTGTGGAAGTCAGTGTGGCAATTCCTCAGGGATCTAGAACTAGAAATACCATTTGACCCAGCCATCCCATTACTGGGTATATACCCAGAGGATTATAAATCATGCTGCTATAAAGACACATGCACACGTATGTTTATTGTGGCACTATTCACAATAGCAAAGACTTGGAACCAACCCAAATGTCCATCAATGATAGACTGGATTAAGAAAATGTAGCACATATACACCATGGAATACTATGCAGCCATAAAAAATGATGAGTTCATGTCCTTTGTAGGGACATGGATGAAGCTGGAAGCCATCATTCTCAGCAAACTATTGCAAGGACAAAAAACCAAACACCACATGTTCTCACTCATAGGTGGGAATTGAACAATGAGAACACATGGACACAGGAAGGGGAACATCACACACTGGGGCCTGTTGTGGGGTGGGGGTAGTGGGGAGGGATAGCATTAGGAGATATACCTAATGTAAATGACAAGTTAATGGGTGCAGCACACCAATATGGCACATGTATACACATGTAACAAACCTGCATGTTGTGCATATGTACCCTAAAACTTAAAGTATAATAAAAAAGGAAAGAAAGAAAGAAAGAAAGAAAGAAAGAAAGAAAGAAAGAAAGAAAGAAAGAAAGAAAGAAAGAAAGAAAGTTAATATCCCTCTATGCCAAGAATCTCTCTGCACCAGGAGTGCCCAGAAAAGCACAACTGGTGTTTTCTAAATTAACTTCTGATCAATACCAGTTTGCACATTAATACAAATTCAGATCCTATGAAATGTACTGAGGAAAGCATTTTATAAAATAAAGAAAACAGCAATACATACCGTGGTTTAAAGGCAAATATAGCATGGCAGGACTGTTGCTTGCCCACGTATCCATTCTTCCTTCTTCTTCAACAACAAAACCCTGACTTCTAGCTGACCTCAATGCTGCGCAGACAAATGACTATATTTTCTAGTTTCTTTATGACTGTGTGGTCATGTAACTAAAATCTGAGCAATAAGATATAAGTAAAAGTGTCATGTGGGATTTCTAGAAAGTTTCCTTAAAGGAAAAGGCTATACTTAGTGCTTCCTCCATCATTTCAACTGGAGTGAGGATGTAATGGCTGGAGCTCCAGCAGTAATATTGAACCATAAGAAGAAGGATTATATGCCAGGGGAGGAGGTAGGGAGAGCTGGATGGAACTTGGGTTCTTGATGACTCTGGAGTCTCCTTACAAGATTTGTACTACCTCCCTCCAGAGTTCTTTTATGTAAGAGAAGGAAGAAAATTTTTCTTTTTTATTCCTCCTCCTCTTCCTCTTCCTCCTCCTCCTCCTCCTTCTTCCTCTTCCTCCTCCTCCTCCTCTTTCTTCTTCTTCTTCTTCACAGGTTCTTGCTCTGCCAACCAGGCTGGAGTGTGGTGGTACAGTCACAGCTCACTGCAATCTCAAGCTCCTGAGCTCAAGTAATCCTCCTACCTCAGCCTCCAGAGTAGCTGGGACTATAGGTGCATACCACCACACCAGGCTCTTTTTAAAACAATTTTTTTGTAGAGATGGGGTCTTATTATATTACCCAAGCTGGTCTTGAACTCCTGGCATCAAGCGATCCTCCCACCTCAAACTCCCAAAATGCTGCAATTACAGGTATGAGCCACTGTGTCTGGCAGGAAAAAAAAAATGCTTCTATTTTTAAACTACTGTTACTTTTTTTCACATGCAACTCAACCTAATCTGAAATACATCCAACATATTCTAGTATTCTCGGCTACTTATTGAGTGATATCCACATTAGAAACATTATTGGGATTTCAAAGCTTTTGTAAAGAAGTGGTTAGTGGATGTGCGATAGACCAATAATCTGTGTCTTTTGAAGGTTAAAGTTCCCACCTAAACGTCTACTGTTCTTATTTAGCACTGCCAAATTGGTAAGCAATTTTCTAATTCTGGGATCTCTATTCTTTGGCTAGATTCCCTACATCCTTCCCTCTTGCCTCCTCCTCCTTTCCTCCAGGATCATGGCAGTTCTCCTGCGACAGTTCTCATGACCACCACACTGTCCTATCCCTCCTCTCTTACTCTAGAAATCTACAATGCTTAGCAAAACTGGGCTGCAAAATCATACTTGGTCACTTCCTTTGGGCTGAAAAATCTCAGTTTGAGGCAGCATGTTCACAAAGTTAGATGTCCTCTTCATCTATTCATTTGAAATTCTGGAATATACTTAAGCAGCCAGATACTGACATTATTTTGACCAGCCAAAGGACTTTAATGAAAGCATAGATTATTTTTCTTGAAGAAGCAGAGCAAAATGTAATCAGGACCTCAAGTAGAACAAGAAAACAAAAACATCCTTAGTCTCATAATGCTCTCATAGTAACGTTCACTTTTAACAATTTTAAGTTGAATGTGTCAAGTCTTTAACCTGAAAAAAAAAGCTGTAAGTTATAATTGGGGCAGATCCAGATTTTGTGGGGCCTCAAGCTTCACTTGAGGGACCTGCTTTTTTTTTAAAAAAAAATACAAAATTATAACATCTAATACAGAATTAAGTGAAGATCTTGGAAGGGGCCTATGGCCCATGCAAGTGACAGGCCCTAAAGCTTGAGTTTCACTAAATTTATGGTAAGTCCCCTCTGCTTATCATCAACACATATATACAAGGCCCAGCCCAAGAGAAAAGGAAGGATTAAGTGAAAGCAAACTATAAACAGATGTATGGCTAAAGGCCATGAAATAAGAAAGAAAAACCTGCAAGAAAAAATTCAAGCAGTACAAGTTTTGAACTTCCTGTTAAATTTATGTAGTGATTAGAATGAGAGGGGAAAAACTTTCTACACAGAAAGACCAGTACCTATTACTTATATATATCACTCATACGATAACCAAACAAATATACCAGATATCAGATATAGATTAGATAAAAAAACTTCATCTTAGTAAACATGCTTAGACAATTTACTTGCAGAAATAATCGTTCATCAGCTCTCACTGGATATTGTTGAAAAGTTCCTAACATTTGTTTTGGATGCACCATTCCACAGAACATGATGTTTATCTGTTTATCTTGTATCTACTGATAATGACACAACTAATAGCTAACTTTAAGCATTTGCTCTGTGTTCAGCTGTATTAGGCCATTTTTGCATTGCTATAAAGAAATACTGGAGGCTAGGTAATTTATAAAGAAAAGAGGTTTATTTTGGCTCACAGTTCTGCAGGCTGTACAAGCATGCCACTGGCATCTGCTTCTGTGAGGGCTGCAGGAAACTTACAATTATGGTGGAAGGTAAAATGGGAACAGGCATGTCAAATGGCAAGAGAGGGAGCAAGAGAGGGCAAGGGGGTAGATCTCAGACTATTTTAAACAACCAGATCTTGTGTGAACTCAGTAAGAACTCACTCACTATTTCAAGGACAGCACCAAGCCATTCATGAGGCATCCACCCCCATGATCCAAACGCCTCACACCAGGTCCTACCTGCAACACTGAGGATGACATTTCAACATTAGATTTGGAAGGGACAAACATCCAAATCATGTAACCAGCTAGTCAGCAGGCTAAACACTACATGGAATGCCTCAATCAATCTTCAAACAAGCAAATGAAATAGGCACTTTTGTTATCCTCATGTTACAGATGGGAAAACTGAGGCCCAAAAAGGTCATACAGTTTGTGAGAGTTGAAGCCAAGACCAATAGCAAACAGTGTCCATACAAACCTGAGATTCAGAGACATTAAACAATCCACCAAGATCACACATATCTATTAAGTGGTGGAATCAGGATTCTAACTGGGTCTGACTTCAAAACAGGGGTTCTTGCAGCATGTTCTTAACACCCCTATAATATTGAAGGATCCAAGCACAAAATACAACATTGGTGAGGGTTCATAACTTAACAGTTCCTTTGATAAAAATGATAGAAGAAAAGCAAATGTGGAGTAGCTATTAATCTGAGTCTCTGTTGAACTTCCAGCATGTGCATGGCCTGCTTGCTGCCATTCCTGGGGGTAAGCGGCAGAAATCCAGCCTGGCTGCAAACAAGACACACACATTTCAGCAGTTGTAGCTCACTACATCATCAGAACTAGTGCCTCCTCTCCCACCTCCTTGTTCCATGGACTTTTTTTTAGAGTAATGACATTGCCATTCCTATTAACTTCATAGGTTCTGTATGACCAAATGGCATAATTTGGGGCTGGGACATTTTCTTTGCCATTTCACATTTTATAAAACTCCATACAAATTAATATAATCACATAATAGGAGAGCCATCATTTTCAACTGTAGAACCTGGAATAACTGCCACAAAGCCCCTCCCTGTTCTGCTACACAGGGGTTCCTCCCTCTAACTCATCCCCTTCCACACCAAAAATGGATTATGCTATTCTCTTTCATTCTTAGATTCAGGATTAGGTCTAATTGTAAGAGGCCAGGTCTACAGCCCACATCATATCACATGTTAAATTGTCAAAAAGAAAAAATTATTTGAGACCCAATATACCAAGAAACAAACGTATGACATCCCAACCCCACCCCAAGCCTCTCCATTCCTTAGGAAGGGACAGTAATTTGGGAAGCGGTTGCTGTTTAAGATACAGTAATTGTTAAAAATCAGAAAAGTAACAAAGATATAAAGAAGAAAAACATTGTCCAAAATCCCAGTCCCAAGAGGAAATGTCTATCAACTTTTGGTTATATTTCTTACAGTATTCTATCTACTTTAGAAAATATTAATAGTTGGGATCAAATAGTACATATAATTCTGAAATCTGTTTCTGGTGAGTTCTTTGCTGTTGTTGTTGTTTTCCCTTTAAAAGGGCGTCATTTTTTAATACTCATGAACAGCTCTCTTATATTTCAGGAAAAGATCATTTCAACATTTTGACTTCAGCATTCCACTGATGACTGCAAACAGCCTAAGCTCCTCTTAGGCATAATTCAGTAGGCTGTCCCGAGACTTTTTGATCCCATAGTAGTAAAAATGCACCCACACAATTTAACCTACATAGAGCTATGATAAAAAATGAGAGCTGATCTTTCTTCCTGAAAAAATATTGTGGTCATTGTATTTTTATGCTAATATGAATTTAGGAAGAAGTTTTTTTGTTTGTTTGTTTGTTTTGTTTTGTTTTTCATGTTTCATAACATCCACTGATTCACACTTGGCAATTTTTGAATTGCGGAAGCAGAAAGATTGCAAATTCAAAGGGAAGGAAGGGATGGAGGACTGGAGGAATGAGTAATCTAAATATTCATATGATGTTAAAAGCCTCATTTGTTTGACAAGAAGGAGGTAGAAGAAGAGCATATAAAGGAAAAGAACAAGGAAGAGGAGTGTTCTAGAGGACTCCTGATTGAGATTTCTCCTCTCTGACCGCCCTAAATTCTTTCTTTTTCCTCAGTCCCACAACAGAGAAAAGAGTAGGATGGCTGTCTAATAGTTAAAGTAAAAAGACACTTTTATTTCTTTGTTGATATGAATCGACATGCTGGGGATTTTGGCAAACGATGATCCTTTGAAAATCATCCAAAAATATATACTTCTAACTGAATCGAAGAGATCAATACATATAATGGATTTTTTTGAGTGCATATGTTGGCTCAGAACACAGAGAGTAGAGATAATCATTAAAGTTTTATGGGTTGTCAACCAGGGACTGTGTCATCTTACTTGACTTCAGTGGTGGCTCGTTTTAAAATTTTTAGACTGAGGTTTCCAGGATCCTCTATCCTCTTACTCATCCTCCTTCCTTAAAGGAATTGCTGATGCCTGGGAGGTTTCAGCCATGAGGCAATGCAGTTTTACTGGAGCTGGTTGTGGGGGGAGGGGTGGGGGTTCCAATGGCATTTTTTTCAATGGAAACAAAGGGTAGAATGCAGCTTCCCCAGTGTGCGTACACCATTTATGGGGCTAAGCAGACAGTCAGTTGCTAACCTGTCGCCATGAACACCTTCCCAAAATAAAATGTATGCACTACATTTTGAGGAGTGGGTGGTTTCAGGCAGACATTTTTCAGGCGCCAAAGAGAGCTCTGAATTTAGTTACATAGAATGAGAATTGTTACCTCACAGCCTAAATAACGGCTTCCTTCAGGCATATAATAATATTTGAACTTCCTGTAAAGCCAAATCTCTTACAAGATGTTATATTAGCAAGTTTAAGTTACTCTAGGTTTTTTAAATTACTAAGGATCCTCATACCACTGTTTTCCATAAATGTCTTAAAAGAGACAAATGAGTTCTAATTGTCTTGTCTTACATTACATGAGGAGAGGAAGAACAGCACCATCTTGATTCTTTTTTTTTTTTTTTTTTGAGGTGGAGTCTTGCTCTGTTGCCCAGGCTGGAGTGCAGTGGCATGATCTTGACTCACTACAACCTCTACCTCCTGGGTTCAAGTGATTCTCCTGCCTCAGCCTCCCGAGTAGCTTGGACTATATGCGTGCGCCACTATGCCTGGCTAATTATTTTCTATTTTTCTTTTTTTTTTTGTATTTTTAGTAGAGATGGGGTTTTGCCACATTGGCCAGGCTGGTCTCGAACTCCTGACCTCAGATGATCCACCGAACTTGGCCTCCCAAAGTGCTGGGATTACAGGCGTGAGCCACCGCGTCCAGCCATCTTGGTTCTTTTGAAGTGCAGTTGCCAAATTTGGTTACTTTACTTTGAAGGACTGTAAGTGGATGTTTATCTAATAAGTTCATGCAGAAGACAGCTTTCTAGTATCTTCAATTAAGAGCATACACGTTCTTTGTCTTTTTATTTTCTTTTTTGAGATAGGGTCTCGCTCTGTCGCCCAGGCTGGAGTACAGTGGCGTAATCTTGGCTCACTGCAACCCCCACCTCCCTCGCACAAGCAACCCTCCCATCTCAGCCTTCTGAGTAGCTGGGACTATAGGCACAGGCACATGCCACCACACCTGGCTAATTAAGAGCATACATTTTCAATTTTTTGTTTCCAAAAAATTCAGTGTGATGAATAAGGTTATATTAATGGTGAGCTTCTTGATCTGTGTGCTGAAAATTTTCACCCACACATACATTTGAACTTAAAACAGTTCACAGGGAAGGATCAACAAAAGCGAGTCCATAGTCCATGTAAAAAATCTATATAATCTACATTTTTTTCTAAAAAAGTCAATTTTCAGTTATCTATGGGGTGATTTCCAAACCCACATTTAAATGCAATTATAAATGCACAGTTCATAGCTAAATATAAAGTATTTATTCAGTGTTATCTGCAATTTAGATTAATAGGATTCCTGGGGAAATAATAAATCGCTGATAGTGCAAAAACAGATTTCATTGTTTGTGGAGAATGAGACATATGTCCATTTTCTTTCTAGACAAAAACCCAGTTCAAATTTTGTTTATACCAAGCCCTATAGGAATTTTTAAATACTTTAGGAATGAGTATTTCCTTTAAAAATAAATCATTCAACAGAGCTTTATTATTATTATTTTATTTCAATAGTTTTTGGGGGTCCAGGTGGTTTTTGGTTACACGGATAAGTTCTTTAGTGGTGATTTCTGAAGTTTTGGTGTACCCAGTATGTGGTCTTGTCTCCCTCACCCTCCTCCCACCCATTCCCCCGTCCACAAGTCCCCAAAGTCCATTATAACATTTTTATGCTTTTGCATCCTCATAGCTTAGCCCACTTACAAGTGAGAACATGAGATAGTTAGTTTTCCATTCCTGAGTTACTTCACTTAGAATAATGGCCTCCAGCTCCATCCAAGTTGTTGCAAAGGCTATTATTTCATTCCGTTTTATGGCTGAGTAGTATTCCATGGTGTATACATACCACCTTTTCTTTATCCACTAGTTGGTCGATGGGCATTTAGGATGGTTCCATATTTTTGCAATCGTGAATTGCGCTGCCATAAATGTGTGTGCATGTGTCTTTTTCATATAATAACTTCTTTTCCTCTGGGTAGATACCCAGTAGTGGGATTGCTGGATTGAATGGTATTTCTACTTCTAGTTCTTTAAGGAATCTCCATTCTGTTTTCCATAGTGGTTGAACTAATGTACATTTCCACTAGCAGTGTAAAGTGTTCCCATTTTACCACATTCACGCCAACATCTATTATTTTTCAATTTTTAAATTATGGCCATTCTTGCAGGAGTAAGGTGGTATCTCATTGTGGTTTTGGTTTGCATTTCCCTGATAATTAGTGTTGTTGAGTATTTTTTCATATATTTGTTGGCCGTTTGTATATCTTCTTTTGAGAATTGTCTATTCATGTCCTTTACCACCCACTGTTTGATGGGATTTTTTTTTCCTTGCTGATTTGAGTTCCTTGTAGATTCTGGATGTTAGTCCTTTGTTGGATGCATAGTTCATGAATATTTTCTCCCACTCTGTGGGTTGTCTGTTTACTTTGCTGATTATTTCTTTTGCTGTGCAGAAGGGTTTTAGTTTAATTAGGTCCCAATTATTTATTTTTGTTTCTGTTGCATCTGCTTGGGGGTTCTTAGTCATGAATTCTTTGCCTAAGCCAATGTCTAGAAGAGTTTTTCCTATATTATCCTCTAGAATTTTTATGGTTTCAGGTCTGAGATTTAAGTCTTTGATCTGTCTTGAGTTGATTTTTGTATAAGGTGAGAGATGAGGATCCAGTTTCATTCTTCCACATGTGGCTTGCCAGTTTACCCAGCCCCATTTATTGAATAGAGCGTCCTTTCCCTACTTTATGCTTTTGTTTGCTTTATTGAAGATCAGTTGGCTGTAAGTATTTGGCTTTATTTCTAGGTTTTCAAATGGAGATTTTAAGTGTTTTCTGCTAAAGCACAAAATTTTCTTGCAATGAGATTTGATTTTTCTCCTTTAAAAAGTGGGCAAAGAACATGAGCACAGCAAAAGAAATAATCAGCAGAGTAAACAGACAGCCCACAGAGTGGGAGAAAATATTCTCAAACTATGCATCTGACAAAGGACTGAAATCCAGAATCTACAAGGAACTCAAACAAATCATCAAGAAAAAAAAAACAAATAATCCCATCAAAAAGTGGCCTAAGGACACGAATAGACAATTCTCAAAAGAAGATATACAAATGGCCAACAAACATATGCAAAAGTGCTCAACAGCACTAATTATCAGAGAAATGCAAATCAAAACCACAATAAGATACCACCTTACCCCTGCAAGAATGGCAATAATTTAAAAATTAAAAAGTAATAGATGTTGGCATGGATGTGGTGAAAAGGGAACACTTTTACAGTACTGGTGAAAATGTAAACTAGTACAACCACTATGGAAAACAATATGGAGATTCCTTAAAAAACTAGAAGTACAACTACCATTTGATTCACCAATCCCACTACTGGGTATCTACCCAAAGGAATAGAAGTTATTATATGAAAAAGACAGATGCACACATACATTTATAGCAGCACAATTCGCAACTGTAAAATTATGGAACCATCCTAAATGCCCATCGACCAACGAGTGGATAAAGAAAATGTGGTATCTATACACCATGGAATACTATTCAACCATAAAAAGGAACAAAATAATGGCATTCACAGCAACCTGGATGGAGTTGGAGCCTTTTGTTTTGTTTTTGAGATGGAGTCTTGCTCTGTTGCCCAGGCTGGAGTGCAGTGGCATGATCTCGGCTCACTACAACCTCTGCCTTCCGGGTTCAAGCGATTCTCCTCCCTCAGCCTCCCAAATAGCTGGGATTACAGGTGCCCACCACTATGCCCAGCTAATTTTTGTATTTTTAGTAGAGACAGGGTTTCACCATGTTGGCCAGGCTGGTCTTGAACTCCTGAGCTCAGGTGATCCGCTTGCCTCGGCCTCCCAAAGTGCTGGGATTACAGGCGTGAGCCACCATTATTCTAAATGAAGTAACTCAGGAATGGAAAACCAAACATCAGATGTTCTCACTTATAAGTGGGACTAAGCTATGAGGATGCAAAGGCATAAGAATAATACAATGAACTTTGGGGACTCAGGAGAAAGGGTAGGAGGGTATAAGGGATAAAAGACTATATTGGGTACAGTGCACACTGCTCAGGAGATGGGTGCACCAAAATCTCAGAAGTCACCACAAAAGAACTTATCCATGTAACCAAAAATCACCCACTCCCCAAAAACTATTGACATAAAAAAATTTTTTTTAAGTTAAAAATAATTGGTTGTAAAAATACAACTAAGGCAGAAACGTATAAAGCAAAAAGTAAAGGTCCCTCATGCCCACCCACATTTTACATTTTGGTAGCTTTTTTTTTTTTTTTCCTTTTCGTTCTTTCTTTTTTTTTTTTTTTTTTGAGACAGCCTCACTGTCATCCAGGCCAGAGTGCAGTGGCGCCATCTTGGCTCACTACAACCTCCACCTCTCAGGCTCAACCATTCCTCCCACCTTAGCCTCCCGAGGATCTAAGACTACAGGCGCACATCACCACACCCAACTAATTTTTGTATTTTTTGTAGAGACGGGGCTTTACCATGTTGCCCAGGCTGGTCTCAAACTCCTGGGCTCAAGTGATCCTCCCACCTCAGCCTCCCAAAGTGCCAGGATTACAGGTGTGAGCCACCATGCCTGTCTGCTTGCCTGATATTTTTAATGACCTATGTCTACTCTCTCAAGAGATCTTAGCTTGGAATTGTCCACCTTCCACAATGTTTCCAGAATTATCTATCTAATTTTGAACCTAGTTATTTCAGTCCCCTGCTGGCTCCCTGCAACTGCATATGAATCTGAATGCCTTTACAGCCACTCCAGCTCTTCAAAACCTAAGCCCAACCCCCCTTTCTTGCCTCATGTCCTTGCTCCCTCTACAAATTACCCTCTGTGCCAGCCATGCTGAGTTTTTTACCTTTCTCAGAATTTCTCATTCTTTCTCTTGCCTCTATGCCCTTGCATTTACCATTTCCCCTTCCTTCTTCTACCTTTGGTAAATTCCTATTCAACTTCCAAGAACCATCTGAAATATCACTTCCTCTATGCCCCCTCCTTAACTCCCCAAGCCAAATAAGCTACCTCTCTTCTGCTTCCCTTGTGGTGGCACCAAGTACTTTATTATATAATCTTCAAACAAATGTTTGTCTCCTCCTAGAGACCATGATGTCTTTTTGGGCAAGGACCTTCAGCATGCATTCCCTGTCCTTGGTTGAGTTCCTGACTGACAGGAGGCCTTCAAAAAGTGTTTACAGAATACCTAAATAATTCTCAGTATTATCCAGTAAAAGCAAACAACAACAAAAAAATTCAATCTCTCTTCTTTACCTATGGCATAGAGTATGAACTAGATAGTAGTTAATATATAACAAGCATTAATTAACAATGTATGGTTCACCTGCATGAGGAAATCATACCATGAACCTCTGCAGACAGACATGTCTATATCCTCAGCCAAAATGGCAAAGAAGGCAAATGATCCCCAAGTGTCTCTCCTTTCCTCTGCATTTCTCTCCCACCTCCTGTGCCTTCCCAGCCACAGCATTCATTGTCAGATGCCCTCTGGCCACAGCTGTTATTGTAGAATGCACACACCAAGCCATACACCAACATTTCTCCCTTTCCACCTCAGCCAGCTTCCATTCTTTTAGCCAAGCATCATGAACAACTATGTGAGAAACCAATAAGATTACATGATTTCCTAGGTGTGGTGGTTCATGCCTATAATCCCAGCACTTTAAGAGGCCAAGGCCCAAGGATTGCATAAGGCCAGGAGTTTGAGACCAGCCTGGGCAATACAGTGAGACCCTCATCTCTACCAAAAAAAATTAAAAATAAATAAATCAAAAATTAGCCAGGTGTGATGGTATGTACCTATAGTCCCAGCTACTCAGGAGGCTGAGGCAGGAAGATCCCTTGAGCCTAGGAGTTTGAGGTTGCAGTGAGCTGTGATCACGCCACTGCACTCCAGCCTAAGTGAAAGAGTGAGGCTGTGTCTTAAAAACAAACAAACAAAAAACATTACATGACTTGTACTCTGTCAAGAATAAACTCAGTCTCCCAGAGAGGAATATCTTTTTCAAAGATTAGCTCAATAGCTCAAATGAATCTAACTGGTAGAATACGCTAAAGAGATATTTTCATTGGAAGGCCTTTCAGAAGTCCCTTGGACTTTCTAGGCCACAAGATACCACCAGCTCCAACATGTTGAAGAGGTGGGGGTCAGCAGCAGGACCTCCCCCCATTTCTGAAAGGTTGCCGACACCTGGCCCTTCTGCAGGGATTTCCCAGTGCACCTTCCTTAGGGAATGAGTGTTCCTAAAATTGCAATCACTCAGTATTCACTGCCAGCCTAGTGGGGGAAAAACAAACAAAAGAAAAACAAAAAACAAACAAAAAAACACCATTATAATACAAATAGAATTAGGGCAAAAAGAACAAGGGAAAAAGGGCCAAGAGAAAGGTGGCAGATAAGAAGAATGACAATCCTGGGGGAACCACATAGAAGCTGCCACACCCAAATAGATGGCACTTGGCACTCACACAAGAAGCCTACTGAAAGAATCAGAAATGCACCCATTCCAACATTTTTTCTATTTAAAATGTTTTCCACCTAAAGCTGAGTGTCCTATAGTACATTAGCTTTTAAAAAAAATCACAAAAGATTGCGTGGGTCAGAAAAGCCCAGAGCGCTTTTCTTCGTGAAATTACAAAAGCCTGACAAATGGCTGCAAATGTCCCTGCTCTTCCCTCGCTTCTCATGAGATTCGTTGCTATCCCCAATTTGATCTTATTTCCAGGGCAGCCTTTCCTCTTATAGCCATACATGCTGAGATCAAAGGAGGGAGATGCTGTTACATACAGGACTAACGTTACAGGGAAAAGAATTGGAAAGAGCTCAGACTTCATTATATACAAGAATAATTTCAAGGAATAAAAACCATTTCCAGAGGAAGCTGAAACCAAAAATAGTAGCAACTCTAAACTTCATTTTAGGAGCCTGAAGAATGTTATACCCCTCCATGAGGTTGCCTAGGGAACAGGACTCATTTATCCTTTGCTGTCCAATAATTTCTTGGAAATTGCTACCCCATATTAAATCTATGATTGTTAAATTCACTCTAAATGGAAAAGGCCCTCAAGAAAGTGCTGTTTAAGTTATAGTAAAGAAATCTTTGTCAGGAAAACGTTATAGAAATCTAAAGTTCCTTTAATATGTCTGGCTGTCCCAACAAACCTTCTTCTACTTGGATATAAGATTTTTTAAATCCATAATCTCTTATTCTACATCTTGATTTCTCAATGTAGAGTTTTCTTATAAATAAACCAATTTGTTTAGATTACAAACACTTATCTTAGCATGTCAAAAACTATAAATAGGAATATTCTATTCTGAACTAAACCATGCAAAACTATTCCAGCTTACCCCCAAACATTCAAGAAAAAATATCCTTGATAACGGAATGTGTAAGAAGCAAAAAGAAGGGTGTTTGGCATTCTTCACATGATAAATTTTCCTCAAATTTTGCCTGTTATAAGCCCAACCATGAGAGAGAAAAGTTTGTGTTATTGTCAGGGAGAGGCATATTGAAAGTGCCACCGATGATGATATTAGTGTGTTTGTTTTTTAGCATTGTTTGTAACAACACTATTGACCAAATTCCTATCCTTCCTATGCTCTGTAATTCTTTCAGGCCAAGGTAATTATTTCACAGGCATGCTGAGTCTTTCATTTCTGGTTCCCGTGTGTGAATTGTGAAAAGGGCATTCTGAATGCTACCTCTCCTGCAGGTGAAATATTCCTTCTGTTTATGTTCCTTGCTAATGCCTCAGGCTTCTCTACACATGATCACTTTTTACACGAAAGCTAGAAGAGGCTAAACTTTATCTCTGCACTTTCCTCTTTGGAACAGCTTGCATTAAAATCTAGATTAGGGGATGAGACTGAAAGCGATGGCTATAGTGGTGATAATCGGTAATTTGGTAAGTTTAATTTTTCTGTGAAATTTTAGAGCCTGGCTGTACTAGGCCTGAGACCAGAGACTTTTGTCCTCAAATATGTATTCTTTAGTAGAACATGTCTGAAATAATAGCCATTAGCTGAAGAGAAAACTCACAATTAACCAGAATTTCACCCATAATAGAAAAACTCTTACTTATCACAAAGCACTGCCTTGGACACTGCTTAAAAATATGCTAAAATAATTTTTTCTCCAGATCAATTATAAGGGAGTTGCATTATAAGAGAACAGATTCATATAGGAAATCTTACTTTAAAAATAAAAACAGGCTGTTCATGGTGGCTCATGCCTGAAACACTAACACTTTGGGAGGCCGAAGTGGGAAGATCACTTGAGCCCAGGAGTTCATGACCAGCCTGGAGAACACAGTGAGACGTCATCTCTACAAAAAATAGAAAAATGAGCCAGTCATGGTGGCATGCACCTGTAGTACCAGCTACTTGGGAGGCTGAGGTGGGAGGATCGCTTCAGCCCAGGAGGTGAAGGCTGCAGTGAGCTGTAATTGTGCCTTTGCACTCAGCCTGGGAAACAGTGATGTTCCACAAAGAGTATGGTGGTCTGTAACAAGGTTATGACCATAGCATACTCAGCCAGCTGAACAAGTTTCACTACTATCATTTCATTTTAGAAAGATGCTCACTAACAGCATGAAAACTAGTTCATCTCAATGCATCCAGTATTTATTTACTGTGCATTTCACATGGGCTAGGCATTATGCTGTGAGCTGCTATGGAAAAAGGCAAATATGACAAAATTGCTATCTCAAAAATTTCAAAGTGTTTGGTATAAATAGATACATGGTGTATTATACAGACAGATAAATAGTGTATCAAAGAGATACCCTAAGTACCCAGGTAATTATGATGCAAGGAACTAGCTAACTTCGATAAAAGACACAAAAACAAAGCTTTATGGGAATTCAAATGAGTAAGCAATTACATCCATTGGAAGAATCCCAGTAGAGTAAAATGGTACGAACTCTCTTGAGGGTAATTTAGCAAAGCATATAAAAAGCCTTAAGACTGTACCGTTTATGGTAGTAAAAAACTGGAGATAATCTATATATCCAACAATTGGGAAGTGGTTAAATAATGTACAATACATTTACTCATTAGAATACAAGTAGGCATTACAAATTACATTGTAGATAAGTATTTCATAAGATTTTATGGAAAAACTATAAAATATTAGTGCATATGGTAAGAAAAATGTTCAAACTCTTCAAAAGGACAATGAAGTGTCTTTCTCCCACCCCAGAATCCCTAGTAACTTTACCCAAATTGCCTTGACCCAAAGACACCCCTTAACCCCAAAACCCAAAGTACTTGTGTTGGTCCATTCTCATGTTGCTCTAAAGAAATACCTGAAACTGCACTGTGTATAAAGAAAAGAGGTTTAATTGGCTCCCAGTTTCACAGGCTATCCAGGAAGCATGATGCTGGCATCTGCTTGGCTTCTGGTAAGGCCTCAGGAAACTTACAATCGTGGCAGAAGGCAAAGGAGAAGCAGGCATGTCACATGGCCAGAGCAGGCGCAAGAGACAGGAAGTAGGTGCTGCACAGTTTTAAGTGACCAGATCTCATGAGAACTCACTATTGCGAGGACAGTACCAAGAGTGATGGTGCTAAATATTACATGAGAAACCCGCCCACATGAGCCAATTACCTTCTACCAGGCCCTACCTCCAACATTTGGGATTACAATTTGACATGCAATTTGGGTGGACACACATATCCAAACTATATCAGCACTTTTACCCAAAACCATTTCTCAAAGACCTGTGCCTCAGAGTACATAAACAGGCATGTGCTGTATGAACCCACTGTTTGGCCCTTTGCTTTGGGCCCTTAACGAATTATCTTGGATATTTTTCCATATCAGCAAAATATAGATATATACCACGTATTTCAATAGTCACCAGGTATTCAATCGCATGGGTTTTATTATACTTCACGTATTCAGTTCCCTATTAAAGAGCAAATATGTTGTTTCCAGAATTTTGCTATTACAAACAATGTTGCAATATATGTAGATGAAATGTTTAATACTATGTAAAAATGTTCAAGATATTTTAAGTTAAAAAAACTCAGACTATAAAATAGTATATATGGCCATCCCACCTTAATTTTGTTAAAATATATATACCACTGAGAGAAAAGTGTGGAAGCAGAGATTTCTTTTTTTTTTTTCTTTTTTTTTGAGGCAGGGTCTTGCTCTGTCACCCAGGCTAGAATGCATGCAGTGATGCTATTGTGATTTACTACAGCATTGGCCTCTTGGGTTCAAGCGATCCTCTTGCCTCCCAAGTAGCTAGGACTGCAGGCCTGTGCCACCACACCCAACCAATGTTTCAATTTTTTTGTTGAAACAAAGTTTCACTGTGTTGCCCAGGCTGGTCTCAAACTCCTGAGCTCAAGTGATCTGCCCACCTCAGCCTTTCTAAGTGCTGGGATTACAGGAATGAGCCACCATGCCTGGCCTGAGATTATCTATATTAATAGTAGTTATCTTAGCAGCAGAATTACAGGTGACTTTAATTTTCATCCTTTTTCCTTTGGAGTTCTCTATTATATAAATTTTCTACAGTGAACATATGCCACTTATGTGATTAAAAATATTAAATGGTTTAGAGAAAGGTTTTATGGAAGAGACAGCATTTGGGATAGGACTTGAAAGATGGGTGACTTTTTAACTTGTTCAGATACGAGAAAATATTAAAGATAATAGGATTTATGATTAAAGCTAAATAAGATGAGAAAGTTTAGGCAAGTTGGAAGAAAAACCATCTAGTTAGGTTAGAGCATAGGATAGCCATAGGAAAGTAGTGGAAAATAAAGAGGTTGGGAAATTGAATTGAGACCTTGCACATCAAATGGGGTGATTACATTTAACACATTGAGTGGCTCACACCTGTAATCTCAGCACTTTGGGAGGCCGAGGCGGGTGGATCATGAGATCAGAAGTTCGAGACCAGCCCAGCCAATATGGTGAAACCCCGTCTCTACTAAAAATACAAAAATTAGCCGGGTGTGGTGGCTCACACCTGTAATCCCAGCCACTAAGGAGGCTGAGGTTGAACCCAGGAGGTAGAGGTTGAACCCAGGAGGCAGAGGTTGCAGTGAGCCTAGATCACACCACTGCACTCCAGCCTGAGCGATGGAGTGAGACTCTGTCTCAAAAAAAAAAAAAAGGAGCGGGGGGAGTAACAACAACAAAGACAGAGGTGTGCAGCAACACCACTTTCATGTAGTCAGAGAATTTGGTTATCCAGTATATTCCTGAGCACTTAGTTCAGTCAACACTTGGTGCTATACTTGATATGTCCCCAAAAGCAGTCAAAATGACATAAGGGAAGTTATCAGAAAGAGGGAGTTCAACCTCAAGGGAAATACAATGACATAAGGCAAATGTAGTGAAAAGTATCAAACTGTCACTAAGTAAAATATTTTCAAAGATGTGAATACTCACCACCTACATTGTTTCACAATAATATCCTCAATAAGCCTGTGTGACTTTAAATACTTACACCCAGGAGATGCACAGGGGAAAGATCACTAAATAACAAGATGCCTACCAATGCCATGAGGCAGGTGGACTGTTTGAAACACACACCAGTTACATCCATGGCTGTCAATGGAGAAAGATGAGTCCCAAGGGCACTAAAGGGATGTCTGGATATCAGAGTCACACTGCTGCTGTTTTAAATACTTTCCGAATCCAATCCAGAAAATTGGCGCTCTTTAACACTTTCTGCAGTAAATGGTTAAACTAATAGAAGTTCCCCCATCACTAAGAAAGTGAAAGGCAATAAAATATACCAAATCATCCATACCATGATACTTCATCCCCAGTAATTGTATATTGGCCTTAAACAATTCAAAAAAATCCAACCCAATAACTACTTAATAAATAGTGCCCATGTGGGGAGTAACTGGCCAGCCACTGTACTAGTTTTTTTATAGTCCTTTTTGTCTTTAATCCCCTCAACAGTCTTTCATGAAAGGTATCATCACCCCCATTTCATGGAAAAAATGGAATGTGGCTCAAAGAACTTAATTTACCTTGCTATTCACACAACAAACAGGTTGTAAAGTTGGTATTCAGGTCTTGGGTTGAGAGCCAGCAACTCCCACTGGGCACCACGGCCCAATGCCTGCTACCTGACCCAAAGCCAGCATCTTGAAAATGTCATTAACATTGCTCTCCTGTGCCAATACCAAGACCAGAGTAATTATAAGAAACCCTCAGGACTCATTTCAGACCAACAACTGATCCCTCTAGCTGATCAGAATAATAACACCACAGCAAACCTCAAAACCAATACAAGTTTCTAAAGAAAGAGCTGTGATATTTTTTTGTGGCCAGCCTCTTTCTTTGCCTGAATTGCTAGCAAAATGAAAAATTGGACAGAATAATAATTATGTCTTTCATTAGTTTGGGGATCTGATAAACGGATTCTTTTTTATAACATCAGGAACAAGAAGTTTAAGTCTTCAAATATAATGTCTATATATTTTAAATATCTGGAATTCTCTTGAAAAATCTCAAGAATGAAATTTCCATTTAAACTAGCTATATAACATAAAATGCTACTGATTTAAGCCAAATGAGAAACTGAGCAAGAGACCTTTTTGCTGTCTTTAAAGAACAAAATTCTTTAGAAAATAGAAGCAATGCTCTAAGAATAGAAAGAACATTTTTCTCCCTGAATACCCCACCTCTTCCTAACAAGACTACACTTTTATATCCACTACACTTTTATCTTACATACACTACACTTTCATCTTACATCCACAGGCAGGTTCCCTTTTTCTCCCCAAAGAAAAGGCAGGGACATATCTGGTAAAAACTATCCCAACATCTCTGAATATTACATCATATGCAGAATAAGAAAAAAAATTACTAGAAAAATTTTTTCCATAATCTTGCCAGAAAACAACAGAGGCAACCAAGAAGAAGCTAACAAATCCTCTCACCGCTCCCCAGAGCCATTCTATAGAAAGGAGGGCAGCTGAATAGCAGGAATGGAACAAGGGAGAGAGGTCTAATGACCAAGGGTCTGGATGGCTCATTCGCCCACCCACTCAACACTTACCAAGCCTCCACTGTGGACTAGGCATCAGAAATATGGGAACCGATGACAGCTGAGACCAGCTTTCTCTATTAAACATTTCCATAGCACACCGTATTTTTTCTTTATAGCACTCAACATACTTCTGTCTTTTCAGCTACATCTTAAAAGACTTGTTTATGGGAGTGTAAAATTATGTACCTGCTATGGAAAACAGTTATGGTGGTTCCTCAAAAAATTAAAAATAGAATCACCATGTGATCCACAATTCCACTTCTGGGAACATACCCAAAATAACTGAAAGCATGGCCTTGAAGAGACATTTGTACAACCTCAGTCACAGTAGCACTACTCATAATAGTCAAGGGGTCAAGCAACTCCCGTGTTTATTGACAGATGAATGGATAAGCAAAATGCAATCTATACATATGGCAAAAAGCACAATTACTTTTGTACTAACCTAATACAATGGAACATTATTTAGCCTTAAAAAGGAAGGCAGTTCTGGCACATGCTACAACCCCAATGAACCTTGAAAACATTATGCAAAGTGAAATAAACTACACACAAAACAACAAAATAATGTGTGATTCCACTTACACGAGGTACCTAGATTAGGCAAATTCATAGAGACAGGAAGTAGATTAGAGGTTACCAGGAAGGAGTGGGGCAAGGGGAGTTATTGTTTAATGGGTACAGGATTTCTGTTTTGCAAAATGAAAAAGTTCTGGAGACTGAATGCACAACAATGTGAATGTACTTAACACTACTGAACTGTACACTTAAAAATGGTTACTTTGATAAATTTTATGGTAAGTGTATTTTTACCTCAATTAAAATTTTTAAAAATTAAAAAGAGACTTCTTTATCCTTCCACATTTATTATTTAAGCACAGGACGTTGCACATAGAAGATGCTTAATAAATATTTATTGGATGGATGAATAGATGAACAGACAGACAGATGGAGAGAAAGATGGATGGGGATGTGAACAGAAATGAAATGTACATATAAGCTGATAATTACTAGATCATGGGAACATAGAGAAACGATCCCTGTGAATATGAAGAAGTGAAGGTTTCTTATTATGGTTGAATTTGACATAATATTTATCATGTAGAATTACTTTGTTTTACTGTTTTACCCACCAACACCACAAAAAAATTTTAGTATAAATCTGGTACTGTCTAGTTAATAATTTTTATTTTTTTAGTCTTATTTCTCTTCCGCTACTTATACTACAGTATAATCTGTCTTCTGAGCTAGATGACATTAAAACAAAAAAAAAATCCATTTTCTGTCACCTTTGCTCTTTCCAGCACCTCTCTTAATCCAAAAGGGTAATGTGAAAGAAAGCTTACACTTAACACTGCAGAAGACAGATAGAAGCAAGCATGAGTTGGTGGCCCACAGGTTATTAATCAGCTGGCCTCTGGGGCATAGTGTTATGAAGCTGCATCATGTAATAAACAGCAGGCAAAAAGAATAATCTCCATTTTCTGACTCTGAAGTGCAGGCATGTGCTATAAAACTAAATTGACATCTGTTAGCAGGCTTGTCACATGGGTGGTTTTTTCCTGCAGAATCTGGAATAAATTAAATCTTAAAATAAAACTGGGAACAGAGAGGCTGCTTTACATAATTCCTTCTAATAGTGTGCTGTGAACCCATCATGGTGATTTTAAAGAGAAGTTCTTGTAAGAAATGTTTCATTATCATTTCAACTGCAAAACTGTTGAATGCCACTCCATGCTAGGAAATTTGTGTTTTTTAAAAGGTGCTTATGTTTTTAACTAAAAACGGGGAAATGAAACCTTCCTTTCCTGATATTTTCACTGGCTGGAAAATAAATCAGGTTTTACCTCCGAATGAAACTATGATCGCCTTTTCCCAAGCACCTAGAGCCTGTTTCATGGGTGTGTCTGTTATGCTTGGGTACATATGAAACTGGCACTGCTGAGCTCCCAAGGCAGAAATGGCCAGCATGGGTGTGACCTGGAAGGATTTGCTCAGGAATACACTTTCCCTCAGATAATTCACTAATATGATAGCAGGTTCTCATGCCCTTCCTGTCAAAAGGCATTAGCTGTTTTTTTAACACTCATAAAGGAATTGCAGAGTGGCATGACCTTGCAAATCTGAGCTGTGCTCACTGAACGTAACATTCCTCTACAGACCCATTGTCTCCTTTAGGAAAGGAAGTCACACAAAGGGAAACGCAGGTAACTACATGGGCTTACAGCCCTCTGCTCCCTCAAGAGGCACTTGGTTCTCATTCCCCAAACTTCTTGAAAATGGCAAGATTCTCAGACAAGTACACCCACTTCTTGTACACAGCAACAAAGAAAAATGCCAGCTCCCTGGGGGCTGATTCCTTCCATATGTGAAATCTTCCTCTTTTGTAATAATACCGGGCCCTTTGAAAAATCTCAAAGAAGCCATAGTCAGTCATCATTCTC
Source organism: Homo sapiens (assembly GCF_000001405.40). NCBI lineage: Eukaryota > Metazoa > Chordata > Mammalia > Primates > Hominidae > Homo > Homo sapiens. The sequence goes on from NC_000006.12 coordinate 110,286,003, forward strand.
CATAAAATCACAAATCTGGTCTCATGAAAATTCCTTGCTCCTTTCTCTCACTAACACGTGCTCGTTTGCTTCCACAACATTCTCCAGTGGCAAGGGTTCATATCATGCACCTTACAATAGGAGAAACTGAGGAATGGGGAACTCATCGACTGGGTGGGGAGAGAGAGGGGATGCTGCAGAAACTGACAGCCAGGCTCCTGACCCCCGTCTTGTTTCAAGGGCTTTATGCACAAAAGAGGGTGCGGGATTTGCAAAGGGAAGGCTGAGCCATTTAAGTCCTTTCTACGCACAGAGGTTCCTCAAAGGGATGATCTTCACATCACCTGGGTTAGAGATGGGTGGGGTTGGTTAAAAATGCAGGCTCCTGGGCTCTATCTCAGAACAACTAAATCACAATCTCTGGGGTTGGTCCTGCCTGAGTGACATTTTAATCAAGCTCCCTTTGTGGTGGAATTCTTTGCTTATGGTGTGTTGTTGATACTGTTTTGGTTTGTTGTCCAGCGTCCCCCATTCTAACATGAGAGTCTAAGCCGCACACAGTCGTACAGCTGGGAGTGGTCTCCAGATTCCAGAACACCATGTACATACAACCTTGCCATTCATGGCTTCTGCCCAGGGAAAATGGAAGGTAGAACACCTCAAAGAAAACATCACCACAGCTGTGATAGTTAATACTGAATGTCAACTCAATGTCGAATTGATCCTGGGTGTGTCTGTGAGGGTGCTGCCAAAGGAGATTAACATTTGAGTCAGTGGGCTGGGAAAGGCAGACCCACCCTTAATCCGAGTGGGCACAATCAGCTGCCAGCAAAGCTAGAATGTAAGCAGGAAGAAAAACGTGAAAAGGAGAGACTGGCCTAGCCGGATGCTTCATGCGCTTGAACGTCAGACTCCAAGTTCTTCAGTTTTGGAACTCCGACTGGCTCTCCTTGCTCCTCAGCCTGCAGATGGCCTATAGTGGGACCTTGTGATCTTGTGAGTTAATACTTAATAAGCTTCCCTTTATATATATGTATCTATTCCATTGGCTCTGTCCCTCTGGAGAACTCTAATACAACAGCTAAATCCAGATGTAGTTAATTCTGTCATCAGATGGGCTTTCTACTCTATTGCAGCTCCATGTTAGTTAAACACTGAATGGTTTGAAAAATATTCAGAAGAGCCAAGACATTTTGCTACACCTCAAATCTCACCTTTATGGATGAATTTTGGCAAAAACAAAAACAAAAACAACAAACATTTCCTAAATGTTGAGTTCGGAAGTTCTTGACTCATTTTCCCAAGATGGCTTGTCCTTAGGGTCCACTGCAGATTGACGGAGACCGACAGATGTCTCTGCATTTCAAATTGCAATTCAGCACCATGAATGACTCATTACTGCTAAATTGCCACTGGCTTATTTCACAGAAACACAGCACCTTCCTGATTAAATCACAATTCTGCACGATGAAATTGCCTTCAAATACACAGAAAGATAGACACCTCTCTTTGAAAAAGGAATTTAAACAAATTTAGATAGAAATTGCCCTGGGACCTGAAAGAATCACCTGGACTTCCACCTTTACCACAGCATATCTGGTTTTCGGTAAGGTTTCCTGCCCAAGCATTCTGAAACATCAGGAGCTAAGGTCTCTGGACGTTCAAGGCTGCTGCTGGTTAACTCTAGGGTAGACTGTGCCCAAAGATAAGGTATTCAAATTTTCATGCCTTGTACGTTTTGTTTAGCAAGGTGCTGGAGAAAAAGGCCAACATGTATCCTGTATAGTTCCAGAGTGCCTGCTAGGTACTTGGAATGGGAATCCGTACAATAAGGGGTCTCTGCCTGTGAGGCACACAGCTCACCTAGGAACACAGAACTCAGAAGCAAGGCTCCAGCTTGAGGATAAATCATTATCTAAGACTCAGGCATGCCTGGACCTTGACCTGGTGTGGCAGACCAGCAGGGAACACTTTTATAAAGGAGCTTCCCTCCTGAGAAAAAATGTGTTCCGGTACAACAGCTAGTACAGAAATCAGATACGATAGGCTGCATGGGAATAAAAACAATGAAACTATGACAGTGTCTGTCCTTCACACCAGGGTCTCAGGCTGAAGGCAGAAGACATCAACAGGGCACAGAGTAGCCCAGTGCTTGTGCTCTGCAGGGACTGCGTTCAAGTCTCAGCACTGCCCATGACTATGAAGCCATAGTCATGGGCAATGTGTTTCTCCTCTGGTCCTGTTTCTCCAAGAGTGGTACACACCTTGTTACTCAAAGTACAGCTTCCCAGCCAGCACTATCAGCATCATCTTGGAGCTTACTAGAAATACAGAACCTCAGGTCTTACCCCAGACCTCCGGAATCACTACTTGCATGTTAATTACATTCCCAAGGTGGTTCACATATACATTACATTTGAGAAATAATGGTGTTGAATATGATTTGGAGGCAACATTTCAAAATCTTTCATTTGTTAGGTATTTTAAAAATGTAACAAACAAACCTACGACAACTGGCTCACAAGTCTATGGACATTATTTGTTCAGATAATTCTAAGTAAGAAAGGTGACTCTATTTAAAGTTGATTTAAAGAAAAAGATGAAGGTGAGATGCACCCCTTTCCCCCATGCCAAACACAAAGCAAAAATAGGGAGAACTATTTGAGAGGGAGAGAGAGAGAAAAAGAAACAAAAAGGACACAGCAGAGCTCAAAACCAAGATGAACATCTCCATGAATGAACACAGGGCGGTGAGCAGGATGGCAGGCCGGAAATGGTGGGCTTCCATCTTAAAGTAGGTGGCAGTGGTGCTGGGTGTGCATCTCCTACAGGACATAGGAACTCAAGGTGCTCCCCTGAGAGAGCAGCCAGAGCCCATTCATTGTTTAAAGCCAGGGGCGGGAGTGGAACTCCTTGGCTGCAGAAAGGAGACTGAAATAAACTAACAACCACTGGCTGGAGCTATAGCATAAAACTAGCTGCTGGCCTAAGAAGATGGGAGGAGAGTGACACACTCTAGCAAATAGCAAATGAGCTGGACCTCTGATGGTTCAGTGTCTGAATAGTCCACATACTACTGGGAAGAGTAAGAGCCAAATGCTTCTAGAAGACCAGGTCCTGAAGGTTACTGCAAAGTCACTAGGCAGAGAAGGGCAAGCCAAAAAGAAAGAGAAAAGCAAAACCAAACCAAAAACCTTCTACTGAAAATACACCAGTAAACCAAAATTCCAAAATACACACTGAAGTCAAAGGCTAAGAGAAACAGTCAACCAATGCAATAATTAGAATGTTACTTCATTCCAAGACTAATTTTATTGAAAAATCTGACAAAAGTTTAAAATAAGTATGTTTAGGATGCTCAGCTCAATCAAGAAGAATATCAGCTTTCACAAACATGCAAGCAGTGGCAACACACTTTTAAATAAAAGCATGCAAAACTAGAAAAGAACAGATGGATAGGAAAAATACCAATTAGAAACCTTGGAAGTGAAAAATATAGTCTTTTTTTTTTGTAAAAATACCAATAAATGGTATAAACTCTAGCCTGGATATAGTTAAAAAGAAAATTAAAGAATTGGAAGCTAGTAGTGAGGAATTTACCCTAACATAGGTCAGAGTGAATGAAAAAGCAATGAAGAGACAAGAAGGATAGACTTAGAGGCTCCAAAATACATCTAAAAAGAACTCCAAAAGTAGAGAATTAAAAAATGGATAAGAAAACATGGAAAATATTTTAACTGTTTGAATATTAACAAGGTACAAAATTCAAAAGATATAGAGTACAGAGTTTCTTCCTCAGCCATCTAGTTCTTCTCCCTGGAGCTTCCCAGCATCACTAGTTTCTTGCATATAATTTCAAAAACAATTATGTGAGTGGTAGAATGGTGGAAATCTACACACACTCTTCTGCAATTTGCTTTTATTGAAATATAATTTATATACAAGGAAATTCGTACAGTTTAAGGATATTGGTCAATTACTTTTTTTTCTGACAGGGTTTTGCTTTGTTGCCCAGGCTGGAGTGCAGTGGCTCAATTGATCCTCCTGCCTCAGCCTCCTGAGTAGCTGGGACTAAAGGTGTGTGTCACCACACCTGGCTAATTTTTATATTTTTTGTAGAGATGGGGTTTTGCCATGTTGTCCAGGCTGGTCTCAAATTCCTGGCCTCAAGAGATCCACCCCCCCTCAGCCTCCCAAAGTGCTGGGATTACAGGTGTAAGCCACCATGCCCAGCCAATTGACAACTTTTGACGAATGTATATACCCATGTAACCACCATAACGTACTCAAAATATAGAATGTTTCCATCACCCCAAAAAGTTCCTTTGTGATCTTTTCAATAAATCTCCAACTCTGCTCCCTCACCACCTGCCCTAGGCAACCACTGATCTGATTTCTATCACCATAGAATACTTCTGTCTATTCTAGAACTTTATTTAGAGAATCACATAACAGGTGGTTTTTTGAATCTGGCTTCCTTCATTCATCATAAAGTCTGTGAGACTCATTTGTGTAGTATGTGTCACAAAGCTTATTCCTTTTCATTGATCAGTGGTATTTCATCCTATATGGATGTGTGGTAGGTATATGGTATATTTAAGAGATATATCATACCATAACTTCTCTACCCATTCACATATTTACAGACATTTGAGTTGTTTCCAGTTGAGGTTATCATGAATATAGCTTCTATACACTTTCAGTTACAAGCCTTTGTGCAGACATATGTTTTCAGTTATCTTGGGTAAATATCTAGGAATGGGTTTACTGGATCAATTGGTAAATATATGTTTAACTTAAGAAATTGTCAACCTCTTTTCCTAAGAGGTTGCATTCCCACTACAAATGTTTGAGCTTTCCAGTTACTCCATATCCTTACCATCACTTAGTAACATCAATCTTTTAAATTTTAGCCATTTTGGTAGTTATGAAGTGATATCTCATTGTGGCTTTAATTTTCATTACCCTAATAACTAATCATATTCAGCATCTTTTCATATGTGTTTTTGCCATCTGTGTATCTTGTTTGGTGGGGTGCCAGTTTAACTCTTTTGTTTGTTAATTGAATTGTTTGTCTCCTCATTTGTGGTTGTGAGAGTTCTCTATGTATTCTGGATACAAGTCCTTTTCTGATATATTTGTGATGAATATTTTCTCCTAGTTTTTATGTTCTTCACAATGTCTTTTGATGAGCAGAGAGTTTTGATCTTTATAAAGTCCAATTTATCTTTTTAAAATTTTTTTATGGTTTATGCTAAGAAATATACTGTCTAAAAAATGTTTGCATATGTCAAGGTTGTAAAGATTTTCTCCTATGTTTTCTTCTAGAAGTTTTATAATTTTAGCTTTTATGTTTAGGTCTATGTTCCACTTCAAAACAATTTTCATGATGATGTGAGATTCAAGTCAGGTTTTACTTTTTTCCCATACAGATAACCAGTTGTTCCAGCACCATTTGTTGAAAAGACTATAATTTTTCCCATTGAATTATGTTGATGCCTTTATAAAAATCAATTAATTATATACGTGTTTCTCTTTTTTTTCTTCATTGCAGATTTTTAAAAAAAACTTCTATTTTCCTTTTAGGAGTACATGTGCAGGTTTGTTATATAGATAAACCTGTACCATGAGGGTTTGTTGTACAGATTATTTCGTCACCCAGGTATTAAGCCTAAAACCCATTAGTTATTTTTCTGATCCTCTCCCTCCTCCCACCCTCCACCCTCTGATAGGCCCCACTGTCTGTCGTTCCCCTCTATGGGTCCATATGTTCTCAGCATTTAGCTCCCACTTAAAAGTGACAACATGCAGTATTTGGTTTTCTGTTCCTGTGTTAGTTTGCTAAGGATAATGTATATATGTGTTTCCATCTCCAAATTCTCTTGTTGTTCCATTGATGTCTATCTTTATGTCAGTACCAGACTATCTTGATTGCTATCCCTTACATTGTCTTGAAATCAAGTAGCGTAAGCCTCTAACTTTGTTCTTTGTTTTCAAAACTGTTCAGCAATTGCTTTGCATTGTAAATTCTCTTTCTTAAAAATGTATCTCAGAAATTGTTCCACATCAGTACATAAAAATTTGTTTGTCGTTTTTTTAAGTGGTTTTGTAAGTTGTCCATGAAAAGATATACAATTCTCCATTTAACTACTTCCACAATGGTGGCTATGCAGATTGTTTTCTACCCTTTGCTATTACAAACAATGCTGCAAAAAACAATAACTTTATTCATATATCTGTTCACACATGTGGGATATGACTGGGGCAAACTCACAGAAGTAGAATTGCTGGATTTGCATTTGCAATGTGATAGATATTGCCAAACTGCCCTGCAGAAAGGCTGTAGCAATTTATATTCCTGCGACTTTTTATCTTTGATAATCTGATGAAAACATTGTATCTAACTATAGTTTTATTTGTCTTTCTCTTAATATGTCCAAGTTTTAATATTTTTTCATATAAGCCATCTGAATCTCCTTTTCTGTGAACTGTTTTTCATCAACTATTTCTTCATCCAATTTTCTATCAAGTTGTGGATCTTTTTTTTAATGATTTGTTGAAGCCCTTCTATACCGGTGAAATTAACTCTCTACTTATAAAATGAATTGTCAGTATTTTCGCAGTTTGTTATTTGTCTTTTAATTTTGTTTTTGGTAGTTTTACCATGTGGAAATTTTGTATGTAATCAAGTTAATTATTCTTTTCTTTTGTGACTTCCTAACTCCAGAATTTTTTTTTAAATCCCCATAGTTTTCTTTCTAATATTTTTATGGTCTTTAAAAAAACTTTATTGGTTTAAATTTTTTGGTAAAAGGCATCAAATAAAGCTGAAAAAACATTTTTAAAATAAATATCCATAATTTTACTGACACATCCATCTTTTCTCTATGATTTGAGATAGTGCCTTTATCATATATCAACTCTGGAGGTATGTGGATTTATTTCTGGAGTTTTAAAATCTGTCCATTAATCTGTTTATCTGTTCATGCAATAGTACCATTTTTATTATTATAGTTGTATAAGAAGATTTATTATCCCATTGGGTTAGTAAACCACCTTTATTACTCCTTTATCAGAATTTGATTGGTTATTTCTGCTTGTTAATTCAGTATGAACTCTAGAATCAGCTTCTTTAGTTCTGAAAAAAAAATCCTATTGGCAATTTTATTTGGAACATGTTAAATCAGTAGATTAACATAAGAAAGGGTTAATCATTATGATGGTGAGCATTTACATCGAAGCATGTACTATGCCTTTGAATTCGTTCAAGTTTTCCTTTAAGTCTTTGAGTGGCTAAGTTTTCTTCTTGTAGACCTTGCACATGTCTCATTAAGTTTATCTTTAGCTTTATTTTTGTTGCTTTTGTAAATAAACTTTGCTTCCTTTTTATATTCTAACTGGTTTTTATTCACAAAAGTGTAGTTAAAATTTTTTTGTATACTGTACTCAGACAACTCATTAAATTTACTTATTGTTTGATAGTTTTTCATTAGATTATCTTGAGTTTTCTAGTATACCATCATATTGTCTTCAATTAATATGTCCTTCAATAATAATAATATCTGCAAATAATAAAATTTTTACCTCTTTCTTAATTTATACTCCTAAATTTTTTTCTTATTGTATTAGCTGTTATCTTAAGAACTATATTAAATAACAATGGTGATTACACACTGTATGATTCTGTTTATAAACATTCTTAAAAATGACAAAATTATAGAAATAGAAAACAGATTAGTGGTTACCAGGGGTTAGGGAAGGAGGTAAGGGGAAGAAGGTAGGTGTTTTTATAAAAGGGAAACATGATCCTTAAAGTGCCAGAAATGTTCTGTATCTGGAATCTCTGTATCATTTCTTACAAGTGCATGTGAATCTATCTCAAAATGTGCAGTTTTTTTTTAAAGAGCTCTAATCTTTTTTTTTTAATGGTGATGATATAAATCCTTATTTTTCCCCGACTTTAATAAGGATATTTCCACTGTTTCCACATTAATTATGATGTCAGCTCTTGGACTGAGATACACTAAAATAAGAAGCAATTAATTCAACTATATCAGCAAAAACAATACATACAAATGGATTAAACTCACATACACAGATAGATTTATTATGGAAGTACTCATCCATTGCTTTCTATTGCATTTTTTATTTTTTTTATGTTGCAGAGATAAGTGTATGGTGAGAGAGAGTGAGAGAGAGAAAGCAAATGTGGCAAAATATTAACAAATGGTGAATTCCAGTGAAAAATATGTGACGGTTCATTATATTCCAGCAACATTGGCATTTGAAATTTTTTGAAAATAAAAATATGTAAAACTCCAGATAATAATAATGTGGGCACCCAGGTTGAATGGGTAGTTAACTTTTTATGATCCTTATCATGTTTAGAAGGAATATAGAAATACTGGATAATTTTATATATTAAAATTTTATAGTTAATTATATACTTTTTAAATCTAAAGGTAACCATGAAGAATAGAAATATAAGCTTTAGCAAAAAGAGGGGGGAATACTGCAGAAAACCAAAGGCCAAATTTAAGAGAGTAGAAGTTAGTCCCAATATGCCAGTAATCCCAATAAATATAAATATAAAAGCATTAAACACACCTATTTAAAGACATTATCAGGTTGGGTTTAAAAATACAATCCAGGCATATATTGAATGCACTGCTCTTATAAGCTATACATAAACTAAAACTATATCAAAATAATGGAAATAAAAGAATCTAGAATGTTATTTCACATAAATACTTATCAAAGGAGAGCTAGCATGGCAGAACTAACATCAGATAAAACAAAATTTAAGGCAAAAAATATTTCTAGGAATAAAAACTGACACACCATATACACATGGTCAAATTTTCTTCCTGAAAGAGTATATTATTTTCCATTTCCAGCAGCAAAGTGTATTATTCCCAACAAGCATTACAATACAGGGCAGTATCAATCTCTTGTTTATATTTACCAATTTGATAAGTAAAGAGAAAAACAAAAAGTGAGTCTTTAATTGCTTTTCTTTTTTTCTTTCTTTCTTTTTTTTTTTTTTTTTTTTTTTTTTGAGAGAGGGGTCTGGCTCTGTCACCCAAGCTGGAGTACAGTGGAGCAATCATGGCTCACTGCAGCCTCCACCTCCTGGACTCAGTCAATCCTCCTATGTCAGCCTCCCCAGTAGCTGGGACTACAGGCACATGTCACCATGCCCAGCTAATTTTTTAAATCTTATGCCCAGCTAATTTTTTAAATCTTTTGTAGAGATGGGATGTGCTATGTTGCCCCAGCTGTGTAATTTAATTTCAAAGCCCATATTCTCTCAAATGTAATCATAGTGACCACACAACAAAACTGATGTTCTGGAATCAATGGCGAGCTCCCAGCCAAGGGAGGCAGAAACTGGTAGTCCTGTGAGGGTTCAAGTGGACACTGAGCCTTGGCCTGGGTGGTGACAAGGGCAGGTGAAGGAAGACACAGTTCCCTGAGCTGACAGGCAGGGAGGCCAGCTCCCCCAGGGCGTCTGACCAGAGGGCCCCAGCCCCAAGGTCTACATCTGTTCTGTGTGGCATGAATCTCAATTAATTCTCAGCAGTTTATTTAATTTCTATACAGCACAGTATTTACTTTCTATACAATCACCCACAAGGCTGTTCAGCGCCTGGAGGCAGCAAACAATAGTTCTCTACAACCAAGTCTGAAGGACCAATTGCCTTTCAGTTTCACACAAAGCTCTCATTAAAAACTCTTGAGTGGAACTAGGTGGTTAGCAACTTCCAGAGAAATGTCTGATATATTTTCCCCGGGAAAGAAAAGAAAGAAAGAAAGGAAGGAAGGAAGGAAGGAAGGAAGGAAGGAAGGAAGGAAGGAAGGTTCTCTATAAAATGTACTAAAATTGTTAATAAAAACCCTTTGAGTTTACTGAAAACAATTGAGTGACTAATTCACACCAGGCATTCTGCTGGAGACTTTCACACTATGTTCTCAGACCTACTTCTCAAAAAAAACCCACAATTTAGAAAGTATCATTGTCCTCATTTAACTGACAATCAAATTGAGTGCCAGAGAGGTTAAATGACTCGCCCAACGCCAAAAGCCAATAAGAGGACCATGCTTCAAACCTAGATTAATGAGCTTACATAGAGAAACCCTCAGGCAGCTCTGTTATTCAGAGTTATCAGCAGCATGGTTAAGACCAAAAATAATAGCTATAATTCCTCATTAACTAGCTCGGATCATTGAGGATACTCTGAATGTAACAAAGTCTAAAGTAAGAAAGACTTTAGAAAAAAACTATACATTATGATTAATATGAGCAGAAACTTCAGATTCAATATTTCTAGTTGCATTCTGAAAAAACTGTATGCTTAGTTAACAATAACCACTTCTGCAAAGAGTAGACAGTTAATCATTTCACATAATGCTGGATCCAAGTGATATTACTCCCTGACAGACTGGGCTTCTAATCCACATGGTTTTGCTGATGCAGCTGCTCTAGCCTGATGCTTTAGAACAGGCTTTTGATTTATAGTTTGAGGTTAAAATTACCAAAGAGTTTTAAAAGCAGTACAAAAGCCATTTGCATCTTTCTGTCACTATCTCAGAATACTGCTTTCATTTTTGCCCATATTTTTTCTTGAGTGGCTGGAATCTACGTATGGATATACAGAATAGGAAAACTAACAGCGGAATAGGGAAATTACTACAAAACTATATGAGATATTTTAAAGTTCTGAAATAAAACAGCTAAAAACGCTTTGGTTTCTACACTCACTTTCAGAATAAATGAGTGAAGGTGTGAAGGCAGAAACGCTGACATTTGTTAGCGTGTTTTTTACTATTTGCTTCCCCTGCCGCAGCCACATCCTATTTACCACTGTCTGTACATACAGAAAAATGAAAACAGATCGTGCTTGCTACACGACACAAACAAGGTTTCCATTTATCTAGCCCCGCATAGCTCCTAGAAGCATTTTCCTAAGGAAAGCAATCACTCGCTGACGGGTTTAGTTTTGTTGTTTTTGTTTTAAAGCATTCACCAAAAAAAAATCTCTATGGAAGAATATCAATATCTTTTAAATTCTTCAACAAGGAATTAAAACAAAAAAGGAGCAAATGCATTCCTGGCAATTCTGTGCCAGATCACTTTCATTGTAAATATTTTTTTAAAAAATAAGTAACCTTAGAAACATAAGCATTTCTCCTTTCTAGGCATCATTGTAAATATTTCTGCTATCTCAGGAGCAGCATTGCAAAAGGTCTCATGCTTTATCCTTAGCATAAAAGTTGGCCCACTGCAGCTCCCATGGAGCTAAACAAACACAATTCAGGTACATACCTTGTTATCTAAAATTAGATAAATTATATCCGCAGATCACTTTTTCAAAGTCTTATTTTATCCTCACCTTTACCAAATCTTTTGCTACAGTATTATTGGGGAAAAAAATAAGCAAAATGGCATTGAGTTTCTCTTTTTCTCCTACTCAGTCTTTTCTTTGAAGAGTGGTGCTGGAGAGGGCTAGGATGTAAAGAGCATAAAGCAGGAACAGCAAGACTCCTAACTGAACACAAAGAATAAGTAGTTAACTCTTTGAATAATCTAAAGTTGACATATTAGAGAATTAGGCCTGTAATTCTCAGCTGTAAAAAACAGATCTACAAAGGTAACGAGTGGCAAAAAAGAAAAAAACAAAACCCTAAATAAAGTTCTGAAAAATGCTTCTGCTTCTTCCCACACATATGAAAAACATTAACAGCATGTAAAAAGGAGTTCTCTTCTGAGATTTTACCCAAAAATCCTATATGTGTCTCACTAAGGCTCCTGACTATTAAATGCCACCAGTTACCCTTGGTGGCAAAGCAAAATACAAATTAATAGTTAATTGCGTGTTAAAAGAACAGCAAATTCTTTGAAGTTGTTCTTGAAGAAGCATGGGCTATCTAAAGGTTGTTTAAAGGATGAAGAGGAGGAGGAGGAAGAAGAAGAGGGGGAGGAGGGACAAGGAAGAGGAAGATGAAGAAAGGAGGCAGAGAAAAGGGAGGAAGAGGGGAGGAGGAGGAGGAACGGCAATGCAGGGAAAAGCTTCTTACTGAAAATCAAGAAGCCAACTCAAGTTTAAAATTGAGTCTCAGGCACACTGTTTCTCAAACAGAAACACCCATTCTGACCTGTTCTAAATCACATGGCATCTCTGGCTGGGAACACAGGCCAAAATAGCCAAACCCAAGAAAGGCTGAAGATCAAACACAAGCCAACTGCACTCAGGAGAAATTCTCTAGTATCTGCCTACAGAATACAGTTAGCTCGGGTATACTACACTAAAAATTGCTTTCAAAGAACACAGTTCAAAGATTGTTTCTTTTTTGCTGTCCATTCATAATAAAATGTTTGCAGAGATTTGACATCCTTTGGTATAATTATATAATTTGTAATGTACATGTCCATTCAATTTTATAAAGTAAATCTTAATCAAAGCTATATATATTTTCTGTGTAGAGCCTAGACGTTCAAAATAGTGAGAAACATGTCACAACAGTGAGAAACATGATACACAAGCAATATCTTAGTAAACATAACCCCGATTTTTTTTTTTGTATTTGAGGTCAACATAAGTAGTTTGCTCTTTCTGGAAAGTGTAAGTCAGTTGCCAAATGAAAATGGTATTCTTCAGCCTGTGCCAGAAGTAAGTTTCTTAGTCTTCTTGCCTAGTCTTGGACAAGACCATTAACATTACTCAACAGCAACTAAAATCTTCACATCAACTTAAATATCTCTATCCTTGCCAACACTTTATGTCTAGAGTTGACTCTATAAATAATGTTGGGTGATTAGTAAGATTAAAATCGGACCTTCAGCTATCCAATGTCAATGTTGCTATTCTTGGTTTGCATTTTAAAAAGCTGATGGGTTTGTTTACTTTATTCAAGTATAAAATCAAATGAAAAACCTCACCTTGTGATGTCCAAATTCATTCAAAATGCTTCCCAGTTTTCTGGTGTTGCTATGTGGTTTTTGGGCAGCAACAGCTGGATGGGGATCCCGCCAGTCAATGGACAAGCGGTGATACCAAAGGTGCTGACTCTCCAGAATGTGAGCTGACTTGACACTAGGATCAAAACGATGCACTTCACATCCGTTGTTGGCCATGCTAACCTCAAAATGGGTATCATCACTTCCTAGCCTATAAAGAAAGAGGACGGAAATCAACAACAAAAAATGCAATGAAGCAAAGTGTTGGACTAACAAGATGACAGTTCCAAGGCCAAGGTTCTTAGTTATATCAAGCCTTCTCCTGTTTTAACCCATGGCTAATGTACACATTCAATAAACTTTCTTTCACAAAAAAGCATTATTGCTCAAAGCTTCTGGATAAAAGATAAATTATCTGCTAGACAAAGACCAGAGAATCACATACTCAAACATGTAGGCGCATCATCAAATTGTTTTTTTTTTAAGTGATGTAAATCACAGTAGCAATGAAACAAAGAAGACTATCCAGTAGTCTTAGATTTTCTTAGAATATGTCCACAAATATAAGCCCCAGGATTAGTTCTCTTGAGGAGAGATGTGTTCTACTAATGAGGTAATTTGTCTCCATTCTAATGGCCACAGTGTTGTGTATGCAATTTGACTTAAAGACAACAGCTGTTTTCTTAGAAATGTAATATATTTTTAAATAGTGCAAATAAGAAAAAAGGCAAATGTATGTGATTCTACTGCATCCAAAACTCAAGAAGCAGACGGTTTCCTCACCTAAATTCACATCAAAAGGGGAAGAAATTATGAATTAATTGTACTTAAGTACTCAATAGGTAGCACACCATACGGAAAATAATAAACTTCCAAATATTGAATTGACTCAGAAATATTCCCTATTTAATGGTGCAAGGATCGTCACTTTGATTAAAACACCAGTTTTAATGAAAAGCATGAAATTAACTGAGAATGATTTTTTTAATGGTGATTATGGCTTTTCTGCCCCAATACTGTACTCATATGTGATTTAGGATACCAAAATCCCACAGAGTAGCTACACTACTTGGCCGAACCTAAACCCAGTGCAGAAATACTTCATTCTCATAGATTCTACAAGTATTTTGTAAGTGGATGTTTTTCAATAAATACAGTGAGCCCTCCATAGCTGTGGGTTCCACGTCCACAAATTCAACCAACATGGATCAGAAATACAGCATTGATAGGATGCAGGAGCCTACTGATATGAAGGGCGAATGTTTTGTATCTGTGAGTTCCACACCCAGACTTGATAGTTCGTGGATTTTGGTATCCGTTGGTGGGGAGAGGGTGGCCTAGAACCAACCGCCAACCCCATACGGAGGGATGACTGACTATTGCATAATCTGGAAATACACAAGTTCAGTGGATAATAATTATTTACCTTATTTTAATTAACTAAAATAAGCCTTCAGTTCAGAGATCATCCACCGAGACATGCTTTTTTTTTTTTTTTTTAGATGGAGTCTGGCTCCATCACCCAGGCCGGAGCATAGTGGCGTGATCTCAGCTCACTGCAACCTCTGCCGCCAGGGTTCAAGCAATTCTCTTGCCTCAGCCTCCCAAGTAGCTGGGATTACAGGTGTGCCCCACCATGCCTGGCTAACTTTTGTACTTTTAGTAGAGACGGGGTTTCACCATGTTGCCCAGGCTGGTCTCGAACTCCTGACCTCAGGTGATCCACCCTCGTTGGCCTCCCAAAGTACTGGGATTACAGGCATGAGCCATGGCACCCCACCTAGACATTCTTAATACAGGCAGCCCTCTGTATCCACAGATCTGATCCACAAATTCAACCAACCGCAGATTGAAAATATTCGAAAAAACAAAAATAAAAAAATAATACAACATTAAAAATAGTAAAAATAAAAATCAATACAGTATAATCACTATTACATGGCATTTACATCGTATTAGGTATTATAAGTAATCTAGAAATGATTTAAATTATGCAGGAGGATGTGCATTGGTTATATACAGATACTACACCATTTTATATCCAGGACTTGAGCATCCTAAATTTTGGTCTTTGCAGTGGTCCTGCAACCAACCTCCACAGGTGCTGAGGGGTGATTATAGTCTTATTTGCCTCTTCCTCACCCTTCACCCAACTACACTGCTCTTTTTCCGACTGCATCCCATGGTAAGTCAGCCCTCTGATGTCCCTCCGCCATAGCTTTTCCAACACTTTTTGCCTGGAGAAAATTCAGCACTCCTCTCACAAGCACTTCCATTTCTTCCACCTAACAGTTCCTATTCCCTATTTTCTACCACCTACTGAATCCACACAGCTCAGACCACTGAAGTCTCTACCCCAGTTTTCCATGATCTAATCTGGTGTGGCAGATTGACTTGTCGACTCTGCTCCTTCAACCCTGCACCATCCACACTACTCCATGCTCATGATGAGAAAGAGTCCTTCCCTGCCCCTTGACTTTTTGGCTTGGCCATGTGCCTTGCTTTATGGAAGGAAGTGGGAGTGTGCCAGTCCAGATCCTAGGCCTTCAGTGCTTCTGTTCTCTCTCTTACACTGTCATCATGATAAAAACGTGCCCTCGAGAATTTGCACTCCAGCCAGTCCACCGGCCCTCTGTAAAATACAGAACCTCCCTTAGCCATCTCAGCCTGAAGTAAAGAAAGCCTCACAGCTAAGCCCATCCTGGATCAACTGAAGCCCAGCTGACCTGCAGACATACAAGCAACAGTAAAGACATACAAGCAACAGTAAATAACGGTGATTGTTAAGCCACTGAGTTTTAGAGTGATTACACAACCAATAGCTAACTGATATACCTGGCATTAAATATAAATTCAAGAGTTGCAGTTGAAACTACAAAGCATTTTTTTAGTAGATAGATTTGCTTTTATATAGATCAGAATATTGTAGAACTCACCTATCCAAAAGGAATTTTCACTTAATTAAATTTGTCAAAACTTAGATGAACAAAGCAGTGTTATTTTAGGTCACCAGCAGAAAAGGGCAATTTTATATTTTCATTAAGAGAACGTTATGGCTGCATGCGGTGGCTCACACCTGTAATCCCAGCACTTTAGGAGGCCGAGGTGGGCAGATCACGAGGTCAGGAGATCGAGATTATCCTGGCTAACACAGTGAAACCCCATCTCTACTAAAAAAATACAAAAACATTAGCCAGGCGTGGTGGTGGGCGCCTGTAGTCCTAGCTACTCGGGAAGCTGAGGCAGGAGAATGGCATGAACCCAGGAGACAGAGCTTGCAGTGAGCCGAGATCGTGCCACTGCACTCCAGCCTGGGTGACAGAGTGAGACTCCATCAAAAAAAAAAAGAGAACATTATGTCAAAAAAAGTACTCATTACATATAATTTGTATATAAATCTAGAGTGAAATATGTGAATAATTTCTTCCTCTGAATTGTCAGAATGTTGTTTTCAAGGAACAATATTGAGGTATATATACACATATACACACACATATGTGTATATATACACATATACACACATATGTGTATATATACACATATACACACATATGTGTATATATACACATATACACACACATATGTGTATATATACACATATACACACACATATGTGTATATATACACACATACACACACATATGTGTATATATACACATATACACACACATATGTGTATATATATACACATATACACACACATATGTGTATATATATACACATATACACACACATACACGTGTGTATATATATACACATATATGCCTCAAAAAAGGTAATTAAATTAGCCACATACAATTCTGTAACTGTTTAAGACACTTTATTATATATTCATATGTTTTCTATTTAAACTAGTTGCTTATAATTAAACAAATACACATAGAAATACTCAAGTTGTAAGAAGTATGTAAATTGAAAAGAGTTTCTGGCAAGATATGGCTGAATAGAAAGAGCTCTGGTCTACAGCTCCCAGCAAGACCAATGCAGAAGGTGGGCAATTTCTGCATGTCCAACTGAGGTACCCGGCTCATCTCATTGGGACTGGTTAGACAGTGGGTGCATCCCACAGAGGGCGAGCAGAAGTAGGGTGGGGCGTCGCTTCACCCAGGAAGCACAGGGGGTCGGGAAATCCCTCCCCTAGTCAAGGGAAGCCATGAGGGACCCTGCCATGAGGGATGGTGCATTCCAGCCCGGATACTACGCTTTTCCCATGGTCTTCATAACCCACAGACCAGGAGATTCCCTCGGGTGCCTACACCACCAGAGCCCTGGGTTTCAAGCACAAAATTGGGCAGCCATTTGGGCAGACACTGAGCTAGCTGCAGGAGTTTTTTTTTTCATACCCCAGTGGTGCCTGGAATGCCAGCAAGAGAGAACCATTCACTCCCCTGGAAAAGGGGCTGAAGCCAGGGAGACAAGTGGTCTTGCTCAGCAGATCCCACCCCCAAGGAGCCCAGCAAGCTAAGATCCACTGGCTTGAAATTCTCGCTGCTAGCACAGCAGTCTGAAGTTGACCTGGGATGCTCAAGCTTGGTGTGGGGAGGGGCGTCTGCCATTACTGAGGCTTAAGTAGGCGGTTTTCCCCTCACAGTGTAAACAAAGCCTCTGGGAAGTTTGGACTGGGCAGAGCCCACCACGGCGCCTCAAAGCTGCTGTAGCCAGACTGCCTCTCTAGATTCCTCCTCTCTGGGCAGGGCATCCCTGAAAGAAATGCAGCAACCCCACTCAGGGGCTTATAGACAAAACTTCCATCTCCCTGGGTCAGAGCACCTGGGGGAAGGGGCGGCTGCGGGTGCAGCTTCAGCAGACTTAAACATTCCTGCCTACTGGCTCCGAAGACAGCAGTGGATCTCCCAGTACAACACTCGAGCTCTGCTAAGGTACAGACTGCCTCTGCAAGTGGGTACCTGACCCCCATGCCTCCTGACGGGGAGACACCTCCCAGCAGGGGTCGACAGACACCTCATACAGGAGAGCTCCAGCTGGCATCTGGCAGGTGCCCCTCTGGGACAAATCTTCTAGAGGAAGGAGCAGGCAGCAATCTTTGCTGTTCTGCAACCTTTTCTGGTGATACCCAGGCAAACAGGGTCTGGAGTAGACCCCCAGCAAACTCCAGTAGACCTGCAGAAGAGGGGCCTGACTGTTAGAAAAAAAACTAACAAACAGAAAGCAATAGAATCAACATCAACAAAAAGGAAGACCGGGCAAAAACTCCATCTGAAGGCCACCAACAGCAAAGACCAAAGGTAGATAAATCCATGAAGATGAGGAAAAACCAGCGCAAAAAGGCTGAAAATTCCAAAAACCAGAACACCTCTTCTCCTCCAAAGGATCACCACTCCTCGCCAGAAAGGAAACAAAACTGGATGGAGAATGAATTTGACAAACTGACAGAAGTAGGCTTCAGAAGGTGGGTAATAACAAACTCCTGTGAGCTAAAGGAGCATGTTCTAACCCAATGCAAGGAAGCTAAGAACCTTGATAAAAGGTTAGAAGAATTGCTAACTAAAATAACTAGTTTAGAGAAGAACATGAATAACCTGATGGAACTGAAAAACACAGCACGAGAACTTCATGAACCATACACAAATATCAATAGCTGAATCAATCAAGTGGAAGAAAGGATATCAGAGATTGAAGATCGACTTAATGAAATAAAGTGTGAAGACAAGATTAGAGAAAAGAGAATGAAAAGGAACGAACAAAGCCTCCAAGAAATATGGGACTATGTGAAAAGACCAAACCTATAATTGATTGGTGTATCTGAAAGTGACGAGGAGAATGGAAAACACTTCAGGATATTATCCAGGAGAACTTCCCCAACATAGCAAGACAGGCTAACATCCAAATTCAGAAAATACAGAGAACACCACAAAGATACTCTTTGAGAAGAGCAACGCCAAGACACATAATCATCAGATTCACCAAGGTTGAAACAAAAGAAAAAAATGTTAAAGGAAGCCAGAGAGAAAGGTCAGGTTACCCACAAAGGGAAGCCCATCAGACTAACAGCAGATCTCTCTCTGCAGAAACCCTACAAGCTAGAAGACAGTGGGGGCCAATACTCAACATTTTTAAAGAAAATAATTTTAACCCAGAATTTCATGTCCAGCCAAACTAAGCTTCATAAGTGAAGGAGAATAAAATCCTTTACAGGCAAGGAAATACTGAGGTATTTTGTCTCTACCAGGCCTGCCCTACAAGAGCTCCTAAAGGAAGCATTAATTAAAATTAACTCAAGATGGGTTAAAGATTTAAATATAAGACCTAAAACCATAAAAACCCTAGAAGAAAACCTAGGTAATACCATTCAGGACATAGGCATGGGCAAAGCCTTCATGACTAAAACACCAAAAGCAACGGCAACAAAAGCCAAAATTGACAAATAGGATCGAATTAAATTAAAGAGCTTCTGCACAGCAAAAGAAAGTATCATCAGAGTGAACAGGCAACCTACAGAATGGGAAAAAAAATTTGCAATCTATCCATCTGACAAAGGGCTAATATCCAGAATCTACATGGAACTTAAACAAATTTACAAGAAAAAAACAAACAATTCCATCAAATATTGGGCAAAGGATATGAACAGACGCTTTTCAAAAGAAGACATTTATGTGGCCAACAAACATGAAAAAAATCTCATCATCACTGGTCATCAGAGAAATGCAAATCAAAACCACAATGAGATGCCATCTCATGCCAGTTAGAATGGTGATCATTTAAAAGTCAGGAAACAACAGATGCTGGAGAGGATGTGGTGAAATAGGAACGCTTTTACACTGTTGGTGGGAGTGTAAATTAGTTCAACCATTGTGGAAGACAGTGTGGCAATTCCTCAAGGATCTAGAACTAGAAATACCATTTGACCCAGCAATCCCATTACTGGGTAGATACCCAAAGGATTATAAATCATTCTACTATAAAGGCACATGCACACATATGTTTATTGCAGCACTATTCACAATAGCAAAGACTTGGAACCAACCCAAATGCCCACAATGTTAGACTGGATAAAGAAAATGTGGCACATATCCAATATGGAATACTATGCAGTCATAAAAAAGGTTGAGTTCATTTTCTTTGCAGGGACATGGATGAAGCTGGAAACCATCATCCTCAGCAAACCGAACACCACATGTTCTCACTCATAAGTGGGAGCTGAACAACAAGAACATATGGGCACAGGGAGGGAAACATCACACACCAGGGCCTGTTGGGGGGTGGGGGGCAAGGGGAGGGATAGCATTAGGAGAAATACCTAATGTAGATGACGGGTTGATGGGTGCAGCAAACCACCATGGCACATGTATACCTGTGTAGCAGACCTGCATGTTCTGCACATGTGTCCCAGAACTTAAAGTATAATAAAATAAATAAATAAATAAATATTATTTAAATAAAATAAAACTAAAAAAAAGAAAACAGTTTTTTACCACTAGAAATTTTAGCCATTAATTTCCAGAGATGATCATGTTTAGCAGTTTTTTATATATCTTTCCAGAAATTTTCTACCTATATACAAGTGTTTCTCTATTATAAATATCATAAGCACACACATACACATATAAGTTAGTCATTAAATAGTGGGAAACTTTTATATAATGCATTAGATAACATAAAACTATTTGTAATTTTTTGGATTAATTTATGTTATACTTTTACTATAATCTTAATATATAAACATGTACCACATTGGAATGTAATAAACTATATTCATTTAATTGATATATAAAATTCTTACTTTCATTTATTTGCAATGGTACTTCTTCAAGCATAGTTGAAATTGGTCAAGTTTGTGGTCACGTAAAAAGCAAGAGGAGAAGTAAATGTAATATGCACAGGTGTTACAAAACATGGCCCAAAGCGGTAAACCAGGAGTCAAATCCAATCCAGGTAGATCCAGAGCACGTGCTCTCTATATGCCACCTCGTTGCTGATGAGCACAGGACACAGGATCATGGAAGGAATATTTGTGATCTCAGGTCTAGGGAACTGTCAGTTACCAGACAATAACGCTCCATGAGGAAAAGGGCTATGTCAATCTTGCTCATTTCTAAGTCCGCAGTGCTGAATAGATGAGTGATGACAGACAGACCTACAAAATGCTGCCCTAAGTGAAATAAAACTATGAGGCAGGGGCTGGAATTCTCAGAACACACAGTACAATATTCAGTATCCAAATGTTGCCTGTGGTAAGCTATATTTTACTGACTTATTCATGTTCATAAACAAATATTTATAGAGCATTTTACATGTGCAAGGCACTACACTGGACACCAGGGACAAATGGATAAGTTAAACATGGTCCTTGATCTGAAGAGGTTCACAAAGTAGTAATGAAGAAAGATTTTTGAACAAATAATTATAATAAAAAGACAACCATTATTTATAGCAAAAATGTATTTAGTCTATAAGGAAATCATGTTCTGCTGCTATTTAACTAGAAGGAGAATACATTATAGAAAATTTTGCTTGAAAGAAATATTTTATTTAATGTTTATTTAATGAGGCAAGAAGTATAGATCATATGGCTTCCATCTCAAGGTCTTAGACAACTAGTCCATTTTTTGCCAATCTGTCTGTATCTTGGCCACGAGGAAAGGTAAAAGGGGAAGTGATAGTCTCATCCTGTCTTCTTGGGGAAGTTGCACACATCACTTCCATTCATAGCTCACTGCTTAAAGCTATTCATATGGCCATTTACAGCTACATGGAAGGCTAGGAAATACAGCCATCAGAAAGGTGGCCATGCGCCCTGCTAATCTCAGGAGTTCTGTTACCAAAAAAAGAAAGGGAGAATAAATATTGAGGGACAATGAGTAGTTCCTGCTACAACCCATTTCTGAAATAATTAAGCAGTTAACACGTATATTCAAAGCTATATACCTTTGAATTAAGACAGCAACCTCTCCCTCTCTATGAGGAAGAAACAAAATTATGTAATTCATCCTGACAATATTGTTCTGCATATATTAATGCTGGGGTTAGAAGTAACTGCAAACTTTTCAACATAGAAGGACCATTAAATCTGAGAGCTGTTGAAGAAATAGGAAGGGGGAGATTTATAGGGCTAAATTTTCAAAGGTAATAGAATAATAGTGGAGCCATCTTGATCCTCTTTCTCTGATGTCTTAAAGAAAAACAACCAGGATCCCTGCAGGCAGTTGTGTGGACTGTGCACTGAACAACTCTGGGAGATGTCATTTCCATCATAATCACCATAAAAATGATTTTCTAGCAGTAAAAGTTCTTGAGGGAGGGGTGCCCTTTCCCAAATTGTATGAAGGTATTCTTTGGACAAGCTGCAAGTAGTACTGCAGTCCCATGCCCTTTAACACTGCTGAAGGGCAGAAGGGGTGGGTTGTGGCACTGTTTCAGGCCCTTGATTATTCTTTTAAAAATATTCCCAAAAGTATTAAAGTGAGTGGGCTTTGATGTTCTCCAGGAACAAAAAACTCACAACATAAGCACATGAAAAGATGCTCAAGATCATTAGTCAGTAGGGAAATGCAAATCAAAACCACAGTGAGATACCACTTCACATCCACTAAGATGGCTGTAATCAGAATGATCAATAATAGTAAGTGTAGGCAAGGATATGGAGAAATTGGAAACCTCATAGATTACTGGTGGGAATGCAAAATGGTATATAGCTAAGAGAAATGAAAACATAAGTCCACATAAAAACTTGTACAGGAATGTTCATAGCAACATTATTCATAAACACCAAAAAGTGGAAACAACCCAAATGTCTATCAACCAATGAATGAATAAATAAAATGTGATGTAACCATACCAAAATTCATACAATGGAATATTATTCAGCCATAAAAGGAATGAAGTACTGATACATGCTGCAATGTGGCTGAACCTTGAAAATATTATGCTAAGTGAAACAAGCCAGTCACAAAACGCCACATATTATATGCTTTTATTTATGTGAAATGTCCAGAATGGGTGAATCTACACAAACAGAAAATAGAATAGTGATTGCCTAAGGATGGCAGACTGGGGATGGAGAGAAGAGGGTTGGAGGGAAATTGAGAGTGACTGCTACTGGGTACAGAGGCTTCTTTTTTGGGGTAATGAAAATGTTCTAAAATTGACTATAGTGACTAAAAGAGCCATAGAACTGTATATTTTAAATGGATGAATTGTATGGCATGTGAAATATATCTTAACAAGCATTTTTTTAAAAGGTAACAAAACAAATAAAATGAACTCAGAGCAAAGACAGGGAAAGTTTTTAACCCTCCCATTGAAGGCAGAGGGTTAGAAGAGGTAACACAATTGGTGTTTTCCCTAGGAGTTTCAGTCCTCCATTCTTCATCCTAGCAGGAACCACAGAATCTGGCCAAATAACTACCTAGATCTTCAAGCTGCCAACTATTAGAGGGGGAGAAATAGGCTTCCTAAAGCATAAATGACACACTAGTGGGTAAAAACACTTATAATTGTTATTTTTTACTAAATAAACTTACACGCAATGCCACATTTCATCTAAAACATATCCTCAACAGGGACGATGTATTAGTTTGTTTTCATGCTGCTGATAAAGACATACCCAAGACTGGGCAATTTATAAAAGAAAGAGGTTTAATTGTATCACAGTTGCACGTGTCTGGGGAGGCCTCAGAATCATGGCAGAAGGCAAGGAGGAGCAAGTCATGTCTTACATGGATGGCAGCAGGCAAAAAAAGGTTGTGCAGGGAAACTCTTGTATTTAAAACCATCAGATCTCTTATTCACTGTCACGAGAACAGCATGGGAAAGACCTGCGCCCATGATTCAATTATCTCAAACCAGGTCCCTCCCACAACATGTGGGAATTATAGGAACTACAAGATGAGATTTGTGTGGGGACACAGCCAAACCTTATCAGACAATATCACTCCCAAAGGGGTAAAATGTATTCTTAGGAGCAAAAAAAACAAAACAAAACAAAACAAAACAAAACAAAAAACCCTTTCCTCTTTTTATGTATGAAGCACAGATATGCACGTATTACATAAATAGATGTACAGTATTATCTATGGTTTTAAATTTTCATGAAAAGGGTAATTTGGGGAAACATGCCCAAAAAGGAAGCTTGAGGTCCATGGTTTTCACATACACTAGACAAACACTCTTCCTGCTGTGTTAAACTATTATAAGATGAAAATATTTGGCTCTTTCATTCTTCTGGAAATGCTCATGGTAACCAAAGTTCCCAGATTTTCGGTATAAAATATGGGCTCTTGCTATCTAACCATGTATCACTTATGAAATCATCTACTATCTTAGACTGAGAATTTATGTCTTGAAACAAAAGGCACAACCTACTACAAAACTAAAAAAGAGACAAAAAATATGTACCTATGTATTAGCCCTTTTCAAATCTTTCCTCTCATGCCCACGCCTACCCCTAAAATACAATCTTTGGCATAAAAAGGAGAAAAGGTGATTTTCCCCTTTCACTTTATCTACGACTCTCATCCCTCCCCTCCCCTCCACTGCTCCACCATCACCCTTCCCCACTCCAGACATGAGAAGACTTGCAGGCCAGGCCCTGTCTGAAGTTATTATGTAGATGATATTGTCATCTGAACCCACAGCCTCTCCTTTTTTCTCTTCTCTATCCCTTTCTCCATAATATGTATCTTTTCAGTGCCTTCCCCTATCTTAATTGGTCTAGTCTACCTCATTTCAAAACTGAAAAGGATCTAATTTTCATTTTCAACTGAACATGACACAGAGTGCACACTCACAGACAAATGCCTTTTCCATTAACTGTGGAATAAAAAGCTTTGACTCCTAGTAAATAAACTTCAGCCATCAAAGAGAAGATGGAGGTGATATCTGCTTCAGTTCTTAGAGGTGGAGGAAAGGAGATGAGACAGATTAGAAAGTGGGGCCATCAGCCTCTGTCTTCTGACTCCCTGTGTCCTTGGAACCCTTCTTTCCCTCCTGCCAGGAATTTACTCCCAGCTGCAGCTGCATCCATTGTCTTCGGTTTGCCTGGGAATTACTGGGTATAGCAGTGGCATGGTCTTGTTGCTGCTGTGGCCCTGGGACAAGGAGCACACACTGCCTGTATGGAGGGCCACAGAATTCACTTACTACCTGCCCTCCCCACCTAGCTCAAAACTGTTCCAACACTCCCTGGTGCTGGGAACCCGGGGCCACCTTCCCTGTTCTCACTCCTAATTTCAGGACCACCAATTCTGGTCTGGGTCTCACTCTTCCCTCACTATCAGTTGAGGTGTTGTCAGCCAGCTATCTACTTGTGCCCCAGGCAAGCAATTCACCTGAACAGGGGCATACTTGTCTGGGTCCTGGAGCCTTAGTAAGTGCAATCAACATAATTACCCACAACCCAAAGCCTCTTTTTCTAGGCGTCAGAAATATCTTCTTTAGTTTCAGTTTTCAATTAAGTGCTTTCATGTTTTTAGTCAAATATTGGCCCTTGTAATCTATTCATTGCTTTTCCCAGTGGAATTCAGATGCTCTTTACAAAGTTGATTTTCTTTTCTTTTCTTTTCTTTCTTTGTTTTTTTTTTTTTTTTTTTTTTTGAGACGGAGTCTTGCTCTGTCACCCAGGCTGGAGTGCAGTGGCACAATCTCAGCTCACTGCAACCTCTGCCTCCTGGGTTCAAGTGATTCTCCAGCCTCAGCCTCCTGAGTAGCTGGAACAAGAGGCGTGCACCACCATGCCCGGCTAATTTTTGTATTTTTAGTAGAAACAGGGTTTCACCATGTTGGCCAGGCTTGTCTCGAACTCCTGACCTCAAGTGATCTGCCTGCCTCAGCCTCAAAAAGTGCTGGGCTTGAGCATGTGGGCTTGAGCAGTGGGCATGAGCCACTGCGCCTGGCCCCAAAGTTAATTTTCAACGGTAAACATTTAAATGAAAATAAGAAACTTCTTTTGAGAGATGTCTATTCCTGTCCTTTGCCCACTTTTTCATGGAATTATTTTTTTGTTTGTTTTGCAATTGAGTTGTTTGAGTTCCTTGTATATTCTGGATATTAGTCACTTGATGGATAAATAATTTGCAAATATTTTCTCCCATTCAACAGGTTGTCTCTTCACTCTGTTGATTGTTTCTTTTGCTGTGCAGAAGCTTTTTGGTTTAATACAGTCCCATTTGTCTATTTTTCTTTTGAATAAATATATGAAAAACTGCTCAGCCTCACTAATCATCAGGAAAATGTACATCAAAACCAAAATGAGATCTTATCTTATCCCAGTTAGAATGGCTATTATTAAAAAGACAAAAAATAACAGATACTGGCAAGGATTTAGAGAAAAGGGAACTTTTACACACTGGTTTTGGGGATGTAAACTAGTATAGCCATTATGGAAAACAGTATGGAGATTTCTCAAAAGACTAAAAATAGGACTACCATACAATTCAGCAATCCTACTTCTGGGTATATATCCAAAGGAAGGGAAAGCAGTATATCAAAGGGATGCCTGCATCCCCATGTTTATTGCAGCACTATTCACAATAACTAAGACATGGAGTCAAGCTAAGTGTCCATTAGTGATAAATAAAGAAAATGTGGCATATATACACAATGGAATACTATTTGGCCATAAAAAAAGAATAAAATCCTGTCATTTGCAGCAACATGTTTGGAACTGGAGGACAGTATGTTAAAGGAAACAAATCAGACACAGAAACACAAATATTGCATCTTCTCACTCATATGCTGGAGCTAAAAAGTTGATCTCATGGAGGTAGAGAGAGTAGAATGATGGTTATCAGATGCTGGGAAGGGTGTTTGAGGGGAAGTGAAGAGAGGTTGTTTAACAGGTACAAACATACAGTTAGATAAAAGTGTTACCGGTGCAGGGGTGTCCAGGTTCTTGGCATCTTTAACAAAGAATTGGACAAAATGCACAAACAAAGGAAGGAAAGAATGAAGCAACAAAAGCAGAGATTTTTTGAAAATGAAAGTACACTCCACAGTGTGGGAACAGGCCAGAGCACAGGGGTTCAAGAGCCCTGTTACAGAATTTTTGAGCGGTTAAATTCCCTCTAGAGATTTACATTGGTTACTTGGTGCACACCCTATGTAAATGAAGAGGATGAAGTAAAGTTACAAAGTCATTTACTGGGCATATGCCCTATGGAGAGGACATCCCCTGTCATAGCTGAAGTGTGAATTGGCCTTATGTTCCCTGCCTCCAGAGCCTATTTTCCTCCCTCAGAGGGAATAAGTTCTAATATTCGAAAGCAGAGTAGGGTGACTACCTACAGTCGACAACCATAAATTTTATATTTCAAAATAGCTAGAAGAGAGGACTGGAAATGCTCCCAACACATAGACATGATCAATGCTGGAGGTGACGGATACTCTAAATGCCCTGACTTGATTACTATGCATGCTACGCATGTAACAAAATATCACATGTACCCCATTAATTTGTACAAATATTATGTGTCAATAAAAATATTTTAAAATAGGAAACTACCTTTTTATATGTAATAATCTGAACTCTTACTGCAGAGCTATCTTATCCAACAGCTCTGAAGTATAAGGAAAGCAAAAAGGAATTTAGAAACTTTCCCCCCAAACAGCTTTTTAAGTTTGATTTTACTCAGTTATATCCTTTAAATGAAATTATCCCAGGGCGTAAAATATTAAGTAAAATATAGAGGCAATTTGGAGCAAGAAAATAGGACCAACTTGCACGTGGTACTATGCAATTTTTTATGACCCACTTTCAGACATTTTTAATGTGACATGAAATAAATTCTGCTCTCACAACTTCCCATCCTCCCTCCAATCTTGAAGCATAGCTGGTGGGCTTCCAGAAAGAGAGCTCTGTTCTAATCAATTGGCTGAGCATCTCATCTTCTAATCCACGGCCTCCACACTTTCATCACAGCATAACCAGCTTCCCTCCCTAGTCTCTCCTCTCAAGTGATCTTCTACATGGCAAGTATGTATTGTGTGCCTAGTATGTGCCAAGCTCCACCAATATACACCATTGCTCTTCATTTAACCCATATGAGAATGTTTCCTATCTTTAAACTCTTATTTTGTTTTTTTAAAGAATAAAATCCACAATGACCGGTAATTCTTGTTTGTTATAGTTTGACAGTGATGATGATCCTCTCTACACTGGAATCTTTGGGTAGGTCTCCACATCACCCAGATGTCTGCCCCTAACCCTGACCACCTAGGATTCTGGCTGGTGGTTGTCATACCTGGGCCTGAATGTAGACTCTAGAGGTGATGAAACCTACAGGTGAGGAGGAAGCATGTGACATGGAAACGATCGATGTCACATTAGGGTCCCCAGCACTGTTTGTAAAAAGACTTCAGTGGTCTAGCCTGAGAATCTACATTGCCCTTACAAAGAGTCTATGGAACAGGATGTTCCAAACAAAAATAATTTCCTCCTGTCTTCTTTTTTTTAAGCCATATATCATTCGTAAGTTCAGAACTGTTTTTATATAAATACGGGTACATTTGGTGAAATAGTCCCATTACTTTGTAGCCATCCTTTCACAAAAAAGCTCACTTAATTCATTTGTACATCTAGGTCATTTTCAACCTGAATAACTCGATATCAATTTTTCTCAAACAGTTTTGACAAAATGACATAGTTTTTTATGAGTTCCCTTTTATCCTTTTTAAAAATGTAACTAGATATAGATTTATCATTGGTATAAAACATACAAATCTAACAATAGCCATTATTTGTTTTGGGTTATACATCATAACTGTACATAAAATTTCTAACATATGGCTGGGTGCAGTGGCTCACACCTGTAATCCCAGCGCTTTGGGAGGCCGAGGCAGGTGGATTGCTTGAGCTCAGGAGTTCAAGACCAACCTGGGCAACATGGCAAAACCCTGTCTCTACCAAAAATACAAAAAATTAGCCGGGTGTGGTGGGTGCATGCCTGTGGTCCCAGCTACTTGGGAGGCTGTGGTGGGAAGATCACTGGAGCCTGAGAGGCAGGGGTTGCAGTGAGCCGTGATCATGCCACTGCACTGCAGCCTGGGCGACAGAGTGAGATCCCCTTTCAAGAGAAAGAAAACTAAGTTTTTTGTGTTTTTTTTTTTTGCTGCACGCAGTAATATTCTTCTCTCTTTATACTAAGGATGCTCTTAGTCTAGCTGGAAATCACTGGTTTCACCAAGAGGTTTATCCACATGATGAGAACGGGGGCTTCCAACTTGCTATCAGCAGAATGGGAGGGAAAGTGCCTCTGACCAAGGAGACCTCGGTGATCCATACATGCCTCCAGTTACACAACAGACAGATCAGTCTGAAATGATGACAGGAGGCAAAGCATGGCACCTGTTACAAACTGCAACCATTTCTAACTTTGTATTGCTGAAAAGGTCTGAGCTGCCTGAAGCAGTGTTTGTGTTTTCTTCTGCTGTAAAAAAATGTACTCACCCTAAGGAGTAGAGGCGGCACTGCTTGTTGCGGATTTGATGAGCTAAATTGAACCTGTCGTCAAGACACACTGACCAGGGCTTGTGTGTAGGACTAGAGTCAGTAGCCAGGCTGTCTGTATTCATGTGATTGCATGCAATCTGTAAAGATTGGAAATCAATGTGAATAATTTGAAATGTTGGATGATAAATAGCAGGTAGGGACTTATTGCTTCCCCATCCTTGAAAACCGTAATAGGAAAGTTATAATCTCCTCCACTGCTAACAACTCCCCTCCCCAGGGAACCACAAGACTGCTATAAAGTGTTTGGAGAAATTTCAATTACTAGATAATAAGTAATCTCATGGAGACTATATGCAGGTTTGGAGAGAAGTTAAGAGCTGCTGTAGCCATGTGCACAGGGTGTGCAGGAGAGAACAAATCAGGAGCAAAAGGTGGGAGGAGCGGCTGTGTCAGGAAGCCTTTGTAGAGGGGTGCTAGTCCTGGAGGATGAACCGAGAGGCTTGGACCAAGAAGGGCAGTCCAGACACAGAGAACAGTGCTCACCATGCATAGATGTCTTCGTTACTCACAGAGTCCCTACTATAAGATGTGAGGCACAATGATAGGCATAGATCTCAGAAGCATACTCCCAAGATTAGCTATCCCTTATTTCAGGCAGATAAGGTGGGGCCACTAAGGTCCAGAAGGATGGCAGGTGTTATCCAAGGTAAACAGCTGATCATGGGTCAAGTGAAAGTAATAGGCAGTCCCTGCTGATAAGGCAGTGTTCCTTGTGATACACTGCTCTAATGCGCTTCCTCCTGGGGGAGAAGGGCAACAGCCCCAGGCAGGAGGCTCTTCCTGAGCTAACAGAAGCACTTTTCTTAACTCATCCATCAAAATTAGATAAGAAAACCAAAGGAATATATGAGTAAGTCAAGCAAAAGCAAGTCTCTAATTTCAACTGCACACAAAGCAAATATACTTCATAAGGGATTCTGACTTGTATTTGAGGCTAGTACATTTCGCACAGCTGAGGCTGTTGAAACCAAAGAAAATAAGGAAAATAAGTTCTGTGGCCAAGATATTTACCTTACTGAGCAACAGTATTTTCCCCCAATCCCTTAGAACTCTCATAGTCATCATGATGCTCCATGAATGCAGCAGCTTTTGCTGTCACAGCATAGACCACAGACCGCTCCAGATGCAAAGAACGTTTTGAGATTCATTGCTTTCATCCATTGGAAAACATTAACAGCAAGTAATTTTCTTCCTAAGAAGATATTCTAGGGCCAGGCATGGTGGCTTATGCCTATAATCCCAACACTTTGGGAGGCCGAGGCAGGAGGATCGCTTGAGCCCAGGAGCTCGAGACCAGTCTGGGCAACATGGCAAAACTTCATCTCTACAAAAAATATAAACATTAGCTGGGCATGGTGGCATGTGCCTGTAGTCCCAGCTATTCAGGGGGGTTGATTAATTGAGCCTGGAAGGTTGAGGCTGCAGTGAGCCATGATTGTGCCTCTACACTCCAGCCTGGGCAACAGAGCAAGACCAGACCCTGTCTCAAAAAAATAAAAGAAAGAAAGAAAAGAAAAGAAAAAAAAGATATTCTAGGCTTGCCTAATCCTTTAACTGATTTTCCAAAATTTTAATCTAAGAAGAGCATATTACGTGGAGCCTATTCGACTAACACAGCATCTGCATTACTCTTGCTATCCCCTCCGGCTGGCCTGGCAAAATCATCCTGCACTATTTATCAGTGAATGTTAAGTCTTCTGGTAGGATTTGGACATCTCAGAGGAAAGCTGAAAAAGTGAAACCCCTATATATCTTTTCCTGGAATCCACTATTTTTCTACTTCTCTATCTCCAACAACTGTTTAAAGGACAAAATAATCAGAGAAAATGGAATTGAATCTTTTCTGAAGCAACAGCTACAGAATACATTTATTAACTGGGTGCGTCAACATGTTAATTTGATAATTCATCTCCTACTATTCTCCCACAGATAAATGGAAATTATGTCTCTGCCTGCCCACCTCCTATTCTCCACCCACTCACCTAAGGGAAGAGAAGTTGCTAATCTAGTTAGTCAGAACTCAGTGTGTTCATTGGACCCTGTTCTGCTAGTGGACAGATTACTGTGTCTTAAACATGGGCACCTTCCTGAGCTCCACCTCCAGTGGGAAACTAGTTAGTCCAGGGCAGCTGTGTGTGCCCCCAAAGCATGCCTGGACCTTATAAGCCAGAGCCATCTGCTTGGGGGAAGTCTCCTGGGATATTTTTATTAAAATGGTATGATGATCCCCATTTGCTATTGTTCTTTGTGTACGTATCTCCCTAAACACCTCCATAATGACAGATGAAGATGTGATGTTTGCAGGACCTTGCTCATCATTCCCTCCTAATGCCATCCAAACCTAGCTCTAACCTTTCCCACAGTGTTTCTCAACATACGGTCCGCCTACATCAGAATCACCTGGGAGGTACTTAAAATGCAGATTCCTGGGCCTCCCTCCAGATCTACAAACTCAGAATCTTTGAGGCTGATACCTGAGAACATGCATTTTAATAAGCTCCCCCAGGTGATTTTTATGCAGATGGCCTTTTGAGTTTACTGGAGGCCTTTTGTAAAGCCCCAGTGAAAGGTTCCAGCCTAGTCACATCTCTGCCTCAGAAAATTAAAAGAGGCTATACTTGGGCCAGAGCTTTAAACTGAAAACATCAGCCCCTCTGACTCCCAACCCTAACAATGGGTTGAAGGGGTTAGCACTGACAGTTAGCCAGAGGCCTCCAAAAGTCAGGTAGGCATTGAAGATCCGCAGTGAGGGCTTTCAGGTCCAGCAGTTCCTCCTTTGCTAAAGTCAGGAACTAGGGTTTTATTTTATTAAAGATGACACTTTGTCTACTTTAAGCATTTCTTCTTATTCTACAGATTTCATCTTGGACAGATATATCTCTATTGAAGAGACATTCTTTTTCATTCACTCCCCCTGATAAGGTCCCCTCTTCCTTTCTTAGCTCAGAAATAAAACACAAGGGCCGGGCGTGGTGGCTCACGCCTGTAATCCCAGCACTTTGGGAGGCCGAGGCAGGCAGATCACACAAGATCAGGAGTTTGAGACCAGCCTGGCCAGCATGGTGAAACCCCGCCTTTACTAAAAAAAAACATACAAAAGTTAGCCGGACATACTGGCATGTGCCTGTAATCCCAGCTACTAGGGAGGCTGAGGCAGAATTGCTTGAAACCGGGAGGGCGGAGGTTGCAGTGAGCCGAGATTGCGCCACTGCACTTCAGCCTGGGCAACAGAGCAAGACTCTACCTCAAAAAAAAAAAAAAAAAAGAAAGAAAGAAAGAAAAGAAAAGAAATAAAACACAAAAATTATTCAATTTTAACCATTTATTAAACACCTCATTGATAGACATTAGCTTTTGTAAACAACTGAAAGTCCTCCATAAACTTCTGCTCCTAAAAATTAATTATTGATTTTTCAAACTTTCTAGTTAAGATTTATGGCCAGGGCTTCAATAAGCTCTCTTGTAAGCAAAATAAGTGAGGGCAGTAACTTCTAGCTAAGTTCCAACTCAACTAATTATGTTCTCTGTCTCTCTTTAATTCCCCTTGTAATTTTAGCCAAATAAAGCAAATTAGGCCTAGACAAAGGAAAAAATATTTTGTGAAATTTTTTTAATTATTTAACTTAAAGGGATCTAATTTATTTTCATTTCATTTTGTATCCCAAAAGCTTGAATGGTATTTCTGCCAACCCATAAGTAGAATCTGGCAAAGGGAGCCCTTAAAATTTTGGAACTTAAGAATCACTTCAATGATCTGCGTGTTTACAGAACGATCAACTCTATGCTCTATGTTTATACAGTACCACTATTTTTGAAAGACTCGAGGGCAGAATTGTATGCTTATTGTTTTTATCCCTGTGTGTGTATGTGTGTGTGTGTGTGTGTGTGTGTAGCAGTAAATACAACAGATACTATTGTTGTAAAGTTATATTCTGAATATCCAGAGCATGGGTTCTTATTCTTAGGTTATTCTTACAAATTGATAGATGGGTAGATAACTAGGTAGAGAGGTAGAGATAGATAGATAGATAGATAGATAGATAGATAGATAGATAGATGACAGACAGAAAAACAGGCTTTAAAACATATTTTATTTTTTCTTTTTAAAAACAGCCACTGTTGCTTAGATTAATTTTATACTGCAAGGCATGTTTCCTGGAGGCATATGGTTTGGGGGTTGCCATGAAAAGCTGAATCTGGAGACTTCCCTTAGAACAGAGCACTGTATTTATGATTTAACTATTTCTTGTTAGCAGCAGACAGTGTACCACGGACTACAGAACTCTGTCGTGTATCATGGTCTTTCACATTGAAAAAAAAAAATAGTACCTAATTAAGCTGAGCTTGATGTTCCGCACACTCTACCCAAACACCATATCCTCTGGAATTTCATTTAAAAATGCATGACCCCAACCATGCCTCCAGGACCACAATGCACAAGTCTAGGGGTGCCACGCCCATTGCTGTCTCATGCCATGCTGTCCTATGCCCTATGCCTCTGCTCCCGGGCTCCTCTGGCCTAGGAAGCTTTCCCCATCCATCTGTCTCCCCCCTGTTAGAGAACACCCAACTCTCTTGCACCCTACCTATTTACCAGTGTGGAGGGGTGTTTTATTGAGGCTTAATATCCCAAGGCCTGGCACAGTGCCAGCCATAAAGCAGGTGTTCAACAAATACCCTCTGGATTGAGGAATGAATACATCAATGATGCACATACCAAATGCTGGCCTTGCTGTACAAGCTTGAGCACAGATTTGAGGGAAGTATATTTCTTAATGTTAAAAAGCAGCATAAGAGGATGGGGGTGGATTTTGCATTAGTACCTTCAGAGCTTTTATTTTTTTCCTTGCCCATTATGACTCACTTCTGCTAACTGAAATTTTTAGGTAACAGTGACTCTAATATTCTGCCAGTTTCGTAGGCTTTCATTGTCAAGATGAGTTCTAAATGAGGCATAAGCCCCAAAAGCAACCATAAAGCTTTGCATTACATACGGAGGGGGAGGGAGCATTGGTTAGTAAAAGATTCTGATTAAGAACCATTTAGTGTCATCTCTGGTGACTCCCATCTGCTGGCCTTCTAGTAACCCGGAAGTACATCAAAGCACAGAACCTTATCTGGCTAAAATGGCCCCGCATTAAAAACCATTGTGAGGTCCGGAATTTTACGTCATTCTTTCTGGAGGACAAAAATCCTTCTAGTGAGCTTCAACAACAAATTCTCTATTATCGCTCATCAAGCTGAATAATAATTATACATCCAGTTATCCACCTTCACAAAGAGTTGGTTAGATCCTTAAGGGCAGAGACTATATCCTCAGGGCCCAGAACAGTTCCTGGCACCTTGTAGACACTCAAAAATACTTGGTTAATAACCATTCTATACTGCTCTGTGCACAGTACAAGCTCACAGAACTGAGGGGGACCTTAGAAATAATTTTGATACAATCTCTTCCATTTCAGGATCAGAACAAGGAGAGCCAGAGAAGCAAAGTGAAGTACCCAGGTTTACAAGATCAGACTACGGAGGATGCTTTAAAAAAAAAAATTTGGCCAGGCGCAGTGGCTCACACCTGTAATCCCAGCACTTTGGGAGGCTGAGGTGGGTGGATCTCCTGAGGTCAGGAGTTCAAGACCAGCCTGGCCAACATGGCAAAACCCTATCTCTACTAAAAATACAAAAATTAGTCGGGCATGGTGACAGGCTCCTGTAATCCCAGCTACTCGGGAGGCTGAGGCAGGAGAACCACTTGAACCTGGGAGGCAGAGGTTGTAGTGAGCTGAGATTGTGCCACTGAACTCCAGCCTGGGTAACAGAGGGAGACTCTGTCTCTGAAAAAAGAAAAGAAAAGAAAAGAAAAATTTTCTCCTCTCAGCCCATAGTTTCTGGGAAAGATCCAAGAGAGATCTAAAAATGACCATTTCATGCCTCAATAGCTTCTTCTAAGCAAACATGCCTTTTATAAGTTATGGAACATTAACATGAAATACATATAGAATGGAATTTGGTAGCTTGCATTACATAAATTTATTTTGGCGAGTGAAGCCCATAGTTCTCAAATCCGATTCATAAAATTAAAACCTCTTATTTTCTTCTGGAGCCTTTAAGGGCTTTTGAAAATCACAGTTAAAAGGTCCAGATTCTTATCGTTCATGTAAAATCAAACTACAAAACTAAAATTTCAGTATTTTAATTAAGTCTGCCTAAGTCCATCAAATTAATTTGCAGCAGCAAAATAAGATAAAATCATGAGAAGCACAGGGACTAATTCAACAGCCCATCACTCATGATTAATTCAACAAGCTTTTACGTCCATGTTTGGGTGACAAATACTAAAATTCCTATGATTGTCTCACTGCATTATATGATAAATGAGACTTTCTTTTACCCCTAAACTAACTAACCTCCTAAAGATCTGGAAATATATTCTCTCCTACGGAGGAAAAGCGCTTTGCTGCCAGAGAGGCTGGGGAGGAGAACAGGGATGTCAAGAGTGGGCTTGAGGGAGATTCTAAAAATCCAGGATCCCCCGTGCAGCACCAGCTCCACTGTGCAGCTTCCTGAGTGGGCCTCTGTGCAGCTCACAGGCAGTCTGAGCTGCTAATTTGCTAGCACCTCTCAGTTCAGGGCTAAATTTCCCTTGGGCCTTGATTTCCTTTTCTGTCTCTCTTTCCCCCTGGGATCAGGCAACTTGAGAATGGAACCTTCTGATTAACATGTCAAGAGCCATAGACTGTCTTAATGGACAGTCTCTTTGCCTGCTCGGGGCACTGGCTCAGCCTGGAGCTGGGCAGGAACTACCACAATGTGTTAAGTCACTAATAAAGGCCCGTGCTCAGTAATGATTTCAAGTGCTCTGAGATAGAGAGCCTTTGGATTCATTAACTCCTCAGCACACTGCCTGCAAAGCCTCCTCTGCTCTCTTGCCTAGCACATCCCTGGCTGCCAAGCATCTGTGACAGAAGAGTGGAAAGGCAAGTTCCTCCAAATACAAAATGGTGCTTGAACCTCTAGATGATGGTTTTGTTTTGTGACATACTCGACTGCCTACTCACGGGGACCAATCTGTCATTTCAAATGGTTTTCCAAAGCAATTTTCTAAAGTGGATCTTTAAAACACTTTGGGATGAATCATTTAAACATTTCAGGTTGGTGACACTCTTGGAGGAAGGAACATGCCCTAGCAAATGGAAGGTATCTTATCTGCCTCCAAGTGAGTGGATGAGTTTAAGCAACAATGCCTCTGAACACACTTCCCCATCAAGTCCTCATCAGGAGTCGCTGAGAACCTCCCCCACCTCCTTCTTTCAAAAGAGGCAATCAGGATCTTTCACATTCTTCTCTAACTTCTTTGAGCCTGAAACACAACCTGGGTGGTGCTGATATATCTCAGGAACCTCCAGGCTTCTTCATCCAGGGACTGAGCAGAGCCTGCCCAAGGCTGGAGATCTATATGCCACCGGGGACCCTGCAAGAGACAGAAAACATAGGTTGTGTGTAAGGAAGAGGAACTGGGTGGGAGGAGAAGGACACAGTATCAGAGAGGAAGCAAGGCTGCTTTGGCTGTCAGCAAAACACACACATATGCACACAGGCAGCAGGAGGCTCTTTGCGAGCTGCTGTCATTAAGGCCACATCAGTCGCAGGGAGACAAATGAGGCCGGAGACAGCACAACTCCCAGGTTGGGGAATTTGCAGGAGAATGCAAAGGCCCCAGGACTGTCTGACTCTGCATGTATGATCAAAGGCAAACTCCACTTGACCCCATTGGGCTCTCCCTTAACTGCAGCTTATTTTATATGAGGCTGTGCTCCTCCGGGAAAAGAAACTCCCTTATCGACGACAGTCTCCCAAAGCTTAGAGCTTCAAGAATATGTGCCTCTCTAAACAAAGCACCATAATGCTGGGGGCTTGTCTTTGTTCTGGGCATTTGTTTATCTTCCTCAGTGCAGGGAGATGGGACCACGGCCCTTGGCTGCTGGGACCCTGCACAGGCAGAGCGAGGACCCCAGAACTGTCATCACCAGGGCTGGGGAGGGTGGCTTTCTAGCACTGTGAGGCAGCCACCACCTGTTAGCAGAGGTTACGAGGTGCTCCCAAGAACAGAGTGGTTAAGGATGACCCGCTCAGCCCCCTTTTGTAGCAAGGATGGGTGGATGAAGGGTTGGGGGAATGCAATGGTCTGGAGGAAACAAAAATGGTAGCCCCTCCAGTAAAAAGGGGGCACTAGTCAGGAAATCCTTATTAGAGCTCAAAACTCCCACCTATAGTTGTCAACACCAAGAGACCTCCAGGAGGTTTGCTGCAATTCCCAGGGGTGGGGACGGCTCGTGCAGGGTAGGGAAGGGCTGGGGGAAGGGAGAGCTCCAGCAGCTGGCGGGGTCAATGTCTAGTGCCAGGAAAGGCTTTGGGCGTCATAGCATAGGTTTCCTGCAGTGTAGTGAGAATGGGCCCCTAAACCCCTTTTTATATGGTGAGGAAGTAGGCAGGGGAGGGTTCTGGGGGCAAGATAAAGGGATCATTCACATATACACAGTGTTCTCCAGTCAGGTACTGTGGTGGGAACTCTCAGCACCCAAGAAAGAAACATCTAGACAGGCCAGCCGTGAGATGCTTTAGTACAAATGTGGTTTGTTGCCCCTAGATGGGGTGGCCTAGGTGACTCGGGGTTACATAGAAAACAGGAAAGTAGTGGGGAACAAGGTTAGTCTATGTGAAGCCAGACGGTCTGGGTTTGGGGAAGAGGAATCCATTCTCACTTGGGCGTCTGAGATCAATACCAGCGCTTTGGAAGTGATCAAGGGTTATTCAGTTTTGGCATTATTAGACACACATCATTGCAGAATCCCTGTAGAGCCCACAGTCTCACATCCCCACAGCCTGTACTACCCTTGTGGGGGCTGAGCCTCACGCAGTCCCTCTAGATTGAAGGAGGCCTCCCTGGTTTCCCGCAGACTGCCTCTTTTTTCAGGAACCCATAGGGCAGGGCCAGCTGTATGGGCATGCAACCTGTGCAGTCTTAGGAGGCCATGCTCAGTTTAATGCTCTGCTGATGCTGTCTCGAAATTCTTAGTAATTTTATTATTTTTTTTATTACTGCTCCTTGCAGAGCAGGGCTAACTCACAGGCAGTGTGCCTAGAGTCAGTCAAAATTCTTAAAAATTTTTGAACAAAAGGCCCTGCATTTCATTTTATACTGGGCCCACGAATCATGTAGCCAGTCTTCCCTGAGGGACACCTTCTGAAAGAACAGCCTTTTCTTGTAGCTCTTCTTGTTCTGTGCAGGCTGAGCAGGCAGAGACTCTAGTAAGAGAGCTGGAGAACATTAAGTCATACATCTTTCCAGTTAATGCCTCCCACACCCTCATTTCTTTTTTCCTTCTCTGAATTCGATGTTGATTACCATTTGGTCAAACAATATTTATTGAGCCTTAGCCACTCTGTGCCAGGCACTGGTAAATAGAGATATGACTAAAACCCAGGCTCTCCCAAGAGGCACTCATGGTCAGGTGGGGGAGACAGATATGTACAAAATAACTTCGATAGTAAAATGCTAAAATATTCAGGAGAGTTGTTCTCTTTAGGAAATTATTCGATTCTGAAATCATAAATTATCAACACATTTAAACACAAATGCCTCCAGTCCTGCTTGGTCACATTGACAGAGTGAGTGCTTCCCAGGTTGCTGCAGCAGCCAGCACAGCAATATGATGTCCCAGGAGCACTCAGCTAGGCCCGGGGTTTAAAACCTCCCACTTCACTGTCATGGACCACTCACAAGGGCCCCGAGCATCTGGCCCAGGAGTCCCTGGATGAAAATGATGAAGTTCACATGTTATGGTTTTCCTCAAAATCAGGAGTTGGAAAATCTTTTCTATAATGGGTCAAATAGCCAATGTTTTAGACTTTGCAGGCCACACAGTTTCTGTTGCAACTCTTTGCCTCCTGTTGTAGCTCAAAAGCAGCCATAGACAGTAAGTAAACAAATGGTTATGGCTGTCTTCCAATAAAGCTCCATTTACACAAACAGGCAGCAGGCTGGATTGGGCCTGCAAGCTGTAGTTTGCTGACTCCTGCTCCAGCTGATCCTAATTCAGAGGTAGGCTGGCCTAAAAGGGGGGGTTGACTGAAATAATGCAAGGGAGACAGACTATGATGTTGTTGGGGCTCAGAATATGATTTCCCAAAGTCTTGTGCTTTGGCATGGTATGAACTTTAAAGTGTTGTAGGACTTTCTCCTTAGTTCAGGTAAAATGGGGTCTTTGTCAGATGACCATGAGAGACTGGGCTCACAGACACTTTGAAGGGTGAGAAAAATGGAATTTACTGGGCAAAAAGGAAAAAAGAGAAACAGGGACTCTCAGCAAAGCAAAAGTTCTGCTAGCTGGCTTCCTGCCTCACAGATTGAATCCCAGTTTCCACCCCAGAAGAGGAGAGGCCAGGCTCCTCCCCACTGCAAATGGTGCAAACTTCCCAGGGGCTCTGGCCCGTTGTGCATTCCTCCCAGTGCACAGGCTGGTCAGAGTTTCTCTGGGGTCCCCTTTATACTTGACTGTCTCAAAAAGACACTGGATGGGCCTCAAAGGCGAGTTCTCTCTGACCTTCTGTGGCCCTCCTGTCTCTCACTCCTCTTTCTTCCCCAAAGTGAGTTCTAGAAACCAGAATTCCTCTTCCGCAAGGCAGGTGAGAGAAACTGGAGACCCTCTTCCCAAAGCAAGCCATAAAATCTACAAAGGTCACTCTCTCCCTTCTCCCCAAATACCTTTGTTCCAGAGGGATCTTGCCCCATACCCAGGAGGAAGAAACACTACACAGAGAGACCAAGAGGAAGCTGAACAGACAGGCCTTGCTGGGGTTCCCCGCTCAGTCTATTACCATTACATCAGACCCTTTTGTCCAATCACACTTCCACGTAGCTGTCCATCTTCATGGAACCTAAGCATTAAAATAGATCATTTTCCCTGCATCTCTAGGTCTTCATTTCTGAAGGCTTCCATGTCATGTAAAACTTTGATTAAATAAATGTGTTATGCTTTTCTCTTGTTCACCTGTCTTTTG
Source organism: Homo sapiens (assembly GCF_000001405.40). Classification (NCBI taxonomy): domain Eukaryota; kingdom Metazoa; phylum Chordata; class Mammalia; order Primates; family Hominidae; genus Homo; species Homo sapiens. The sequence continues at coordinate 110,326,463 of NC_000006.12, forward strand.
TTAAGAGTGTTGGCCGTATGCTTATGGTGAGTGAGGAAAGGTATTACACCTAGATTATAACCAATGTTGTTAACTGGGTGACTTGGGCAATCAGTCAGGGACCCAGCAGGATCCAGTGGGCTCATTCAAACTGGCTAATTTGAGAGAATTTAACAAAAAGTCTATTTACAAAGGTGTGGGCAGGGCTTAAGGAAACCAATAAAGAATAAATAATGCAATACCTGTGTCTGGTAACACCGGAGAGCCCTTACAAGTCTAAAGGGAACTATATGGAGAAGTCTGTAGTACAGGAATACAGCCAATCCTATTACATACTCCACCCTGTCTGCCCCACCCACCAATCTCCTGCCTCCTGTTGGCCAAACTCAAAGGGAAAGCAGGGAAGACTGAGGCTGTGCTTGGTCCCTGCAGGTCAGCCTCCCGGGGTGGAGCAGGGTGGAGGTTGGGCCAGCAGGGGCAAATGGAAGGCTTCTTGTTCCAGCATTCTTTGGAAAGAGGCAGTGAGACTTGACCAAGGAGTCATTCATTCATTCAGTGGGCATTTGTGCCACATGCCAGGCTCTGTGTCACAATTTAATATAGGCCACAGCTGTGTAAACCAATAAATGCCATAACGGTTATAGGGGCTCTGACAGAGATCTCTACAGGGTACACTGGGGGCACAAAAAGGTACAGCGCCTGAGTATTACTCCAAAATAAATGACTGAAAATACAAAGGCAGAGCATGGGAAGCAGTCTCCACTACTAGAAGCCCAAAAGCACATCAAAGGTCTTTCCAGCATTATTAAAGACATCTTAAACACAGTAGCAGCATTTAACCTGAGCTAACATACAAAAGTAACTTCACAGATCAATAATTTAGAATCCATATGGTAAATCAATATGGTGAAACTATAGAATGATCTTAAGGGTCCACAAATAGTATTCTTCTTGCAACCTAATATTTTTCATTTCCAACTGAGTGTTGACCACAAAGAAGCTAAGCACAGCAGCTGGAACAGTGAATAATGTTAAGTTGAGGAGTCTCAGATGGGGATATAATAGAAACACCGCAAATAGATGCCCTCAGAAGTGCTCTGGCTTAATGCTTTGGTTGAGCTGTTTAAAAAACATTTCACATAAAGCAATGTTCTTATTGGAATCAGTCTGACAGCAGTTTGTGATTATTTCCCCATGGAAACCGCTAGCTTTTATCATCTCTTTCAATTATCATTTGTCTTAATTCTCTAGTGTATACATCAACATTTGTCCTTCCCAAATTCCCACAAAGAGAATTCTCTGAGCACCTTAAAACGTCAATGGCAGGTTAAATAGAAAAGGACAAAAATCATCTTTCCCTTTTTAAAACCTCTTTTTAATCATTGTGATTTTACTCCAAACAATTCCCTAAATGCCAGGGTACATTAAATGCCTATCATCCACGTGTTTCAAATATCAAGTGGCCATAACAACGCCACCCCTATTGCTCCCAGGAGGTGGGAACGTGGATTCCCAATCCTGCCTGCCACCTGTACTTCCTCTTCAGACAGGTAAAGCAGCAGCTTAAGCAGAGGTGGCTGGAAATAACATCATTTTGGATTGGTCTGTTTGTCTGTCCCCAGGAGGCCTGAGCTGAAATGTCAAATGAGGTATTACAATGAGTTGCCACAGAGAAGCAGCTTTGTTCCTGAGCTCCTGCAGGAGTGGGGACCCCCTCTATTTCTAAACCACCAGGGCATTCATACAGAGGGGCCTGCCCCACCTCAGACAAGCATTTCTCAGGGCAGGCGTGGTCCTGATTTCCAATGTAAGGAAGCAGCCTCCTTTCAGTTTTGCAAAGGCCTTATCTGGCACCTTGTCCAGACAATGTGCATTGAAAAGTGAGCAGGCTTCTTCTAATGAGAGGCAAATGTTTTCATTACTAGAGAAAAATTCCAAAAATTCAGATTAAGGACAGCAGAAGATTCCATACGCAACTAGTTCATGTTATTTAGTGGCTATTTTGCAGATATCTGAGATTCTACTTCCCGAAGGGTAAAAAGTGATCACTGAGTCATTCAGTGCATGGAGATAATGGATTTGACTCAAAAAGACTGCAACAAGCACAGCCATGAGGCTTTGGGATATTTTTGTCATTTGTGATCTCAGCATAAAGTTTTGTTTCTTGAAAAAAAGAAAGTGATTCTCTCAAGCCATGAAGCTGAATTCCAAGATTTTACTCCTAAAAGATAATGCCAAAAAAAGGGAATATTTTAAAATACTCCTTTGCCTACCAGCTTACACTCATGTACATAATAGAAATATATTAATTCAAGACCATGTAGCATTTAAAAAATTTACAGGAAAAAAAGCAGGCCCACTCATGACCTAGAAAAGAGAGCTATCGATTCTGTGTTATGCAAAAGCTTTCTTTGTTGTAAAATTTGGAATAACAGCTTCCTCCTTCACAGACCATATCCTCACACCCATGAATGACCTTAGGCAGCCCATGAAGAAATTACCAAAAAATGGTGCCACCATCAGCTTGACAAGCATGTTTCTACATTTTTTGTATAAAATAAACCAAAAGGATGCTTCTAATGCCCCATTCCTCTGTGTTTCAAGGCTACAGTCCTTTGGAGGATGAAATTATATGATGACTAATGTAAATGATCAGTTTCTTTATCACAATAGATAACTGATAGAGTGTTTGGGATATTTTTTATAAAGTCTCAATACTCCCAAATGCATGTTCCCACCCCAGTGAGCTCCTGAAGGGTTTTAAAACCAGCAGTTTTCTGCTGGGAAAGATGGCTAACCATCAATTCTGTGCATCACAGTTGTGTGCGTGGAAATGAACAAGGAACTAGGTTGTGAGTCCTCGACTCCAACTCAGCAATAAAGTGAGTGTGTGTTGATGTGTTGACGATGGAGAAGCCTAAGCTTTCTGGGAGAAACAAATCCAAAACAAGTAAAATAGATTTATTTAGCAATTTTGCTGCAATTTTGTGCTAATTAAGAGCATCTGTTAGTGGGCAGGAAACAATGACTGAAGGAAACTGTTTATTCCTTTTTAGAGGGGGTGGGGGTGGGAGTAGTTGGGGGAGGGAGAGGCACAAAATGGTATCTGGACAGAACATGACTCTAGCCCTGGCTGAGGCTGTGAGCACTGCCGTTACGTTTCTGTAACGCCCTCAGTGTGTGCCCAGCGCTTCTGAAGGCTGCGAGGGGAGTGCCGGGTGCAGTTTCACGTGCCTTCCCCTCAGCCTTCTCCTGTAATTGGCCTGTTTCTCAGACCCGGCCCTGCTTCAGAAAGAGCAAGAATCAGTTATACATTGTGCAGTGATGTTTAAAATTCAGGTAACCCATGCAAAAATTTCATTTAAAAACAAAGGATCTCAGTTTCCGTTCTGGGTAAGCACACTCCCACCCCGCGCCTCCCACGGAATGCAGCAGTAAAACCTGGACAGAATGCACAGAGCGGTTATTTGAGGAATCTGAAAAGTAAACAGTAGCAGGCAGATTGGAGAAGAAGACCAGAATTCAAAGTACCTCGAAACTAGAAGCCAGGTCACCATTGCTTTTCCTTCTGGTGTCCTGCCCGCCCTACTCTAGGCTGCCTGGCACCGGTGGTGGGCACTGGCGCAGCCAGGAAGCACCAGGAGCAGCCCCGCAGTTCAGGCTCCAGGAGGCGGGGCGTCTCCCGATGCTCAGGGATAGTAGAGGAAATCCTCACTTTTCCTCCTTTTTTTTCCTTTCTCCGTTCTTGCAAGTAATCCCACTAAGATGGTAGAAGCCACAGTGGGGGCCTGAAGGCACCTAGAACTCTGCGAAAACGGAAGTTTCCTCTCCTCTCTGAGGCAGTGGACCCCAGAGAGTGGGGTGAATCCTCATTGACTATGTCTGTCTCTCTCTTCCCGCAGCTTGGCCTTGGACTCAGGCACAGTCACAGGAAGTGTGAAGCAGAGCGTAGGCAAAGCAGGGGTAAAAGCCCAAACTTTCTGGTCATAGATTCAAAAACCGTAGGGAACTGGATAATACTGGGGAAACTGGGGAGAAGGAGTAGCTTGGGAAGGCAGCCCCATTAACGGATTTGTAAAGCACCTGGGCTCACTCTAGAACTGTGCATGTGTGGATCTGATCCTGCCTGGCACAGCAAAGACTGAGAACTGAGCTAATAGATGGACCTCTGGAGCTAACAGACAGACAGACCTCTGCCCAAGCCCCAGACTGGCCTGGGCATACATGGGATACACATGGGACAGAGGTGAAACCCCTACCAAGCCTTTGAAAACAGAGCTGACATGGAAATTACAACCCACAGGAGGCTGGTGGGAACTTGAGGCCTGGACCCAACCAGGATAACTGCCTGTTAAAACAAATATATCGACATTATCCACAGTATTTAAACAAAACTCGGCCTTATAATATTCAAATTTTCAGGATACAGTCCCAAACTACTAAGCATATGAAGAATCAGGAAAATCCCAACTTATGTGGGAAAAAGACAATCAGCAGATGCCAATGTAGGCCTGATACAGATGTTGAAATTTTTGGCAAAGACTTAAGAGCAACATTTACAAAATAATCCATGAAGTAAAGGTGGACATGCTTGAAACCAAGGGCAAGATAGAAAGTCTCAGCAAAGAAATAGGAAGCATAGGGAGCCAAATGGAAATTCCAGAACAGAAAATACAATAACTGAAATAAAATCTCAGGGGATGAATTCAATAGCAGAAAGAATTTGACACAAGAAAGAGCCAGTGAACTTGAAGACAGATCAATAGAAAGTATCCAATGTGAAAAACAGAGAGAAAAATTATTGTGGGCAGGGGGGAAAGAGCCTTGGGGACCTGTGCAGCAATACCAAGTGGTCTAGCATTCATGTCACTGATATTCCAGAGGAGGGGAAGAAAGAATGCAGTGCAGGAAAAAAAAAAATTAAAGAAATAATGAGGCCAGGCACGATGGCACACACCTGCAGTCCCAGCCCTTTGGGAGGCTGAGGCGGGCAGATCACTTCAGCTCAGGAGTTCAAGGCCAGCCTGGGCAACATGGCGAGACCCTGTCTCTACAAAAATATAAAAATTAGCTAGGCATGGTAGTAAATCCCAGCTGTAATCCCAGCTACTCTGGTGGCTGAGGTGAGAGGATTGCTTGAGACTGGGAGGTCAAGGCTGCAGTGAGTCATGCTGTGCCACTGCACTCCAGCCTGTCTGACAAAGTGAGACCCTGCCTCAAAAAAAAAAAAAAAAAAAAAGGAAGAAAGAATGACTGAAAGACCCCCCAAATATGATGGAAAATATAGCCTAAAGATTCAAGAAGCTTTGCAAACCCCTCAGAGGAAAACTCGAAGAATTCCACACCTTTATGTGTCATAAGCAAAGTGCTGGATATTAAAGACAACAACAATAAAAAACTGAGCCTCTGCTAATCTTGTGACAGACCCAGTAGTGGGCCAGGGTCAAAACAACAAGGTGAGAACGGGCAGAGCCAGCCCGTCCCATAGGAGCCTCTTCCCCTCAGGCCCCCTCCCTGTCAAGACCCAGCTCTCTCTCTCTGCAAGCCCATCTGCTAAATGTCTCTGGCAGCAGACAGCAGGCATGCTGAAATTCAAATCCAGAGCGCCAATCTGCCGCCTCTGCAGCATGACACAGAGGGTAGGCTGGGAGGCAGGGGAGCCAGAAATCAAATCAGCTCTGACAAGAAAAAATGCATTATAATTCAAGCAGGTCCTGATAACTTTTAGGAAGGAATAAAAAATATAAGACAAGAAGGAATAAACACTCAACTCTGGATTTATCCTCTAAGTTATTTTGATAAGTTGGAAAGAGTGGCTAAACAAATTTGAGTTGGAGTTTGTTCTTAAATTGACATCTTTAAATTCACCACATTTTCTGTGTAGGTCAAAATGGTTCAAATGTGAGCAAGACTGAAACACACCAGGGGATGGCTAAGAGAATAAAACGTAATATATTTTAGATTTTTATCATGGGCAGTAAAAACAGAAGCCATATACCTAGAGTGGATCCAGTGAAAGCCGAGATTTTCACTTGTTTTCATGAGGTGGAAACTACACAGTGTCTGCATACGTAGTAAAGTTTCAGATGTCAAATTATGGGTTTCATTGAGGTAGCACATCAACCTGGAAAGGAGGGACGAGTTTCAGTTTTCTTATGAAAGTAAGTTTATATAAGAATGTTTCGGCCAGGCACGGTGGTTCAGGCCTGTAATCCTAGAGTTTTGGGAGGCTGAGGTGGGAGGATCACCTAAGGCTAGGAGTTCAAGACCAGCCTGGGCAACAAAGCAAGACCCTCATCTCTATGAAAAGTTACAAAATTAGCCAAGTGTGGTGGTACACTCCTGTAGTCCCAGCTGCTTGGGAGGCTGAGGTAGGAGGATCGCTTGAGCCCAGGAATTCAAGGTTACAGTGAGCTATGGTTGCAACACTGCACTCTAGCCTGGGCAACAGAAGGACAACATTTATCGAAAAAAAAAAAAAAGCAAGTGTGCCTAAGAAAGCAAAGGGAATTTAGAAAAACACTAACCATATTTGTAAGGATTATCTCTCTCTCTCTGCCTCTTCTTGTCTCTGTCTGTCTCTCTCACACACCCTGCCTCCACATGTATACACACCCTATTCAAAATACGTAAGGTTACCTGGACTTTCTGAAACTCAGAATCCTAAAAGTTTAACATCATCTGAATCAACACCAATCTGCTATGTTCATCGACTTACTTCAGTCAGTTACCCTTCCCCCAAACATTTACCAGCCCTGAGACGTCAGTGTATTCAGGAGGAAGGTCTGCTGCACCCCTATAAACCCATTTCAAAGATGCTTGGGATCCTGAGTTGCTATTAAAACCAAAGGGAAATGGGGGTTGGCAGAGGGTGGGGAGGACATAAAAGCCACCAGTTTGCTCCAGTTAATGCTTCCTGCCTTGAAATTTTGTCTGTCGATATTTGTAAACCGTGTTTTTATTTGAGATTTGTATTTTATTGGCATATTTTTCACTTGATTTTTATTTTATTATATTATTATTTATTTATGTATTTTTTGAGGGGAGTCTTGCTCAGGCTAGAGTGCAGTGACATGATCTCGGCTCACTACAACCTCTGCCTCCCAGATTCAAGTGATTTCTCCTGCCTCAGCTTCCCGAGTAGCTGGGATTACAGGTGGGTGCTAATTTCTGTATTTTTAGTAGAGATGGAGTTTCACCATGTTGGCCAGGCTGGTCTCAAGCTCGTGACCTCAAATGACCTGCCCACCTCGGCCTCCCAAAGTTCTGGGATTACAGGCGTAAGCCACCACGCCCAGCCTTGATTTTTAACCTATGTTACTTTGAATACTTCTTTTGTATACAGCACTGAGTTGATTTAATTTTATAAACTTTTCCCTTCAATAGTTATATTTCTTGATAACTGACACACTTAAGTGCATTTACATTACTTTATTTATACTTTTATTTTGAGGCTTTTCTTTTTATTTTTCCCATCCACTCTCTACATGTTGTCATTCTCAGATTTTCTGTATTTCATCATTTTTAATAAGAGTAACTTAGAAGTTATATATTCTATTTTCATTTTAGAGTAGTGTTCTCTATAAGTAAATAAGCCAGACAGAAAAAAAGTGGGGGGAGGAATGGAGACGAGAACAGGAAAAGGGGGGCCTGAGAGAAAACAGAGGAAAGGGGGGTCTTCCCGCAACACCTGCACAGCAATCTCCATCTTCCCCACGAGAGAACCTGCAACCCGGGGGCCCACAGGGCTCCCCGAGGTCTCTTTGGTGGCTCTCAGCCCACATCAGTCTCAACTTCACTCAAACCAGGGAAAGTGTTTCCTTTCCAGGCTTTAAACCAGAAGTCATTTTTATCACGGAAAAGAATTAAAATGCCTCACCTAGTCAGCAAGCGCAGGAGAACATGGACCGTGGCAGAAATAATGCATCCCAGAGGCCACAGAGAGCACCCAAAACACAGAGCAGCAGCATCCCACAGCCACCCCAAAGGCTGACAAGGGGACAGAGGCCACACGTGGCACAGGACATTGACGGGAAGCAAAGCCTTTCTTGGAAACCAGTTGTAGACACTGGATGGTGCTTGAATCCTCTCCTCTGAGACAGGACAAAAGCAAGCAGGACATAAAGTGCTCTGCCACGAGTAGACAGGCCCAGGGGTTGGGGGATGGGGGAGAGCAAAGCCACACACCATTTATCACATGGTTAAAGAGTAGCAGCGGTTTCCTCATGAGGCTATCACATCCCACTGAATATGTCATTGGTTGCACGTAACCGTGCAGGTATACATATATGTATTTCTCAGTTCTCAGCATTCATTCATCCATTAACTCTTTTGTCATTTTCATATTGTTCATGTTTCATACTGACCTATCCTACTCTCTTGCCATTTGACAATGATACAGTATTTGGTAGTCTCAGTAAATCCTACCTGACAATTACAGATAACGCTCTGGTTCCAGGACATTCCTTGCATGATTCTATATTTATAGAACATTTTTCTGTCTGAATGCACTATAAGTTATAGTGGCTGACAAGTTAGGAGAAGCCACATAAAAGCTTCTTTTGAATCTCTGGGAAGCTGCCACCAGGGCAGAACAAGGCAGGCAGAGTCGACTGGACTCCTCTGGAACCAAAAGTATTTCAACCTCAACCCTAAATGGAAGGAAAAATCCACAGTCTTTATTACGAAGTGGCCTTTTTCAGGGACATGAAGAATTGCTGAAGGAAGCAGACCTTTTTGGAAGTCAATCCATTCTGATTGGGTTTGCTGCTGTGGAACTCTCTGGACTCAGGATTCTTTGGTGAATGGGAGCAAGAATCTCCAAAGTTAGAAGCGAAGCTGCCAAAGTGGCAACTGACCTCAGCCCAGGACCCTCTCCCCATTTCAGATTGGAAATAACGAGAGTACAGGTGACAAACTGTATAACATAGCAGATCTAAGCTGATGAAATCTCGAATATATTTCTTAATTGTATGAGAAATGACTAATATTCCTTTCATTAAAGAAAAACAACCTTCCATCCATAAGTAAAAACTTACAATGAAAAAAGCAGTTACAGAATACAAAAGACACAAACAATTTCAAGCTTTAAATTTTACTTGCTTTGTACTTGTAGGGAATCATTGTTTTTTTTTTTTTTTTTTTTTTTTTTTTATGAAAAAAATGTTTAAGACTAGGGTTTCACTATATTGCCCAGGCTAGACTTGAACTCCTGGACTCAAGTAATACTCCTGCCTCAGCCTCCCAAGTAGCTGGGCCTACACTGCACCTATTGTACTGGTAGGGGGTCTTTGCATTAAAAGAGACCTTAATAATAATCAAGACTAGCTGCTTCATATTATAATTGAAGAAAACGAAGTTCAGAGAGGTGAAATGACATGGCAAAGTCACCCAGGTAGGAGGTGACAGTGATGGATTCTGGCCCAGGCCTCTAGGCTGCTGGTCCCATACTTGCTCCACTACCCCATGCTGCCTCCAACCCAGGTCTGAGTTTTATCGTCCCCAAAGCTAGTTGATAATATAGACATGGCATGCCCAGTAGTACTTCAGAAAGGATTCCCAGGTAAAAACCAAAATGGCTGTCTTGCACTGATAAACTCAGTGCAACAGGTAAGAAATCCATGAAATTCTTTCTCCAGAAGATACAGAACACACTAAAAAGTTCACTAGTGGTTCTGAAAATGTCATGGAGGATAAATCCTTAGTGAGTTAGAAAGGAGGATTACAATGTGTCACGGGAAAGGATTTGGGCCTTTCTGATGAGTGGCAGTGGTATATGTAAGTAGGGGCAGGGGCCAGCCCGAGTCCCTGAATGACAGCAACAAGCTGAGGCCTTGCCTCTCATCCCTACCAACCCACACTGGCCATGTAGCATAGCAAGAAATAAAAGTTCTTCATTTTAATCCACTGAAATTTGAAATCAAACACCCACATGAATGTTTGTTACTGCATCATAACCTAGCCTATCCTGATTCATGCAAGCACCTACTAAAAGGCACTCGATAAAAGATGGTTATCAGCTGGGCGCGGTGGCTCATGCCTGTAATCCCAGCACTTTGGGAGGCTGAGGTGGGCGGATCACGAGGTCAGGAGATAGAGACCATCCTGGCTAACACGGTGAAACCCCGTCTCTACTAAAAATACAAAAAATTAGGCAGGCATGGTGGCGGGCGCCTGTAGCCCCAGCTACTTGGGAGGCTGAGGCAGAAGAATGGGTGAACCCAGGAGGCGGGGCTTGCAGTGAGCTGAGATTGCGCCACTGCACTCCAGCCTGGGCGACACAGCAAGACTCCGCCTCAAAAAAAAAAAAAAAAAACAAAAAGATGGTTATCATTTGCTGGCGAGGTTGCAGAGAAAAGGGAACACTTATACACTGTCGGTGGGAGTGAAAATTAGTTCAACCGTTAGGGAACGCAGTGTGGTGATGCCTCAAAGAGCTAAAAGTAGAACTAATATTCAACCCATCAATCGCATTATTGGGTATGTACCCAGAGGAATATAAATCATTCTGCCATAAAGACACATGCACGTGAATGTTCACCACATCACTATTCACAATAGCAAAGACATGGAATCAACCTAAATACCCATGAGTGACAGGCTGGATAAAGAAAATGTGGTACATATACACCATGAAATACTATGCAGCCATAAAACAGAACAAGATCATATCTTTTGCAGGAACATAGATGGAGCTGGAGGCCATTATCCTTATCAAACTAATGCAGGAATAGAAAACCAAATACTGCATGTTCTCACTTAGAAGTGGGAGCTAAATGATGAGAACTCATAGGCACAAAGGAGGGAAGAGCAGACACTGGGTTCTACTTGAGGGTCGAGGGTTGGAGAAGGGAGAAGAATGGAAAAATAACTATTGGGTACTAGGCTCAATACTTGGGTGATGAAATAATCTGTACAACAAACCCCCATTATATGAGTTTACCTATGTAACAAACCTTCACATGTACCCTAGAACCTAAAATAAAAGTTAGAAAAAAAGAGTGCACAGAATAATAAAAAAGAGGTGGTTATCATTATGAATGTACCCCTACAGCACTTTCCCAATGCCACACCATCAGAGATTGAATGGTAGGCTAGAACAGACCATTGGTCTTATGCAGATTCTTGGATAGGGAAAGAAAAGTATAACCAAGGACAAGTCAGTGTCAAGATCAGATTCAGGGAAGTTAGGAAGTGCCCAGATAGACCATAAGGAAATTCCAGTTACAAAACAAATCCTGTTGCATCATGACCCTAACATACTTTTCCTCCTGCCCAGAATTCTCCCGCTTATTCACTAGTCAGTTCAGATTCCACTTATTCTTCAGACTCTAGTTTTAGTTCCACATATTCCCTCAAATTTCTTAATCCTTCAAGCCTCTACTATGTGCAAAATAGACCATGCAAAGCAGGTGCTTCAGCAATTATTACTTTTACTTCCCATTTTATACTTAATCAAACATTTGGTAAAATCTGTTTCAAGTGTGTCAATCTTGTTTCTCTAACCAGACTACAAGCTCTGTGAAGATGCCATGTGTTTTGCTGCTTTTACAGTCCCCCACAGAAATGATTCCAAGGGACATTTTTACACTGATTTAAATGCCAGGGAGGAAAGAACATGATATAATCCTCAGGGCTGAGGACAATTTGTTTTAATGACTTTGGAAGAAAGCAGGGAAATTCACTAACTGGACTTTATAGTAATACCTTAATCTAGCTAAATATACATACTCTTTCTTTGGGTGGAAATAAATTATTATAAACCCTACATGTTGGCTGGGTGTGGTGGCTCACACCTGTAATCCCAGCACTTTGGGAGGCTGAGGTGGGTGGATCACCTGAGGTTGGGAGTTTGAGACCAACCTGGCCAACATGGGCAAAACCCTATCTCTACTAAAAATACAAAAATTAGCTGGGCGTGATGGTGCATGCCTGTAATACCAGCTACTCAGGAAGCTGAGGCAGGAGAATCACTTGAGTCTGGGAGGTGGAGGTTGCAGTGAGCTGAGATCATGCCACTGTCCTCCAACCTGGGCAACAGAGCAAGATTCTGTCTCAAAAAACAAAGCCAAAGGAAAACAACAATAACAAAAACCCCAACGTGTCTTCGATTCAGCTTTGTTCAAATTAAAGTTAAAACCAGAGATGGCAAGTAGTTTAGCAGGAACCCTGAGAAAAACTACAAGGAAGCATTTTTGAGAATTTAAAACACTTCATTAAAAATTAGCATTTGTTTTAATAGATTAAAAAGTTAAGTATTTACATAGCAGTTATCATAAACTTTAAGCTAAATCTGTATAAGTTCTCTACTTGAAATCATTAAGGTTAGGTTTTGTCCAAATCATTTAACAGCACTGAGCTAATTAGTCTATAATATTGAAAGTTAGCTTTCGTAATTCCAAAGACTGTTTGTATGTAACCTTGCAACTATCGATATTTGTTACTGCAAATTTTATTGGTTAAATGCAGAAAAAGTAGTTGGTAAAGGTGAAGATGAAAACAGTGTTTGTCATGGGAGGTTGATCCCACAGAGATGACCTCCCAGAGATAACCTCCTGGTCATAACTGTTCTGGTCTACTTCTAATCATTCATCCTGGATAGTGATGTTGTGCAGATTCTCTTAAAGTTAAGTAAGTGCATTCCTCCTTATAGGAATTTATTTTACAAGTAAAATAAAGTAGCTTCAGTGTACCTTAAAACATGGTGCCACAACTTTTATTTTCTTCAACACATACTGCAGTACAAGCACTCTTAATCTGTCTCTACAAAACCAACTCAGAATTTTCCCTATCTGTGCACTCCTGCAGCTAACAGCTTGGTTCATTCTCCCGCTAGGAGTCATTTGGCTTGCTCCCAAACCAGTTTCTATCAGTTGTACAAGTTATTGAAATGACATAATTTAATTGAAAATTAGGTAAACCAATGAAATGTGTGCATAGAAAGAAAATGAGTTCTCTTTCCTAAGAAAAAACAAGTCAATAAAGGCTAGGTGCCATTTCTAAATACTGTGCATTAGGTATGGGTGAGGTAACTGCAAAAAAGAATAACAAAATCACTAAAATCTGGAGGTGTTCTGCACTTAGACTATTTTACAAGTGTCAAATTCTTGCTCCACTTTAAAGAAACCAAAACTGGGAAGGGTGGGTGATATAGTATAGATGGCTTTGGGCAAGAAAGATCAGAACTCCAGCCAGGGGCAATACACACAACAAAAGATTGGCAAACAAATGTACACGTATATGTTTTCAGTTAAAATAGATGGTCTATGTATATGTTTTTGTGATTCACTGTTTCAATCATACTTTATTGTATATAACTGACCAATTACTACAGATTGGTGACTTTGGATATGGGGCTTCTACTCAACTTGTCAATTAAACGATTGTAGAGATGACACAAGTGTATAGCTAGAGACAGTGCCATGTTATTAACTAACTTAGAAGATGCCAGAGTAATGTTGGTGCCTAGCTGGAGGAATACGAACATAAACCAGGATGTGGACAAGGTTGAAGAGATGACCCATAACTTCCTTTATATTTATTTTCTCAAGAAGCTATGAATTTTCCCACCTTTAAAGACTGTTTTAGCATTCATCATTTTAACAGCATAGAACAGGCACTTATTTACAAATGAAACAACACAAAAATCAATAGGAGGGAGGAACAACTGGCTACTATCCTGAAAAGAAAACACAGCTCTTCTTCAAGGTCTAACTTAAGGAGTCCAGGGCGCTCACACATCTGGCACAAGGAGGATGGAGCTAGGCCAGGCCTGGGTTGCTGAGGGGCAGGGGCATGGGGGTGGTGAGGAGGGGTCCTGACTCTAGGGGCTGTTGTCCAGGACAGTAGGCCCACCTCCTGAGGGTTCAGCCCAGCCAGCAGTGAAGTGATTCCGGGAGAGAGAAGCCCATCACACTGGGGCAGCTCTCAGTTAAAGATGAACACCAGTTACTGAACTCTCTACCCCAAGTTTAGAAATCAACCATCACAACCATCCCTGGCCATGTCTTAACCTGGCACTCATGCCTCCCTGCCAGAGTGGTCCATCACAGGAGCCCTGGGCTAGGGGAGACCTAGGTATCTGTAATCTGAAAACTCCTATGGCCGATTCTGACCCACTCTTCATGAGCGACCTTCATGAGGATCATGAATATGCTGAAATCAACTGCAAATGAATGTGCATGTGTGCAAATGTTCAGTATTCTGGAGCACTTGTCCACAGCTTCCATCAAATTGTTTTCATCAAAATTTTGTAACTCAAAAGCATGGAGAACCACTGTTCTGAACACCGTTCAAGTATTCACCGTCCTGGTTATCTCCACAGTACGGAGGAAATCTGAGATGAGGCTGAACACAGCATTCCCCCGTACACAGCCTTCCTGCTGTACGTTCTCTATTTTTTTTTCCAGACTCCAATCTGTTCCTCTTTCTTCACTTCTATTTTTACATTGAAAAGTTTGGATTTCAAAATAACTATAACCTAAGAATTCCTCAGATAAAAGACACAGAAAAGTAAATTTCCAATTTCCCTTACCCTACTTCTCACATTCCTGTATGGTTTTATTATTAAAACTTTTTTTTTTTCCAAAAAAATGAAGGGCACTTTATGTCTGTTTTTCCTATTAAGTTAATGGCTTGAACAAATATACACATATTTATTTTAATTGTCAGCATCATGGCTTACCTATGTTTTTAAAATAACAAATTATACATATAGATGGCACTCTTTTCTCCTGTGTCTTGTCTCAACACATGACCATAACAAGAAAGGATACAATGTTGTATGTGTTAAACAGGCTCCAATCTGTGCTGGTAGTTTGGTTTTACAAATAAGAACATTCCCTGTCCAGGAATAAGGCCCAGGCATTTGGATTTTCCAAAACAACTCTCTGTAACCAGGATATCCAAATAAATTCAAGCATTTCAATTTCAAAACTGATGTAGCTATCTGCTCCTGATTGAGGTTCCTCTAAGTGCACATTAGTTAAATAAGCCATTTTCTGCTATTTCTGAGCAAAATGAATATTCACTATTCAAAAGGACATGCCCTATCCTAATTATATAACCAGTTCAAATTTTTTTTAAGAAATGTAAGATATACTTGAAATTCTAACCTGACAAAATTGCTGAAATTAAGCTTTAAGATATATTCGTTCATTTGGAAAATGTCTAAGAAGCCTTAATATCAAACCTAAAATGTATAGTAATCAACATATTTTTCTGAGATCCAGATTTCAGCATAGAGGCAGTCTCAGTATAGAGCAGAAAGAACATGAAATCTGACCTCATCTGATCTGGATTATAATCGCAATTTATCTCAATCCAGTAATTTAACCAGATTTCTTCTTGGTAGAATGGACATAACGTCCGTCTCACTCACAAGGCTATGATGAGAATCACTTGGGATAACAACAGAGCAAGCCTTTGTAGGCTGGGAGGAGCTATTTAAAAGCAAGATACTGTAGCTGCTGTTCCCTTTTTAACGCAAAAGCCCTCCAAAATGCATAGGATGCTTCTGGCACACAAGTCATTAGAATGAGGTGACAACAGTCATCTGAGTGAGAATGAAGGTGAGAAAGAAGGGCCAAGGTAGCTGAAATCCTTAGCAGAACAAGCGCTCCCTTGTATAAGAGGTGCAATGGGCTGACAGCTTCCTGGCCACATCTTTTGACAACCCCCTGGTGGTCAGTGTCAGTGCTTTGTGCAAAAAGCTAATGCACTAGGAGGTCAGCAAGCTCACAGCGATGGCAGCTTGAGGCTCTCTCTGCTCTGGCAAACAGCAAGCTCCTATGTTTCTAATGCAGGGCTGTGTGTATCTGATTCTGCAATGCGTCTGCCATGCCTGGGGAGCTGTTGGGAGAGGGAGCACCATGAAGTTCACCAGCAGCCAGAAGAAGATTCCTGAGAGGCCAAGCCAAGTGCTACCTAGAGAGGCCAGCATGTGGGCTCCACATTTCTGCTGAAGACGCCTGTGCCCACAAGTGAGTACCATCAGGCTGAGGTCCCAGGGTACGCTCACAGTTCATTTCTCTTTATCTGAACAGAGAATATCATGTACTTTCACACCTGTCATGCATTCCATGGGCTTCTGAGCATTTTTGAAAAACGGAGATATGATTCACATGCCACAAAATTTACTATTTTAAATTTACCATTTCACTGTGGCTTTTAGTATATATACAGCTTGTGCAACTGACACCATTATCTAATTCCAGAATACTTTCATCACCCCAAAAAGAAACTCCTTTCCTAGTAGCAGTTGCTTCCCATTCCCCTCTACCCCCAGCCTCTGGCAACCACTAATCTACTTTCTGTCTCTCTAGATTTGCCTATTCTGGACATTTCATTAAAAAATGAGTAATGCAATATGTGGCCTTTTGTGATTGCTTTTACTTAGCATTAGGTTTCAAGGTCCATCCATGTTGTAGCATGTATCAGTGCTTCATCCCTTTTTATAGTTGAGTAAGTTTCCCCTGTATGGGTATACCACATCTTGTGTACCCATTCGTCAGCTGATAGACATTTGGATGGTTTCCAACTTTTGGCTACTATGGATAATGACCCTATGAATAATCATGGACAAGTTTTGTGTAAACATGTTTTCAGTTGTCTTAGGTATATACCTGGAATGCAATTGCTGGGTCATTTCTGAGCACTTTTGAACCCTAACGTTTATGTCATCACCCTCCGTGTACCCATTTCCATGGCAGATAGAAATAAATATAGTTCATCAGGAACCCCAAAAGCCAAAGGAGAAAATGAAGACAGGAAGAAAGGGAAAAAGGGGTTCTGCATGAAGCAATATATTGCTGCTCTCAAAGTACCACTAATAATATATTTCCCCTGTACCATAACACAGCAGTAGCCATAGCTAGGATGAGGGGACCAGCACTGGGCCTAAGTTGGCACAATCCTCTTAATAATAAGAACAATGAACATATAATGAGTGCTTCCTATGGACAAGGCACTGTGCTGAGCACATTTTATGAATTGTCTAGTAGTAGAGAGGAAAGGAGAAACAGGATTATTGAAAACAAACACTCACTGCAGCCAATTCTGCCTTCTGCCAGAGTGGCATAATTCATGCCTAGGACAGGCCCGGAAGGAAAGGGGAAAACAGAGGAAGCTAAATTGCCTGAGGAAGAAAATGACATTTATTTGCTAGAGTCAGGTAGGGAGTAGGGGTGTTGAAGGCCTGAAAATGGAAAAGGGATTGATGTGTAGATAAGAGAATGCAGGAACAATGGAGCAGGGGCCTAAGAAGAAAATACAGCCTGTAAGAAACCCCAATGGCCAAGAAAACTTTAATCAGTTTTAGTTGATTTCTGTTTTGAACCATGTTGATATTTTCCTCCTTTTCCCTGAGACCTTCAGTAAGGCCTGTGTTGGTGTCAGTCTGGAAGATTAGAGAAGCGGGCAGTGCAGAGCGAAGAGGAGACAGCAGTGGCCAGAGGTGAAACACTGAGGTAGCAGCAGAAATTCAAAGAAAGATGACCAGGAAAGGTAAGCCCCATTATTATCAGAATATTGGAGAGAAGAAAAGGTACTGAACTTATAGTACATGGCTCAAGCCATTTTAAGTATTAGGGGAAAGGGTGACCCCAGAAGCTGGAAGAGATGAGATCACCTGACTTTCATACTGTAATCTGCCCAACAATGCAACGGTTATGTTATAAGGGTGGGTAACGGAGTAGGAGGCAAATCCAAGATTTACCCCTTCAATGTTCACTGCATGACAATGGACTCATGACCTTCGAGACTTTGCGGTGCCATTCCCATAAATGGTCAGAAAGTCCCAAAACATTCTCAGTGCCCTATGGAAGTCAAGGACTGTTCTCATGCTGCAGATGAAAAAAACTCTAGCACGAGAGTCTCCTGGACATGACTGGGTCTACTGAAGTTTTTTCTCACCCACCCTCCTGCAACAGTCACAGCTAAGGGGCCCTGAGGCCACTTCTGTAGCAGGGGTTGACAAAAATTTTCTGAAAAAAGCCACACAGTAAATACTTAAACTTTGTGAGCCAAGAAGCAAAATCAAGAATATTATTAATAAATAGGTAGTTATATAAAAAGATAAATTTCTACAACTTTTATTGATGAAATAAAAAAATAATAATTGTGCACAAATTTTAGTAATACAGATCTGTTAATGAGAAGAATGAAGTTTATTGATAGCAAATCCATTGGGGTATATACCTGGAATGTATATACCCCAAGTTAGTGTTTCCCAAGCAATGGGGAAAGGATTCTCTATTCAATAAATGTTGTGGCATAACTGGCTAGCCATATACAGAAGACTGAAACTAGGCCCCTTCCTTGTACCATACACAAAAATCAATTAAAGATGGATTAAAGCCTTAAATGTCAATCCTATAACTATAAAACTCTGGAAGACAGCCTAGGCAATACTATCCTGGACACAGGAACGAGCAAAGACTTCATGACAAAAACGCCAAAAGCAAACGCAACAAAAGCAAAAATTGACAAATGGGATCTACTTAAACTTAAGAGCTTCTGCATAGCAAAAGAAACTATCAACAGAGTTAGCAAACAACCTGTAGTGGATGGGAGAAAATGCCTGCAAACTGTGCATCTGACATAGGTCTAATATCCAGCATCTATGAGGAACTTACATTTATAAGAAAAAAACAGCCCCATTAAAAAGTGGGCAAAGGTCATGAACAGACATTTCTCTAAAGAAGATTTACATGCAGCCAGCAAGCATATGAAAAAAAAATCTCAATATTACGGATCAGTAGAGAAATGTAAATCAAAACCACAATGAGATACCATCTCACACCAGTAAGAAGGCTATTATTAAAAAGTCAAAAAGTAACAGATGCTGGCAAGGTTATGGAGAAAAGGGAACATTTATACACGGTTGGTGGGAGTGTAAATGAGTTCAACCATTGTGAAAAGCAGTGTGGCGATTCCTCAAAGAGCTAAAAGCAGAACTACCATTCAACGCAGCAAAACCATTATTGGGTTTGTACCCAGAGGAATATAAATCATTCTACCATAAAGACACATGCACATGAATGTTCATTGCAGCCCTATTCACAATAGCAAAGACATGGAATCAACCTAAATGCCCATCAGTGATAGACTGGATAAAGTAAATGTGGTACATATACACCATGGACTGTTGGGCAGCCATAAAAAAGAATGAGATCATGTCTTTTGCAGGAACATGAAGGGAGCTGGAGGCCATTACTGTTAGTAAACTAATACAGGAACAGAAAACCAAATACCGTATATTCTCACTTGTAAATGGGAGCTAATGATGAAAACTCATAGACACAAAGAAGAGAACAATAGACACTGACTGGGACCTACTTGAGGGTGGAGGATGGGAGGAGGGAGAGGAGCAGAAAAAATAACTATTCAGTACCAGGCTTAGTACCTGGTTGTCAAAATAATCTGTACAACAAGCCCCCATGACACAAGTTTACCTGTATAACAAACCTGCACATGTACCCCAGAACCTGAAACAAAAGTTATAAACAAAACAAAAAACAAAGTTAGTTTTTCCTAACATCAAACCGATTACAAATGTTCATCTGTAGAAACCATTCTTAGCTTATGGGCCATACATAAGCTACATGTGGTTCTCAACTTCTGTTCTGCAGCCACTGTTACCTGAAGCAAAGTGAATGCTGGGTTATCTGTGTAAAGAGTCTGTAATGCAATACCCTGATTCAGAAATTAGACACCTCAAATGGACTTTCAAGTAGCGCTTGAAAGATCCAGCTGTTCCTCAAACCCATTGGTCTATACCCAGTGATAGAAACAACCATTCTTTCAGCCAGTATTTCCTGAGAACCTACTGTGTGCCAGAACTATCATAGTCACTGGGGATATCATGGTGAGTAAGACAGATGAGCTCCCTGCCTTCATAGGGAATGACTGCAAACAAAAGTTAAAGCAAGAAAAAATTGTCAGAGAGCGGTAATGCTATGGAGAAAACAGGAGACTATATTGGAGGAGTAGGGATAGGGAGCTACTTCAGGTGATACAGTGTAATAAGCAGTTCCTTTGTCCCTATATTATTCTCTCTCTCTCTCTTTTTTTTTTTTTTTGAGATGGAGTCTCACTCTGTCACCCAGCAGGCTGGAGTGCAATGGCATGATTTTGGCTCACTGCAACCTCCACCTCCCCGGTTCAAGTGATTCTCCTGCCTCAGCCTCCCAAGTAGCTGGGATTACAGGCATGTGCCATCACGCCCAGCTAATTTTTGTATATTTAGTAGAGACAGAGTTTCACTATGTTGGTCAGGCTGGTCTCGAACTCCTGATCTCAAGTCATCCACCCACCTCAGCCTCCCAAAGTGCTGGGATTACAGGCGTGAGTCAGCACACATGGCCATCAATCCTTTTTTTCAATCAGACATTTGTATTTTTTCCAGTATGATGGAGGTGAAATAGAAATCTCACTGTGTTTTGATTTTCTTCCCCTTATTAATCATCGTTATATGTAAATACATTTTTTTTGACTTTTCAGGTTTCCTCTTCTATTAATCCCTGACTGATTTCTTGTTTATTTTTCTGTTCAGTTTTCTTTTTCACTTTGATGGCGTTCTTTTAAAATTTTGGACATTGATCCTTTATTGGTGCTATACATTGTAGATATCCTTGCCCAGACTATGACTTGTCTTTTAACTTTGTAGTGCCTCTTGTTTACAAGATTTTAATTTTTATCTGGTAAAGAATCCACTGTATATGAGAATTGGTTGTTAGCTCCCTTCTCAGCAGGCAAATATAGAAAAAAGCCTGGATTTTAAGTTTAAACCTTCACTTCATGCCTTATAGCTGTGTCTTGCCCAAATTTATTAAAATGTTGAGCCCTGACTTCCCTGTCTGCAAAATGAGAACAATTCCTACCTCACGGTTTTGTTTTGAGAATTAAATGAAAAAATATATGCAACTCTCCTAGTACAGTAGGCCTCTCCTACCCCACTCTTAAATTATAAGCTGCTTGAAGGAATTATATTCTGCATAAAACCATGTGCAACACTGATACTTAGACTTTATTGTGTTGACTGAGTTTATCTTTAAAATGCATATAAAGTACCAAGTATAATAATATGCACTTAATTGACTAAAACGTGGAAGACAAGACTGGAAAAACAATTTAGCAATTAGCTCTTTAACCCACAATTGCTCCAACTGGCCTCCCTTGAACTAAAGAGGTAACAGAGTGGTAGTAAGTGACCCAGTTAATAGGAAATTTGTAAACATTCTTTTGAGGGAAAATGGTATTTAAAAAGCCTGGAATCCCATTTATACTGTCAATCCTACTATGGACCAAAATCATTGAACAGCATGTTGTAAAAGATATTTGTAATTAGCTTTGAGAGGAAAAAAAATCACAAACTAATGTGAACAATAAGCCTCAACCAATTTCATAATAAATGAGTTATATGGGGAATACATTTATAATACAAACACTAACAAAAATATACTAGTTATGGCTAGCTTTTATTTCAGATTAAAAAGAAAAATTCCAACTCCTCTGATCCCTGAGCATATTATATATGCATTACGTTTCAAGAATAATAAAATAAATATTTAAAATTGCAGTGAACATTGGGCTTTACCCACCACAAGCACACACATCGATACATTTTTGGTACTTACAGGCCAGTGCCCCAGCTGGAAACACAAGGCTGAACACAGACCGTATTCATTGACTGAACTCTTTCCATGTGAACACCTGCAAGGTGCTTTCACCTTCCTGCTCTCGTTTCATCTTCACGACAACCCTGTGAGTTAAGTATTAGTAACTTTTTTTCAAAGGAAGAAACTCAAGTTCAGAGAGGATATGCCACTTGTCCATATCCACTAAGCAAGGGAGCAGAATTTAAACTGCTGACTGCAAGTATGAAAATATGAGCCCATCTTATAGATGAAGCTGCACCATACTGAAGTATTTTCATGAAATTTGTAAAACCATGTAAACAGGACTCCTAGATCCCACGTATTACTTTCACTGACTTCTCCCATACGCTACTCCCGAAACTGCTGAAGGAAAAGGCCCCCTTCTATGGCCTAATTACTCTGAGCTCAATGAGCATGTATTTTGCTAATCAGGATTTTTAAGTGATCGTGCTCTAGTCAAAGTACATGAAAAATAAACTAAAATGACTTGCTGTCGCATTGTGCACAATAGCAAATGCTATAAAACACGAATATTGCCTCTGATTTGGGGACGGATTCTGAAAACATGTTTGGAGGTCGTTCAACCAGCTCCAACTAAAAATGAGTAAGTGATGGCCGTGAAGATGGATTGACTTGGAGTCTGATTCATCTCATCAGAGGCCTTTGGCCCACTTACACTCATGGCTTTATTTATTCAAATAATTTGCTTTATTCCACCCCCCTAGAGAAAAAGACCAGCAGACCATCATCCCACCTCTGCTCTGTGCAAAGAATCTAACATAAACAATGTCAACAAGAATCATTGCATTTAACAAACTCCAGGATGCACCACAGCACTGTTTGTAAGATGTAAATGGGGTCTTGTTTTAGTTCACTGTTCTGCTAAATTCAGGTGTCTGCTTCATTTTAGATCTCGGTCCCCTGAAAAGAGGCTCCCGTGCTGTATTCAATACTGTCAAATGTGCAGATTCAGTGAGGCATCCCAAACAGCGAACGTGAAACATGACCTAGACGATGTCCATTTAGACACGGATGATTGAAGGGTTACTATACTGTGGTGACCGCTGGCATTGCTTGCTACCCGTCTCCAACTCTCTGACTACGGCACACAGCAGGATGGTCCCTCTAGCATTGGGTGGGACTGAGCAACTGGCTCTGACCATTGGATTGTGAGCAGAGGCAATGTGTGTTGCTTCCAGGCTAGAGCTTTTAATAATGCCATGCAAAGATCCTCCAGAGCATTCATCCCTCTGCCAAGGTGACCAGCAATGTTCCAGATGGCAGTCACACTGCTAGCATGGGGTCCAGAGAGATGCAGTGACAGCACAGAGCAGCACCCCACACCCGCAACAGATATCTGGCACAAGCAAGAAATAAACCTCTGCTAGCATGAGTCCGGAGCATTGTTTGTGACCACAGCATAAACTGGCCCCTCCCACCCAATGCCTCAGGCACATAGTGCCATGAAAAAGGGCTTGGTGTTGATTAAATTGAGTTGATCTAGTAATAAGTTAGCAGATTGGTGTAATTTAGTATCTGAAGTAAAATGTTATTATCTTGTCAGGGAAAGGTCCTTCAGCCCATAGTTCACTTGGGCCCCGATCACCATGTTCCAAAATCTGTATTAAATAGACCTAAGCAAAATTGAAAAGGAAAAGTTACAGTTGTAACCTTCCAAACTGCCAGCTCTAATTTATTGGTCTGCCAAGGTTCTTAGTTGTAAACAATAGAAACTACCCTGGCTAGTTAAGCAGAAAAGGATTGATTAAAGATTTATTAGCTTACAGAATCTCAAGGGCAGGAATACCACCTCCAGATATGCCAGTGTAGATGACATAGCTTCACTGCTGGGCATGGACACCACCCTGAGCTCTGGATGCCTCTGATAGAACCTCGGCCACTGAGCTACTCTGTGGCCCTCGTGCCACCTGCTTTGCATCTGTAGGGTACAATCCAAACTCTCATGCAGGTGTGTCTAAATGGTGAAGCCTAGGTCACATGAATGCACTTTGGGTGCAAAGACAAGTGGCAATTATTTTTTGTTTTGTTTCTTAGAAAGGCAGAGAATTCCTCACACATGGGAAAGATATTCAAAGGTGTGACCAAAAAGAATAGTAAATACTCACTATATCTGTGGTAGTGCCTAATATGGACAACTAAGGTCTTCAGTGCTCATTTTAGTCATAATCAACTTCCAGAGCCTTCCTGGTCCCTGCAGCTCTTCTTTTTCTCTCCAGGAGGGTTTCAATCAGTCCCTGTTTGTACTAGTTTCAGTTGGGTCTGCCACTTGCAACCCAGAGAGTCCTAACTGATACAGAAATAATCATGCATTAAAGAATTCCAGGCTAGCCAGTTGCAAGGGGGGCTGTGAATATTCAGATGCCCTGAAGAAATTTTCAGATTTTTTTTTCCTGCAAGGTAACTATGCATGACAGAAAAAAAAAAATCAAAGAATATGAGACTCTAAGTTTCGTTTGAGAACCCTAATTGGTATCATGGGCTAAATACTGATACTTACGTTCTCTACTAAATGTCCTCGAAATGGGGGACGGGTGCGGTGACTCACATCTGTAATCCCAAAACTTTGGGAGGCCAAGGTGGGAGGATCACTTGAGCCCAGCAGTTCAAGGCCAGCCTGAGCAACATAGTGAGACCCTGTCTCAACAAAATAAAATAAAATAAAATAAAATAAAATAAAATAAAATAAAATAAAATAAAATAAAAAATTAGGCCAGGCTCAGTGGCTCATGCCTGTAATCCCAGCACTTTGAGACGCTGAGGCAGGCAGATCACTAGGTCAGGAGTTTGAGACCAGCCTGGCCAACAGAGTGAAACCCCATCTCTACTAAAAATACAAAAAATTAGCTGGGCGTGGTGGCAGGCGCCTGTAATCCCAGCTACTTGGGAGGCTGAGGCAGGAGAATCACTTGAACCCGGGAGGCGGAGGTTGCAGTGAGCCGAGATCGCGCCACTGCACTCCAGCCCGGGTGACAGTGCTGTAGTACCAGTTACTTGGGAGGCCTGAGTTGGGAGGTCGAGGCTGCAGTGAGCCATGATCGCAACACTGCACTCCAGCCTGGGCAACAGGGTAAGACCCTGTCTCTAAAAAAATAAACAAATAAGTAAAAAATTAATCAATGTCTTCACAAATGACTTTTTACTTTAAAAAATATTACATATACCTAGATCTTGTAGGCGTATATTCACTAAATTAAAAATGTCAGTAGTATATCCAAAGTGCCAACTTATTGCCAATGCTACTTGGAAATAAGGCTATCTATAAGACTACATGTAGATAGAGAAATAGTTAATGTTTAAAGAAAGATAGAGCTAGCTAGATGGGTATAGACATATGTATATTCACACACACACACATTGATGTTAGGGTCTAGGATTAGTAAAACCAAAGCTACCCTATACTCTGTTTCTAGGTGCTCAAGTCCAAGGGTTGGTTGAAATAATAGAATAAAATATGAGAAAAACAAAAACCTAAGGGCAAAACTGCATAAAAATTATACCAAATACTTAAGGCATGCCAAGGACTTAACTTCTTAGAGTAACTTAAAGTTTCTCTTTTCTCTAAGAATGGCTTCCAGGATTGGGCAGGCGCCCTAGGCCTTTGTTTAGGTCAAGTGGCCTGAGCCGGCTGGTCCAGTGTGAATGTCAAAGAGACCAAGCCCTGGAATCCAGTGAGGTGACCTGTATTATAATAGCACTTGAGGGAGAAGATCAAAGAATTCAGAAAGCTGGGATTTCCGTAACAGCCCTATTCCTTCTCTATTCCACATGGCAGTCATTAACTCTTCCTCCAATTCAGTGAGAAATCCCAAGGTTTCCCAATAAATTTAATTCTAAAAAAATTTAATTGTTAATTATTATAGGCACATACAGTTGTTTATTCTTTAATTCTTTTTTTCTTCCTTTTTTGTTTAAGTTAGGCTAGAGCCCAGTTCCTGTTCATAACCAAAAGAATGTTAGGTTAACTAAGTCTATTCCCCTACGATCTTACCCTCCCCAGTATCCAGCTACAGCCTTAGGTAACTCATCTTCCTTAACGGGAGCAATTTAAAAGGACCTTTGGCTTTTCTGAACCGAGTAGTCATGTGCCATGCCGTCACTGAGCTTAGCAATCTTAGCCTTGATTGTCACTTTTTAGGAAAATAATTGCTAATTTTAACAACCTCTGTCTTATAGTTGTAACTTCAAATGCCTTCAGAGATCAGACAGGTGAGGTAAATGGAGAGAATGGTGAGCTGGACCTCACTGGACTCACTATATGCCCCATATAAAGATATTTATGTTCAAATACTTAAAACACTGTGTGGTTCAAATAAAATTCGTGGGCCAAATTTACCTCCTGAACTGTCAACTAGCAACCCACCTTGCTATTGGTTTATATTACATATGGGTCTAGATTATAAGGCTCTTAAAATTCAATTTTCATTCAATTATTTGAACAGGATAAAAATGTTTCTTGCACAGCAAATTTTCATATCTTTTTTTTTTTTTTTATCAGAACATAAGACATTAATGGAGCTCATGTGAGGTATCTAGAGGACCCAAGTGGTGTTTTTAAAAGAAGCTTATCAATGCTGGCAGATTCCTGCCTCGGTGTGTGTCCCACGGTAAGTAAAACAGGCTCATGTTACTTTCTACGAACCACAGAACAAAGCATGCCAAACTCCTTAGAAACACAAGGACTCCAAAAGTATTACAGCACAGATGGAAAAACTCAAATGCCTACCCTTGACAGTCTTTGGTTTAACTACTTGACCTGATTCTCTTCACAGACTAAAAAGGAAATCCAATTCTATTTGAGAAAACTGACAAGACATTCTTTTCCTTGGAGAAAATGGACTGGGACAAATTACACACAAAAAGCTGAAATCTCCACCACCAGTGGTTGAAAAACAATCGAGCCTCCATTAGCAGTTCCTTTGCCCACAGAATGCTCTCTGAGGAACTACGGGGTTTGGAAAAAGTGCAGGCCTCTATTCTTCATCCACGACACATCAAAGTTGTAATAAAAACCTGCTTTTCTTTGTGCGACTAAGCAACTGCTATTTCACACCCACATATTGCTGGAGCTTATTCAATTACCCTCAATGACTTTGTTTAAAATGAAAATGCTTTGCCTCCTAAGGACAGTGTGAGAGGACTGATTAATGTTGCTCCCTGAAGAACAGAAGTGTAGGTACACAGGCAAAAACCTGAGGAGCTAGAAACTACTGCTGGGCCATGTTTCACAAGCAATTCAAACCTATCTTCAAGTATTTTGTAAAGAATAAGGACTCTTAAGGCAGTTGGACATATCAGGGGGCATCCCATACCATTTTTCCTCTTTCTTCTTGATGACAATCACAGAATTAGAAAACTAAGAAGATGACAAGAAGTGAGAAAGAAAAACCAAATTTTGCCATATGGTTTTTCAGGAGAAGAGGAAACAGTTCTTTTTTTTTTTTTTTTTTTTTCCGCCTGACACATGGTTCCAAAAGATCTGTAACTAACGAACCAAGCCAGCACATTGCTGGGTTCTGGAGCTCTGTGACTCAGAAGTCACTTTTCTATCCAACATATTAAATGTCAAGTAAAATATATCCGATAAGAGAGATGAAACTTTTTCGGGAAGCTTGGCCACTGAGTGAGTGTCTCTCTTTTGCAAATGGGCCCTGTATGTTGCATCTGTCTTTTAGGTGGATTGCCAACCTATAAGAGATAAAACATCCACCCAAGAGCTGCATTAAAAAGCATAAATCATGAAGACCATATCTAGTCCTCTATAAATCCCTTCAAAAAGAACTTTATCTGTAATCATAGTAAAGGTCTGTTTCATTTAAGAAAGAAAAAAAACCCAAACAGAAACACATGCAGATAGAAAACAGAGAGAAAATAAAAGAATCACAGTGGTATTTTTATGCATGCATAGTATGCGAAATTTGGAGATGAAGAGTCCCGACAGAATGCTTAAAGAATCTGTAATACACAAGAATATATAGGTTCCAGGGTGGGCATAATCAAAAAGGGCAGTATTTATCCATCATCTATCATTGGCTCTCATTTTGCAAAGCTTGAAGATTAGAACCCCTGATGTCGAAAGATCTGAAAATATTTAGAGCTAGTTCTTGCATGGCTCCATGAAGAAGGGGACGAGGAAAGAAAGAATTATATGAGGACTACACTTCACTACTCTTTTTTATAGCAGATTGTTTTCTTTAAGAGGAGCATAAGCTGTGATTAAAGTGGCAGAATTTTGGTGCCTCTAACACCTGGAATGGAAGCAGAGTAACAAGAAATACTTGGCAACCCAATTATTTCATGCAGGTTTTCATCTACCCAGAAAGCTGTCCTCAAAATAGAATGGAACTTTTTCTCCTTTATCAATCTGGGAGGTGCCTGGGGCAAAGTAACCAAGAACCTAAGAATATTGTTGATCAGTATTCTCAACAAACAAAATCTAAATACACTGTGATCCAAGGAGTTTAACAAATAGCTTCCTAATTTTATTTCAATTACTTAATGGTACATTCAGCTTACATTACAGTGCTGTCTTGATGTGAGGCAGAAAAGAAACAAGACTTGTCCCTAGAGAGATATGGGGTTATTGAGCTTTGTTCCCAGAAGTGGGAGGATGGATTAGATAACTGATCTTTCTATAGTTTTAAGGAATATTTTAATTCAACTGTGAAATAATGGGAGAATAAAACAAATTCAAGATCAACACTATCTAGGGATTTGGGAAGGTTAGATGTATATCCCGAAAATAATAGCTAGCGAGAAGGAAATCTAAGAAAATGTTTACCTTAGGAGACTAAAAACTTAATATTTTAGAAATAGCAAAAGGCCCATTTATTTCTTATAAATTTTTAACCAAAGACATTTACAGTTACTGAATAGGCTGAAATAGTAAGATTCTTATACTTTCACATACTGGGGTCTCAGGAGTAAACATTTACTAGGGGTCACTATGGGAAATACAATCCTTCCCATCAAGAACAACTGTGGAGACAAAACATTCCATCCGAAATGGATTATCAGGCCTCAACTTGTACAAAGCAATGCACAAATCAGACTCTTTCTGTTGTCATTCCAAGTGGGGGAGGGGTCAGCATGAAGCAGGGTTGCTATGGGAAGGTTTCTGGGCTATGAACCTTGACCTGAGGAATGTCCAAGGGTGAAAAGGGCAGGAGTCATAAGAAAGGGGGATGGGGCCTTGCAGGTAGAGGAGTGAGCATAAGCCACCTTTGTAGGTTACAGTGAATGACGTTTGGAGACTGGCTGAGGCTAAAAACCTGGGGCCTACTGTAGAAAGTAAAGCTACCATTATTGAGAGCTAAACATGCCAGGCACAAAGCTAAACATTTCCTTTACTTTTTTCCCTAATTTAATTGTAATAAAACTGAGCCCCAGGCCACAGGCTCGGATTGCTTCTCTTTGTTAGCCACACTCACTTCCTAGATGACCACATACGATCTCTCAGTTTTACTGCCATTTGTACTTGGATGATTCTCAAATCACCACCTTCAGCCTGGACATCTCCTCCAAGCTCTGGACTCACACGTCCGGTTGCCTATTTGACATTTTCACATGCATGCCTGAAGGATATCTTAAACTGAATTCCTGCTTTCCATCTATCCCCCAAACAAAACAAACAAGAGAGAAATAACTGCTCCTCCTCATCCACCTTCCAAACACATCCAGAAACCAACCACTTCTCACCACCTCCACACCTACCACAGCAAGCCACCCCCATCTCCAGCCTGAATCACTGTGGCAGCCTCCTAGCTCCTAGCAGGGATGAGTGTGAACCTCCCCTCCAGCGCCCCACTGAGTCTATGCATTCCAAACCTGTCCTTTGTAGGACAGGCTCCAGCCATCAGTACTGTCGTTTGAGGTACAGACAAAGAGTTAAGAGTAATTACTTGACAGATGACAGCAGAAACAACAGATGCTGAGTGAATCTAAAAGGAAAACTGCAGGGAGGGGTTGAGGGTGTCAAGGATGGAACATTGAGGACATCCAGAGGGGAATAAAAGAAGCCCCACTCTTAAGAAACATCACAGTGTTGGCCAGGCGCAGTGGCTCACGCCTGTAATTCCAGCACTTTGGGGGATTGAGGCGGGTGGGTCACTTGAGGTCAGGAGTTCGATACCAGCCTGGCCAACATGGTGAAACCCATCTCTATTAAAAATACAAAAATTAGCCCAGCGTGGTGGTGCACGCCTGTAATCCCAGCTACTCGGTAGGCTGAGCCAGAAGAATCGCTTGAACCCGGGAGACGGAAGTGGCAGTGAGCCAAGATCAAGCCACTGTACTCCAGCCTGGGCGACACAGCAAGACTCCGGCTCAAATAAAAAAAAGAAAAAGAAAAGAAAAGAAAAGAAAAAGAAAAGAAAGAAACATCACATTGTAACTCAAATATGTCCCCCGCCTTGAGCAGCCTTTCTTGACTCCCCAGGCAGAGCTGAAGGCCTCAATTACAGGATTGGAAATCACCGGATGCCTGTGCTAAGAGCCTCCCCCACGAGAATCTGAACTCGTTTTGTGCCTCCAGCACCAGATGCCTACCTGGTAAGCCCTTGGCAAAACTGTGCTGAATGTTTAACATGGTATCACGGACAGTGAATTAGGAACTTGGAGAGGAAGTGGCTGCTTTCTTCTGGAAGATCTAATCAAGACTTTACACAGGAGGTGAGGTTTGCGAGATAGAAAAAGGTATTTCAGTTTATCCAGGAAGTTAGCACGATGGCCCAGCAAGGAACAGCAGTGGTGTGGAAAAACGGAGGGCGAGGCCCGAAGGAAGCGAGGAAGTGAAGCCCGGCAGGAGTGCTGGGTTGTGGTGCTGAAAAGTAGGCTAGCACTGGGCAGCCGAAGACAGCAGCGAGGCAAAGGAAGAGTTGTTCCCTCCCCTCCAGGACCGGTGATGGGAAGCGGGGTGGAGGTTGGGGTGGATGTCTAAAAGAAACGAGGAACAGCCGGGCAACGGAAAGTAGTTGCTTTGGAGAACGTGGTTGAGGCTGGAAGCAGGAGTTGATGGGTAAAAGGATGAGGAGAGCTCATACCTGTAGTTCTTTTCATTTCCATGTACGACGCAAATTACCGAGCTCCAAAAAGGAGATGAGCCCAAAACCTTAACAATCAGAGGCTAAAAATGGACTAATCAGTGAGGTGTAAGCCAAGAAGTTAATGAGGTAGGAGGCACAACACGGTCGAGAGTTATAAGACAAACCCAGGTTATTACTTGGGTCCTCGAGGATCCAATTAACTTCTCATTAAGTGGGGCTGGGTGCTCGGCTTCTCAACTGGCGCCAGCCTCCCAGCCCCCAGCCAACGCCTGGAATGAGACTCCAGGGAAATTCGGCCAGCTGGTGGATCTTCAGCGAGATGAAGGCAGTGGCGTGGACAGGCCATTCACGGCGATACCCACCCAACTCTGTCCAGGCCTTAAGCAGAAGGCTGGGAGCAGCACAGCACATCAATGGCAGCCACAACGCCTTCCTTTCCCTTTCCCTTTCCCTGCCTATCACGCAAACACTCCCCTACTAAAGTGTATCCTCCGTGAGAACAGGGCTCCGTCCTTCTTCACGGGATGCGCGGAGCCTAGAAGGGCGCCCGGCCACGGCGACCCCCAAGTACTGGCTGAATAGTGAATGAACTCCGCTTGGCCGCACTTCAGTCTATCTGGGCACTGAAAGATGCGACCCGTGGAGCCGCCTAAGAGAGCACAGGGGGAAGAGAAGAAGCGGAAGCCTCCGGAGGTCCCATCGAGGCGGCCTGCGGGACCTGAGCGCCGGGCTCCGTAGCGCGGTCGGGAGGGGGCTTCTGGTCCCAGGCCCAAGACCGACCGCTTTGCAACTGACCTTCCGGCGGGGGCGCCCGCGCGGGGCACAGCAGCCAGGCTCCGGCGTCCCGCTCCCGCCGCCCCCCGGCGGCGCCCGGCGACCGCTGCGCACGTAGGTCACCTGCCTCCTGCTGGCGCCGCGCGGCTGGCCCGGCGCGGGCGGCAGGTGCGGCCCAGGTGGCCGCCAGGCCGGGCCCGGCGGGGCGCTGCGGGTGGGGGACCCGGGCCCGGCGCGCCGCAGCTCTGCGCAGAGCCGCAGGCCGAACAACAGCACAGCCCCGAGTAGACACCGGCGCAGGACGCCGCAGCCCCTCCCGGGCGGCCTCTCCCGGGCCATGGCGCTACACTCGGGGTCCCGCGGGCCGCGCCTGGCCGGCAGCAGGGATGTAGCCCCACAGGCCGGAGCGGCCAACTGTGGGAACTCCCCCGCGGGCCGGGGTGCGGGCTCGGACCCGCCTCCCTCCCTCCCGACCGAGGAAGCCCCGGCGTAACCTTATCCTGCCCTGCCGAGCGCGCCCCGCCGCTGGAACGGTGGTGGGCCGAACGCGGTCACAGGGGGCCCTCTCCGCCCCTCCGGAGGTGCCAGGGCCCGGCTGTACAGGGTCCCTCAAGAGGTGCCCTCCGCCCCGGCCTCCAAAGCCTGACGGA
Source organism: Homo sapiens (assembly GCF_000001405.40). Taxonomy (NCBI): domain Eukaryota; kingdom Metazoa; phylum Chordata; class Mammalia; order Primates; family Hominidae; genus Homo; species Homo sapiens. The sequence goes on from NC_000006.12 coordinate 110,358,584, forward strand.
GCTGAAAGACATAGGGCCAGAAAAAGCGCATTCCTAACGGGATCCCGGGCCATAACTTCATTTTCTGGTATTAGTGTTGTTGGAGAAACACAGGAGGAGGGTAGGTGAGCATACAAGGAACAGTCAAGCAGTTTGCACCATTAAGCACAATATAAAAATAAATAGCACTTATGCCCGGGCTTACAACTTCTCTCTCTCTCTCAAGAAAGAAAGGGATTGGGGGGCGAAGAGAATAGCACTCAATGCAGAATAATCAAATTAGAGTTATTCTATGTCTAAATTCTGCCTGAAGCCAATTCGTGCTTTCTTTCCGTGTTATGAAATGTGTGGGGGTGAAGAAGAAGAGGGAAAAAGCCAGCTAAGACATCTGACAGCGGGTTGGTGAGGAGGGGGGAGAGAGAACAGAAGTTACCATGGCATGATGTAAATCAAATTAATTTAGCTCCAAACACACACCTCCCTGCTGTCTCGCAGAAATACAGAGGGACAAATTTATCTTTCGGCAAAATGCTCCCCAGCTGGTATTTCCATCACCACCTTGACCTTAATTAATCAGACTGAACTCTCACAGCCTGAAGTCCAGTGGTGGATGTTCCATTTTCAATTGTTAGTAGAATCCTTTCCCACAACCCATTTGGGGTGGGTTTGGGTTTTAGGTTTGAGTTTGGGTTTAGATTTTTTTAAGCTGTAGTCACTTTTCTTTTTTTCCTTGCTTTACTCTTGCATTTTCCATGCTTCCATGGGAGACTGCGCCTGTAGACCTATCCTCTTCCCCCGTAACAGCCTACAGCATGGACAAGAGAGAACAAATATGGGGCCCTACCCCCCTGCCCTTTTGAATGTTGGGTATTTTCCGTAGGAAGCCCTCGTCTCTAAAATCCTCTTCTCTTCCTGGCTTAAGAAAGACCCAATTTATTCCCTGCTAGTGAACAAAGCACTTGGGCTGTTTCTCTACATGTAACAAAATATCTCCACCCAGTCTAGTCCACCCCCTGGCCACACCAGATCCTCAGGCTCCTGAACGTTCCATTAGGATTGACTTTTGCTTTTTTCTTAGATGAGTCCAGGGGATATTGCAGATGGGTTCTATTTTAACAAATTTAAACAAGTACGAGTTTTTCCTTACACAAACTGAGAGCCAGCCTCACATCCTGTGACTATTTACTTGAACTGTGTTTGAACCAGGACCCTGCCGTTCAAGCACTATGAGACTTTCAACGAAGTACTGGACCTCTCTGAGTTTCCGTTTTCCCATGAATAAACAGATCTATATATATGGCAGGATTATAAATGTTGCATAAAATATTATATGTTTCATGCCCAAATAATACTGGCTCACAGAAGGGTCTCAATAGTAATTATTTTGTTATTTACCATGGAAGAAAATCCTGGATGTTGTCATGAAAAACAAAAGGTAAGCATTGATTCCAAAGTGGGCAAAGATAAAGTATAAGGAAATTTACAAATAATTTATACAGCATTCTCTGGAATTCAGAGTACCCAATAATTTCAAGAAAATAACAATTAATCATCAAGAAACGAACTCTGTTAAGTTGTATAAGGCTCTTTAAGACAGAGTTTGTAGGGTGCTTGATAAACCTGGATTGGTAATGTCTGATGTAGACTTTGCTGGAAGTTTTATTTTCTATGCAGTCAACACAGTGCCGCTAACTAGAGAAGTCATATTTTGAAGATCATGGTGCCACTAGTGCGTACCCTCTGCTCCTCTGTTGAGTTTCTCTCTGGGGGTGGGTGGGGAAGCATAAGCACTCTCCTATATTATTAAAATGGGGATATTTAATAAGACTCTGGGCTGGGGGTGGAGGATGGAGTGGGGGTGCATACAAAACAGTGTAGCTCTTGAAGAGAATGGGCAGGATGACCTCATATTTTCCTTTATCTCATTTCTACAGTTCTCTAATAAAATGTTTTCATTATGGAAAAAAATTCAAATTACATGGAATATTTAAATAGCCTTTTATCTTTTGCAGTTGTGTTTATGTCTATGTGTTTATTACTAATAAAAAAGAACCGTTTATATGTATGTAGCATCAATTTTCTGGAAGAAACCTATTTTTAACTTCCACACAGTGTTTTCCTGTGTGGTGGATGATAATGAATAGTAAAATGGGTCAGTCTGTGGGCTGAAGAGGCAAATCTAATGGATCACTGTTGTAGCTGACAAGCAATCTTTCATTCACGACCTTTGCTTTTCTTATAGAGTTGAACTTGTCTCAGTCCTTTCTGGATGTGTCTCAAAAATGCAGATAATCATTAACCGCTGTGTCATAGGCTGGTTAATTAAACAAGCAGGTCAGTAAACCACAATAGCGGCTTTCATCAGATCACAGATTACATCCTCCTAGAGGTTTTAGCCAGAAAAATGTGTGAAACAGAACATTTCTAATCTCCTAAACAACATGCATTTCAACTTGGACACCTGCTGTAGTGCTGTGATTCTCAACCAGGGTTGGTTTTGCCTCCCAGGGGACATTTGGCAATGTCTGAAGATGTTTTTGGTTGTTACCACTGGAGGATGCTACTGGCGTCTAATGGCTACCTATTAGACTAGGGATGCAGCTAAGCCTCCTCCAGTGCAAAAGATAGCCTTCCACAACAAAGACTTGTCCAGCCCAGAATGTCAGGAGAGCCTAAGTTGAGAAAACCTGCTGTAACTATAGATGCCAATGTGGTCATTTTAAATTATAGACTGTCCAAAGAGAAAACAGAGCCGATAGTATCCTCACCTTCATCAAGTGGTTATTTATATCTCACAATGTGACATACCCAGTGTGTTAGTCCTTTTTTGTGTCACTATAAAGAAATACCTGAGGCTAAGTAATGTATAACAAAAAGAGGTTTAATTGGCTCTTGGTTCTGCATGCTGTACATGAAGCATAGTGCCAGCATCTGCTTTTGGTGAGGCCTCAGGAAGTTTACAGTCATGGCAGAAGGCAAAGGGTGAGCCAGTGCATCACATGGTGAGAATGGGAGCAAGAGAGAAAGGAAGGAGCTGCCAGCCTCTTTTAAACAATCAGATCGCCCATGAACTAATAGAGCAAGAACTCGCTTATCACAAAGGGGGGATAGTGCTAAGCCATTCGTGAGGGATCCACCCCCATGATCCAATATCTCCCGCTAGGCCCCACCTCCAACACTGGAAGTCACATTTCAACATGAGATTTGGAGGAGACAAACATCCAAACCATATCACCCAGTCTGAATTAAAGTGATCAAATTTACAAAAGAATGAAGTTAGAATGTCTGACATCAACATCCGCCATCCTCTCATCACCTTTTCTCAGTGTACATGCTCACTGTGGAAAATATACACAAGCAAAAGAAGATACCAACATTCATAACACGATTCAGATATAGCTATCCTACACATGTAGATGGTTTTCAAAAATGAAATCATATTATATATATTTCTTTATAATGTGCTTTTGTAACATAATATGTTATATAGTTTATGTATTAAATAATATGTTGTTTGGAATTTGCTTAACAACAATCTAGTGGGGAGATGGGAGAGAAGTGGGAGTAAAAATGAAGCAAGAATGGCTGTGAGTTGATCATTGTTGTAGCTAGATGATGGGTTCACAGCTCTTTATTTTTGAGCATGTACGAAATTTTCCATATGGAAAATGTCCTTAAACAGTAACCTGTTAACTACAACATGTACCATATTAACCATTCTTCCATTGTCGAACAGTTGGATAATTACCAGTTTTTCATTTTTATAAACAATGCTGTGATGGACATCTTTGTAGCTAAATCTGATGGAGCAGATATGCAGTGTGAGAGAAAGAAAGAAGTCAAGAATGATTCCGAGGTTTTTTCCTGAGTAACTGGAAGAATTAAGTTGCTGTTAACTGAGAAGGGAAAGACTCAACTAAGAGCAATTAGAGTAGAAAATCCAGTAAGATTTTGGTAGTCCCGTTAAGTTTGGGAAACCTATTGGACATACAAATGGAGATGTGGCATAGGCAGTTGGATCTAAAAGACTGAAATTCAGGGGAGTGGTGAGGGCTGGAAATAGAAAACTGGATCGTCAGCATACAGGTGTGAAATATCTGAAGGCTTAGTTCTGGGGTTCACCAGTTTAAAGTCAGGAAGATGAGCATCCAACAAAGGCTACTGAGATAGGTAAGCAGTAAGGTAAGAGAATGTGGTGTTCCAGAAACCAAATGAAGAGAGTATTTCTAGAAGGAACACACTGAGAGGTCTAATAAGATGTGGACTGGAAACTGACTCTGAGATTTGGTAACATAATGCCTTGTTTATGATGTCTTCCCCAACTAGAATGTAAGCTCCACGAGGTCAGGGACTTTGTTTCCATTGATTATTGCTATAATCCTGGTGCCTAGAACAGTATCTGGCATGTAGTATATGCTCAATAAATAGTTGTTGAATTAAAGAGTGAGGAATGAATCAAGTCTGTGTGCATTCATAGTTATTTTGTCACATTAAATTCTTAAGAGTAGAATGCTACATGAAGGCAAAATCATAAGTCTTTCAGTGTGAAGTTCTATCATTAATTTTTAAGTCCACCAAAAAAGGCTGTTTTAATCCCATTTAAAGCCATCAAATATTCCTTTGTTATTGTTGGGAAACCTCAAAGGATAGCCTTAAGCCAGCGCCTAACAGAAGGATGAACTAAGCACAGTTTATTTTTAGTTTCCTCCTATTCTCCTGTTGCTACACTTGAACCCATTCTTCAACTCCCCTCAAATGCCAATCCCAAGCCACATCCCAGGTAGGATTTGTGTTCACTGGGCTGTCAATTAGTTTTCTCCTCTCCACCCTAAAGGTGTAGCTAAATGTTAAGATACTAGCTCAGGCCGAGCAAGGTGGTTCAGGTCTGTAATCCCAGTACTTTGGGAGGCTGAGGTGAGTGGATTATCTGAGCTCAGGAGTTCGAGACCGCCCTGGGCAACATGGTGAAATCCCATCTCTACCAAAAATACCAAAAAATTAGCCAGGCATGGTGCTGTGTTCCCATGGTCCCAGCTACTCGAAAGGCTGACTAAGATAGGAGGATTGCTTGAGCCTGGGAGGTTGAGGCTGCAGTGAGTCGAGATCATGCCACTGCACTCCAGCCTGGGTGATGATGGAGTCAGACCCTGTCTCAAATAAATAAATAAATAAATAAATAAATAAGAAAGATACTAGCTCACCATGACTTAGGACCCTAACAGAAACATCTGTGTTCAAGAAAGAACCCACCACAATGAAAGCTTTCGAGACCTAGAACAAAGTTATAATAGAATGACAGACACTGGAACTGCTATTTGAGGCTGGGAGCCCTGCCTAAAATCACACCACTGCCTATTCCACAACCAAATAAGGCTGGCTCTGGGCTGGTCTTATGGAAAATGCCTGGGGAATGTCTTAATGCCCAGGCCTGGCAGGGAAAGAGAGCACAAGGCTTCCCTGCCTCTTTTTAGTTCCCCCTTACACCCGTGTTCTCCCATTCTTACTCTAACATTTGTGGACTTGTTTTATCCTTCCTCTACCGGGGATGTTTCTCAGGCATTGGGATGGGGGTCTTAATCACTTCTGCACCACCAGCAATGCCTTGTATGGGGCAGGCCTTAATCATGTCTCTGGAATTGTTAACAGACAACAGACATCGCACCCCAATTCTGCTGGAGTCAGACTCAAGATACCACAGTTCTTGTTGCTAATCCATCCTAACCTAAAAAGAATCATAGTCAAACCCATATTGGCTGGCTCACAAATAATAATACCTCCAACCTGGTACCTTTTTGTTTCCCTGAAGGAACTTGGAAAGAATCAGGGAATGCATCACATAAGCCACTGGGGGACAAAGAACTAAGGTCAAAGATGTGGATGTGGGGAGAACAGTGCATGGACAGGGTGGACACTGCAGTGGTGGCTCTGAGGGAACCCTAGGCTTTGGAGCCCTTGGGCAGGAAGTTCTGATGAAAGACGCAACATACACAGACAGACACACACACCCACTTCCTTGGATGTGTTCGGAAAACACATCTGAGGCATTGTTAGAGAGGTTTATTTACAAACATTAGCTCCCACAATGAGGCATTCCTGGATTCTATGACAATGAAAGGGCTTAGGTTAGGAATGATCAAAACATCTTTTTCATAGGACCACCTACACAGTGTGGACCCTCCTGCACCTTCCACTCATCTCAGCATTATAACACATGCCAGAAATAATCTCCCAGCTACAGATCACTTTGAAGTCAAAAACATTCCTGGTTAAAACTTTCCCAAAGTCAAGGGCTTTTAAAAAAACCTTTTAAGGTCAGAAACGATTACCAGGCAACTGACAGGATAAAGTGAGGCACAGCATGCTTAAAGGCAAAAATCTCAGGGCTGTGTCATTTCAACTTAGCTTGTGAATGTACTAAAAATCCTGAGGTCAAAAGCCATTTTTCTTTCTCATCGCATTACTGCTTTTGCCCTGGGGAAAGTCTAAGAACTATATTATTTTCAGATCATAATACGGAGGCTCTCACACTTAAGTGTACATGAGAATACCCCAGGGAGTTATTCAAAGGCAGGTTCAAAAGCCCCACCTCCAGAGAGTTTTAAGTCAGTGGTGACTCCCCCAAAGCTAAGCTACAGGTGGTCCATGATCAAACTTTTAGAAACCCTGGCACACTGGCTCCCACCATGGTGACGGTTGAGGGTCAGGGGGCAATATGTAGGGAGCAGTTTATTACAAGGTGTCCTTGTACCCATGGGTGCAAATGTTCTCCCTCAAACCTCTAAGCACAGTTACTAGCAGTTTTAGGCATTAACAAGGGGCCTTCATATTCAAAAGAGCAGGAGCTCCCTTGGCAGCCATTCTGTTCTCCCCCCAGAACCTCACGGGGAAGTGAAGGGAGTGCAAAAGGAACTTTCCTTCCTTCCTTCTTTTCCTCCTTCCCTCTCCCCCTTCTTCCTTTCTTCCTTCCTTCCCCTATTTGCTCTGGGAATTTCCCAAAGCTGTAGAGTGAAAGGAAGGAGTTGTGATTACCCATATGTAGCTTGTACAGTGAGAGCCTGTCCCTTGATTATTCTGATGAGGCAGTAGCACCCAGAAATCTTCAGTGCCCTAGCTGGGATGCAATGCCCATCCGCTCACGAGTTACCCTTACCCTCTGTGCTTTGTTCCCTCATCTTTAAAATGAGAATAATAATAACAGTAATAATAGTAACTTCCTCATAGGGTACTGAGGTATTGTCATGAGATGGTTAAATGAGCTAACATATTTGAAGCACTGGGCACACGGTGCTATCATATATAATTTGTTATTGTTGCCATTCTCTATAAATCATAAAAGACATTTATTTTAGTTTTGCACCCATTTATGCTCCTTTTTCTCTTGCCTTCAGGTTGAATTGTTTGGGGCTTGGGCTTAATGGATCTCAACTCAACTGAAATAAGAGGAGAAATGAAGCTGGGCACCGTGGTGTGTGCCTGTGGTCCTAGCTGTTCAGGAGGCTGAGGTGGGAGGATTGCTTGAGTCCAAAAGTTGGAGGCCAGCCTGGACAACATAGTGAGACCCCTCTCTCAATTACAAAAAAAAGAGAGCAAGAGAGAAGATAAATGGAAACCAGAGCTGTGCTGCTGTTGCTACTAGCAAATCCCTAGTCTTTTTCCTTGGAGTCATCATATGCCAGGGAGTATCTCACTAAGGTTTCTGTTATTTCTGGGAAAGCACATTGATCCTATTTAACTAGCGGATCTTTCCCTTCCCTTTCGACCTGTGCTATTCTAAAACAGCTCCTTTCTTCCTTTCATCTCTGCTTTCTGTGGGGTTTGTGTGCCATGTAACCACACCACTTTTCTCTCCTTCACCTTTCTCTTCCTGTTTTCTGTGCTCACTTCACACTTTATTTCTCTTCAAAGCATGCTCTTGGCACTGCTCCAGCTCTATCACCTGATTCCTTATCACTGGCCCCTTGGAATAGCTTCAGCCCTGATCATTTGTGAGTTAGCAGCATCAGTATTTGATACAAATCCAATTACAGAGCACACTTCACCCCATCCTTCCCTCAAAAATGTTTCTAGTGTTAAAGACAAGAGTAGCTTCCTCCCCAGAGAACAGAAGGCCAGGGGCTACTCTGCCTCTCCCACCCCAGTGGCTCAGGTGGTTGTTCAGAGAGGGAGGCAAATGCTGTCTGCAAGAATGTTGCTGTCGCTAAGACAGAAGGAAGAAGAAATAGTTCCCTATCAGAAAGGGCATCCAGGAGAAAAGCCCCTGTAGGATGGATGACAAAGAAGAGTGGGGAAGAGTCTGTGTCTTGCTATTTTCCTGCCGGCGTGTGCACATTAGCTGCTTCAACCACCGACTATGAGATCACTGGCAAGGTTTTTAACAGCAGTCCTTATTTTAATGTCTTTGTGGTTTTTAAATTCTGCCTTAATGTGGGGAAAGAGTATGTAAAATTCAGGAAACAAATTCCCATTATTGCTATAACTTTGGCCCCACCAGGTATGAAAGCATGTAGCTGCCTCTGCGGTGACTGTTTACCAGTCTCAGTCCCACAGCAGATGCAGGGTGGGATGTGGATGGTGAATTATTCATTTTGCCTCCCTGCTGGTAACCAGTCTCTGGCACCGAGAGGAGCTCAGTGAACAGAAGATGCAGCAGAGGATGTCAGGAAACCCACAATGCTGAACTTGGTGTATGTGGACCTGACCTTCAGGTGCCCCCATTCACTGTACCCCAGCACCTGCTGTGCTTTCCTGCCTCTGAAACTTGTCACTCCCCCTGCCTGAAAAGAACACTATGAGCCCTGCCATGGAAATGGGATGGTTCTAGATAGGTCTGGAAAAGAGCAGGCTGAGAAGTTTGAATTGCATTAAATGGGCCACGGGGAGTCACTGATGGTTTCTGAGCAGAAGACACTGGCATGATTTGAAGCAGGGCCTCATTAAGATCTGCATGGACTCCAAGAATGCAGGTTGTGGTACTCCCCAAGCCCCCACCTTATATTATTCAAAATAAAACAGTACCAAACTGTAAAACACAAAACATCAGATATGCTGACATTGAAAAAGCTTGATTCTAGATAGACCTTCTGAAGCCAAGAAGAACCTTTTTCCAGGCCTTTTTCTGTTTCTTACCACCAAAGACTGAAATGAGTCTCTTTCTTTACCATAGAACATTCTACCAGAAACTTACAGAATGTTATAAGTTTTGAACACAGAGATTTAACAAAATAAAGTGGCCATTGCCCAACTGTGCATTTTCTTTACACAAAATTAGATAATGATGTAACATAATTATTTCAGAATAAATCATCTCACTTTTTTTTTGCAGCCTCACAGAATGCACCAAGAATAGCCTCATAGCAATGTTATAATGTACATCTAAAGTGTCTTTCTTGAAGCACTTAAAAGCTACACTGATGAAATTTCTAGGGAATCTTGATTTCGTACATTTGATACATTAGATTAGAGCCTTCCTAAGTTTGGTGGATGATAATGAAAATTGTTTGCAAGCCACATCATCATATTCCAGCACTCAATTTCAGCATAACAGGGGATGTGGTGAGCATTAAGCATTACAATATGACCAGATAAATCCTTCATGTTGCCTAATTCTGGATTAACAGCAAAATGATGTTGACTTCACAGGGGCCCTCCAGCCCTGAGCTTTGTTAACAAATTAAATGTGAAAAGGAGGTACCTAAACTTTCATTGATAAGAAATAAAAATGAAAGCTAAATCCATAACCCGTCACAATCAAATCTCTTTAAAACATAGAAACCCTCTTTAACACAAAGGTCTTTATCTTTTTGACCATAATGCCTTAATGAAGTACAACTATTTCTATGTAGTCTGCCTCAAATCCCACGTTAAACAAAGGAGAGAAGTTTCATTATGTTTCAGGCTTTAACAACCCAGGATAAATTGGCTGTGTTTGTCTATTATTCATCACTATTGTTAGAACTTAAGTCTTTGTTACTGACAGGGGTGAAACTTAGCTGGGCAGATCAATAGAATTAGTTCTCCCCTCAGACAATAGGAAGTATGAAGATAATGACTAGCAATGACTTAAAAAAATTTCTGCCTTTCATTAGCAGTTCATGTTCCAGGAAAGGCTTTTTGAGCTGCTGAACAAAAGATTGCTCCTAAGGTTCAACAGCTTCATGTATCAGAGAAATTTTCTGCAACTCTGAAACCTATAAATGCCTGGCCAAAAAAATATACATATATATATACACACACTATGCACATTCCACTCTCAAAACCATAAGGAAGCCTTTATAACTAAGGTGATCAACGCTAAACTCTGCATTACTATATTGAAAGCCATCAACAGCCATGAGGTCAGAATAGAAAGTAGAAAGTATACACTAAACAAAATGCTTCAGCAAGAAAAACAGCTTTGATCTTAGAAGACAGACTTCTCTGACTGGCTTTGCACTTTGGCCCCACATGGTTTTTTTGGAAAATACTTGTCATGAAATTTTATGATCTGCTAAAAAAAAAAACAAAAGTGTAAAAATATTCTTTCTTACCTACCTCACAAGGATGTTGGGAAGATTAAAATTAGATAGTTGTGAAAGTTTCTAATTCTCCTAGGAAAGCCTGCAGAAATACTTTGTGGATAAACCCCTTTGTTGCAAGCTTAAAATAGTCATAATGAACCCAACTCAGCCTTCTCCCGTTAAAAGCCCGGGATTATGCTGATCAAGCAGTCATTTCCCTCGTCTCTGAATAGCTCTTTTAAATCATTCCACTCATAGCCCAAAAGTATTTAATACATGACTGACAAAAAGGAAAAAAAAAAACAAAACACATAGTTTCTACAAACCCTTCCTGGGTTATCCGACAGAGAAATCTCAGCAGCCCTGCCTTGTCTAGGATTGAAAGTATTCCCCTGTGACCCCCTCACATCTTTTCTTCTGAATACATTTTCCTTTGTCTACTTCCAAATATAAGAACTAGCAAATGCATTGCCTACTGTTCATATACCCACTTTACATTTGTACATGTCAGTATTTTCTACTCTTTCACATAAGCCTTAATGGGTATAGGCATGGCCCATCCTCAACAAAACGTATCTTCCTATACCTCTGTGCTCAGCACACCACCACCCCTTGGAAACAAACTCTTCTGACCTGAGCAGAGAGCCAATATATGTGGATTTCCCAAACATTTCCACCTTTTACTGCAACAACCCTCCTCATCTCCAACTCTACATTATCAAAGCCAACTCTCAGATGAGACCTGCAACACATTCACATTAAGTTGTAAACCCACTAGTGTCTGCTTGAAGAGCTGTGCCTTCTCAGGCATTGTTCCTTTTATGCATCTCCTTCAGACACTGACACACCATCCCTCTCCACACTTCAAGTACGACGGGTCTCCAAAAAGTTCATAAAAAGTGCCTATTATGAAAAAATTATGCATGAATTTCAAAAGTTTCTTGCACCAAAATCAACTCCTACTAACTTGTTATAACATGACTGAACAGGATCTAGTTATGAGGCACTAAGAAGGATAAGACATCAGTCTAAAAGAGCCCTGATCAGAGCAACACGAATTCTGCTAAAGCTGGAGCAGGAACAAAAATAAAATTTACAGTGAAGCTTGGGTAAAAGAATGGTGAAATCACTGATGCTTTTTGAAAAGTTGATGGGCACAATGCCCCAGAGAAATCAGCAGTTTATAAATAGATAACTCTTTTGAAGAAGGGATGAGATGATGTTGAAGATGAAACCCAGAGCGGCAGACCATCCATGTCAATTTATGAGGAAAAAATTAATCTTGTTCATGCCCTAATTGAGGAGGACAGACAATTAATAGCACAAACAATAGCCAACACCACAGACATCTCAATTGATCTGGCTTACAGAATTCTGAGTGAAAAACTAAAGTTGAGCAAACTTTCCACTTGATGGGTGTCAAAACAGTTGTGCCCAGATCAGCTGCAGAGAAAGGCAGAACTTTCAACAGAAATTTTAAACAAGTGGGATCAAGATCCTGAAGCATTTCTTAGGAGAATTGTAACAGGAGATGAAACACAGTTTTACCAGTGTGATCCTGAAGACAAAGCACAACCAAAGCAATGGCTACCAAGGGGTGGCCATGGTCCAGTCAAAGCAAAAGTGGACCAGTCAAGAGCAAAGGTCATGGCAATGGTTTTTTGGGATGCTCAAGGCATTTTTCTGGTGGGCCAAAGAATGATAATACCTGTTTATGATGAGAGTGTTTTGAAAAAGTTAGCCAAAGGTTTAGGAGAAAAATGCCCGGGAAAACGTCACTAGAGTGTCCTTCTCCTCCATGACCATGCTCCTGCTCATTCCTCTCATCAAACAAGGGGTATTTTGTGGAGTTTTGATGGGAAATCATTAGGCATCCCCCTTAGACTTAGGAGTACAATGCAGCTCCTTCTGACTTCTTTCTGTTTCCTAATTCTTCAAAAAAATGTGTAAAAGGCACGCATTTTTTCTCAGTTAATAATGTAAAATAGACTGCCTTGACATGGGTAAATTCCCAGGGCCCCCAGTTCTCTAGGGGTGAACTAAATGGCTGGTATCATGACTTACAAAGGTGTCTTGAACTTGATGAAATTTCTGATGCCAATCAAGTTTATATTTTCTACATTTTAATTTCGTTTTTCCATGAACTTTTTGAAGTCTCCTTGTATATTTTCTCCCACAACTTACCCCCAGTGAGAACGGAGAGGAAATTCTCTTCCTATTAAAAGTCACTACATATAACAGATAAAATTTCAGGTTAAATTTTAGGGCAGTAAAGTCAAGAAACAGAGGATATTCTGAGGACCCTGAAGTCACTGGGCTTGGGTGCTTTTTAGTCTGCCTGCAGGCTAACCTGGCCCTGATTACAGGGTTACATGGTTCCAAGGCACTGAGAACTGAATGGTGGTGATGGCTCCTCTGGCACCTGATTATTTGTACCTCCCACCCCCTTCACTAAACCTTCTCCTCCCTCAATGTTTTCCATCTCAGAACACAGCAGCTTCATTCATTCAGATGCTCAAACCAAAAGCCTTGGAGTCAGCTTTACCTCCTTTTTTATTTTCACATCCAACATCTATCCATTAGCAAATCCTGTAATTCGAACCTTCAAAATACATACTGAATGCAGCCACTTCTTGTCCCCTCTGCCACTCTAGGCCAACCCATTCTCCTCTTCCTGCTGGACTGTTGCAATGGCCTCCTCACTGCTTTCTCTCTTTTCATTTTCTTGCCCCATCTTCAGTTAGTTATCTACATAGCTGCCAGAATAATGAGATCATGTCATTTCTTTATCCTCAACTCTCCAACAGCCTCCCATTGTGCTTAGTACACAATCCAAAAGCCTTACCATGGCCCCAATCCTGCAGGATCTGACCTGGGTCTACATCTCTGACCCAATCTTCTCCCACTTCCTTCTTGCTCATTGCACCCAGCCATATTGGCCTCCTTGCTGTTGCTTGTACATGCCAAACACACTCATTCTCTTAGAGCATTTGCACCTGCTGTTCCTTCTGCCTGGAATGTCCTTCCCCAGATATTCACATGGATCATAATTCCCTCACTTCACTCAGGCTTCTATTCAAGTGCCACCTGCTCAGAGAGGCCCAACCAAAGCACTCTATGTAAAATAGCAGACACTGATTCTCCCTATTAAAAATACATTTTTTTCTTCACAGCACTTACCACTACCTCAAATTAGGGTATGTACTTATGTATGGTGTCTCCTCCAGTTGAATATAAGCTCCATGAAGACTAGACTTTTGTCTCATTCACCACTCTTTCCCCCTGTTTGAAAACATTGGTGACCTCACCACTGGCACTTAATAAATATGTCTTTGTTTAATTAATTAGTTAATTTTGCAGACTTGGGGCACCACGAATCTAGGATCACCAACCTCCAAGCATTACTTGGTGATCAATTTCATGTGCCCCTGGTCAGATATCTTTCATATGGCTCTTCTAAAACTTCACTCCTCTCTTCAAACTCCTTCTCCATCCTGCAGTATCCCACCCATTATCAGCAAATGATTCTGCTTTCCACCTTACAGGGAATAACCAAGGTCATTAAATGAGAACTCCAGCAGAGTCTTTACACATGCCTACAAATGTGCCTACATCCACTTCCCCTTGCTAGCCTTCCTCCGCCTCAGTGGAGGAGTTCTCTCTACCATCTTCTCCCCTGCCTTCCCCAAGGGACTCTGTACATCAAGGTCCCTTGACTTTTGCCCACATTAACCCTCTGTGGCTTGGATCTTCCTTTTCTCCCATCCTAGGGCCTGTTTCCCTCAGCATCTGAGCATTTTCAAGTCTCTCCCATCTGAAATGGCTCTCCCTGTACCTTGCTTCCCATAGAAACCAACAGATGGGCCGGGCGTGGTGGCTCACGCCTGTAATCCCAGCACTTTGGGAGGCCGAGGCAGGCAGAACACGAGGTCAAGAGATCGAGACCATCCTGGCTAACACGGTGAAACCCATCTCTACTAAAAATATTTTTTAAAAATTAGCCGGGCGTGGTGGCAGGCGCCTGTAGTCCCAGCTACTTGGGAGGCTGAGGCAGGAGAATGGCGTGAATCCGGGAGGCGGAGCTTGCAGTGAGCCGAGATTGCGCCCCTGCACTCCAGCCTGGGTGACAGAGCGAGACTCCATCTCACAAAAAAAAAGAAACCAACAGATGAGCTTCTTGAAAGAGCTATGTTTGCCGTTTTCATTTCCTCACAACATATTCACTCCTCAATCCCCTGCATTTTGGTTCTCACTTGCAACCTCCCAGAGAAACTACTGGGCAAAGTCCCCAGTATCCTCCTAAATACCAAAAACAGTAGGTCTTTTTCTCTTTTTATATTATTCTTTTTAAAAATTATACAATTAACATCCCTTTATAACACAAAATGTAATCACGGTAAATCTATGTGTAGATGAAAACAAACATCTCCCACAATTCTTCTCCAAAACAATCAAGGTTAACATCTTGAGGATATATCTCCAATTCTTCTTTGGTATACAATGAAATGTAAATATTTATACTTCGTTATTAATATTTTTTCAAAAAAGATATTAGAGTACATCATTATTTGCAACTTGCTCTATTTAGCATATCCTGGTCACATTTTCATATTTGTACATATAGATTTACAATGTTTTGAATGATTTCATAGCACTCCATCATGTAGATGTACCAAAATTTATTTAGGATAAATTACTAGGAGAGAAATATAGGGTCAAAGGGAACAAATATTTTTTAATTTTTAAAACAACTGAGACTATTTCCTTCTAAAAAGTAATTTATACATTCACCTATAGTTTATAAATGTCTATTTCTCCACAACCTTGGAAATCAACTTTCCCTATAATCTTTTTTGGTTTGGTAAGTGGAAAACTAAATCTCATTGTTGAGCTATAATTATTTAAATAAAAGTAACATTGGACATATTTTCACAGATGTATCAGTCACTTGACTAGTCTTCTGTGACTTTCTTGTTCATATCATTTGCATATTTTTCTATTGGGTTGCCCATTTTTAAATCTTACTGACTCGTAAGGACTCTCTCAGTCTTACAGATATTAACCTGGTGGTCATTATTCATCCCACAATAGTGGTTGAGAACCTACTGTGTACCAAGCACTGACTAGATATTGGAGTTACACCAGTGAGCATCACAAAGAAGCCCTTTTCCCTGCTGGAAGGAATGGAGTAGCTTCTAGAGACTGAAGAAAGATTCCTAGCATGATGGAAGTGTCTTGTTTCACAGATTAAAGGTATGTATTTGTAGAACTATGTCCCTGCAGAATTAGAGAAATCATTTTCTTTCTAATTCTGGGTGTAGACTGTCCTACTCTCAAAATGATTGTTTATACTAGAGCAACACGTGCAGAGAACGACCCTATGGCTACATGGCTGGGGGTTTGGGTTCCAATATCCAGGAAAGGTTCAAGGGAAGAGGGCTTGAAGCTGCACAAAGAAAGGATTAGAAATGACATCCCTGCATGAGGCATGGGAAACCCGTGAAGTGTGGGCCTATCTGTGAGGAGAACCATAAAAACTCTATCTATCTGCTGAGGAAAATTTCAAAGAAGTTTACCTCAACACAGGATTCTGGGCATCTCCTGTGATGCAGAAATTCCCAAACAGAAATTAATATAAAAACTGGTTTTAGATTGGTGATTGTGTTGACAGAAGTCAATTCAAAACTTTCCTGGAAAGGCAGTTCCCCAACCCAGGCTACAGGATTTCCACAGTGGAAAATATCAACTGAAGATAGTCCCACAACTCCCAAATTACAAAATACATGAAGACGTAATCCACCATATGTATTAATTTCCATGTAAATCAAATAGGAAGATTAGCACCCTCCCCCAAAGTCTTCAGATAATAGAATAAATTTTAAACTAGAATTTTTTTGAACACTGGATTATACAATATGTATATTCAAAGTGATTAAGGAGATAAAAGAAATAATTAACACCACAGGAAAAGAATAAGATATAATGAAATAAGAAATAATTTTAATACAATTAAATACAATTTCTAAAATTAAAATACAATTACTGAAACGTAAAACTAATTAGATAGGTTAAAAAGCAGATTGGACCCAGGCGAGAACAGACTAAAAAATGGAAAATTAATCTAAAGCAATTACTCAGATGGAACACAAAGAGGTAGAGATTTTTAAAACATGAAATTAATAGGCATGCAGCCCGGAGAAGGTCTAATAGGAGATCCAGAAGGAGAGAATAGAGAGAAAGGAAGAGATGACATTTTTGAACAAATAGTGGATGAAAAGTTTCTGGAATAATAAAGGCCTAAATCCCCAGGTTGAAGAAGCAGTCTAGAAAAACAGAATCCACACCTAGACGTATTATTTAAAAATAAACTGCAGAACAAACATCAAAGACAAAGATAAAATATTTTTCAAAACAATCAGAGAGGAAAAACCAATCACCTACCAAAGGACAACGGTTAGACTGACAGCACACCCCTCCATAGCAACAATGGGAGCCACAGAAACAGCATAATATCTTCAAGAAGCAGAGGGAAAT
This sequence comes from Homo sapiens, assembly GCF_000001405.40. Taxonomy (NCBI): domain Eukaryota; kingdom Metazoa; phylum Chordata; class Mammalia; order Primates; family Hominidae; genus Homo; species Homo sapiens. The sequence goes on from NC_000006.12 coordinate 110,375,593, forward strand.
TACTTCAAACCCAGAATTCATACACAACTCACCCATCATTAGAAATGGAGTCAAAATTAAGACTTTTTAATTACCAAGAGAGTTTAACAGTCGTGGACCCTTGAGGAAAGAATAGTACACTTCAAGAAGGACGTTGAACTCAGGCAGAGGTTAACTGCAAGACGTGATGAATATGTAAGCAAAGCTGTAGTTACATCTGAATAGTTACAGATTTTTTAAATTCTTTTTTTTCTTTTTTGAGACGGAGTTTCACTCTTGTTGCCCAGGCTGGAGTGCAGTAGCACGATCTCAGCTCACTGCAACCTCCGCCTCCGGGGTTCAAGTGATTCTCCTGCCTCAGCCTCCCGAGTAGCTGGGATTACAGGTGGGGTTCACCATGTTAAGTCAGGCTGGTCTCAAACTCCTGACCTCAGGTAATCCACCGGCCTCGGCCTCCCAAAGTGCTGGGATTACAGGTGTGAGCCACCAAGCCCAGATTTTAAAATTCTTAATAGCAAATATGGAGGACTTAAAAACGAGTGGAAACAAAATATAAGAGAACAATAACATAGAAGATGGGAGAGGTGCTTGGGATTACAGTATTCTAAGATTCTTATATTGATTGGGAGGAAAATGATGAGGTTAACTTTACACCTTTTAAGTCAAGTATGCATATAAAATATTTAGGTTAACTACTAAGGAAAATAGGAAGGAAGGGAAGGAGGAAAAGAGAAAGGAGAAGGAAGGGAGGAGGGGAGAGAAAGAGAGAGAGGGAAGGAGTGAAGTGTAACATCTTAACTAGTGGCAGTGGAGAGGGGAAGGACTAAAAGAAAACTTGATCAACCTAGGAAGACAGGAATGGGGGAAGGAGGTAAAAAAAAAATCCTATGGCATCATGTCTAGGGCACCGTGGGCAAACCACAGATTAAGGGAGAGGGGAGCATGAGTAATTCAGCTGGACTGGCTATTTAGACAAGCAGTCTAATTGGTGGCTCTAAGGAAAAGGAGCTCCTAGTATTTTGAGGGGGAGGTGGAATGTGGGAGGGAAGACTAGATCCTAGGTTGAGGCAAAATTTCCAATGCTTTTTTTTTTTTTGCATCATGATCACCTGAGGAGCTTCTTCAAAATTCTAAATCATGAGCCATATTGCATATCTAATAAATCAGAATTTCAGATAGTAGGACCTAGGAGGTATATTTCTAAAATCCCTTCTGGTGCTTCTGGGGCACAAGAAGCAAGTCTGCTCCTGGGGAGGAAGAGGAAAGGAGTTGGCAAGATCTAAGCAGAGGCTCAAGTTCTCAAAGAAACAAGATGGGGTTCAACACAGGATCCTACTTCTGGCACAGAAACCAGCGATATACCAGAACCCCCAGGCAGCAGATAAGCCAGATCTGCAGAGCTTGGCCTCAGCCCTGCTGGCTGGCAAGTGCTCAGGCCTCCCAGATGCCAGCCTTGGTGTCTGATCTGGTTAGGCATTGTGTCCCCACCCCAATCTTACCTTGAATTGTAGCTCCCATAATCCCTATGTGTTGTGGGAGGGACCCGGTGGAAGATAAATGAATCATGGGGGCGAGTCTTTCCCATGCTATTCTTGTGGTAGTGAATGAGTCTCATGAGATCTGATGGTTTTGTAAAGGGGAGTTTCGCTGCACAAGTTATCTTCTCTTGTCTGCCACCAAGTGAGATGTGCCTTTCACCTTCTGCCATGATTGTGAGGTCTCCCCAGCCACATGGAGCTGTGAGTTCATTAAGCCTCTTTCTTTTGTAAATTGCCCAGTCTCGAGTTATGTCTTTATCAGCAGCGTGAAAACAGACTAATACGGTGCCATGACTGATTCAGTGTCCTGGGCATGGTTGATGATGGGCATCCCTTGCACTGCCAGGCTTGGACATCACTGGCCAAGGGACTGAGGTGGGCATCCAGGTCAGGGGTCTTTGGGACCTGGACTGGAGGGCTGCAACGCCATCCATCTTTTGGCCTAGTCCAGGTTTTCTGTCCTCCTCAGAGGCTCAGGTGGCTGAGGTTCTAGCATGCCCATGCCCAGGCCCACGAGTATGCTCTTGGCATGGCCTAAGGCCTGGTTCTCAGCCCTAGCTGTTCATCAGGAAGCTCCCAGAGAAGCTGTCAAACATAGACATTCCTGGTTCCCACCCTGTGAGATTTTGATCTGAGAGGTCTGGAATAGAGCTTAAGCACCTGTATATGTTTAACCCCCCAGGTGATTCTAATATATAACCAGGACTGGAAATCTAAATCTGTGGTTCTCGATCCTGGATGCACATTAAAATCACCAAGGTGGGGGTGGGAGCAGATTTTTTAAAAATACTAATACTTGCCGTCTGTATCATAAAGATTCTAACTCTCTTGGTCTGGCAGTGGGCCCAGGTATGTTTTTTAGTTTGTTCAGTTGGTTGGTTTTGGGTTGGTTTTAGCTGCCCAGGTGATTCTAATGCACAGTCAGGATTGAAGACCCCTGGTCCAGAGGATTTTGTTCAGGGAAGTTAACTCGTATTTGAGTGAGTGCCAGGAAAAGGCAAGCCCTGGGGAAGATCCGACATACTGAAGGGCTATTGGTGGGCCAGGTAGACAGCAGTGCGCTGGGGCAGTGTGGGAAGGGCCAGGCGGAGACAAGCCAACAGCCTCAACAGAAGGCTTTCTGGCCAAAGCAATTTGTTGACACAGGTCTGACTTTTTAAAATCTATTATCTTGGGGGCCAAGATGGCTAACTAGAAGCAGCAGTGCTGAGAGGCTCCCATCCAAAATAAGCCATAATAAGTGTATGAATTCTTCACCAGCAACCAAGGTATCCAGGTTCTGTCATCAAAATTGACTAGAAGGCTGGCGTGACCCACAGAGAGAAAGAAGAGCAGTGTGGTGGGGCAGCCCACCTGAGAGCCACACAGGGAAGGGGAACCCTTGGGCCCCCTCACTCACCGCCTCCCTCCTCCAGCCGAGGGAAGCAGTGAGTGAGCACTCTACCCAGCAGGGGAAACTGTGCTTTTTCCACAGAACTGTGCAACTCACGGATCGGAAGTTCTCACTGATGAACCCACGCTACCGGGCCTAGCATCCTAACCGTGGAACATGCAGATTTTTGAGGCCTCTCAGCTGGAATCTGCTTAAGCCTACCAAACTCCCTGAGGGAGGAGTGACCAGCAGGGGCTGCGGCTGCCTGCTGTCTAAGCCCTTTGAGCTCTTTGGGGGCGGGGCAGCAGCCAGCACTGGGACTCACAACTGCCTAACACGCTAAGCTCCTGGGCAGGGGAATAGCGGCACCCATCTCTATACCTCCAGGCTGCACTTTTCCCCTGCTGGAGCCAGGGAGGCTGAGTGGTTTGGTCCCAAGAATTATCCCCACAGCCCAACACACCACCTGTGGCAGTCTGCGGCCAGAGTGCCTCTTCAGGTCTAACCCATCTTTCCTAATTGGGCGGGGCTACCCTGCAGGATCTCCAATAATGCCAGCCAGAGGCTTAGGGACAGAATTTGGATGTCCCTGGGCCTGAGCCCCTAGAGGGAGAAGTGGCCCCAGTCTCTGCAGACCAGCAGACTTAGCCTTTCCGGAGTCCTGGTAGTTCTGAGGAATCTGGGAAGCCCAGATGAGTGGGTTTCCCTGAAGTGAAGCCCACCTTCTCCACCAAGGGACAAAGTGCTTCATTAAATGGGTCCTGCTCCCTGTGCTGCCCAACTGGGTGAGACCCTCTAACAGGGGTTGTCAGATACCCTATACAGGAGTGATACTACTGGCATCAGGTTGGTGCCCCTCAAGGTCAGAGGTCCCAGAAGAAGGAGCAGGCACCCATCTTTGCTACTCTCCAGCCTCCTTGAGTGACGTCTCCAGGCATGGGAGCGAATCAGATGAATAGGGCCTGAAGTGAACCCCCAGCAACCTGCAGCAGCCCTACAGAAGAGGGGCCTGACTATTGAAAAAAAAACAAGCCAGCAGAAAGCCACAACAACAACAACAACAAAAGGCCCCCACAAAAACCCCATCCAAGGGTCAGTAGCCTCAAAGACTGAAACTAGACAAACTCAGAATAATGAGAAAGAATCAGTGAGAAAATGCTGAAAACCCAAAAGGCCAGAGTGCCCCTTCTCCTCCAAATGATTGCAATGTCTCTCCATCAGGGGCGCAGAACTAGATGGAGGATCAGATGGATGAATTGACAGAAGCAGGCTTCAGAAGATGAGTAATAAAAAACTACGCTGAGCTAAAGGAGCATGTTCTAACCCAACGCAAAGAAGCTAAGAACCTTGATAAAAGATTAGAGGAATTGCTAACTAGAATAACCAGTTTAGAGAGGAACATAAATGACCTGATGGAGCTGAAAACCGCAGCACGAGAACTTCGTTTAGCATACACAAGTATCAACAGCTGAATTGACCAAGTAGAAGAAAAGATATCAAAGTTTGAAGACCACCTTACTGAAATAAGACATGTAGACAAGGATAGAGAAAAAAGAATGAAAAGGAATGAACAAAGCCTCCAAGAAATATGGGACTTAGTAAAAAGACTGAACTTACACTTGATTGGAGTACCAGAAAGAGATAGGGAGAATGGAAACAAGCTGGAAAACACACTTCAGGATATTATCCAGGAGAACTTCCCCAACCTAACAAGAGAGGCCAACATGCAAATTCAGGAAATACAGAGAACACCATTAAGATGCTCTATGAGAAGATCAATCCTGAGAAACATAATCATGAGATTCTCCGGGGTCAAAATGAAGGAAAAACTGTTAAGGGCAGCCAGAGAGAAAGGCCAGGTCACATACAAAGGGAAGCCCATCAGACTAACAGCAGACCTCTCAGTAGAAACTCTATGAGCCAGAAGAGATTGGGGGCCAATATTCAACATTCTTAAGGAAAATAATTTTCATCTCAGAATTTCATATCCAGCCAAACTAAGCTTCATAAGCGAAGGAGAAATAAAATTCTTTACAGACAAGCAAATGCTGAGGGATTTTGTTACCACCAGGCCTGCCCTGCAAGAGCTCCTGAAAGAAGCACTAAATATGGAAAGGAAAAACCATTACCAGCCACTGCAAAAACCACACCAAAATATAAAGACCAAAGACACTACAAAGAAACTGCATCAACTAGTGTGCAAAATAACCAAATAGCATCATGATGACAGGATCAAATTCACACATAACAATACTAACCTTAAATGTAAATGGGCTAAATGCCCCAATTAAAAGACACAGACTGGCAAATTGAATAAGGAGTCAAGACCCATCAGTGTGCTATATTCAGGACACCTATCTTACATGCAAAGACACACACATGCTCAAAATAAGGGGATAGAGGAAAATTTACCAAGCAAATGGAAAGCAAAAAAAAAAGCAGGGGTTGCAATCCTAGCTTCTAACAAAACAGACTTTAAGCCAACAAAGATCAAAAGAGACGAAGAAGGGCACTACAAAATGGTAAAGAGAACAATTCAACAAGAAGAGCTAACTATTCCGAATATATATGCACCCGTTACAGGAGCACCCAGTTTCATAAAACAAGTTCTTAGAAACCTACAAAGAGACTTAGACTCCCACACAATAATAGTGGGAGACTTTAACACCCTACTGTCAATATTAGACAGATCAACCAGACAGAAAATTAACAAGGATATTTAGGACTTGAACTCAGCTCTGGGTCAAGTGGACCTAGTAGACGTCTACAGAACTCTCTACCACAAATCAACAGAATATACATTCTTCTCAGTGCCACATGGCACTTATTCTAAAATTGACCACATAATTGGAAGTAAAACACTCCTCAGCAAATGCAAAAGAACAGAAATAATAACAAACAGTCTCTCAGACCATGGTGCAATCAAATTAGAACTCAGGATTCAGAAACTCACTCAAAACCACACAATTTCATGGAAATTGAACAACCTGCTCCTGAATGACTCCTGGGTGAATAATGAAATTAAGGAAAAAATCAAGAAGTTCTCTGAAACCAATCAGAACAAAGAGACAACGTACCAGAATCTCTGGGACACAGCTAAAGCAGTGTTAAGAGGGAAATTTATAGCACTAAATGCCCACATCAGAAAGCTAGAAAGGTCTGAAATCAATACACTAACATCACAATTAAGAGAGCTAGAGAGGCAAGAGCAAACTAAATGAAAACCTAGCAGAAGGCAAGAAATAACTAAGATCAGAGATTAACTGAAGGAGATAGCGACATGAAAAAACCCTAAAAAAAAAAGTCAACAAATCCAGGAGCTGGTTTTTTGAAAAAACTCCGGGGACTGTTGTGGGGTGGGGGGAGGGGGGAGGGATAGCATTAGGAGATATACCTAATGCTAAATAACGAGTTAATGGGTGCAGCACACCAACATGGCACATGTATACATATGTAACAAACCTGCACATTGTGCACACGTACCCTAAAACTTAAAGTATAATAATAAATAAATAAATAAAAGAAATTCACAACCAAAAAAAAAAATTAACAAAATAGGCCACTAGCTAGACTAATAAAGAAGAGAGAGAGAAGAATCAAATAGACACAATAAAAAATGATAAAGGGGATATCACCACTAACCCCACAGAAATACAATCAGAGAATACTATAAACACCTCTATGCAAATGAACTAGAAAATCTAGACGAAATAGATAAATTTCTGCACGCATACACCCTACCAAGACTAAACCAGGAAGAAGTCAAATCCCTGAATAGACCAATAACAAGCTCTGAAATTGAGGCAGTAATTAATAGCCTACCAACCCAAAAAAGCCCAGGATCAGATGGATTCACAGCTGAATTTTACTAGAAATACAAAGAGGAGCTGATACCATTCATCCTGAAACTATTCCAAACAACTGAAAGGGAAGGACTCCTCCCTAACTCATTTTATGAAGCAAGCATCATCCTGATACCAAACCAGGAAAAGACACAATAAAAAAAGAAAACTTCAGGCCAATATCCCTGATGAACATCAATGCGAAAATCCTCAATAAGATATTGGCAAACCAAATCCAGTAGCACATCAAAAAACTTATCCACCCCAGTCAAGTTGGCTTCATCCCTGGGACGCAAGGCTGGTTCAACATGTGCAAATCAATAAATGTAATCCATCACATAAACAGAACTAAAGACAAAACCCCTGCATCAATAGATGCAGAAAAGACCTTTGATAAGATTCAACATCGCTTCATGTTAAAAACTCTCAATAAACTAGGTATTGATGGAACATATCTCAAAATAATAAGGGCTATTTATGACAAACCCACAGCCAATATCATATTGACTGGGCAAAAGCTAGAAGCATTCCCTTTGAAAACTGGTACAAGATAAGAATGTCCTCTCTCACCACTCCTATTCAATATAGTATTGGAAGTTCTGGCCAGTAAAATCAGGCAAGAGAGAGAAATAAAGGGTATTCAAATAGGAAGAGAGGAAGTCAAGTTGTCTCTGTTTGCAGATGGCATGATTTTATATATTAGAAAACCCCATCATCTCAGCCCAAAAGCTTCTTGAACTGATAAGCCACTTCAGCAAAGTTGCAGGATACAAAACCAATGCGCAAAAGTCACAAGCATTCCTTTACACCAACAACAGGCAAGCAAAGAGCCAAATCATGAAGGAACTCTCATTCACAATCACTACAAAGATAATAAAATATCTAGGAATACAGCTAACAAGGGATGTGAGGACCTCTTCAAGGAGAACTACAAACCTCTGCTCAAGGAAATAAGAGAGGACACAAACGAATGGAAAAACATTCCATGCTCACGGATAGGAAGAATCAATATCGTGAAAATGGCCATAGATCCCAAAGTAATTTATAGATTCAATGCTATTCCCACAAAACTACTATTGACATTCTTCACAGAATTTGAAAAAACTACTTTAAATTTTATATGGAATCAAAGAAGACCCCGTATAGCCAAGACAATCCTAAACAGAAAGAACAAAGCTGGAGGCATCATGCTACCTGACTTCAAACTATGCTACAAGGCTACAGTAACCAAAACAGCATGGTACTGGTACCAAAACAGACATATAGACCAAGGGAGCAGAACAGAGACCTCAGAAATAACACCACACATCACCATCTGATCTTTGACAAACCTGACAAAAACAAGCAATGGGAAAGGATCTCCTATTCAGTAAATGGTGCTGGGAAAACTGGCTAGCCATATGGAGAAAACTGAAACTGGACCCCTTCCTTACACCCTATACAAACATTAACTCAAGATGGATTAAAGACTTAAATATGAAACCCAAAACCATAAAAACCCTAGAAGAAAACCTAGCCAATATCATTCAGGACATAGGCATGGGCAAAGACTTCATGACTAAAACTCCAAAAGCAATTGCAACGAAAGCCATAACTGACAAATGGGATCCAATTAAACTAAAGCGCTTCTGCACAGCAAAAGAAACTATCATCAGAGTGAACAGGCAACCTACAGAATGGGAGAATATTTTTGCAATCTACCCATCTGACAAAGGTCTAATATCCAGAATTTATGAGGAACTTAAACATATTTACAAGAAAAAGCCAAACAACCCCATCAAAAAGTGGACAAAGGATATTAACAGACACTTCTCAAAAGAAGACATTTATGTGGCCAACAAACATGAAAAAAACTCATCACTGGTCACTAGAGAAATGCACATCAAAACCACAGTAAGATACCATCTCACGCCAGTTAGAATGGCAATTATTAAAAAGTCAGGGAGCAACAGATGCTGGTGAGGCTGTGGAGAAATAGGAACGCTTTTACACTATTGGTGGGAATGTAAATTAGTTCAGCCATTATGGAAGACAGTATGGTGATTCCTTAAGGATCTAGAACCAGAAATACCATTTGACCCAGCAACCCCATTATTGGGTATATACCCAAAGGAATATAAATCATTCTACTATAAAGACACATGCACATGTATGTTTATTGCAGCACTATTTACAATAGCAAAGACATGGAACCAACCCAAATGCCCATCAATGATAGGCTGGATAAATAAAATGTGGTACATACACACCATGGAATACTATGCAGTCATAAAAAGGAAAGAGATCATGTTCTTTGCAGGGAAATGTATAAAGCTAGAAGGCTTCATCCTCAGCAAACTAACACAGGAACAGAAAACCAAACACTGCATATTCTCACTCATAAGTGGGAGTTGAACATTGAGAACACATGGACACAGAGAGGGGCCTGTTGGGGGGTGGGGGTTGAAGGGAGAGAACTTAGAGGACAGGTCAATAGGTGCAGCAAACCACCATGGCACACATATACCTCTGTAACGAACCTGCAAGTTCTGCACATGTATCCCAATTCTTATTTTAGAAGAAATAAAGAAAAAAAATCTATTATCTTGTTGCTCTTGTGGCAGGACCCAAATCCTAGGTACAACAGGCCTGGAGGCTGCAGAAGGCATAAAAACAGGGAAGAGACATGGCTTTCAGCTGCTCCTTTACCAGAGGCACCCTTACCTTGCTTCATGGCCCTTGCTTCATGTACCCTGCTTCATGTCTTAGTAGAGTAATGCCAGGAAGATATGCAGACCTGGGTGAAGGCATACACATGCTGGCTTTGCTCCGAAGAAAGTTTTCTACAGCCTGTTCCTTCTAGCTGGTTAGATAATTCAGCTGCCTGAGAATCTAGGCCATGAATGTGTTCTCAATGGTATATTCAAGCTGTGAAATTTTAGTAGTAGATAGATTTTTACATTTTAAGGAAAATCAATCAGCAGGCCAAAACAAGAGCTTGTTGAATGGGGCTTGCTTTTTTAAAAAAATCAAATTTAAATTGGGATAATCTATCCATTGATGTTGCATTAATAGTTCACTTACCTAGTCACTCAATAAATGTTTATCAAGTACCAGGCTTGGTGCCTGAGCTGGCTATAAAGTGCTAAATCAGACATCTCCCTGAGCACACAGATCTTATTGTCTAATATAAGGTGAACTATAGTCCTCAGGCCAAATATGGTACACTGCCTGTTTTTTTTAAATAAAGTTTTATTGAAACACACCATGATCATTTGTTTATGCATTAGCTATGACCACTCTCAGACTACAATGGTAAAGTTGAGGAATTGAGTGGTTGCAACAGAGACCGTGTAGCCTGCAAAGCCTTAAATATTTACCATTGGGCTCTTTACAGAAGCAGTTTGCTGACCTTTGGTCTAGTGGATAGTTGAACTCTGCTTTTCCATCACAGTGATCCACTTGTTTTTTATCAATTGACTTATACAGGGTTTTTGGTTGAAAGGAAAGAATCCACTTAATGGGCTCAAGGAAAAAGGAGGATTATGATAAAATATTCCCCCAATAGAATCCATGAACAAGAAACTAAATACAGATGTTACTCCTAAAATATGAGTTTTGCCACACAAATTGGCCATAACTCAGTTCTATTAATTAAAGAAAATAATCTGCATTACTGAGGTCACCATTGGTTATAACAAGATCTTGACTAGGAACTAACAATACATTTAGAAGCTAGCACCAATTGAAAAAACAAAACAAAACAAAAACAAAAAACTGTTGCCTAAGCAATGCAAAGGCTTTGTTTGGGTAGCTTTGACCTTATTTATCTTAACAATGGGTTATAACAATAAAGGAAAAAAGGACTTGTAAAATATCACATTAGTGATAGGAAAAGAAGGGACAATATTTTTAAGCAAAAGTTGCTAAATGCTGGATTTGATCTGTGATGTTTAGATTTTACTCTACAGCTATCAAAAGCATTCTTATTATTGAAATTATTACAGAAAAAGCAACTACTTTGTTGGGAACCTGAAATTCTTCAGCTCCCACTTTTTTTTACTTTCTTAAAACAATAATTGTTTTAAAAGCATTTTTTTTAAATGTGGGGTTTCTGAGAAATATAGAATCGACTGTTCAGTGAGACAGAAGATAAGAAATAGGGCTGGATCAGAACCAAGGTCATTCTCGTTGCTTCCCCAGCAGTACGTGGGCCCTGGTGCTTCCATCTCTGCCTTTTCTCCTCTTCTTCTCTCTTGCCTGGCTTCCACTGTGTAAACCTAAACAACCTGGATTGCCAAGCCCCAGTCTACACGTCTCCAGAGCCTACCATCAACAGGAAATTCTTAGTACAAAGTCTTAATCTGACTAGTGTAGGGGCCAAGGGAAATTTTCCTCTTCACCCTCTAAAAGTTCACTGAAAATCAACTGATCAAAGGCAGATTAATAGGAGAAAAGGCATACAAATTTCTTAACATGCACAAGGGTGAATTAGAGTGAGTCCCCATGATCCAATGGGGTACAGATGGTTCTATACCCTTCTTCTTAGGGGAAAGGAAGATGGGGAAGTGTGGATGATTTTAGGGGAGTTGTAAATGATTTTTAGGGGAATTCAGTGGGTTTAAAGAACATATAATGGCCTGGGACAAAGTTGGTTGGGTCTGCTTAGCAGACAATGGTTTGGGACAGAAGTCTGTCCAGGTGTGTTGACAGACTTCAGTCTTTCTTCCTGTCATATGAGTTCAGTTCATGAAAACTCAGGGAAGGTACCAGAGGTAACTGATTTTTTTCTTTGGTGGTTTGGACTTCAGGCAGATAATGGAACTTCAGAGAACAGCTGCATCCTGTACTTTGGGAGAGACAGGATTGGGGTAGAGAAGGTCAGACAGACCTTGAGACTTCTTCAGTTCAGCATGTCAATGTGCCATATTCTGGGGTTTCAGTTTCAGAGCCCAAACACTGACCTAACTCAATTTATAGTTTGATACTTTTGCAGAGCCTACTAAAACCTTGACTTTTACATTGCCACCAAGACAAAAGACTACATTCCCGGCTTCCCTTGAATCTCAGTGTAACCCTGAGGCTAAATCCTATGAAGTGAAATACAAGCAAAGGTGTTATGTGAACCTTCTGGGAACTGTCCTTGGAGAGTGGATATAATGATGTGCTGGAGCTCTGACTGCCATCTTGGATGTGAGCACAAGGGCCACACCCTTGAAATAGCATAGTATGAGCTGGAAGGAGCCTGGATCACTGATGACCATTGGAGACCTCACAACAGCCCTAAACTGCCTGTATCTAGGCTTCTTTTATGTGAGTGAAATACATGACCACCTTGTTTAAGCAAATATTTAGGGGGTTTCTGTTACCTGCAATGGGGCCTAAACCTGACAGTTTCCTCTGCTCCAATAAGCTGTAACCAGAGAGGTAGGGCCTGAGGGATACTGCCCACACAGTGAATCTTCCAGGTCTGAGCAGATTTCCCAGGAAAGGAGTCCTGGGCAGAGCAAAAAGACCATGTGGAGTTTCAACCACACTGGTTGAGTTCCATTGACAGACGACTTGGATCTGCAAGGAAGAGAAATACCGGGATACATGAAAAATTGGGTCCTGGGCTCATACCATAGAATGTGCACCAGTATAAAAAAAATTATAATTCAAGGGGAACAGGCTCTGGGAGGTGGAATTGTGGGAATCATGGCTGCAGGCCAGGTTGACAGGTGCCTTGAGTAGATGGAAGTCAATTGTTCTGCTAATAATTGAAGAAGCATTGGTTATATTTATAAGAGATCTGGCTAATGCATTCCCTTTGGCTACTTAGGGCTGTGATTTATTGGCAGCAAAGTTACTTAGAATAATAAAACCCCCAGGCCTTGTGGCAAACTGCTGAGATTTTTCAAGAAGAAAGGGACCACTTAAAGATCTCAATTGGCTTTTCTTGAGTGAATGATATCCTGAGGAAGCAGGTTTCAAATGTGTCTCCATCATTCACACCCTTAAGAAGAAAAACGAGAGAAATAAAAAAAATGCTACATTTATTTCAAATATTTGACAAGTTACGAAAGTCCTGAAACAGGTTTCTAAGAACTACAACTCCCAGTGGACACATGTTCCACCATCCTTTTCTTCCTTTTTTCTAAAAGCTTTTAATTGATTGAGAAAAACCGGTTCAAATATCAGTTGATTTGAATGCATTATTCAATAAAAGGAAGAATATATGTCATTTTTAAAAATAGCCTTTCTTCTATACAACTGTGTCCACCTGGGCTATGGCCTTTCTGTTAAACTTTTTTTTTTCTTCCTAAGCAAATAAAATCCCAAAAGTTAAAAAAAAAATCCTAAAACTTTGTGCATAACCTTTGCCTGCTGAAGAAGCACACGCTGGCAATGACAGGGCTCAAAGCAGCCTCGTTCCTCTGGGTCACAGACACAGCAGGCAGACACTCAGCCACAAAGGCCAGACACTTGAAAGCAGAGATTTAAGAAGGAAATCAGTTGTTCTTCATGTTCAGAAAAAAATAAAAGATGTTCTGAAATAGAAAACAAGAAAGAAAAAATAAAGCAGTCTATTCTCAGGCAGTAGCACCGATTACCCAGGAAGACCTCAACTTATATAAACATTGAAATCTTTGAAGTAAATGAAGATAAGCTGTGATGGTTAATTTTATGTGTCAAATGGACTGAGCTAAGGGTGCCTAGCTAGCTGGCAACACATTATTTCTGGGTGTATATATGAGGATATCTTTGGGAGAGATAAGCATTTGAATCAGTAAGCTAAGTAAAGAAGATTATCTTCACCAATGTGAGTGGACATCATCCAATCTGTTGAAGGCCTGAATAGAAGAAAAAGGTGAGGAAGGACAAATTTGCTCTCTGCTTGAGCTAGGACATCTGTCTTCTCCTGTCCCTGGATTTCAGCACTGTGGCCTTCAGACTTACTCCACTGGCTCCTCTGGGTTTCGGGCATTCAGGCTTGGACTAGAACTGCATCAGCTCTCCTGGGCCTCCAGCTTACAGACAGCAGATCATGGGATTTCTCAGCCTCCATAATTGTGTGAGCCAACACTCATAAGAAATTTCTTTCTATATGTCTACATATGTCCCACTGGTTCTGTTTATCTGGAGAACCCTGACTAATATACCAGTCAAATGAGAAATGCAAAGGCTATTTCTTTAGATTTTACTATAGCAAGGGAGTCAGCCCATCACACTTACATTTGGCAGAGATTCAAAGGTAGGCAGAGGGGTGAGAAAGCTTCACAACAGAAAAAAGAGAAGACTTCACATATGTCCTGATAGGCATGGGGACACTGTAGGCAAGTTAACTAGAAGCAAAGCATCCTATATGGTTGGTCCTAAGTTAGAAGTGGGGGCAAGCATATTTTTTTTCTCTGATTTGTTCTAAGTTAGAGGTGGGGGCAAAAATTAGGGATGCTGTCAATTATTAATCAAGTCCTGGCCATTTTGTGTGAATTGTTACAGAAGTTATTGTTTATCTTTCTGGATTATTTCTAGAGATGGCAATATGGCTTCCTGCAAGTCTGATATACTTGTGTAGCAGGCTGGCTTCCTGTGTTGTTTATTGTAGATAAGGGAATTGGTTTCCTGGGCAGGTTGCTGCAGCTTGTGGGCCAGAGTTCTATTTTTATATGTGGTCTAGCCATTGTCCATTTGTACATTCAGTCTGTTGTCTTTCAGATAAAGACAGATAGCTGTCTTGGAGCAGCTGACTGATAGCCAGCAAGGTGATTCCAGTATTTCTAGAGAGCTATTTTGGGACAGCTAATTCCTCTAGGCCACCTTGCCCAGAAGTGCCTAAGGACACACTTGCCTAAGTGAGCACATCCCTCTGAGCTCGATGCCCCAAGATGGCGAGGAAGGAAGGGAAGGATAATGGTGACGCTAGCAGTGGGGGCCTAGAAGGAGGGGAGGGAAGTAGTGCTCAGTGGTTCTCAGCCCTGGCTCTCAGAACTTTGTGGACAGCTTTAAGTAAACACTGATGCAGCAGCTCCGCCCCACCCACCAAAGATTCTAATTTCATAAAGCAGGCCTGGGCATCAACATTGTTTAAAAACTTCCCAGGTGATTCTAAGTTGCAGCCCAGGTTGGCAGCTACTGACCAAAATGAATAATGTTTCAGAGACACTGGGAACAATATTTAGCAATTAGTGAAAATGAAATCAGGGCATGCAGCCACAACCACTTTCTCAAGAAGCCTCCAGTCTTGCACTCTTGTAGCATTGCACTTTAGAAATATAAAACGCAGAGTGAAGCTGAACTAGAGTAACAAATAGGCAAAGGTCATAGAAGGTGAGCCCACAACACACAATAAAAATGCCACAGGATCTGAACCACAGGCATAGTGAACAAAGGAGTACACTTAAAGCTGCTTCGAAATGACTGAAATTCTACCTATTCTGAACAGTGGCCTTCATTTTTATTTTTAACTATTAAAAAATTATTTCCTCCTTTAAAAAATGCTGTTTTATCATAACCTTTTATTTCTCACAGATTATGTATGATGCATATGTGTTTCCAGTCTGTCTAAACTTATACATTTCTCAAATACTTAAAACAGAATTCAGAAGAGTTGCACTTGGAGTATATAAACTCCAAAACCTCAAAAGAAGCACGCACACTCTATATACCTGGTATCCATCTTTCATTTCTAGTCATTTCTAAATTTTTGAATGTACCAATGTATCTGAATCTGATACAACACCACCCCCTGGTGGAAATCTATAGAAAAGAGCCCACACTTGATTTTACTTGAGAATGTTAATACTGCAAGGAATGATTATGACTGCATAAAACACTGGTGGGCTTCTCTCACTGTCTACCAGCAGAATGTTCTCTGCAAACAAAATCATATGCAAGTTCTGAATGAACGCAACAGTAAAGCTGTAGCTGTGCTAAGAGCTTTCTCTTTCCCACACTTTCATTGGCAACCCTGTATCTCACTCAGGATGTCCAAAATATAACTTACTGTATCATTTAACAGAAGTCGTCTTCCCCAAATATTAAAATTAAATCCATTTCTCCTCAAGCCTTTTTTTTTTTTTTTTGAGACGGAGTCTTGCTCTGTCACCCAGGCTGGAGTGTAATGGTGCGATCTCAGCTCACTGCAACCTCCGTCTCCCGGGTTCAAGTAGCTTCCCGAGTAGCTGAGATTACAGGCACCCACCATCATGCCCAGCTAATTTTTGTATTTTTATAGAGACGAGCTTTCACCATGTTGGCCAGGCTTGTCTTGAACTCCTGAACTCAAGTGATCCACCTACCTCAGCCTCCCAAAGTGCTGGGATTGCACCAAAGTACTGGGATTGCAGGCGTGAGCCACCGTGCCCAGCCTCCTCAAGCCTCTTTACTTCAATACCAGCACTTCATTTTCCGTCCACCCAAGCTCTCTAGAGGATTCACAATACACGTGCACACATTAGAGGCTCTGAGTAGGCCTGAGTCAAAAAACAGGTTAAATTCATTTAACTCAACAATTCCAACTCATTTTATTGTGAGACACATTCCCCTCCTCCCCAATACTTCTTAACAAACTGCGGAGTACTCTGATTATATTTCATTCAGAATGATTGTTCCACCTTAATTAGCAAATTAGTTCTTTGGCTGCACATGCTGTTCATCTTCAAAAATGCTTAGGCAAAGCCAACCATACCACAAACCAGCTCTCAATCATTTACAGTAATGGAATGTACAACCCCTAGGTGTTTGACCCCAGGCAGCTATTGAATTGATATGACATACATAGGCAACTTCATCTCTGTCTCCTACCATCATTACCAGCTGAGGGGAGGAAAAGCTTGCTGCTAGTACTAGGAGCAAGCATGCTTTGTCTTCAATTAAATGTAATAATCCAGCACTGTGTGAGCACAATGTAATTTTATTTAGAGGAATTATGTTGCTGACTTGGCTATAACCTAAGAAGATCACAGGCAGCTCTGCAATTGACAGTGATTTAAATGTTTTCCATACATTATCTCCTCCTGTGGATTTATAAGCCAAATGATATCAAAATCTCTATAGCTTCCAACATTCATATAAATCTGCATAGGTCCTTGGACATCAGTTCTAAATAAATTTTACTCTATAAGAAGTATTTTTAACAAAAAATAGAGCTTTATGCCCTATGCCATTAATGCTGGACTTCCTAAGTAAGCCTACATGTTGCATCATTTCTTTTGTTGTTGGTGTTTTTTTTAGAGGTGGGAACTGGCACCTCTAAAAAATGTTACCCAGATTGCACTCAAACTCCTGGGCTCAACAATCCTCCTGCCTCAGCCTCTCAAGTAGCTGGGACTATAGGCATGCCACCGTGCTCAGCTTACATGTTACACCACTTCTAATGTTGAAAACAAAGAAATGTCTAATTAAACTTTCATGCAGTGGAAAAGTTATTTGAACCTGTTCTGTGCTTTGATCAACAGTCTCTCAGTCTCTTTGCTGTCATTTTATGTCATCTACAGGTTTGACTTGGGAATGGGGGTCCTGAGGGCATGGACACACTCGCTCACCAGCCTGGCGGCCTCCAGAGCAGTGCCCCAGTGCACTGAGATGCCCCCACTCCCATGGCCATAGTGGTGGACTACAGGCAGCCTCTGTCCATCTCGCGCAAGGAGCTCTGTCTGCAGTCGCACGCCTGGCCTGTAGGGCCTCAAGCCCACCTTCTCCCTGATGTTGCAGGCTCCGTGGAGGGAGGGCTCCAGAGCACAGCATCGGGAAAGAATCTCTCTGCTATTTTCTGCATCCGGGGACAGATTCCAGTCCCCTTTTTGCCTAGTTCCACCTAGGGTTACATGGGATGTACCAGGATAAATATATGTCAGCCCACTGCCATCTCGGATAAAATGCTCCACCCAGGGAGCCTGAACTTGGAGGACTTGGCCCCTTACAGGGAAAATCTTTGAGTCTCCTGCAAGCTGTCTGCTTCCAAGGCCTGAACAGTTGACCACGATGTCAAAGGACGGATGAAGTTCCCACAGGTCTTCTATTCGCCGAGTGAGTGTCCAGCCTCCACTTCCCTTTATCCTACGGAAGAGAGGCCATGAAGTGAATATTTGTTAGCGACCTGATCAACTACTTCCAGGAAATAAAGAAAAGGAACCCAGGAACAAAAATTAGGTGATGATCTGATGAACAAACACCTCAGGAGCTTCCAGGGCCCAGTCAGGCCAAATTCTAGCCATCAACTGCTTCACATCCTAGGAACTGGGGATTTCTAAAGTTGAATCTAAATGGAAACCACTTGAAAATTCAAAACAAAGGAAATTATATGCTTTGCCCTTTTAAAATTTTGTAAAATTCCTACATTATTCTAGATGCTGAATAAATGCCAAGTTGATTTGGTATTTTAAATGTCCAAGCATTTCTTATTTATACCACTTATTTAACACCTAAATTTACTACCTTAAACATTTTATCTCATATTGTTAACTCTTGCATGATCCTTTGTATTAGCCTGGTCTCCCTAACTAAAAGGTACAGGGGTCATATCCCCACCAGCTTTATGTCCACAACTATGTTAGCACGAGAAGAACACAAAATATTTGTAGCTGATGAGCTAAATGGCAGCTGTGGTTGGTAATTACTATATTTTTTGGACCAACTATATCAATAGTGAAAAGAAATGGTTTATCCAGTACCTGTAGTCTTTATTTAAATCAAGGTAAAATACACTTAACATAAAATTTATCATTTTGACGATTTTTAAGTGTAAAGTTCAGTAGTATTAAGCACATTTACCTTGTTGTGCAACCGCCATCACCATCCATATGCACTATCCATCTTCAGAATATTTTTTTTTTTTCTGAGATGGGGTCTCACTCTGTCACCCAGGCTGGAGTGCAGTGGCGTGATCTCAGCTCACTGCAGCCTTGACTTCCTTGGCTTAAGTGATCCTCCCACCTCAGCCTCCTGAGTAGCTGAGACCACAGGTGTGTGCCACCATGCCCGGCTAATTTTTTTGTATTTTTGATAGAGACAGGGTTTTGCCATGTTGCCCAGGCTGGTCTGCAACTCATGAGCTCAGTCGATCCACCTGCCTCTGCCTCCCAAAGTGCTGGGATTATAGGCATGAGCCACCGTGCCTGGCCTCCAGAACTTTTTTAATCTTGCAAAATGGAAAGTCTACCCAATAAACAATAACCCCCAGGACATGTAATCTTATTCACAGGTCACTTGTAGAATAGAGAAAGAGACTATCAGCAGCTCTGTTCAATAGACGCAGGCCGAATGCTTGCATGCGGGGCACTGCTAAGAGGGACCAGAAGGGTGTGAGTGACAGTGCCCTTCGTCAAGGGCTGACAGAGGAACTGGCAGACAGAAGTGTAAATGCTTGGCAGAATGGACTAAGTTCTACAGGAGAAGTGGTGTGAAATCAGAAAGCCTGGCTTTATATCCCAGCTCTGCCTCACATTAGCTTTGAGCTCTTGGCCAACTCACCTCACTTCAAATCTCAGTTTCCTCATCTGCATCATGGGGAGGATACCTCCCTTGCCTGTCTCACAGGATGGTTGTGAGGTTACAATAAAATAATGGCCACAACTTTGAACAGTCGTCAATCACAATACATCTTAGAGGACCGATATCAATAAATCACGAATTCCTCAAGGGGAGAGACTGTATCTTATGTTTCTTACCATCCCTATGACCTAGCTAAGTGCCCCACACCAAGTGGACTGGAAGTAAGTGTTAGCCAATACTAAAGACAATATGAAATCCTGGTTTGGACCTGCTATGGTTAATTTATGTGTCAACTTGATTGGGCTATGGGGTGCTCAGATATTTGGCCAAACATACTCCGTGTATTTCTGCAGAAAGTGTTTTTGGATGAGAAAAACATTTAAATCAGTGGGCAGAGTAAAGCTAATTGCCTTCTTTAATGTGGGTAGGCCTCATCCTATCAGTTGAAAGCCTGAATAAAACAAAAAAGTTGACTCTTTTCCAAGGAAGAAAGAATTCCTTCGCTGGACTGCCTTCCAACTGGGACATTGGCTTTTTCCTCTTTTTGGACTGGAACAAAAACATTGGCTCTTCTTGAGTCTCAAGCCTGCTGGCCTTTGGACTAGAGCTACACCATTGGCTCTCCTGGGTCTCCTGCTTGCCTGCCAACTCACCCTGCCGATCTTACACATCCTATTCATTCTTTTTGTCTGGAGAGAGATACAGGGTGGCAGAACTTTGGCATCTTCTCTCTCTGACTGCCGCAATCCAAGCCGTTTCAGGGAGAAACTGGGAAGGGCTGACCTTGAAAATGGAGGCAGAATGCTTGTATCCTGCATGCCCCTAAGAGAGCAGAAGTGATCATCACAGCAGTTCTGAGCGCTATCTACTTTCAAGGCCAGATAAACAGGTTTAATGTGAAGGAAAATAATAAAAAAGACAGAAACTTCTGCAATGGTGGTCAATGATGGCATGGGTTTGACAACTAATTTTAACTTAGCAAGGAGGGACTCTTTGAAGTGATTCTAACTTTCCGCCCCACTTCCTGGTTGGAAAGTTTAACTGCAACTTGTGTTAAGATCAGCAGAAAACTGGCCTTCTGATGCTGGATTGCATTTCTAGAAAATGTCTCATGTTCATGGTGGTGCATGCCTATAATTCCAGCTACTCAGGAGGCTGAGATGGGAAGATCCCTTGAACCGAGGAGGTGGAGGTTCAAGCCGAGATCCCGCCACTGCACTCAAGCCTAGGAGACAGAGCAAGACACCAACTCAAAAAAGAAAGAAAGAGAGAAAGAGAGAGAATGCCTCACGTTGATGAGCATGGAAGAGACCAAGATTGCTACTCAATGGCATCTTAGACCCTGACCCCAATAGCTCAGCTTCCTATTCCATCAAGTACAAGCCACAGGCTGTCATCTCAGCATCTTTGCAGTTCTCTGCATCTGACTGAAGGTCAAGCTGCTGGGCAGAGCTCCATCTGCTCAGTCTCTTCACACTCCCTCCCTCTGCAGAGACCTCTGAAGTATGTCCACCGAGCAGTTTCAAGAACAGTTTGAAACCTCTGGATTAGACTCACTGATTATTCAACAAGTATTTGTTGAGGGCTTGTACTGTGCCCAGCACCCTTAGGAGGCAAGAAGAACTCAGAGGCTATGCTTGCTCTGAGATCACATGAACCTGCACTGCACTTCCTATTAAATGCAAGCTGCATTGCCAGCATCAATGCTTCAAACAACAGAACCTAAATTCGGTTGCTTTTTATTCTAAAAATCCAAGGAAGGGAGTATATTGTTTACCTGAGACAAGGAAACCAAAGAAAAGAATCTGGCAAGCATCTACACTTTGGGGCCACAGAGAACCAATAAAGCCAATGGATTACTTTTTGATGTAATTAAAAGTAGTTAAAAGAGAGAGAATGAAGCTGGAGCTACTGTTTTGTTTGTTTGTTTGTTTGTTTGTTTGTTTTATAAGTAAAACTGTTCATAGATAAAAAGTACTAAATATAGCAAATTTTATGGGGACAGATTGTTTTTGGCTCTCTCAGTAAGAATAACCAATTTAGAAGCTTAAATTATGTTCTTAAACATGTAATAATAGATAAATGTTTTTAAAGGTAAAATAACTGTAAAGGTTGTTTTTCCCCTTAACATTGGCATAGAAAGAAAAGTAAATTGGAGTTTTGTAGTAATACTGAGCAGCATGTTTCTGTGTGTTTATAATCTTCCAAAAAGTGAACACGAAGAAAAGAACTTTAAAAAGAGCTTAGGAGGCCTCTACCCTTTACCATTCATATGACCTCGGCCAAGTTATTCCACTTCTCTAAACTTTAATCTTATATCCATAATATGGGGGTAGTAATACTGACTCTCTAGGCTCGTTGTGAAAATGAAATGAGACACATCTGGAAAAAGCATAACACTGTGTCTAACACACTATAGCTGCTCAATAAAGACCTTTTATTTTTAAAAAAGTGCTTAGGGGTTTTTCATGCTACTGTAAAATACAAGACCCAGTGCATTATCTATGTGTATTCTTATCCTCCATACCTGTATATCACTTATGTTTCATTAAGGATGATATTTCAATTTTGAAAAGTTTTAACTGATCATTATTTGAATATTATTTTGATTTTGTGGGTTTTTTAAATTCTTACATTGTAGATTCCATGTGTTAATATTTGAACATTATGTTCTGTGCTCTAGATATCCTAATTAATTAAAACTCAGAATTATTTTCATAATTTGGGGGAATAAGAGAATCTGCCAGCCTTGGGATATCAGCAGATTTTTAAAACTCACTGAAATTGTTTCCTAGGGATAAGAATGCCTAACTTATAGGGTTTTTATGATGATTATGCAAGAATTCAATAAGTGCAAATGTCTTTTCTTTTCCATTTCAAGGGTTCCCTGCTGGTCAAGCTACTGATAAAAGTCCAACTTGTGCCTGGTGACTTCTTAAGCTATCCTAGTGGCTGGGCCTTGTCAGGCTTCCTGTGCTGGATTGCTCCCAGGCCTTGGATCCCAGAGGAAAACTCACTAAATGTGCCTGGAGACTGGTCACCTTTATGTTGTTGTAATGCAACCACATAGTGATGCCCAGTCATTATTATGTATCCCATGGGTAATGCATAAGATGGCACCAGTGCATAGGAGGAAACTGTACCCAAAAGTCAGATGTTAAATTAGGTGACCAAGTGCCTACCAGGCTGCTTTTATGACCATATGAGGTAGTTATTCTGGAAGTTTGGGGTGACATGGTTGGAGGTACAAGAAGCATGATGACTTTCCTCTTGGGGCTTCTTGCAACTGAGCAAGACCTCATCCTGGAGAGAGAGAATACCATTGTCCCAACCTCCCATGAGGAAATAGGGTTAGGGGCACTCAAGAAGCAGGGCTCACGAAATAGCCCCAGCATCCTCTGGTCATCACCCTAAAACATGAGAGTGTCCATTTCCCCAAGCTTAAGTTAGCCCTCTGCTGGACTGCATCAACCTGACCCACAAACAAGGAGGATGGTCATCCTCAGCGCCTTTCCTTCACCTCACTGGGAGTTTCAGCAAGGAGGTAAATTGAGTTGGCTGTGCCCCTGAGGAAAATAAGGGTCCACTAAGCAAATCTTAAATGCGTACACACACACACACACACACACACACACACACACACACACACACTTGGCCTCCCAGGAGCAGAGTCCCCTCATCCCCTCTCTGCTCTTGGAATCAGAGGCAATTCCCATACTCCACTGAAGCTGAAGCCATGGCGAGAAAGGAATCTCAGGTAGCACTAAACAGGGAGGTGGGGGCTGTGATGCGGACAGCCTGTGGCTGGCAGCGGGGACAGGGGAAAAGACGAGCTCCTGGTGAGCTCCAGGGCAGACATGGCTGGCTAATGGGGCTAATGATGGTGCTGAGGAAGCCAGTTTCTTTCACAGGCATTGCTGTGAGTCAGGCCGAGCAGGAGAACACAAGATACAGGAGAAGAAAAAGATGGGCATTAGAGGACTCCCCCAGAGAAAGTTACAGAGAGGCCTAATCAGAGGAGGGGCGAGGAAAGTACAGGGCAAGTAGCTCAGTGTGGCCAGTGCTGCGGTCAGCATAGGGCCTCCTTGGGGACACAGGATAAGGCATGGCCTCTTGGAAAGAGATCAACGTGTCCATGTTACAGGGCCCAGCACAGAAATGGGCCACCCAGTTTCCTGAATGTTGTCAAAGGCAGGACAATCCTGGTCCCTCTGGGAGGATTGATTTAGATGGGCTGCCTGGAGGAAGACTTAATGCCTCGCTGACTCATTTCCTGGAAGGAGCCAGTAATAAAGCAGCAGAATTTAACTCCACTGGCAGAATATGATATGAAATATGACCTGTGTGGGTGATTCAAACTCTGTGGGGTTTTTGTTTGTGTTTCTTCTGTATATTATTGGGCATTATTGTTTTACTTTTTGTTTGAGAACAAGATGATCTCTTCTATCTTTTGAAAAATAATAAAGATCTAATTTGTAGCACAAAATTTTTTTGTGGAAGTTTGTATTATTTCAGAAGAATCGTGCTTAAGCTGAAGCCATTGCTGTGTGGCTTGCTGAGCAAATGCTTATTTTTGAGTGAGAACACTGAAGGCTGAACACTCACATTGTGTGGAAGAGGCGTAGGTGGCAACAAAATAGACCCTGAGTGTGAGGAGCAAACAGAGATTGTGTGGCGTCCCATGTGGGTCGCCTGGCGGGAGGTCAGTGGGTGGCAGCCCAGAGGGAGCCCCAGGTGTCGCCCCCTCACCGGGACGCGGCCCTCCCGCCCACCCCGCCTGAAATGCTCGCCCTGAAAGGCCGGACTTGGGCTGAGAGGAGTCCCGTGCTGCAAAGCCTCCTGAGGGAGGAAAGGGGACACGTGGCCTTGTTCCTCCACCAGCCTGGTCGGACGCAGGCTCCGGGCTGCAGGGAGCTAATCTGCATGGCCAGGGGCCACCGGGCGCTGTCTGTGGAGGCCCCACACCGGGGTCAGGAGGGAGCCAGGTCTCAGGAGCACAAGGGAGTGAGGAGCAGAGGCTCTGAAGTCTTCCCGCCGCAGCACACCCTGTGCCTTCTGTCTGAGGCACTCACATCTCAGCCGCCTTCCTGGCGGGCACGCGTATCAAACAAACGGACTGAAGAAGGTCTCCCCAGGACTCGGGTAAAAGGGCAGCCCTCGGTCCTCTCCTCCCCGCTGCCCATAACCGACCCACAGCCGGGAGGCGGCGTATTCCCAGGCACCGCCCCCTCCGCCGGTCTCCGGCCGATGGCGTTGCCGTCCTCGCAGCCCCAAGCCCCCTGGCTGGGGGTCATTTTAAGTGGCGGGAAATGCTGACCGCAGGCCCGCAGCCCAGGACGGGGTGGCAGGGTTGACCCAGGCCTTCCTGCCGCAGTCAGGGGTCAGGTCTGAAAACACAGAGATGATGGAACTACGGGGCCTGTCTTCTAGAAGGCGATGCTTTGGAAGCAGGAAGAAGACATTGTTCAGATAACATTTGATTCGGTGTGGAAATGACGGGGGCTGCCCGGAGCTAAAACACTCTCTCTCGGAGTAGTGGGAGCTGGGAGGGTGCGCAGGAGCGGGCCGGGGCGGGGACTGGCGCCTCATCACGGGCCCGCGTGGGGACCTCCAGCCCCCGCAGAGGAGGACGCTGCCCACGAGGCAGGGCGGCACCAGGCCAACTGGGAGACTTATGAGGACTCCTCAGAGGAGGTGACTGTGTGCTGGGGGGAGGCTGGCGTCCCTGCCTCTGCCCCCTTCTACAGTGACACCTCTTCAGGTGCCCTGGGCCTTCATGCCCCCTCCCTGCCCCATCAGAACTCTCCTCATCTCCCCAGGGCCTTATCAACAATTTGGCCCTTAAAGCAAAATGAAAGCAATGAGCCCTCTCTCCCAGGAGGAGTTAAGCATTTGCATTTCACTTCTAGACTTTAGAGCCAATGCTTCAATGAAAGCTTGGGCCCGAGAAAGTTTGTGAAGAAACGCTTCACACCGCCTTCCCTGATTACCCATAAGCTCAAGGCTATCACTAGGACTCAAAACTTACTCTGGCTCATCTGAGCCGCACCTTCTTTCAGCTGGGCACCCAGAGGACCCCTGTCTGGCCCTTCTCCAGCCATGCTTTCTTCTTGAGGCAGTGAGTGTGTGGGGCTCGGGCATGTGCCCAGCCAGAGCCCTCTCCCTTCACTTCCAGCCCGTCTTCTGGGGACCCAGGATCCCCATATTCCCTGTCCTCTTCCAGGACCTGCACTGTCTTCCTCCCGGGGGCAGACTGTGCCACTGTGTGCACCCCGGAGCCCAAGGAGTGGCCAAGGACAACTGTCTTCAGGGAAGATATGGATAGAGCGAGGGTGCTTCCCGGCATGCTCCTGGGCCCCTTTGCTGCCATGTGAAGATGCAGGACTCTTAGGAATCTAGAAATTCTAAATGTCAACTTGGACTTCCAGGTGGTTGTGGTAGAGGTGTGTTCTTTAGCTACACCTCAAATCAGGATTTACATTGCAACAGAGTGAAAATTTCAGGGGACAGAGGAAAAGAGAAAAGACAATTTCTTTCTGCACTAAATTCATAAATTTAAATTGTGGCATTGCAGCAGGTTTGTGTTAAGGGAAAGGTGGTGGAAAATATTCATGAAAAGAAAATGTTTTTCTTCTCCAAATTTGGGGTGTGTGGAATTTTGTTGTGCCCCAAAGTAAAAAAGTGCTTTAAAAAAAAAAAAAGCAAATCAAGTGAACATATCAAAAAGACACAAGAGCAGTTTGAAGGGGCTCCTACTCAGCTAATCTTGGACAATTTGAACATCAAAATGATGGGGGGGATAAATTATAATCCATTGAATAAAATAGGTACCAATGAGTTCATCCTGATATAAATACATATAGGAAAAGGAAAACTTCTTTACAGTAGAAAGCAAACTATATAGATGGAGTTATAAAATGATCACTTGGAAAATATCACAGTAATAAATAGTTCAGGCAAAAATCATCAATGGATGCTAAAACTCGTAGGTGAAAGTACTACTTTCATAGGAACTCGTTTCATGGGAATAGGATATTTACATAGTTTCAGGTATATCACAACAAAATATTTAGTAATTACAAAGAGAAAAAGTAGTAACCTCACAGTAGAGATAACTGGCATTCTAGGTGATGAAAGTTAACAGCCCCAATAAGGGGATAAACTGATATCATCTTCCTCCTGCTATGATGCAATAAGGATTCAACATTACTTCTATGCATTCTCACCCCAACATGCAGGACCTCAATCCGATCCCGAGGAAACATCACACAAACCCCAACTGAGGGACATTCTATTATATGAAACAACTGGTCTGTACTATTCAAGCTTGTAAATGTAATAAAAGACAAAGACAGACTGGAGACTAAAGAGACATGACAACTGAAGACAATGTGTGACTGTAATTGGATCACGGACTGGAAAAAATTATGTGTTGTGTGTATTTATATTTACATGTGGACATTATATGGACAATTGGCAGAATATGAATAAGGTCCATAGATTATAGTGTTGTATCAATATAATGATATTGATTTTATTATACTACTGTGTTTATGTAAGAGGATACCCTTGTTCTGAGAGCAAGTATTTAAATATTTAAACATGGGGCCAGGCACGGTGGCTCATGTCTGTAATCCCAGCACTTTGGGAGGCCGAGACGGGTGGATCACCTGAGGTCAGGAGTTCGAGACCAGCCTGGCCATCATGGTGAAACCCTGTCTCTACTAAAAATACAAAAATTAGCTGGGCGTGGTGGCAGGCACCTGTAATCCCAGCTACTTGAGAGGCTGAAACAGAAGAATCACTTGAACCCGGGAGGTTGCAGTGAGCTGAGATCACGCCACTGCACTTCAGCCTGAGCCACAAGAGGAAAACTGCAACTTACTTTCAAATGGTTCTGAAAGAAAATATGTATAAGGAGTAAAAAGAAAGCGAAAATAATGAAGCAAAATGTTAGGAATCTGTATGAAGAGTTTGTTAGAGTTTCTCTACCTCCCTTAGCTCTGTGTCCATTACCATCCCTAACACATACCCCTGGCCATCCCCACGCAGGAAAGCCCTTAATCAGCCCTTGACCATGTCTCTGAGGGAGAACAACACTCTTAGGTTCTCACTCATCTGCCTCTCCGTGATCTGCTGGAGACCACAGGGCTCCAGCCAGGTTTTCTAGAAAGCTTACTGATCATTAAGACAAAAATCCAAGATGAGAAAGCCACACAATGGACTTGGTGGCAATAATGAAACTTCAGCCCAAACCACTAATAATACCAAAAAAAGTTAAACTCCTTAATGACACCTCACCTTTTATCACAATATTTTGTACATGTTCTTCCATTTTGAGCTCTTTTTGAGTCATAATCTAAAAATGTTATGCATTGTATTGAAAGGAAACTCTGCCATTTTTTGCCATGCCTAATAATTTCCACTTACCTAAATTTTATTTTATTTTATTGCCTTTTTCCACATGTTTTAACTTTTTTTGTTTATTTTATTTTATTTTATTCTGGATTTTATTAAGATAAGTTATATGATGCCTCAATTCCTTATCACTAGCATCAATGCTTCTAATTTTGTATTTCTAGTCATTTTTAGAAGGGGGAAAATTCAACACTACACACTATTGCCACTCAGGAAAGATGGTGATGCTGCTAAAATTTGCTTGTTGGCTGGTGGGCAACTCCATCATGTGATAGCTCAAAATATACGTTTATCAGCTGATGTAGACAAGTCCAAACTTGGCATATGAACAGTGGTTTATGGGCTGGTGAACAAGGCCAGAAAAGGCATGGGTTTTATGAAACTAGAACTTACAGAAGCAAAATGTCCCATATAAATTGCTAAGAGGTAAAAGTGAGAAGAGCACTTGAAAAGCTACAAAACTAGATTACGATGCCACTGACATGTGCCTAGCAGATCTAGGCTTCCTCCTTTCTGCTCCCATTCTAACCTGCATAAGTCTGTACTTTATTTTACCATGTGTGTTACCATCATTGTTAATTAATATGCAAACACATACACACACAGTCATCCACAATAGACCATGAAATTATTTTAAAAAGAAATCATATTTTATCCTTCTTTTTTACCAGCTTCTAGCATAATGCCAGATATATATAAGCGTTCAACAAAAGTTGTGTAATTAATGAATTATATGAATCAATTATCCTATAACCTACATCTGGTACCAGATCACTGTTGCCCTGGCCTACTTCAAGTCACTTTCCCAACATTTACACAATAATTCACATCGTTCCTATTTACCAAAATATACACATATGGGAATTGAAAGGATCAATATTTCACAACTCTCAACATGCCTGCAAGTCCAGACTAAACTAAAGACAGATTTACTGATGTATCTCAAATGAAGATACTCTTGATGTGTTTCCTAACTGGAAGCTAAGTACTAGTTTCCTGAAAGTCCTGAAAAGTAAGCCGAAATGCAAGTTCAAGGTATCACGGGCTGAACTTAATGAGGAAGGAGTGACATAATTTGGATAGGTCCTTAGTTTCAGAGTTCTTATTTAAGACAAAAGGAAATAATGAAATTTTTTTGCTTTACCAAAAATGAGAAAAAATTCAAAAATAATTTATAATAAGCAAAGATTCTCTCGTCCAAAGAATTAGAGTAAATCATATCATTCTGTAGCTGGAAATATATTCTCCAAACTGTTCCATTTTACAGATGAGGAAAACTAAGATACTGTTTCAATAAGAGGGTTTTACCTGGGGCAAGAAGGGTAGGGAATAAGTCAGGCATCGAAGTGCACACCAAAAATAGAAGACAAATTACTAGAAGCATGGTGTGACTTAGTCCTTGTGACATAAACACTGTCTTCAGATTGTTTTACAAAGCCCTAGCCATTTGTGAGTGGCAAGGCAACGCGAAAGAGCTCTGAGGGATGCCAGAGACTTTTCAGTATGTATTTTATGAATAGCTACGAAGTGATTTATGGCTATGACAGATAAGGAAATATCAGGGAGCATTTCAACTGACCTTTTCTCCAACCACGGGAGGTAGGCAGGGCATTCACATTTCAGGGTTGTAAAAGCCTGACCAAACACATACTGGGGGAATTTCTTCAGCTCAGCCTCAGTCATCTTTCGAAATCCCAGAACCACGTCAGCCCAGAATGGCACTTCTTCAGTCGGAGTGCTCTGAAATATCTGCCAACTCAAACGTATTAAGTGAACATTTTTTCCTGAAATTTGTGAAATAACATATTTCTAGTAAACTTCACATGACATTCTCTAGAGCATTTATTTTATTTTATTTTTGAGACAGAGTCTCACTCCATCACCCAGGTGGGAGTGCAGTGGCACAATCATGGCCCACTGCAGCCTCAACTTCTGGGGCTCAGGCAATCCTCCCACCTCAGCCTCCCGGGTAGCTGGGACCACAGGCGCTTGCTACCACACCTGACTAATTTTTAAAATTATTTGTAGAGCCAGCGTCTTACTATGTTGCCCAGGCTGGTCTCAAACTCCTGGACTCAAGTGATCCACCCACCTTGGCCTCCCAAAGTGCTGGGATTACAGGCATGAGCCACTACAGCTGGCCTAGAACATTTTAAAAATTTAGTTTCTATAAACACAAAGAGAAAATGATCTATTTTACTATTCTCTTAGGTTCAGATAACTCAGTAGCTAAATAGCAGATGTTGGTGACTGGGCAAATAAAACATCTTAAAAGTAACATGCTTTTTAAAGATGGAATTTAATACTCCTTTTCTAAAAAGCTCCTGCCTAGATTTGGTTGTTAACAAGAAGGCTGTAATAGTACTACTAATAGCTGCTATGCAAATGTTTAGATTTGTAAATATTGGGTTGTTTTCATCAGTAAATGAATAAATGTTATAATGCCAGGCATGGTGGCTCACACCTATCTATGATCCCAGCACTTTAGGAGGCCGAGGGGAAGTTCGAGACCAGCCTGGGCAACAAGGTGAAACCCTATCTCTACAAAAAATACAAATATTAGCTGGGTGTGGAGGCACAAGCCTGTAGTCCCAGCTATTGGGGAGACTGAAGTGGGAGGATCAACTGAGCCCAGGGAGGTCGAGGCTGCAGTGAACTGAATTGGACCATTGCGCTCCAGCCTAGACGAGTAAGACCCTGCCTCAAAAAAAAAAAAGTTATAAATCATCATTGCTCAAAAATAGCAAGGAAAATAATCTGAGTGCTAAGCATAGTTGCTAATAATTCCCCCATCGGAATATGTATCTCTAGGTAATTGATTCAGAGCAGTCCCCATGAAGACACAAATGTCCTTTACTGCAGGGTTCTGTGCTGGCCCACTCTTGCGCTGGGCTAGCTTGCCCTCTTCCATATCTTCACCATGACCTACAGGCCAGACACTTAGAAGGCTACATTTCCAGTCCTGAGCACTTAGAAGGTTATA
This sequence comes from Homo sapiens, assembly GCF_000001405.40. NCBI lineage: Eukaryota > Metazoa > Chordata > Mammalia > Primates > Hominidae > Homo > Homo sapiens. The sequence goes on from NC_000006.12 coordinate 110,406,178, forward strand.
TCTCCAGTCCATTCTCTCTCTTGAGCTCCAAAAACAGATCCGGACCCATGTTACCTACTCCCCACTAGATAAGTCCACTTAGAAGTCTCATGCATTTACACACACATGCACGCATGCATGCACACACACACATCCACTCTTTTCCCAATCCTACCTAACTCAGAAAATGGTACCCATCCATGCAGGTGCTAATGCCAGAAACCCAAGAATCATCCTTGATTCTCTCTCCCTACTCACCTCTCATACACCATCAACTGACAAGTCCTATCAAATCTCCCCTTAGGCATTTCTCAAGTCCATCTACTCTCTGTTTCTACAGTCCACACCCAATCTATCTCATCATCAACTCTTCCCACAAATCTATTCTCCACACTATAGAAAACATATTTTTGAAATGCAATTATGACCAGTCACTTCACTGTGTAAACTCCCTCAATGGCTTCCCATTTCTCTGGACTTCCTTCAGTCCCTCCCACACACCACAGTCGCCCTAGACTCAGGTCTAGGTGTATGCTGTTTCCTCCACCTGGAATGCTGTCTCCTTCGTCTCCCACCCTGCCCCGCCCCCACTTCACCTCTACAACATCACCAGACTAACTTACACTCTTCCTGATGGTCTCGGATGAAACACCTTGATCTGGATGGCTTCTCATCACTTCCCAGAGCAAGTTTCTTCTCCAGACATATGCTTCCATAGCACCCTAGCCTCTTCCTTTTGGTAACTCATGTCCCAGTGAATTTGGTAACTCATTTGATTTACTGCATTCCCTAGAGACCATAAGCTACATAAGGGCAGGACTGTGTCTTCCTTAAAAATTAACTCAACACATATTTGTTAAGCATATGCCAAGTGGTATTACTAAATTGCTCACTGCTATATCCCTAATACCTAAGAAAGAACCTGATACTGAAGAATGCTGAATATGTTGTTTTGAAGGAATAAATAGATGAGTAAGGCTATATACTTACGCCAAAGATGCACAGGGGATTTTAATTCTGGACATGGCTGTTTCCAAAAATTACTTAGAGCCAAAATTTGTGAATTAGACGGACTCATGTTGGATTTGGACAAAGAGTGTGACCGTAAATCAAAGAAAATGTTTTTTCTACTTGGCTCATCAACTGGCTCCAGATTTAGTTATACAGAAGAATCAATCCATAGATTGATAGGAAAGCAAAACTGCTACTTTGGGGAGGGGCTTTGGGAAATTACTGACATCAGCATCATCTTGGTGTTTGTGATGGTGAGGAAAAACAAGAAGAGAAAAAGGGTAGAAATTCACCCAATGCAAGTGTGTACACTAGACTAGCAAAAAACCCCAGTGGGCAGCCTGACATCAAAAGAGGAGATAAGACACATTTTTTCAGAAGGCCGCAGAAAGACTGTGTTATCACACAGGATAACACATGTATGTTACAAGTGTAACATGCACCAATGACATGTATGTTACATCATATGATGACACTGAGAAGTAAATTGAAAGTGATAGAATATTAAGTGATCTCAGTTTAAGAAGATATTAAAAGATGTCATGTTTTAAGTGCTCGTCTTACTAATAGAAATGTCAAATAGCATTTATTCTCAAATTTTCATTTAATTATGCATGCCTACTGAAATTATACATTAAAAATGAAATAGAAGTGTGCTAACAGTTTCAGAAATATTTTTTTCCACATGGCACTTCAAAAGGCAAGTTTAGTGACCTACAAAATTTCCTTCTTTGGAATATCTCATTCTCCAAGGACACCGAATAAATAAGAAGTCCCTCTCCCTTAGGTCTCTGCAGCCATCCCAACATCATACCTGTTTGCTTTCCATCGGCTGTACCATCCCCACATCACCCAAATCCAGCATTTACCTCCTGCGTGTTTTTTTAACCAAATTTGCAAATCACTGCATGGTCTCTGAGGAAACCCAAAATCAATCGTATTTGTGATGAGAAACTCTGATTGTTGTTTATTGTTAAAAAGTCTAATACCATAACTTGTCTTTCTTCAGTTCTTTGGGGTAAAGCCTATAATGCTCTTTCCGAATCCTCCTGCATCTAAGTCAGCACTCTGCTCACAACAGCTACTCAGTAAATATTTTATGTTGAACTCTAATGCCTGTTAAGATCATGCTACACTCTAAAATAACTTCAAATTTCTTCACTTACCCTGATACCAAATGAACACCAGCATCTCCAGCTTCTGCAGAATTGGCAATTGCAAAGAGGTGATTAAAGGTTTCTCTGAACCACTGCTTCTGCGTGTGAATGGGTGTATCTGTAATCATGGAGAAAAGCAAAGTGGAACAGAAAGGAAAATGATGATAATGACAGTGCTTCAAATAAGCTCCTTCCTAGAAACTTGGAAAAAAAATAAGGAGGCAAAAATAAAATAAGGAGGCAGGGAGGAACATTAATATAAAGTGCCACATTGTGGCAGAGGATCTGTCAGCAACAAGAGATTTGCATGTTGACACATGCTGTCCAAATCTGCTCATATGATTAATCAATGGAGGGAAAACAGGCCAATAAGGGCAAAACCCGGCATGCGAGCTAGTTGGAAGGTGGTTTTTGGTACTAGGTATATTCCAGAGGTCCTTGGCAGGTCTATAACCAACCTGAGCAGAGCTTAGTTCATGGCTGTGGGATCCAGCTGGCCACACAGTTGAGACAATAGGACCAAGGACAGAGGGCCTCTTTCTTGGGGGCTGAAAACATAGTGGATGACATGGGCAGGTCTGTGGGGCCCAGGCCAACCGGGACAGAGAACAGACTGCACCTCGATGGGGAGTTCCAGGGGCTTGCCTCCTGGTACAAGGAAACAAGGCTTGCATGCTGGAGGCGAGCCCCCTGCAGGCCAGACTTCCCAGCAGGGGCTGCCATTACCTTCCACACCATGGAATCAGGTGCCAGCCAGAGTAGCACTCCTGAAGCCAGCAGGGGCGTGCAGGGACCATACCATCCCCCAGGCACCTCTGCCAGAGCACATGGGGTTGGACCCAGACACAACTTTTGGAAGAGTGCCAGGCCTGTTGGGGAGGAAACAAGAGGCAGCGTTTAAGCCTCAAAATAAGTGTCCAGTGTAGGCACAGAGACGGCAGGAATGACCCAAAATCACAGACAAATCCAGCTGTGGTTGAAGTATGTGGCCGTCTGATTCCTGTAGAAGGATCATGAGAGACTGGCTAGGGTTAGGCCAGGGACCAGGGAACAATAAGCCTCAGGGGCTGCTATGAGGGAAGCCACAGAGGAGATGAGGGAACTGAGGCAGAGAGGATGCTAAGTTGGTTCCACTTGGAGAGGTGTCCCTGAAATTCAAGGAACAGATAGAAAGATCTTTGGAGACATCCTGCTTCCCAGGTGAAGCCCCCAGGTCACTGAAGTCATGTCAGTAGCGGGATTTTCAGACAATTCGCTTGTTATAGAGCCAATAAATATTTCTTTAGTAGCGAATCTGTACTGCCATCTTTAAACATGTGCCCATGTGAAATTAACACTATATTCCAAAATTTCACAGTGGGGATGCTGCTTTAGAAATAAGGAATAAATAAATAATAAGCTGCAGAGAGAACTAAATTTGGCCTCAAATAGACTTTACCCAACAATCTATGCCACTGTGTGAGGTTGTATTAAAATGCAACTCCCTGTTCTCACCCCAAACCTTAAAAACAAAATAGTGGCTGAGATTCACATGCTGCAGAAGTCATCCCAAAGAACAGACAATTCCCATCCAGCAGTGGGTCTAGGAAGCCTGATGACCTAATTCATGTTCAAGTCCTGGTAAAACAGAACTATAGCTGGAATGGTGAGAACAATAGCAAATGCTGATATAGCACTTACTATGTGCCAGGTACTGTTCTAAATGCTTTACATGTATCAACTCATTTAATCCCCACAACAACCCTATGGGACAGGCATGGTCTCCATATGGTATTGACATTTATGAGCACAGGAGATAGTTATGACTGGGGCTCATCTGAATAGTGTCTAGGAAAGAAACCCAAAGAGAAGACCAAAGTCTTTATCTAGCAGCATCACAGAGAGAAAAACCCTGGTCCAGGAGAACCAGCCACCTGGCCAAAGAGACAGTTCTGGCCTCGATGGCCCTATGAGCCCTCAGATGAGTGACTGTCTTTGAGGGATGATTCCATGACTAGCTGGCAGCCTTCTGAACACTCACTCAGGCCTGGTACAGGCAAGGGAGAGCCTGGAAAATGGTCCCAAGAACTCTCGTCACAAGAAAAGCACTTAGTGTAAGCTGGTGTATTAGTCTGTTCTCACACTGCTAATAAAGACATACCCGAGACAGGGTAATTTATAAAGGAAAGAAGTTTAATTGACTCACGGTTCAGCATGACTGGGAGACCTCAGGAAACTTACGATCGTGGTGGAAAGGGAAGCAAACAAGTCCTTCTTCACATGGTGGCAGGAAGAGAAGAATGAGAGCTGAGCTCAGCAAAGTGGGGAAAGCCCCTTATAAAACCATCAGATCTCCTGAGAAATCACTCACTATCATGAGAACAGCAGCATGGGGTAACTGTCTCCATGATTCAACTACCTCCCACCAGGTTCCTCCCACGACACGTAGGGATTATGGGAACTACAATGCAAGATGTGATTTGGGTGGGGATACAGCCAAACTATATCAGCTGGCATCTGGTGGATACACCAGGTGCCTGTGTTTGTTTCCTGGGAGGCAGTTCCCAGGAGCTGACCAGCCAAGCTCCTGGACCTGCAATGCCAAGGTCGCTGCTATTACCACCCTAATAAAAGATATGTCTATTCTTTCTTAGGGGTCTTTGGACTGGAAAACACAAAGCACCAGCAAAGGCAGGGATGCCGTGCTGAAAAAAGGAGTGTTAAGGAAACACATGCAAACTGGATGCTAGGACCCCAGCCTCTTCCCCTGTCACCTTCTCAAATGCCAGCTGGCATCCGGGCCTTCATCTTCCCCAGGCAGGACATGGAACCCTCTTCCCTGGGAAACAGGACCCGCCCAAGAAGAAAAACTTAAACTGAATGACATCACAGATGTCCCCAAATAAATGGCCCTGCCCTCTTACTCCAGTGAGCTCACTGGCAACAAGCCCTGTGCAAACACTCAGAAATTCCCATCTGCTGTTCAGGGTCCACTCATAAACATCAGCAGACAGGTAAAGAATACCACACGGCCAAGAAAAACCTCTATCATGAAAAATGAGAAAATCAAAAAACAAAAACAAAAACCTCCCACAATTTGGAGATGACAGATACTCAGATACTATTCAGGGAGAAAGTTTTTAAAAACTGTTATTAGTATCTTCATAAAGATAAGAGAGGACATTGCAATCTTCTAACACAAATAAGATGTTATAACAAATGAAAATTCGGAGAACAAAAAAGAGCTTTGGAATATTAGAAATGTTATAGTAGAAATAAAAAATTCAATAGCAAGGTAAAAGATAAAACTGAGTAAGTCTCCCAGAAAGTAAAATAGAGAGAGATAAATAGGAGGGGGACAAAGCTAAAAGAATTGGAGGACCAGTCTGGGAGGTCCAGCATATTAACTTTTCCAGAAAGAGGGAAAAGGACTTCAGAAGGGAGGACGGTTTAAACTATGGGCATATATAACTTTGATAAAAAATAAAAAATAAAATTAAAGAGGAAAAATAGAGTGGAAATGAGGAAATGGGGACAGTGAGTATAAACTTCATTACTGCAGCGTGATTTTGGTTTCTATTTAATGCTATTTTCTTCCTCCCCCATTTCAAGTGGAAAATACAGAAAGGAAAGGACGCATGGACATGTTCAAAAATCAATGCATTGGTGGGGCATGCCAGCAGATTACAGGTGTGAGCCACCATGCCCCACCAGTGGGAGGATTGGGAGGCCAGGAGTTTGAGACCAGCCTGGTCAACATGGCAAAACCTTGTCTCTACTAAAAATACAAAAATTAGCCGGGCGTGGTGGCTCATGCCTGTAGTCCCAGCTACTCAGGAGGCTGAGGCATGAGAATCTCTTGAACCCCAGAGGTGAAGGTTACAGTGAGTCAGTGAGCCAGGATCGTGCCACTGCACTCCAGCCTGGGTGACAGGGCAAGACTCTGTCTTAAAAAAAAAAAAAAATCCATGCATCTTCAGGTCTTAATACATATTAACTAATTATGATTGACTGATTACAAACATATTGATAATTGTTCTTATACAGGCTTAGAAGTTAGGATAATTTTAGTTCCCTTACAAGTAATTTCTGACTTGATAGTCATTACTGTTATCAGTGGAAAGACAGAGCCGCCAATCATGTAGTTGTCAGTACTGTTCATCCCATGCTTCTGCTATCCATCTTCCGGGAACTATAGAATCACACTTTCTGGCCTCCTGCTGAGGGTGGAGACATGTGGCCTGCTCTGCCAATGAGCCATCATCAGAAGCGTTGAAAGTCGCTTCCTGTCCAGAGTGTTTAATCACAGAGGCGAGAACCTCAGAGGTCCCCTCCCCTCCGCCCCTGGGCACATGCGCTGATGACAATCAGGATGACAGCTGCTCCATCGGCTTAGGTCCCTGATGACAAGCTGGCCCCTTGCTGATGCTCAATCCACATGTAGTGTGAGCAAGAACAAACTTTTGCCTTTTAAGCTGCTAAGATTTGGATGTTGTTTCTGTCCTGCAGCATAACTGAGGCTGTCCTAAGAGATGAACCAACAGGATGTTAAAACCGCACATTATGGCCAAGCATGGCGGCTGTAATCCTAGCACTTTGGGAGGCCAAGGGGGATGAATCGCTTGAGGTCAGGAGTTGAAGACCAGCCTGGGCAACAAGACAAGACCTTGTCTCTACAAAAATACAAAAACTAGCCAGGCATGATGGTGTGCACCTGTAGTCCCAGGTACACGAAAGGCTGAGATGGGAGGATCACTTGAGCCTGGGAGGTTGAGGCTGCAGTGAGCCAAGATTGCACCACTCCACTTTAGCCTGGGTGACAGAGTGAGACCCTGTCTCAAAAAAAGAGAAAAAGAGGAAAGGAAAAAGAAAAAAACCTGCATATTACACTTACACCTATAGCCAGCTGTCTTTTGTCAATAGAATTCCACTAACATCATTCTATCTGACATCTATTGTATCTGATAGAGGAGCTGAAATCTCTCACCTGGATAAGTGTGAGGAATAAGCATTCCGGCTGCCACATCACTGGTGGTATCTGGAGTAAACTTGTCTGAAATGATGGTAACGGAGCATCGGGGCACCAGTTTGGAGATGCACACAGCCGTGGAGAGCCCCACCACACCTGCCCCGACAACTGCAATCCGTGCTGTGTCCATGAGCCTGTGAGGAGGGAAATGGGAGCTATACCCCTTGTTTTAAGGATTTTCCCATCCAGACAAAGTTTGGTCTTGACAGTTTTTTCCTTAGGTCTTCAGCCACTCAGAATAAGACTTAGCCTATTGGTGTTTCTTGTGAGATAAAGAGGATAACCCCATAAGCTCACTTTCCATTAAATATTGGTGTATAAGCAACAAGATCTCCATGGGCTTTTAGAGAGTAACACAAAACTGGCTTGGATTTGCCTTTAGAACACCTAGCCAGTAAGTAGGTCTGCATTTGGAGGAGTTTTCTACTCATTCTTCACCCTTCCCTTTTTTTTCCCCCTGAAAGGGGGTCTTGCTCTGTTGCCCAGCCTGGAGTACAGCGACGAGATCTCGGCTCACTGCAACCTCCGCCTCCCAGGTTCAAGCAATTCTCCTGCCTTAGCCTCCTGAGTAACTGGGATTACAGGTGCCCACCACCACGCCAGGTTAATTTTTGTATTTTTAGTAGAGATAGGGTTTCAGCATGTTGGCTAGGCTGGTCTCGAACTCCTGACCTTGTGATCCGCCGGCCCCAGCCTCCCAAAGTGCTGGGATTACAGGCGTGAGCCACCATGCCCGGCTTCATCCCCCTTTCCTAAACCATTTTCCCTATGGGCACAACCTAGGGAAGGTTGACAGAAAACCACAGAGCTGTAGTCTTTGCTCCCAGAACTACCTGAGGAGCAGTGGTGAGGGGCATGACCCATGAGCAACTCAAAACTCAACTCTGTCTACAAAGTTGTTTCTAATAATAAGGACATTACAGAAAGTTTCAGCAGCTGAACTCAGTCTCCTCTGCCATCTGCCACTGTCACCGGCCCCCTGTCTGTCCTGGACAGGTTCTGTAACCTGAGGAGCAGTCCGTGGTCTCCTAGCCTCCACTCCCTCATCTGTAACACAGAACAGATGGATTACTTGCTCCTTTGGGTGGTAAATAAGAGAGACCCAGTGAGGCGGTCTCATAAAGGGGGCTCCTTGGGAGAGTCTGAATGGAAATGCAGGGGACAGACATCCCGGAGCCCGGGCCAGGTGTCCTGAGGCTGGCACCCTCTGTCCCACCCCTCACCCACGGAGCCTTGCTCCACTGTCAGCATCCCCGCCTGCCTTTGCTTCCCTGTTTTTGGCTTTCCCCATCTGTTCCTGCTCTGACTCTTTCTGTATGGCTCAGGTTTAAACTCCAGAGAGAGAAAATGCAGTTGTACCAGTTGGTCATTGCATCCCCTGTTGGACAAAATTCTAGCACCAGGCCAACTTGCTGGGCTAAACCAGCCTCTGAATGTGCCCTTGGCATAGTTGCCCTTCTCTGTCCAAAGCACAGTAATCAGGGTACTGGGCCACATGGTACAAACCATGGCCACCCACACACAGAGGTTCACCTTTCCTCTGGAAGGCTGGGCAGCTTCCTCAGCAAGGGCTGTTGGCAGGAAAAACGTGGGCTTGGTTGTTAGTGGCCTCTGCTTTCTCTTCCAGTTCTGAAGATTCTCGCACTATGAGACTTTAAAGCCCTCCAATGAAGTTTAGTGTGATATTCCTATTCCTCGAGCAGTCTATGCATTTCTGTGCTAATTTGATACGTTAATTTGATTGCTGTACAGTGGGCTGGTCAGCTGAGAGAGAGTGGGCCTGCCAGGGCTGAGGGAAGAGAAGGGAACGGGCCCAGGCCAGAGCAGTCTGGTGGGGGCCAGCTTGAGTAGAGCTGTCCTGCAGCCACCAGTGACCTTATTGACTTCGCTGTTTCACATCAGCCTCCCATGTCCAGCAACTCTCTCAAAACAGCTCTAATAAACTAAGTTGAAAGGGCAAGCAATCTGTGGCTAAGAATAACCAGCTGCCAGGGAGGAGGAGTGAGCGAGCAATGTGGTGTGTCCTGGCACAGTGGCCTGTCCATCACTGTCCCCTGACCCTATTCAGACACACTCCCAAACTCCCAGAGCATGGACGGAACGACCCCTCAGCTGAAAGCAAGAATTCAAGTACCTGTCTCTGAAAAAGCAGTCTTGGAAGCCACCAAAATCTCTGGCACCAAACCTTGTTTCCCAGTGCCTGGCTGGTCTCATGCCCTGAGAGACAGAGAGAAAGCGAAACTGATTCCCATTGGTGACTTGATTCAGGACATTCCCCCTGGTCTTCCTTTCCATTGGCCTGCATGGCTGTCTCTGTCACCCATTGCCCCGGAGAAAGGAGCAAGTGACCTCAACCTGTCATCTCCATGGCGCTGTCTCTGCCAAGCCCTTCCCTTTCTGGCCCACGAGCCCTCTGTCTGGCCGCCAGCCTGGGCTTTCTCCAGCTGATTTGTAGGTATGGTGAATAATGGGTGAGCCTGTCCAACTTCCAACCTCGTTTGGCTGCCCACAGTTAGCCGGGTGCCTGGCTCTGCTGGGTCAGCTGGTGGGGGAAGCAGGAAGGAGGGGGTGAGGGCTGAGTAATGTTGTTGATTGATTGGAGCTGGAAACACTATTCAGGAGATAATCTAGGATAGAACCACATGATTCTTTAGCCCAGCAGTCCCCAGCCTTTTAGGCACCAGGGGCTGGTTTCATGGAAGACAATTTTTCCACAGACTGGGGATGGGGAGATGGTTTCAGGATGATTCAAGTGTGTTACATTTACTGTGCACTTTATTTTTATTATTATTCGTTGTAATATATAATGAAATAATTATACAACTCAACATAATGTAGAATTAGTGGGAGCCCTGAGCTTGTTTTCCTGCAATTAGATGGTTTTCTCTGAAAGTAATGGGAGGCAGTGACAGATCATCAGGCATTAGATTCTCATAAAGAGCACACAAACTGGATCCCTTGTGTGCGCAGTTTACAGTAGGTTTGTGCTCCTATAAGAATCTAGTGCCTCAGCTGATCTGACAAGAGGCAGAGCTCAGGCAGTAATGCAAATGATAGGGAGTGGGTATAAATGAAGACAAAGCTTTGCTTGCTCACCCACGGCTCACCTCCTGCTGTGAGGCCAGTTCCTAACAGGCCACGGACTGGTAGTGGTCTGTGGCCTGGGGATTTGGGATCCCTGATTTAGCCCACATATTCAAAGAAGGGATTCAATATTTGATGAGTGTCTACTGAGCTCTAGGCATGAGGCACAGTTAACAAGTTTGTTTCCAGGGAGGCAGTGTGATGTGTCAAATTAGTGACAATAATATTTTCAATAATGTATATGTAGCATTAACCATGTGCTAGACACATGTATGACATCATATATCACAACCACCCTATGAAGTAGGTACTATTATCACTATCCCCATTTTGTATATGAGTACATTGAGGCTCCAAGACAGTAAGGAAGGGTCCAGGGTCTCTTAAATGGTAAAATCCAGTCTGGATATCTGACGTCAAGGCTCAAGCTCTTTTTTTTTTTTTTTTTTTTTTTTGAGATGGAGTCTCGCTCTGTCACCCAGGCGGGAGTGCAGTGGCTCTATCTCAGCTAACTGCAAGCTCTGCTTCCTGGTTTCATGCCATTCTCCTGCCTCAGCTTCTCTAGTAGCTGGGACTACAGGCGCCCGCCACCACACCTGGCTAATTTTTTGTATTTTTAGCAGAGACGGGGTTTCAACATGTTAGCCAGGATGGTCTCGATCTCCTGACCTTGTGATCTGCCCGCCTCGGCTTCCCAAAGTGCTGGGATTACAGGCTTGAGCCACTGTGCCCAGCCAAAGCTCAAGCCCTTAACCAAAACACAAACTTTGGTTTCAAGAGACCTGCATTTTTACCTTGAGCAAATCACCTGACTTCTGAGTTGGATTGCCCATCTGAAAACTGAGAATGAACTAAGAATCCCTTGCAAGTTGTTGTAGGTCTCTGATAAGTTGAGATATGTACAATTCTTTGTAAGGTGGTCTGAGGGCCGGTGAGGGGGTGGTGGGGAAAAGCAACTTTTTCTCTGGCTATGCTCAATACTGTCACAGTCACTGAATACAGAACACTTTCTGTGACCAGGTGTGTGGGGGTTGTCTCCCTACACACCAAGCATCCCATTCTGCAGATTCCCTAGCAGACACTTCAGCTGCATGTCCTCTAATTCAATTCAATTCTGACACCAGCTACCTGGAGATAGTGTCAGATCCCACAGGTTAAGGGCTCAGTCCCACAAGACTTACCCTACTTTGGATGCCAATCACAAGCCCCAGGTTGTGGGTTTCTGACTGGTGGGCTATAAATCGGGGTCCCTACAAGCCCCTTTTCAGGTTCAATTAATAATGGTTCAATTTGCTAGAGTGGCTCCAGAACTCAAAAGAACACTTTGCTTACCTTTACCCATTTATTAATATGGATATTACAAAGGATGCAGATGAAGAGCCATGTGGAAGAGAGGGCCAGGGCTAGGCATATGGGAACGGGCAAGGAGCTCCCGTGCCCTCTCTGGGGGCACAACGTCCAGGAACCTCCACATATTCAGCCATCTGGAAGCTCCCTAAACACAGTCTTGTGTTTTTCCTTTTTTTTTTTTAATGAAAGCTTTATTATGTAGACATGATGGTTAAAACATTGGCCACTAGTGACCAACTTAACCTTCAACCCCTTCTCCCTAGAGGTTGGGGATAGGGCTGAAAGTCCCCACTCTCTAATCATGTCTTGTCATTTCCAGATGACCAGCTCCCATCCTGAAGCTTACTACAGGGCTCCAGCCACCAGATATCTCATTAGCATACAAAAGACACTCTTATCACTCTGAGGATTCCAAGGGTTTTAGGAGCTATATGTCAGGAAATGGGAATGAAGACCAAATACATAGTTCCCAGTATCACAGGTGGTATACATATTTTATTGAGCACCTACTATAAAAATCAATCAACAAACATTTATGGAGCAGCCACTTTGTCCAAGACATACTGCAAGGGCTATAAAAGATTTAAGAACTTCTGAGATGTTTGCTCCCTCAAGAAAGGAAACAAGGCAGAATAAGACTGTCCTCTAACCAACAGCACATACTGCAGGTGCTGGGAAGGATCAGGAGAGAGAGGAGTACAGTGGACCCAAGTGGCTAGTCCAGGAGCGTACATGGGAAGTGAGGAAGGCCCTAATCAATCAGTGGGATTTCGATGGACAAACAAGAGGAGGGAGAAAAATCTCTGGAGAGACAAAGCCACAGAGGCAGGAAGTTCAAAGTGACCTGAGGAAAGAGAAGGGGGTTCATGGGGAGGTTTGTGCAAGACCAGGGTGTGAAAGTGCTGGAAATCTGGCTAGGATGCAAGACTGTGTTCAAAAAGTAATGGGAGCCACGGAAGAGATCTGAGAAGGCTCTTTCTTCCTCCCGCCCAGGTTAGGACTCCATGTTTTCCTGAAAAGCAAGAAGAGGAGGACATACTCAGAAATGAAACCCAGAAAGAAAGCTTCTCTGTAGTAGTGCAGAGTCTATACAGATAGGACTAATAAATCCTTTTTTTTTTTTTAAACGCAGAGCTCTAGCACTATGACTTAAGTGAAGGGTCCTTCAGAAAATGGATGGGAAAACTGATTTAGGTATCATTGAGGGTAACTTCTAAAAGGGGCCTCAGGAACCACCTGGGGAGAATCTAGTGTTGTTTTCCAGGTTAGTGGTTGGGGTCTGAAGTGTTGACGTGATCTCCCTGAGACTGCAGGGGAGCTGGGCTTCATCATCTTCCCAACGCTTCTTCGGAGACTTTTAAACTTGGGCTGCAGAGGTCCCCAGGGCCTCACCTCTGCAGCACATTTAGGGTCTCTCTAGCCACCCTCCCCCTCTTGCTGTGCTCTCCATGGGTGTTTCTGGCTTGCAGGGTGTTAGCCTTGCTGGTGTGTCTGTGGCCAGTAAATGCAGGACCTAAGCCTGCGTTCATCAGAAGACTATTGAAGATATCAGGCTCAGGGGCCAGGGATTCCCATGTGTACAGCAGTTTGGGGCAGGGAAGTAGGACAGTGAAATCGTCCTCATAGGGTTAATGAGATTATAAGCCAGGCTTTATGGAGAATTCTAGTTAAACATTGACCAGGGTGGGTTGGTGTACTTTTGACCTGCTCCCCTGAAACTGCTAACTAATCAAGAATCAGGTAGCATGCTGACCACCTGCTCCCCCAACTTGTTCCTACAGATAAAATCTCTGACAGTGGATCTTTTACCCAAGAATTGCTTAAGATGTTCTTCAGATCCTCAATTTCAGCAGAATGGCTGACACCAACTGGCATGGGTGAGCCCAGAGAGAGGCTGGGAATTAAAAAAAAGTTTACTTAGAGAACAAGCAGTTGCCAGTGAAACGTTGGTGCACTGTAGACTTCAGACATAAAAACAGCAGCCATCACTGACTTCTGGCAAATTCAAGTAAAACAACAAACATCGAAACTTCCAGACATTCTGTTGGGGGAAGTTGCCAAAGACGTTGGCTGCCATAGTCAGCTTTACCATCTTCGATAAGAAAATACTCCTCTTCACCATATACAAGAATTTATTAAGTACCTGCTTTGCCTACACCATTTTGCACTTAGTATGTTTTCGTTACATATTTGATAGGAATGAGAGAAAGGGCACAGGTGGGCCCCTCAGAACAGAGCATTTAATTGAGTACATTCGGAGCATATTTTGAGTATGAACCTCCCTAACAACACACCTTTTAACAGTGATTCAGGGGAAAGATTCAGCTTTTGTGGGGTCTGAAGTTTGTACAGTTTCAAGAGCCCTTTTAAGAGGAAAAAAATACAAAATCACAAAAGAAAAGAATGCCTGTGACCACTTTGATAACATCTGGCAGAGGAGGAATGTGATAGAAGGGAAAACCAAGTGGAAAAATATGATGGTCTCAGCTGATTGTAGTGACTAGATCTTACTTTTGCAAAATGTACAAAATTCTGTGAAAGCTTATGTCCAAGTGGACCCATTACTACGCTCCATCACAGGAGCCTGTCCAACTGAAGGAGCCTGAAGTTTATGCGTCATTAGCTTCAGTGAGTCTTGCCTACAGCTATCATGGACTGGAACTAACCACTGGAGCAAAAGGGAAACTGCAGAAGTATCTCCAGGTAGCTAAACTGCAGAGTCCATGAGGGAGGACAACAGTGTGTGGTAGGGCACAGTCAGGACAGCGACACATGTGGAGCACTGATAGACGGGGCCCCCATGCCCACTGGCCAAGACCAAGACTGGGCAGGACACCTAATGAGGGTGGAATCACATACAGTGAATGGAGAAATAGCCTTGTAAAATATCGGGACTGTGCAGAGTGGCGTTAAATGGTGTTGATATATTATTTCATTTAATTTTCCCATTCCCAGAGGGACATTGTATGATAATCCTGAATTTCCAAATGAGAAGATTGGGGTAAAGAGAGATTGGTTTGCTTAAGCAGGAATGCTTATAGTCAGGGCTTTTTTATTTCCAGGCTTCCATTGCCTCTCACACTTCGTAGCCTGTCAAAGTCAAGTTAGTGCATTAACCTCAGTGACATAGAACTGAGAAACAAGGTCACCTATCTGAATCTTACCTACTTGTGTGTGGTTTGTCCTCCATTCATTGTAATGCTATGGTAAAGTACTCCTTGAAATATTTGCAATCAGAGACAGATCGGATGTGTTATGACTAGGTTCCAACTATTATAGATCATCACCATTTTCCAAGTATAAAATCAGAAGGTTACACATATTAAGAAATGCTGAAGGAACAAAGTATGTTTGGCTTCCTGCACGATAAACATTTGTGAATTTTTACAACAAACAAAAAGCCTAATTTTTCTTCCAGTAAAGAAAAAGAAATTTTTTTTTTTTTTTTTTTTTTTTTTTTTTAGACAGAGTTGCCCAGGCTGGAGTGTAATGGTATGATCTCGGTTCACTACAACCTCTGCCTCCAAGGTTTGAGGAATTCTCCTGCCTCAGCCTCCTGAGTAGCTGGGCTTACAGGTGTACACCACCATGCCTGGCTAGTTTTTTTGTATTTTCAGTAGAGATGGGGTTTCACCATGTTGGCCAGGCTGGTCTCGAATTCCTGGCCTCAAGTGATCCACCTGCCTCAGCCTCCCAAAGTGCTGGAATTATGGGCATAAGCCACTGCACCCTGCCCCAATAAAGAAAATTTTTTCCTTTTGAATTAAAACTACTTTAATCAAGGTTGATGGATACAAAATCAACATATAAAATCAATGTATTTTATGCCAGCAATATACAGTCACAAAATATAATTATTAGAAACTTCTCATTTCTAATTATAATGGAAATTTACATATAAGAATATAACAAAAAACATGTACAACCTTTATGGAAAAAATTATACTTCATTAAAAGATATTAATGATGACCTAAGTAAATGGAGAGAGATAACCCATGATAATGGATAGAAGAGTCAATACCAGAAAAAAGAGTGAATTTTCCCTAACTTAATCTAAAAATTCAACCCCTTCCAGTTGAAAGCATAATAGGCAGTTTCAGTAGAATCAGTGGGGGTGTGGGCTCCTAGGTTTCTGGTCAGCAGCGGAAATGTGGTTTCAGCTCGAGCAGTGGAAGCAGAAAGTGCAGGCTTGTGGGCTCCCAACCCAGCCATGGTAGCGGCTTTCTGATCCCTAGGTAACTTCTGCATTTTGTTCCACCAGTCTTTCCTACACTTTTATAACTAACTGTGCATGAAATTCCTCTCTGTTTGAATTATCTCCAGTGGTTTCTGTTTTCCTGACTAGACATTGACTGATACAGTCATACATATGTAGATGTCATGATCTGAAAATTCGTATGTTGAAGCCCTACCCACCATCAATGTGATGATATTGGAAGATGGGTCTTTTGGAGGTAATTAGAGTTAGATGAGGTCCTAAGGGTGGGGCCCTTGTATGGGATTAGTGCCCTTATGATGAGAGACACACCAGAGAGCTTGCTGTCTCTCCACATCTGTGCATACAAAGAAATGGTCCTGTGAGCACACAGTGAGATGGCAGCCACCTACAAGTCAAGAGAGAAAGCCCTGGAATAAAACCTACCTTGCTGTCACATTAATGTTGGACTTCCTAGCCTCAAGAGCTGTAAGAAATACATTTCTGTTGTTTAAGCTGACCAGATTGTGGTATTTTTTGAATAGCAGCTCAAGCTGACAAAGACAGTGGGCAATAAAAATGTAAAGAAATGCCTCAAGATTCATATGTTGAAATCTCAATCCTCAGAATGCAACCATATATGGAGATGAGATCTTCAAATGGTGATTAAGTTAAAATGAGGTCATTGGAGTGAAGCCCTAGTCCAATATGACTGATGGCCTTAAAAGAAGAAGGAAAGATACCAGCCAGGGGTGTGTATACACAAATAGATGACCATGTTAAAAGACAGCAGGAGGGCAACCAGCTGTTAGCCTGAGAAGTGTCAGAGGAAACCAACCATGCTGGCACCATGATCTGGAGCTTCCAGCCTTCAGAACTGTGAAGAAATAATTTCTCTTGTTTAAGCCACTCAGTCTGTGGTATTTTGCTATGATCACCTTAGCAAACTAACAGAATATAAAAGTAAAGTCAAGAAAGTGTTGCCAGGCGTGGTGTCTCCCACCTGTGTAATCCCAGCACTTCAAGAGGCCAAGACTGGTGGATTGCATGATCTCAGGAGTTTGAGACTAGCCTGAGCAACATGGTGAAATCCTGTCAAAAAATACAAATCCTACAAAAAATACAAAAATTAGCTGGACATGATGGCAGGTGCCTGCAGTCCTAGCTATTCGGGAGGTTGAGGTGGGAGGATCGCTTGAGCCCAGGAGGCGGAAGTTGCAGTGAGCCCACTGCATTCCAGCCTGGGGGATAGAGCTAGACCTTGTCTCAAAAAAGGAAAGAAAGAAAGTATCAAATGTTAACTAAGAGGAAAAATTTTAATGGCAGTAGAAAAATGGGCTGAGGGAAAAGAAAAAAGAGACAAAATAAGAAATAAGATAAAGGCTCAATAAATGTCTTCCTCCTTTTTCTCCATAAAATCCTATATATGTTATTTTCTTTTATAAAGGAAGAAAAGTTTTTGGCTTTATTTTTCCTTTGTTAATGGAAAGACCAAGTGAAGAACTAAGCAATTACCCAAGGAACTAAACTCATATAAAAAATCAATAATTCAGGTTAAATCCCTCCTTTTTTTCCCCCTTGGAAATGCTTTTCAAACTCACAACATCTATATAACTGCCTTCTTTTACTTTCCTCTGCAGATAATGCTAATGTTTCACCAATTCAAATGCAGGATATAAGACATACCTAACAGCAAAATCTCAAGAGCAACAACAATAAAAAATGAAATTATGATGAAACCACAGTAAGGAAAAACCCAAAACCTATGGGAAACTGACTGTAAATCTGAAATGCATTCTTCCACAGATAAGATGATTACATAATTTGCAGTTGAAGTGTCCAGGATATTAATGTTTTTGAAAGACTATGGTTTTAAGTAGAGTTGGGAAAAAAAGTATAGTAAAACAAAAGAGTAAAATCTTCATGTAAATTATTTTTTTAAAGGCAAGAATACTTACAAACATTTTTACAATGGCAACAAATCCAGATGGTACTTAAAGTCAGTTTCCTGGATGATCTGCCAACTGAAAAAGTTTGCAGTGGGTTAAAAAGTCATAGCCTCTGTGGGCTGTAAAGGAGACTTACAGGGAGAATTTGGTAAATTTGGGAAAAATAAGAATACCAGACTAGAAAGCTCACTCTTGGAGCCTGGCAGGTGTGTGTCCCTTATCTGAACCAAACACAAGCACAACTGTCTGCACATTCAAGCCTTCTTGGCTCAAGGTTCTGGGAAGCACGGCATCATTTTTGTAGCTCTGATTTTTTATGGTTTAATTGTGAAGGCAAGCATTTTTTGAGAGGGCATTTCTGAATAAGACTTGTTTTTAGAGCTATGATTCTCATAAGAGGGGAAAAAATATCAGAAATAGAATCTGCAAGGAGCTTTGTCAAAAGAAATGCATTCTCACATGCCCCTTCTTTTGGGAAGCCGTGGAGGGGTGGCACTGGCGGGATAGAAATAGGTGAACTCCGGGAGGCTGAGGCAGGAGAATGGTGTGAACCCGGGAGGCGGAGCTTGCAGTGAGCCGAGATCCCGCCACTGCACTCCAGCCTGAGCGACAGAGCGAGACTCCATCTCAAAAAAAAAAAAAAAAGAAAAAAGAAAAAAAAGAAATAGGTGAACTCCCTCTGGCATGCATGGTAGGGGGGTGGTGGGGAAAGGTTGAGAATCAACTACATAGAAAAACAAATGTTGAAAAATATTTTGCAGCAATAAGAAAGCAGTTTTTAAAACTGAGAATTTTCATCTTAGTTTTTATTTCTTTTATAACATATTTGCTTTAAAATTTTCTTACAAAATTTATTAAAAAGACATACAAACAACATATGGGAGATGAGAATAAGATTCCTCTAATACAAAGGCATTAGGGTAAATAATATTTCAGGTGCTAGACAGCAGGCATGGCACATTTATTCACCAAGACCAGAATCCCTGGGGGTAATCGCTTCCGTTTTTTCCAGCCCACTATTATTAGTTGTGAGAAGTAATTTGCTTGACTTGCTTTCATTCTCTGACTCCAGTTTTGCAGCCTCCTCCCAAGTAGTTGCTAGCCGTTTCCCAAGGGTTTCTGGAAGCTTTAGTGTTAACACTCCACTCAGGAGGGCCATAGTCCCAACAAACAACTAGAAGGAATTAAAAATAATGATAAGTGACACATCAAGAAAGGAACGAACCCTTCGGAGAATAGAATTTCCTAACTGTTTTCAGAGGGTAATGGATTTGAATTTGACATAACAGTTGTCACTGTGATTACTCGGTGAGATCTTTGGTTACTTGTGCTGGACTTCGAGTTCTTTTCCTCATCAACGAGGTTTAATCTCATCACTCACTCATTCATTCCTTCATGACCCACCATGGAGTGCCTCCTTAATTGCCAGCTACTGCCTGCATTATTACTCCTGAAGGTGCTGTCCTAGGAGCTGTGGTCAGAAAGAAAAAAGACACTTACCCCATCTTTCCAGACCCCAGAATCTTGTGGAGAAGACAAGTAACTGAGCCCTGGGTCAGGACATGCCAAGCAGGGACTGTCTTAGTCAACCCTGTCCCTGCCCCAATAATCAGTACACTATCAGGGTTCAGTAAATGATAGGGAATGAATGAATGAAAACAGGTTTCAATCAACCAGAATCTACGGAATTTGGGGGAAGCTAAACAAAGGCAGTGAAAACAAATTGCTACTTTATGGGGCAGGGATCCATATAATTTCCTATACAGTTCGGTGTGATTTCTTTATTTTCCAGATTTTGACACATAAAAGGCAGCCTTTTAGACTAGCGCCAAGGCGTTTGCTTTTAAAAATGCAGGTCACATTAAAAATTAAAGTCTGCATATCTATTCTCTGTTTATCATCATGAAGATGCTGGGTGGTTTTTATTAACAGAGCTAAATCTCTATACAATCCGTAAAAACACAATCTGTCCTTACTTAATTCAAACTCCTTTAGCAAAATATATTTGCTGGAAAGACCCTATAAAAATAAATTAAGGTGTGGCTTTTCTGATAAATCTACACACTTGGTATGTTTATAGCCTCTGAAAATGAGAATCATAAAATACATAGAGCAAGTGTGAAGTGATGCCAGATCACATCCATAACAGACGAGACCTGGGAAGGCAGTTTTTCATTTTGTTTTGCAGAGCACTGATAACCTAATTCTTAGAAATATACGAAATATATGAGTAAGCTTAACCCAGACGCAGTAGCAGAATTTCAAGTGACATTCCAAAGGAATTTTAAAGACGTTTTCTGGTCTCTCAAGACACGGCAAGTATATCCAGTGATCTAGAAACCCCAGAAGAGCCCTAAGTCAGGATCTGAAAAACACTGAGGAAGTCTAAAAGCAAAATAGAATCAAATGGAAGATCCAGAACAGAATGGAATTTTTCTTCTTAGCTTGGTAGTAAGCCTAGTCAGGCAGGAAACAAATCATACCTCTCCACCTCCTCCTCACTCCTGCTTCCCTGACCAGCTCCCCACAATCCCCCAAACCCCAAACCAAACTTTGAAATAAGTCCCCCCTTTCCCACCCCTCCCTCCTCCTGGAGGGAGGCCAGGCGGATCCTTTCACACTCTCCAGACCCCACTGCCTCTCACCTCCTCCTCAGAGATCTCCCTCCATCCATCGTCCAACCTCCTTCTCACATATTTTTGATCTTTTCCTTTCTGCTGGCTATTTTCCCTTGGCAAAAAGAAAAGCTCTCAAAGGGCTGGGCATGGTGGCTCAAGCCTATAACCCCAGCATTTCAGGAGGCTTGAGGTGGGTGGATCACCCGAGGTCAGGAGTTCGAGACCAGCCTGGCCAACATGGTGAAACTCTGTCTCTACTAAAATTACAAAATTAGCCGGGCGAGGTGGCACATGCCTGTAATCCCAGCTACTTGGGAGGCTGAGGTATGAGAACTGCTTGAACCCAGTAGGCAGAGGTTGCAGTGAGCCAAGATTGTGCCACTGAACTCCAGCCTGGGCAACAAGAGTGAAACTCCGTCTTAAAAAAAAAACTTCTCAAAGACTGGGTGCAGTGGCTTACATTTGTAATCCCAAGACTTTGGGAGGCTAAGGCTGGCGGATCACGTGAGGTCAGGAGTTTGAGACCAGCCTGGGCAATATGGTGAAATTCTCTATGAAAAATATAAAAATTAGCCAGGTGTGGGGGCACATGCCTGTGGTCCCAGCTACTTGGGAGGCTGAGGTGGGAGAATCTCTTGAGCCCAGGAGGCAGAGGTTGCATTGAGCCAAGATTGCACCACTGCACTCCAACCTCAGTGACAGAGTGAGACCCAATCTCAAAAAAAAAAAAAAAAAGAAAAAAAAGAAAGAAAGAAAGAAAAAGAAATGTTCTTGACCCTTTTATAATCTCCATACCCACATTGCCTGGGTACTTGCCACCTGCTACCTGTGTGGCTTTGGGCAAGTTACTTAACCTCTCTGCTCCTCAGAGTCCTTTTCTGTAAAATGGATGAAAGAATAGTATCTGTCGCAAACGACTGTTGAGAGGATGAAATTAAATATTACGCAAAAGGCACTTAGAACAGCGCCTGGCTGCAGTAAGTAGCCAATACATGTAAGCTCTCATTACTGCATGCATATATATATATATTCTTAGCTTGGTAGTAAGACTAGTCAGGCAGTCGGGTTCAAGCGATTCTCCTGCCTCAGCCTCCCGAGTAGCTGGGACTACAGGCACGCACCACCACGCTCGGCTAATATTTGTATTTTTAGTAGAGACGGGGTGTCGCCATATTGGCCAGGCTGGTCCCAAACCCCTGGCCCCCCAAAGTGTGGGATTACTTGTGTGAGCCACCGCGCCTGCCCTACTGCTATTATATATTGAAAAACAAGATGTTTCTTAATATTCCATCATTACTGCTGTTGTATCTTTTAAATCACCATACCTGGCATTTCCCCACTCCAGCCCTTCTCTTCGGGACTGGTGGTGATTTGCTCTCCTGCCCTTCCCACCAGACTGTACATCTCTCAAGACAGGCTATTTCTTTCATCTGCTCCTTAGCACCTAGCAGGGTGGCTAGTTCAAAACCAACACTCAGTCAACGATTGCCAAATGAGTTAATGAGCACATAAAAAGCTAATTACGTGTCCACCTTTTTTAGATTACTAGAAAATAATGGTTAATAACAAAAGCATCAGAACGAGTGATTTTTCATGTGCCTCTTTTCAAAAGAGAAAATATAAACATCTTCCAGATCAGAGTTTTCATTTCTCAAAATGAAAACACTGGCTCCCCAGGCAGTTTGACATCCATAAACAAGTTTAATGGGAAATCTGATTTTTTTTTTGACTCATTACAAACAATAGGTAATACTCCTTAGATCCAAAGGAAGCACATTCACAGACTACTTCCATAAATATACACCACACCCTGTGGCCAGAGCTGTCTTAGAGAAGGGATGGGCCACTCAGGGACAGGCTGGACAAGGAGCTGACTGCTCTGTGCTCACTTTTGTATAGATTGTTTGTTGGACCTTGTGTAAAAGGCAAAGGAGCATGGTATTTGGGTTCAAATCCCAGCTCTGTCACCTTTAAGGCGCGTGACCCTGGGCTAATAACTACTTTCTGTCCATCAGTCTCCTCATCTGTAAAATGAAGAGAACAACAGTATCTGCATTATATGAAGACTAATTTTTGTAAAGCATGTTCAAAAAGAGCTTGTTTAGGCAGGGCATGGTGGTTTATGCCTGTAATCCCAGCACTTTGGGAGGCCGAGATGGGCAGATCACCTGAGGTCAGGAGTTCGAGACCAGCTTGGCCAACATAGTGAAACCCCGTCTCTACTAAAAAATATTTTAAAAATTAGCCAGCCTTGGTGGCGCACGCCTGTAGTCCCAGCTTCTTGGGAGGCTGAGGCGGGAGAATCTTTTGAACCTGGGAGGTGGAGGTTGCAGTGAGCTGGGATCAGACCACTGCACTCCCGCCTGGTCGACAGAGCAAGACTCTGTCTCAGAAGAATAATAAAAATAAAAGGAGCTTGTTTAAATATCTGTTAAATAAAATTAGAGATCCCTTCTGAGTCCGTAGTCCTTAATTGAGCCTTACAGAAATCCATTAAAAATATATTTATTTGGTTTTATTTCTGGTAATTACCTTTTATAAATTTATCTATTTTATATTTGCATGTTTCAACTTATTATTTTAATAAACACTTTCTCATTTTATCTTTTTTGAAAAAAAATAATAAGGAAAACAAGTGCTAGCACAAAGGAGATTCTTCTAGAAAAGTTCATGACCTAAAAAGGGTGGTAGACTCCCCCAAAACACCTCCCACACAGCCCACATGGTTTCTTAACCTCAGAGTCAGTCTGAGAAAGTGGCTGGGATCTAACACCCCAATGGCACATCCAAGCGCTTTACTGAGCGCCTGCTCCGGGGACATGGGAGACACTCATGCCAAGCCAGCGATTCCCGAAGAGCCGTATGTGTACCTGCTGTGTGTACAAGGCAACTCCAGGGGATACCAAGCACTGTTTTATTACTTGTGAGATTACGTTAGTGTCTTTTAGAAAAACACATAATTAGTATAACACCCATGACTTCACTGATATTATTGTTTAGGACAAAGCTAATTTCCAAAAGTCAATCTATTTGATTTAAAATAGCAGGTGAATGACAGCATGGGTGGCACACAAGCTGAGGGAAACACTTGGCTAGGCCCAGCTGTGGGGATGCAAATGTCCTGCTCTGCAAAGCACAACAGCCTGACTGGGGCGATGAAGACACACGCACAAATAATAAAGCCACACTGCGACAGCAACTGAAAGAGGCACCCACTAAATGCTGTACAGACATGCTTGAGAAAAGGAGAGGCGGGGTCACTAGATCTGGCTGGCCTCCTGGAAAGCGGATACCTGGAAGGCTACTTAACAGGTACATGAGAGAGGAGCGCTGTCTTTGGAGGGGCCGTTTGGGCAGTGGCATGGAAGGGGAGGAGGTGGGATGAGGACAGGGAGGAGAAGGGAAGGCTTGCAGTGGGGCTGAGTCTGGAGAGGAGGGGAAGCTGCATGAGGAATAGAACAGGGGAGCTGTGCAGGGGGTCAATCGGGAAAAGCCCTGGATATCAGCTGAGTTTGGACTTTTATTCTGAAGCTGACAGGGGCACTGGGTCATGGCCATGGTGCCTTCTGTGCTACCCAGACAGGGTGGGGGATGAAGCGCAAGGAGAAGACTGGGAGGCACTGGGACCAGGCATGCAGGGGTAGTTTTGAAGGAGAATGTGAGGATTTGGTGATGAAAGAACAGGATGAATAAGAAGCCGATGCCACAGTGTCATGCTTGAGGCCACTGACCTATCCTTAACCAAAAGTGGAAGACAGGTGTCACTGGCCAGTTCTACTTGGGAGACATTGAGTTTGTGGTGAAACATCCAGGGAGAATGTACATGAGGCTGGAGGAAATCCTCGCCTGAAGCCAGGATGAGAGGTGATGCATGCAGGGGGCGGGGAGGAGGCTGGGAGGGAATCCGGCAGCCTGAGTCTAAGGGGCAATCAGAAAAGAGAAAGGAGGCACTGGAGGGGAGGGAGAGGGAGGAGCTGCAGGCTGGCAAGTCACACCTGCCCTCCACCCATCCCGCATCTTCTTCCTGAGCAGAAGAGTCCACTAAAGCCAGGTGCAGCAGTGCTCACGTGCCTTCCCAGCCTCTCAGCCCCTACCTGAGGATCTGCAAACTAAGCGTCCCTGCTCTCACTCTTTGAAAGCCAGGCAAATGGCTCACACTGCTGGAGCCCCTCAGGTTCAGGTCAACTGAGAACCATGGGTTCCTAATGCTCTCCATTAGGCATCACATAATCTTTTTGGAGCAGGCAGCCCCCAGAATTCGCCTTGCCCAGCAGGCACTCAGTGGGAACACAGAGGCAAGGCCAGGCCAGCGGGTGGGGGCAGATGCCCTGAGGAGGACAGAGACCAGAGCTCTCCCTTCCCCAGGCCTGGCTTCCAGGCAAGGGTGAGGACATGCCCTTTTGTGGCAGGCAGAGTTGTAATGAACAGCTCAGCAGTGGTGGAAGGCCACCAATGGCCAATCGCACAGCAGCCACCACCCTACTCACCAACTGGCCAGCTGTTGGTAATGGGGTTGTTTCTACAAACCCCATTAGGAAATGATGTACTGGCTTTCAGTAAATAACAATAGAGAAGTTGCTAATAGGCAATTAGAAACTGCCTCCGTGCCCCCTTGGGGAGGGTCTGCAAACTGAAGCACACCTGTGGTATGAAGATCCAAATGCTGCTGAGGTCCACAGAGAACGGCGCCAGGATGCTGGCCAGGCGACACACCATGCTGCCGCTTCCCACAGCCAGCGATCTGGAAACAGAGGAGAGAGGCTGAGACAAGTAAGGCACAAGTGACCCAGGGATTGAGGGACCTGCTTCCTGCAGCTCCTTTCCCACGCTCCCCAGCAAGGATAAGGGTGGTCAGGCAGCGCATTACAACGTTTCAGTCAACCTCGGTGGCCCCGCGAGATTATAATAGCACATTTTTACTCGACTTTTTCTATCTTTCAATATGTTTAGATACACAAATATTTACCATTGTGTTACGACTGCCTGCAGTATTCAGTGCAGTAACATGCTGTGGAGGGTCACAGCCGAGGAGGAATAAGCTGTGCCACATAGCCTGGGTGTGTAGTATGCTGGGCCATCTAGGTTTGTGTAAGTTCACTCTATGATGTTCTGACAACCACGAAATCACCAAAGGATGCATTTCTCAAAACGGTGCCCATCATTAAGCAACACATGACCGTAAAAAAACGTAAGCTTGAAAATAATTTTACTTAAATTTTTCAAGAATCACAATACCTACATTTTGTGAAACAGTGGTGTATATAAGCATGCACATAATTCAAGACAATTCATGACAAAAAAGAGGTAGGAGTGTGGAGGTAAGCCATTCTTCATCTGCTGTGCAGGTGAGGCCCTTGTGTGTACTGATCCAGCCTAACATTAAGAATAATAAGGTCTTCTAGAGCAGGAATTTGTTTCAGGTAGGGAGTGGGAATTTGAGAGAACAAAGTATCTGTATACCTGTGTACTGTTCTATTTCAACTTTTTAGAGTCAAGGAATATCTTAATGTGCTTTTCTTTAAAGGTTACTTAGAGAAAATGTATAGAATGTTAGTAAGGAAAGACTGTCCTTTTATGTGAGTAAGTACCTCTATAAATTAACGGTGCCTCATCTTTTCCAGTCACACACATTTATAAAGAACTGATAAAAAGTATGGCATTCTTCTGAGAAAGAAATCATACATAAGTAAAATTTTGCATGCAGTGTTAGGGTGTTTAGGGAGCTCATAGAGTTGGTTAAAGATTTCCTGTATTAAATATTTACATATTGGATTTTTTTGAGGTCATGTACCTGTGGTTGTAAACCAACAACCAAGCCAACAAAGAAAAGATCTTAAAAAATACTATAATATTCATAATTGCAATGCACATTGACATTATTTGATGGGATTGTCACCTTCTTAGCATATAACATGCATTCACTCAGCACATGTGTGTCAAGAGTCTAATATGTGCCAGGCACTGCATGGATCTGGTCCAATCTGAATTCTGAACTGGGAAAATCTGAAGCTTTTCCTGGCTGAGCAGAAATCCACCTGAGAGGCCAGAAGGGTCCCACAGGACATGACAAAGATATTCTCCCTGATTTAGAGCAGCTTCTTCCCTGGGTCAGCCACAACGGAGCCAAAGCCACAACGCAAGTTGGCAATTATGCAACTTCACTCTCTATTGCATTCAACTAGTCTCCACCATTGTCAGCCTGTAAGTGCTAGAATGTAATCTGTTATTCTGCCTGTCTGCTACTGTACATCTGTGCAGGGCTGCCACTTTCACAATATGATCTGAGAAGAGTCCACAAAGCCCTTACCCCAAAATACCTTCTTCCCCTCTGCTACTAAAGCTCTACTGCTAGCAACTTATCCCCCGCTAATGTTAAGCACTGTCTCCCATAAAAATTCTCATGTATTTCACTGGGTGACAGATAGGGCCAAAAGATGTGGATTTGAGTTCTGATGGGTCACTGACTAGCCAGATGCCTTTGGCCACGACCCTAATCTTGTGTGAATTCCAGTTCCACAACCTGTAAAATGGACAGAAGATGTATTTATTATTAGACTGCGAGAGTGGTCTAATAATAGCACTCTGGGTGACCTAGAGGGGAAGTATGGAGGAAGAAGAAAAACTCTACTCTCAGACAACTGGGCTAATAGACAATTACATAGGGAGTTATTCCTCTGCTATTCTATACCCCTGGTCACATATTAGTCTGATAAACTTTTTTCTTAGATATATATGTGTACCTACTCTATCTATCCATTCTTCCATCCCTCCATCCATCCATCCATCCATCTAGATATCCATTAATCTATCTACAGTCAACACAAATGTACTTACCCATCCTGGTCCACAGGGCTGCCTGCCCTAGCATTTCAGCAGGCAGGTGTGTGGGCATGGAAAATTCCTAGGGAAGGATTTATGCTATCTCTTGACTAATGGATTTTCTAGGTCCTACATCCCTCCTGCTTGTGGAGACAAGGAGGAGGCATCTCTGGGCTGGTGTTATATGGACTTATCTCTATAGAAAGTCACTTGCCTTTCACACTTGTAACACATGACAAATAACATACTCCTAAATGGGATGAACCCACTAGCTAAGCAGTTAGATTTTTTAATAAGTTTCCTGTGAAAAACCTTAATATCTTGTTTGTTTATTTGTTGCCATTAAGATTGGGTCTTTAATAGGCTAAGAAATTATCCAAGCTAACAAATTTTTTCCCTTAGAAAATGAAAACTTCCATTGATAAAGCAGGTGTTAGGAAAATGCCACTTGGAGGATTTAAGGGAGGACTGCAGATAGGAAACTATTACGGAATTTCACAGAGGGAGATCTGTGGGACAAGTGTCTCTTGGCAGCAGTGTGACCCTAATCACTATTTACACTTTAAAATACAGGATCATTTTGCAAAAAAAAGAGTCAAAAAGTCTGACGGGCCGGACGCAGTGGCTCACACCTGTAATCCTAGCGCTTTGGGAGGCCAAGGAGGGTGGATCACTTGAGGTCAGGAGTTTGAGACCAGCCTGGCCAACATGGTGAAACCCTGTCTCTACTAAAATACAAAAATTAGCCGGGCATGGTGGTGCACACCTGCAATCCCAGCTACTCAGGAGGCTGAGGCAGGAGAATCACCTGAACCTGGGAGGTAAGGTTGCAGTGAGCCAAGATCACACCATTTCACTCCAGCCTGGGCAACAGAGTGAGACTCTGTCTCAAAAAAAATAAAATAAAATCCAATGGAGAATCAGAGAAAAGATCCCTTCCCTTTATAGCTGGGGTCCCAGCTGTGTGTCTTGCACCAGGTACTTGATCTCCCTGGTCTCAGCTGTCTTATCTGGACATGAGGGCTGCAACAAGAAGTGTGGTTTACAAAGGATGTACTGTTAAGGCCTGGAAGTTCTGCTGCAGCCCCCTGGAGCAAGAAGGCAGGAGCACTGGGGGGATTCCAGGTACTCAACAGAGCTTCCACAAAGGACCTCCGTCCTCTTCACCACATAAAGAGTTTCCAAGTAAAATGTGTTTGGAAAAGCTTTGTAAAAGCTTGGAAGTCCCTGAGGTTCCCAGATCAGTGGGAATCACATCAGACATTCCCAAAGGGTGTCGGGGGGGCGGGTGGGGCGGGCAGGGTGGCAACTCAGAGTCACCTGCAGACTTGTTAAAAATCCCGAGTCTCGGCTAGGCGTGGTGGCTCATGCCTGTAATCCCAACACTTTGGGAGGCCAAGGCTGGCGGATCACGAGGTCAGGAGTTCGAGACCAGCCTGACCAACATGGTGAAACCCCGTCTCTACTAAAAATACAAAAATTAGCCGGGTGTAGTGGCATGCACGTGTAATCCCAGCTACTCTGGAGGCTGAGGCAAGAGAATTGCTTGAACCCAGGAGGCGGAGCTTGCAGTGAACCAAGATCACACCACTGCACTCCAGCCTGGGCAACAGAATGAGACTCCATCTCGAAAAAAGAAAAAAAAATCCCCAGTGTCATTCTTGGATTGATCCAGCAGGTCTGGTGTAAGGACCCAAGACTGATATTTTTTATGAAATACCTCAATGACTCTGACGAGCTGCCAGCTTTGAGAACCTCCAGATAAGGTAATCTCAGGGAGCCAATGATTACTGATGTTATGGGCTAAGTTGTCCCTCCCAAAGTTCAAGTGTTGAAGTCTGAATCCCTAGTACTTTATGATGTAATGGTATTTGTAGATAAGGTCTTTAAAGAGGTGATTAAGTTAAAATGAGGCTGTTAGGGTGAGGCCGTAATCCAATATGGCTGGTGTCTTATATGAAGAGGGAGGGACATCAGCGGTGCACACAGAGGTAAGACCCCTTGAGGACATAGCAAGAGGGCACCACCTGAAGACCACAGAGCGAGGCCTCAGGAGAATCCAAACCTGCCGACACCTTGTTCTTGGACTTCCAGCCTCCAGTACTGTGAGAAAATAAATTTCTATTGTTTAAGCCACCCAGCCTGTGGTATTTTGTTACAGCAGCCCACTCAGACTAACACAATTGGCATCAGAACATCGAGAGACACATCCTGAGAAATTACCTTTGAGTCAATACAGAGACTCAGTGGAAGTCTATGGTACTTGAAACTTAAAATGTTTTTGGAATAATAGAGTGTTATTTCAAAATAATTCGTCTAATATCCTCACTAATAGGGTACAAAGCCTCAGACTCAAAATGAGTATCAGCATGTCATTTTCCCATCTCAGAGATCCAGGTAACTTCTATAAAAAAGAAGCATTTACATGTAAAGGCCAAATACAATGAAATGACACACAAGTGAAAGATAATAGGAAAACAACCAGAAAACAATTCATCCTTACCTTACAATGGTTGGATACAGCTCAGCTGTATAAAGATAAATGAGGCCAAATGCTGCCCCGATGGCAAATTTTCCAACCATAGCTGTCACCACACCCAAAATATAATGTTTCTGAAAAAAATTTAGCAGAATAGATCATCACAAGTGGTATTTTTAAAGGAAAATAGAAAATCTTTAAAATCATTACTTAAAACATTCTAATTCCTTCAGTATTTTTTCAGAACAATGAAGACCCTTATTTTTCTGTTTGAATGTATTAAACTCTACTCACAGTCTGAGAAAGCTTTCCATCTTTACGAAATGTGGAGGAAAGTTTCAGTGTGTCTCTTCTCCCCATCCACTTTGGAGGGTTTGAACTGTGACGAAAGCCAGTTGGGAAGACTGTTTTGGAAGGAGACACGCCCTGATAGTGCTGGTGGCACCAAGAATTTCCCCACTCCTTCTGGGACTGATCCAGCAGAATGAATCAAGGAGCCATACAAACAAATTGTGAGCCGGGCCTAATGGCTCACACCTGTAATCCCAGCACTTTAGGAGGCTGAGGCAGGAGAATCACTTGAGGCCAAGAGTTTTAGACCAGCCAGGGCAACATAGCAAGACCCCATTTCTACAGAAAAACAAAAAAATTAGCTGTGTGTGATGGTACATGCCTGTGGTCCCAGCTACTGGAGAAGCTAAGGCAGGAGGATCATTTAAGCCCAGGAGTTCAAGATTACGGAGGGCTATAATCACACCACTGCACTTCAGCTTGGGTGACAGAGTGAGATCTTGTCTCTATTTAATCTATTTACTTTTCTTAAAAAAAACAAACAAAACAAATTGTGCCCTTTGTGGCAGTAATCCCTGGCTTATAAATTATCTTCAGAAAATATTTGAAAGTGGTAACTATTAGTACAGACTGTTTTGTTCATTTGTTTGTTTGTTTGCAGCTGATACATTCCTCAATGGCAAAACCTTTACCTCCACCTCGGTTTTTATTCTCCCTAATGTGTTCCACTTCCAAAGGTAACTAACAAAGACACCCTATATTCCGAAATCTCCCTCCTCCCCCATCTGCCAACTGGATGCTGAGACCCAGGGTGGCCTTGCGGCTGATGTGTTAAGGACAGCAGTGCCTCTGTCAGCCTACATCCCTGAATGACTCCATGGACACAAACACCCACTCACCACTCCCACTTTGGCCAGCTAGGTACAAATACATGGAACTTTCTATGAGCAGGTAACAAACATCCTTTATGTTAAGTCACTGAGATTCTGGGATGCCTCTATTAAAGAGCTAATGTCACCTTAATTACAATTGTAAATTAAATTAATTAACAATTGTTAATTAAATTAGTATTTGTATTGTGTTGACATTATCACCTGGGGAAAAATTTATTGGAGGGGAGAGATTTGTCGTTGTGGGTTAATGCTCTATTTCTAGAAATCTCCATCAGCCTCTTTCTCATCTTCCCTATTAGTGTAGAACTCAAAGGTTCTGGTGTTCCCCAACTCTTCACCAACTTAAAGGCAGCTGCCATCTACTCAACTACCATCACTACAAACTACTTTTTTAAAGGTGTGGATGAAGTTCTCTCAAATTGGCAGAGACCTCCTTGTCCCGAGTAGTTTTATTGCATTCAATTAGTTGTGTATCAATCACCTGGAAATTTCATTACATAAAATATTTGGCTCACCGATCCTAAGCATTAAGTAAAGTGCTACTATAAAAGGAAGACACTTGTTAGCTTAAATTAAATTTCAAACGATATGCAAAACTTAAAATGCTTTGCTCTAAATGTTGATATACTATTGCTTAATGATTATATAATCACAGGAGAACATTAAATAAAATATTTTAAGTACTGTTATAGTGACATTTTGCAAATCAAGAATTAAAATACAGATCTGAAAACATCTTTTTTGGGAAGAGGGGAAGCACTTCTGGATGCAAGAGGTATTTTGAGGGACGCAGTTTGCCAAAATATGGGAATGTGAAAGTCATTTCAGGAATTTCTGGGTAGTGTTTCTCACTAAGAAACTGTTTTTAAAAACAAGCTCCTTGGGGTGTTTATGCGTACCAGACATTGGAAACTACTAATCTCCTGCAATGAAAAACAGTGTACTGAAACTCTACCAGTCTTGAATATCTGACTCATATCCTTCAGATGTCTCCATGGCTGCCTCCCTCATTCAGGTTTCTGATTACATGTCGCCTCCTCCGAGAGGTGCACCATCCTCGACCACCCTAGACAAAAGAGTACACACGGGTGCCAGACGCCCTCTCGTTACATTTACGGAAACTTGATGCACTGTGTGTTCTCAGCACCTGGCACATAAAAGATGGTGGATAAATGTTTGCTGAATGAATAAATGAGTGAATGTTCAGTATGATGATGCTGGAAGGTGTGATCGACTTTCCTCACACAAGATTATTGCGTTTACAAAATACAACACTGGTCATCTCTGGGAATTAGGATTATGAACTTTTTATTTTTTATTTTTTATTTTTTGAGATGAGTTCTCACTCTGTCATCTAGGCTGGAGTACAGTGGCAGTGATCAGAGCTCACTGCAGCCTCGAACTCCTGAACTCAAGCCATCCTCCTACCCTCAGCCTCTTGAGTTGCTGGGATTATAAGTGTGAGTCATTGCACCCAGGTTAGGCTTTTCTTTTTTTTTTACATTTTTCTCTTCAAATTTTCTAAAATGAACATATATTACTTATATAACAGAAAAAGAATGTTTTAAAGAAAACAGATTTTTAAATATTATATACTCTGCCCAAATCATACTCTGAATTGACCTTCATACTTAACTGTAATAAGCTAAATTCTTCCCATCAAACTGTCACAGTATAACTGTCTTATAAAAAACAGAAGATAACTCACCTGGGGGATCACCATAACGACACCACAGGCCAGTGCACTGCAGAAAAGAGAGTAGGCCAGGACTGTTCTCCTCCCGACCTTGTCCATGGCGATGCACACGAAGGTGTAGGCGGGAATTTCCACTACACCTGTCATTGAGCAAGCAGCCCTCTATAAGTCTAGGTACCCGACTGCAAAAGGGGACCCCCGTCTTCTAACCCACTACCCAAAAGGCATGAGCAGCCCTCTCCTCACTTCTGGGGCCTTTAGAAACTCTCTAAGAATTGCTGCGAGGCAGCCAGCCCCGCCACTTTTAAACTCACTACAGTAAAGATGAGCGTTTCCTGTGAAATGCTCTAATGCTCATAATCCGCCTGGCACCTGCAAATGGCACAAAGCCAGAGCCCAAATTCCCACCAGCCCCAAACTGTCTCAGGAGATAAAAACTTGTTCAAAAATTTCACAGCCGAGAATTATTGAACAGAAGCACCCATCTGCAAGAGTACAAGTGAAAAATCCAAAACGGTAGATAATATAAAACCATGTGTGTTTGTCTTTGGAAACATTTTTGTATTTATGAGATTGCCCAGTTTTTTGACAATTTATGTCTTTGGCAAAAGTAAAAAACTATGTCATGAAGATCTAAACTTCTAGCCTTCCTAAGCTTCTGCATCCACACTCCACCCCACCTACCATTGGCCACTCTGTTCTAGGGATACTGCACCATCTCAAATTGTCATAGAGAATGAGTTTGAAGTCAAGACAGGCTCTTTCTATAAACTTGTTAGTTTGCTTCAAAAAAAAGAGTAAATCTTTTTTTCTTAAAACGACTTCTCTCATAATTCCTGCTGAGCTATAATGAACAAAAACGGATGTGTCTGCTGAGGAAATCAGAAAAAATAACCAGATGTGCCGTCAGAGCACTTTAATGAGATGGCACGATGTCTACGTATAAAAATTTAGAAGCAAGATGTTTTGAGGATAATATAAAATACAGGCAGCCTACACAGCAATAAGCAGGAGTTAAGACTAGATGGATAAAAAGAGGTTTCTAATATTTCTCTCACGTTTTAGTTTAAATTTGGTTTACACTAGGAGTCACATCTCAAGCTATCTAAAGTGATTTAACCTGCCATTAAAATGAAAGAAGTACAACAACATAAATTATAGTTGCATGTATTTAAAAGTTATTTTACTAACTAAAATTTATAAATTAAGGACACTTGAAGGTTGAGAGGTGCCAGATAGCCAAGGCATATTAAATTTTAAAAGGGAAGCAACTTACAAAGAACAATATATAGTGAGTGATCTCATTTATGTTAAAATATAAAACATTAATATGCACAAATATATGAAAATGCGTAGAAACAGATCTGATCAGCACAGGAATTTTGACCTGCTCCATTTTCGACCAGGGCCGGTTCACCCCTCCTTAGGCAACCTGGTGGTTCCCTGCTCTCAGGAGGTCACCATACTGATACTGAACTTAGTGTGGACACCTGATCAGCATAGAGTACTGCAGCCCAGAACTCCTGGGCTCAAGTAATCCTCCCTCCTCAGCCTCCCGAGTAGCTGGGACTACAGGCACATGCCACAATGTCTGGCACAAATGCATAGGAATAGATCTGAAAGGGCACAACCCAAACATTATAGAAGTTACCCCTGGGAGGAGCTCTGGGCTGGGGATGGGTGTGAAGAAGGTGAGCAAGGAGAGAAGGCAGAAAGGGAGAGACTAAATTCTTCTGATGCATTTTTTTCAAATGGAAAATACAAGGAGTTTTCAAAAAGGTCATGGACGGCGGGGTGCTGTGGCTCATGCCTGTAATCCCAGCACTCTGGGAGGCCAAGGCGGGTGGATCACCTGAGGTCAGGAGTTCGAGACCAGCCTGGCCAACATGGTGAAACCCTGTCTCTACTAAAATATAAAAATTAGCTGGGCATGGTGGCATGTGCCCGTAATATCATTTATTCAGGAGGCTGAAACAGGAGAATCGCTTGAACCCAGGAGGCGGATATTGCAGTGAGCTGAGATCACACCACTGCACTCCAACCTGGGCAACAGAGCAAGACTCCTTTTCCAAAAAAAAAAGTTAATGGAAAGTGCATATTATGAAAAAACTATGCATGTGTTTTCAGATTTTTTCTGCACTAAAAGAAATTTGTACTAACTTCTTAGAACGTGTCTGAAGAGGAGCTAGTTTGAGGCACTAAGAAGAATAAGATATCAGTTTGAAAAGAGCTCCCACTAGAGCAACATGAATTCTGCTGAAATTGAAGCAAGAACAAACATCAAATTTATGGTGAAGCTTGGGTGGAAGAATGGTGAAATCATTGATGCTTTATGAAAAGTTTACGGGCACAAAGCCCCAAATAAATCAGCAGTTTACAAATGGATAACTTATTTTAAGAAAGGACAAGACGATATTGAAGATGAAGACCACAGTGGCAGAGCATCCACATTGAGGAAAAAAATACATCTTGTTTATGCCCTAATTGACAAAGACTGAGATTAACAGCAGAAGCAATAGCCAATACCATAGATATCTCAATTAGTCTGGCTTACAGAATTCTGACTGAAAAATTAAAGTTGAGCAAACTTTCCACTCAATGGGTGCCAAAACAGTTGTGCCCAGATCAGCTGCAGAGAAGGGCAGAACTTCCCATGGAAATTTTAAACAAGTGGGATCAAGATCCTGAAGGATTTCTTTGGAGAATTGTAACAGGAGATGAAACACGGTTTTACGAGTCTGATCCTGAAGACAAAGCCCAACCAAAGCAATGGTTACCAAGGGGGGCCATGGTCCTGTCAAAGCAAAAGTGGACCAGTCGAAAGCAAAGGTCATGGCAACGTTTGTTGGGGATGCTCAAGGCATTTTGCTTGTTAGCTTTCTGGAGGGCCAAAGAATGAAAATATCTGCTTATGAGGAGAGTGTTTTGAGAGAGTTAACCAAAGCTTTTGTAGAAAAATGCCTGGGAAACATCACCAGAGAGTCCTTCTCCTCCATGACAATGGGCATGCTCATTCCTCTCATCAAACAAGGGCAATTTTGCAAGAGTTTTGATGGGAAATCACTAGGCAGCCACCTTAACAGTTCTCATGGTGGCTCATTCTGACTTCTTTCTGTTTCCTAATCTTAAAAAGTCTGTACGCGGCACCCATTTTTCTTCAGTTAATAGTGTAAATAAGACTGCATTGACATGGGTACATTCTCAGGACCCTCAGTTTTTTAAGGATGGAATAAATGGCTGATGTCGTACAAAAGTGTCTTGACCTTGATGGCAATCATGTTGAGAAAGTTTATGTTTTAAATTTTTGTCTTTTAATGCCATTTTTCCATGAACTGGTTGAAGTCCCCTCATATGTACATGTGTTACAACATAACACTAAGAGATATCATAATAATATGGTTGGCAGTATTGTTCCTGGTTTTAAAGGGCCTATTAAAAACATTCTTTTTCTCAAATTCACACAGAAACAGACACACACACACAAATGGTAGAAATCTCACTTCACTGCCAAATTTAAATATACTGTAACTACTTACCCAGGAGGAAGAGGTTTAAGTATTCATTGCCTCCTAAGTTAACAGAATTCAAGGAAAACGAGTAGAATCCCAAACTTCCAGTGAACCAGATTAGCCAAACGGTAAGTGTCCTTTTCGTAATGCTCCAGTTATAAAACAGATATGATAGGTTGTGCTTCTGAACTTCAGTGGGGCTATTACTAACAGGACCTTGTAGGTCCAGTGATAAAAGTTCTGACAGTTTACAGGAGCTTGCCCTGTTCCACTTGGCCATGATGTCAACTATTTTTTGTGCTTCTTCATATCGTCCCTCTGAGAGAAGCCAAAAAGGTGTCTCTGGGAGCACCCAACAGCACAGGATAAAGGGGACAGTCACTGTGGAGAGGATCATCTGGTAAAGCCACCAGGTCCTGACCAAGTATCCTGTCAAAGCCACCAGCAGGGTTCCAACTGCAAAAAAGGAATGCAAATGGACAGACGCCCATGTCCGAGACTTCATGCCAATGAATTCCATCACATAGACAAACCCCACCACAAGATAGCCACTTGCAACCTGAAAAACAAATAATAGGGATTTATATTCAAGGTCACATTTATAACTATTGAGGAGTCTGACCCCATTGCAAATCACATATAGGCAAAAAAGAAAATGACAAAGACTTGCTTTCTGAAACCCCTATCAGATGTATAAAATGACATTCAATCCGATCTATCTTTTTTTCTTATAGGTCCTTTCATCTTCCCTCATCCTCCCCACCCCAAATGGCAAAACTTGAGAGATTATTTATGATATAAATGTTAGACATTGTCTTTTGTGTCATCTAAATATTTCATTATACTGTGGATGTATTTCTCCATTCCTTGTAAATGCATACATCAAGTTATCTGTATCCAGGAGGTCCTTATTGTTAAATCCTAACTGCTAAATGGAGACAAAAAAATTTACGCTAACTAGTGGTAAGAAAAACTGATTTAATTAAAATTCTATTTTGACAGGCAAAGAAGACAAATTAGACTTCATGAAAATTAAAACTGTGCATCAAAGAACACTATCAATGGAGGGAAAAGGCAACCTGCAGAACTGGATAAAATATTTGCAAATCAAATATCTGATAAGGGATTTTATGGAGAACTCCTAAAATCCAACAACAGCAAAAACACAGACAATCCAATTCAAAAATGGGCAAAGGCTTTGAACAGACATTTCAAACAGAAGAAATACAAATTTTTACCAATCATTGAGAAATGCAATTCAATGCTACAAAGAGATACCCCCTCATACACATTAGTGTGGCTAATTAAAAAAAAAAATAACAAGTTTTGGCGGGAATGTAGAGAAACTGGAACCCATGTGTAATATGTGAGAGAAATGTATAATGGCACAGCCTCTAGGAAAAACAGTATGACGATTCCTCAAAAAACAATTACAGCATGATCCAGCAATTCCACCTTTGAGTATATACCCAAAGGAATTGAAAGTGGGGTCTGGAAGAGATGTTTGCACATGCCTGCTCATAGCATTATTCACAACAGCTAAAGCATGGAAGCAACCCCCCAAGGGTCCGTCCATAGATGAATAGATAAGAAAAATGTAGTCTATGCATACAATGAATATTATGCTAAGGGAAATAAGCCAGTCACAAAAAGACAACTATCATATGATTCCGCTTTCATGAGGTACCTAGAGTGGCCAAACTCATAGAGACAGGATGTAGAATGGTGGTTGTCAGGGGCTAGGGAGACAGGGAACAGAGAGTTATTATTCAATGGACAGAGTTTCAGTTTTGCAAGATGAAAACGAGTTCTGAAGATGCACAGTGGTGATAATTGCACCACAGTATGAATGCACTTAATATCACTCAACTGTACACTTAAAAATGGTTAGGATGGTAAATTTTGTGTTATATGTACTTTACCACAAGAAGGAAAACTGGGGAAAAACTTTATTTTGGAAATATGACTATCTTTAATAAAAATTAGATTACAATATGTGATTAGAATATAATATGTGACCATTCTTGAAATAAACAAAGAATGAGTCCATTGATGGGTTTTTTGGGAGGAGGAGGGGAAGAATTTTTTCTACAAAATTTTTTCATATTTGACTTCTACAACACAAATCATACAATTAACTTTTGTAAAATTATTCGAGAGCACCACTCCCCAAAGGCTTCTCTTAATCATTAGATATTTGAATCATACTCTTTCAAAGGCTCATTATGTGATTATCCTTGCAGATGTTAATTTCTTCAAAAGTTAACAGGTCTCTCTGCCAGATCCCCACTGGCCAAAGGTTGTGGGCAGGATTCAGGCAGTGTTCCCCTGTTCCCTCACTGCTTTTAAAGACTTTTTGTAAACATGTGTCCCTTGTAATAACTGCAATTTCTCCTTGCATTGGACAGTCACAAAGAGGCCGGCCTACAAGGATATTCCTGCTGTCAGAAAGGGTTGACACTAGCAGGAGGCAGGGAGGTGCTTGATGAGGACTACTGTATTCATAATCAGTTTAATATTTTTGTGACAACAGCTTTTATTTCCCTGTGCAACTTTGTAATGGCAAGACTCAGATCATCGGGACCCTACATCTAACAATCCAGAAGTCGCTTTTGGTAAGCGCTGCTGTTACATTAACAAAGATTGTGATAACTTTCAAATACTATAAATTTCCCAGTTAAATTAAGCTGTAATATTTGTCCCTGTCAGGTTTTTCAATGCTAATTATTTCTCATGAGTCAGCTACAACTTCCTCTGTTATTGGATTCAGAAAATCCATATACAACTAACTCCAAAACACTCTGTGAATCCACTCACACCCATCCCTTCCACTGATAATAATACTCACATCTTCTCGGAATCCACCCCCTCATAGCAGCCAGAATTCCTGGAATCCCTTTTGTGGATTGCCATTGCCTTTAGGAGATAGAGCAAAATCCTGACAATCCTACAAAGCCCCACCTAACCGCCTTGATCCCTTCAGCCTCATCAATGCGTCTCTCCTCCTCTCTATTCTCCAGACATTCCGGCTTTTCTTTCTCATCTCAGGGCCCTTTCATCCACTTCTATCTTTGCTGGAATATTCTTCTCTCACCCATCCCTCACAGTGAGAAAACCCTTGACCCTCCAGACCCTGGTGAACGCTCCAGACCCACTGATGTTATGCCCTCACTGTCAACATTTTATTTATTTTTGAAGATGGCTGATCAACGTCTTGCCTTTCCTACTAGACTTACTGAGACAGCTGGGTCTGGTTTACTTAGCATTACACTCTGTAGACAGA
Source organism: Homo sapiens (assembly GCF_000001405.40). Taxonomy (NCBI): domain Eukaryota; kingdom Metazoa; phylum Chordata; class Mammalia; order Primates; family Hominidae; genus Homo; species Homo sapiens. The sequence goes on from NC_000006.12 coordinate 110,445,500, forward strand.
TCAATAAATGTGTTGAGTAAATGAATCTGCCTGCATCTCCCATCCACAGAATTCCCCCACAAATCCATTCCCCATGAACATCAACGGAAACAGTCACAGAAAATTAAGGCCACATTTCACGGATGTATTCTATGGGTGTGGCCTTGTTTCCTTGGGTATAGAAGCCAACGCGTGGTATTTTGCAAGACTGAAACAGATATTTTCAGAAATATCCTCTTAAGTCTTCCAAAAGATGATGTTTATACTTTCTTAGTACCTGTGCCTTTGTGGAGCCTTCAGTCCCACCAGAAGGTTTCTCTCGTGAAATCTCACTCTACAGTCACAGAGTTATGTCCTCAGTGGAAACAGAACTACTGGTTGCTATCTTGTATTTAAAACTCTTTACATTCCTAAATATATATATTTACTTTTTAATGAGGTACAACACCTTCCAGTCTCCTAGATTTATTTTTATGCATCTTCCTTATCCTTGGCCAACTGTATGGTTTGCTAGAAACCCTTTCTATCCATCAAAAAAGACTCCAAAACTGACACCCCATCTTGTTCTCTGAGGGGGTGCAGAGAGATTGAAGCCCTTTGCTTCTCTCCAGACCCTCAGACCATCCAACCTGCTGCTCTGCATTTAGCAAGATCACAAGCTCCTCCTCCAGATGGAAACTTCCCTCTATTATTCTTGATGTTGCTTGATAGTTGGAAATCTATCTGGAAGCCTCACTGAGCATGGAAACAGCCTCCTTGCTCGCTAGTCCATTTCTAGTAAGTTACCATTGTAATCAGGTGCTGTACTGCGGTTGTTTATACTTAATCTCACTGAATCCTGAGAATAATAATAATAAACACAGATTCTTTTCTACAGTTTACAGACTGCAACCAAAGGTTCAAAGAGGATACTGATCATACAACTAACAAGCCAATATATGACAATGCTGGTATTCAAACTCGTGCCCTTTCCACTAAACTGCCGTTCCTGGTAACATAAGGACCTAATGCCCTCCTGTTTTCATTCTTCCTGTACATTATACAAGTGACTTTAACCACACACCTCAACTGTCTGTTTGCTCATGTGAACAGGCCCTGACTAGACCAATATGATTACTCAGAAAGAAAATAATGCCTCAGTAATTGTGACATGTGGACCACATGCCCGACACAGAGGCAAACACACTTCTGCCTAGCCAGCAACAATTTTTCACTTTAATGAGTTCCATTCTAAACATAAGGCATTGGTATTCTGTAGGCAGACTTCTGCAGTGGAGTGGACAAAGATGAGTCCTTGATCTCGCTCACTAGATCTTAAATGAGCAAAATGATGAGAGTTAAGGTTTCCTATGAAAAACTGCAGCAGAATTAAAGAAGTAAAAAACACAACTCACCATGGCAAGAAAAAAGCGAGCAGCCATGAAGGTGTAATAATCAACTGCAAACGCCGCTGCTATTCCAAACAAAAACATGCTACTGCTTGTGGCCCACAAGACCACCCGGCGTCCTAGCCTGAAAAATAAGAGTCACACAGTGGAAGAGGAAAGGTAGAGTTGTAACAGTTTAAACATCCACTCCAATTCATAAAAGATAGGCATTACCTATATACCTTGAATAGCTTATGTATTGATTGTTTTTCTTTTATTTATTTTGAGCAAACCATAAGTTCCATGGCTTCTTTAAAAGACCAGCTGTTCAGTGGAGAGGCCTTTACCTGAGTTGCTAATATACATACCTGATCACTCTGAGTCATCCCCGCAGGACCCTTTAACCTGGGATTGGGGGAAGAGAGGAGAGAATTTGTCCTCTCCCTTTCAGGACTTTGGCTCTCTGTGGGATCATCTTCCCTGCCAGGCTGGCTCTGTCCACTAAGGCTATGACAGCTCTTGCCAAGCCCCTCTAAAAACAGAGGTCTTGCTACCTTCTTCTTCTAGAATAATGTGCTTACTTGCCCTATCTTTTCATAATTGAAAGAGGCATCTCTTTGTTTAAAAAACAAATAATATCTGACAGATTTTAAAATTGTGATATAATTCAAATGCCATAAAATTCAACCTTTTAAAGTAGACAATTTGGTGGTTTTTAGTATATTTGCAAGGTTGTGCAACCATCATCATTCTTTAATTCCAGGATACGTTAATCACTCCCAAAAGAAACTCTGTGCCCAGAAGCTGCCACCCCCTCTTCCCTGCTCCCTCCAGTCTCTGACAACCACTCATCTACCTTCTGTCTCCATAGATTTGCCTGTTCTGGACATTTCCCATAAATGGAGTCAAACAATATGTGGCCTTTTGTGTCTGACTTCTTTTCCCTAGCATTAGATTTTCCAGCTTCTTCTGCGTTGTAGCATGTATTAGCACTTCATTCCTTTTTTCTCTCTGAGTAGCACCATTATACGGATAAACCACATTTTATCTATTCATCAGTTGATGGCTCATTTTCCTCTTCTTGGCTATTATGAATAATGCTGCTCTGAACATTCATGAACAAGATTTTGTGTGAACTTAGGTTTTGAATTCTCTTGGGTATATACCTAGAGTGAAATTCCTGGGTCATATGGTAACTCTATGTGTAACATTTTGAGGAACTGCCAAACTGGTTTCCAAGATGGCCGCCCCATTTTTCCATTCCCACCAGCAATGTATGAGGGTTTTGATTCTCCACATTCTCCCCACTACTTGTTACTGTCTGCCTTTTTTATTATAGCCAGCCCAATGGCTGTGAAGTAGTATCTGATTGTGGTTTTTATTTACAATTCCCTAATGATTAATGATGTTGAGCATCTTTTCAAGCGCGTATTGGCTATTTGCATATATTCTTTAGAGAAATGTTTATCCAAATTCTTTGCCCATTTTTGAATTAGTCTATTGCTTTTTTAATATTGAGTTGTAAGAGCTCTTTATATATTCTGGATACTAGACCCTTATCAGATATATAATAAGCAAATATTTTCTTCCTATGGGTTGTCTCTGACAAATAGTTTAAGGCAAAAGAATATTGTCTGGAGAGTCCAACCAACAGATTTGCTTGGTGCAGCAGAGGATATGCAAATAAATAAGAAACCATCATCTTCACACTTCAGCCTTCTTTGCTCCTTTGCACATTAGTAGAGATTGTTGGCCCTATATATGAATGTTCCCCAATCTAATTTTATCCCTGAATGCCACCTAAAACTATTTTTACCTATCACTGCTTGACCCTCTCTCCCACCTCAAACAACTTCTCTCTCTGTAGATGAACAGCCATCTCCTGCAGAGAACAGAGACCATCAAAGAGGAAGACCCACAACTTCCTGCTCTGTCCACTTACCAACATGACCTGCATCTGCATTCAGCCTTCTCTTCCTGCCTCTCTGAAGACACATGCCCCTTTCTCTCCAAATATCATTTTGCAATCTTTGTATCGGCTTGTGCCTCTTCCCACTTCCTCTGAAACCCTTCACTTCTTTTTCCTTTGTTTTTCCCTCTCCTTTGACTTCTTCCTTTCAGTTTAGTCTCCTCCAACCAAAGACAAGAACCTTCTCTTGACCCCATTGCTCCTTTAGCCACGTTGCATTTCCTCCCTTGACAGATATATCAGAAGGGAGTATTTCCTTCCTCAACTCCTACATGTTTCCTCAGCCAATGATGACCAGGTGCAACCAACTTTTCTGAGCTCATTTTGCAGTCACCAGGGACCTGCACATTGCCTCTCCTGGTCCTTTCTGCCTGTCCTCTCTAATGCCACTGACCATGCCTACTCGTTAGACCCCTGCTGTCCTTTGGCTTGTAAAACATCCCTCTCACCTGGTTCTGCTTGTACCTCCCTGATGACCCGCCTGCCTCAAAGCTGGACTCCCTAAAGTCCTCTGCTGCACACTCTGCCCTTGTGATTTCATCCACTTCCCTGGCTCTGATTCCTAAGTATGGGCTATTAACTCCCCACCCACCATCTGGCCCCAGTTGCTCTTCTCTGCTTTAATGTCCTGCAGAGCTGCAATCTCTTGTTGCTGTTGTAATTGGTATTAACTTTGAACACATCTTCACTTTGTTTTTCTTAATATAGGGATAGGACTTTGTTTTTCTTAATAGGGATAGGACAAGCTCACTGGAATATATCCAAACGTGTTCCCTTCTCTTCTAAAACTGCTCTCTCCCTGGTATTTCCTGAATTGGTTAGCAAAATCTCCTTCCATTAGGCTTCTAAACCTTAATACATTCCTCCGCTCCCTCCTGCATATTCGTCATCAGATTATGTGAGTTTAGAAATGCCTCCCAAATATGTCTTCATCTTTTCCTCCCTGCTTTTCCCGCTTTCACTCAAGTCTTCACCATTTCTTACATCATTCATCCCACTAGCTTCCCAGCTGGTCTTCCTAACCTCATGTCAGTACACCTTCCACACTTCCTAGAAATAAAATAATCCCCATTGTGGTTTTGTCTCTTGTCATTTCCTTTCACAATCTGCCCTTCTCTACTTCTGCCACACTGACTTTCCCACAATTCTCTGAACATGCCAGGTTGTTTCATGACACAAAGCTATTCCTTTCCCTTGGGGGCCTTCTCCATCTGACAACTTCCATTGATCATTCCTTGGGGTCTCATAGCAAAAATTCAGAAACAGTGTGATGCAGTAGTTGGGGATGCTGGCCTGGGCTCAAATCCCAGCTCCATCCCTTATTTTCCATGTGAACTTTCTATGCTTCCTTTTCCCTACTGGTTAAAAAAAAAGGAGGGGGGGGCACAATAGTGTCTATCTCACAGACCTCTTTAAATAATTAAATGAGATGATATATAAGACATTTAGAATAGTACCTAGTGTATAATAAATTGTCCATAAATGCGAGTTTTTATTATTTTAAAAGCATTTACCGGCTGGGCATGGCGGCTCATGCCTGTAATCCCAGCACTTTGGGAGGCCAAGGCAGGCAGATCACTGGAGGTCAGGAGTTCAAGACCAGCCTGGCCAACATGGTGAAACCCCTACTCTGCTGAAAATACAAAAATTAGCCAGGCATGGCGGCACATGCCTGTAGTCCCAGCTACTCGGGAGGCTGAGGCAGGAGAATCACTTGAACCTGGGAGGCAGAAGTTGCAGTGATCCAAGATCGCACCACTGCACTTCAGCCTGGGCAACAGAGCTAGACATCTTCTCAAAAAAAAAAAAAAAAAAAAAAAAGCATTTACTACATTTCATTGAAATTGTCAGTTCAAAAGTCTATATTCTCCACTGTTAGCTCCTTAAGGGTGGGATCAGATCTTATTTCTTTGCTTTTTTTATTATAATATTTTATACATATATAACCATGCATAAAATATGTACAGTTTCAAGAATAATAAAAAATCAAATGCCTAGAAATCACAACCCAAGGCAAGAAAGAGATGATTGCCAGCCTCCTGATAGCTTCTTGCACCTCTCTTTGTGACTACAAATCCCTTGCCCTTTCTAGGAGGAAACATTTTTCTAATTTTGGTGATAATCTCTTGTTTTTTGTTTCATTTTACTACTTTTATAAGCAATGCTAAACAATACAGGTTACTGCTTATAAACAGTATAGGTAAGTTTTGCTATTATGATTTTAAATTTTCTATAACAGGACAATACCACATGTATTATTTTATGACTTGCTTCCTTTATCAAACATTATGTATAGGAGATTCATCTATGTTGTTTCATGTAGCTGTGTCTCATTCATTTTCATGTCCACATATCCTACTGTAAGAATATATTTTAATACATGTGTCCATGAGATAATTGAAGGACATCTGGGTTGTTTAGAGTGCAGGGCTGTTAGGAACAATGCTGTGAGGGCACTTTTATGCATGTACCTCTGTGGACCTGTGCAAGAGCATGCTCAGGGTATATGCCCCAGAGCATGTGGCTGTGCACATCACCAACTCTATATGATACCAAATCAGTCTTCAAGGTTAACCCAATTTGGATTCTCAGTTTGCATTCACACCAGCAGGATGAGAGATCCTATTACTCCATATCCTCACCAACACTTAGTATTACAAGACTTCTGACTTTTGACAACTGGTCAAAAGTAAATGGTGTGATTATATGTCACTGTCAATTCAACTTTTCATTAGCCATTTGGATTTTCTTTTCTATGAAGTGACTTCAAATCTTTTTCCCATTTTTCTATTGGATTGTCTTTTTCCCATTGATGTAAGTAAAAATCCTTTGACTATTCTGGACACTAATAATTTAGTTATATGTAAAGCAAATATTTTCTCTCTCTTGTGTGCACACATTCATGTCTTTCCTCTTTTAATGGTGTCTTTTGGTGGACATAAATTCCTGTAATGAAGTCAAATTTATCCATTTTTTCTTTCATGATCAATGTTTTTTGTGTTTTAGAAAAATCACCCTTTCTTCCATTAGGTCCTGAAAATATTCTCCTAAATTATCTTCCTAAAATCGTATAGTTTTGCTTTTCACATATGCACGTTTAGTCCTTCTGGAACTGCTGTTGTACTGTAAAATGTTAGAAAATGAATCCAGTTGTATTTCCTTCTATATAGCTAGACATCTGTCCCAGCACCACTTAATGATTGATCCTTTTCCTGCTAATATAAAATGCCTATGTGTCTATACTTATGTTTATGAATGCACAAGTCTATTCCAGGAACCTCTAAGGGAGCCTCAATCTGTTTGTCTAGTGATATATCTATTTACTTTAATGATTTGATTCTTCAAGTTTATAATTGTCTCCACAGAGGGCCTTCTTCACTTTTTGTTATATTTAACCATTTATATTTCATATTTTTAGGTTTCTGCAATGACATTTTTAAAATTTATATATTTGTTACTGGTATATAGAAATATAATTTTAAATGCTCATTAATTCTAATAATTCATATGTAGGACTTTTTTCATACAAAATTGTAATAACTACAAATAATGACTTTTTATTTCTCCTTTCCAATCATTATTCTTTCCTTGCTTCCTTTCCTTCTACCTCTTTCTCTCTCTTTTTCCTTACAGCACTGGCTAGACTATCCAGTACAATGCTAAGTAGAAGACATGTTTCATACATCCTCGTCTGTTCCTAATCTCAAAGGAAAAGCTTTTAACATTTCACAGTTAAGAGCTGGGTGCAGTGGTGCATGCCTGTAATCCCACCTACTTGGGAGGGCTGAGGCAGGAGAATTGCTTGAGCCCAGGAGTTTGAGAACAGCCTGGGCAACATAGCAAAACCCTGTCTCTAAACATAAAAAGAAAGAAAGAAAAAAGAAATTAATATTTTAAACTTCACAAGTAAGATATTCATGGTAAACCTTATTGTAGAAACCTTTTATCAGGTTAAAGGCATTCTTCTATTTTTAGTTTTTATGATGAATGGATTTTGAAATTCATCAAATGCTTTTCCTATATGTATTGAGTTGATTGTATGAATTTTGTCCTCTAATACGTTAATGTGGTAAATACCATTGATTAGTTTCTAATATTAAGTAGATTTCAGAACTTTTCTCTTTTCAGCCTCCATAAATTTTAATCTCTCATATTTCCCACCTCTCTGTCTCTCTGAGCTTTAATATTGATGACTTTTTCTGAGTTATCATCCATTTCATGAATTTTTTGTAGCTGTGTGTGACAGGTTGTTAAAACTTTGCAGGTGATTTGTTATTCACTTATTTCACTTTGTATTTCTAGATGTCCTGGGTATTCTTCAATTTTATGTCAGTTTTAATGCAATGTCCAGTTTTTATCAATATTTTTAAGCTTGTCTTCTATTTCTTTAAAAATAGTAAGTGTGGTTATTTTATTATTTGTGCCTGATAATTCTAGTATTTGAAGTCTTTGTGCAGAAGTCTGCTTCTGCTGCCAGTTGTTTCTGTTGATTCTCACTCATGGTCCCTTTTAATTATGTCTTTTGGTTTTCACTGAGCTACTTATTCACCTTGAAAAATAATTTATGAGAATCCTCTCAGGCCCAAGATGAGGGTATACAAAGAATATTCAATTTTATTTTACTCTAAGTTAATATGTTAATCTGTACTGTTTAAGGGATGCTGGCAAAAACACAAGATGTTTGGGTCAGAGACAAAGAACTTCATTACTTACTTCGTTAGCAAGCAGTAGGGCAGCAGCATCTTTGTCTCAGGTCCTCTAATCCCCAAGTCCCACAATGAGTCCAGATGACACTTCACAGATAGTGGGTTGAATTAGAGAGGAGGAGCACTGGATGTGGGGAATCCACTGGTTTTGTACCAAGCAGTTAGGAAGCCTACTCTTTGTGGCAGAGAGGGGACATTATCTCATCATATTAGTTAATTTTATGTTGCTATAAAAGAACACCTAAGACTGGATAATTTATAAAGAAAAGAGGTTTATTTAGCTCATAGTTCTGCAGGCTGGGAAGATCAAGGGTACTGGCTTCTTGCAAGGGCTTTCATGCTACATTACAACATGGCAGAGAAGGTCAAAGGTGAAGCAGACACATGTAAAGAGAGAGAAACCTGAGGGGTGTCCTCACTTTAAAACAATCCACTCTTGCAGGAACTAATCAATTCCTGCGAGAATTAATCCAGTCTTGTGACAGCCAGAACTCATTCACTCACTGCCATGAGAACAGCACCAATTCATTCATGAGGGATTTGCCCCCATGGCCCAAACACCTCCCACTAGGCCTCACCTCCCAACACCGCCACACTGGGGATCAAATTTCAACATGAGCCTTGGTGAGAACAGACTAATCATATCTAAGCCATAGCACTCATCTTTTAAGGTACTGGCTGCATAGACAACTCTGAGAAATGGCCCACATAAAAAAGTGGTCAGGGACTTGCCATCTTGGCACATCCAGCAAGAAGTATAGAAGACTACAAGAGGTGCAAGGAGGCTGTCTCTTTCAACAAATTCCGCCGAGAGAATACAGACACTGGGAGTCAGGGACCATGTCAAACCAATTTTTTAGCTTAAGGTTTTTCTGGAGCTCCCAAGTAATTTTAATTCAAGCTACCCATCCAAATGAATACCAGTTAATGGTATGCAACTTCTCAAGGACTTTAAAAAATATATATCATGGCTGCTCTGCCTATGGAGTGACCCTTCTTTATTCCTTTACTTTCTTAATAAACTTGCTTTCACTAATATATATATTATATATAATATTTATATATAATATATATTTATATATATTATATATTTTATATATAATATATATTTATATATATTATATATTTTATATATATTATATATATTTATATATATTATATATTTTATATTATATATATTTTTTGTATATATATTTTATATATATTATATGTACATATAATATATATATTATTATATACATTTATATATATAAATATATATAAATATATAAATATATATAATATATATATTATATATGTTATATTATATAATATATATATTATAATATATATAATATATGTTATATTATATATAATATATATATTATAATATATATAATATATGTTATATTATATATAATATATATATTATAATATATATAATATATAAATATATATTATATATTACATGTACATATAATATATTTATATTATATGTACATATAATTAGTGAAATATATATATAATTTCACTAATATATTTTTTATTTATATATTATATATATATATACACACACATCTCTGCATCTATCAAAGTGACTGTAAGTGTTCAATATATGTCTATATAACTATACCAAGTTCAGACAAAGGAACTAAATTTATTTTCAGTTAACATATTTTGTACTCTGACTGTGTTATAAGCATTATTTATATCCCGTTTTTGTCATACAGCAAATGTATTTTAGTACATTTCATACAAGTAGTTGCAAATATTTTGAGTTTCAAGAGTCAAGCAGTGAACACATTTCAACAGAAAAGCCCCAAGTGATAATTTGTATAACAGCTTGCTGAATGAAAACACTAATACCTAGCACCTTTGACATACTATGAGAGGTATGGCCCTGCCCATAACAAAGCCCTTTAATTTTTCTTTTGACATGTTTATCAGCCCCATTAGACTGGTATACCTCAAGGGCAGGGATTTCTGATCTAAGCTATTGTCTTTAGGTCCTCAGTGCCCACCATATGACTGTAAAATCCACAACTATGGAGACCAAATAAGTTCATCTCTGTGCTTTGGTATGGTCCATGTTCATACAGAGATAAACTTTGCTTTATTTTAAGAATTACATATTCATTTTAATGTAAATTTTTAAAAATATATGGCCAGGTTATGCTTTGAATGATAGTATTCCCTCCAAAATTCATGTTGAAACTTAATCTCCAGTGCAACACTATTAAGAGGGATGGCCTTGGGAGGTGATAAAGTCATGACAGTAGAGCCCTTAGCACCCTTAGAAAAGTGCTCAAGGTTGAAGGGAGCACTCTCCTGCCCTTCCATCCCTTCTTCCATGTGAGGACACTGCATTTATCCCATCCAAAGGATGCAGCAATAAGGCACCATCTTGAAAGCAAACAACAGCCTTCCCAGTCAGCAATCCTGTTGGCACCTTATCTTGGGCTTCCCAGCCGCCAGAACTATGGGAAATAAATTTCTATTGTTTGTGAATTACCCAGTCTGTGGTATTTTGTTACAGCAGCACAAAAAGACTAAAAGGGGCTGTTATATCAAGCCCATAATTTTACAGATATACTGCTTAGGATCAGGCTACTCCTATTAAAAAGCAAGTCTATTTAAAGAGAAGAAAATATTCAAAGTAATAAACCGTATCTATTGAGTGATTATATGTCCAGGGTACTTTTTTTCTGTATTAATTTTGCAATAATCCTTTGAAGTAAGTGATATTATTTTTTATCACCAGCCTATAGACAAAGATTCTGAAACACAGGTAAGTTAGGCAATTTGCCTGGGGTCCACAGTTAATAAGTGGTAGAACCAGGATTTGGATCTAGGTATACTGTCTTCAGAGCCTATCCTTATCATTATACATCCCTAAATAATGGATCAGCAAAGAGGTAGGTATTTAGATAGGAAGTATAAAAATGACAAGTTTTAAACATAATTCCTTGTGTCCCAAGAAAACCAGATAGGAAAATAAACCCTACACTGATACAACAATCCTAAATATTTGATTTTACCTGTCAGAAAAGTAGCCAAAAGTCACCGATCCCAGTAGGACTCCAAACATAAATAGGGGCTGGATCAGCATTGCAAGCCATTTTCGGTCACAGACCAGGTTCCACTGGGTCACCGCAGTGCTTTTCCATGTGTTCTGGTCATATATGTAGCCATCCACACAAGGAAACTCTTTCTTACTGCCAGTGTATTCATAGCCCAAACTCGATGTGTTCTCCCTCTTATTCCTGCTACACCTTGAGAGCTCCCAGATCTCACCATTCTGCAACTGCACCGTAACATAATCTTTCTGGCCTGAAGACAACAGGGCCCCGGTGTCCTCCAAACTCCAATTAGAGTGATTATGGAAAACAACCTGACTCACATTGCCTGGGGGCCTGCAGACATGATGAGGGGTGACTCCCATGAACACAGAAGCCAAGTAGTGAATACCACAAGAGATGTTCTGGAAGGCACATATGAAATAGAGGACTCTCTGGAATCTGCAAGAGAAGAAAAGCTAATTATTATATCTGGTCTATAGGCTGAAAAAGAACATAAGCAAATTTGAAGGGTCTCCATCATGTTTATCTTAACATATACACGAATGGATAAATATAGAAATAATTATAGACATATTTATATCTGTGGGTTAGTATATATACATATATTACTTAGCTCCATCTACTGAGAAGGCCTAGAAGCAATGACATCCCAAGAGCAGCAAGCACACCCATTGCCCAGATCTTAGTTTCTAAATACCATTCTCCAATGAGAGGAGCCAGAAAAAGTGGCTGATTCTAAAGCCAGGAAAAGAAGAATACAAAATAAGCCTGGAATATCTTACAATACCATAAAGTAAGGAAATACTCAAAAAACAAAAGGATAAGGGCATATGAAAGGGGCCCAAGTAGCAACCTGAAAAAGTTCCCAGTGGCCAGCTGTGGGTGGCAAGCCACCCAGGTGCCGAGGCAAGAGACCGAGCACGAGCTGTTCCATATAATAAAATATATAAAATAACAAGAGTTATGCTAGATATATATAGATCATAGACATGATTATATATAAGTATCACCAATCATTAGTTTGTAGTAATTACTCTTTATTTCAATACTATAATAATCCTAGCTCTACAACCATAACCTAAGAAAAACCAGGCCATACAGAGACAGGAGCTGAAGGGACATGGTGAGAAGTGACCAGAAGACAAGAGTGTGAACCTTCTGTTATGCCCGGGTAGGGCCACCAGAGGGCTCCTTGATCTAGAGGTAATGCCAGTGTCTGGAAAGATGCCCGTTACCAAGCGGACCATGGTCTAGCAGTAGCGTCAGTGCCAAAGAAAAGTACCCGCTACTTAGCAGACCAGGAAAGGGAGTCTCCCTTTCCCCAGGGGAGTTTAGAGAAGACTCTACTCCACCACCTCTTGTGGAGGGCCTGACATCAGTCAGGCCTGCCTGCAGTTATCTGGAGGCCTAACCATCTCCCTGTGATGCTGTGCTTCAGTGGTCACGCTCCTGGTCTGCTTTCATGTTCCATCCTATACACCTGGCTCTGCCTTCTAGATAGCAGTAGCAGAATTAGTGAAAATATTAAAAGTCTCTGATATGCAGAAATAATGGCATAAGCTGTCTCCTCTCTCTCTCTCTCTCTCCCCGCCTCGGTTGCCAAACAGGGAAGGGCCCCCTGTCCACTGGACACGTGACCCACGTGACCTTACCTATCATTGGAGATGGCTCACACTCTTTACCCTGCCCCCATGTCTTGTATCCAATAAATAACAGTGCAGCCTGACATTCAGGACCACTACCAGTCTCTGTGTCATGGTGGTAGGGGTCCCCCAGGCCCAGCTGTCTTTTCTTTTGTCTCTTTGTCTTGTGTCTTTATTTCTACGATCTCTCGTCTCCACACATGGGGAGAAAAACCCACAGACCCTGTAAGGCTGGCCCCTACAGCCAGTTGGAAGCTGAAACAATTTGAGCAACAAAATAAATGGCATAGTATATCCCAAAGCATAAAATAAATATACATGAATTCATACTGTGTGGTTAATTTTATGTGTTAACTTGACTGGGTTAAGGGAAGCCCAGATAGCTGGCAAAACATTATTTCTGGGTGTGTCTGTGAGAGTGTCTCTGGAAGAGATTAGCGTATGAATCAGTAGACTAAGTAGAGATCACCCTCACCAGTTGAGGTGGGCATCATCCAATCACTTGAGGGCTTGAATAAAACAAAAAGGTGAAGGAAGAGCAAATTTATTCTCTGCATGAGCTGGGACATCCATATTCTCTGGTTCTCAAATATCAGAGCTCCTGGTTCTTGGGTTTTTGGAATTAGATGAAGACTTACACCAGGCCTTCAGTCTGGGACTGAATTACACCACTAGCTTTCCTAGTTCTCCAGCTTGCAGATAGTAGGTCATGAGACTTCTCAGCCTTTATAACCATGTAAGCCAACTCCTATAATAAGTCTCATATATGTGTGTGTGTGTATGTGTGTGTGTGTGTGTATCCTATTTGTTCTCTTTCTCTGGAGAAGCCTGACAAATACAATACACCATACTCATATAAATAAATGAATGAAAAAATAAAAGAGGGAGAAGAGACCAATCTTTCTTACATTAGAATTCAATTACTATCTGTAGACATTCCCTCTCTCCAGGAAGTAGAGTTTAATTCCCGCAATTTACTCCTAAAGGGTGGGCTAGGCTTAGTAACTTGCTTCTAAAGAACAAAGCAGGAAAAGAGGAAAAATAGTATCTTTACAGTGGGGAAACCTAGAAACTTGCAAACACTAAAGTCACCAAGTGATGAAGGTTAACATCCCCAGTGACGTCATGTGGATATGCTGTATCCCTCCTATGATCTGATGAGAAGGGCACTTCATCTCTGTTGTTGTCTTTCCAAAAACCATAACCTTAGTTTAATAATTTAAAAAAAGACCCCAGATTGGGGGTCATCTACAGGTTACCTGGCCAATATACCTAAAGACTGCCAAGGTCACAAAAAATAAAGAAAGACTGAGAGACTGCTACAGACAATTAAATGCAGTGTGGTGCTCTGGGACTGGATCCCGGAACAGGAAGAGGACACTTGGAAAAACTGGTGAAATTCAAATGAAGTATATAGTTAGTTAATAGTAACATATTAATATCAGTTTGTTAGTTCTGACAAATATGGTAATGTAAGATGTTAACAATAGGGGAAACTGGGTGAGGGTCATATGGGGACTCTGTACTATCTGTGTAACTTTTCCATAAATCTAAAATTATCAAAAAATAAAAAGTTTATTTAAAAATTTAAAAAAATAGAGTCTCCAAATTTATAGACTCAAACCAACAGTGACATATTTTCTGAAGTAAAAAATCACCGCATAAGGACAATTATGCCCACAGGACAACAGGATAGAACAGATAAAATTTGGATTACCCCACAAAATTCCAACCCCTGAAATTAAGAGGCATAGCAGACCTTTGAACAGGTGACTTAATTATTTAGATTGAAAACAGAATCAGTTAAGGCAATCACCAACATTCCTATAAAACCATTAAAATGGGAGGTAGGAAATAGGTCCTGTCCGATCAAACTGAGGTCAAATTGCACCATTGACACATGTGATCTCCATCGCCCTTCTTCCTTTGCAGACCTGCCCACCCCGCTGCATCCTGATGCTCCCTCTCACTGGAAGATGCTTCTGACCATCCCTCAGCTCAGCAGTTCTCACACTTTTTGGTCTCAAGAGCCTCTATATTTTTACAAATTTTGAGGATTCCAAAAGGACTTTCTTTATGTGGATCATATTTATCACCTTTTATATATTAGAAATTAAAATGGAGAAAGAGAGGAGGAAAGAGAGCCAAGGTCTGCCAGGGAGCCCACAGGAAGAAGCTGGGGCAGAGAAAAGGAAAACAGCAAGAATCTGGCAGAGACTGGCCCCTGGGGAGCCTGGAGTCTTACAGAAAGGGTGGATAGGGGTGCATCCCTTCTCACCTCACCCCTGTAACAAACTGCTGACTACCAAATTGTGGGAGAGCCCCTCTGCCTTCGTGACCCTGGGCAATGCTGTCAGTGGTGATTTGGGAACTTCCTGAGAATAGAGTGCCAGGTGACCAACTCATGCAGGTGTGCTGGCACTCCCCTCAGGCCTGAACTGAGATGGTGGACACCATACTGGTTGTGCACCTGTTCTGAGCCACTGCCCTGCCCAAGCAACCTCAGCCTTTGTGATATTGTATCACCAGATCCCCCAGAAACATACCCCACAACCACTCTGACTTTGGCAACCATGGGGGACCAGCAGGACCCTGGGGAGCTGCGGGAACCCCAGAAATCTAGCCCTCAGTGCAGGTTTCTTCTAGGGGGAGCACAGCCCACCAAAGTGCTCCTTGGGACAAAGGAAATGCAGGCACAGGACCAATCTCTGAAAGGGGCGGTAGTAGTAGCTGGGAAGGGACATGGAGAGGGGACTATTTCCTACTCCACCCATTCACTGTTGCAGATGCAGCAGAGGCTTTCCCTGCTGGAAGCTGGCATTCGTGCAATTGAAGAAAGGCTTTCTAGCACTTTTCACAGTGGCTGCATCCCCACTGAAAGTGAGGTGGTACTGCCTGGGCTTTCAGAAAAGGCAGGGCCCATCTACCGCTCCCTACACAAAGTAGCAATGTCCCTGCAACAGAGGACAGACAAGCCACAGAGCTGACTGTTCTGGACTGGAGAAAGAGGCTCTGACCCGAGGCCATTTTGGTGGTAGCCACAATCGAAGCCTTCTCACAGACCTCAGGAGTGGCCAGGAGCCAAAGGACAGTGTTTAAAAGAACTGAGGGTTATGAGTGCTGTGAAAGGGGCATGATAGGTAGTGGATCATGTTCTTGTCTGCCCAGGATGAGGAGCTGGTGCAGCCCCCTGCTGGCCCCTACCCCTGAGACCTCAGAACCCCCATCAAGGAAGGGGCTTCCACTCATCTTTGGATGACCTGAGGGTGAGCTAGCTCTTCTTACCCTCAAGCGTCACTTACTGGACTAGAGACTGAACTGCATCATCAAACAAAAAACCTGCTGTCAGAAGAGCACAGTGCTAGTGTATGAGATAAGCTTCCTGAGACCTCCACACTCCTAGCCCTACAGAAGATAGTGTGTCAGCTCATACACCCTACATATCACTGCAACAAGCAGCATCTGGGAAAGCCACCACACAAATGATATCCATAACCAAGGAACCCATAGAGACCCTTGGCCCCCTGAAAGCACCCAGAAACAAAGCCAAACAATCATACGCAATATATACTACAGCCACACCCTCAAGTGAAAAAAGAATACAAACTTTAAAAGTTTCATTCAAATGTTGGCAAATTCAAAAATAGGAGGCAACAGCTCTGTATTTGTCCAATTTCATGCTGCTGATAAAGACATACCAAGACTGGGCAATTTACAAAAGAAAGAGGTTTATTGGACTTACAGTTCCACAAGGCTGGGGAGGCCTCACAATCATGGCAGAAGGCAAGGAGGAGCAAGTCACATCTTACATGGATGGCAACAGGCAAAGAGAGAGCTTGTGCAGAGAAACTCCCATTTTTAAAACCATCAGATCTTGTGAGACCCTTTTACTGTCACAAGAACAGCACGGGAAATACCTGCCTCCATGTTTCAATCATCTCTCACCACATCCCTCCCACAACACGTGGGAATTATGGGAGTTAAAAGATGAGATTTGGGTGGGACACAGAACCAAACTATATCAAGCTCCTTCAGATGAGAAGGAATCAGCATAAAAGCTCCAGCTATACAAAAAGACAAAGTGTTTTGACACCTCCAAACATTACTAGCTCTCTAGCAATGGATCCTAACTAAAATGAAAATTCTGAAATGACAGATAAAGAATTCAAAATATGGATTGTAAGAAAGCTCACTGAGATGCAAAAGAAAGCTGAAAATCAACCCCCAAAAACTTAGGACATGAAAGACAAAATAGATATATTAAACTTTAACTATAGTGAAAGACTAGACCAAGCAGAAAAGATAATTTCAGAGCTTGAAGACCAATCTTTCTATTTTAACAAGTCAAACAAAAATAAAGAAAAAAGAATTTTTTAATGAATAAAGTCTTTGAGAAATATGCAATTATGTAAAGGGACCAAATGTATGACTTATATGTAATCCTGAGAGAGAAGAAGAAAAAGTAAGCAATTATATTTAAGAGAATAATTCAGGAAAATTTCCCTGATCTTGCTATAGAGGTAGACATTCAGATGCAAGAAATTCAGAGAATATCTGGGAGATACTATAAAAGATGAATGTCACCAAGGCATATAGTCATCATACTATCCAAGTTTAATGCTAAAGAAAAAAATCTTAAAGGCATCTGGAGAGAAGTGTCAGATCGCCTATAAAAAGAAATCCTGTCAGACTAATGAGACGTCTCAGTAGAAATCTTACAAGCCAGAACAGATTGGGGGCCTATTTATAGCCTTCTTAAAGGAAAAAAAAAAGCCTCCCAAGAATTTTATATCCTGCCAAATAAGCCTCATAAAAGAAGGAGAAATAAAGTCTTTCCCAGACAAGCAAACACTAAGGGAATTAATCACCACTTGACCAGTTCTATAAGAACTGCTTAAAGAAGTTATAACCATGGAAATGAAAGGACAATACTTGCCACAGTAAAATCACACATAAGTAGAAAGTTCACAGATCCCATAAAGCAATTACACAATTGACACTACAAAGCAACTAGCTAACAAAACTCTGACAGGAACAAAACCTCACATATCATTATTAACCCTAAATGTAAACAGCCTCAATGCTCCACTTAGAGGATATAGATGAGCAAAATGGATTTTTTTTTAAAAAGACCCAACCATCTGCTACCTACAAGAGACCACTTAATATGTAAAGATACCCATAGCCTAAAGTAAAGGGGGGTAAAAAGATATGTCATGCAAATGGAAAACAAAAAGGAGCAGGAGTTGTTCTTCTTATATCAGATAAAACAGTCTCTAAAGTAACAACAGTAAAAAAAAAAAAAAAAAAAAAAGACAAAGAATAGCATTATCCAATGATACACGGTCTAATTCAACAAAAAGATTTAACTATCCTAAATACATATGCACCCAGCATCAGAGCACCCAGATTTATAAAACAAATACTATTAGACTTACAAAAAGAGATAGACAGTCATATAAAAGAGTGAGGGACTTTCAATACCATACTGACAGCAATAAGCTGTCAATGATGACAGATCATTGAGCTTGATCTGTCGATTTGATTATATAAACTTGACCAAATGGACTAAGAGACACCTACAGAACATTCCACCCAACAACCACAGAATATACATTTTTCTCATCTGTGCATAAAACATTCTCTAAAATTCACCATATGCTTGCCCATAAAGCAAGTCTCAATAAATGCAAAAAAAAAAAAGTCAAAATCATATTAGGATCTTCCCAGACCACAGAGGAATAAAATTAGAAATCAATACCAAGAGAAACTCTCAAAACCACAGAAGTACATGGAAACTAAACAACTTGCTCCTGAATGACTTTTGGGTAAACCATAAAATCAAGGCAGAAATCAAAAAAATGTTTTGAAATGAATGAAAACAGACACAACATACCAAAACCTCTGGGATACAGCAAAAGCAGTGCTAAGAGGAAAGCTTATAGCATTAATTGCTCAAATCAAAAAGACAGATCTCAAATTAACAACCATTAATGCCACACCTCAAGGAACTAGAAAATCAAGAACAAACCAAACACAAAGCTAGCAGAAGAAAAGAATAATAACAAAGATCAGAGAAGATTTGATCTCAATTAAATTGAAACCAAAAAAATCATACAAAGGATCAACAAAACACAAAGTTGGTTCTCTGAAAAGGTAAACAAAATTGTTAGACGGCTAGCTAGACTAACAAAGAAAAAGAGAAGATTCAGATAAGCACAATCAGAAATGATAAAAGTAACATTACAACTGATAACACAGAAACACAAAGGATCATCAGAGACTACTATGAACATCTCTAAGTGCACACACTAGAAAACCCAGAGTACATGAATAAATTTCTGGAAGCATACAACCCCTCAAGAGAAATAGAAATTCTGAACAGACCAATAACGAGTAATGAAATTGAATCAGTAACAAAAAAATGTAACAACTACAACAAAAAAAGAACCCAGGACCAGACGGATTCACAGTTGAATTTTATCAGATGTACAAAGAGCTAGAACCAATCTTACTGAAATCATTCCAGAAAATTAAGGAAGAGGAATTCCTCCATAAATAATTCTATGAAACCAGTATCATAATGATACCAAAATCTGATAAGAACACATCAAAAAAGAAAACTACAGGCCAATATCTCTGATGAACATAGATACAAAAATCCTCAACAAAATACTAGCAAACTGAATCCAACAGCACATCAAAAAGATAATCCATCACAATCAGATGAGTTTTATTTTAGGGATGCCAAGATGGTTCAACATATGCAAGTCAATTAATGTCATTCACCACGTAAACAAAATTAAAAACAAAAGACATAAGGTCAACTCAATAGATGCTGAAAAAGCATTTGATAAAATCCAACATCCCTTCATGATAAAAAAAAAAAAAACTCAACAAACTAGGCATCAAAGTAACATACCTCAAAATAATAAGAGCCATATATAACAAACCCGTAGCCAACATCATACTGAATGGGGAAAAGTAAAATGCATTCCTCTTCAGAACTAGAACAAGACAAGGATTTCACTCTTACAGCTCCTAAATAGCACAGTACTAGAAGTCCTAAACATAGCAATTAGGTAAAAGAAAGAAACAAAAGGTATCCAAACTGAAAAAAAGAGTGAAATTATCTCTGTTCCCTGATAACATGATCTTATACCTAGAAAAATCCTAAAGATTCCTCCAAAAGACTCCTAGACTTGATAAACAACTTCAGTAAAGTTTCAAGAAACAAAATTAATGTACAAAAATCAGTTGCATTTCTATACAACACTCAAGCTGCAAACTAAATCAAAAAGTCAATCCCATTTATTATAGCCACACAAACACACAAAATACCTAGGAATACACTTAACCAAAGAAGTAAAAGACCTCTACAAGGAGAACTACAAAACACTAATGAAAGAAATCAGAAGTGACACAAAAAATGGAAAAACATCTCATGCTCATGGATTAGAAGAATCAATACCATTTAAGTGACCATACTGCCCAAGGCAATCTACAAATTCAATGCAATTCCTATAGAATCAGCATTATTTTTCACAGAATTAGAAAAAACTATTCTAAAATTCACATGGAACCACAAAAGAGCCCAAATAGCCAAAGCAATCCTAAGCAAAAAGAGCAAGGCCAGAGGCATCACATTACCTGACTTCAAACTATACTACAAGGCTATAGTAACCAAACCAGCATGGAACTGGTACACAAATCGACACACAAGCCAATGGAACAAAATAGAGAATCCAGAAATAGAGCCACACACTGACAACCAACTGATCGTCAACAAAATCAACAAAAATAAACAATGGGAAAAGGACTCTCTATTCAATAAATGGTGCTGGGAAAAACTGGCTTGCTATATGCAGAAGAATGAAACTGGATCCCTATCTCTCACCATATACAAAAATTAACTAAGGATGAATTAAAGGCCTAAATGTAAGACCTGACACTCAAAAAGTCCTAGAAGAAAACTTAGGAAAAACTCTTCTGGACATTAGCCTAGGCAAAGAATTTATGACCAAGTCCTCAAAGGCAAATGCAACAAAACCAAAAATAGACAAATGGGAATTAATTCAACTAAAAAGCTTCTGCACAGCAAAAGAAACAATCGATAGAGTACATAACCTACAGAATGGGAAAAATATTTGCAAACCGAACTATGCATCCAACAAAGAGCTAATATCCAGAATCCATAAAGAACTCAAATTAATACAAAAAAAAACCATTAAAAAGTAGGCAAAGGACATAAACAGACATTTTCCAAAAGAAGACATACAAGCAGCCAACAAACAGGAAAAAATGCTCAATATCACTAATCATCAGAGAAATGCAAATTAAAACCACAATGAGATACCATCTCATACCATTCAGAATAGCTATTATTAAAAAGTCAAAAATAACAGATATTAGTGAGACTGTGGAGAAAAGGGAACATTTATACACTGTTAGCAGGAATATGAATTAGTACAACCCCTATGGAAAACATTATCAAGATTTCTCAAAGAACTAAAAATAGGACTACCATTTGATCCAGCAATCCCACTACTGGGTATTTACCCAAAGGAAAAGAAATCATTATATCAAAAAGACACCTGCATTTGTCTGTTTATCACAGCACTATTCACGATTGCAAAGCCAAAGAATCAACCTAAGAGTCCATCAGTGGTTAACTGGATAAAGAAAATGTGATAGATAGATAGATAGATAGATAGATAGATAGATAGATAGATAGATAGATAGATAGATAATCTGCATTCAATCTGATGAGTTATTACACATCATCTAGCCTCTGGAAAACTCTACTGTACTTTCATGAGAGAATGAGAGTTTTTAAAAAGACAGCTAATATCTTAGTATTGCTAGAAAAAAGTTTTACCCTTGCAGACTTCAAAGACCTACAAGAATTCTCACATTTTGAGACCTGCTGGTCTAGCCTGTTCCTCTCATACTCCTCTCTCTCTGCGTTTTTTTTCCCTCCAACCTAAATGCCGATTTTCAGTCTCTTTATCCTTCACTGCCAGCTTCTCTCAGTCCTGTCTTTTTACTTGCTTCCGCCTTTCCCATTCTCACTCATTTATGCATTTTCTAGTCCCCACTTTTCCTTCTCTTCCTTCTCTTCTATGAACACAATATGCAGCTGAAGTACCATTCTGTTATTTATGTTGATTTTTTTAAAGAACACCAGGTGAATGTTTTCTATTTCTCTACCAAACCAACAACAGAAGTCCTATAAAAGGTTGAGTTAAAGTCTCATCAGAGCAGAAACTGTGGTTCAGTCACTTTAGTATCTCCTGTAGCACCCAGCACAGTGTGTAGTGCAGTGGCTATAGAATGCTGGAGAATACCTTGGGCTGAAAATGAACAGTGCTGAAATTGACTCATACTCAGTACTCTGCTAAAGAGAGATGTTCAATAGGCCAGTGTATCCAAAAATTTAGCCTGGGTCCCCCATCAGTTAAATTTTAAAAAGTGTATGTGTGCACAGATGTGCATGTAGACATATAAAGTGAACATGTATACACACACATATTCATATAATGCTAAATTAACTTATTATGTATATTGAAATATAAACTTCTATTTGTACATATTGACTTCTATGCACACATTCATATATAAAATGGGTGTTTTCTGGTGGCAGTCCAAGGGATCATCTCTACCGCCCACTGGTGAACACACCCCACTTTGGAGACTATCACAACCTAGTGACCTCTCCAAGTCCTCACAGATAACTGCCAGGCTGGCATGTAGCCACCATTCCTCACTTCTCATAGAACCTCATGTAGATAAATAATAGGTTAAATGGAATGAATTTGAAGTCTTGTGGCTATCAGGACACCACAGGCTGGTCATGTTGGCCACAGTTTCAAAACTGAATTCTATCTATGGCATTGGCCCTTGTAGCTAGCTAGTCCACGAAAGAAAACTACAAAGCAAAATGCAGGCGGGAAGTAAGTAGTGTTCTTCTAGCTCCAGGATGAGAAAGAACACACTAATTCCTATTCTTAGGGTCTCTTTGGGATGGGCAGCCAACAGAAGAGCTTGGAGCCCCAGTGCTTGATGGGCTAATGGGAGCTAGCTCTGTTTTTTCCAAAAACATTAATATGTCCCTGCCAGTAGTAAAATGATCAGAAATCAGGCCAGGCATGGTGGCTCATGCCTGTAATCCCAACACTTTGGGAGGCCAAGGCAGGTGGATTACCTGAGGTTGGGAGTTCAAGACAAGCCTGGCCAACATGGTGAAACCCTGTTTCTACTAAAAATGCCAAAAACTAGCCAGGCATAGTGGCACGTGCCTGTAGTCTCAGCTACTAAGGAGGCTGAGACAGGAGAATTGCTTGAATCTGGGAGGCGGAGGTTTCAGTCAGCCAAGATCACACCACTGCACTCTAGCCTGGGTAAGCGAGCGAGGCTCTGTCTCAAAAAAAAAAAAAACAAAATGGAGAAGAAGAAGAAGAAGAAGAAAAAGAAAAAAAGAAATCAGCCTCAGTCCATCCTAGACAGAGGGGTTGGGCAGGAACAGTAGGCTGAGAAGACAGGCCGGTGTTGCTCTTGCTCAAAAGACCCCACAGGCTAACATCTTGGCTTGAAGATGAGTGGTGCTGACCCTCACACCTGCAGGTCAGAATCCCTCGTCCCCAGCCCCTGCACTGGCTGCCGTGTCACCACAGAGCCTTGGGGTTGCTATATTGCCTGTGGCCTCATGGGGGTGAGCACCTAGCATGGCTGGTGGGTCACCTGCCCTTGGGAAGCAGGCTTGTCCATTCAGAAGGTGTTTCTTCCTTCCCTGTCATTTTCTCAAGAGGCATCTTCCAGGCAATAAGAATGGCTCTCTTAAGAGACTCCTTGACCCTACAGTGCCATCCAGTCTGCTTCTATTGCACAGATTGTAGATGGGCTTCATCTTACACAGCAGAAGTCAATTCTCCCCTCTTTACTCTACTCTATTCACTCCTGCCTGTACTGTACGTGGCAGCTTATTCAGCATTGTCTTGGTCACTGTGCATAATACTAACATCTTAGGCCGGGCGCAGTGGCTCATGCCTATAATCCCAGCACTTTGGGATGCTGAGGCGGATCACTTGAGGTCAGGAGTTCA
This sequence comes from Homo sapiens, assembly GCF_000001405.40. NCBI lineage: Eukaryota > Metazoa > Chordata > Mammalia > Primates > Hominidae > Homo > Homo sapiens. The sequence continues at coordinate 110,469,324 of NC_000006.12, forward strand.
AGACCAGCCTTGAACTCCTGGTGAAACCCCATCTCTACTATAAATGGTGAAACTCCATCTCTACTATAAATACAAAAATTAGCCAGGCAGTTGCGGGTGACTGTAGTCCCAGCTACTCAGGAGGCTGAGGCATGAGAATAGCTGGAACCTGGAAGCATACGTTGCAGTGAGCCAAGATCGTGCCACTGCACTCTAGCCTGGGCAACAGAGAGAGACCCTGTCTCAAAAATAAATAAATACTAACACCTTATATTGGATCATACTTTAAAGCATGTTCACACTCATTATCTCATTTAATCATCCCAACATACATCAGAGTTTGTGAGCCAGCTGACAAACTAAAAAAAATCTTTGCTTAGTGAATCGCTGATGTAAATAAAGTGGGAAATTAATCTTGCTTAAGGAAACAGTTCATATGTACTAATTTTTTGTAAAATCAAGCACCTAGTTGTCTCTGCTTTGCTAAAAGACATTACACTAATGGGTGTTATTGTCTGCTCTTGTTAATAATAAAACTTGACTTCCCTAAAAGTAACCAGTAGTCAACATCACAAAGATATCAACTCTCCCAAAGTTAATTTATAAATTTTATTTTCAGCAGTGTCTGCAACTGCAAAACATAGAAAACTGAAATGTCCATTGACAGGAGACTGGTTAAAGAAATTATGGTGAAAGTATGATAAAAGTGTAGATACTCCTAGGAGATCCTAGAGGGAAAGGGTAGCATGTAGTTTTTAACTAAAGGAGTATTCCTAGTCTGAGAATCACCCCATCCAGATCATTACAGTGTGGCTTGTGGTGGGCCAGCATCTACCCGCTAGACACCATGGCAATAAGAGGCATGAAAATCAGGTCCTCTTGAAACTAAATTTTGTTGAGAGCCTAAGGAGCACCCTATAATAACAATCCCATATGAATATGACTGGAAATAGAACATAAATCATGTACGTATGGTGCACATATTTATAATTATTTGACTCCCATCCCTGAAATTTCAACTCAGCAAACGACAACACAGCCCCTGCAAACAGCAGGCATGTTTAACTTGCCTAAAGTTTACCTGAGGCATTTGGGTTTGTTCCCTAACTAGTCTCTACCTGGAACAGCTCCACCACTGAAAAGCTCAGGTTCTGAGCATGACCTCCCACCCTCTTACTTCCCCCATCCTTCCCACTGACCCCATTTCCAGCACCATTCAGGCGTCCAGTCTTCAGATCCTACCAGCTTCTTCAGTTAGTTTCTACCTTCCTGGCCTCAGTTTTTTTCTTCCTCAGCCAGTGACCCCCACAGTCATCACCACATCACCAGAACTATTCTCTCTCTCTCTTCCCCTCTCCTTCTCTCTTTGTGTCTTTTTCTCTTGTGCACACACACACATACACCAACACAGCACCCACCCTGGCAGGCCTCTGAAGCTAGGATTTGTCTTTTCTGTCCCCCTCTTAGCAATCGTGATTCAGGAGGTCTAAGGTGGGGTCAAGGCCCCTACAAGCTTAAGAAGCTTCTTAGGAGATGCTGATACGGATGAAAACATTGCCCCAGGATATCTAGTTTTCTGGTTAAACTATGTACTGGTACAAGGTTTGACATTCAAAATACTGGACAATTGTTGTGGAGCAACTGAAAAACCAATAAACAGCTTGTGAGGGTGACATTTGTTATAACCATTTTGCAAAACTCTCTGGCAGGGGACCACATGCACCGCCTGTGACAGCATCTCCTAGGTATCTACCCAGCGAAATGCATACACAGGTAGAGCCACATGCCACAAAACGACGTTTCGGTCAATGATGAACCACATATACAACAGTGGTCCCATAAGATTATAATATTAATATCATATTTTTACCACACCCTTTCCATGTTTAGGTACACAAATACTTCCCATTGTGTTACAATTGCCTACAGTATTCAGTACAATAACATGCTGTGCAGGTTTGTAGTCTAGGAGCAGTGGGCTATACCATAGAGCCTAAATGTGTAGCAGGCTGTACCATCTAGGCTTGTGTAAATAAAATCTGTGATGTTTGCAGAACAACAAAATCACCTAACGATGAACTTCTCAGAAGTATCTCTGTCGTTAAGCAAAATATAACCCTACCCTAAAAGACAAATGCAAGAAAGGCAACTCATATAAGCCCAACCTGGACACAGTCTAAACGTCTGTTGACAGTAAATGAATGAACCGTGAAATATTTGTGCCATTAAATACTATGTAGCTGTGAAAATCGACTAACCTCTGTGACACACAATATGGGTGGATCTCACAAACACAGTGTGGAACAAAAGAAGCCAAAGGGCAAGTGCCTTTTACCCCACTTATGTAACATTTAGTATCGTTGATGTAAGGACAGTAGTGAGCTTGGGGGACAGGGACGGAGTAGGGCTTGGGAGAAGGCATAAGAGGAGATGATTTGGGTGGGGGTAACACAGGTGTGTTCACTGTATGACAACTCATCAGGCTGTAGATTATGGTGGACACTTTTCTGCATATATGTAATATATCAATTTAAAAGTTTTCTATCTACAGCGCCCAGGGAGAGGGAAAACTATTCAGCAACACCCCTGCTGAGGCACAGCTGGAACAGGTGCCAGGCATGCCTAATCTGTCCACAAGGCACTGGTCCAGCTGGACTGCAGCCCTGGGTGGCCACCTGATCCATATTGACAAGGGGGCATTTTCCCTGAGCAACAGATTATCTACCCAACTTCCCACTTGATGTCTCCACCTGGAATTCCCACAAGGAACTCAAGGTAAACCAATCTCAAACTGAGCTCGATATCTAGGCCTGCCCCGCCTGGAGGGTAACTTTCTGAGTTTAGGCTACCATCACCCACACAAACTAGAAATCCAGGGCATGGGACATGGGGTGGGCTAGGAGGGGCATGTGGTCCCATTCACTTCTCCTTCATGCCTTAGGGCCAAGAGCTCCCATCAACTCCACCTGCTAAAACTGTCTGGTTCTCCCTGCCCACACTCCCACTCTCCAGACCCTCTTTCTCTCTCACCTGGGCTCTTATCTAGGTCTTCACTGGCCCCCTTGCCCCACTCGCTGCCCCTCCAATCCACCCTCTGCACTGCAAAACCCAAACTTCTGATACCCAAACTTTGCAAAAACACTCATGGAGATGACTGTAAGCTTACCTCCTGCCTCTCTCACTCTCATATTTTATACCCCCAAAATAATAAACCACTAAGTGGCCCCCAATCAAGCCATGCTAGTTCACATAAACACACTTTCCATGTGCTAGAAAGGTCCTAAGCACTCCTTCAATTCAAATTTCCCTTTCCCTTTTGCAAGAATAACCTCTTGAAAAAAAACCAAGCCCCATTTCCTTAGGCGTCTAGCATTCTAACACATCACTCTCTCTTTTACAAAGATTCTTGGCCCTCAGAGGTGTCATGCATGTACCCAACCTAGGGGTCCACCAGGACAACAGGCTTATAGATATGACACTCTAATGGAAAAATAATCACACAAACACAATCGGCAGAAAACCCAGAGGCGAGGAAAAGCAAGGGCGGCCAGAAGCCCCAGGGAATGGACCCATGCAATCTGAGTGACGGATGAAGAAAACTGCTTTCAGTCCTAGATTATACCATTCCATATAAAAGCATAACTGGTGGAGTCCATCATGGCTAAGAGCATGGACTCTGGAGCCAGACTGCCAAGGTTTGATCTTGGCCCTGTTACTTACCACCAGGGACCATGAGCAAGATCCTTAGCCTTTCTGTGCCTCAGTTTCCTCATCTAAACTATGGGCTTTGTGGGAATGAAATGAGTTAACACATGGAAAGCACTCTATGACACACCGTAGCTGTATATAAATGATAGATGTTATGATGTTCACACACTGAAGTCAAAAAAGAGCCAGAAAAACTCTATATACTGAAACAAAACAAAACAAAACCCTACCTCTATCCATTGATGAAGGTCTGCCACAGGCTCCACATTCCAACTCTAAACTTTTAAACCGTCTCTCCTCTTAACCCAGGACAACTAACTCAGGGATCCAGGTTCAGATCCTCCCAACACAGGTGCCTAAATTTCAGTCTTCTCAATTTCTTTTCATATGGAGCTTAAGCTGTGAAGTTTATGGAAACGATATGGTTTCAGGAGAAATCCTGGAATGGTATTTTAGTTCTTCTCAGGTATCCTGTTTTCCCTTTTTTTTTTTTTTTTTTTTTTTTTTTTTTTTTTTTTTTTTTTTTTTTTTTGAGACGGAATCTCGTTCTGTCGCCCGGGCTGGAGTGCAGTGGCGCAATCTCGGCTCACTGCAAGCTCTGCCTCCTGGGTTCACGCCATTCTCCTGCCTCAGCCTCCCAAGTAGCTGGGACCACAGGCCCCCGCCACCATGCCAGGCTCATTTTTTTGTATTTTTAGTGGAGACTTGGTTTCACTACATTAGCCAGGATGGTCTCGAGCTCCCGACCTCGTGATCTGCCTGCCTCAGCCTCCCAAAGTGCTGGGATTACAGGCATGAACCACCGCACCTGGCCTGTTTTCCCCTTTTAAAGGTGACTAGAATAGTGCTTCCTTATTCTAGAAATGACCAATGAGAAATGAGAGGTAATCAGGGTTCTCTACTGTAGGGGTCCCAAAGCCCCAGGCCATAGACCAGACTGGTCCATGGCCTGTTAGAAACTGGACCACACAGCAGGAGGTGAGCAGCGGCCAGCGAGCATTACTTCCTAAGCTCCACCTCCTGTCAGATCAGCGGCGGCATTAGATTCTCATAGGAACGTGAACCCCATTGTGAACTGCACATGCGAGGGATCTAGGCTGAGTGCTCCTTATGAGAATCTAATGCCTGATGATCTGAGGTGAAACAGTTCCATCCTGAAACCATCCTCCCGACCCCACCACAGGTCTGTGGAAAAAATATCTTCCACGAAACCAGTCCCTGGTGCTAAAAAGGTTAGGGACCAGGTCTGTGGAAAAAATGTCTTCCACAAAACCAGTCCCTGGTGCTAAAAAGGTTGGGGACCACTGCTCTACTTAACACTTTCACTAGGATCCCTTAAAGAGAGGACTAAATAATCATCACAATAACTTTCCTTTCTGTTTATAAAGAATAGATACCAATTAGAACAAATACCTGAGAAAAATGTGGTACTGTGTTGCAGTCACACAGTCTTCATCTTCTGCTATATAAGCAGTGGTTTGTTACCCTTTTCCCTCCTGTAAGCTGCTTTCACGAGTCAACCCTGACCACCAATATGGGAACTCAGGTAATGATAATAGCCATGACTTATTGAGAACTTACTGAATAATAAGACTTTTGCATACATTATGGTGGCCAGCTAAGAGCTGTCTCCTCAAACCCATTTGCCCCCTCTTCACCGTAGTGAGCTGTCACCATGGGTGCGCAGCTGCTCCAGGCACAGACAGGGAGCCCCATGCAGTGGATGACAGAGCTGTCCCACCTGCCAGGGTCCTTGAATGGTCTCGTGGCACAGATCCTGCTGTGGGCAGTTACTGGAGAGGCATAAACTTCCATTTGAGGAATCTGTTTGATTGGGCACTTTAGTCAAACACCAACTAATATAATTACCTCAGCTAATCCCTAAAAAACACAGGGGAACTAAGATGTAAGTACCACCTACCTCATTGAGTTACTGTAAGGATGAGAAACTGCATGCAGAGTCCTCATATACACATTTTCACTACTCCTATTTGAAAACATTTGTACTATTATTAGCCCCATTTTACAGATAAGAAAGTGGTAAATAAAATGCTCAAGACCGTATAGTTAATGTGTGGTAGCGCCAGAGTGGGAACTTAGACATCCAGCCTTAAAACTGATCTTTTAACCTCTGTGCTATTCTGCTTCCAGAAGGATGAAATGAGATCATACATAAAGAGCTTGGCCCAGCTGAGGAGCCGTCACCTAACCGTGCTCAGGAGTGCATCATGGTTGAGAGTGTGGGCTGTGGAGGTGATGGGCATCCAATGGCATCCAATTCTGCCCTGCTAGTATTAGATTTGTGCTTAGGCAGAAACCTTGGTTTTCTCATCTGTGAAAAGAGGGTGATACTACCAACCTTATAAGGCTGTAGTGAAGATTAAAGGAAGTAACATGTACCAACGGCTTATGACCGAGCCAGGCACAAGGCAGCGTTCAATGATGCAAGCAGAGGAAGAAGGGAACAGCTGGGGCTTCCTGCCCGTTTCCTCTGTCCTAACAGCTCCTTTTTGCAGACACTGGGAATCAAAACCAAAACGCATGCAACCTTCCACCTTGAAGAACAGCACCACATCATCTCTTTGCTAAGCCTGATTCCCGTTTTCTGGATAGGAAACTGACACACAAAGTATCTCCAGAATCATATCAGAGGTAAGTAGCAGGCCAGGATCGAGACGCAGCTCCAAATCTCCGGCCATAACGCTGCATGGCCCCTCACCCGGCTACCTCCCCTCTCAAAACACTCTGAGTCAGATAGAGGAGCTCTGTCCATGAGTGAACGAACGAATGAATAATTTAAATTTTTTAAATCAATTTGACAAATGAAAAGAGGGTGTACGGAGGTTAAACGTGGTTCCACCATGCGTTGGCTATGAGTCCTTGACCCCGCCAGCTTGTTTCCCAATCACTAAAATAAGGATTTGAACACCTCCTTTGCAGGGTCCCGGTGAACATCAAATGAAGAACTATGTGTAAGCGCCAGGTACAGTGTACCTGGCACGTATTAGGTTTTAATAAACGGCAACCAACTCTGACTAACGGTTGTCCCTGGGGAACACCTGCCAGGCACAGAGGGAGGCCCTACGGAGGCGCAGGGCAGAACTGGGCAGCAGCCGTCTAGGGAAGTGGCGGCGGATTAGAGAAACGGGCGGCCAGGCACAGGCACCCCCTACGAGTGAGATCTGGCCCCTCGAGCCAGATCTCCAGCCAGATGCCTCCAGCATCTGCTGCCGCGGAGAGCACGCACCAGGTCCCTCCTGCCCGGCAACAGGCGCACTCCGAGCGAGCCCAGCGCCTCTGCTCACCATGCCAGGTCCCGCTGCCAGAGGCCTAGAGGAGAAGCCCAGCTAGGGGCCGGCGTCTGGACGCCCGTGTCCCGACTGCGCGGGGTGAGGAGGAAGTGGAGATGTTTTCGGATCGCGAGCGCCGCGCGAGAACCCCGCCGCAACGGAAAGAAACAGACCCCTCGGCGCCGCCTCCCGCGTGGCGCCGCGGGGCCCCTCCCCCATACCTGCCGAAGTGCCCCACGTGGTCATAAATCCCCTCGAAGTGGCGGGACCCCATGGTGCGGCCGTGCACTGGGCGCCGAGTTAGCCGAGCTCCGGGGACTGCGGGTAGCGCGCCCCGCCCCGAACCTCCCCGCCCGGCCTCCTGCTCTCCCCGCGCGTCCCAGTGCTCGGGACCAGCGCGAGGCTGTATTCTGTTCCTCCCTCCGTCGCTTGGCCCCTCGGTCCCCCCAAGTATCTTCGGCTTTTTTCCTGCCGCCTCGGCCTCCTTCCCGGCGCGCTGTGGTCCCGGCGCCCGCGGTCGCATGGTGCCCTCGCCCCCAGCGCCGCCGCTCTCCCACCCGCCCCGCCGCCCACCCTGGCTCTTGGCACCATGTCTGCGGGGTCGCCACGCTCGAGGGAAGCCCCGACGCCTGGGAAAAGTTGTCGCTGAGAGAGAGCCCAGGGTGGGAATGCAAGGGCTAGGCTCGGTCCGGGGGCCGCAAGAATATATAGCCTTCAGCATGACGCCCCTCAGAAACATGGCTCTCAAACTTTAATGCCTAAGAATCTACTGCAGAACTTGGTTTAAAAGGTACATTTAAGGCCGGGCGCACTTGCTCACGCCTGTAATCCCAGCACTTTGGGAGGCCGAGGCGGGCGGATCACCTGAGGTCGGGAGTTCAAGACTAGCCTGACCAACATGGAGAAACCCCGTCTCCACTAAAAATACAAAATTAGCCGGGCGTGGTGGCACATGCCTGTAATCCCAGCTACTCGGGAGGCTGAGGCAGAAGAATCGCTTGAACCCTGGAGACGGAGGTTGCGGTGAGCCAAGATCGTGCCATTGCACTCCAGCCTGAGGAACAAGAGTGAAACTCCGTCTCAAAAAAATAAAAGTACAATTAGGCCGGCGTGGTGGCTCAGGCCTATAATCCCAGTGCTTTGGGAGGCCGAGGCAGGAGGATTGCTGGAGCCAAGGAGTTTGAGACCAGCCTGGGCAACGTATAGCGACACCTCGTCTATACAAAAATAAAAAATAAATAAATGTACATTTATTTTGAGACTCCATCCCTGATGATTCAGGATGCCTGGGGAACAGGAATCTGATTTTTTTTTTTTTTTTTTTTTTTTTTTTTTTTTTTTTTTTTGAGACGGAGTCTCGCTCTGTCGCCCAGGCTGGAGTGCAGTGGTGCAATCTCGGCTCACTGCAAGCTCCACCTCCCGGGTTCAAACCATTCTCCTGCCTCAGCCTCCCAAGTAGCGGGGAGGTGCCCGCCACCACGTCCGGCTAATATTTTGTATTTTTAGTAGAGACGGGGTTTCACCGTGTTAGCCAGGATGATTTCGATTTCCTGACGTCGTGATCCGACCGCCTTGGCCTCCCGAAATCTGATTTTTAATAAGCAGACCATGGCATTCCAAGCCACACTTTGGAGTGGGCAGGGGTTTGGCCCATAGCCAACCCAGGCAGGGGGTGACCTTCCTTCTGGAAGGTATCAAGTGAATGAACTTTAGGGAAGAAAGGTCAATTGCTGGTCCACAGCGCTGAAGCAGAAAAGCCAGTTTCCGACTATATCCACAGTGAGAGTTGCCTTCTCTAGTCAGCCTGGCAGTCACTGGCCCCACTGTTGGCGTGCTATTCCACTCTATAAGGCCACTAAACCTTGAGTTCCTAGAGAACAGGGATGCATTCTCTTCGTCACTTTGGTAGCCTCAGTTCCATAGCAAATGCCCTCTCTCTGAACTTCTCCACCTCATCCTTAAAATCTGAGCACACCTATCGCTTTCTCAGAGAAGTCCAACAGTTTGAGGGCCAGGGCAGAGCTCTACCAGAGCAGAGCATCAAGAGTGGGTCTGATGGCTCCGAGAAGCGGCAGGATCTTGCAAGGCTGTGTTGAACATTTTACTTTGACCAAAGGACAAGGAGAACTCCCTGTAGACAGTCTTAAAGCAGAAGAGTAACAGGCGCAAACTTGTACTTGAATAATATTTGAAAGAGAGGAGAGTCCATTTCCCAAAGTGCTTCCCTCCCCTACTTGTCACAGAGCCTACAATAACACCATTAAAAATTGACTTATTTTTGTTATGCACAATCCTATCTAGACATTCTCTTCTGAAACATAAATACTCTTGGAAGGACTAATCCCTTAAGTAATAAACAACTTGGAGAGGGTTTTTAAATTAGATAGTTTCCTGCTAACTAAAGAGACTTAAGAAAGCCTAAGTTCTTCAGGTGAGGAATGCTAGAGGGATACAAGGTGGGGGGAAGATGAGAGGGTAGTGAGGAGTAGTTATGTCAAGGGCTGAGCCTAGGAGGAAAGGTGGGGGCCATGGCAGCCAGTCAAGACGCCATATTGCTTCAAAGCACCAAAGGGAGAGTTACCTGGAAAAGATATGGAGAAATTGAACTTTGATATGAACACTATTCTTATTACACCAGATAGAAATGTCACAATATGGATAAAATGGACAAATTACTGAAAAATACAATCTAACAACACTCAAGAAGAAATAGATAACCAAAATAGGCCTACATCTATTAAAGAAATTGAATATGCAATTAAAAACCTTCTGATATAGTTTGGATGTTTGTCCTCTCCAAATCTCGTGTTGAAATGTAGTCCCTAATGTTGGAGGTGGGGCCTGGTGGGAGGGGTTTGGATCATGGATCCTTCATGAATGTCTTGGTGCCATCCTCCCCAGTAATGAGTGAATTCTCAGTTATGAGTTCACACAATATCTGGTTGTTTGAAAGAGTCTGGAACTTCCTCCTCCTTCTCTCTTGTTCCTTCTCTCACCATGTGATTCAGGGACCGCTTCATCTTCTGCCATGACTGGAAGCTTCCTGAGGCCCTCAACAGAAGCAGATGCTGGCACTATGCTTCATGTACAGCCTACAGAACCATGAGCCAAATAAATCTCCTTTCTTTATAAATTATCCAGTCTCAGGTATTCCTTTATAGCAATGCAAATAGACTAACACATGTTTCCACAAAGAAAACCCCAGGGTTGGCCACGTGCAGTGGCTCACACCTGTAGTCCTAACACTTTAGGAGGCTGAGGCAGGAGGATCGCCTGAGTCAAGGAGTTTGAGACCAGCCTGGGCAACATGGTGAAACCTCATCTCTATAAAAAATGCAAAACATTTGGCCAGGCATCATGGTGCACGCCTGTTATCCTAGCTACTTGGGAGGCTGAGGTGGGAGGATTACTTGAGCCTGGAAGGTCGAAGCTGCAGTGAGCCGTGACTGGGCCACTGCACTCCAGCCTGGGTGACACAGTGAGACCCTGCCTCAAAAAAAAGAAAAAAGAAAAAGAAAAGAAAGAAAGCCCCAGAGTCAGACATTTAAGGTAGAAATAATATTGATTCTGCACAAACTGTTCAAGGAAGTTGAAGATGAGTGAATACGTCCCAAATCACTGAATGGTCCAGCATTACTCTGACATCAAAACCAGGTAAAGACCTTACAAGGCAAGAAAACTATACACCAATATACCTATATGAACATAGATGCAATAATTCTCAACAAAACTTTAGCAAATTGGATGTCTCTTTATATTTAAAAGGACAAGTACATCATGAGCACATGAGATTTATCACAAGAATGCAAGAGTGATTTAACATCTGAAAATCAAGCAATATAATTTACCATACTAACAGACCATATGAAAAAACATGATTATCCCAGTCAATGCAAAAAACACATTTGGGAGAAGCCAACACCTTTTCATAATAAAAACACTGAACAAACTAAGAATAGAAGGGAATTACATCCATCTCATAAAGGGCATCTCCAAAAAACAACCCATAGCTAACAGTATACTTCATGTGAAAGACTGTATGTTTTCTCCCTAAGATTGGGAACTAGACAAAGATGTCTGTTCTCACTGCTTCTATTCAGCTTTGTATGGGGGGTTCTAACCAGAGCATTAGGTGGAAAAAAAGGCATTCAGATTGAAAAGGAAGAAATAAAACTGTGTTTATTCACAGATGACATGGTCAAATATAGAGAAAATCTGATGGAATCTATTTTTAATAGCTACTAGAATAAGTGATTTTAGCAAAGTTACAGGATATAAGATTAATATACAACAGTCTACTGTATTTCTATATACTAGTAAGGAACAATTAGAAATTGGAATTTTTTAAATACTGTTTTCTTCTTTTTTTTTTTTTTTTTTTTGATATAGGGTCTTACTGTGTTGTCCAGGCCGGACTGCAGTGGAATGATCATAGTCCACTGCAGCCTCAACCTCCTGGGCTCAAGTGATCCTCCCACCTCAGCCTCCTGAGTATTTGTGACTTCAGGCATGCACCACCATGCCCAGCTAATTTTGTAAATTTTTATTTATTTTTTCTTTTTTCCCCTCTTTTGTAGAGAACACGGTCTCGCTATATTGCCCAGGCAGGTCTCAAACTCCTGGGCTTAAGCTATACCCCACCTTTGCTTCCCTAAATGATAGGATTACAGGCATGATCCACTATGCTTGGCTATTTTTATTTCTTTTGTAAAGTGGAGGTCTCACTATGTTGCCTAGGCTGATCTTGAACTCCTAGGCTCAAGCAATCCTCCTATCTCAGCCTCCCAAAGCCATGCTGGGATTACAGGCATGAGCCACCAGGCCCAGCCTAAAATACCATTTTCAATAACACTTAAAATATACTTAGGGATAAATCTGACAAAAATGTGCAAGATCTGTAAACTGAAAACTAGGTATGAACATGTATTGTGCAACTTGCTCTTTCCCTTGAACATCTGTTTGTGAAATTCATCCATATTGATACATGCAGCTCTAATCCATTCTTTTTCATTGCTACATAGTATTCCATTGTCTCAATAAACCACAATTTACTTAATCATTTTCTTATTGATGGACAGGCAGGTTATAGCCAAAATCTTACTACAGCACCATTGCTATAAACTGTCCCTCTGTACATATTTGTGAGTTTTTCTAAGGTATATCTCCAGGAGTTGCTGTGTTATATGTATACCCTATAACACAACAACCCCTGGAAAACTGCTTAGAAAAACTTAAAATATTAAATATTGCCAAATTGCTTTCTAAAGTGATTATAACAATTTACCTTCCACTCAAGAGAGTATAAAAGTTCTAATGTCCCCACATCTTTGCCAATACTTGGATCATCACACTCTTAAAGATTAGTCCATTAAAGAGATGTAAAATAGTATTATATTGGGGTTTTAATTTGCATTTCTCTAATTAGTAGTGAGGTTTTACATCTTTTCATATGTTCATTGATCATTTGAGTTTTCTCTTCTGATAATTGTTTATTCATATTTTTTGCACATTTTTCTATTAAGTTATTTTTATTTATATTGATTTGTAAGTGTTCTTTGCAGAATCTGGATACCTATCTTTTGTCAGTTAAGTGTTATGAGTAATTGTGTTTTCAATCTCTTTAATGTGTCTTTTGATAATCAAAAGTTTTTAAAATTTTAATGGTGTCAAATTCATAAATGTTTTCCTTTAAGGTTTGTGATTTTGTGTCTTATTTTAAATTTTTTTCATTACCATGAGGCCACAAAAATATTCCCTTCTATTTTCTTCTAAAAGTCTGTATTAGTCCCTTTTCACGTTGCTATAAAGAAACACCTGAGATGGCGTAATTTACAAAGAAAAGAATTTTAATTGGCTCACTGTTCTGTAGGCTGTACAGGAAGCATGGTGCTGGCATCTGCTCAGCTTCTGGGGAGACCTCAGGAAACTTATAATCATAGCAGAGAGCAAAGGGCGAGCAGGCACGTCACATGGCCAGAGTGAAGCAAGAGAGGTAAAGAGCTGCTACACACTTTTGCATGCCCAGATCTCACATTAACTCACTCACTATCATGGAGAACAGCACCAAGATGTTGGTGCTAAACTATTCATGAGAAATCCCCCTCCATGATCAGTCATCTCCCACCAGCCCTCACCTCCAACATTGGGGATTACAATTCGACGTGAGATTTGGGCAAGGACACAGATCCAAACCATATCATCTTAAATCCACTGGAACAGACTGATTTGTTTGAGGTAGAGATCCAGTTTTGTTTTTTTTCTCATATAGATGACAAATTGTACCAGCCCCATTTATTGACTACTCCATCCTTTTCCTGCATTACCATCTCTGCCATCTACAAAGTTTCTATTTATGTGTGGGTTTATTCTGGGATCTCTAACTCTGTTCCATTGGTCTATTTATTTACCCCTGTGCCCATGTGTCTTTATTATTTATTATAGCTTTACACAATTTGCTCCAATCAGTCTTTCACCCTTCCTACTCCAAAATCGTTCTTATCAAAGTCACCATGATCTGTATGTTGCCAATTTTGTTAATTCTTAATATTTATTTAACTTAATCTCCATTGTCAAATAATAATTATTTCAAAAAGTGAAATCATGGCTCACATACAAATATAAAATGAATACATGTAAATGATTTTATTTTACTCACTAATGAGGGAACCGGTAAGATGTTACAACCAGTTTAAAGAAGTTAATGAAACTCACATACAAAAGCAATAAGGAATGCTATTCTAAATTTACAAATACAGTTGCACATTGCAAAACAACATTTTGGTCAACAATGGACCCCATATATGTTGGTATTCCCATAGGGTATAATGGAGCTGAAAAATTCCTGTTGCCTTGTAACATCATAGCTGTCCTAACATCATAGCACAATGCATTACGCAATGTATTTGTGGTGATGCTGGTGTAAACCAATTCACCGTACTACCAGTTGTATAAACGCATAGCACATACAACTATGTACAGTGCATAGGACTTGATAATGATCATAAGCAACTGTATTACTAGTTTACGTATTTACTATACTGTACATTCATCATTATTTTAGAGTGTACTCATCGTACTTATAAAAAAAGTTAGCTGTAGGCCGGGCTTGGTGGCTCATGCCTGTAATCCCAACACTTTGGGAGGCCAAGGCAGGCAGATCACCTGAGGTTGAGAGTTTGAGACCAGCCTGTCCAACATGGAGAAACCCCGTCTCTGCAAAAAATACAAAATTAGCCAGGCGTGGTGGCGGGTGCCTGTAATCCCAGCTACTCGGGAGGCTGAGGCAGGAGAATCGCTTGAACCCGGGAGGCAGAGGTTGCGGTGAGCCAAGATCACGCATTGCACTCCAGCCTGGGCAACAAAAGTGAAACTCTGTCTCAAAAGAAAAAAAAAAGTTAGCTGTAAAACAGCCTAAGATAAGTCCTTCAGGAGGTGCTCCAGAAGATGGCATTGTTGTCATAGGAGACGACAGCCCCAAGGATATTATTGCCCTTGAAGACATTCCAGTGGGACAAGGAGTAGAGGTGGAAGGCAGTGATATTGATAATCCTTACCCTGTGTGGCCTAGGCTAATGTATGTGTTTCTGTCTTCATTTTTAACAAAAAAGTTTAAAAAGTAAAAAAAAAAAAATTTAAATTAAAAAAGTTTATAGAATGAGGATATAAAGAACAAATATTTTTATACAGCTGTACAATGTGTTTGTGTATTAAGCCAAATATTATTAGAAAACAGTCAACAAGATTGTTAAAATTTAAAAGTTCATAGGATAAAAATGTTACGGTAATCTAAGGTTAATTTATTATTGAAGAAAGAAAAAAACGTTAAATATATTTAATGTAGCCTAGGTGTACAGTGTTTATAAAATCTACCATCAGGTACAATAATGTCCTAAGCCTTCACATTTACTATCTCTCACTCACTGGCTCCCCCAGGGCAGCTTCCAGTCCTGTAAGCTCCATTCATAGTAAGTGCACTACATACATGTAGCATTTCAAATCTTTTTTACTGTATTTCTACTGTGCCTTTTAAATATTTAGATATGTTTAGATGCAGAAATATTCACCACTGTGTTCCAATTGCCTACAGCATTCAGTTCAGTAACATGCTGTTCAGGTTTGTAGCCTCGAAGCAATAGGCTCTACCCTACAGCCTGGTGTGTAGTGGGCTATACCATCTAGGTTTGTGTAAGCACACTGTATGATGTTTGCACAATGACAAAATTGCCTAACAATACCGCATTTCTTAGAACATATCCTTGTGGTTAAGCATCACATGATTATAGATGCAAAACTGGTTTATTCACAGGGCAATTGCATTCTACCAATTCCACCAGTGCAATTAATTGCATTGTACTGGACATAATTTGTTTTCATAGACAAGAATCATTTGCATTATTGTCAGTTTTCTACAACTTAAAAAGTTGTAAAATAGCTCAAAAGCAATGAAAAATAAATATAACCCTGAAGGGTATACTAGACAGAACACTCAATTTTTTTGTCCATTTCAGTGTATTTCACAACGTTTATTGGCACCATAATATTGGTTTGTCCTTCTTGAAACATCTTCCATCTCCCATGCCACCCCAATCTCTTAATTTGCCTGTTCCCTTGCTGCTTGTTATATCTCATTCTCTTAGATCCCTCTCCTCTTCCCAATTTCTAAGTGTTGGGTGCCCCAAGGCTCTGAGTTCTTCTCTTTTCTTTTTACAGTCTACCTAGGTAATACCACCTCGTCTAAGATTTGGCAAACTATATCCTATGGGCCAAAATCTGACCCACTATCTGCTTTCTAAAATAAAGTTTTATTGGAACATGGTCATGATCATTCATTCACATATTGTCTATGGCTGCTTTCATATTATAATGGCAGAGTTGAGTGGTTGGGACAATCCTAAAACACTTACCATCTTGTTCTTTACAGACAATCTTAATGGCTTTCAAAACATACATTGATAATCCCCAGAGTTACATGTCCAACATGACCTCATCCCAGCACTCTAGACTTGTTAACACCTCCACCTTCTCCACATCTCCACCACACATCCCAAAGCCACATTTCACCGTGGCCACCCTCACTCCTGTTCCTCTCCAGCACTTCCCATCTCGGTAAATGACATCCCTGTCCTTGAGTTGCTCAGGCCAAAACCCTTGGTGTCTTTTACTACTCCTCTTTTGCTTTCACACTCCATATCCTTTTCCATTAGAAAATTCTGGTTGCTCTTCCTTTATAATAGACCCCGATTCTGTTATACTCTGTCTCTCCCAGCTGCTCTCCTTGCTTCCTCCCTCACCCCACATAGCAGGAAATAGAATCCAGATCAAGTCCCTCCCTTGCTCAGCTGCTTCCTATCATGCTCAGAAAAAAATGCAAAGTCCGGCCACAGCTCTGGCTGCTTCTTTGACCCACCTCCCTACCACTCTTTCTCAACTCCTGCTCCACTCCAGCCACACTGGCATCCTTGCTCATCCTCAAAGACAGCAAACACAGTAAACACCCACCTCCCTAGTCTCTGGATTTTTCGCGTGCTATTCCTCTGCCTGAAACTTCTGGTCCTGGAGAGCCACGTGGCTCATTTCCTCACTTCAGTCAGGTCATTGTTCTCTGCTCCTCCTAAAATATCAGTCCTCATCATTTTCTAGCCCCTTACCATGCTACCTTGTTTTGTTTTTCTTCAACCTAATTATATATATATGTAATACATATATAATATGTGCATTCTGATATCATTACTCTCAAATACGAGCTCCACGAGAGCAAGCATTTTGACATATAATAGGTGCTCAATAAATATATGTTGAATAAATGAATGAATGGACATAGTCCAAGCAGAGGGAATAATAAAACAAACTGTAAGCAATTTCCTAAAAGCAGTTTCTCCACACATGAATGGAAGAAGACTGGGGTCCTGGCTCTAACCCCACCCAGCACTCAGGCAAGCCTTTCAGCTTCCTAAAAGGGAGCCTACCAACAACACACTTGCCCTTTAGAAATGCAATAAAGTCATCTTAACACAATACAGGGTGGATATATTTCTGCCAGTAAGTGGAAGGGAGGTGGGAAGAAAGGGAGGGGAGAAAGCAGGGGCCTGAGAGGAAACTATGTATGTGCATTCTTCTAAATCTAGAAGGTGTAGTTGTTCAGTTGGGTGACTTAGAGTCCCTGGCACGTGAGTAAATGTTCTGATGTCCAGTGGTCCAAGGGGCCTCCAGGCCCAACCCTCATCTCAGCCTGGCCTTTCTATTCAAAGTGTCCCTGGAACCACATCTAGGTCCATACAAGGTATCCAGAAAGTAGAAAGAGGACAGACAACAAACACCACAATTGAGTTAATTGATGGGCAAAGAGTGACCAAGAGCTCTACTTATAAAATGACAAGTATGCATCCGATTATAAGGTTAGCTATAAATGGACCGGAAGCATCCAGAGCTAAGAAATCATCAACAAAGTGGGAAGGGGAGTTTGTGTGGTGGGGGAGGGGGAGGATGGCAGCTCACTGAGTTATTGCAGTAAGAGTCTTGCAGCCATTCTCATAGGGTCTGCCCCACCCTGTCCTCCCCTTGGCCCAGGGAACCTGCTCCAGCTACCAAGCCGAAGTCCTTCCTCAGGAGAGCCCAGTCAGAGCCTGCCTGGGGAAATTCCAGAGTCAAGTTTGTCTCAGCACCCTCTCACTTCACTTCCCACACTTCTCTCCAATTCCAGACACCCCATCACCTGTGTCCCACCATGCATCAGGCTGGGGCTGGTTTCTAATTGCCACCCTCACCTGTACCTAGCACTCACTGTGTTCTACCCATCTGAAGGCTCCTGGTTCCAAATTACCTCCTCTCCATTTCTCAAAGTCCTGCTTTCCAGGGCCTGTGAATCTAGATGGAATTTAGGCTAATACTGGATTCTCTGTCGAAAAATTACCTTGGCTCCCCCACTGCCTTTGAATGTTGATGTCCCCAGCATTTCTTTTTTTCTTTTCTTTTCTTTTTTTTTTTTTTTTTTTTTTTTGAGATGGAGTCTCACCCTGTCACCCAGGCTGGAGTGCAATGGCGCAATCTTGGCTCACTGCAACCTCTGCCTCCTGGGTTCAAGCAATTCTCCTGCCTCAGCCTCCCAAGTAGCTGGGATTACAGGCACATACCACCACACCCAGCTAATTTTTTTTGTATCTTTAGTAGGGACGGGATTTAATCACGCTGGCCAGGCTGGTCCCAAACTCCTGACCTCGTGATCTGCCCACCTCAGCCTTCCAAAGTGCTGGGATTACAGGCGTGACCCACCACACCCGGCCGTCCTCTGCATTTCTTATCCCTGGCTCTTCTTCCCCTATTTCCTCTCTCTCTCTTTTCGTAAAATTAGAGACAGGGTCTCACTATGTTGCCCAGGCTGGACTCAAACTCGTGGGCTCAAGTGATCCTCCTGCCTCAGTCTTCTAAGTAGCTGGGACTACAGGTGCTCGTGCCACCATGGCTGGCTCCCTCTTCTGATTGAGCAGATTCTCCAGGTCCAGATCCCAGAAAATACCACCCAAACTGTAACAACCTAATGGGTTCGTCTTGCCCACTGTCCAGAAAAGCTAATGCACTAAGAACATCAGGTGTTGCAGCAAATAAACAGTTTAATTAGCTGGGCATAGTGGCTCACACTTGTAATCTCAGCACTTCAGGAGACCAAGGCAGGAGGATCACTTGAGCCTGGGAGTTTGAGACCAGCCTGGGCAGCATAATGAGACCTCATCTCTACAAAAAATAAACAAAATTGTCAGAGGTGTTTGAACCAGAACAACTCCATTTTGAATAGGAGCTGGGCAAAATAAGGCTGAGACCTGCTGAGCTGCATTCCCAGCTGGTTAGGCATTCTAATTTACAGGATGAGATAGGAGGTTGGCACAAGATACAGGTCATAAAGACCTTGCTGATAAAACAGATTGCAATAAAGAAGCGAGCTAAAACCCACTGAAACCAAGATGGCCATGAGCGTGACCTCTGGTTGTCCTCACTGCTACACTCCCACCAGCGCCATGACAGTTTACAAATGCTATGACTATGTCAGGAAGTTACCCTATGTGGTCTAAAAAGGGGAGGCAGGAATAATCCACCCCTTGTTTGGTGTATATTTTAGAAATAACCATTAAAAAGGGTAACCAGCAGCCCTTGGGGCTGCTCTGCCAATGGAGTAGCCATTCTTTTATTCCTTTACTTTCTTTATGTACTTATTTTCCCTTTATAGACTCACCCTGAATTCTTTCTTGCACAAGATCCAATAACCCCCTCTTGGGGTCTGGATCAGGACCCCTTTCCAGTAACAACTTTCTGGAGAGCCATGAAAAGACTACACTGAGGAGACCCTCGACTCAAAGGAAATAGACTAGCACTGACTGACTGATTTTGGGTACATGGTGGAGTACCCGGGTCAAGGATGGGATTGGGTTAGGGGCCCAACTTAGGGGAGTTAGAGTCTCTCCTAAGACAGAGAGGGTTAAAGACCCCTCTTAAGAAAAGGCAAGGATGCTTGACCAAACCTTGGTTCACGGCCCAACTTAGGAAGATTAGAGTCCTTCCTAAAATTTAGGGGGTTGGAGGCCTGTCTTGGTAAAGTCCCTCTCAGCTAAGAACAGGTTTGGCATTACAGGATGTTAACTGCTATTTCTTTGGATAAGTCTGCCTTGCACTCTTTGCTGGTGGCTGTGGGTGACAGAATTAGTCATGTACAGGATCATGGGACATGGGGAGCTTTTTCCTCCCTAAAGGAGGAAACTTGAGAGCTGGTGAAACTGCTGGAAAAGATCCCTTCGTGACTGACAAGAAGCCACCTGAACTTTTGATTCAGCATCGCTGGGATGGGTGGGTTTTTCTCTGGCCTCTCTGAGCTCTTCACCTTCCCCACCCTACTGCAGACTACGCTTCACTCCTTTTCTCTCCTTTCTCTTTCTTATCTTTTCTATTACCCAGGGCTACCATCTTGCCCAGAGACCACAAATTGAAACTCCTGGTTGGAGACTGGATTAACAATTATGGGGCCAACCGGGGGCAAGTTTGAGCTTTGCCAGTTTGATATTGGGTGCTAAGCAGAGTGGCTGATGTCTGTGTTTTGTCACACATATTTTGCTCCAGCCAGAATGGAAAAAGATAATTTTCCTTTGTGTTGAGGGTTGGCCCCCAGCGCTATGGTGCAGCAAGCCAGGTCACTAGGGCCACTCAGGCAAAGGGAACCCAGAAGCCTGGCATGCTGGCAAAAGGGTAAGAATTTCTTACCAGTCAGACTTCTGGCCTCTCTCTCTTGCTGTGCAAACTGATTGAATGAATGGTAAAAATCTCTGTTTATCTTCTGTAAAGTTTTAATTAATGAGAAAAAGGATTTGTGAGGGTAATCTTATGCTGTAGCAAATCTGGTGTGCTTTGTGTGTCTTTCTGTATTGTTCTGTCATAAAGATGGGTACCGTAGGATAGAATGCAAGCCTAGGACCCCTGTAAACCCACTGTTCAAGATGGTCCAGCAAACTGGTCAGTTACAAATTTTGCTGCAGGTCTCTGAAACCAAAAAAACTGGATAAAGTTTCCCTCTCATCTTGTTTCATGTCCTTGGGAGCTTGACCTTGTAACCATGTGGCAGTACTGTCTCTTGGTCTCTGCCATTTTACAATGATGGCCTGGGTTCAATTCCAGCTTAGGAGATGACCCCTTTCTGGTTTGATTTCTGCATGACCTTTAACATTTGTTGATTCTCTTCCCCTCCATGTACAATTTCTGGTTCCCTTCTTGAATCTTCCTTTCTTTTAGCTACCACTGGAGATTCTAGATCTTGTAAAAACTGCTTACCACCTTTTTGAAAATACCTCATACACTCGTGATTAAGCCATAACTTTAGTTAAGACTTGTTGGTTTCACCTGTGAGGTTGCTTTTGGTAAAGTTCAAAAGCCAGGAATCTTGGCCGTTTGGCCTGGCTAAAGTCTGGTAATACGAGATTTAAAAGGACTTTTTAAAAGAGCACTGTGGTTAAGTCAGCTTATTCAAGCTCTAACAGCCTGGAAATCCTTGGGGAAAACATAGGAGGAGCCACAGATCCCATTTTGGGAAAAACCTCTGTTTTCCTCATGGAACCCCAGGGATTAAAAAGTGGATAGATTCCTCTCAAAATCTAAGGCTTTGTACTGTTTTGCATTGCATTAACTGACATTTTTTACTTTTGGGGGTATTAAAAATTACTTCCCATTATGAGAGAGCTTTGGTGTATAATAACTAGGTAGGCAAATATTTTGTCAGAAAAATAAAAAGTGTGATGCATTTTAGTTCACATGACTTGAGTAATCTTTGAGAAATAAAAATGGTTTTAAAGATTACTGGTAAAATAAAAATATCTTCAAAAATGTAGACATTTGGTCTAAATTATGCAGGTCATATATTAGGTTTGCTAAATGCTTTAAGGTAATGAACTGCTTCTTTGACTTTTTGGAAGGTTTCTGAAAAATTGGTCTTACAAAAGAAATTATGTGTGTGAACATATTGGCTAAAGTTAAAGGAATTAATCTTCAGTTTTTCAATAAATTGAATATTGGAATAAAAGCACAACCGGTTTTTCTTAGAGCACTGATCTGCTCTTTAACAAAAATTATAAATTATGTCTTTTTCTGACTTAATTAATCTTTTAAGATATTAGGTTTCCTAAAGTCCAAAAATAACATAATTTGGCTTATTTGGCATAAAAATTATACAGGAAGCATTGTCAAATATGAAATAATGTTTGACTTTCTTTGGGCTGTATTTGTAGAAGTATCTTACTGGTATGTGTTCAAAAGTTATGTGAAACTCCTATAATTCTGGTAGGACTTAGTATACATTATCAGTAATAACTGTTACGTTAAATTATTGTGTGCTACAGAGGTAACAAATTTCTTTGTCAACCGTGGTTTTTTGTTTTTGTTTTTGTTTTTGTTTTGTTTTGTTTTGTTTTCTTGAGACAGAGTCTTGCTCTGTTGCCCAGGTTGGAATGCAATGGTGTGATCTTGGCACTGCAACCTCTGCCTCCCAGGTTCAAGTGATTCTCCTGCCTCAGTCTCCTGAGTAACTGGGATTACAGGCGCACACCACCACACCCGACTAATTTTGTATTTTTAATAGAGATGGGGTTTCACCAGGTTGGCCAAGCTGGTCTCAAAATCCTGACCTCAAGTGATCCAAGTGATTTTTTTAAAAAAATTAGAAAAAAAATGTTAATTATCACCAACCGAGCAGAAGTACAGGAAACATTTCTCAAATTCACCTCCCCAAAAGCTCTGAGGCTAGGGTTTTTAGGTACAATTTGGCAGGCAGGGGGCTAAGAAATGGGTGCTGCTGATTGATTGGGAATGAAATATGTTAGTGTCCGAAGTGTCTTCGCATGCTGAGTTTGTTTCTGGATGGGAGTTTCTGTGTGGGTGTCATGTTCCTTGGTATGAGTCACGGGTCCAGGTGGAGTCAGTTGGTTGCCAGAATACAAAAGTCTGAAAAATATCTCAAAGATCAATTTTAGGTTTTGACAATAATGATGTTATCTGTAGGAGCAATTGGGATTGGGGAAGTTACAGATCTTGTGCCCTTCAGCTACCAGCTACGTTACTCTTGAGCTGTAAGGATTTACAGAAAAGCAAGCTAGGGAACAATAGCTGTTAATCATTTAACTACGCCTACATTTTAGCAGAATTCAGGCCCCTCCCATAATCCTAATCTTGGGGACTTTCAGGAGTCTTACAAAGACTGTTTCAGTTCCTGGGCAAGGAGAATATTAGTTTTGGCTGTTATTAGAAGAGGCTGTTATTCTCTTTGTTTTACAGTTAACAAAGGGGATTAGCTTGTGAGGCTAGAAGCCAGATGACGCCAGCTATATCAGATTTCTCTCACTGTCATAATTTTTGCAAAGGCAGTTTCACTACTACTTGATAAAGCCAAGCCTCACAGCAGTAAGGGAAACTACTTACTTGCCAGAGTCTTAATAGTGTTCAGAAAGCAGAGGACGAAAGGAGATGAGGTTTTGGAGTCTGGTTCCAGGCAGGTATTTCAACGGAGGGGCTGGATTGGGGTTTGATAATGATCTTGATATGAGTTTAGGATTGGAGGACACAGTGAGGTGGGGATTTTGAGGCAAGGGGTTCAAAAGATTCTGGGGAGCAAACTGTTGTTTCACACTTTCTACTGAAAAGTTTAACCATTTGATATTCATTTAAATGAGTTTGGGAAATTCCTGAAATGAACCACAAGGTATTTGTAACATATATCTTTCTGGGAAAGAGTTTCCTGGAATAGTAAAGTCATGTTAATGAAGACAGCGCAATAGTAAAATGATGTCAATGTAGAAAGCCAGCTGTGTGGAGGGAAATTGTTTCAGTTCTCATCACACACCTACAGGCTCCTCAGCCCACCTCTTCCTCATCGGCTTAGATCCTAAGCCCCAGCTCTCCACCGAATGAAGTAACTCTCTAAGATTCCCATGCGAATAGGTCACCCTGTCTAATATCCTCCCATGGCTCCTTGGCTTTCAGAATTGCGTCATCTCCTCATCATAGCTTTGAAGGACTCCCAGGACTAGATTCCTGCTCCCCTCTCAGGTATCACCTCCAGTCACGTTCCCATACAACTCCTCTGCTCTAGAACTGCAGGGCTCCGTCAGTTCCCATGATGCATGGTGCCCACTCACACCACCACACCTTTGTCCATGTCAGCCTGTCAGCCTGGAAATCCCTCCCTACCTCACTGGATAAATCCTATTCATTCTTCAGGATGCAGTTACAGTGCCACTTGATGTTTGGTCTCTGATGACAACCAAATAATTTCCAACTCCTTTCTCCAGCTTCAGAAAGTGAGCTGTGGAGTCAGAAACACTACCTAACAGCTATGTAATCCTGAGGGATTCATTTAGCCTCTCTTTCTCTTGAAGGTAACAATAGTGCCTACCTGGTTATGATTATTAAATAAGACCAGTGTTTCCCACACTTCAGCATCCCACCACTGATGACCACCTTCATATCTGTCATATCGCTATAATTTTCTAAATAAATTGACTCACATTGTAAAATTCCTTTTTTAAAAAGAGATGGAGTCTTGCTCTATCACTCAGGCTGCTGGAGTGCAAGTAGCGCTGTTACAGGTAGTTAGACAAGCATGAGTGGGGCTGGAGAGGGCTCTTCCCCCACCCGCTAGGAATGTCAGGTGATGTTTTGGCAATGATCACATTGCCTCTCTAAAAGGGATACATTGGCAGCCTGCACCAGGGAGAAGCCATGTCCTGATGGCCTGCACCTGTTGCACTGAAGTGTTAATTGAGCGCAGGCACCAGGGAGACACAACTTCCTGGGCATGTGCATTAAGAGATAAAATGGAGGCCAGGCACGGTGACTCATGCCTGTAATCCTAGCACTTTGGGAGGCCAAGGCGGGCGGATCACCTGAGGTTGGGAGTTCAAGACCAGCCTGACCAACATGGAGAAACCCCATCTCTACTAAAAAAAAAAAAAAAATACAAAATTAGCCGGGCGTGGTGGTGCAAGCCTGTAATCACAGCTACTCGGGAGGTCGAGGCAGGAGAACCACTTGTACCCGGGAGGCGGAGGTTATGGTGAGCCAAGAGCGCACCACCGTACTCCAGCCTGGGCAACAAGAGTGAAACTCCAACTCAAAAAAAAAAAAAAAAAGGGAGACAAAATGGCAAAGGATGACCTTCTGAGGGCACTCCACCAGAAAAGGGAAGAAAGCCTCAGATGGGCATGTGTACAACTTCCTAAGCACTGTGAATGCTCATCTCCCAAGGATAAGGAGGGCACTGTGCATGCGGGCAGCCCACTCTGAGAGAAGAATCATGGGAAAGGGGCCAGCCTATAAAGTCCTAGGATCAAAGTTCAACACTGCACTTGACCTTCAGGTGCCTGTTTGGGTGCAAGTGAATTTTCCTTTCTTTCCTGTTCTAAAGCCTTTTTTTTTTAAATAAGCCTTTTTAAATAAACTGCTCTGAAACTTGCCTCAGTTTCTTTTTCTGCCTTATGCTCCTCGGTTGAATTCTTTCTTCTGAGAAAGGAAGAACTGAGGTTGCTGCAGACCCATACAGATTCACCAGTAACTCTGATATCTTCCACCGGTAACAGTGCAATCATAGCTTGCTGCAGCCTCAAACTCCTGGCCTCAAGCAATCCTCCCACGTCAGCCTCCTGAGTAGCTGGGACTATAGCAGTGTGACCATGCCCAATTTAAAACTAGTATTTAATATGCTTGTTTTTATATGCTATGTGTATTCATCAGAGCTAAGTAGTGGAAACAGAAACCCCTCTAAGTATTTCAAGCAGAGAGGGATATAAGTAAGATAATTATATGCTTTCAACATTGTTGGAAGAGCTGGAGGAGAAGTCAGGGGTCATAACATGAGTACTGGTTTCAAGGTCACACCACCAGAGTTTCAACCCAGAGATCAGGAAGCTGCTGGGCAGCTGCTGTTACCGCCATGGCAGCACCACCACTGCACCACTGCCTCACTCCCGCTTATGAGGAAGATTGAACTGGGAACACTGCACAATTCCAAAAGGAACAATGCAGCCTATGTCATTGGTCATCTCACCCTGTGTCCTCTAAGAAAAGACAAAGTAAGGAATGAAGCGTGGGTCATCTAAGGAACAAAGCTAACCCTGGTTCTTGCCTCGCTGGAACACCTGCACTGCTCTTATGATGGCCTTTCTTAAAAGGACGTTTATTTTCTGACTCCCATTTCCCTCCACCTCTCTTCCATCCTGCTGCTTCCAATTCTCTTTAGCTTCTTTAAGCAACTACAAGTGGCCAGTTGCTATCAAAGACTAGGAGAAGGTTTAAAGGAGGGATATTCATAAGATTTGGTCCTTCATTTAATAAGTACGTGTGTTACCTGCATCTTCTCTGCGTGCAGGGGCAAAAATGAGTTTAAGATGTAATCCTTTATGTAAAAACATACATACATGGCACCAGACACTGTGCTAAGCCCTTAGCATTCATTATCCCATTTACTTCTCTCAGATCTCTAAGATCAACACTGCTGTCATCCTCATATTCAGATAAGAAAAATGAGACTCAGAGAGAATGGGTAGTCTTTTTAATGTCACCCAAGCTCTAGAGTTGCAGAGACAGATTCAAACCCAGCCCTGTCTTACCCCAAAGCCACTGCCCATTCCATGACAGTGGCATTTCTTGTTATCGAAAAGTGTGGTGTTTTGCCGAGATGCCATCAAAATAACTAGAACCTAAATCTGGTAACTTCAAACTGTCAGTTCCCCACTCTCCCTAAGAAATGCCTACAAGTTCCTGTGCCATCAGCGCTCAAAGGCAGCCGACTGGCCTGGGGGTCAAATCAAAAGCCTTAAGACTCCAGGGAGGAAGTACTTGCTTCTGAGTATGGTAGACTTCCAGAAAGACTCAACATTTGATCCAAGATTGGAAAGATAAGTAAACATTGCCAGGCAGAGGTGGGGCAAAGAGCATGTTCCAGGTAAAGATGCAGATGTGGGAAAACCCAGGACCTGTTTGAGGGGCGTGTGGAACACGCTGGAAACAGCAGCAGATGAGGAGAGGACAAGTGTGTGGCGCTTAGCCTAGTGCCCGGCACATAGGAAGTACCGGGTACATTTTCCTGGAAGGCCTTGGAACTCATCGTTAAGAGAGCAGCCTCGGAGTCAGAGGCCTGGCTGTAAATTCTGTCTCTACCACTTAAAAACTGTGAGGCCTTGGGCACTGGCTTATCTCTCAGGTGTCACTTCCCCATCAAAATGGTGAACTAACAGTCTTGCCTCATGGTGGTCATGAGGATCAAATGACATAGGCCCTCTTAAGTGCTCTCTCTGGCGTCCTAATTAGGGAAAGGGAGTCAGGCTGGTGGGAGCAAGGGAAAGCAAAAAGAAGAAGCAGATAAGCTACAAGTCTGCCTTTCTATATGCTCCAGGACACACAGCCCTCCTACACAAATAACTCACAATCTTCCTACACCGAGCTATCACCAGACCTTCAGCTGATACGAAAAAATGCAAGTTAGCTCCCTGCAACCTTGGCGTTAATCAGTACTGAATGAGACACTCTGCAGCCTCAGAACCAACCTATAAAACCTCCAGCAAGCCTTTGTTTCTTTGCAGTCAGCGCCTCTTCTGCTGAGCCTGCCCGTTGCTTCCTGGAAAGGTATTTTCATACTTTCTCTAATGAATCTGCCTTTTTCTACCTACAACTGCCTTGGTAAATTTTTTTTTTTTTTTTTTTGAGACGGAGTTTCACTCTTGTTGTCCAGGCTGGAGTGCAATGGCGCAACCTCAGCTCAGAGCAACCTCCGCCTCCCGGCTTGAAGCGATTCTACTGCCTCAGCCTCCCGAGTAGCTGTGATTACAGGCATGCGCCACCATGCCTGGCTAATTTTGAATTTTTAAAGAAGCAGGGTTTCTCCACGTTGGTCAGGCTGGTCGCCAACTCCTGACCTCGGGTGATCCGCCCGCCTCAGCCTCCCAAACTGCTGGGATTACAGGCGTAAGCCACCGCACCCGGCCTGTCTTGGTAAATTCTTTTATCTCCCCGCCACCTGTCCAGATAGTCGTCGCTCGCCTCCGACACTTTCTTCATGGCTTCAGCTGCAAGTAACAGCAAACCCAACTCAAACAGGCCGAAGAAAACAAGGGACGTTTTTGACTCACTCTGGGAAAAGTCCAGAGGTGGAACAAGCCCCACGTGCCATGGGATCCAGA
Source organism: Homo sapiens (assembly GCF_000001405.40). Classification (NCBI taxonomy): domain Eukaryota; kingdom Metazoa; phylum Chordata; class Mammalia; order Primates; family Hominidae; genus Homo; species Homo sapiens. The sequence goes on from NC_000006.12 coordinate 110,496,997, forward strand.
GAGACAGTGTCATCAGGTCTCCCTTTCTCTCTCATTCTCCATCACTTCTCCTCTCTGCTTCTCTGTGTAGATTTCAAACCCAGAAGAGAGAAGCCCCCTCTCCACCACACCTACACATCACATTTCAGAAAGCTAAGGATGGGGCCGGGCGCGGTGGCTCAAGCCTGTTATCCCAGCACTTTGAGACGCTGAGGCAAGAAGATCACCTGAGGTTAGGAGTTCGAGGCCAGCCTGACCAACATGGCGAAACCCTGTCTCCACTAAAAATACAAAAATTAACCAGGCGTGGTGGCACTTGCCTGTAATCTCAGCTACTCTGGAGGCTGGGACAGGAGACCAGCTTGAACCCAGGAAGCAGAGGTTTCAGTGAGCCAAGATAGTACCACTGCACTCCAGCCTGGGCGATAGAGCAAGACTCCATCTCAAAAAAAAAAAAAAAAAAAAAAGAAAGAAAGCTGAGAGTGGCGGTGGGGCGGCAGAGAGTAGAATGCTCGGATTGGCTGGCCTGTGGCCAGGCTGTGAAAAGCTCTCATTGGCTGGCCCATGGCCAGGCTGTGAAGGGTTCTGATTGGCTGGCCTGTAGCCAGGCCGTGAAATGCTCTGACTGGCTGGCCTGCATCATATGCTCATCTCTCATCAATAGCAGCGCAACACTTCAGAGACTGGGAGAGGAAGTGGGGGAGAAAGCACATTCCTGGAAAGGGATTTTAGATGGACAAATTAACATTTAGATGCTTTTAACAGAGTACCTGGCTTGTGATAAGTCAATAAAGTTGGGGCCACAAGGAGGAGGGGAGCCTTGAATTCTAGGCCAAGACTACTGAGCTTTAGTTAATGGACAGTGGGGAGCTTACTGAAGTTTTTGTCCAGAGTGGTGCTGTCAGAAGATTGGTCTGATAATGGGGTGTAGCAGAGAGTGGAGGAGGGTGGAGAAGCTGATGGCAGAAAGATTCTCTGGGAGCCTAGTATTCACCATCCAGGTTAAAGAGATGATAGTAGATACAGAATAAAGGGCTTCACTCAATGATGGAGAAGAATGACAGGCTATGGGAACCTACTCCCTGGGGTCAGCAAATAAACGTGAGGAGGGGAGAGGAGGTTACAAGCCTGAGTATCTGACAGGATGGTGGTCTGACCTTTCCAGCTTCTCTCTTTCCTCCTCCCTCTTTTCCGCCTTTCCCTCCCTCCCCACTCTCTTTCAAAATGATGCATGTTTCCCTCTTATCCTGGACAGCACAGTCTTTCTCTGATGTATTTCACGTGCACACCTGCTGAGGGCTCTACCTGGAGCAGTTTTGAAAGGATTGGTTCCTAAACAAATGCAGTGAATTAAGAAAGGTTCCAGTGAATGAAATGTTTTCCCTCTTAGCATAAAAAAAAGAAACAAACAGGGGATCTGTAGAATGTGCAAAAGACCTGGAATACCTACTATCAGTCTCTTTCAAAGAACATGAAATGGATAAAATTTTGGCCTAGGAACCTTGAGTGTTATAACATGTTGATGTTAGAAATGCAAAGAATGTAGCAGAAGATGGGTTCTGCCAGCATCAGTAGAGAGGTGAAAGGTGTGTGTGCATCTGTGTGTGTGTGTGTGTGTGTGTGTTTACAGGTCTGTGAGTGAGCTGAAGAATAACAACTAACACCTTCGAGATAGCTAGCTGCTTCCCACAGTGACACTGACCAAAGTTATCAAAAAAATAAGGAGCAGGTCTGAGGAAGGCAACAGAGAAATTTTTCGAGCTCTGCTTCCAAAGTGTATTTCTTAAGGGGCTGGGGTGTGAAGCAGACGGTTGCGGAATGTGATGCACTGAAGCTACCTGGAAGCAACCTGTCCCTGCTCCACGGAGCCCTCAGCCCAGGCAGAGGCCACAATACATTTTTTTAAAGCAGTGATGAAAATTTGCTCTTGTGTTTCGCCTTTGAAACTTGGGTGTGTTACTGAGTCTTTTGACAATCTCAAGAGGAATGCTAATCCCCCTCTTCATAATCTGGGAAGTAAAACCGACTATAAACCACCCAAAGAAGTAGTTATGGCATGGCCTATTATTTGTCTGCCAGCTTCAATCTTTCACAACATAGCCTCTTGCATAAAGACCACATAGGGGATGGCAGAACAGCAAGTTAGAAGGTGCCTATGACTCTGAAAATCTGATAAAGACATTAATAGGGTAGTGACAGTTGGGAGCAGGCCCCCCAAAATCTGGCCATAAACTGGCCCCAAAACTGGCCATAAACAAAATATCTGCAGCACTGTAACATGTTCATAATGGCCCTAATGCCCACACTGGAAGGTTGTAGGTTTACGGGAATGAGGGCAAGGAACACCTGGCCCACCCAGGGCGGAAAACCGCTTAAAGTCATTCTTAAGCCACAAACAATAGCATGAGCGATCTGTGCCTTAAGGACAGGCTCCTGCTGCAGTTAACTAGCCCAACCTACTCCTTTAATTCAACCCATCCCTTCGTTTCCCATAAGGGATACTTTTAGTTAATTTAATATCTATAGAAACAATGCTAATGACTGGTTTGCTGTTAATAAATATGTGGGTAAATCTCTGTTCTGGGCTCTCAGCTCTGAAGGCTGTGAGACCCCTGATTTCCCACTTCACACCTCTATATTTCTGTGTTTGTCTTTAATTCCTCTATTGCCACTGGGTTAGGGTCTCCTCGACCGAGCTGGTCTCAGCAAGTGGCATCCATCGTGGGGGCTCAAATCTAGGTCAAAGGGTCACCAGAGCGACAGTTGGAATGGAAAACTAGCTGGAGGATACCCGAGTACTCTTAAAGCAATCACCGTGGTGAGTAAGAAGGGGAGCTCAGAAGCGTCAGGGTAACAATGGGACAGATGTGGGGTCTGGTTGGTTTCACCTTGGAACTTTTTCACACTGATGATGAGGAGGAACAAGAGTATAGAGTATAGCGAAGTAACAGAAGAGGTTACAGAGCATGTTTATTTACCAGCTAAAGCTAAAGTGGCAAAGGAGGGAGAGGTTCATCCCTACCCTTCTGCACCCCCTCCTTATTATTTTGAAGAAAATGACCCTCCAGATCTTTCTTTTCCAGAGGACACTGGGCAAAAATTAGTTGCCCCAGTGACTGTTCGAGCAGCGCCTTGAGCAACCACTCTTAGTTCTATTCAGGCAGGAATCCAGTAAGCTAGACGAGAGGGTGATTTAGAGGCTTGGCAGTTCCCTGTTAGAATACAGCCCCCAGATCAACAGGGAAATATTATAGCTACATTTGAGCCTTTTCCTTTTAAATTACTCAAAGAATTTAAACAAGCTATAAATCAGTATGGACCACGTTCTCCTTTTTTAATGGAACTGTTAAAGAATGTTGCTGTTTCCAGTCAGATGATTCCTACTGACTGAGACGCTCTTACTTGAGCTTGTCTAACTCTTGCTCAGTTCTTACAATTTAAAACTTGGTGGACAGGTGAAGCTACCATTCAGGCTGCTCACAATGCCCAGGCCCAACCTCAAATTAATATAACTGCAGACCAACTTTTAGGGGTTGGTGGCTGGGCTGGTTTACATGCACAAGTGGTCATGCAGGATGATGCCATAGAGCAGCTTAGAGGAGTATGCATTAGAGCTTGGGAAAAAATCACTTCAGGTGGAGAACAATACCTTTCCTTTAGTGCTATAAAACAGGGACCAAGAGAACCATACATTAATTTTATAGCTCGGTTTCAGGAGTCTCTTCGAAAGATGATCGCAGATTTGGCTGCTCAGGATATAGTGCTGCAGTTATTAGCTTTCGACAATGCTAATCCCAATTGCCAGGCTGCTCTGCGACCTATCAGAGGGAAAGCACATTTAGTTGATTATATCAAGGCCTGTGATGGCATCAGAGGTAATCTGCATAAAGCTACTCTGCTAGCACATGCAATGGCAGGACTGAGAGTGGATAAAGGAAATACTCCATTTCCTGGAGCTTGTTTTAACTGTGGGAAGCATGGTCATACTAAAAAAGAATGTAGAAAAAATCAGCGAGTCAGGCCGTCAGACAGGGGAGAAAAGAAAACTGCTGATCCTGAAATATGTCCAAAATGTAAAAAGTGAAAACATTGGGCTAATCAGTGTCACTCTAAGTTTGATAAAGAAGGGAACCCAATTTCGGGAAACGCCATGAGGGGCCCATCCTGGGCCCCATTCTAAACTGGGGCATTTCCAGCTCAGGCCATTCCCTCACCCCTGTACAATGTCTGTCCCTCTCCACAGCCAGTAGTGCCACAGTAGATTTATGCTGCACAAAAGCTGTGAGCCTTCTACCTGGGGAACCCCTGCAAAAGGTCCCAACAGGAGTCTGTGGACCCTTGCCAGCAGGGACAATAGGATTACTTTTAGGAAGGTCTAGTTTAGGTTTAAAAGGGATACAAATACATACAGGAGTCATTGATTCAAATTACAATGGGGAAATTCAAATTGTTATATCTACTTCTGTTTCCTGGAAAGCAGAGCCGGGAGAGCGCATAGCACAGCTCCTGATCGTGCCATATGTGGGAATGGGAAAAAGTGAAATTAAACGAACAGGAGGATTTGGAAGCACAAATAAACAAGGCAAAGCAGCTTATTGGGTAAATCAAATTACTGATAAACATCCTACCTGTGAAACAACCATTCAGGGAAAGAAATTTAAAGGTTTGGTAGATACAGGAGTGGACATTTCGATCATTTCTCTGCAGCACTGGCTGTCCACGTGGCGAATTCAACCCACTCAATTTAACATAGGTAGAGTTGGTAAAGCCCCTGAAGTATATCCAAGTGGTTATATTTTGCATTGTGAAGGGCCCGATGGACAACCTGGGACTATTCAACCAATTATAACTTCTGTACCTATAAATTTATGGGGAAGAGATTTATTACAACAATGGGGAACACAAGTTATAATTCCAGAACAATTATATAGCCCTTGAAGTCAACATACAATGGATGAAATGGGGTATGTCCCTTGTATGGGACTAGAAAAAAATTTGCAAGGTTTGAAAGAACCACTTCAAGCGGAAAATCAAAGTTCCTGCCAAAGATTAGGAAATAAGTTTTGATGGTTGCCATTGTTAAGCCTCCAGAATCTATACCTTTAAAATGGTTAACAGATAAGCCAATTTGGATAGAACAATGGCTGCTAAGTAAAGAGAAACTGGAGGCTTTAGAGAAATTAGTTACTGAACAATTAGAAAATGGGCACACAGCTCCAACATTTTCCCCTTGGAATTCTCTAGTTTTTGTAATTAAGAAAAAATCAGGTAAATGGAGAATGTTAACTGACTTAAGAGCTATCAATTCAGTTATACAACCTATGGGAGCATTACAGCCAGGATTGCCTTCTTCTGCTATAATTCCAAAAAATTGGCCTTTAATAGTCATAGATTTAAAAGACTGTTTCTTTACTATCCCCTTAGCTGAGCAAGACTGTGAATGGTTTGCATTTACAATTCCTGCAGTAAACAACCTGCAGCCTGCTAAGCGTTTTTATTGGAAAGTGTTGTCACAGGGCATGTTAAACAGTCCCACAATTTGCCAGGCCTATGTGGGGCAAGCAATTGAACCTACTCATAAAAAATTTTCACAGTGTTAAATTATTCACTATATGGATGATATATACTTTGTGCTGCCCCCACTCAGGAAATATTACTCCAATGTTATGATCACTTGCAAAATTCGATTTCTCATGCTGGTTTAATTATAGCTCCTGGCAAAATTCAGACTACTACTCCTTACTCCTACTTGGGGACCTTAGTAAATGACACTACCATTGTGCCACAGAAAGTAACCATACGTAGGGATCAACTGAAAACATTAAATGACTTTCAAAAATTACTAGGGGATATTAATTGGATACGACCTGCTCTAGGCATTCCTACCTATGCCATGAGTAATCTGTTTTCTATCCTTAGAGGAAATCCTAGTCTCACTAGCCCTCGGCAATTAACAAAGGAGGCTGAGGCAGAGTTACAACTGATTGAGAAGCAAGTCCATAAAGCTCAAATAAATAGAATAGATTCAGAGAAGACTCTAGACTTGCTATTTTTTTCAACTCAGTATTCACCTACTAGTGTTTTCGTCCAAGAACAGGACTTAGTAAAGTGACTTTTTCTTCCACATACTAATTCATGGACTCTAACTCCTTATTTAGATCAAATCGCTACTATGATAGGGATTGGGAGAAATTGTATTGTTAAATTACATGGATATAATCCTGGAAAAATTATTATCCCTCTCATGAAGGCACAAATACAGCAAGCTTTTATAATTAGTCTTACTTGGCAAACCCATTTAGCTGACTTTGTGGGTATTGTTGATAATCACTTTCCTAAAAAGAAGCTGTTTCAGTTTTTGAAATTAACTAATTGGATTCTCCCTAAAATAACTAAATTTAAACCAATTGAAGGTGCTGAAAATGTTTTTACAGATGGGTCTACTAATAGCAAAACTTCTTATTCTGGATCAAAAAGTAAAGTGTTCCAGATGCCCTATATTTCAGCTCAAAAAGCAGAGCTTGTAGCAGTAATTGAGGTATTGACTGCTTTTGATATGCCTATTAATGTGATTTCTGATTCTTCATACGTAGTTCACTCCACACAATTAATTGAAAATGCTCAGTTATGATTTCATACAGATGAACAACTGATGACTTTATTTACCCAATTGCAAACAGCAGTTAGGAGTAGAATGCACCTTTTTTATATCACTCACATTAGGGCTCATACACCTCTTCCAGGACCTTTGACTGAAGGGAATCAAATGGCTGATCACCTAGTTGCTAATGCAATATCTAATGCTAGACACTTTCACAATTTAACCCATGTTAATGCCTCTGGTCTCAAACACAGATACAGCATTACCTGGAAAGAAGCTAAAAATATTATCCAGCGATGCCCAACTTGCCAAATGGTACATTCCTCATCTTTTAGAGGAGGAGTTAATCCTCGAGGACTGGAACCTAATTCACTTTGGCAAATGGATGTCACACATATTCCCTTGTTTGGGAGACTAGCTTATGTACATGTATGTGTGGACACCTTTTCTCACTTTGTCTGAGCTACATGCCAGCCAGGAGAGTCTTCTGCCTGTGTTAAATGTCATCTTTTGCAGTGTTTTGCGGTGATGGGCATTCCAGCTTCTACTAAAACAGATAATACCCCAGGCCATACTAGCCAAGCTCTAGCTACATTTTTCTCTATGTGGAATATTAAACACATTACTGGTATCCCATACAATTCTCAAGGACAAGCCATAGTGGAAAGAATGAATCTCTCCCTAAAACAGAAGTTGCAAAAGCAGAAAGGGGAAGACAGACAATATGGAACCCCCACAGATGCAACTGAACCTAGCATTATTAATTTTAAATTTTTTGAGCCTGCCCAAAGGCCAGATGTCATCAGCAACTGAACAGCATCTACAGAAACCAGCTGCAAAGACAGAAGCAGAACAACTGATTTGGTGGAGAGATCTGATAACAAAAAGTTGGGAAATAGGTAAAATAATAACTTGGGGTACAGGCCAAAATCAACAGCAAATTTGGATACCATCAAGACACTCAAAACCTTATCATGAGCCAGATGCTGAGGAAGAGATTTCGGGAGGATCCCAAGGACCCCCCAGTTGCAGCCATGTCAAGGCTGACGCTGAGGAGGACCCCAACTGTCAATGAGTAACTCCCGTTGAACACAGTCACCCACCTGGGGACAGATCAAGAAGCTGTCACAGATGGCGGAAGAAAACTTGAGGAAAGCGGGACAACCAGTCACAATGAATAATTTAATGGTAGCTATGATAGTGGTTATCACCACTGTCATGAGTATTCCTTCAATAAGGGGTGACACAGAGAACAATTATACTTACTGGGTCTATTTATCAATCTTGGCTGGCAATAATGCCTGGATGCAATCACTTTATGACACAGTTACACATGCTTTCTGATCTCAGTATTTACCATAATCAATCTGCTCCTATAATTGAGGCATACTGCCCTCAAAAACCTATTTGTAAACAGGATTGGACCCAGTTAGAAAAAATGAACATACTTGTTTAGGAAGATTGCATTGCAGAACAGGCAGAGGTGTTGCACAACGATTCCTATGGAATCATTAGTAGTTGGTCCCCTAAGGGGATGTTTAGCTCAAATTGCACCTCTCAGTCTGTGTGCCATGGCCACACTATGTTCAGCTGGTCTGAACAAAACGGTCAGATGGTAGATATAATAATAAGTATAGCAAGAGTTCCTATTATCTGGAACCATGGCAGTATAGTGGCACCTCAACCTCAAAAGATATGGCCCACTCTAGGAGCTTAGCGTAAGGATTTAAAATTAAAAGAACAAATATTTAAAGCATCCCAGGCACACCTGACCTTAATGCCAGGAACTGGTGTGCTTCAAGGAGCTGAAAATTGATAAAAACACTTGGAAGCTCTGTGATTTCAATGATGATTGTGCTTTTAATCTGTGTTGTTTGTCTTTGTATAGTCTGCAGATGTGGATCCTGACTCCTGCAAGAAGTAGCTCACTGTGACAAAGCTGCCTTTGAGTTTATTGATTTGCACATCAGAGAAGGGGGACATGTTAGTAGCAGGCCCCTCAAAATCTGGCCATAAACTGGCCCCAAAACTGGCCATAAACAAAATATCTGCAGCACTGTAACATGTTCATAATGGCCCTAACACCCACCCTGGAAGGTTGTGGGTTTGTGGGAATGACGGCAAGGAACACCTGGCCCACCCAGGGCGGACCACTTAAAGGTATTCTTAAGCCTCAAACAACAGCATGAGCGATCTGTGCCTTAAGGACATGCTCCTGCTGCAGTTAACTAGTCCAACCTATTATTTTAATTTGGCCCATCCCTTTGTTTCCCATAAGGGATACTTTTAGTTAATTTAATATCTATAGAAACAATGCTAATGACTGGTTTGCTGTTAATAAATATGTGGGTAAATCTCTGTTCTGGGCTTTCAGCTCTGAAGGCTGTGAGACCCCTGATTTCCCACTTCACACCTCTGTATTTCTGTGTGTGTGTCTTTAATTCTTCTAGCGCCACTGGGTTAGGGTCTCCCTGACTGAGCTGGTCTCAGCAGTGACAAACAATCTTAACCAAAAAGGGTTGAAAGATCCCTCTACCCAAAAGTTTCTGTCTCCCAGTCTACCACAGACAACTGACATGGCACCCTAAGTATCCCACTTAAGGATGAAATATTGTCTCCTGAGAGCACAGGCCTTCCCTTTCTTTATACCAAATACCTATTCATCCTTCCTCGTTCAGCTTCAGTGATGGGCCTTTTCCAGGAAACTTGCTCTGTCCCCGATACTGTTTGTCCTCCTTCCTCCATCTCTGTTTCCAGCAGGGAGCTGACCATGAGGCTCTGTAAGCATTCATTTTCTCCAGCCACTGTCAGCCCCTGGAGGGCAGGAGGCTTATCTTTTTGGTTTTGCATCCCCAGCACGCAGCATAATACCTTGTACTCAAAAGACGAATGAATGTGTATGAGACAGTGGAAAGGCCACTAAACTTGGAGTTAAGTGCCCATGCTAAACAGGCTCCTTGCCTGGTGCTATGGTTTGAGTGATCTCCTCCAAAATTCATGTGTTGAAACGTAATGGTTCTTGTGATAGTATTGAGAGGTGTGGCATTTAAGACGTGATTATTTTTTGTGAATGGGATTAAAGCCCTGAGGCTCCATGTAGCACTCAGTCCTTTTTTGTTCTTCTCTCTTCCACTATGTGAGGGGACAGCATTCATCCCCTCTGTAGGATACTGCCCCAAGGTGCCTTCTTGGAAGCAGAGGAACTGAGACCTCATCAGCTGCCACCTTGATCTTTGAATTCCTAGCCTCAAGAACAGTGAGAAATAAATTCTGATTTTTTATAAGTTACCCAGTCTGTGGCATTTTGTCATAACAGCTCAAATGGATTAAGATAGCTGGTGATCATGGAACTCTTGAATCTTGGCTTCCTTATCTGACAAGTAAGAAAAATAGTCTCCCCTGTCCTTCCTGCCCTTCCCAGGTTTTCCATGGGATGCAAGTGAGATAAGGGATTTGAAAAATCATTTAGCCAGAACAGAGCTCTGAAGGAAGGAAATCTGAGGACACACTGGTCCAGCTCACTCGTTTTACAGATGACAAAACCGAGAGAATGCGTGTGGTGGCACATGCCTATAGTCTTATCTACTTGGAAGGCTGAAATGGGAAGATCCCTTGAGTCCAGAAGTTCAAATCCAACCTGGGTAACATAGTAAGACCCTGTCTTTGAAGAAAAAAACAAAGATCCTCAGATCATGTGTGTGTGTGTGTGTGTGTGTGTGTGTGTGTGTGTGTGTAGAGACAAGGTCTCCCTATGTTGCACAGACTGGTCTCAAACTGCCGACCTCAAGTGATCCTCCCACCTTGGCCTCCCAAAATGCTGAAATTATAGGCATCAGCCACTGAGCCCACCCCTCAGGTGCTTTGTTTTTTAAATCAAAATTTATTATCCCTTTGTAAACCAAAAAAAAAAAAAAATTCCAAGACCCCCCAGCCACTTGAATGGACTTCCTACTCAGCCAGGGCTCTTTTAAAATTTACCCTGAGAGATTGTTTCAGGCCATGATGGGAAGTAGTGGTTGGACATGGCTCATTATACCTCTCCAGCATTAACATCAACACAGACTTTAAGTCACATAAGAAACATTTTACAACCTATTCTCTCTGAAGCCGACTACCTGCAGGCTTCCTCTGCCAATAAGAAATTTGGCCTCCACAACCTGTTATCTTAATCCAAACATTATTTTCTATTGATCCCAGGTCTTTAGATAAACTCAACCAACTGCCAACCAGAAAATTTTAAAATCTACTTATAAGCTGGAAACCCCTGCTTCAAGTTGTCCTACCTTTCAGGACCAAACCAATGTATTTCTTTTTTTTTTTTTTTTTTTTTTTTGAGACAGAGTCTCACGTTGTTGCCCAGGCTGGAGTGTGCAGTGGCGCAATCTCGGCTCACTGCAACCTCCACCTCCTGGGTTCAAGCGATTGTTGTGCTTCAGCCTGAGGAGCCAGGATTACAGGCACACACCACCACACCCAGCTAATTTTTGTATTTTTAGTAGAGAGGGTTTCACCATTTGGCCAGGCTGGCCTCGAACTCCTGACCTCAGGTAATCCACCCACCTCAGCCTCCCAAAGTTCTGGGATTACAGGCATGAACCACAGCACCTGGCCTCCAATGTATTTCTTAAATGAATTTGATTGAAGTCTCATGTCTCCTTAAAATATATAAAACCAAGCTGCAGCCTAATCATCTCAGGCACATGTTCTCAGGACCTCCTGAGGGCTCCTTCATAGGCTATGGTCACTCAAAGTTGGCTCAAAATAAATCTCTTAAAATATTTTACAGAATTTGACTCTTCATCAACCACTTGTCCCATTTCTGTAGGAGCCTGCTGTTAGAATCTGACCTGCAAGTAGGAATCTGATAAATTCATTTTTTCAGGAGTTAATAATAGTTGTTGACAGTGTAAGAGTGATATGGACAGGAGACAGAGAAATACTGGGTAGAAGAGGGTGGTTCCCCAGCAAAGGCCCCATCCTCAAGCCTGGATACTCATGGCCCTAAATGGGAACAGGCATTCCTGTTTTCATGCCCCAAAAGTTGTCTTTTGACCCCCCTATCCTGTACCCATATAAACCACAGACCTCAGGTTCCAGAAGCAGATGAGCAGACAAGGAGATGAGAAGATGAACAGAAGAGCAGAAGAACAGCAGAATGATGTGGCAGAGAAGAGAAAGAGCATCTAAACTCCAAGGGAAGATCATCTTCCCACACCATCTCCCTTCTAGCTCCCCATCCATCCCACTGAGATCCACCTCTACCACCCGATAAAACCCCCACATTCACTACCCTTCAAGTCCATGTGTGACCTGATTCTTCTGGGATGTTAGACAGGAGCTTGGGATACAGTAAGCTGTCACACTGGCCCTCTGCCCTTGCAAAAAGGCAGAGGATCCACTGAGCTGGTTAACACTTACACCATCTGTGGACATCAAAGCTAAAAGAGTGCACTGTAACACATGCCATGCCCACTTGGGTTTTGGGAGTCACAGGCACCCACTCCAGATGCTGCTATGGGGCTGGAGCCTCAAAGCACTCGCCCCAGCTCCTGTGCCTGCCCTGCTGTGTGCTCCCACTCCTGTTAGGGGTTTGAGTGTGTGGTGACCAAACACATGAGCCATACCCCTGTTGCATGTCCTTTAAGGGTGGTCAGGGAACTCTCCCATTTCAAGAGCACTTCTCCTAGAAATATTTGCAATTTACTTAAGAGATACTACACAGTAGTGGGATTTCTTCTAAGTTTTCTTTCATATTTCTTTGAGCAGATTAATAGATGAGTACTTTTGGATGGGACAGTTTCCAAGTCTTTCTCAATTTGCATGATATACATGGTTGCCTCTCTATATACCATATCTTGCATTGAATATTGGAGAAAAATTGCATTAATGTGTGAGGAAATATCATTGACCTCCCACAAGTGGCCCCCATGCCCCTAAATCTAAAGGATTCCCCTTTAGATATTGAAAACTAGAATACTCAGACATTCTGAAGTCATGAAAGCAGTAAACATCTTCAAAGAGATGAGAAAGTAATCACAGCATATTGGAAAAAACCTTCAAACAGAAGTAAGGAAACCTGAGGTCCATCTCTGACCATGGCAAATTATGTGAACTTGGGTAACTCAGTCTTTCTGAGCATCCCCCCAACTCTCAGTATTACTCAGTATTAATACTTCTGTGTTTGTGTGTGTGTGTGTGTGTGTTTGTATACATAGGTCAAAATTCAAAAGGTACTGTTGTCAGAGGCATTCAAACCAGAGCAACTCCATCTCAAATAAAGGCTGGTTAAAATAAGGCTGAGACCTACTGGGCTGCATTCCCAGGAGGTTAGTCATTCTTAGTCACAGGATGAGATAGAAGGTCTGCACAAGGTACAGGTCATAAAGACCTTGCTGAAAAAATAATGTGGTAAAGCCAACTACATCCCACCAAAACCAAGATGGTGATGAAAGTGACCTCTAGTTGTCCTCACTGCTCATTATACACTAATTATAATGTATTAGCAAGCTAAAAGACACTCCCACTAGTGCCATAACAGTTTATAAATGCCATAGCAACATGAGGAAGTTGCCCTATATGGTCCAAAATGGGGAAGAACCCTCAGTTCCAGGAATTGCCACTCCTTTCCCCGGAAAACTCATGAATAATTCATTCCTTGTTTATCATATAATCAAGAAATAACCATAAAAATGGGCAACCAGCAGCCCCAAGGGTTGTTCTGCCTATGGAGTAGCCATTCTTTTATTCCTTTACTTTCTTAATAAACTTACTTTTACTTCACTGTATGGATTCACCTTGAATTCTTTCTTTCATGAGATTCAAGAACCCTCCCTTTGGGTGTAGATCAGGACCCCTTTTCCTTAACACTGTGGTAAAATATAATAGAAAATATATACTGAGTCTTTGTCCCTGGTTCATGACACAGAGCTCCTAAAACACTTGGAGTTTTCCTCTGTGATAGGGAAAATTGGAGCATCTTTTACTGTTCATAACAAGCCCCTTTCAACTGTACCTGAGTTTATGCTAATAAAGTGACTCCTGGAGGACCTCTGGATAGCTTGAGGATAGGGGCCCTTCTCCTGAAAGACCAAGTCTTGATTAGATGATTGGAACCTTCACTCTCCAACCTCTAGAAAGGGAAAAGGGGCTGGAAATTGAATCGGATCACCATTGGCCAGTGATTTAATCAATCATGCCTATGTAAGAAACTCCATAAAAACCCCTTAACAACAGGGTTTGGAGAGCTCCTGGGCTGGTGAACACATCCAACCCACGCTGGGAGGGTGGCTGGCTCCAACTCCACAGGACAGAAGCCTCTGCTCTTGGGACCCTGCTGGGTCCTACCCTCTGTACCTCTTCCTCTGGCTGTTCACTTGTGTCCTTTATAAAAAACTGGTAAACATAAGTAAAATGATTTCTTGAGTTCTGGGGGACATTCTAGCAAAATACTCAAAATGAGGAGGGATTCATGGGAATCACCAATCTATAGCTAGTCAGAAGTATGGGGCCAGGCGCAGTGGCTCATGCCAGCACTTTGGGAGGCTGAGATGGGCGGATCATGAGGTCAGGAGTTCAAGACCAGCCTGGCTAATATGGTGAAACCCTGTCTCTACTAAAAATGCAAAAATTAGCTGGGCATGGTGGTGCATGCTTGTAATCCCAGCTACTCGAGAGTCTGAGGCAGACAAATCGCTTGAACCCGGGAGGCGGAGGTTGCAGTGAGCTGAGATCGTGCCACTGCACTCCAGCCTGGGCGACAGAGAGAGACTCCATCTCAAAAAAAAAAAGTATGAGTGGCCCATGACTTAAGACCAGCATCTGAAGTTGAGGCGGTTTTGTGGGGCTGAGCTCTTTAACTTATGGAATCTGACAGTAACCCTAAGTATATATGAGGTAGAATAGGAATGGGATGTGGCTCCTCCTACATAATGTTTAACTATGCCTTTTACTTAAAGAATTCTAGGAATTGCCCTTAGGAAATCTACACATCAAACCAAGGTTGTGGAGTGTCCCACCTGGGAAGGAATGCTGAACAATGGATTACAGCCTTGTTGCTGCTGGCCAGACCACCAGGTGGTCCATTACACAAGATAACCATCCTAAGCAGATAATGCTGACCTGCATACCCTACCCTTCAACCTGCATAATCTACCCCAGTGTCTCTCTCTCTCTCTCTCTCATGCTGCCTTCCTGTCTGGGCATAAGCTCCAATGAAGTCTTATCTGGAAAAACTCTTTCAGCCTCATGTTACTTTCTATGGAGAGTCCAAGAACATGTGGTCAGTGACACAGTGGGTCAGAATTGAATTGAATTGTTGGACACTCGGTTGATATCAGATAGAGAATTACAGAGGTACAAAGAGCAAACAATGAAAAATCACCTTTCCAATTCTATTCTCCTACATCTTGCTTTCTTCCCTGGGCCCAGCAGCAACTACTATGATCAAATAACTTGGTACTGTGGACTGAATTGTGTCCTCCTCAAATTAATATGTTGAAGCCCTAATTCACAGTGTGATGGTGTTTGGAGATGAAGGCTTTGGGTGGTAATTAGGTTTGGATGAGCTGATGAGGGTGAGACCCTCATGATGGGATTAGTACCTTTGGAAGAAGGGATACTGGGCCGAGTGCAGTGGCTCACGCCTGTAATCCTAGCACTTTAGGAGGCGGAGGCAGGCAGATCACCTGAAGTCAGGAGTTCCAGACTAGCCGGGCCAACATGGTGAAACTTGGTCTCTAATAAAAATACCAAAAGAATAGCCGGGTGTGGTGGCACACGCCTGTAATCCCAGCTTACTCAGGAGGCTGAGGAACGAGAATTGCTTGAACCCGGGAGACGGAGGTTGCAGTGAGCCAAGATTGCGCCACTGCACTCCAGCCTGAGTGACAGAGCAAGACTCCATCTCAGAAAAGAAGAAGAATAAGAGGAGGAGGAGGAGGAGAAGGAGAAGGAGAAGGAGAAGGAGAAGGAGAAGAAGAAGAAGAAGAAGAAGAAGAAGAAGAAGAAGAAGAAGAAGAAGAAGAAGAAGAAGAAGAAGAACAAGAACAAGAACAAGAAGAACAAGAACAAGAAGAACAAGAACAAGAAGAACAAGAACAAGAAGAAAGAAGAAGAAAAGACACTGAAGAGCTTTCATACTCTCTCCCCCTCAACAGAACCCAACCATGCTGGCACCCTGATTTTGGACTTCCAGCCACCAGAACTGTGAGAAGATAAATTTTTGTTGTTTACACCACTTAGACTATGGTATTTTGTTATGGCAGCCCCAGCTAACTAAAGTATTTGGATATCCTTTCAGAAATATTTTATGCATAAATAAGCAAAAAAATCAATATATTTATTTCCTTCTTTGTTTTACACAAATGGTTCTGCAACTCACTCTACTCTCTTAGAGGACAGTTCAAACCACTATATTTCTCTTTCTGAATAGTTGCACAATATTTTTCCATTATTTAAAAAAAGAAACAGTAACCAAAAACATTGTAACCAAACTTCTATTGTTGAACATTTGGATTGTTTCCAGTCTTTCACAATTACAAATAAAGCTACCATGAATAATTTTGCCATAATAATATGTGCTATTTGCACATGTGAGAGCTATTGTTGGCTAAATTCCCAGAAGTGAATTGCTGGGTGAAAGTATATTTATATCTATAATCTTGATGGATATTGCAAAATTACTCTTCATAATCATTGTGCCAATTTACACTCCATTCAGTATGTTGTAATACTGTTTATTTTTCTCTCACTTTCACCTACACAGCATGTTAGCAAACTTTTGAGATTTGCCAAATTGGCATGTAAAATGTTACTACTTTATAGTTTGTATTTTCTCATACTTTCTTATGTATGTAATTGAGCATCTTTACATATGCTTAAGACCCTATTGTGCTTTTCTTCTACAGTTCACATCTCTTTTTTTTTTTTTTCATTTTTCTGTTGGTTGTTGGTATTGTTCACTGTTTGTAGGAGTTTTTTATATAAGGAATATAAAACCTTTATATATGATGGAAATTGTATACTTCCCCCCAGTCTGTTGTTTGAATTTTCACTTTCCTTATGGTTGTTTTTGTCATATTGAATTATTTTATTATTATATAGTCCAATTGATCAAATTTTTCTTTTCTTTTCTTCTGGGTTTCATATTATGCTCAGAAATTTCTTCCCCATTTCATGATGAAAACATTCCATATTTTCTTCTACTTCTCTTTACTTCCTGTATTTAAATATTGGACCCATCTGAAATGTATTTTGGTATAAGATGTAAAATATGAATTCAACTTATTTCCAGAGAGTATCTGGTTTTTCTCACTTCCATTAACTAAGTAATCCACTTTTTCCTTCTGTATTTGAAATGCACCGTTATCATATTGCAAAACAACAGTATATATCATAAACGATGTCTGATATGCATTTCAGGATTTTATACCCTGTTCTGTCAAGCTGCCTATAATATGTCAGCACTGTGCTACATAAATTATTCTGGTTTTATATAATAATATGCTTTAATACTTGAGAGGCACCTTAATTGGTCTCAAAAAAAAAAAAAAAACTCCTTACAGAGTTTTTACTGAGATTGCATTAAAATAAAGACAGTTGACATGATTATGATGAGTCTTTCTACTCAAAAGCAGAACCTTCCAATTGTTCACATTCTCTCCTGTATTTCTCAGTAGGGTTTAAATGTTTTTGAACTGGAACTTCTATATTTCTCTTAAGCTTAATCTACTTTTTCAGCTACAATGTAAGTAGGATCCTCTATTCCATCTACTCACTGATTATTGTTTTTGTATTTAAAAGGCTATTTCTGGGCCAGGTGTGGTGGTTCACACCTGTAATCCCAGCATTTTGTGAGGCCAAGGCGGGCAAATCACTTGAGGCCGGGAGTTTGAGACCAGCCTGGCCAACATGGTGAAACCTAATCTCTACTAAAAGTACAAAAATTAGCCAGGTGTGGTGGCACATGTCTGTAATCCCAGCTACTTGGGAAGTTGAGGCATAAGAATCGCTTGAACCTGGGAGGCAGAGGTTGCAGTGAGCCAAGATCACACCACTGCACTCCAGCCTGGGTGACAGAGTGAGACTCTGTCAAAAAGTAAAAGACTATTTCTCTGTATTTATTTATTTTTACCAAGCCAAATTACTTCCCATATTGTTTGACATAATTTTTCAGATGACTCTTTTTAAGTTTTCCAGATATATCATGATATCATCTGCAAATGATGGTTATGTGACTTTTTTTTTTTGAGATGGTGTCTCTCTGGAGTGCGGTGGCAGCATCATGGCTCACTGTAGCCTCAATCTCCCCGGGCTCAGGTGATCTTCCCATCTCGGTTTTCTTATGTTTAGTAGAGATGGGTTTTGCCATGTTGCTCAAGCTGGTCTTGAACTCCTGGGCTCAAGTGATCCATCCACCTCAACTAGTGCTAAGATTACAGGCATGAATCACCACGCCTGGCCACTTCCTCTTTTTTTAATTGATGCCTAGTTTCTTTTATCTAATTGAATTAGCTAGTATCTGCAGAATAATGTTAAATAATTGCAGTGTGCCTGGACACCTTTGCCTTGTTTCTGACTTTAATGGAAACATATGGTGTTCCTCCATTCTCCATTATGCTCAATGCTAGGTTTTAGACTAAGATAGATATATTTACTCATGCCGAAAGTATCCACCTACTGCTGGTTTACGAAGTTTTCACCAGGAATGAATACTGGATTGTATCAAATGCCTTCTTAGTACCTGCTGAAAAGATAATATTAATTTTCTCATGTCGTAATAAAAGAGTTCAAAATAAAGAATGGTCATTGGCTAGACACAGTGGCTCACATCTGTAATCCCAGCACTTTGGGAGGTTGAGGCGGGCGGATCATGAGGTCAGGAGTTTGAGACCAGCCTAGCCAACATAGTGAAACCCCCATCTCTACTAAAAATACAAAAAATTAGCCAGGCGTGGTAGTGGGTGCCTGTAACCTCAGCTACTCAGGAGGCTGAGGCAGGAGAATCGCTTGAACCCAGGAGGCAGAGGGTGCAGTGAGCCGAGATTGTGCCATCGCACACCAGCCTAGGCAACAAGAGTGAGACTCTATCTCAAAAAAAAAAAAAAAAAAAGAATGGTCATTGCATTCCTGTAATAAACTCTAATTGTTAATTTTATTATCCTTTGACGTGCTGTTGAAGTCTGGTTGCTAATATTTTATGTTAGATTGTTGTACTGATATTAATAAATGAGATTGTCTAGAATTTTCCTGTGCAAACATTGTTGCACACTGTTTTCAATGTTACGTTGGCTTCCTATAAAATAACTTGGGTATTTTCTCTTTTTATGCTCTGAAACAATTCAAATAGCTTTGAAGTCATCTGGGTCTTTCATAAAATTTCTTTTTTTATGATTCTTTGCTTTACCAACTTTTTCAGTTAATCGACTATCTACTGGTCCTAATTGCCTCAGATAAAAGTATTTTTATTATTTTTGTATTTTCTATAATAAATACTGTATACAGTATATTACCCCTATAATCACAAGGGTATTAAAATGAGGAAATAATCAGAGAAATGTGCAATTGTCTATGTGCAGCATTTTCAGTATAGTATTATTTATAAGAAAAGCAAAAAGGAAGCAACTTAAGGGCCAAATGTTCACAGGGGACTGGTTAAGTAAATTATGGTGTTTTCTATATAAGAAAGTACTATGCAGCTATTGAAAAGTATATTTTGGCATAGGGGAATATACAGCCCTGAATCGTCTGAGGTTTTTATACTAGGATGTTATTACTTCTGTAATAAATAATGTATATTTTTTCTTTTTTTTTTTTTTTGAGACAGAGTCTTTGTTGCCCAGACAGGAGTACAGTGATGCAGTCTTGGCTCACTGAAGCCTCTGCCTCCCAGGTTCAAGCAATTCTCACGCCTCAGCCTCCTGAGTAGCTGGAACTACAGGCGTGCACCACCACAGCTGGCTAATTTTTGTATTTTTAGTAGAGACAGAGTTTCACCATGTTGGCCAGGCTGGCCGTGAACTCTTGGCCTCAAGTGATCCACCAGCCTCGGCCTCCCAAAATGCTGACATGATGGGTGTGAGCCACTGCGCTTGGCCAATAATATATAATTTTAAAATTAAAGTAAAAATGGTGGCCTAGTTGCATATTTATTAACATGGAAAGATGTTCACAATATATGACAATGCATACACCTGTGTTTAATAAACCCCAGGTATTCTGAAGCACACTAACCACTTACTTAAATATCCTTAATCCAAAATGATTGTCTGAAAGGATGGACAGACTGCTGGTAGGGAAGAAAGGTCTCTTCCCTCTAAGAAATCTTGAAAAACACTACTTGTTCCCAGAAATTTCTAGAAAAGTTTAAAATCAGTACTTTAACTTCTTTAACAGTACAGTACTTTAACCTCTAAGTTTTGAGGAACTATTTCCCATGTTAACCAAGCCTTTTAACATTTGTCTGAAAGTATCTGTGTTCCTGAAAACAGAATCCTAGAATAAGAGAATGTTGCAGTTAACTGGACCTCAGATTCATTCTGAAACAACCCCCTGGTTTTTACCAGGGGACACTGCTAAAAAAAAAAAAAAAAAGAGGACACTCTGCTGAGAGAGGTGATTTGACAAACAGCAAAGCACGAACAAGGCAAACAGAAGGTAGATGCCAGTTTATTTGGATTTGTTCCCAACAAACTCCAAGAGGTCAAACTACAGTTACTTAATAATGTACCAATGTGTCACCCAGTACTGCCAAATGAGGACATTCTGGAAGAAGACAAAGATTCTACGGGAGTAAGATCCTTCCCTCTCCAGACCAATGACAACAGTCTCTGGACAAACCTGACAAAATCCCAAAATCCATTCTCAACACGCTTTCTCACTGCAAATGAATTTCAATTTACAGCAAAACCTAACATGAAACCCAAACCTCCTGGAAAGGCCAAGGGGAAGAGTCTAATTTAACTATTTACCTCCCAAGTAAATGCACATTAACGTTTCCTAAAACTCATTTTCCAGATTAACCTTTAAAACAAATATATGCTCCTCAAGGATGTTAGAAAACACTGAGTTACATTTAGCAATTCTTAAATTAATCATAATCTTTCATCAGGCAAGATTTCTTACTGTAGCTGCAGTTCTGTTCAACAAATACTAGAGACGCAGCCAATAGATAATTATTTGAAATTAGTGGGTCCACGTCCAAGACTTGAGTCATTGTTTTGTTCTGCAAACATGTTTTGCTATTGTTGTAATAATCTTTCTCTATACAGCCTTTTGAGTTTATGATGTAACTCCTTTATGGAATTTGGACTCCTCCATGAAAATTTTATGTGTTCAAGTAAAAAAAAGTACAGTCGACCCTTGAACAACACAGGTCTGAACAGCACAGATCCACCTATACGTGGATTTTTTTCAACCAAACGTGGATTGAAAATACAGTACTTGAGGGATATGAAACCCACCTGTACAGACAGCTGAGTTCTCCTATGTGCAGGTTCGACATGGCTGACTGTGGGACTTGCCTTGAGCATGCATGGATTTGGTATATAGGTGAGGGGGTGGGTGAGGCGGAGAGGTCCTGGAACCAATCCCTTGTGTATACCAAGGGACGACTGTATAATCACTTTGAATCACTGTACTGGAAAGAAGTGTTAATATATCAATATGTTCTTCCATACAAGTTAGTTCGCTGATTACTGGGTGCACAACCAGAGAGGTTTAACACATAATCCCTGCCTTAAAATAGCTTCATTGCCAATTAAAAAATTTATCAGCCTCATAGAGGCAGAATTCAAAGCAAAGAAAGTTCAGAAAAGGTTTAAAACTTTACTGGTCATGCCCTGTTTTTGCCATTAGGTGTCCTTTCTCCTGCGTGTGCACAAAATCTTTCCTCTGGGAGCAACCTCACCCTTTGCTCAGCAGAGACAGATCCAGGTTTTGTGAGACTTAAAGTTTATACAACTTGGGGGAACCATTTTAGAAAATTAAAAATTATAAATACAAAGTTATTTAGAATAAGAAAAGAAATCACAATATTTTGCACATTTTAAAAAGCTGACAAATACATATGTGAAGTAATGCATATGTTAATTAGCTCAATTCAGCCATTCCACAATATGCGCGTATTTCTTTTTTTCTTTTTCTTTTTTTTTTTTAGACGGAGTCTCACTCTGTAGCCCAGGCTGGAGTGCAGTGGTGCGATCTCGGCTCACTGCAAACTCCGCCTCCAGGACTCAAACGATTCTCTTGCCTTAGCCTCCCAAGTAGCTGGGACTACAGGCCTGTGCCACCACACCCAGCTAATTTTTTGTATTTTAGTAGAGACGGGGTTTCACCATGCTGTCCAGTGCGGTCTCGAACTCCTGCGCTTACGCAATCTGCCTGCCTCAGCCTCCCAAAGTGCTGGGATTACAGACGTGAGCCACCACGCCCAGCCATAGGTACATATTTCAAAACTACATGTACACAATAAATACATGCAGTTATCATTTGTCAATTTAAAAAATTAATAGGGCCAGGAGCATCACTAATGCCTGTAATCCCAGCACTTTGGGAAGCCGAGGTGGGCAAATCTCTTGAGCCCAGGAGTTTGAGACCAGCCTGGCCAACATGGCAAAACCCCATGTCTACGATACATACAAATATGAGCTGGGCATATTGGCATGCGCTTGTGGTCCCAGCTACTCAGGAGGCTGAGGTGGGAGGATTGCCTGAGCCCAGGGAGATTAAGGCCCCAGTGAGCTTTGATGGTGCCACTGCATTCCAGCCTGGGCAACAGAGTGAGACCCTGTCTCAGAAAAAAAATTAATTAATTTAAAAAATATACATAATGTTAAAATTTTAAAAAAGAACACAACATGAAGGTAGAGGCACACAGAACCTGCAAACCAATTCAGATGCACACATGTGGACACACGCCCACCTGCAGCAAAAAAAAAAAACAAATGCTGACAAATAGTATTTAAAAATCACACAATCTCAAAAACTAGCCTAATATTTGTATTAATGAATGTCCTGGTCCTCTATATAACATTATAACATTTTTATCCTACATAACATTGTTTTCTGGATCAGACCTTATCTGAGTTCAACTACCTGTGAATTTTCTGTTATAGAAACCAATATGTTTCTTTGTTATTTGAACTACTTTGAGTTATTTATTCATGCACAGATATACGAAGAATTCATACTAAGCTTTAAGGATAGATAGACCTACAATCATGAAGAAAAGCACTTCAAGATTTATCCCAGCTTACAAAATACAGAATGATTTGCTCAATCACATACCAATTTCTTCCAACAGCAGAAAAAACTTAGAATCACTTAATTTTTAGCACTGTGTGATTAAATATCATTGAACTATACAAGAATACATGGGAAAATAAGAATATTTGTAAGGCCAGAACAAGAAAACAAAACATTATTATTGCCTTTACCAACTATTTAGTAATGAGACCTTAATAGAAAGTGCTAATACAGCTTCTTTGATGTGGTTGCCTAGAATTAATGATTGCCAAGTACTGCTTTGTGTCCAGTGGAATAAAGAAATAATCAAATATCCAAAAAAAAAAAAAGATAGAAAAACGTTTGACAAAAAACTGTACTTTCTAAAAATTCATTAAGGAAGGGCATTTATAAGAAGCAAATGAAAATCATAACGTGCAGTAAGCATTAGGTAATGTACCTTTGAGATATAAATGTGCCATGGGAAAACAATAGCGGCTCTTAGAAAATGCCGCCCCACTTTCTGCAGTGTGGGGAAACAGTCGTTTTGAAAGTGTGTGAGCTCAGTGGGATTCTGTTTGCAATAATGAAAGAAAGGAGTCAGAACAATAACTGCAGAATATGATTTGGAACGGAGTCCTGCTGGGGTTCATTGTTTTATTACTGCCGGCTAAAGAGCAGAGGCGGCCAAGCACACTAAGTCTTAGCATGTCTTTTATAATTGGGGCTTATTTAATGATGACCTTCTTGGATTTACTTGGAAACATAAAAGAGGAAAGGGACAGAATGACTTAAGAGGTTTATAAAAACGGTTAATATTTGGGATGGATTTTCTTTATGTCTATTTTAAAAACCAACTTCTCCCATTATTGCTCAGGAAAAATAGGTCCCGTGGCAGAATCACTGGGCTGTGGGCTGGGGCCTCAGAAAGCACCTCTTCCAGGACGTGCTTTGCACATAAAGGGACTTGTCAAAGTCCACCCAGGCACCTGGTAGCACAGTGTGTGGCAGCTAGCTCTGCATAACTCAAGTAAAAAGGAGAGTTGATCCTAACGAGGAGAGCGCATGTGTGTCCCAAGCTGTAAAAATTGTGCCTCCCATTTTCCTGCAAATTCATTCTTCAGTTCTCCCAACCTCCCTTCTCTCTTCTACCTGCTCTCACCAGATACCTGAGGATATCATCTTTTTCCCCCCAGTTATTTCGATTATAAAAATCAGATTTATTCTTACAGAAAAATATATCTCCATAGATTACCCAGTCGAAGAAGGGGTGGCCTGTCTCACCCGCAATCACACCTCACCATCCTAGCCTAGTGCCGGCTCTCAGCCGGTGTTTAAGGGAGTTGTTCAGTAAAGGGGCCCTCCCCGGCACCGCACCGCCCAGCTGGCCTTATGCTTCATTGGTTTTTGGTTTGCTAGGACAGCTTACCAGCTTGCCTTGCCAGGGGACATGACGGTCTTCACTTGCCAATTCAGGTTCTTCTATGGCACAACCGTGACCATCTGTCCTTCGTCATAGGCAAAACTTAACATTCACCCCTTACGTGACCGCCTTTCATCACCTAGCCAGTCGGTCTCAGCTGATCCTAACTTCCTATTGCGCCATGAAAATAGAAACAGTACAGAACTTCTACACGTTCCCAGCTCTACATTTAACCCCTCTCCTGCGTTTATGCTCATGTATTTTGTTTTCCCATTGCTATGAAGGACAAACTCTTGTGCTCCTACCTAAGGCCAGCCCTACAACCTGTGCGCTGGATCCCTAGCTTCTCTCACATACTCAAGGACATCAATCCTCAGTTGAATCCTTAGTGCCTTTCTTCCCTGCATTTTCCTCCTCTCGACTTGGAATCTCCCAACATCCTACAAGAATGGTGTGATCTTAGCATCCTCACTTGATTCCACATACATCCCTTCAAGCCACTGTCCCTTTTTTCCTGTTCCCCCTTTTTTTTTTTTTTTGAGACAGAATCTCGTTCTGTTGCCCAGGCTGGAGTGCAGTGGCACTATCTCAGCTCACTGCAACCTCCGCCTTCCAGGTTCAAGTGATTCTCCTGCCTCAGCCTCCCAAGTAGCTGGGACTACAGGCACGCGCCACCACGCATGGCTAATTTTTGTATTTTTAGTAGAGAAGGGGTTTCACCATATTGGTCAGGCTGGTCTCGAACTCCTGACTTCGTGATCCGCCCGCCTCGGCCTCCCAAAGTGCTGGGATTACAGGCGTGAGTCATCGCGCCCGGCCTCCTGTTCCCTTTTAAAGCAAAACTCTCCAAAGAGTTGTAATTCTAATGACTGTCTCTAATTCTTCTTCTCCCATGTTCCCTTGAACCTACACCAGTCAGGCTTTTGTCCACATCGGTGAACTCCACTTTGCCGATTCCTGTAGTGCTTTGTACATCTTCTCTTATTTTACCTGTCAGCAGCATTTAAGAAATTAGATCACTTCCTTTCCCTGGAAACCAGGACTCTATGCTTCCTTGGTTTCCTCCTGTCTCACTGGCTGCTTTTTCTCAGTGCCTGTTCCTGGATCTTTTCCTTCTTTCTTAGTTTCTTGACATCTCACTGGGAAGTCTGATTGGCAACCTTAATATGTCCAAAACAGATTTTGTGACATGGATCCTGTCCCCAAAGCTGCTCGTCTCCCAGTGTCCCGTATCTTGGTAATTGGTAACTTTATTTTCTTGGTTGTTTAGGCCCCAAACTTTGGAATCTTCATTGATGTCTCTTTTCTGCTCACACTCTACACCTAAGGGTCAAGAAATCATGTTACCTTACCTCCAAAATGTGCCCCATTCCAACCACTTGTCACCACCATCCTTGCCACCACTGTCTAGTACAAGCCACTTAGTCACTTATCTGGACTATTTGCAATGGCCTGCCACTGTCACTGATTTTGTTCTTGATCCCCGATGCCATGGCTATTCTCAACACCATAGCCAAGGTGATCCTTTGACTGTATGAGAACTGCTGTCTTAGGGAAATTTTCATAAGAGGACATGTACTAGAAACTATTGTTTGTAATAGAGAAAAGTTGGAAACAACCTGTCAATGGACTAATACGTTGTGGTATATTCCTAGAGTGGAATAGTATGCAATAGGACAAAATAAGGTAGAGGTATCTCCCATAATGAGATCCATATGGGCTATATGGGAAGACCATGAAACATTGCCATATGAGAAACGCAATTTAGGAAAGTGTTTAAATAAATATGATGCCTCTATACAGTGAGATACTAGGCAATCATTAACAATGAGTTGATAGAACAATATGTACTAAGTGGAAAGATGTTCAATATATTAATATTTTGCCAAAAAAGTGAATAGAATAATCTTGTCTATCCAATAGAATGTCTTTTAATAAAAGTATACACATATATGCTTAAATATATACAGAATATCTCTGGAAGGACATGCAAGAATCTGATAACTTGTTTTCTCCCTGGGAATAGAACATGAAGGTTGGGTGAAGAAGGGGACATTTATTTTTTACTTTACACCCTTGGGTGCTACAAAATTTTTACATGAGTACATGAATATATGTATGTGTGCACATGCACATATGTACACATACATATATATGGGTTTATTCTGTTGCTTTTAGGTTTGTGTTTCTTTGTGTTTTACATATAAAACTTCATCTGTGATATGGTTTGGTTCTGTGTCCCTGCCCAAAACTCATCTTGAATTGTTATCCCCACGTGTCAGAGGAGGGGCCCAGTGGGAGGTGATTAAATCATGGGGCAGACTTCCCCCTTACTGTTCTCATGCTAGTGAGTGAGCTCTCATGAGATCCGGTTGTTCAAAAGTGTGTGGCATCTCCCCCTTTGCTCTCTGTCTCCTGCTCTGCCATTGTAAATGTGTGCATACTTCCCTTGACCTTCTGCCATGATTGTAAGTTTCCTGAGGCCTTCTAGTCATACTTCCTGTTGAGCCTGCAGAACTATGAGTCAATTAAACCTATTTTCTTTATAAGTTACCCAATCTCAAGTAGTTCTTTATAGCAGTGTGAGAACAGACTAATACAATCTGGAATTTTTATTGGTAGAAAGAGTAAGATCACAAGGAGCAGTGGCTCACACCTGTAATTCCAGCACTTTGGGAGACTGAGGCGGGAGGATCACTTGAGCCCAGGAGGTCAAGGCTGCAGTGAACTATGATTGTGCCACTTCACCCCAGCCTGGGTAACAGAGTGAGATCCGACTAAAAAAAGAAAGAAAGAAAGAAAAAGGTAAGGATACATAGATTACATTCTTCCAAATAATTGCCAATTGTCCCAAGACTGTGGAGTGACACTAACCCATTTTTTCTCCATTGATTCAAATGCTGCCTTTATCATATACTACATTGCTATTGCTACTATTTTAATTATTACCCTCATCATCAGGTTTTTAAAACTCAAGTAAATTACCAGTTTAAAAAATTTTCCCCTGGGTTTAAACTACAAGGTTATAAAAAATATCGACCCCAAACAAAGGTACATATGTATATACACATCATCAATTATGTATTAATTTATTTTAATAAAAAATGTGTCTCAAACTATAAAGACATTCAAGCATAAATATTGGCCTTTTCCTTTAAAAAAAAAAGTGAAGGAGATCCTGTATTTCTTTTATAGCCATATTATTAACTGTGCTCATTGCCTGACTACGTGCTTTCAGTCCACTCTGTGGGGGTGTAATTGTGTGTTTTACAAGCACTCACCTGGATTTATATAGTCATTCTGCAGGAAAGTGCCTCGGAACCAGCATGTGGTTAAGATTGTTCATCTCCCATTTAAATGCTGCTATGTAACATTCCCCAGCTGGGAGGTTTAGTACTTAGTACTCACAAGAGCTACATCTAAGTATTGAAAAGGACCTAGAAATGTTCAGATTTTACTGAGATCTGAGCACTTTTCTTCTTCCCAATATATTCAAAAGGCAAAGTATTACTCTATTTCTTCTGCCTCCCCAAAAAGGATAGTTCTGTGTTCTGTGACAAGATTGCACTACAGAGAAACAATTTGTACATTCCATATGATTGATCGATAACTATAATGGTAACAGGAAGAAAATAGCAGCAATAATGGGTAAGCAAATAATTGCAAACTTCCGTTTCTGGGACTATTGCAAACTCAACTCCCTGAACATCCCTTCCTCTATAAAACAACTAAAAATTCTAGATGAAATTATCTAAACGTGTAACATTTAAATTTAGATGAGTAACAAAACATTGAATTGGAAGTGTTGAGTGAAACACCAAGACGTGATAAATATTGGACACAAAGCAAATTTTGAGACAGACCAAGATGAAGACATTCAATGCAAGTGGCCAAGAATACAGGCCACATAGAAGGCACAAAACAGTCTCGTGGCTCTCCCCTTGGAACTCCACTGGGAGTGGGCTTACGGGAAGAGTTCCTGGTGAGAGCTGCTGCTACCCTGTGAGGGGTGATGACACTTTCTCACCATAAGTCTGAAGAGGAGCTTCAAGGAAACCTCTCAGAGAGCTTGACACATGTCCCCTGAAATTGTGAGCCACGGGACAGGTTATCCAGGGTTGAGGAAACTAAAGCAAAGAGGCTATGGCTCTTGGCCTGGGACAACAGGGCAGAAAAGGGGATGCTCTGGCGTGGCAATGAACTTGCATTCTAATATTTTATGAAAATGTTAAGCATCTAGAATAGCCAAATATCTTTGGTGAAAAAAGAACAGATGAAGTTGGAAGACTTATTCTATCTGATTTCGGGAATTATTAAAAAGCTACAATAAGTAAAACAGTGTGCACTGGCATAAAGGCAGATACATAGATCAGCTGAGCAGAGAGCCTAGAAACATGAGGCCAGACACAGTGGCTCATGCCTGTAATCCCAGCACTTTGGAAGCCCAAGGTGGGTGGACTGCTTGGGTCCAGGAGTTGGAGACCAGGCTGGCCAACATGGTGAAACCACATCTCTACTAAAAATACAAAAATTAGCTGGACATGGTGGTGCGTGCCTGTAATCCCAGCTACTCAGGAGGCTGAGGCACAAGAATCACTTCAACCCCGGAGGTGCAGGTTGCAGTGAAATAGACATATATATGGCCAATTGTCTTTTGACAAAGACTTTGATATGGTTTGTCTCTGTGTCCCCACCCAAATCTCATCTTGAATTATACTCCCATAAATTCCCACATGTTGTGGGAGAGACCCGGTGGGAGAGAATTGAATCATGCGGGTAGTTACCCCCGTAATGTTTCCGTGGTAGTGAATAAGTCTCATGAGATCTCATGGTTTTATAAGGGGCTTCCGCTTTCGCTTCTCTCGTTCTCTCTTTCCACCACCATGTAAGAAGTGCCTTTCAACTTCCACCATGACTGTGAGGCCTCCCCAGCCACATGGAACTGTGAGTCCACTAAACCTATTTTTCTTCCCAGTCTCGGGTATGTCTTTATTAGCAGCGTGAAAACAGACTAATACAGATGCCAAGGCAATTCAGTGGACAAAAGATATATTTGCAACATTGGTTATTGGAACAATTGGATACCCATATGCCAAAAAGAGAAAAAAGTCAAAAAAAAAAAAAAAAAAAAAGAGAATGTCAGCCTGTACCTGACAGTGGGAAACTTGCACCATCTATAAAAATTAACTTGAAATGAGGCCAGGCATGGTGGCTCATGCCTGTAATCCCAGAATTTTGGAAGCCCAAGGTGGGCAGATTGCTTGAGTCCAGGAGTTGGAGACCAGCCTGGCCAACATGGTGAAACCACATCTCTATTAAAAATACAAAACTTAGCTGGACATGGGTGGTGCATGCCTGTAATCCCAGCTACTCAGGAGGCCAAGGCACAACAATCACTTCAACCCCAGAGTTGCAAGTTGCAGTGAGCTGAGATCCTGCCACTGCACTCCAGCCTGAGTGACAGAGCAACACTCTGTCTCAAAAAAAAAAAAAAAAAGCAAAAAGCAACTTGAAATAGATCAAAGACCTAAATGCAAGATTTAAAATTATAAAACTTTAAAAGATAAATGTACTAGTTATCTATTGTTGAGTAACAATGTTACTGCTCAACTAGAGGCACTTATTGGCAGAATTCAGTTTCTCATAGTTTTGGGACTAAGGACTTCAATATACTGCCCTCAGCTCCTAGACACCACCCACACAGTTCTTTGCCACGTGTTCCCCAACGTAATCACTTGCTTCCTCAAAGCCAGAGAGAAAGAGACCCCAGCAAGATGGGTACTAATATCTTATGTAACATAATCATGTATTCACACATAATCACACACATCCCAACAGCTTTGCCGTATTCTATGGCTTAGAAGCAAGCCACAAGTCCTGCTCACACTCAAATCCAAAAGCAATAGGAGAGTAACTGCAGAAAGTATATAGCTCTACTGCTCTGAAGGGGAGAAGTGTACATGACTATACAGATCTTTTGTGTATTTGTTTAAAAAATAGTTCTACATGGCCGGGCGCGGTGGCTCATGCCTGTAATCCCAGCACTTTGGGAGGCCGAGACGGGTGGATCACGAGGTCAGGAGATCGAGACCATCCTGGCTAACATGGTGAAACCCCATCTCTACTTAAAAATACAAAAAACTAGCTGGGCGTGGTGGCGGGCCCCTGTAGTCCCAGCTACTCGGTAGGCTGAGGCAGGAGAATGGCGTGAATCCGGGAGGCGGACCTTGCAGTGAGCCAAGATCGCTCCACTGCACTCCAGCCTGGGCAACAGAGCGAGACTCCGTCTCAAAAAAAAAAAAAAAAAAAAAGTTCTACATGGATATTCCTTGTATGCTGCCTCGTATGGCAGTTTCTTTTGCGTGTATGTTTTTATTTCCCTATTTACGCCATAAGTTCCTGAAGGATAGGAGTATATTACTTACACCTTGTCAATTCCAGGGGACCCAGCAACAGAGTCTCACATGTATTCAGTATTCAGGAAATATTTGTCTAGAGAGTCAGCTTGGCAGAATGGAAAGTGCATAGGCTTATGGAAACATGGGAAGTTAAATCAAATCCCAGCTCTTCCATTTACTAGTTAGGTAAACTACAGCATTAGTTAATATCTGCGATCTTCAGTTTCCTTATATTACCTTATAGTTTTGAGATTAAATGAGATACTGTGCATCAACTGCCTGTTTCACTAAATAATAGCAATTACTGTTATTTATAGATGAGGATAACTAGTAATAAAATATTTTAAATGAGCAAGTGTAACATTAGACAGACAATTGAAGCAGCATTCTGTGATGGGTATTTCTTAGCATGTGTTAAAACATCAGGAAACCTTTTGACAGCTGCTCCCCTGGCTAAGAACGGCCCCTTCCAGGTGTGCACCCTCTAGAGTGCCCCAGAAACAACTCTTTGCCAACTACCTTCTGCAAACCATCTTTTCACTTGAACTGACTTCCCCCAAACAAACCTGATTAATTACTGAATAAAATACACCAGGGCGTGTCCTCGGAGCACAACAATATTTCTGCCACAAGAGGGCACAATGTGACTGTGTATACTGTAGTTTCTTAACAATTACAATCCTAAAAGTTCATATTCATTACAGGATACACTGTGTTCCAGTAATTGTTTTTATTTGAATATTGTTTTTTATATACTTGAATTAATTTTATTTCTTAAGGCAAAAATAATGGAGAGCAGGAAATTTCCACAATTTCCTTGTGGAAAATTGTTCTCAGGCTATAACTGGTTAAGTACAAACATAACATCATTATTTTCTGTTTAAAATACTGTGATTCATCTGCTTTCTGGGAGTCATTTCCTGTAGGGCCTTAAGAGGCTTTCTAGCTCCAAATTACTCTACATTCCTAGTTCTTGTTATGTTTCCTGCAGGCCATCAAGTTCATGGATTTTATTATAGCCTTGCAAATTAGTAGAAAAAATTTACTAGCCCATAAATATTTTATCAGCTTCATCTTGCTCCTGGGGGCAGATTGGTAATGAAATCGCTGAAAGCACTATTATTCATAACTTACTCAGCTATAAAACTAATGATTGTTACATAACCAGTTTCTAGCTTTTTTTTCCCTCTCCTTGGGAAGAGTGTGCATGTCTAGTGGATGTGGGCATGAATGTAGCCAAATAAACCTGTTGCCCAACATCACATGCAAACCATGGTATGGATGGCAAGAGTGATACGTACACAGTCTGGTTTCATTGACAAATGGAAGTCACTCTCTGCTATGACCTGAATATTTGTGTCCCCCTCAAATTCGTATATTGAAATCCTAACCCTCAAAATGACGGTATTAAGAGGCAGAGCCGTTGGGAGGTTGTTAGGTCGTAAAAAGCCCTCATGAATGGGATTAGTGTCCCCATAAAACAGGCCCCAAGAGACCCCTCACCCCTTCCGCCTTGTGAGGTTACAGTGAGAATTTGGCCATCTATGAGGATCAAGGCCCTAACCACACACCGAACCAGCTGGCACCTTGATCTTGGGGGTACCAGCCTCCAGAACTGTGAGAAATAAATTTCTGTTGTTTGTAAGCCCCCTAGTCTATGGCATTTTGTTATGACAGCCTGAACTAAGATACCTTCCTTTGAGAAGTCCTGCTGGCAACAATACTCATCCCGTTTGAGAGAATTACTGGCCAGAACGCGCCTGTTTCCTCCTCCTCCTCCTCTTTATCCTCCAGCCACCCATTTCCCCGGACACCTAGTGGGAAACTGGGCAGAATCTTGTTACACTGTTTTACAAACATTTCTATCGCTGGGCTGGAGATGGATGTTTCTGTGCTCAGGAAGCTGGTGTGCTTCTGGTATGGTACAGTTGTCTGAGTCACTGTCCATCTGTCTCTCTTTGCAAAGTCACATGTTTCCTTGTGGTTGCCATATCCATTTCAACTAAGACTTTATGTTCCATGCCAGCCTCCACCTGGCTAAGGGGAAGTGCCCTTCCCCTTGTACTTTGGGGGTGCCTGCCTTTTTCTGGAAGAATAGCTGTGGGTCAGCATCCTTCTTCACGCATTATGTCTATGCCCCGCTCCAACTGGTCCACAACTAGAATAGGATGGCAAAATAACTATACAGTTATTAATAGTGAAAGCAAATGTGCCACACAAGAGAAGCAGCCCCCTGTAGGCAAGAGGGTGGGTGAGGACAATCATGGAGAAGAGGCAGCTTTTCCCTCCACCGTCAGCTCCCCTCCCCTCTTAGTTTAAGCTCTGAGAAAGTGTGTGGGACCCTGATCTTCCCCATTATTGAGCCCTGTCCCATAAACAAAGGGAGTCGGTGAGGATCAGTGGAGAGAGGGCAGCAGCAGGATGGGGCAGCTGAAACCAGGATTCCCGGTGGGTGAATATGCCTGAGGATGCTGAAAATTTGAACTTCAAGACAGATTTCAGGACATGTTTTCCTCATGACTGTACTGAGAGAGGTTAATAGATGTCCTGTGAAAACAGAGTTCCACAAAATGTCTTTGTCACAGGACTTCTTGGAGCCTTTAATATGCCAAAACTCTTATCTCCCAAAGGGAGGTATTATTTTAACCACAAAACTTGTTTTTGAAATAGTGTCATACAAACCTACTGTTTTGAGTTACATCTATGGGAACTATTTTTCTAATTATCTAATTTGGACCAACTATTCTAAAAGCAACAATCACAATGTGTTTTTCCCTTATTAAATAAGAGCAAAATGTGTTTAGTTATGTGTGATGCAGAATAAGACGGAGGAGTACTTTGGGGAGGGTTGTTGGGGGATTGGAGGTGGCATTGTCACTATAGATTTGCAAATTCCTAGAGTCTCTGTGAAGGGTACAAAGCTTGTCTGTTATCCAGGTATATATTTATTTCAACATGTAACACCCAGTGAATTCTTCTTGCCCACTGCCCAGATAAAGCCGACTTACCAAGGCAGGGGAATTGCAATAGAGGAAGAGTTTAATACACATAGAGCCAGCTACATAGGAGACCAAAGTTTTATTATTACTCAAATCAGCCTCCCAGAAAATTTGGAGGCTACGGTTTCTCAAGGAGAGTTTGGTGGTCAGGGGGCTAGGGAACAGGTGCTGCTGATTGGTTGGGGATGCACTCATTGGGGTGTGGAAAATGGTCCTCTTGCTCTGAGTCCACTTCTGGGTGGGGCCACAGGACTGGGTGAGTCATGAGTCTCGGGTCCAGGTGGAGTCATCCAGTCATCAGAAATACAAAAGTCTGGAAAAACATCTCAAAAGGGCTACAATAGTGAGGTTATTTATAGGAGTAATTGGGGAAGTTACAAATCTGGTGACCTCTGGAATGATGGCTGATAATCCTTTATGCCTACATCTTAGCAGAATTCAAATCCCTCTCATAATCCTAAACTTGTGAACTTTTATTAGTTTTATAAAGGCAGTTTCATTTTGGGAAGAGTTATTATCATTTAAACTATAAACTAAAATTCTCCCAAAGTTAGCTTGGCCCATGCCCAGGAATGACCAGGGCAGTTTGGAGGTTAAAGGCAAGACGAAGTTGGTCAGGTCAGATCTCTTTCACTGTCATAATTTTCTCACCATTATAAGTTTTGCAAAGGCAGTTTCTAACAAGCTTGCAGTGCTTCCCTGGTGTCACCTTGTAAGAATTCCCAAGTTCATCAGGTGTGGTGGCTCACGCCTGTAATCCCAGCACTTTTGGAGGCTGAGGTGGGAGGATCGCTTGAACCCAGGAGTTTGAGACAAGCTTGGGCAACATGGCGAAACCCCATCTCTACTAAAAATACAAAAATTACCTGGGTGTGGTGGTGCATTCCTGTCACCTGAGCTACTTGGGAAGCTGATGTGGGAGGGTCACCTGAGCCTGGGGAGCTAGAGGCTGCAGTGAGCTGTGAGCTGTGATTGTGACACTGCACTTCAGCCTGGATGGCAGAGTGAGTCCTTGTCTAAAAAAACAAAAAAAATTCCCAAGTCCTAGAAACTGGTTTAGAGGTGGCCCAGCCCATGGTGTGATGGATGGGTAAATGAAGGGGCTCATGTTCGTTAGGCAGGATTTGAATGTCTAAGATCTCAGGGAGATATAACCAGCCCCTGTGTCTTCTTAGTGAGGTATAAGAAGCTGTCTTTTCCAGAAATCACAGGTTAGACTATTCCCCCATATGTAAATCAATACAAGTTGATGATCTGAAAGAACAGAAATTGATTAAAAGGAGGCAGACTGCAGGCAAATAAAATCCCAGGAAAACCTGGTATAACATGTAACTTGATGGTGTTACCATTGTCTTATATAGTAGGAATTGCTATGGCAGCACACAGCACAAGAGTGCTGAAAAACATTTTGGCTGGTTCCTTTTGCAGGCTAGGGAGTGTTTTCACTCATGTGCAATATGTCCCTGAGCCCTGCTGATCTTGCTTGCTTGGGACCATGAGGATAATGAGCAATGGCAGTGTCCTCAGAGCACGTTCCAGGATGAGGGGATTGGAAAGCACTATCTTCTGAATTCCTAATAGAGGAAAGCAAACCAACGATGTTCAGGGCTCGAGAATAGAGAGCAATAACTACGTCTATATCTAATTCTGCCCATGCCATCTAGCCACAAACCATCAACACTTTGCACCTATAGAAGCTTCCTCTAGAGTGTCTTCTGTGAATACCTGTGTAGAGTTGGCCCAGAAGGATTCTGGCCTGGGACTAAATTCAGCCATCTATTCTGAGAGACCAAAGTCTGAATTCAAAACCAAAAACCAGAAACTGAAGAAAGGAAGAAAAAAACAACAACCCTTAGTCTCCTGAGAAACCTAGGGAAAGGGAGGAGGTGCATACAAATACCCAGGGCCACACCGAGAGAGGACTTAACTGGCCTGAGAAAAAATGTGCCATTGTAAGTGGAGAAGAAAACAGCTATTGTCTAACACTTAAATAAAAAATACTCTATAAACAGCTAACAGCTGTTTTTCAGCCTTTGCTTTTTAGAGCAAAAGCCAATAAAAGAGAAGACATGTGCTTTCAAATGTGGTTTTTGTTCAGAGCCCAGATTTTCTACAACTAATTTACAACCCAGAAGTAGACCCTGTTTCAGATAGTTTTGTTTTGAAGAATAGAGAAAACTACAAAGTTCAGTAGAATGCCACAGGCCCAGATGGAGGTTGAGCCAGACAGACTTTGCTGTACCAAGGAAAGACTTTGCTGACTTGATGGACAAGTCAGCGGTGATTTTAGTGTTAAAAGACAGAAACCAGAACTCTCAAACCCCACCTCAATAAGTGGACAATGAAAGGAAAAAACAGCAACTTTGCATGCAAAAGTAGGAAACAAGGTGCATCTCTCTGAGATGCTGTTGCTTGATTGATTTCAGCACCCTAGCTACCATGATCATCAAAGGAGTAAATAATACAGTCCTTACATTGTCCACATGTAAAAGCCACCTGATAAGACTATGAGGACTTTAATGGGCATCCATATTGTAAATAAGGAAATTATAGGGGACTCTCAAAAGGGATATTTGTATACAAAATTACTAGCTAAATTCTGCAATTATGAAGCCAGAAGGATAACAGTGAGGCAAGGCCCTTGTTATAAACAGAGACACAGAGATGATCCCATACTTATTCCCTCCTAGTGCCTCTGTTCATGCTGTTTCCTCCACCCTGAGTACCAGCTTCAGGCCCTTAAAGGAAATCCTACACTTACTCTGGGTATCAGTTCTTCACCCATCTCTACCTTTGTATTACATGTGAGGACATTTAGATGATACAGCTGTAGATATAGACATAGATAGACAGATGCAGACAGAGAAAGAGAGATAGAGCTTTGAAATGTGCTCTAGTTCTTTCCTATGTCTATGTCTTATTGTTTCTAAAATTTTGAAGTGTGGGCTACACCTACTTGTGCCTGTCTAATTCTTGCAGTTGTGTTCATATGCCTTGAACATTACGAACACACACCATCCATTCTCACTATTCTGACAAAACTGATCCTTTGAAGGCCTCCTGCTATAATTCTACTACATTCTGGATACAACATGTTTTTTAATGCGCAGCTGGGCTTGCAGCAATGGCAAACAAACTCTCCAAGCAAAGAAACAATGGCAGTGAGCTGAAATCCAGGAAAGAGCTAAAAGGTAAGTGTGGGACAAAATCTGACACTAAGCCCCAAGCCCATTACAAGGTGCAAAAGTCAACTTCAGGTCTCCCACTGTAAACCATGACCCCTGAAGGAGGCTCAACCAGTCCTCTGGGCCATGGAAGAAGCAAGTGACAACCTCTTCTGGAGTACATAACTTCAACTTAGGACCCCAAGACTCCCAGTGATCAAGCACAATGTGTTCAGGATCAAAGACCACCACCAAACAGCAAGAGAATAAGCCAGCATATGGAAAAGAAAGCAAAAATAATAAACAATAAATTTACACTCCCAAGACTTTGGTATTAGAATTATTAAATGCAAAATAGTGCATTTTAAATGCAAAATCATGCATACCAAGTGTTGTATAGGAAATATTTAAAGAAATCCAAGATGAGATCATAAATGTATGGAAGTAACCCAGATACTATGAAATATGACCAGGCAGATTTGAAAAAGAGCCAAGTAAAACATTTATAAATGAAAAATATAGTTGTTGACATTAAAAACTCAATGACCAAATTAAACAGTATATAAGAAACAACTGAAAAGAGAATTATTTAACTAATATATCTGAAGAAATTACCTGGAATATAACACAAAGAGACAGGAAGATAGAACATCAAAGAGGGGTCAAGACATAGAGGATAGAATAAGATTTAATATAATAGGAGTGGCAGAAAAGACTAGAGAAAATAGATGAAAAACCAATATTAAAAAAGATAATAAAAGAGAATTTCCAGAACTGATAAGAGATGAGTTCCCAGATATAGAAAGTTAAACTACCCTTGCAAAAATTACAACAGTGAGAAAGTTATGACAGTGAAAGAGATCTGACCTAACTGACTCCATCCTGCGTTTAACCTCCAACCTGCCCCTCTTCCTTCCTGGGCATAGGCTGAACTAACTTTGGGAGGAATTTAGTTTATAGTTTGAAACAAAGACGATAACAGCCCCTCCCTGAAACAAACCTCCTCCTTGTGTGGGGACCAAACTGCCTCTGTAAAACTAACAGATTAACCACAAGATTAGAAATTATGGCTTAGGAGTTATACAGCCAGAGGGCACCAGATTCCTAACCTTCTAATTGCTTTTGTGAATAACATCTAAGATTGGTGTTTGGAATATTTTTCAGACTCTGCACTCTGATGGATCCAGTGGCGCCACCCAGACCAGTAAACTGGCTCCTCTGGTCTTGTGGCCACCATCCAGGAGCTGACTCAGAGCAAGAGGACAGCCTGGACTCCCTGTGATTTCATCCTCAACCCAACCAATCAGCACTCCCCATTCCCTAGCCCCCTGCCTGCAAGACTGTGTTTCAGGGAGGCTAATGTGAGTAATAATAAAGCTTCAGTCTTCCATTTAGCCTGCTCTATGTGTATTAAACTCTTCCATTCAGCCAACTCTGCACGAATTAAACTCTTTCTCCATTGCAGTTCTCCTGTCTTGATAAATTGGCTCTATCTGGGCAGCAGGCAAGAAGAACTTACTGGGCAGTTACAGATGCACACCATATACCATGCAAGATAAAGCTTTTAAAATCCACACCCAGTCTGCAAAAGATAGTAATAAAATTGCAGAATGCTAAACTCAGAAAGATCTTAAAGCAGAAAAATGACAGATCATCTACAAAAATTATTAGCAACATACCTTTATACAGCAACAGAAACTAGACAATTGTGGAACAATATCTTCAAAGTGATAAGCGAAAATAAATGAGAATTGCATGTGCAGCAAAACTACTTTAAAAAAAAAATAGGGGAATAGATGGCCAGGCACGGTGGTGCTCGCCTGTAATCCCAGCACTATGGGAGTCTGAGGCAGGTGGATCATTTGAGGTAAGGAGTTCGATACCAGCCTGGCCAACTTGGTGAAACACCATCTCTACTAAAAATATACAAATTCACCAGGTGTGGTGGGCACCTGTAATCCCAGCTACTCAGGAGGCTGAGGCAGGAGAATCGCTTGAACCTGGGAGGTGGAGGTTGCACTGAGCCAAGATCACGCCATTGCACTCCAGCCTAGGCTACAGAGGGAGTCTCCGTCTCAAAAATAATAATAATAAATAGGGGAAAAGGTATACAAACTTATTTAGTGTGTACACATGGGAACCTTCAGAATGAAGACCCAACTTCTCAATGTGGTACAGCAGCTTACCTGCTATCTTGAGGTTACAGAAAGAATGGGGGCTTGAATCCGGATAGAATGGGTTATGGGAATGGGGAGGAGAATAATTGTATTGAGGGGCAATAAATGATCACCAGGGAAAATGGTTGGATCAGGGAGCAGAAATTAACTTGTAAGTAGTTCTTGGAATGTAAATGATCCTTAGAGACAGTCATTATCTCAAAAAGGTTCCGTTCAGGTGTGGTTACATTCTTGGTCTTCTTTCCTGTAATGGATAATGAGATAACGGAGGAGAACAAGAGCAATTGTTCTCCTCGGTGGATCATTCCTATCTTTATGTAGGTGGGAAAAGCCTCTTCTAGTGCTTGTTGATCTCTAAGGGTGTTGAATTCAACATACTCACTATACCAGGGAGCCATATTTTGGGGTGAAATATTTCAGTCATCACTTTGAAACTTAAAAAAATTCACATATTAAAAGACAAGCAGATAGCTTTGGAGAAATTTGTTTTAGAGCTTGTTAGAGATAGACAAAGAAATGGAAAGACAAATTGGAAGGAACAGAAAAGAGCAAATTTAAATATATCATCCTCGTATCTTCTTTAGTCAGTCTCTTAGTCCTGAGAATAGATCAGTTAAACAGCTGTGTCTCATTCTAGGAGGTGGCATTGCAGACAGGGTGGGCCACTATATATGATGCAGGCAAACAGATCTTTAATAGGAGGCATTTCTACAGAAACAGAAGGAAAGCAAAGGTGAATGTCCTGGAGCAGTTGATAGACTAGTTTTTCTAGAGTCTCTCAAGCATCTTCAGGTTGCAGTAGCAACCTGACAGATTTTTCTGGATTGTGGCTCGAATCGGGTGTTCAAGTGAACTTTCTGAGAAGTCCATACATCATCAGGCAGGCACAAAAGTTGTATATATATATATATTAATTACATATGTTGCTATTGTTTCTCCCGAAGTTTAAGTTGCTAGCTTCAGTTTATAGAGCTTTAAGAAAAGCACAGTTTTAATTTCTAGTGATTCCAAGTCAGAAAAATGGAAGAAAATTTTGAAAACAGTTGTTTGGAGACTCAGCAAAATTACTTTTAAGAATAAGTGTGAAATAAAGAATTTCCAGGTAAACATTATGTATGAACAAGAAAATGAACAATACAGGGGGTGCTATGCTTAAGCTTCTTTCTGGGCTTTATACCAGGAACACTTTTATGTGAAAAAGAAAAAGATTTAAGTATGAGATTAACATTTACTCCACTGAGTGACAAAGAAGGTTTTTTCATGTTCTCTGACTCTCTGGGAATTCAGGAAACAATTGAGTTATTGGTGGTTTAAAATGTCAGAGAGCAGTAATCACTTGCACAATGTGCTTCCCACTCTCAATTACTTCAGGCATTGTCTGATTTTGAGGCTATTCTTGAGAACTAAAATGTTTTTCTAGTGTATATTGTGTAGTTTCCACGTGCTCAGTATGACTAATGCATTAGTCACAGGTTACACTATGAGAGACTGAAGAAAAGACAGTCTTGATCTCTAGAACGACCTTGCTTCCCAAGTCTAAATTCCTCCTCTCCAACCAATGATTCCCCTCTGCCTCCACCTCTGAGACTGGTTCTTTTCCTGGCAGGAGATACTTACTGAGCAGGTATTTGCCAATTCTTGAAGCCTTTAGTTCAGTAAGAAATCTCCACCCTCCTTCTTATGCAGACATTCTCTCTGGATTCCTCACCCCTTTTCTGGTAATCTCTTGTCTATCGGTGGGAAAATATGTGAGCCCAACTGTTAGAGAATCGAGAAAGGAAGAAACAAGAGAAAAAATTAGGTGGGGTTGATGCAACTTGAACAAAAATATTTTGATCTGTGCTTTTTGTAATATGGAAAAGCATGAACCAACCCATGTATCCCACAATCAGGAACTAGCTTAGCAAATTTGAGCACGTGAAGAAAATGGAATATTATATTGCCTTGCCTGATGACAAATGCAAGGACTATGTGACCAGTGGCTACTTGGGGACTATAGGGCTATCAAACTGCTTACGTAAGCTAAAGTCAACTCATAAACTTAGAGTGCAGACTCAATTATGCACGCAGGTTACAAATACGGAAAAATCAGACAGATAGCCAAGAACTGAAAGAGAATATAGAATCTTCTAACTTAGTAAATTAATAGTGAAAGTGTTTTCATATTGTTTTTGTTGCTTCCATGTTTCTTGCAGTGTTTTTCATGTAAAGGGAGTTACATTTTTATTTTAAATGGTGGGCTGAAAAAATATGGTGAATGTACTAAACTCTGAACAGGAGACAAATCAGTAATTTCTACAAGAAAATTAACTATAACAAATTAGTAACAGGGGATTGAAGTGATGAAAGACTGGCTAGTAACCGGTAAAGAGAGCTCTAAAGAATATAGGAATAGCTGATACAGACAGCAGCTATCTCCCCTAGGACTGAGATAGAGCATTCAAGGAAGAGCTGAGATCCAGGCCTCATGGAAGAGGGTCTGGCCAGGGCTTTCAGGATGGGGGAAAAGTTCATGAGGGGCCTCACTGCTGAGGCTGTCCAGAAACCTGTCTCTGGAGTGCTTAGGAAGGCACCCACTGCAAAGCTGCCCAAGCGGGTGCCAGGGAAGCCATCCAAGGGGCGGTACCCCATTTTGTGCACCCTACTGCAAAGCTTCCTGAGGGGGATCTGGCAGAGGTCATTCACAGGGAGGTGCCCAGGGAAGCTGTCTGCAGGAAGGCATCTCAGGCTGCTGGCCACCTGGGGCTGCAGAGAAAGCTGTCCAGGCTGCAAGAGCCTGAGAAAGCAAGCCCCCTGGAACTAGGAAGAGCAGCCATTTTCTCTCACAATGTCCCTCCAGGACTTCCTGCTGACAAAGCCTAACCCTCATCATTCTCGAAGAGCGAGTAATGAAGGGTGAATTTGGAGCTGAGAGGCAACCAATTGATAATTGTCACAGTGAATTAAGCTGCTGGTGGAGCTTGGGCCATACATATGTTCATTCCAGGCTCAGAGCCCTGGATTTTCCTATCAGAAAGCCAAGCTCATGCAGAAAGCCTGAGCTAGTGATCAGACAGCCCAGCAAGCTGGTTCTTAACTTTCCTTGTGTGCAATATCTTATGAAAGCTCGCTGGCTTTCCATATGAGTCATTAGTATCATGTGCCAGGCCCTAAAATATATATACTTTACATATAATATATATGTTTATATATATTCTTTTTTAAAAATATCAACTGTTATTTTAGATACAGGGGGTACACATGCCAGTTTGTTACATGGGCACATTGCACCTAGTTTGTGAGCATAGTGCCTAATAGGTAGTTTTTCAACCCACATCCTGCTTCTTCCCTCCTCCCTCTAGTAGTCCACAGTGTCTGTTGTCCGCATGTTTATGACCATGTGTGCTCAATGTTTAGCTCCCACTTATAAGTGAGGACACGGGTATTTGTTTTTCTGTTCCAGCATTAATTCATTTAGGATTATGGCCTCCAGCTCCATCCACATTGCTGCAAAGGACATGTTTCATTCTTTTTTATGGCAGTATAGTATTCCACGGTGTATATGCACCACACTTTCTTTATCCAGTCCACTGCTGATGGGCACCTACATTGTTTCCATGTCTTTGCTACTGTGAAGAGTGCTGTGATGAACATACAGGTGCATGTGTCTTTTTGGTATAATGATCTGTTTTCCTTTGGGTAGATACCCAATAATGGGATCGCTGGGTCAAATGGTAGCTCTGTTTTAAGTTCTTTGAGAAATCTCCAAACTGCTTTCCACAGTGGCTGAACTAGTTTACATTCTCATCAACACTGTATAAGCACTCTCTTTTCTCCACAGCCTCACCAGCATCTGTTGTTTTTTACTGTTTCATAGAAGCCATTCTGACTGGTGTGAGATGGTATTTCACTGTGGTTTTGATTTGCATTTCTCTGATGATCAGTGATGATGAACTTTTTTCATATATTTGTTGGCTGCTTGTATGTCTTCTTTTGAGAAGTATCTGTTCATGTCCTTTGCCCATTTTTAATGGAGTTATTTGGTTTTTGCTTGTTGATTTAAGTTCTTTATAGATTCTGGATATTAGACCTTTGTCACATGCATAGTTTGAGAATATTTTGCAACCC
The DNA here is from genome assembly GCF_000001405.40 of Homo sapiens. Lineage (NCBI taxonomy): Eukaryota > Metazoa > Chordata > Mammalia > Primates > Hominidae > Homo > Homo sapiens. Next base: position 110,540,066 of record NC_000006.12, read on the forward strand.
ATTCTGTAGGCTGTCTGTTTTACTCTGTTGATGGTTTCTTTTGCTGTGCAGAAGCTCTTTCATTTCATTAGGTCCCACTTGCCAATTTTTGTTTTTTGTTGCAATTGCTTTTAAGGGCTTAGCCAAAAATTATTTGTCAAGGTCAATGTTGAGAAGGGTATTTCCTAGGTTTTCTTCTAGGATTTTTATAACTTGAGGTCTTATATTTAAATCTTTAATCCATCTTGAGAAAACTTTTGTATACGGTGAAAGGTAAGGGTCTAGTTTTATTCTTCTGCATATGGCTAGCCAGCTATCCCAGCATCATTTATTGAATAGAAAGTCCTTTTTTTTTTTTTTTGGTCAGCCTTGTTGATCAGATGGTTGTAGGCACACAGCTTTGTTTCTGAGCTTTCTATTCTGTTCCATTGGTCTATGTGTCTGTTTTTGTGCTGGTATCATGCTGTTTTGGTTACTGTAGCCTTATAGTATAGTTTGAACTCAGGTAGAGTGATGCCTCTGGCTTTGTTCTTTTTACTTAGGATTGCTTTGGCTATTTGGTTCCATATGAATTTTAGAATAGTTTTTTCTAATTCTGTGAAGAATAACATGGTAATACGATAGGAATAGCTTTGAATCTGTAAATTGCTTTGGGCAGTAGGGGTATTTTAATGATACTGATTCTTCCAACCCATTTGCATGGAATGTTTTTCCATTTATTGGTGTCATCTCTGAGTTCTTTCAGCAGTGTTTTGTAGTTCTCCTTGTAGAGATCTTTACCTCCTTGGTTAGCTGTATTCCTAGGTATTTCATTTTGTTCATGGCTATTGTAAATAGGACTGTGTTTTTTATTTGACTCTCAGTCTAGATATTTTTAGTGTATAGAAATACTACTGATTTTTGTACATTAATTTTGTATCCTGAAATCATACTAGAATCATTGATCAGTTCTAGTAGCCTCTTGGCAGAGTCTTCAGGGTTTTCTAAGTATAGAATCATACAGTCAGTGAAGAGAGGTAGTTTGACTTGCTTTCCTATTTGGATGACTTTTATTTCTTTCTCTTGCCTTATTGCACTGGCTAGGTCTTTCTATATATATATTCTTATCTTCCCCAAGGCAGACTGAACCAAATGGGTCTTTCCATTCTTGTGATTTCAAACATGCTATATAACAGTACAAATATGCCTTTCAGGTATTAATATACTATGTTAAGGAAAATAATGAATAAAGAACACTGTAAAAATATTTAGTGTCTGCATAAATGCACATGTCATGGTTTTAAAGTTTCTGTCCCATACTCTTTGACAATGGAGTGATCAAGCACGTGGGCCCTCAGCTACTTACTGTGTGACCTTGGGCAAACTATGTACCCTTCTGTTCCTCAATTTCCTCGTCTGTAAAGTGGATATAATAATAACATTTACTTCACAGGATTGTTGGGAGGTTTAAATGAAGTAATATATGTAAAGCTGTTAGGACAGGGCCTAGAGAGAGTAAGCACTCCACATGTTAGGTATTTGTATTAATATTTGAGAATGTCAATACGCAGACCCTTCTGTGCCCAGACCCCTCTCGAGTCCCCTACAATCTCTGCCAGTCTCCTTCCTTAGAATGTTCACCTTCCTCACAAACTGTGTGGCTTCTAAACATTGTGTGCCTCCTAAGGGGCACCTGGGCATGGTGCCACCACCAAGCCATGCTGATAGCCCATCACTGGCCACGCAGGACACAGGCCCACTCTTCTATCATCAATGCTGAACAGAAAGGCTGAAAGCCAAAACAAGTAAACTGGCCTCCACACAACCGATCCAAACAGCCTGGGGCCTGGCAGTGCCAGGGGAAGAGCTTGAAAGGAAAAACAACCAAAAACAACACACAAGCTTATCTTTGTCATGGCTGACCCAGCTCACAGCCAGGCACGGAAACAGAGTGGCTTTATAAGAAAATGCCTTTCTTTCCACGCAGTAATTGAATCCAGTTGTGGCTTGAGGTTATACATTAGTGGGGTTTTAAAAAGGTTTGTCTCTTAGACAATTCTGCTCCAGCTGAGCAATCTTATATTTCTGTTAAATTCCTGTGAAGCAGCGTGCTAAATCATCCATCATATCATATAATCCTTTGGGATCTGACTCTCACACTCACCCAACAGATAAGCCAGGAATCCTTTAGGCTCTTTAAAAGCTAAACCTCTTGAGTGGAGTCCAGGACAACCCCTCTGGATACAGAATTCTGCTTTGCAGTAAATAGCATTTGGGGCAGTTCTAGGGCCGCTGAATTTTCAGAAGGCTTCAGGTTGACTTTAGCACCATTCCTCTTCAAGAGGGCTCTCTCTCCTTGTCCAATCAATACTCTTCTGGCGACCCCCTAAGGGGGAAGAGCTCAGCGGTGGCTAGGACAGGATGTTTCAGAGTCAGATTGGGTTGCATCTTGTCCCATGGCTATCACTGCCGGCTGACAGCACACTTCACTGCTAATGAAATGAAACAGTCCCTCTTCTAGCAACTGCCACCCACATCAGGACAGCAAGTCTTACACCACCAGTTGGAGTCCTGCCCTGGAGCCCTCAGGGGCACAGATTCAAAGGCCGTCGCCAGAAGCTCTTCACTAAAGCAGGCTTTTTACGAAGTTTTAATGACTTTGGTCATCCTGCAATGATAAAAAGATCCACATGGGCACTAGAGTGGGATATGGGTTGAATTAAGAAGAGTGAAGTGTCTTTTGTAGACATGAGTACGCACTCTGTGCACTGGACTCTGGTTGTGTGAAAGCTACAAAGAGTGTGCAGTCTCTCCTGTCCTCGGCACCTTATGTGCCTCTGTCCTCCAGCTTCTCCCTGGTTTCAAAACACTTTCACTCAGGGTGCTGGGCGGAAAGGAAATGGCACATATAGACACTTGGGAGAGTTTAGTAAAGACGCTATTTGCAAAGGTGTGAGCAGGGTATGGGGTTGGGGGCTGGGGGGAGGGCTCCACCCCTGGCCTGAGGGTGAAGGGAACAGGCACTAGATCCAGAGACAGCAGAGTGGGAACTAACAGGAATCGTGACACAGCCGACAGGGTGACCCCACAGCGAGGTGCAGGGGAATCCAGCCCCTGCAGCTTCAACCTCTGCTCTCCTGGGGGGGGCTCCCTAGCCACAGCCCACCAGAAGCCAGAGGGCAATGGGGCCTGTGGATGGCGCCATACGAGTCAGCCTCTGCCCTGCTCATGCCAGCTCTCCCCTGGCACTGCCAGGCCCCAAGCTGTCTGGTTTGGTTATAGGGGAACCAGTTTGCTTGTTTTGGCTTTGGGCCATTTTGCCCAGGGCATGAGCAGAGCAGAGGCTGGATCTGGAAGAGCCAGTGGGAGGCACGCAGCATACACACCACACCTGGAGACGTCTAGAACTCAGGGACTAGGTTTTACTCATCTTTATATTCTAGAGCCTGGTGCATAATGGCACATGATGTATTTTTTTCAGAACAAATGTTAGAAAGAAAGAATGAATGAAAGCGTACATACATACGTGGACATGTAGCAGCACCAGGTGGCAGGTGAGGAAGTTCCAGAGGCGATACTATTGCACAGGAAGGAAACTGTCACGGGAGAGAGAACTCTGTGGCCTGGAGCAAGTGGAAGTGGCTCTATGGGGGAAGAAGGAAAGTTCGTTCTTAAAGGAGTGTGTGGTAGGTCAGCAGAGAGGGCATTCCAGGTGGAGGAAGCAGGAGCATGGAGGCAGGAGTGGGTGCCGTGTGTCCAGGAAACAACAGTGCAGTGTGGTCAGAGTGGGAGGTTCATGCAGAGACCAGGAGGTATTAGGGGGAGCAGAATACAGAAGGGTCTGGGTGGTGGCCAAGGAGTCCAGGATGTCCCCTGAATATGGTGGGCAAGCACTGGGACCCAGGCAACGGAGCAGCTGAGGGCAGGCCAGGAGGTACAAAGACCAGAGGTTCCAGATAAGGACTCTTGGGCAAGCCAGCTCGAGAAAGAAGGGCAGAGGTGCATGAAGTGAGAAAGAAGCAAAGGACTCAGTGCCTCGCTGGCCCGGGGAAGATGGAAGAGAAAGGCAGGCACCAGGACCAGTGAGGCTGGGTCTGGGTGGCTGGGAAGTGACAGTGTTGGCAGCGCAGAACCCTGCTGCAGTCTCTCCCAGGGCCACCCTGCCCAGCAGTCTCCCCTAGGGCTGCCAGACAACAGCACACAAGAGGACTGGAGCGGCTCCTGGAGGTTCTTACACCTTGAAAGTCCCCAAGGAAAAATGTTTCCCAGGCACAGGAGGGAGGGCAGCTATGTCAGCTCTCCCTAGACCAAGATCCCTCACCTCCTTTGGTCCTCAAAAATAGAACCTCAGGTCTGGCTTGGAGGAGGATCTCAGCCAGAGCAACACCTATCTCCACCCAGGCAGAGTCAGGGGGAAGACAGGGATCGCCATTCCTCAGGTGCCTGGCCCTGAGGTCCCCTGTGCAGTCCAGTCTCCCTGGTTGCTGAGAGCTGACACCTCATGACCCTTAGAAGGGTTGGGACAATCCCCATCAGCAGCTCAAATGCACAGCAGTTATCAGAGGGAGGTCTCCCTGGCACCCTGCCCTTTGCCACATGCTGCCCTGCTCGGTCACAGGCCCCCCGTCACCTGGTCTGTGTGCCAGGGCAGGAGTGGGACTCCAGGGAGGAGCTCCCCTTGCAAGCCCTGGGCCCCGCTGGCGCCAATGTCCCAGCTTAAAAAATGAAAGTAAAAGAGAAAGATATCAGTACGAAAATATTTGTTGACTTTCTATCTTCTGGGGTAAAAGTGTGAGAAAAAAATTTAAAAAGAAATAAAATATCTGTGGATTTTCTAAAACCCACTGGGAACGAGACAGGAAAAAAATGAAGACAAAGTTATCACTATGAGAGAAATACTGTCCTGTGAATTTAAGCCCCAAGTGAATAAACTCATAATAAATGATTGTGTTGGCCCCGGGTGGGGTGTGGAAAATGAGAAGCCTGAGACACAGCCCCACTGCTCAGGACCTCAGACTGTGGCCAAGCTCCCCACCCCTGTTAGATTCCTAGGGCTGCTTTAACAAATCACCACAACAAATATGGTGGCTGCAGACCACAGAAATACACTCTCCCACGGTTCTGAGAGGGCAGAGGTCTGAAATCAAGGCGTCAGCTGTGCCATGCTTCCTCCAAAGGCTCTAGGGGAGAATCCTTCCTGTCCTTTCCAGCTTTTGGTGATACCCAGCTTTCCTTGGCTTGTGGCTGCATCGCTGCCAACTTTGCCTTTATCTTCACATGGGCTCCTCCTATTCTCTCTGTCTTCTCCTCTTCTGCCCTTTATAAGGACACTTGTCATTGGATTCAGGACCCACCTGGATAATCCAGATGATCTCATCTCAAGATCCTTATGAATTACCTCTGCAAAGATCCTCTTTCTAAATAAGGTCACATCCACAGTTCCAGGAGCTAGGACGTGGACGTACCTTTTTGGGGGCCATCACTTACCCACCACCTGGCCCCCATCTTCAGTCTCACCTTCACCGTGTTGTTTCTAGGTTGAGTTGTTTCCAGGTTGAGTTGAGTGTGAGACTCCACAATGAAGGCGGGAACAAAGGTAGGGGGCAGCTGGTGGGTAAGCGATGGCCCCCAGAAAGATAAACAAGTTGCCTCATCGAAACAAACGAAAAAACAAGTTCTTTCTTTCCTGTTACCCGTTAAGCTGAGTCACTCATGCTTTCCCTCCTTCACTTAGCTATCACATTTCTCCAAAGTGTGGTTTGTATCAATACTTCTGTTTTTGACCTACCACTTACTTTTCAAAGCAATTTATTATGTTTTAAGCATACAGAAACATGTAGAGAACAATATGATTTTTTTAAATGTTAATGTTTTTCTCTCATTTACTCATTTATAGAGAAATATAACATAGAATTTTCCATTTTAATCATTTTGAAATGTATGGTTCCATTAATGATTCCCACTCACTTTTAAATGTTTGGAATTGAGAGAACTCTTACTGGACAGGGATGAGGGTAAAAGCCAAAGTCTGCCAGTGTCCATCCTCAACCTTCTCAGCCCTTTACTAAATCAGATACTGCTAACCACACCACTCTTTTTTTTTTTTTCCTGAGACAAGGTCTCATTATGTCACCCAAGCTGGAGTGCAGTGGTATGATGGCTCACTGCAGCCTCGACCTCCTGGGCTCAAGCAAGCCTCTTGCCTCAGTCTCCTGAGTAGCTGGGACTACAGGTGCCCACCACTGCCCCAGATAACTTTTTTTTTTTTTTTTTTTTTTTTTTTTTTGTAGAAATGTGGTCTCAGTATCTTGCTCAGGCTGGTCTTGGACTCCTGGCCTCAAGTGATCCCCCTGTGCCTTGGCCTCCCAAAGTGTTGAGATTACAGCCACCACACCTGGCCCACCCTTTTCTTAAAACTCCTCCCTCAGCTTCGCAGATCTCTGTCCTTTCCTTTCTCTACTATTTCTCTAGCCCCCTTCCTCTACTATTTCTCTAGCCCCCTTCCTCCTCATCTTCCTGGACTTGTCTGAGTTCCACTGAAGGCTGGACTTGTCTCTGAATCCACATTTGTATTTCCAACTGTCTTCTACGCATCCCTACAAAGATGTCCTATTGAAACCTCAAACTCAGTATGTTCAAAAGTGGACCCATGATCCCTTCTTTCAACACTTGTGCTTCCTCCACGTTCGCCCCAATCTGTACACAGCACCACCACCCATGCAGTCACCCAGTGCAGCACCATCTTGTCCTTCGTTATCCACTCTGACCCATAACTTCCATCTCTATAGTAGCTTCTCCCTCCTGACGTCTTTTCCATTCTGACTCTTGATGCTAACGCCTGCCTTCCAGTGTCAGCCTGGGACTCTATAGTAGACATCTCACAGGCTTGCCTATGTCCACCCTCTGTTTCTGTTCTATTTCCTATATTGTTAATAAATTGTTCTCCCTAAAACAGTTCTGGCCAGGCACAGTGGCTCACACCTATAATCCCAGCACTTTGGGAGGCTGAGGTGGGTGGATCACTTGAGCCCAGGAGCTCAAGACCAGCCTGGACAACATGGCGAAACCCCCTTTTCTACAAAAAAAAAAAAAAAAAAGTACAAAAATAAGCCAGACTTGGTGGCATGCACCTGTGACCCCAGCTACTCGGGAGGCTGGGGTGGGAAGATGGATGGCTTAAGCCCAGGAGGCAGAGATCGCAGTAAGCTGAGATCGTACCACCGCACTCCAGCCTGGGCAACTGAGAGAGACTCTGTCTCAAACAAACAAACAAACAAACAGACAGACAAACAAACAGAAAACACAATTCTGATACATCTAGTCAAAAACCTTCATTAACTCCCACTACTTTGAGAATAAAGCCTGAACTCCATGGCTGAACCTTCAATGCTCCCTGAGGTGGCCCTGTCCCTCCACCCCCATGCCACATTTCCTTTGCTCCAGTCAAACAGCCATGCTGCCTTTTCTCTGCACACATCCCAGGCTTCCCTCCTTACCTGTCCCCATGCAGAGTGTGAGTTTCACATTATTCTAAAAGACCTCTTTTCTTTCTGTTAAAATAAGCATAACAAAATAAGAGATACTGACTGAACAGAAGACTGTCAAATTCCACAAACTGGAATCATCCACCTCTTATTTCCTGTACCAAATAAAAAACACATCCCAGATTCTTCTTCTGTGACAGGGTTACAAACAGAGCTTTGTATGCTCATGGAATTCACCAGCTAAGAGTGGAACCATCGCCTTTTGAAGACTCAAACATTTTCTTGGTGACTCACCTGTGGGGGAATGCATCAACCTTCCTGCTTCTAATTTCTTTGACAGAAAAGGGGCTCTGGTAGCAAACACTATCACTTCAAACTTGAAATCTTGTGAATGAGGTTTCTAGGATGTCCAATAGTGCTAAAGATGTGATGCAAAAATTAAATGGAAACTTCAGCCTGCAGAAATGATGGGAGACACAAAGAGGATAGACTCTCAGGTGTTTCACTGCATGTTTATTTCTTGTACATTTCAGTTCCCAAGCCCTAGGCTTTACCAGGAGATGACATCAGAATGCTTTTAAGAAGCCCCTACATCTCACCAGTTCAGCCACACCAAAAGGAATGAATTCTTTGGAAAACCTAGGTGTGGCATCCTTTCATCCATTTGGAAAGACCTAAGTAGTATATCTTTGTGTCTATATAATAGCTGAAGTTTTAGATTCTTCTTTTGGATCCTTTTTCCACTTAGTGCTATTTCTGTCCCTGCAGTCGCTGAGATGTTCAAAAGCAGCTGAAGCTGCAGCTTTTGAAGCAGCAGGAGCACTCTGGGCACTCAAAGCCCTCAGAAATTCAGCCAAACACAAGTTAGGGAATTTTAGGTTTTCTTAGCCAAGAAGGGCACTCCGGTACATACAACCTGGGCTTGACCACTTGGTGGGCACTACTAGTGCTGTCACTGTTGGAAGGTTATACAATCTCTCTCAGCCTCTTTTTCCTCCTTTGGAAATGAAGAGTACTAAGATTGCTTTGTAGAGTTGTTGTAAGGATTAAAAATAACAACACATCAAGAGCCTAGCTCAGGATCTGGCACTGAAAAGGTTCTCAGTTAATAGTAAAATTGTTTATTTATTTATTTATTTATTTATTTATTTATTTATTTATTCATCTATTTATTTTATTTTTTTGAGATGGAGTCCCACTCACTCTGTCGCCAGGCTGGAGTGCAGTGGCAGAATCTTGGCTCACTGCAACCTCTGCTTCCCAGTTTCAAATGATTCTCTTGCCTCAGCCTCCTGAATAGCTGGGATTACAGAAGTGCTCCACCAAGCCCAGTTAATTTTTGTATTTTTAGTAGAAATGGGGTTTCAGCATGTTGGCCAGGCTGGTCTCAAACTCCTGACCTCAAGTGATCCTTCCACCTCGGCATCCCAAAGTGCTGGGATTACAGATGTGAGCCACCACACCCGGCCATAAAATTATTTTTAACACTGTAAATTTTGGGTGAAAAGGAAGACTAGGTTGTCCTTCCTTAAGAATCCCTTGTGTATATATAAGATATAAGGGATTTTTCTTTAAAGAAAAATAACCCGTCTATTAGTTAATGTATACCCTTCAGATTTGTGTCCTGGGAACACACGTTTGCAGTTGATCTATTTTAACACTCTTAAATTTTTAATATTATTTTCCGTCATTTCTTAGGTATGACACTGACAATTCTTACATTTAAAAGCAAAATCTTCACGTTTGTCATATCCTTCCATAGGCAAGGAGAGTTTCACTGTCTATGGGAGATGAATGCCTCAAGGATATTCCCACTATTCCCAGAACAGAGCTCGACCTTCATCCAAGGGCCCTCCTCTGCCCCCACTTTTACTTCCTGTGGGCTGGGTGAGGCTTCATCCCAACTCCAGGGATCCACCAGGTGGCCCAGATGAGGCCACAGTGAAGATCGGGCATAGTCATTGGTTCAGAGATGGGCATGTGACCTACACCAAGCCAATCAGAGAGTCCCTAGGGCATTGTGGGAGCCACTAGAAAAGACCTTCACTCTTCCCTGCAGGACACAAACCTGAGAGGGCAGGAAGTCCACGCTGCCACCACGGGGTCACCACAGGGAGCCTGGTGGGGACACAGGTAGGAAGGCAGGCCAAGCAGTGAGCGACATTCAATGAGGGACATTCAATGGAACAGAATGAGGTTTGAGCACTGGAGGAAAAATCCAGAGTTGAAATAGCAGAAGGGGCAAAGGGTGAAGGAATTAAAGGATGAAAGAGAAGACCAGGGGAAGAGGAGCCTGAGAACGGAGGGAAGGATTAAACAGGGAAACCGAAGGAGGCAAAGGAGAGGAGCAGCCTCCCGAGCCTCCCCTGAGGCCCAGCTCCTCCCATGCCTCCACCTCCTTCTCAAGGTCCTCCTCCTCCACCACTACTAGCTAGAAATTCAGCTACTAGAGTTTAAAAACTTGCAACTTCCCTGGTATAGCTTCCTTTTGGGAAGTTATTCGAAGGAATTATAAATTATGCACAAAAAATTATGAGTAAAGGTGTTCATCACACCTTATTTAAGATAACAGAAAGTTGTAAACAATATAAATGTCCCACATATGCGTATGGAATATTAATCCATTTTGTTTGTATATACATATATATATGTATATATATAAATATTTCATACTCGATCTTAGAGGAAATACACAAAAATGTTATTAACAGTGGCTGTTTGGTAGTGAGATTATGAGAAGTATTTGTTTATTTATTTGCTTATTTGTACATTCTACCTGATTGTATAACGAACATGTATTATTTGCAGAGTAAAAAGAATAGAAAATAACCAAATGTCAAGACTGCAACTGGGGTGGAGCCAAGCTGCTGCGGATGTTGCCAAGGGCCCTTCCCGGGAGAGCCAGGTGGGGTACCCACATGCCACCTTCTCCTCAGGTGGAGCCACCGCCTGTGGCCTCCTGTGGGGCCAGCCTGGACTGCAGCTGCCAGGACCTAGTGATGGCCCCAAACCTGAGAGTGGGCCCAGAGTCCCACCCCGCTAACCATGCTGAAAAAGGCCACAGGGCACATGAAGCCTTTGCTCCCTGGATCAGGTCACGCTCTCCAGTTTTCCTTCCAGGAGGACAGGCCATGCACTAAAAAACAGCTGCAGAGGAAAGGCTGGACCAGGTGTGCTGGGAGTCACCAGGAGCAAGGTGGTGAAGGTGAGTTTTCTCCTGAGCCCCTCCTGGGACTCATTAGCACCTCACCATCTGCTGGGAACCATCTTTACAAATGTAATTGTGCCTGTTGGGGGAAGACAGGTTTTTTGTTCTTTTGTTTTGTTTTTTTTTGTTTGTTTGTTTTCTTAAAGACAGAAAAGGCTTTTTCATTTTCTGAAGCCCTTTCAAATGTGCTCAACCTTATCCAGAGGGTAGCAGATCTGTTAATTACATCTTGGGCGGGTCCAAAATTTTACCACTGTTTTCAGGTATTAACCCTCAGTCCACTTTAAAACATTAATTCCAAACGATTCTACTCTCACCTCATCTCCCAGCGCCACTGCCCTCTCCCGGTCCAGTGCAAGCTTGGACCTGGACCCTGAATGAGGGAGGTCTATTTCTGGGACACTCCTCCACTCTCGCTTTCCGCTTTGGGAAATAGTTCCTCTAGTGCGCTGGGCTGAGAGGTAGGACAGAGAAAGGGCAGAGGGTCGTAAACTAACAGGGCAGCGGTAGCCTTCTCTCTAGTGGTAGCCTTCTCTCTAGTGGTAGCCTTCTCTCTAGCGGTGTCCCACTGGGACTGGCTGTGAGGCAGGCATCGACGTGCTAGCCTTCTCTGGAAGACACATCTGGGTTCTTTTAGAGAGACTTGCAGGGCACGGATATGGTAAATCCAGGCTCAACCACCTCCATGCCCCTCAACTCCCATGACTGGATATGTACTCTACGGACTCTTTGAGCTCCCCGGTAAATAGGAGAGAGAACCCTGTTGGGGTAGGGATGGAACAAATCCAGCTGCCTTCTAAGTAGCATCCACTTGAACTGCAGGAAATGCGTTTTCTGGCCCTGACCAACTGGGTGAGTTCAGACTGCCCCTGCAGCTCTTCTTTGTGCCCTTTCTTCTTTCTCCAAGACCCTCCTCTATCCCTAATGATGTATGAATAAGCCAGCAAATCCTTTTCCTAATCAAATGTCCAACAGGGGAGCTACTTTACATTCCAATATTTGTGGAATCATTTTATTAGAACCTTACTAGGGAGGAAAGCACAGCCACCCCATTTCCCATAACCACAGGAAGGGCAGGAAGTCCCCTCTCCTCACACGTCCTGTGCTCCAGTGACCCTTAGACTTATTTCTCTCTCTCCCTCCTTCCCAGTCTTACTGGGTAGAAGGTGGAGTTGGCGGTAACACAGCCACATATGTCACCTCTTAGGAATCCTTGGTTCTCAGCTCTGGTGGGTGTCAGCTCAGGCAAAGAGTACTTCTCTGTCCTCACTTTTGGGTCCTGGAAGCCTCCACAGAAAGACTCCCCATTCATAGCTTGTTGCATGTTTAGAGTAGTTGAAGTTCCACTTCCAGAACTCTTCATTCTTTTTGTAGAGCCAGAATTTTATCTGGTATCATTGTCCTTCTGCTTGAAGGACATCCCTTAACATTTCTTATAGTATAGGTCCTCAGAGGATCATTTTTTAAGCTTTTGTATGTTTGAAAAAGTATTTTGCATTTGTTTTTGAAAGACATTTTTGCTGGGTATAGAATTAGTGGCCATTTCATGTGAAAGACAAAAAAAAAAAAACACCCAAAAACCTAGAATTCTAGGTTGACAATATTTTTCTCTGATTACTTTAAAGATTATTGTTCCTCTGTCTTCTCACTTGCTTGCTTCTGACATGAACTCTGCTGCCATTCTTATCTTTGTTCTCCTGTTTCTAACATAATTTTTTTCCTGTTGTTAATTTTAAGATTTTCTCTTTATCACTGGTATTGAGCAATTTGATTATGATGTGTCTTGTTATAATTTCCTTCATGTTTCTCTTGCTTGAATTTTATCTTGCTGAGTGCTGGATATTCTTTTTCTTTTTATTTTTTTGAGACGGAGTCTCACTTTGTCTCCCAGGCTGGAGTTCAGTGGCGTAATCTCAGCTCAGTATAACCTCTTCCTCCCAGGTTCAAACGATTCTCCTGCCTCAGCCTCCTGAGTAACTGGGACTACAGCACCTCCCCCACCACACCTGGCTAATTTTTGTATTTTTAGAAGACACAGAGTTTCACCATGTTTGAGGCCAGTCTGGTCTCAAAATCCTAACCTCAAGTGATCCACCTTCCTCGGTCTCCCAAAGTGCTGGGATTATAGGTGTGAGCCACCATGCCTGGCCTGGATATTCTTTAAAAAACAAACAAACACACAAAAAAACTTTTGAGTGTTGTTCTAGAACACAGTTAATTTACTTGAAAACAGTTCGATCCTTTCATGACTTGTTTTTTGTTTGTTTGTTTGTTTTGTTTTTTAGATGGAGTTTCCCTCTTGTTGCCCAGGCTGGACAGCGATGCGCGATCTCCATTCACTGCAACCTCTGCCTCCTAGGTTCAAGCGATTCTCCTGCCGCAGCCTCGCGAGTAGCTGGGATTACTGGCCTGTGCCACCACGCCCGACTAATTTTGTGTTTTTAGTAGAGACAGGGTTTCTCCATGTTGGTCAGGCTTGTCTCAAACTCCCGACCTCAGATGATCTACCCACCTCGGCCTCCCAAAGTGCTGGGATTACAGGGTTGACACACCGTGCCCGGCCTTTTTTTTTAAAAAAAAAAAAAAAAAAAAAAGATACAGAATCTCACTATGTTGCCCAGGCTGGTCTTGAACTCCTGGCTTGAACAGTCGTCATGCTGCCTCAGCCCTCACCCTCCTGGATAGCTGGGACTGCAGGCACGCACCACCGTGCCAGCCAAGACTTGCTTTTAAGCCTTGTCAGGAGGGACCACAGGAGACTTTAGAGTAAGCTGAATTGGGCTGCATTACTGAGACAATACTCAGAGTGTTCTACTCAGTGCCCGATGAATTAGAAGGTTTTCAACTGTGGTTGGTGGCCACAGGGGCTATTCTCTGGCTGGTGGGAGCTCTAGGAATGGTTCCCTCTAATCTTTTTGGGTGATTCTTTTTCTGGCCTCATTTCTTTTCCTCACATGCATGTGCTGATCAATACTTTGCTGAAGACCCAAAGATGACACTCTGCAGAGCCCAGAGTTCTCTCCGTGTGCAGCTTTCTTCTCTCCAGTATTCTCTCCTGTGAGTTCTAGGTGCACAAGTGTCCCTGGGACCCCAGCCCCATCCTTCTACACAGGGATATGGCTGTGCTCCACCTGTATTCCATGTCCCTGTTCCATGGCCTGGAAAGTCTCTCCAGGCAGCAAGCTGGGGCAATCACAGGACTCACCTCACTTGTTTCCTGTGCCACCTGTGCTCCAATGTCTGAAAATCGTTGGTTCGAACATTTGGTCTGTTTTTTTACTTGTTTCAGAACCTTAGTTTTAGTGTGCATTTCCTGGAATTCCTGGAATTGTGGATGTTAGCTCTGAGCTTGGCTTTAAAAATCATCTAATTGTATACCTTCCATTTGCCAGTGAAGAAACTGAGATAGGAGAAGGGATGGTGCCTGAGTCTGCGGCAGACCCTGAACTGGGCCACATCTCCCAACTTGAGATTGAAGTCGCTTTGAAAGCAGTGAGTGCCTGGGAGAAAAGAAGGAGCTTGGGGAACTTCAAGTCAAGACTCTTTTGGGTCAGAGATTAAGGAGGCTCTGTTGCTGCCTGTGTCTCACTGTCTTCTTCATTCCAACATCTGCCATGTTTTGTGCAATAATGTTGGCCTCTTGCCTCAATTTCTGCATTGATAATGTAGAGGCTTCCATTCCCTCTGATGCCTTCTACTAAGTCAGTCCCACAATAATTGAAGGATATCATGGAATCTCAGCACCAAGAAGAGGTAGATAGCAGAGCTAGGGTTTGAGCTGAAGCCTCAAGGACCTCCCAAGGGAGCCTGAAGATCATCAGAACCAAGCTATCATTTTATAGAAAAGGAAACTAAAACCTGGGCAGGTTCACTGGTACACTCAGGCAGGCTAAGATCTGGGTGATGCACCTAGACACTCATCTCTGAAAGATACTGGGCTTAAGTCTTACCCAGTCAGCTCTTAAGGGTTTGTATTTTTAATGTATGTTCAGCTCACTGCATCCTTTGCCCGCAAGAACCACTCCAAACCCAATGGAACTCGATATCAGCTTTTCCATGTGTTTTTTGTCCATGTTATCTGAACACTTTTAACAGTTGCTTTGCTTGTTCACCCACACAGTGGGTGAGACTTCCCAACAGGAGCCTGGGGTCACTATGAGGGGAAGTTTTTAGAGAGGAGGGCCAAATGTCAGAGAAGGAGGAAGAAGAAGGAAGGAAGCAATGAAAGCAATAAACCTATTTCTCAGGTCATTTTAAAAACTTCTACTCTGGGACATTGAGCAGATAGTATCTATTTTTCTTTGCTTTGGGTATTTTTAAAGACACTGCCCCTCCCCATTTACTTTAATACAATACTAAGCACACATTTCTCAGCACGTAACAAGTCAGGATGTTCCAGGTTTTGATGCACGGGTCAAACTTTGCTTTGCCTTGTTGACCAGCCTTGTTGACAATAGGGCCTTTCATTGCAGGAGCACATGAATCCGGGCAACGTGACTTAAGAGCTGGCTGATGTTCCAGGACAGCACAAAAGAACGGAACTTGTTTTCATGCTATGAGTGCGCAAACCAATGGGCAGTTTTTGGGGTTACTCGTGATTGCTCCTCGGTCCAGAGTTCAGGCAGCAATCTGAGCCACTCAACTGCTCTTCTTTACCCCTCTACCTCTGCAGTTCATTGGGGGACAGAGCTGGGCCAGGATCCTGGGACAGAAGGAGGAGGCGGGCCCAGGAAAGTCCACTTGGGGTAACACACAATTTGTACATAAAAAAGAAATGTTCACCTCTTTGTATGTACCGTAGTAATTATTTCACCTTCTTTTATGAACTTGCACATTTTCAGAGAGAGTTAAATTAAGCAGAGTCTGAAAGTGGAGAATTCTCACATAGATAAAAGAATGGGGACCTGAAATTGGGTCATCAGGAAGTGTCTTGTGGCAAAATACACTTAGTATCGAACTGAAGGAAGAAATATTTCAAACATTTTCTTTAAGGAAAACTTAATGGATGTGACTTAATATTGTCTAGACTGACCTAGCAGCACAAGGTGGTGCGTTCAAGGACTTTTCATCTCAATCCACAGGAAAAGGGTTCGATTTAGATGAGAAAGAGGGAGCGGGGCACAGCTAGACTGGAGAGGCATCCTGTCCACGGATTAGTCTTCACTCTTCATGTGGGCAGTAGAATGGTAAACGGGACCTTCTTAAAACAGCAGCTCCCAAACACTGGGAGGTTGATGTGCTTCCTAAACCCTCACTGATTCATGATGTTCGGCACAGTGTGGGGCCTCCCGAAAACGGTGCTGATCATATGGAGTTTGTGGAACATCTCCTATGTGTACTACCGGGACTCTACTATCCTCCGTGATCACAATTTCACTGGGGGCCAGTCGCCTAGAAGATCTCACGGGGTGTCCAATCTTTTGGCTTCCCTGGGCCACATTGGAAGAAGACGAATTGTCTTGCACCACATATAAAATACACTAACACTAACGATAGCTGATGAGCTAAAAAAGAAAATTGCAAAAATATCTCAATGCTTTAAGAAAGTTTACAAATTTGTGTTGGGCTGCATTCAAAGCCATCTTAGGCCACATGTGGCCCGTGGGCCATGGGTTGGACAAGCTTGAAGATAGCCATGAGACTACTGATGACAAGAATAAAGGTGGTTTATTGAATCCGTACTGTGTACTAGACTCTTCACATGCAGAGCCTCATTTAATGCTCGTAACAATCTCTTGAGGCTGAGACAAGCATATCCCCCATCTTACAGAGGAAGAAGCCCACTCAGAGAAGCTAAGGAACTAACCCAAGATCACACAACTAGAGTAGGGATTCAAACCCAGACAATGTGGAACCACAGACCACAACTTACCCACCAGCTGTTGTAAGTACACAGGGAAACCAGAGCAGGAGGGCAGAAAAAAGGAGGAGATATATGGGGGTTATAAGCAAGGTGTGGGTTATATGGAAGGTCAGTTGACATCTTCTATGAATCCCCTGAAACCAGGATGAAGAATTTCAGACCAAAAGACTATAGAGAGAGAAAAAAACTCCTGCTCCAAATGAGAGAAGAGAAAGAGTGTTGACGGTAAAATATCAGTGAGACGCTGTGATTTGTGCCTTTTGTCTTTTTCTATCTGGCTCCCCTAGCAACAGTTAAGTAGTAATGAATGTAAATGCTCAGTAACACGCCGGCGAGACTGTTCCACCAGGCGCAGCATCCCTGGTAAACAGAAATGCATGCTAATTTCTGCTCCGTGAAGCATAGGAAACATCACTAGGGGCTGCCCAGTGGAAAGGAACAAAAAGCAGATGGAAAAAATGTTTAAATCTCAAGTTTATGTGAGAACAGAAAAGAAGGAACATGTTGTAAATTATTTTTTGAAATATTAAGCTACTAACAAAATCCTAACACCAAGACAGACAACAGGGGTGGTAAAAGGGGAAGGAGAGACGGAGTCACAATGGAGACGGTTTTGCTACAGCACATCATTAACCGCCACGTTTTTCTGCAGTATCTGAAAATATCAGTCTTGGAAATACCTATGCATTATTTTTTCAGAGGTGTGTGTCTATGGCCTCGGGGCTGGAGCTGGAAAACAAGCTATTGCCATGAGCTCATGCTGGAGTCTGTGTAAATTGTTTCCTCTCCTTATGTATAATGTTTCTAATTAGGACTGTTACAGAGGATGAGCTCTGTGGGCTGTTGAATTGACTCTTTGTGCTCACTGCAAATCTAGGGCTTTATGCCTGCCCATGCTTGGGCCGACCTGCTTCTTAGAGGCATCGCTAAATGGGGAAGGTGACCCTGTCCTGCTTCCTGATGTCTGATATCAGGGCTGTTGGGGAAACACCCAAGAGATCTGCTGTCACCCCTGGAGTGAATAGATACATGACTCTGGTTTCTAGATGCATAACTCTTGTTTCTAGTTGGCCCTTTTATCCAATTATACCTTTAATAAACAAAAGTCCATTTTGAGGTCCTTTCTCTAAGAGACAACTATTTACCTAAAAGTTGTAGGGTGAGCAGTAGACACTAGTTCCTCCCTCTGCATCAAGAATTTAAGAAATGGGCTGGGCACAGTGGCTCACACCTGTAATCCCAGCACTTTGGGAGGCCAAGGTGGGTGGATCTCTTGAGATCAGGAGTTTGAGACCAGCCTGGCCAACATAGTGAAACCCCGTCTCTACTAAAAATACAGAAATTATCTGAGTGTTGTGGTACATGCCTGTAATCCCAGCTACCCGGGAGGCTGAGGCAGGAGAATCATTTGAACCCGGAAGGCGGAGGTTGCAGTGAGCCAAGATTGTGCCACTGCACTCTAGCCTCAGTGATGGAGCGAGACGCCATCTCAAAATAAATAAATAAATAAATAAATTTTAAAAGAATTTTGGAAATGTTTAGGGAAAGTGGAGTAGGACTCTGCTTCCCCAAGATGCTGAGGCTTTGCAGAGAGGATGTGACCCAGAGGGTATGAGTCTCCCCGGCTTGGACCCACTCCTGCTCCCGACCTCTGACATGTTTCTAGGTCAGACACACTTAGAAAATTAATCCTCAGCCATCTGAGTAGCTGATTGTCAGCAGGCAATTCCCTTCCACCGGTAAAACTTCAGTCAGCTACGCTGGGCGATGCATAGAAATACAGTATTGGCTTGGCTTAGAGGTCTCCAGACACTTGGTCCCAGAGGACCAAGTAAAGGTTGCTTGTTAATCTAGTACGACATTCCCACTGTGGGACCTGTTAGGCTCCACACTGAAGAGGTGCCAGGAATTCAAGGAGAGTGGAGGCTGGTGCTGAAAAGCTTCCCCCAGTGATTCTGATATGCTCAGAGGGGGTGATGGTGGTGGTCTTGGGCAGGCTTCCCATTGTGTCAGGCCCATGGTCACTAATTCTTGTCCAGACCTGCAGAGCCAGAATAGCCCAGCCCACAGAGCAGAAGCCACAGTGTAAGAAGCCCGACCTGGGCCAGAAAGCCTGACGATGTCAGAAAAAAATCCCCATCAGTGTGATGCCATGGAAACCCTAGACAGCAGGCAGATCTTTCTTCCTACGAGCCCATTGGCACCTCCCTGGGAACTGGGAGCTGAGTAGGGAGGTAAATCCCAGAAGCCAACAGAACACAGGTTTCATGGAGAGCCTGGATGCAAACCAGCAGTAGAGGACTGCTGCTCGGCACTGCGGAGGTGCTCATGCCTTGCACCTGGTGGTTTGCCAATGGACAATTTCTCCATGACCTAGTTTTCTACCTGGTCTGAAATGAGAAAAAATAAGTACAGCATAGCAAGTTTTTCATTAAGCTAAATTTGTTCTATTTAAAGAACTGCCATTTGTTCTGGAACTATGTCCTTTCTACTTTTTTTGGTGGAAGAAAAGTACTTTTAAGAAACAGATGTGACAATGTGGTAGTGGATGACAACATTTTTTGGTGTTGCTTTTTAATATTTCTATTTTTCAAAATAAAACCTGGCAACACTGTGTTAGTCCTCTGTTTTGTTTGTTTGCATGCTTGCTTTTGCTTCTGTGTGTGGCGGATTAGGGATGGACACAAACTCTTTGGAACTTTTCATACTGAAAGGTGCACCTAATTTGCCTTCTCTTAAATCTGGGCTGGCCTTAGTGACTTACTTGACTAATAAAATGTGGTGCGCATGACCGCATAGGTCTTCTGAAACTAGATCACGGGAAACCCTGCAGCTTCCTTTCCAGGCCTCTTGGAACACTTACTCTTGGAACCCAGCTGCCATGCTGTTAGGAAGCCCAAGTGGCCAAGGCAGAGGCCCAGACAGAGAGGAAGCAAATACCTACATGTTTTGCTTTGGTTAATCACTCCAGTAAAGTTACTAAAAGACACAAACCACAACAATTTTTTTTCTTTCTGAGACAGAGTCTTGCTCTGTCACCCAGAGCTGGAGTGCAGTGGTGCAATCTTACCTCACTGCAACCTCTGTCCCCCTGGGTTCAAGCAATTCTCCTGCCTCAGCCTCCCGAGTAGCTGGGACTACAGGCACTCGCCACCACACCTGGCTAATTTTTGTATTTTTAGTAGAGATAGGGTTTCACCATGTTGGACAGGCTGTTCTCAAACTCCTGACTTCGTGATCCGCCCACCTCGGCCTCCCAAAGTGCTGGGATTACAGGCATGAGCCACCGTGCCCAGCCCACAACATTTTTAGAGACAAAAATATCTACATTACATATTCTACTTTACAGATTATGTGGCTTTTAACAATGCTCTATTTTTAAATCTCATCATTTCCTTTAATTACACATTATTATGTTTTCATATGCGTGTGTGGTACAAAATTCAAAAGGTACAAAAGAATACAATGAAAAGTAAGTTTACTTTTCATCCCAGCCACCCAAAGGTAACCAAAGTAGTCAGGTTCTTGTGTATTCTCCCGAAGATACCAAGCCATATAAAAATATATATACATCTATTTTTTATTTTTAATGAAGGCCAGCCCCTGCGCTGTGGTTGTTTCACCAGTAATACTATCCTGTGAGGCCTCTCAAGAAACAGCCACCTTTCTGTTGGCCAGGTGAGAGCATGTTTCCTTGTATAATACTTTTTTTATGCAAATAGAAATTTACCATACCCAGTGTTCTGCTCCTCACATTTCTTACCTAACAATAAATTTGGGAGATAAATAACTTATCATCTCTCTTGTCATAACTATATTCCCTATCACAGCACCTTCTGCATGCAACAGGTGCTCAGTAAATGCTTTTTAGCTAGTGGTAATGACAGTTTCCTGTTGAGAATTGAAGTATGGAAAAGCTGTTTACAACCATAAACCACCATAGAAAGGTAAGCAATTGTCACGACTGTGTGTAGCTGCTATGAAATGAAGTAGGTCCTGTGTTGATCAATGTTCCTTCTGTTTTAATGGCCAAACTCAAACTAGAGTGTCCACTTCTTCCTCTGGGTTCTACACTCAGCAAAGCGGAGGCTGTCAGTCCAGACAATACTATTTAACAGAAGCCAGAAGGTGAACTTCCTGTTAAGTCAAGCTCATAAAGACACAGAGAAGGTGAAATGGTTGGGGCAGAAAAGGACCTCAAGAGAATTGTTTATTTACTCTAGAGGAGACGCTGCAGAGTGACTTTTATACCCTAAGGGAGCCTCAAACAGGAAGGAAAGGGCTAGAACCACAGGAAAAGTAGAGTGAGCTTCAGAAAGATCTCTGAGCCAGGTGCGGTGCAATGCGCCTATAGTCGCAGCCACTGGGGAGGCTAAGGCAGGAGGATCTCTTGAGCCCAGGAGTTCAAGGTTGCAGCAAGCTATGATCACTCCACTGCACTCTAGCCTGGGTGACAGAGCAAGACCCTGTCTCCGAAAATAAAAAATAAGAATAAAAAGATCTCTGGGATAGCACTATGGACTGCAGCCTCCACCCCAACATTTTGGCAGGATCCCCCTACCTCTGCTAGCACATATGGCCCTTTTGTAGGATTGAGGCAGACCCAGCTGAGAGGACTCGGGTATTCAGTGGAGGAAGGCTTTGTCCCAGGACAAGACTTCAGTGCAGGGCGCCAGCTGGATTTCAGCCCCACTCGCCCCATCCCTGTGCAAAGTGCAAACTCCCACCCCTAGGCAAAGGGTCGTGTCCCTTCCCCCAGGTGTCATTCATGTGTTCATTAGATATATATGTATTGATACCCACTACATGTCATGCACCATACTAGGTACTGGGAACACAGCATGAACAAGGCAGGCTCCCAGCTCATAAGGAGTTTATTTCCTAATGGGAAAGATACAACAAATCTGCAAGAAAGGCAATTTCAGAGTGAAAAGTGCAAAGAATGTATATGGGATAACCTGAGAGTGATGTGAGGGTGGTGGGCAGTGTTTGGCCAGAGTAGTCAAGAAAGGCCTTTTTGAAAAGGAGACCCCTCAATTTCCAGGCTCCAGGCTGGAGTCCTTTGAGACTCTTTCCCCTCCTTTTCCATCCCTCAAGTGGGTTTGAGCCAGGGTCTTATGTTTCCTGGTGGAAACAGCCTCCAAGATAGCCCCTAATGAACTTCCTTCTTGGTGTCCATGCCCTTGAGTAGTCTCTTTCCACATAGACTCAGGGTTGGTCTGTGTGGCCAATAGAACACAGTAGAAGTGATGGTTGTCACTCCCAAGGCTAAGTCATCAGAGACTTCATGCTCCCCTGCCCTGCCCTCTCTGTCTCTCTCTCTCAGGTTGCTTGCTCTGGGGGAAGTGAGCTGCTGTGTTATAAACAACCACATGGCAAGGAACTGAGGCCTCCTGCCAACAGCCATGCACATGAGTGAGCTTGGAAGCAGATTCTGCAGCCCCAGTCAAGGCTTCAGATAACTGAAGCCCCAACTGACAATCATGATTACAACCTCATGAGATTCCCTGATTCAGAACCATCCAACTAAGCTGCTCTCAAATTCTCTTTTTTTCTTTAATGAATGAAGCAATTTATTAACCCAGGATCATTTGTTTTAATGCTTCTTGTTGGCAGCTGCCACCTATCCAGTGATTCTGTCCAGATCTTTCTGACCCTGAGGTGTCAGTTTATGGCCCCTATCTTGGTCCTTTTCCACCATTTTCAGCCCCTCCAGGGCTTGGAGGACCCAGTGGGCCACACTCTTGGAGACTCGGCTGACGTGGCTGGGCAGGACACCATTTATCTGACATTCCCCATAGATCTTGGTCATGGAGCCAACCCCAGCGCCACCTTGGTGGTATAGGTGCTATGTTGTGGAAGCAGCTCATGTGTAGAACCACTTCTCATCTCAGAGAGTAAGCTCTTTGCGCTTGGCCAGTTTGGTGGTATCCACCCATTCAGGGACTTTCAGCTTCCTGGACTTTTTGAGGAGGGCTACCAGAGCTCTGATGAACTCCTGCTGATTCATGTCTTCTACAGTAACTCCAGGAATCATGACACCTCTGCGCTGCCAGCCAGGGGAACAGCTGTTCTCAAATTCTCAAAAGAACACTTGTTATTTTAAGCCACTAAGGTTGGAGGTTGTTTGTTACACAGCACTAGATAACCAATACACAACAGATAGCCCTTACACATCGATCTCACTGCACCCTGCAATCCAGACTTCCTTGTCTCCTGTGTCCTGTCCAGCATCTAGCCTGCCCAGTACTCAACTACAGCATCTAGCCTGCCCAGTATTCAACTGTGACACCATCCCAACCCCCTCAAAGACCATCCCCCACCCCATATTTCTCAATCACCTCCAGGAAAAAGGTTAAATCAGCCTGGTTTCTAAGTCTGTCCATAAATCTAATTCCGCAAGCATTTATTGCAAATTTTTGATATGTTTAGCTTAGTGTTTCATGCTGCAGGGAAAACACAAGAACTAGTTATTATAGTCCCTGTCCTTGGTGTTGTTGGTAAGATAGACTAATGTCTCTGAAACAATCAGAAGACAGTGCAGAATAGTTAATCAAAGGCTTGTGGGGTTGACAGAAAGTGTTAAGTGAGAGGTTGGAGAGCTCCATGTTGGCCAGAGGTGGGGAGCAGGGAGAAGCTGGGGCCTGGGTCAGTCCAGCACAGGCAAGGGAAGAAGGGTAGGGCCCAGACAAGCAGAGGGGCTGAGAGCAGAGGTCGGTTTAGGGAAACAAAGCCTGGGCCAGCTGAAGATGTAGAGGGCCTTGAAAGCCTGGTGGAAGAACCCAGCAGGTGGAGGTTGCAGAATTCACTGCAACCTCCGCCTCCTGGGTTCAAGCAATTCTCCAGCCTCAGCCTCCCTGGGTTATAAATTGGGTGGATTTATAACCCAAACCAGTGGGCAATAAACAGTGCTGTGAACCTATTTAGATCGATGAGATTAAAGGTAGGGAGTGAGATCGAAAGAAGATGGAGAGGAAAAGAAGGTGGGAAAAGAGATCGGGGCTGGGGCAAAATGAATTTGGAGTGATTTGCCATCACTGAGATGTGAGCACCTGAAGCTAGACAGCAGGAACAAAACCAGGGGCATTGCTCTGATTTGAGGCTGAACAATTGAGGTGTCACCCCCACCCCAGGCCTGGCAGCCACCTCTTACCTGGGGGAGCATAGATTCTATGAGACTGGAGTCAAGAGCAGGTCAGGCTCCTGCTGAGTCTATAGCAGAGGTGCTTAACGCTCTATGGACACCTGGGGAGATGTGTAAGTGCACTTGGGGGCCAATTTGAAGCACTTTAGCATAATAGTCTAGTGCAGAAACTGACAGACCACCTGGCTCTACCCCTCACAGACTGAGGGACCTTCAATCAGTCACTTAACTCCCCAGAGCCCCATAATCCTTATCCAAACATGAAGGTAATGAGAGTACCTACTCCATAGGGTTGTGGAGATTCAGCAAAATGAAAAGCACTTAGAACGGTTAACTTCTTTGTTATGCAAATGTTCTTGCACTGACCTGGGTTGCAGTTTAGGCATAAACATTTTTAGATTCCTGGGTACAGCCAAGATTAAGAATCAAAAATTCAGCCAAGTACATTGGCTCAAGCCTATAATGTCAGCACTTTGGGAGGCCAAGGCAAGAGGATCACTTGAGTCCAGGAGTTTGAAACCAGCCTGGGCAACATAAGGAGACCCCATCTCTATGAAGAATAAATAAATAAACAAACAAACAGAAATAAAAATGTAGCCGAGCATGATGGTGCTTGCCTGTAGTCCTAGCTTCTTGGGAGGCTGAGACGGGAGGATTACTTGAGCCCAGGAGGTCAAGGCTGCAGTGAGCCATGATTGCACCACTGCACTCCAGCCTGGGTGATAGCACAAGACACTGTCTCAAAAACAAACAAACAAACAAACAAAAATAAAAAACAACAACAACAGGCCAGGTGCAGTGGCTGGTGCCTGTAATCCCAGCGCTTTGGGATGCCAAGGTAGGAGGATCACTTGAGCCTTAGAGTTCAAGACTAGCCTGGGCAACATAGGGAGACCCCGTCTCTACAAAAAACAAAAATAATTTTTTTTAAAAAAAATCAGAAATCCACAAGGACAAAGAACTCACCCCCCCCCATCCTTCCTACCATCCTCCCTACCATCAGAATAGGAAGTTAAAACTATCACTTCAGACATGCTCTTTGATTCAGATGAAGGTGAGACTTGGCTAGATTATGGCTTTGACTCAGAACCATGGGCAAAGTTCATGGTTTGGGAGTTTCTGCAGGAAGCTTGGGGACGTTCAGCTGTTTTAGCTGAACTTGACTCTGAGTTCCAAGTCTATGAAATTCCAAAACTCAAAGCAAAACAAAGGCACCCTCAAGGTTAGGGATCATATGCTATCCATCTCCACCCCCTGGCACCCAGCGTGGCACCCACACTTGCTGGTTGGCTGGAGGAGCGAGGCAGGCCTTAACTCGGTTGGTGTACAGAGCTGACTGGTCTCAGATATGGACCACAGAGGGCAAATTTGATGAAACAAAGACAAAGCCATAAAGGAAACAGGCTTTGTGCCATTTAGGAATGCAAATTAGATTTTCTTCATTGCTGAAGAATTCTCATACTGCTAAACCAGGAATATTCAGACACCCACCTTCCACCCCCAGTTTAGGATATTTATGTTAACGGAAGACTCAGAGGGAGATGACTTTTTGGGTCCTTTGAGTTGGTACAATGCAGATACAGGTGCCATATTTAAAGCACACCTGAAACAGGTGGGCAGCCTCCCAACACCCTTCAGGCCAGTGCTTCTCAAACACTGATGCACACGCCACTCACCAGGGGAGCTTGTTCACATGCAGAGTCTAATGCGGTAGGTCTGAGGGAGAGCCTGAGATTCTGCATTTCTTTTTTTTGTTTTTTTTTCTTGAGACAGAGTCTCGCTCTGTCATCCAGGCTGGAGTGCAATGGCGTGATCTCGGCTCACTGCAACCTCCGCCTCCTGGGTTCAAGCAATTCTCCAGCCTCAGCCTCCCGATTAGCTGGAATTACAAGCACCCCCACCACCACCACGCCCGACTAATTTTTGTAATTTTAGTAGAGACGGGGTTTCACCATGTTAGCCAGGCTGGCCTCGAACGCCTGACCTCAGGTGATCCACCCACCTTGGCCTCCCAAAGTGCTGGGTTTACAGGCATGAGCCACCCCACCCAGCCGAGGTTCTGCATTTCTAACAAGCTCCCGGGAGATGGTGATGTTGCTGGCCCAAAGGCCAGCACGTTGAGTGGTGAGGCATCAAAGTCCACTTTGGGGCGGAAGCCAGCCCAGGTTTGGCGTATCGCCTGGACAGTAGCCCCGACTTGGGTTAAAAGAATTAACAAATCCCTGCCCACTGGTCACATATTTGTCATTTTTTCTGCCTTAAAAATATCCCCGCTGGGTGTGGTGGCTCCAGCCTGTAATCCCAACACTTTGGGAGTTTGAGGCAGGAGGATCGCTTGAGTCTAGGAGTTGGAGACCAGCCTGAGCAATATAGTGAGATCCTGCCTCTACGAAAAGTAAAAAAATAAAAAATTAGCCAGGCATGGTGGCATGCACCTGTAGTCCCAGCTACTCAGGGGGCTGAGGTGGGAGGATCACTTGAGTCTGGGAGGGCAAGGCTGCAGTGAGCAGTGATCGTGCCACTGCACTGCAGGGTGGGCCACAGTGCAAAATCTTATCTAAAAAAAAGAAAAAAAAGAATCCTTAAAGTTGAGAGTCTGAATAGTTTTAATTATCTAATGCGCTCACTGGATTTTTAAATTGTCCTTGTCACTTCTGGTGTGGTTTGGCATTTTGAGCTTTGCTGACTCTGAAATACTCTCTGTAACTGGGAAGGACATATCCATGAACACTCACCCTGCTTGCTGCATAATCAGGGGTCTCCTTGGGCTCCAGGGCTAGGACAGACCTCTGGGTTGATGATTTAACTCCAGGGCTGGTTAATAAAGGCCCAGCTGAATCTGGAGCCTTGCCCCATGTCTCACAGCTAGTGGAAGAGCCAGGAAGATCTGAGTTGTGTTTTCCTGGTATGCTGTTTGTGGTGGTGGTTTATATAATATCCTGCTTCCATCTCAGGGCACTGGTTTAGTTCAGGAAGCAAACTGGCTCCTTTTCAGGGACCAGAGTCCAAAGAGTAGCCAGTGATTATCTCAAAATGCCAGGTGAGAAGATGGGAAATGAATGTCTGGCCTCAGACATTTCACCCCACCCTGGGTGAGATCTATTAATATTACACTCTCTCAGCACCGCACTGAAAGCACTCTCACAGGGTTAACGAGAATGTCAAGCCAGGCTCTAGGCAGAGTTATAGCTAGGCACTGACCAGGGTGTGCTGGTGCACTTTGACCCACTTCCCTGCAGTTGCTCGCTAACCGAGAGTCACGTAGCACACGGACCACCTGCTCCCTCATTGTTCCTATAGAGAGAATCTGTGACACTGGACCTTTTTACTAAAAAATTGCTTAAGGTATTTTTCAGATCCTGCATTCCAGCAGAATGCCTGATGTCAACGAGTCTGCAGAACCCCAGCCCCAAGGTGCCAATCCAGCACAGAAATGTGATTCCTTCATCTCCTTGTCCCATAACTGCACGCATCACTTCTCGACCAATCAGCAATCCCTAGCTCCTCAGCCCCCTACCCACCAAAATTCACTTAAAAAGTCCAGTCTAAAACTCCTTAGGGAGGCAGATTTGAGGTTCCCTCCCACCCCCTTGTTTGGCTGCCATATGATTACTACACTGTTTCTCTGCTACAACTCCCACCATTTCTGTGTATTGGTCTGTTACTGTCCAATGTGCAGTTGAACCTGGTGGTCCTATAACAGCACCTCTTCTTAAAGCACTGTGTACCGTTATTTACAGTACAATTATTGATTAAAGTCTAAATGTCCCTCATTTAGACTAGAAGCTTCCTGAGGGCTTCTTTGTATTCACCATTGCATCTCCATCACTTGATGCAGCACATAGCAAGTGGGTGTTCAGTACACATGTGCTGAATAAATAAATAAATGCACAAGAGCCAAGCCTTATGCCATATGCCAGTCATTATTCAATTGTTTATATGGGCCGGGCGCGGTGGCTCATGCCTGCAATCCTAGCACTTTGGGAGGCACTTGAGCCCAGGATTTGGAGACCAGCCTGGGAAACATGGCAAAACCCTGTCTCTACAAAAAGCTCAAAAAATTAGCTGGGTGCAGTGGTGCACACCTGTAGTCCCAGCCACCTGGGAGGCTGAGGTGGGAGGATCTCCTGAGCCCAGGAGGTCAAGGCTGCAGTGAACTGTGATCACACAACTGCACTCCAGCCTGGGCAACAGAGTGAAACCATGTCTCAAAAAATTGTTTATAAATATTTACTCTTTCTATTATTACAAGCTTATGAAAACAGGTGGTATTATTATCCCTTTCACATAGAAGGAAACTAAGGCAGAAGGTGCGTAAGTAACTTGCCCATGATTGCACAGCTAATAAACGCCTAGCACCAGAGC
Organism: Homo sapiens; assembly: GCF_000001405.40. Taxonomy (NCBI): domain Eukaryota; kingdom Metazoa; phylum Chordata; class Mammalia; order Primates; family Hominidae; genus Homo; species Homo sapiens. The sequence goes on from NC_000006.12 coordinate 110,568,088, forward strand.
CTATCTTCTTAACTGCTGCATGATTCATTGCCTTTAGACAATTGAATTTAGACAGCTGCCTGAAGAGTGAGGCTCAGGTGGCAAATAAAGCAACATGCGCTTGCAGAGCCCAGAAGACAGAAACATATGCAAGACCAAGGACACGGAAGCAGAGTGAAGAAGCAGGAAGACCAGTCTTGGCTCTGTGAACAAGGACACAGGTGCTGGAATCGGAAGACTTGACCTTTAAGCCATCTCAGTTTCTTCATGTGTGTCCTGGCCATGGCAAAACCCTAGCTGAAGAGATTCTGAGGTGACAAGGGGTGGGGAGTGATATTTAGGACTTGCAAAGAGAGGCCAGAAGGAAGTCAGGCAGCCTCAAGGGAGTCAGGGCCTTCTCCACCACCACAGCTGGGCTCAGGGAAACTGCTGACACACAGGCACACTAGTGACTCCAGGCCCTGCCCTCAGCAGCTTCCACATCCTCCTTGCGGGCACCTTGTCACCTTGTCATCTGCTGTCCCAGGGCAGCTCTCAGTCTCCCTGCCTGCTTCCTCCCGCCCAGTGCTTCTCACCTCTCTGACTTTTTATTTTATTTTTATTTTTTAAAGACAGGGTCTTGCTCTGTCATTTCACTCTGTCACCTAGGTTGGAGTACAGTGGCATGATCACAGCTAACTGCAGCCTTGACCTATTGGGCTCAAGTGATCCTCCCCTCTTAGCCTCCCAAGTAACTAGGACTATAGGTGTGCATCAACACGCCTGGACAATTTTTTTAATTTTTTATAGAGACTGGGCCTCACTATGTTGGCCAGGCTGGTCTCAAACTCCTGGGCTCAAGCAGTCCTCTCGCCTCAGCCTCCCAAAGTGCTGGGATGACAGGCGTGAGCCACTGCACCCGGCCTAATTTTGTTTTTTGGTAGAGACAAGGTCTCAATATGTTGGCCAGGCTGGTCTGGAACTCCTGAGCTCAAGCAATCCTCTTGCCTCAGCCTCGTAAAGTGCTGGGATTATAGCTGTGAATCAACCACACCTGGCCTCATTCTGACTTTTGTCCGAGGGACATCCTTCACGTTATTGTTCCTCCTGCTGAATCAGGCCTGACACCTTCTCACTTATAAGTGGGAAGCTCACTACTCTTGTGGTGCTGAAGGGGCCCTGCAGTGTGGTACCTTGTGTATGAAGTCAGCCATATCACCTCATAGAATTGCTTATACTGCCCAGAGTCCCCAGGAACCTTAACCTGTTCTTTGGCAGAAATATAGACATGGGTTTTAGGTCTGATGAAAGATGGCATCCAAACACAGGCAGAATCGTGTAGGCAGGAGGCCTCCGTTCAGACACCTAGAACTCTCAGCAGGCTGCTCCCTGAACTGGCTCTGTATCAATCGCTGCATTTTAGTTTGAACCCCAGCCTATGGTTCTCCTCTCCTGCAGTTAGCATTTTAGACTTTCTGTCTCTAATGTAAGTAAATACTTTTTGTTAAAGGAATTTGGGGCATCGTCAAGTACGTGAGGAGGCACATAGGGCCCAGGGAGGGAGGGATCCCACATTGCTCAGGCCCAGGGATACCCAAGCCTGTGACTGCGGGTTCTCACCAGCATCAGCTCAGTGAGTTCTGCCTCAGCTGTCCCAACACTAAGTCTCTACACCTGCCCACTCTGTTACAGACTGAAGCAGGGGAAGAAGTTGTGTCACCAGAGCTCTGAGCCAGAATTTTGGGAAAGATGGCAGATTGGTAAGGAAATAAATTGCTCAGTTTATATCACCCATCATTTCCTTTTTCAAATTGCAAAATAAAATAGGAAATAGAATAGAAAATTAAATAAAATATCCCTCTTGGTGATTTTGAAGGTAGACCAGTTCTGGTTTCCTGCCAGCGGAGATTACCCTTCCCCGTGGCACAATAGTCTCATTCAGCTTTTGGTACTAGAGTAACTATTTAGAATAAAGTCCGAGGTCCCAGCTAAGAACAGAGAATGAAGAAAAACTTACAAATTTCTTTTTTCTGCACATGCCATGCCATTTACAAACATGGCCACTTTGATGACTTCCTCACTGCTTTGCCCTTGAAAAAGGAGTTATTATAACATACCTTGCAAATGACAAAACCTGATTGTGTCCTTGTGCAAATGTCCCTGTCATGCAGGGGAGGTGGTTCCTCTGTGTGATTGGGGCCTCAGAGGCCCCTGCTTGTCACTGAGGACTCTGCTGGACCCCTGCTTGGTCATGGGACAGATGAGGGGGCATCCTGCTACATTTGCTGTTTTTAATTTCATGCTTTCATCTTTTCCTTATGGATCACGAGGTCAAGAGATCAAGACCATCCTGGCCAACATGGTGAAAGCCCATCTCTACTAAAAATACAAAAATTGGCTGGGCGTGGTGGTGCACGCCTGTAGTTCCAGCTACTCGGGAGACTGAGGCAGGAGAATCACTTGAACCCAGGAGGCGGAGGTTGCAGTGAGCCAAGATCGCACCACTGCACTCCAGCCTGGGTGACAGACCAAGACTCCATCTCAAAAACAAAAACAAAAACAAAACAAAAAAGAGAGAGAGAGAGAGAGAAATGTGTTCTCTTTTACCGAAATCAGCATTTCCACTCACTGTGGAAAATATTGGAAGAAATATTTGGAAGAAACATTTCTCCAGAAAATATTGGAACTCCAGAAAATATTGGAAGAAAATTCATTGTATTTCTTTTAAATTGCAATATTTAAATTATCATTAAAGAACTAAACCATGTTCATTATTGAAAATTTGGAGGAAAAAGACTCCCCATAATCTCATCATCCAGAGACAAATTATTCATAATTTAGATTACCAAGATAAACCCCTCTAGGTTGTGATGTATTATCTTTTTATTTATATTGCTGAATTTGACTTGTTAATATTTTGTTAAGGATTTCTGCATCTATGTTCATGAGGAATTTGGGCCTATAATTTGATTTTTTTTTGTAATATCTTTTTGTAGTTTTGGTGTTAGGGTATCATTGCCCTAATTAATTGAGTCAAGATGTGTTTCTTCTGCTTTTATATTCTGGGAAAGACTGTAGAATTGGCATTATTTTTTCCTTAAATATTAATAGAATTTACCAGTGAAAACATTTGGGCCTAGAGTTTATTTTGTCGGAAAGTTTTTAGCTACAAATTCAATTACTTTACTTGTCATAGATGAATACAGAATTTCTGTTTCTTCTTGAGTTAGTTTTGGTAATTCATGTCTTTCATAACCGTCCCCTAAAATCCTTTTAATTTGTTTTAAATTAGTAGTGATGGCCCTCATCATTATTGATTTTGATCATTTGTGCCTTTTCTTTTTTTTTTCTTATTTAGTCTAGCTAAAGGTTTATCCTTTAAAAATATTTTCATACTTTTCATTCAATTAAATTGATTTTCTGTATTGTTTTTCTGTTTTTATTTTACTGATTTCTACTATAATTTTTATTCTTTCTTTCCTTCTGCTTACTTAGAGTTTCATTCGTTTTCTTTTTTTAATTGCTTAAAGTGAAAGCTGATTTGTAATATTTTAGTAATTTTTTTCTTTTTTGATATAGGTGGTCAGTATTTATGAGCTGTGCTAAACGTTGGTTGGTCTGGAACTCCTGGTTTTAAGCAAACATTTTTATTTACTTTTTATTTATTTTATTTTATTTTGTTTATTTATTTATTGAAACAGGGCTTTGCTCTGTTGCCCAGGCTGGAGTGTAGTGGCATGATCACAGCTCATTGAAGACTCAACTTCCTGGGCTCAATTGATCTTCCCATCTCAGCCTCCCAAGTAGCTGGGACTAAAAATGGACACCACCATGCCTGACTAATTTTTGTGTTTTTTATAGAGATGGGGTTCCACCACGTTGCCTAGGCTAGCCTTGAATTCCCCAGCTCAAGCAATCTGCCTGCCTTGGCCTCCCAAAATGCTGGGATTACAAATGTAAGCCACCATGCCTAGCAGCTATTTTAAAATTTTATTTTAGTAATGGTTGCTCGACAGATGAATATATACATCTTACCTTGTCACAATCTACTTCAAGTTAATACTGACTTAGTTCCAGTAAAATATAACAACTTTTCTCCACTATAACTTTATTTCCACCTTCCTTTATGTGATTGGTATTTAGATGTTACACATATATGCATTACAAGTTTAAAACTGAGTTGTAATTATAGTTTTACAGAATGTTATGTTTTTCAAAGTAATCATGATAAGAAAAGATCAATGTTTATATATCTTTACATTTATCCACATATTTACCATTTCCTGCATTTTTTATTTCTTTATTTTTTGTAAACAGGTCAGTTAGCAACAAATTATCTCATTCTTTCTTTATCTGGGAATATATTTTACCTTCATTATTAAAGATTAGTTTTTCTAGATTTTGAATTCTTGGTCAACAGTTTTTTGTTTTTTGTTTTTTGAGATGGAGTTTCACTCTTGTTGCCCAGGCTGAAGTGCAATGGCACGATCTCAGCTTACCACAACTTCTGCCTCCTGGGTTCAAGCAATTCCCCTGCCTCAGCCTCCCAAGTAGCTGGGATTATAGCCATGTGCCACTATGCCTGCTAATTCTGTATTTTTTAGTAGAGATGGGGTTTCTCCATGTTGGTCAGGCTGGTCTCGAACCCCCGACCTCAAGTGATCCACCCGCCTCAGCCTCCCGAAGTGCTGGGATTACAGGCATGAGCCACCACCCCCAGCCAGTTTTTTTCTTTTTCTTTCAGCAATTTGAATATATCATTCTACTGTCTTTTGGCCTCCGTGGTTTAAAGACAAGAAGTTGACCATTAATCATATTGTCCCCTTGTATGTGATGATTTGTTTTTCTCTTACTAGATTTAAGATTTTCTCTTGTCTTTGGTTTGGCTTCCAGTGGTTTGACCATGATGTGTCCAGGTGTGAATGTCTTTGTATTTATTCTACTTAGAGTTTCTTGAGCTTCTGGAGTTTGTGAAATGATTTTTTAAAGTCAAAACTGGGGAATTTTCATCCATTATGTCATTAAACATTTTTCTTTCATTTTTCTGGAGTCCCCTTCTGGGATTCCAATTACATGTATGTTGGTATGCTTCATGTTATCCCACCAGTCTCTGAGGCACTGTGTATTTTTCTTCTATCTTTTCCTCTCTTTTTTCCACACTGAGTAATTTCTAATGATCTATCTTCAATTTCACTGACTCTTCTGTGACCTCCTCTAGTACTTTTATTTTTGCTATTATTTATTGCAACTCAGAATTTCCACTGGGTTCTTTTTTAAAAAATAATTTCTGCATTTTAAGTGAGATCATCTATTTGTTGAATCATTGTCATTACACTGATTTAGTCATTCTTAAGCATGGTTTTCTTTAGTTCTTTGAACATATTTATAATAGCTGCTTTGAAATCTTTGTCCAATAATCTAATTTCTGGAACCACTCATAGTATATATTTGCTTTTTTTTCCTGAGTATGGGTCAGATTTTGTTTCTTCATGTCTCATAACGTTTTTTGAAAACTTGACATTTTAGATAATATACTCTAGCAACTCTGGACTCTGATTTCTTTTCCTGAGGCAGTTATTATTGTCTTTATTTGCTTTCCCAGAGGTAATCTGCAGAATCTTTGCCTCCTGCAGTACATGGCCACTAATGTCTCTGCTCAGCTTTTTTGTTTTTAAGTCTTGTGTTTAACTTTCAGCCTGGCCTTCTAAGAGTAGTCCCTGTAGCTTAGTTTAGTGGTCAGCCAATGATTGGGCAGAGGCTGTGCTCAAACACCTTAAGCCTACAAGATCCATCCTCTGCTAATGGATCTGTGTGTGGGATGAAGAATACATTTAAAGTTCACTCTGTTTTCAAGTCTGCCTAACTTTTACTTTTGTCAAGGCACTCGTGGCTTTCCCCTGTGCATATGCATAGTTTCCTGGTCATTCGGGGTCTGTGGAGAGATTTCATAGCATTTCTTTTTTTTTTTTTTTTTTTTTTTTTTTTTGAGACGGAGTCTCGCTCTGTCGCCCAGGCCGGACTGCGGACTGCAGTGGCGCAATCTCGGCTCACTGCAAGCTCCGCTTCCCGGGTTCAAGCAATTCTCATGCCTCAGCCTCCCGAGTAGCTGGGACTGCAGGCGCCTGCCACCATGCCTGGCTAATTTTTGTATTTTTAGTAGAGACGGGGTTTCACCATGTTGGCCAGGATGGTCTCGATCTCCTGACCTCAAGTGATCCACCCACCTCGGCCTCCCAAACTATTGGGATTACAGGTGTGAGCCACCACGCCTGGCCAGTAAATTTTCAAACTAAAAACTTCTTAATTCCTTGTTTCCTTTTGGTTGATTTCCATAGCCCTGAAATTGTTTTTCACAATGTTGCCCAGTTTTGTGGTGAGAATTTGTCAACCTCTTCACTCTGCAATAGCCAACAGTCCCACCCTATATGTACTTTATAAATGCAACCGCACAGTATATCCTGTTTTCTACACTAAAAAAGTCTATATATTCTAGATTTTGTTTGATTTACAGATTTGATAACTGGGCTTTTTTTTTTTTTTTTTTTTTTTTTTTTGAGACGGAGTCTCACTCTGTCACCTGGGCTAGAATGCAGTGACTCGATCTTGGCTCACTGCAACCTCCACCTCCCAGCTTCAAGCGATTCTCCTGCCTCAGCCTCCCGAGTAGGTGGGATTACAGGCGCCTGCCACTATGCCCAGCTAATTTTTTGTATTTTTAGTAGAGACTGGGTTTCCCCATGTTGGCCAGGTTGATCTCGAATTCCTGACCTCGTGATTCGCCTGCTTCAGCCTCCCAAAGTGCTAGGATTACAGGCATGAGCCACCACGCCCAGCTGATAACTAGGCTTTTTTTAGTTGATTTTCTAAATTCTCACATTAAACTTTTGGGATCATTACCTCCTATTAAATAAAATTTATAGGAGGCCACTGATTTGGACTAGGTTCCTGCACTAGACCCCATCAGACCAAACCAAAATGGAGTCACTCATGCTAAAGTTTCATATCACCAAACTGAAACTAAGTTGTTTATCTAACCTTCCAGATAAATCAGGGGAGAGATAATAGCCAAATCCTCGAACAGGCCAGTTTTAGCCAGCATAACAAGGAAATCCCCCCCCCAGCTTTAACCCTTTCAAGGAAAACAACTTTGAAATGATCACTCCATCTTTTATTCTTTGATTCTGCATTCTTCAGCCTTTTCTTGTCTATAAATACTCACTGGCCACATTGCAGAGCAGAGCTCTCTGAATCTCTTCAGGTTGTGAGAGCTACCTGATTCTTGAATTATTATTTGCTCAAATAAACTCTGTTAAATTTATTTTGTCTAAGGTTTTATTTTATTAGATGTATGGTCAAAAGCAATGGTTCAAAGGAGATCCACATTGATGAACTCCAGGATTAACAAGCAAACAGACTGGCTACTCTGCTGAGTTACTTGTGCTCACTGCTTCTCTTTGCACATTTGGAGGGTGTCACTGGTAAGTCCCCCTTGGATATGAGCTCCATTATTTGTGTCCAATTTTATATGAACAGTTTTGATCCAGACTATCTGTGGAAGTCACAAGAGAAACTGGATTAGGTTCTATAAGAAGGCTTTAGGTATCCGACTAAGTTAGACAAAAACCGAACCGGGTTTAGTAAAAGACCTCTAGTAGGAAAGGTTTCAGGAAGACAGAAAATAATGAGTTCATTTAAATTCAGGGAGTCTGGGACTCTGTTGGGGCAAGAGAAAAGTTCTCTTTGGCCCCTGAAGATTTGCTGAAAAATCAACTCACAGAAGATAGAGTAATTGGATAAAAGGCAAACAAATTTATTCAACAGGTATACATGGGAGCCTTCAGAATGAAGACTCAAAGATACAAGGGAAATTTCTGTTGACCAAGAATTCAAGTGAAGTTTTATGCTTAGGTTCAACAAAGTAGGAACAGCTATGTAGAAACATGATTGGACAGAAAGGGTATGATCTGATGCTAATAGACTGAGCGGGGAAACCCAGCACGGCCCGTCTAGATTCCTGTTGGCCTCTCTGAGCACGCATTCCTGCCTCTGGGTGTGGGGCAGGACCCCCTCTGGATTGAGGGTCTCATGACCTACAGTCAAACAAGATGGATCAGATCATTTCTTTACAGCCAGTTTTTACACAGAAAGGTGGAGGGAAAGGCAGAGTAATATGTTTTGTTTTCACAGCTGGCTTTGAAGAAAAGGGGTTCTGGTTTCTATGACCTGCCTTGGGGAAGAGTGATTCTAGTTTTTATAGCTACCCTTGGGGGAGAAAAGGACTGAAGCAAGAGGGGAGAAAAAGTTCAGAAGAAAACTTTCGTTTCTGAGGCTGCTTCTGCTGCCTTCATTTTGGGGTATTGTTTTCTGAGCCCCAACATGTGTATTTATGTATGTCTGTTTATATGTTATGTATATCATATTTTCCTACCTCAGATACTATTTCCAAATTAATTTATAAAATCTCTTAAAGAAGATCCATTTGATTGGCTTAAAGGAAAAGATGTACTCTTATGAATTAAGGATTCCTTAAACTCTTTGGAAGTTCAGAAACTAACCCAAATGCTTTCAGAGTTTACATGACTTTGGTAAATAAGATTTGTTTAATATTGTTGATTTTTCTAAGATAATTGTTGTAAAAATAAAGAGAATTTTTAAAAATATTTTTGGGTTAATGATAAACAGCTGTGTCTCCTCTCCTGACTTACATGTAAAAAAACATGCATGTAACTTTTAGTTTCTTGCTTTGATGATAACTGCCTAATATGCACATGCTGTAAAAATAGTTAACAGGGAAATGACTTAAGATAATGGCTAGTTTTTGTTTGTTTGTTTCTGAGACAGAGTCTTGCTCTGTTGCCCAGGCTGGCATGCATTGGTACCATCTCAGCTCACTGCAACCTCCGGCTCCCTGGTTCAAGAGATTCTCCTGCCTCCGCCTCCTGAGTGACTAGGACTATAAGCGCATGCCACCATGCCCGACTAATTTTTGTATTTTTAGTAGACATGGGGTTCCATCATGTTGGCCAGGCTGGTCTCAAACTCCTGACCTCAAGTGATCCACCTGCCTCACCCTCCCAAAGTGCTGGATTACAGGTGTGAGCCACCACACCCAGCCTGATAATGACTAGTTTTGTTTAATGTCTTGTGAAAATTTTCATGAGCAATTCAAGCATAACTGTTAAGAATAAGGGAATTAGGTGAATGTAAGTGAGATAAAAGTTTATAAGTAAACTTTTCATAGTTTCAAAATTCTCTTTGGTAGCTCAAAAGCTTTAAAGTTATGGTAAGTTAATTAGGTAATAGGTATTCATTAAATGCCTGGGTCATTTCTAATTAAGTTTAAATAGGCCAGGCACAGTGGCTCACACCTGTAATCCCATTAATTTAGGAGGCCAAGGCAGGCAGATCACTTGAGGCCAGGAGTTCAAGACCAGCCTGGCCAACATGGTGAAACCCCATCTCTACTAAAAATACAAATATTAGCAGGGCGTGGTGGTGCATGCCTGCAATCCCAGCTACTTGGGAGGCTGGGGCACAAGAATTGTTTTAGCCTGGGAGGTGGAAATTGCAGTGAGCCAAGATCACACCACTGCACTCCAGCCTGGATGAAAGAGCAAGACTCAGTCTCAAAAAAAAAAAAAAAGTTAAAATACTGAAGCATTAATGACTAAATGTTAGTTTATGTTTAAATATGGGGAGAAAAGAACCAAGTTGGGAAACATACTTCAGGATATCATCCAGGGGAAGTTCCCCAACCTAACAAGACAGGCCAACATTCAAATTCAGGAAATCCAGAAAACCCCAGTAAGATATTCCATGAGAAGATCAACCCCAAGACATATAATCATCAGATCCTCCAAGGTCAAAACAAAGGAAAAAAATGTTGAGGGCAGCCAGAGAGAAAGGCTGGGTCACCCACAAAGAGAAACCCATCAGACTAACAGCAGACCTCTCAGCAGAAACCCTACAAGCCAGAAGAGATTGGGGGTCAATATTCAACATTCTTAAAGAAAATAATTTCCAACCCAGAATTTCATATCTGGCCAAACTAAGTTTCATAGGCAGAGAAGAAATAAAATCCTTTTCAGACAAGCAAATGCTGAGGGAATTCATCACCACCAGGCCTGCCTTGCAAGAACTCCTGAAGGAAGCACTAAATATGGAAAGGAAAAACTGTTACCAGCCACTGCAAAAACACGCTGAAGTGCAAAGACCAATGACACTATGAAGCAACTACATCAACAAGTCTGCAAAATAACCAGCCAGCATCATGATGACAGGATCAAATTCACACATAACAATATTAACCTTAAATGTAAATAGGCCAAATGTCCCAGTAAAAAGACACAGAATGGCAAGCTGGATAGAGTCAAGACCCATTGGTGTGCTATATTCGAGATCCATCTCAGTGCAGACACGCATAGGCTCATTATAAAGGGATGGAGGAAAATTTGCCAAGCAAATGGAAAGCAGAAAAACGCAGGGGTTGCAATCCTAGTTTCTGGCAAAACAGACTTTAAACCAACACAAATCAAAAAAGACAAAAAAGGGCATTACATAGTGGTAAAGGGTTCAATTCACAGGAGGAGCTATCTTAAAAATATATGCACCCAATACAGGAGCACCCAGATTCATAAAACAAGTTTTTAGAGACCAACAAAGAGACTTAGACTCCCACACAATAATAGTGGGAGACTTTAACACACCACTGTCAATATTAGACAGATCATTGAAACAGAAAAGTAACGAGGATATTCACGACTTGAACTCAGCTCTGGATCAAGTGGACCTTGATAGATATCTACAGAACTCTCCACCCAAAAATAACAGAATATACATTCTTCTCAGCAACACATGGGACTTACTCTAAAACTGGTCACATACTTGGAAGTAAAACACTCCTCAACAAATGCAAAAGAACTGAAATCATAACAAACAAACAGGCTCTCAGACCACAGAGCAATCAAATTAGAACTCAAGATTAAGAAACTCACTCAAAACCATACAACTACACAGAAATTGAACAACCTGCTCCTGAATGACTCCTGAGTAAATGATGAAATTAAGGCAGAAATCAAGAAGTTCTTTGCAACCAATGAGAACAAAGAGACGACATACCAGAATCTCTGGGATGCAGCTAAAGCAGTGTTAAGAGGGAAACTTACAGCACTAAGTGCCCACATCAAAAGGCTAGAAAGATCTCACTTTCTAGCTTTTGTTAGAGAATTGACACCCTAACATCACAACTAAAATAACTAGAGAACCAAGAGCAAACCCCAAAGCTTGCAGAAGACAAGAAATAACCAAAATCAGAGCAGAACTGAAAGAAATAGAGATATGAAAAACCCTTCAAAAAAAATCAGTGAATCCAGGAGCTGGTTATTTGAAAAAAATAAAATAGATAGTCCACTAGCTAGACTAATGAAGAAAAGAGAGGAGAATCAAATAGACACAATAAAAAATGAGAAAGGGGATATCACCACTGACCCCACAGAAATACAAACAATATTATAAACACCTTTATGCAAATAAACTAGAAAATCTGGAATAAATGGATAAATTCCTGGACACATACACCCTCCCAAGACTGAACCAGGAAGACAATGAATCCCTGAATAGACCAATAGCAAGTTCTGAAACTGAGGCAGTAATAACTAGCCTACCAACGAAAAAAGGCCCAGGACCAGATGGATTTACAGCTGAATTCTACCAAAGGTAAAAAGAGGAGCTGGTACCATTCCTTCTGAAACTATTCCAAACAATTGAAAAGGAGGGACTTCTCCCTAATCCATTTTATGAAGCCAGCATCATTCTGATACCAAAACCTGGCAGAGATACAACAAAAAAAAGAAAACTTCAGGCCAATATCCCTGATGCAAAAATCCTCAGTAAAATACTGGCAAACCGAATCCAGTGGCACATCAAAAAGCTTATCCACCATAATCAAGTCGGCTTCATACCTGGGATGCAAAGCTGATTCAACATATGCAAATCAATAAATGTAATTCATCACATAAACAGAACTAAAGACAAAAACCACATGATTATCTCAATAAATGCAGAAAAGGCCTTCAATAAAATTCAACATCCTTTCATGTTAAAAACTCTCAACAGACCTCAAAATAATAAGAGCAATTTATGACAAACCAACAGCCAATGTCATACTGAATAGGCAAAATCTGGAAGCATTCACCTTGAAAAACTACACAAGACAAGGATGCCCTCTCTCAGCACTCCTATTCAACATACTATTGGAAGTACTGCCCAGGGCAATCAGGCAAGAGAAAGAAATAGAGGGTATTCAAAAAGGAAGAGAGGAAGTCAATATATAATATATACATTATATACTATATGTAATTATATATAATATGTAATATAATATGTAATATATATTATAAATTATAATTAATATGTAAATACAAATATTACAAAGACACATGCATGCATATGCTCACTACAGCACTATTCACAATAGCAAATACATGGAATCAATCCAAATGCCCATCAATGATAGACTGGATAAAGAAAATATGGTATATATACACCATGGAATACTGTGCAGCCATAAAAAAGGAACAAGATCATGTCCTTTACAGGGACATGGATGGAGCTGGAAGCCATTATCTTCAGCAAACTATGAAGGAACAGAAAACCAAATATCGCATATTCTCATTTATAAGTGGGAGCTAAACAGTAAGAACACATGGACACATGGAGGGGAACAACACATACTGGGGCCTGTTGGTGGGGAGAGTCGGGGGAAGGAGAGCATCAGGATAAATAGCTAATGCATGCAGGACTTAATACCTAAGTGATGGGTTGATAGGTGCAGCAAACCACCATGGCACACGTTTACCTACTTAACAAACTGGCACGTCCTGCACATGCATCCTGGAACTTAAAATTCAAAAAAATTTTTTTAAGTTTTAGAAGGCTTTTGAAAGAGAAATTTTATATGTGGTCAAGATGGTCAAAATTGAATAAAATTATTTAAGGGTTTTAAAAAAACTGAACCTTATATCAAAAGTACCTTGGTACAAAACTTGAAGCCGGTTTCTCTAAGTTAAAAAAAAAAGTTTTATTGGAAAAACGTTTTCTTAAGTGCTCTGCCTAGAAAACAAAGAATTGATGTTTCATCAAAATGATTTCCTGTGCTTTATGCTGTCTTTTTTTTTTTTTTTTTTTTTTGCATACGTATGAACAGTTTATTTCAGGCATAAGGCATGCACACATATTACAGCTTCATGGAAGTCCACACTACCTCAGATTTATTCAACATTCAACAAGTTTTCTACTGAGCTTCTACATGTGCTGGGCTCCAGTAGACCTCATGAGGAAGGACACAAAATCCTGAGTAGGATATTTTCAGATCCTATGCCTGGGGCCAGACTAGCTACATAAGTGTCCCTCAAGCTTCCGACTAACGTCTGAAACTAGAAGTGATTAAAATGACATAGCTCTTCTCCAGTATTTAACTTTTCTTGTTTAAATAATTATTTATCCATATGAGATAAAATTCACTATTTCACCAACAATTGATAAGGAAAATCTAACATGAACTAGTTTAAGCAAAAGGGGAAATTTTGCAAAAAGTTCACAAGTAAATTTGACTTCTGGCTTGACAGGGTTCAGGAACTTAAATTATGTTCTCAGATCCAAGTGTCTGATATATCAGCTCTGTTGGCTTCTTTCTTAGACTCCACATGTTTAGCAAGATGGCTGCCCACAGTGCAGTTTCTTATATTTTCTTCTATAAATGTTCTGTACCTGACTCTTATTGGCCTATATTGGGTCACAGGCCAGGGGAATGACATCTCTGATTGGCCAGTCTGAGTCACATGTTCATCCCTGGAATCAGGGATAGAGTTAAGTCTAGTTGAAGTACTTAGGGTGGTTCTCCTAGAAGTTCAAATTATTAATAGCATTAACTAAAAGAAAGGAAAATATATACTGCTTAGCCAAAAAAGAGCATATATGTTCACCACATGATACACTTATGTCTCTCAGGAGGTAAAAATTTCTATCTGTAAACAGGGTGCTTCAACAGAAAGAACTAAAAATTTTTTAGTTCTAATGTTAGCTTAACTGCTTTTAGTTTCATGACAGAGTTCTTGTAAGAAGTAAATGAGTATGCAGTGAAAGTATTTCATTAACATCTGAATAATGCTTTATAATTAAATACCATCACCATTACTCGAGAGGCTGAGAATGTATCTGTTGGAGAGGTATCTTTTGAATATCTGAATCTCATCAAAGCCACCCAGTAACAAAGTTTATGAACATAATGAAGAAGTTGTAGAAGATATTTTGTATTGCCCATTTTGTCTTTTATTAGAACTTTTAATTAAGAAAACAGAGCATTCTCAATGTTAAATTTTTTTTTTTCAACTGTGTAACTTTTCTGTATTTGTCTTTAAAATCCTTTGTCATTCTGGTACTGTCCCATAATGATCTGTGATCCTAGTTAATGAAGTGTTTTGATATTTTTGACAAACTTTCCAAACCAAGCCTTTGATATTGATAAAAATCAAACCTTTAACATTGCTATTAATATTGACAAACATTTTGGTATTTTTGACAAACTTTCCAAAATCAAATTCTTAAAATTAAGCCTTTTTTACCCCACATTGACTTTGGAACCTCCCAGGGGCCCTGGAAGGTCTTCTTATAAAAGAGAAATGTTAAGCTAATTAGGCTTAATTGATACATTAAATTTGCAGAATAAACATTGTCAAATAAGCAATCATGATTGAGTGTTTACGTGTTCCAGAAATTATGTGAAATTCCGAGAAGTCTGATATGTCCTGGCATAATGTTATCAGTCATAATTCTGGTTATTATGTTAAAATGTTGTATGTCACAGAAATAATGATTTTACCTGTCAGTTGTGTCATTATCATAATAAACTCTCATTAGATCTTTAACCATGACCTTTTTTTTTTTTTTTTTTCAGATGGAATCTCACTCTCTCGCCCAGGCTGGAGTGCAGTGGCGCCATCTCAGCTCACTGCAGTAGCTGGGACTACAGGCGCCCGCCACCACACTCGGCTAATTTTCTGTATTTTTAGTAGAGACGGGGTTTCACCATGTTAGCCAGGATGGTCTCAATCTCCTGACCTCGTGATCTGCCCGCCTCGGCCCCCAGAGTGCTGGGATTACAGGTGTGAGCCACCGCAACCATGACCATTTTAAGTCTTGTCATCCATAGACAGTAAATTGTTTCACTCTGATGCTCTCCTGAAAGGTTTTGCAAGCAGCTATAATCCTAAAATAGTGTATCTCTAAGGATAAGAACTTCCAGAACTCTAAGTTCTTACACAGTCCAATAGTATATTCCTATGTTACCGGAAACCTGTACTTGTCAGAGTTCTTTCCATAAATTTCCTAGGAATATACTATTGGACTGAGTAAGAACTTCCAGAACTCTAGTGGCCGGGTGTGGTGGCTCATACCTGTCATCCCAGCACTCTGGGAGGCCGAGGCAGGTGAATCACAAGGTCAGGAGTTCGAGATCAGCCTGGCCAACATGGTGAAACCCTGTCTCCACTAAAAATACAAAAAAAAAAATTAGCTGGGCGTGGTGGTGGGCGCCTGTAATCCCAGCTACTTGGGAGGCTGAGGCAGGAGAATCGCTTGAACCCGGGAGGCGGAGGTTGCAGTGAGCCAAGATTGCACCACTGCACTCCAGCCTGGGCAACAGTGTGAGACTCTGTCTCAAAAAAAAAAAAAAAAAAAAAAAAAAAGAACTTCCAGAACTCTTATGAAGAAACAAATTGGTTCATAAGTTGCTAGCCCAACATCAAGCAAAATGAGAATTAATTATGTGGAACTAAATGAACTGATGAAAAAGAATCAGGCTGGGTGCAGTGACTCATGCCTGTAATCCCAGCATTTTGGGAGGCTGAGGCAGGCAGATCACTTGAGCCGAGGAGTTCAAGACCAGCCTGGCCAACACAGCAAAACCCTGTCTCTACTAAAAATACAAAAAATTAGCTGGGAATGCTAGTACATGCCTGTAATCCCAGTTACTCAGGAGGCTGAGGCATAAGAACCACTTAAATCCTGAAGGCGGAGGTTGCAGTGAGCCACGATTGTGCCACTGCACTCCAGCCTGGGTGACAGGGCAAGACTGTCTCAAAAAGAGAGAGAGAGAGAAATAATTCAGTTTTTGTTTTGTTTTGTTTTTGTTTTAGAGACATGTTGCCCAAGCTGGCTCGACTCAAACTCCTCGGCTCAAGCAGTCTTTCCATCTCAGCCTCCTGAGTAGCTGGGACTACAGGCATATGCCACCACATCCAGCAGTAATTTTTTAAAATTATCTTTTGCATATTTGTATTTCAGATTTAAGGGATTTTTAAAATCTATCTATAGTTTACAAGAATTTGGTAAATTATACCTTTGTAACATAATTGAAACAATCCCTTTTTTCTCCCTACTTGATCTCTCCATAATTCAGAAACTGTTAGTGAGAAAGGGTTGTGCTCTGTCGCCCAGGACAGAGTACAGTGCCATCATCATGGCCTCCTGCAGCGTTGACCTCCCAAGCTCAAGTGATCCTCTTACCTCAGCCCCAGGTAGATGGGACTACAGGCATGTAACATGATACCCAGCTGATTTGTTTGTTTTTTGTAGAGACAGGGTCTCACTATGTTGCCCAGGCTGGTCTTGAACTCCTGGGCTCAAGAAATCCTCCCACTGAGTGTAAACTAGTTCAACCATTGTGGAAGACAGTGTGGCAATTCCTCAAAGATCTAGAACTAGAAATACCATTTGACCCAGCCATCCCATTACTGAGTATATACCCAAAGGATTATAAATCATGCTACTATAAAGACACATGCACATGCATGTTTATTGCGGTACTGTTCACAATAGCAAAAACTTGGAACCAACCCAAATGTCCATCAATGATAGACTGGATTAAGAAAATGTGGCACATATACACCATGAAATACTATGTAGCCATAAAAAAGGATGAGTTCATGTCCTTTGCAGGGACATGGATGAAGCTGGAAACCATCATTGTCAGCAAACTATCACAAGGACAGAAAACCAAACACCGCATGTTCTCACTTATAGGTGGGAATTGAACAATGAGAACACATGGACATAGGGAGGGGAATATCACACACCGGGGCCTGTTGTGGGGTGGGGGGCTGGGGGAGGGATAGCATGAGGAGAAATACCTAACGTAAACGATAAGTTGATGAGTGCAGCAAACCAACATGGCACATGTATACCTACCTAACAAACCTGCACATTGTGCACATGTACCCTAGAACTTAAAGTATTATAATAATAATAAATAAATAAAATAAAATAAAAAGAAATCCTCCCACCTCGACCTCCCAAAGTGCTGGGATTATAGGCGTGAGCCACCACACCTGGCTGAATATTCTTATTTTATGACAATATAGTTATCTGCATAAGTTCAATAAGAATTTGTTCTCTTTATAACAGAATACAATTGGAAACATTGGTTATTTTACCAAGGCTTTGGCTGGAGCATCATATTTGAAAATGTGCATAGACTACTGGGTTTTTTAGCCTTATGAAAAGAAGGCCCAGAAACTTTAAATATATTTTAAAGATCTGAAGAAGAGAAGAATTCATCCAAACCTATTGGCATTACAGGTATGATGGCATGAGAGATGAGTCCGTGGCTTGGCTTCCTAGTCTGGAAAGGTGATATAGTTTGGATATTTGTCCCTTCCACACCTTATGTTGAAATATGATCCCCACTGTTGGAGGTGGAGCCTAGTGGGAGGTGTTTGGTTTATGGGAGTGGATCCCTCATGAATGGCTTGATGCCCTCCCTGAAGTAATGCGTGAGTCTCATTCTATTAGTTCATACAAGAGCTGGTTGTTTAAAAGAGCCTGGCGCCTCCTCCTCTCTCTTTTCTCTTGCTCCCTCCCTTGCTATGCGACACATCGGTTCCCCTTGCCTTTCACCATGAATTAAAGCTTCCTGAGGCCCTCACCAGAAGCCAAGCAGATGCTTGCACCATGACTTTTGTATAACCTGCAGAACTGTAAGCCAAATAAACATCTTTTCTGTGTAAATTACCCAGCCTCACGTATTCCTTTAGAGCAATGCAAAACAGACTAGACAAAAGGCTTTTAAAAGTCTAATCTGAGATTCCTGACCAAATGTTTCAGTAAAGTAGGCATAAAAAGAGCTTGTGTGGTCAATCACTATTCTTGTTACACTTGTATAGCTGATCAGCCCATGTTAATGAGATTAGACTTGTTTTGCAGGCTGATTGATCTTCCCATGATTGACTTTGGTGGGGATGGGGATGATTGAGAGAATAATTATGTTTCAGGAGAAAAACTATTGTGCACTCATTATTAGATTCTAGCTCTGTTCATTTTGTAAAGCTTTTACTTGTAAACTGGACTAGATCCTGGATTCTTTTAGTTTCCTTCAATATCTGGTTGTAACTCTTCAAACTAACATTTCCAATTTTCTCCTATCTTTCTGACTTGGAATCACTAAGAACAAAAACTGCCCTTTTCCGGAAGCCCTGCAAGCTGAAGCTGGACAACTTAATCTAGACTTAAAGAGAACTCACCACCACAGCTTACGTATGGACAACTTTTGTGCCTGTTGCTGTGAGCTGCTCAGACATCACTGGAAACATTCAAACTGCAAAAGATGCTTCAAAGTCAGGTATGATGGCTCATGCCTATAGTCCCAGGTACTCAGAATGCTGAGGTGGGACAATCACTTGAGGCCAGAAATTCAAGACCAGCCTGGGTAACATAGTGAAACCCCATATCCAAAAATAATAATAAGAAGAAGAAATAAATAGCTAGGCATGGTGGCATGTGCCTCTAGCCCCAGCTACTCAGAAAGTTGAGGCAGGAGGATCCCTTGAATCTAGAAGTTCAAGACCAGCCTGGGCAACATAACGAGATCCTGTCTCTGAAAAAAAAAGGTTAAAAAATATAAGATGCTTCAAATCCAACATCTGGTAATCTTCTTGACTGATTGCCCTCTGGACTCAGAGACCATGTTTCTAGCCATTAACCTTTGTTTTTACTTTGTCTGTTTTAGTTGGTTTGGTGCATGGGAGCCCTGGCTAAGGGGCATACACCACACTCTTGGTATTATCTTCCTGACAGTCATAATAGTAGTCTCCCTCTCAAAAGGTCTAAAACGTTTGCGTGCAGCATTAGTTGAATGGCAAATGGTCTCTATGTGATTGGAATGATTTTTAAAAATCAAAGAAAAGCATGATATCAAGGTCACCAGGACCTATGAGTGACATGTTGAGGTCAAGAACTGGGAATGATGGTGAATGAGAGTAACACTGGTGCCCTAAGTTTTGGTCACACTCACCTAGGTGATAGCCTGACCAAAATGGGAGACTATTGTTACATAACATTTATAGGAGGCCGTTAATTTGGACTGAGCTCCTGCACTAGGCCCCATCAGACCAAACCAAAATGGAGTCACTCATGCTAAAGTTTCATGTCACCAAACTGAAACAAGAAATCAGGAGAGAAACATAATTAATGCCAAATCTCCAAACTGGCCAGCTTTAGCCAGCATGATAAGGAAGTCCCCTCTGCTTTAACCCTTACGAGGAAAGTAACTTTGAAACAACCAATGCACTTTTTGTTCCTTGTTTCTGCTTTCATCAAGCATTTTCCTGTCTTAAATACTCACTGCCCATGTTATAGAGCGGAGCTCTCTGGACCTCTTCTGGTTGTGAGTGCCACCTGATTCATAAATTGTTCTTCACTCAAATAAACTCTGTTAACTTTATTTTTTCAAAAGCTTTTCACTCCCTGGACCTAGAATCTCTTTAAAAACCTGAAAAAAACTTTAAGCAGTCCTAACAAGACCTAAGGGTGGGAGAAGGTAGTAATAGAGACAGGGAACAACACTGATAAGTTATTTTCAATATTTGAAAGATGCCACATGGAAACTGTACAATTACTAGAGATAAGGTGCTAAGCTAACCATAATGTCCTGTTTCTAAGTTTGGGTTGGAACTACTTCAACTCACTATAAGAATTCTGATAATCGTATGCTGATCAAGGGTTTTTGTTGGTAGTTATAAATAGCCTTCGTTAACAAAAGTGGGAGGGTAAGCCAATCATTACCTAATAAAGCAGTTCATTTCCATCATGGGTGTGGGTCCAAGAGAACAAAGACACAATCACAGGGACCCTCGGAGATAAAGTAGATGGAAACCTCTGATGTGACTGAACCTCCCTGGTACAGAGGAGGGAATGTAAAGCCAGTCAGGTAGGCTAATAGCAAGTTAATAAATAGGATTCAAACCTACATCCATGGACAACTCAACTTACCCTTTAAGCCCACAAACATATTACAGCACAGGGAATACAGCCACTGTCTGTCTACTAAGTCCTGTGACTTAAACAATAGAAAATACAGACCCAGAAACGTCTAACAGAACTTTCTGTAACTGAAGCTGCCTTTGCAAAAATTATAACAGAAAATTATGACAGTGAAAGAGATCTGACCTAACCAATTCCATCTTGCCTTTAATCTCCAAACTGCCCTTGGTCATTCCTGGGTGTGGGGCAAGCTAACTTTGGGAGAAATGTATAGTTTAAATGATAATAGTCCTCAAAACTAAACCACCTTTGTAAAACTAATCGAAGCTCACCAGGTTAGGAGAATGAGAGGGGCCTGAACTCTGCTACCATGTAGGCATAGCTAAATGATTACCAGCCATTATTCCAGAGGTTACAAGATTTGCAGCTTCCCCAATTACTCCTGTAAATAACACCACTGTTGTAGAACCTAAGATTGGCCTTTAGAGATGTCTTTTCAAGCTTTTGCCTTTCTGACCAGATGGACCCACCGGGACCAGCAACTCTTCCGTGGCTCCCACCCAGAAGCCAACTGAGTGCACCAGGACCAGCTTCCACACCCCGATGGTTGCATCCCCAACCAATCAGCAGTACCAATTCCCTAGTCCTCTGTCTGCCAAACTATCCTTGCAAAACCCTAGCTTCCACATTTTCGAGGAGGATGATTTGAGTAATAATAAAACTCCCATCTCCCCTTTAGCCAGTTCTCTGTGTATTAAACTCCTTCTCTTTTGCCATTCCCCTGTCTTGAAAAATCTGCTCTCTCTGGGTAGTAGGCAAGATGAACACATTGAGCAGTTACCTAATGATAAGAATGTTCATATCTGTGCTGCCCAAAGTGGTAGCCAGTAGCCACATGTGGCTGCTGAGTACTTGAAATATGAACAGTGTGGCTGAAGAACTTAGAACTGAGTTTTTAATTTAATTGTAATGGCTAATGTTTGGGACAATGAAGATGGAGATAGACATTTGCATCATTCATAAAATTAAATTCCTCCTCTAAACTATTCAAAGCATAGGCAGTTATTTTCAAACTTTTTTTTTTTTTTTTTTTTTTTTTTGAGACAGAGTCTTGCTCTGTCACCCAGGCTGGAATGCAGTGGTGTGATCTCGGCTCACCGCAACCTCAGCCTCCTGGGTTCAGGTGATTCTCCTGCCTCAGCCTCCTGGGTAGTTGGGATCATGGGTGTGTGCCACCATGCCCAGCTAATTTTTTGTGTGTATTTTTAGTAGAGACAGGGTTTCACCATGTTGGTCAGGCTGGTCTTGAACTCCTGACCTCAGGTGATCTACCCACCTCGGCCTCCCAGAGTACTGGAATTACAGGCGTGAGCCACCATGTCCAGCCTATTTTCAAACTTTAAATCACAGAATTCCTTCTTCAAGGAAGAAAATATTATTCCTATACCAATTTAAATGCAAACTAGCAGTGTGAACATAGGGGCAGGCCTAGAGCCCAACTCATCCCACTCCCCCACTGTCCACTCTTATCAGTTCTCACCTACCCTTGCTGGCTTCACCCACCCTGGCCCACTTGGGCCCTCAGGCACCTCGTCAGAACTCCTAAAACTGCACTGAACACAATGTGAAAGCCACCAATTAAAAAAGCAGAAGAGACCAGCATCAGGTAATTCCCCTAATAAATATTTACTGAGCAGCAACTGAGAACCAGGAACTGGGCTAGATGATGTAGGGGTGCACGGGAAATAAGGCCCCTGCCATGAAGAGACAGGAAAAGGTGATCATGTTTGTCAATAACATCTTAGCTGGATGCTGGATGATCCTTAGCTCATTTTGCCCTGGCATGAGCCCTGTGGTCTTCCTTTCACAGTTTAATACACACTGGGCTCCAAAGAGCTCACCGAGGGGCATACACACCATGCACCAGGGAGGGGCTGGGACCCAGATCTTCCTGACCAGAGCTGTGCTGTGCCCTCCAGAGCTCGCCATCAAGATGGGGAATTTCTCTGTACCCAGATACGCAAACACAGGCCCTCGGGAGCTGGAAATGTGAGAAATAACATGACTCTCTGAGGGTTATGCTGTCAATAGATCAAAGAGAAGATATTCACAAGTAGCTCCCAGGCTGAGGGCCTCTACTATAAACAGATAGAATATAGGCAGTGTTTAACTAAATAGAGTTGTTAGATGCAGGGGCGGTGGGGGTCAGCCACGAAAGGACAGGAAAGGAAAGGCCGAGGCAGATGTATACAAGGTGGACACAAGCACAATAGGGGACCAGAAGCTGGCTGAGGAGTTAGGTATGTCTAACCCATCCCAGGCCCCCATGGCATCCTGACTGTGGGATGAATTCATCAGCTCTTGAGCTTGAAGCCAGAGAGTCTTGTGTCTTTCCAGCTCCTATGTTCTGAGTCCAGGCCCGCTGCATCCTCTCTCTCTGCTGGCAAGAGGAAGAAGTGCTAGTGGGAGGGGTCTTCTTTCTTCCTGGAGATGCCCAGCATTGCAGTGCCTCCAGAAGGCCCGGACCACCAAGCCAGGCCACCCAGCCCTGCTTAATACTTCTTTCTCAGCCCAGAGTCATCTCTCCTCAGCTGTTCCATCATCAGAGGTTTCTCTCCTTGGACAGGGATTTCTCATGATGAATTTTAAAAGTGGTTATGAACAATGATGTGGTCTCCCACGAAGTTTTGACCACAGGAAGTGAATGTGCTGACTGAACCCTGAGATATGAGGTTCAGATGAGGGACCAGCAGTACTCATTGACCCTGCGTGGGCCCAGAAGTTAGTTTCAGCAAAGACTTCAAAGCAGCTATTACATATATGTTCAAATAATTAAAGAAAACTATAATGACAATGACTCAACAGACAGGGAGTCTCAATAGAGAGGTGGAAACTATAAACAAGAATTGAATTGAACATTCACTTCTGGCATGATGGGGTGAGAAGATAAACATGTCCCCTCCCAGAAAGGCAATTATAAAGCTGCACACAACTGCCAAAACATATGTAACACTTCTTAAAATGGAGGAACCCTTTGTTCAAACAGAAGTATGCATGGGAACTCAACTGCTGCATGGAACAAATGGAAACCTGAGGGGGAAGCAGACCATCCTTCTCTCCTAGTTTGACCTGCTGTCTCCTTTGATGGGTCTCAGCACCCCCTTGAGAACCAGGGCAGTGAACCGGTAAACTGGCATTTGGGGGCTCACCTTAGGCCCTTAGGGTAAAGCTGGATTATATGGTAATAATCCTATCTCCAGGGGGTCTTGGTTTAGGTCAGTGGATCTTACTATAACCATTACATCCCAGGAGCCTTTCTAGAAATTTGTAGGGACTTTTGAGGTTATCTAAAAATAGGGGGTTAGTGTTGGCCTGTAGAGGGTGAGGGCCAGAGTTGCTGGGTGTGCCAAAATACGCCAGACTGTGCCCCACAATGAATTATCCTGCAGCCTTTACAACTTTTGAATGTCCTGAAATCTGTTTATAATTTTATAAACTAATAAAGTGAACCTAACTCACTTTTCATATAAACAAAATATACTTTTTGCATAGTTTTAATATATGCTGAATTGCTAGAAATAAGACTACCACATAAATCAAGCTAAGCTGATTGGCTTCTTTTTTTCTTTAACGTCACCAAAAGTTGATCCTCGTTTCAGAAAGTTGCACCATGACCACAGAAAAGATCTACAGAAAAATCATAATAAATAATAAAGCCACATCACTGATAGTACCATGGCTTGTGGCATCTGAGTTGCCAATACAATACCTCATATCAATCTGCATTTTCTTACTAGTTAGTAGTAGCTTCTAATGAAGTCATGCCAAACATCTATACAATGAAATACACATTGTAGACGGTCTCCAACTTATGATAGTTTGACTTACAATTTTTCAACTTTATGATCCTGCAAAAGTGATATTTACTCAGTAGCTCCTAGATTTGTGATGGATGTAATCCTGTCATAAGCTGGGGAGCATCAGCATTTTATCGTAAGTTACTTTCCTTTTATTCTCTCTTATAATATTAACACCTAGAGTATCGTATCAATGTATTTGGAAATTGCATGTGGAGGTCAATTATATTATCTATGATTTTCATGATAGATAAAGGGCATAACAAAAATATTTCTTGTAAAAAGGGGAGGAAGGTCTGACAGAGAACTACTGACTTAAACAGTACTCTTATCATTTCCACCATCTCTACTACTTTCTTTCAATGGGGTGGGGTAGAGAAAACATGAGCTAATATGAGAAAAATATAGGTGTATACAATTAAATGCCAAACCACATGGTTCAGCCTGGGTATCTAGGATAAATTCTTGAAAAAGGTTGCTCAATGGGAGCTGGAGTAATTAGGGAGGCTTCATGGAGATGAGGCTTAAGCAGGACTTTTGGGGTGGGGGATTAGGGTTTGGAGGGCAGAAGAGAGGAACCTCTTCTAGTGCCTTGCAATATAGGAAGGACTCAGTGCAAATGTGTTGAAGGTGAAGGGGAGAATAGTCTTAGCCTAGGCACTGCAGCACGCGAACAGACAGCCGTGCAGAGGCACAGGGCTGCTAAACGTGTTCTGCCTCCTCAGAGGCTCCAAGGGAATTCAGCACTTAGTTACGGATTTCACTGTTACAGTGCTTTGAGAATTGTTTATCATTACAGCCTGTCACTGCTGCTAAGGAATAAATGTTTAATTTCCTAATTCAGAGGCACTAGAAATAGTAATATTAGAGTCATTCATCTAAACATAAAGATGGCAGCCCTTAGTAATAATAGCAGGAGACACTCAGTTTGTAATCAGCCACTGCTTTGTAACAATAAAGATTTCCAAACAAAATGCTTTGAATGTTCTGTAATCATGCTAATGGCATTAAATAAGTCTCTGACTGGTTAAACTCCCCGTATCTGAATGATTTTGACTGCTAGTATCAGAAAATCTAAATAAAATTTATTTTTAAAATAAGGTCATTTATAATCTCCCAGAAAGGAAATCCAGAGATAGGGCAGTTCCAGGACTGATTAGATCACAGATTCGATGCTGTTCTTAAGGATCCCAGCTCTTTCCACCTTTGTTCTCATTGGTTCTCACGTTTCAGCTTGGCCTTTGAGACTAGCTCCCTTCATGGCCCTGACATGGCTGTCACAGTTCCTTAGCTCATTTACAGATATCCACAGGTAGAAAAGGGAATTTTGGTGTCTTGGTTATCTTTTTAAGCTGAAACAAACCCTACTAGAACCCCCCTAGAAGATTTTCCCTCCAATTTTATTGGCCAGAATTTTATTACATTCCCTGTGATATGGTTAGGAGGCTTGCCCCCTCTAAATCTCATGTTGAAGTGACCCTCAATGTTGGAGAAGGGGGGCCTAGTGGGAGGTATTTGGGTGATGGGGGTGGGTCCTTCATGAATGGCTTTGTGCGCTCCCCATGGACATTAGTTCACACAAGAGCTGGTTGTTTAAACAGCCTTGGACACTGCCTTCTTTCTCTCCCTCTCTCTCCCTAGTCATGTGACACAACTGCTCCTCCTTCACCTTCTGCCATGATTGAAAGCTTCCTGAGACCTCCCCAGAAGCAGATGCCAGTGCCATGCTTCTTGTACAGCCTGCAGAACCATGAGTGGTATAGTTTGGCTCTGTGTCCCCACCCAAATCTCATATAAAATTGTAATCCCTATGTGTTCAGGGAGGACCTGGTAGGAGGTGATTGGTCATGGGGGTAGTTTCCCCTGTGGTGTTCTTGTGACAGTGAGGGAGTTCTCATGAGATCTCAGGGTTTAAATGTGGTATTTTCCTCTGTGCTCTCTCTCTCTCTCCTGCCACCTTGTGAAGAAGGCACCTGCTTCCCCTTCCACCATGGTTGTAAGTTTCCTGAGGCCTCCCCAGCCAGGCAGAACTATAAGTCAATTAAACCTCTTTTGTTTATAAATTACCCAGTCTCAGGTAGTGTCTTTATAGCAGTGTGAAAATGGACTAACACAGTGAGCCAAAATAAACCTCTTTTCTTTATAAATTAACCAGTCTTAGATATTTTTTAATAGCAATGCAAATGGACTAACACACCATGCTTAAACCAATAGCTTGGCAAAGAAAACATGATGCTGCAGTTTGAATGTCCACTCCAAAACTCATGTTGACATTTAATTGCCATTGTGATAATATTAAGAGATGGGTTGGCCAGGCATGGTGGCTTATGCCTGTTATCCCAGCACTTTGGGAGGCCGAGGTGGGCGGATCATGAGGTCAGGAGATTGAGACCATCCTGGCTAACGCAGTGAAACCCCATCTCTACTAAAAATACAAAAATTAGCTGGGTGTGGTGGCGGGCACTTGTAGTCCCAGCTACTCGGGAGGCTGAGGGAGGAGAGTGGTGTGAACTTGGGAGGCAGAGCTTGCAATGAGCCGAGACAGCGCCAATGCACTCCAGCCTGGGTGACAGAGAAAGACTCTGTCTGAAAAAAAAAAAAAGAGAGATGGGACCTTTTAAGAGGTGATCAGATTATGAGGGCTCTGACTTCATGAATGGACTAATGCCATCTTCACAGGAGTGGGTTAGTTATGGCAGGAGTGGGCTCTTGATAAAAGGATGAGTTCACCCTGTTTCCTCTCTCTGTCTCACGCACTCTTGCCCTCTTTGGCCATGTGATGCCTTCTACAATGTTATGATACAGCAAGAAGGGCCTCACCAAACATGGCTGTTTGATTGTGAACTTCCTATCGTTTAGAACCATGAGCCAAATAAATTACCCAGACTGCACTATTCTACTATAGCACAGAAAATGGACTATGACAGAGTTCAGTGTATTTGGTTAGGTCCAATCAGTATTTATCTGGAGCTGAGGAAGGGGCCCACCCTTCTCAGAAGGACATGGCCACTCTGGACAGAGTGAACAAATCAAGCTTCTGACAGCAAGGAGGAAGCAAAGGATGGCTGGACAGGAGGCAACAACAGCATCTGTTGCAACCAGGGATTTCCAAATTGTTTCATCAGAGCATTCTTTGGAGGTACAAGAAAAAAACAGTTCTTTGGCCAAGTAAGCTTAGAAAGGTTGCACTATATCACCTTCCTGGAAATGCACAATGTTATCAGCATATTAAAGGCTTGGCCGGGCACCATGGCTCATGCCTGTAATCCCACCATTTTGGGAGGCTGAAACGGGTGGATCACTTGAGCTCAGGAATTCGAGACCAGCCTGGGCAACGTGGTGAAACCCCGTCTCTATGA
This sequence comes from Homo sapiens, assembly GCF_000001405.40. NCBI lineage: Eukaryota > Metazoa > Chordata > Mammalia > Primates > Hominidae > Homo > Homo sapiens. The sequence continues at coordinate 110,595,575 of NC_000006.12, forward strand.
AAAAAACAAAAATTAGCCGGGTGTGGTGGCACACGCCTGTAGTCCCAGCTACTTGGGAGGCTGAGGTGGGAGGATCACTTGAGCCTGGTAGGCAGAGGTTGCAGGGAGCCAAGATCATGCCAGTATACTCCAGCCTGCATAACAGAGCAAGACTCTGTCTGAAAAAAAAAAAAAAAAAAAAGGGCTCTGATGAAGTCCTATTCTTTTTGTTTGTTCTGAAACTGGGTCTTGCTCTGTTACCTAGGCTAGAGTGCAGTGGTGCCATCACAACTCACTGCAGCCTTGACTTCTAGGCTCAAGGGATCCTCCTGCCTCAGCCTTCAGAGTAGCTGGGACTACAGGCATGAGCCACCATGCCTGGCTATTTTTTTTTTTTAACTTTTTGTAGAAATGGGGTCTCGCTTTGGTCAGGCTGGTCTCAAACTCCTGGGTTCAAGCAATCCTCCCAGGTCAGCCTCCTAAAGTACTGGGATTACAGGCGTGAGCCACCACGCTGGCCTGGTCCTGTTCTTTTTAATGGTGTTAACCCACAATTTTCCAGATGTATTTGGCCATGTAATTTTTTGCTTGTGAAAATCTGTGAACAAGACAATAAAAGCAGTGTTTCATGAAACATTCATTTGTGACACACTAGGATGGATATTGAATATTTGTTTGGCTTTCTGAACAATATTTTAAGTTGGATTTAGATGTTAATAAGTTTCATGTGCAGATACATTGATAAGGAGGATTTTAGGTAGTTTTAACTTGAAATGTTTTGCTGATTTTTTAAAACAGCGTAAAATGTTGCAGAATCCATTTGCTGCTTTCTCTGAATTAGAAAGGGTGTGGTGGCCGTGGCAGGCTGGAGATTGGCTTGTTTGCTGAAACTATATCTGATGAAAAGATCTAGATTCTAGAGCCATTGTTTTTATTCCTTAGCCTTGGGAGCAAACAAAAGTTCATTCTGTTGGCCAGGGCAAGTCCCAGATAAGATGTTCAGCCTTTCTATTATTTTTTTTTTTCCACAGAACATAGGGACAGGAACAATACAAAGAGCCTGTCAAAAGCCACGTAGTATGTAAACCACCCCAAGGGCAACGGAATGGTTGATGGTTTCCAACAGTGAGGTTACATGGCCTTGTGTAGATTAGTAACCAATTAGAAAAGTTTCAATTTAGGAAGTTATTCCATATGCCCAATCAATCTTCTATAGCTCACGTAAACAATGTAATTGGACATTCATTATATGTACAGGGCCCTGGGGAGATTCAAAGGTGAACAAAAACAGAAATACGGTACTTGCTCTAACAAGTACACTATTTAGTTCATGTCAAGATACAAGCCTAAATGTTAAATGAGAATAGAACAACTAAATAATGCAGGGCAATTATACGAGAAAAGTCACCAGGCAGTTGTAAGACTACATGAGGCTGGGCACAGTGGCTCACGCCTGTAATCCCAGCACTTTGGGAGGCTGAGGTGGGCAGATCACTTGAGGTCAGGAGTTTGAAACCAGCCTGGCCAATATAGTGAAATTCCATCTGTACTAAAAATATAAAAATTAGCCAGGCCTGGTGGTCGGTGCCTGTAATCCCAGCTACTGGGGAGGCTGAGGCATGAGAATCACTTGAACCCGGGGGGGGTGGAGGTTGCAGTGAGCCAAGATCGTGTCACCGCTGAGCCAAGATTGTGTCACTGCACTCCAGCCTGGGTGACAGAGCGAGACTGTGTCTCCAAAAAAAAAAAAAAAAGACTACATGAAACACACACAAGAATTTCTGCTTCAAAACCTATTTTTCCTCATTGAGAATTTGCTAGAAAAAAAAAAGAACGTGTTACAAACAATTGCAGGAGAACTTTTCATACCATTTAGTTGGTAGAAGCCTCCATTTGGCCTGTAATTCTTTTTTGAGTCATCTTGTTCAAGTTCCTATTAAGCAAATAAGTAATTATATATGAAAATATGTATACTCATATATTACAATTAATGCTAAGCTCCTTGCTCAGGTCAAAAAAGCTTTTATAAACATAGTATGAGCAGAAAAGCAAATACAAATATATTCCTTGCCTATGTGAAAATATGTGTGGATTTTTTTAAGCCATTGGAAAATTGAGAAAGTGTTTTTTAGAAGATGTTTAGATATGTGTGGGTAGAATTGAAATGCTCCTGGTTAGAAAAACTTAGAAAGTTTCTACAAATTCTCTAGGGAGAAATATGCCTTTGGGTTTTCTGGATCCACCTCTTCTCCCTTTTCCACTTGCATTTGAACCTTCTCTTTCCTTTGCCCTGCTCAATTGGGATGATGCTTCCAGCAGTTTCTCCTAAGGGCAGGACTTTGGAAGGGAGCCCTGTTTTATTGGTTTAGAGTTTATAGACCTTGACTGCTCCAACTCCATCAGGCCTCACCGAGTGGTGCTTACCAGCTAACTGAAATCTGAGAGTTCCTACTCCCACCCACTCGTGCACTAGGGGCTGCTGTAATCAGAGGGACCCCTTGTGCTGTCTACTTGCAGATGGATGATCTCTTTTTCTCTCAAAATTCACAAGTTATTTTTGTTCCTGGCTGTCTTTCTCATATAAACGGTACAAAAGTACTGGCAACTGAGAAGTTTTGTGAATCTCTAGGCCACGCCTTATAAGATATGATCACTTAGGAGTTGGAAGTACGGATGGTAATTTATGAGAACCACAGTGTAGAAATAGAGGAATTATGTTCCCTTTAGAATCTCAGATGCAGGTGGATCCAGACTAGCTGGGTGGCTTCTTTTTAATGTTGCAATTGAACGTCCAGAAAAGATAGTTGCTCCTTGGTAGAACCACAGCTATAAATGGTATAGAAATACAATTTAGTGAACTTTTCCTTGCTGATGTAGGAGGAACAAAAGGAGGTGATGGGTGATGTCACCAAAACACAACAAAAGAGTGCCTCATTTTTTCAAGAGTTTCGTTAATGAAGCCAGGTCCTGGTGCTTGTTGGACAGCCCGCTGCTTGTGGGAATGCCTCCAGGCACGAGGAGTGGTGCCCTTCTTGGCATTCACTCATGCAAAATGGCTAACCCAGTCATCTGTACAGATACAGATGTCATCCTCTGTCAAAAGAGTGATCATCAAATGAAGGAGATAAAGAACATTGAACTTTGTATTTATACTAGAAACACAGATTCAAACACAGAAGTTGGAGAGGAAAGTGCAAACCAAAGGAAATCATATTTATTCAGAATCTACTTTGGGGCAGGCACTCTGGTCAGCACTCATCTCATTTATTCTGTAAACTCTGTGAGGTAAATAATATTTTTGGCATTTGACAAGGACTAAAACAAGATCACAGAGGTTCAGTAACTTATCTAAGATCACACAGCTCAGAGCCCTGTGTATAGAAAGGGCTGGGCATCAAGCCTAAGTGTGTCTAGTCTCCAAAACCCGTGTAATTTTTGTCATGCTGTGTTGATACAGCTGAGGCAGAGGTGAATATCACAACTCAATCATTACTAGGAAGTATAAGTAGAAATCATCCCTGTGAGATTTAAGCAGCTCAATGTTTATGGTCTTTTCTGCAATGTGGGAAAAATACAATGGGAAATGCCATGAAATCAACTGATAGGGGCCCTGGGTCAATCAACTTTTTCCTGTTCTTGGTCATAAGAAAGGTAACCACCCTGAAAAAAATGTTGGGATCAGGGAGTAGTTTTCCCCAAATACTTGAGAGGTTATCCCTTGGTGCTATGGTTGGAATGTATCCCTCAAATTTCATGTGTTGGAAACTTAATCTCCAATGCAACAGTGTTGAGAGGTGAGATAAGAGGTGATTAGGTCGGCTGGGCGCGGTGGCTCACGCCTGTAATCCCAGCACTTTGGGAGGCCGAGGCGGGCGGATCACGAGGTCAGGAGATCGAGACCATCTTGGCTAACACGGTGAAACCCTGTCTCTACTAAAAATACAAAAAAAATTAGCCGGGCGTGGTAGCGGGCGCCTGTAGTCCCAGCTACTCGGGAGGCTGAGGCAGGAGAATGGCGTGAACCCGGGAGGTGGAGCTTGCAGTGAGCCAAGACAGCGCCACTGCAGTCCAGCCTGGGCGAAAGAGCGAAACTCCGTCTCAAAAAAAAAAAAAAAAAAAAAAGAGGTGATTAGGTCATGAAGTCTCTGCTCTCAGGAATGAATAGACTAATGTCTTTATTGCAGCATGGGTTTGTTACCACAAGACTGGATTTGTTATCAAAGCAAATTCTGTTCCCTCTTGCTCTCTCACACTCTCTGGCCTTTCTGCAGTCTGCCATGGGATGATGAAGCATGCAGGCCCTTGTCAGATGCCAGCACCTTGATCTTGGACTTCCCAGCCTCCAGACTGTGAGAAATAAATTTCTTTTCTTTATAAATTACCCAGTCTGTGATATTCTGTTATAGCAGCACGAAATGGACTAAGACACTTGGGATGACTTCAAAACTCCTCTGCTCCTCTACCTATGATCTTCATTCATGTTCAGCAGCTGGCACTCATAAGTACACAAAGATCTAAGAAAAATGTACAATTTAGAAAAAGATTTTCATTGACAAAAGTTGAACTAAAAAAGATGTTGTATTTTATGCTCAGCAAACAAAATGAGATTTTTGTATTTATGTAAGATCACCTATTTTCTTCTCCCTACTCCCAAAGACTAAGATTAATTTAGTGCTCAAGCACCCATAGTTGCCTGTCAAGGTTAGTAGTGTTAAAATTGAGAATCCTCAGTGGAGCCAGAGACTAGGAAGGAAAGGAGGCCCAAGCAGAGGTAGGAGAAGGGACAGAACCTGACTCTCTCATTAGAAGGAGGACCAAAATTTTTTTTTAAGGCACAGGACACACTACTTTTTGCCAATCAGATTGGTTCGTAATTTAAAGATTGCTCACAGTGAGTTTTGGTAAGGCCAAAGGATATGGGCATTCTCATACACTGTTAGTGGGGGTGTAATTAGTACAGCCATTTTCGAAAGTAATTTGGGAGAATGTGTGAGAAGAGTACTCATAAGTCACTGGTTCTTAAACTCCAGCATGCATCAGAATCACCTGGAGGCTCATTAAAGCAGATTGCTGAGTCCCACCCCCAGAGTTTCAGATTCAGTGGTTTAGAGTGGGGCCTGAGAAGATTTAGTTCTAAAAAGTTCCCAGGTGATACTGATAGCCAGAATCTACAAAGAACATAAACAGATTTACAGGAAAAAAACAAACAACCCCATCAACAAGTGGGCGAAGGATATGAACAGACACTTCTCAAAAGAAGACACTTATGCAGCCAAAAGACACATGAAAAAATGCTCATCATCACTGGCCATCAGAGAAATGCATATCAAAACCACAATGAGATACCATCTCACACCAGTTAGAATGGCGATCATTAAAAAGTCAGGAAACAACAGGTGCTGGAGAGGATGTGGAGAAGTAGGAACACTTTTACACTGTTGGTGGGACTGTAAACTAGTTCAACCATTGTGGAAGACAGTGTGGCGATTCCTCAAGGATCCAGAACTAGAAATACCATTTGACCCAGCCATCCCATTACTGGGTATATACCCAAAGGATTATAAATCATGCTGCTATAAAGACAAATGCACACTTAGGTTTATTGCGGCACTATTCACAATAGCAAAGACTTGGAACCAACCCAAATGTCCATCAATGATAGATTGGATTAAGAAAATGTGGCACATATACACCATGGAATACTATGCAGCCATAAAAAATGATGAGTTCATGTCCTTTGTAGGGGCATGGATGAAGCTGGAAACCATCATTCTCAGCAAACTATTGCAAGGACAAAATACCAAACACCGCATGTTCTCACTTATAGGTGGGAATTGAACAATGAGAACACTTGGACACAGGAAGGGGAACATCACACACTGGGGCCTGTTGTGGGGTAGGGGGAGGGGGGAGGGATAGCATTGGGAGATATACTTTATGTAAATGACGAGTTAATGGGTGCAGCACACCAACATGGCACATGTATACATATGTAACAAACCTGCACGTTGTGCACGTGTACCCTAGAACTTAAAGTATTAAAAAAAAAAAAATTAGCCAGGCCTAGTGGCACACACCTGCAGTCCTAGCTACTTGGGAGACTGAGATAGGAGGATAACTTGTGCCCAGGAATTCAAGGTTGCAGTGAACTGTGATCATCCCACTGCACTCCAGCCTTGGCAACAGGGGCAAGACCCCCATCTCTAAAAACAATAACAATAATAATAATAATTTAAAAATTTTTAAATGGGGATAACCTGGGCAATAGCAAGAACCCCATCTCTAAAAACAAAAAATAATTGAAATAAATTTTTAAGAAATGGGGATAATAATAGTGTCTACTTCATACACTTGTGAGAATGAAATGAATTAATATATATAAAGTGCGTATCAGAAGTGCTCAATAAATATTAGCTCCATAAATGTTATCATAATTAAAGGTGCTCATTGCCTTTCAGTTGGTAATTTCATATCTACGTATATATCTTATGAGAAATATTTATATTACAACATAGATGAAGGCATTCCTTGCCTTGTGGTCTCATCATTCCAATCTCTGCCTCCACCTTACCATTGCCTTATCCTCTGTGTTTCTCCCAGGAATGAATGCAAGGTTCTTCCAGCATTCAAAAATCAATGTGATTCATTACATTAACAACATAAAGGAGAAAAAAGTTATGATCATTTCATATATAGAAAAGGCATTTAACAAAAGTTAGCATCAGTTCATGATGAGAACTGTTATCAAAATAGGAGTAGAAAAAAACTTATTCAATTCAATAAAGGGCATCAGTGAAATTTTTTTTTTTTTTTTTTTTTGAGATGGAGTCTCGCCCTGTCACCCAGGCTGAAGTGCAATGGCACAATCTCGGCTCACTGCAACCTCCACCTCCCAGGTTCAAACGATTCTCCTGCCTCAGCCTCCTGAGTAGCTGGGATTACAGGCACCTGCCACCATGCCCAGCCAATTTTTGTATTTTTAGTAGAGACGGGGTTTCACCATGTTGGCCAGGCTGGTCTCGAACTCCTGACCTTGTGATCCACCCGCCTTGGCCTCCCAGAGTGCTGGGATTACAGGTGTGAGCCACCTCGCCCGACCAAAAAACTTTTATCGAACACCATACCTAATGGTGAAATATGAAACACTTTCCCTCCAAGATTCAGACCATTACAAGGTATTCACTCACACCAATTCTTTTGATATTGTATTAGGAGTACTAGCCCATGCATTTAGGGAAAATAAATAAATAAATAAATAAAAGTTATACAGATTGGAAAGGGAGAAGTACCAGTGTCTTTTTTCACAGATGACCTGTTTGTGTATGTAGAAAACTAAAGGAATCCTTCCTCACACACACATAAACACTTCTAGAACAGTGAATTTAGCAAGGTTGCAGGCTATAAAGGCAAAATGCAAAAAACAATTGTACTTCTATTTACTGGCAACAAATAAGTAGAAAACGAAATTTTAAAAGTGCCATTTCTAGTAGCATCAACATCTAGGAATAAATTTAACAAAAGATCTGCAGACCTCTACACTGAAATTTGCAAAACATTGCTAAGAAACATTGAAGAAGACCTAAATAAATGGAGAGATACATCATGTTCATGGACCAGGAAACTCTATATTATTAAGATACCAGTTCTCTCCAAGTTGATTTATAGATACAAGGAAATTCCAATCAAAACATAGCAGGTTTTATTTGTAGAAATTGACAAGCTGATTTTAAAATATATATGGAAACGTGTAGACTCTAGAGTAACCAAAATAATCCTGCAAATAAGAACAAAGTTATAAAGCTTACCCTATCTTGTTTTAAGACTTATTTTAAAATTCCAATACTTAAAATAGTGAGGCCAGACGTGGTGGCTCATGGTTGTAATCCCAACAGTTTGGGAGGCCGAGGCAGAAGATTCACTTGAGCCCAGGAGTTTCAAATCAGGCTGAGGAACATGGCAAGACTTCATCTCTACAAAAAATAAAATAAAATTAGCTGGGCGTGGTGGCACATGCCTGTAGTCACAGCTACTTCAGAGGCTGAGGTGAGAGGATCACTTGAGCCTGGGAAGTTGAGGCTGCAGTGAGCTGTGATCACACCACTGCACTCCAGCCTGGGCAACAGAGTGAGAGCTTGTCTCAATAATAATAATAATAATAATAATAATAATAATAATAATAATAATAGTGGCTTAGGATAGACAACAGTTAAATGGAACAGAATAAGAAGTCCACAAATAGATTCACACACATACAGTCAATTGATTTTTCAACAAAGACACAAATGCAATTCAGTGAGGCAAAATGACATAGTTTGGTTATTTGTCTCCTCCAAATCTCATGTTGAAATGTGATTCCCAGTGTTGGAGGTGGGACCTGGTGGGAGGAGATTGGATCACGGGGACCAATCCCTCATGAATGACTTAGCACCATCCCCATGGTGATAAGTGAGTTCATGTGAGACCTGGTTGTTTAAAAGCCTGGGATCTCCCTCCTTTCTTTCTTGCTCCCACTCTCGCCATGTAATGTGCCTGCTCCCACTTTGCCTTCTGCCATGATTGTAAGCTTCCTGAGGCCCTCACCAGAAACCGAGCAGATGTTGGTGCCATGCTTGTATGGCCTGCAGAACCATGAGCCGATTAAACCTCTTTTCTTTATAAATTACCCAGTCTCAGGTTTTCCTTTATAGTAACGCAAAAATGGACTAATGCAGAAAGGAATGTCTTTTTATCAAATAGTAGCTAGATAACTGAGTATTCATATGAAAAAACTGATCCCTGACCTCCACCTCACATATTACACAAAAATTATTTCGAAATGGACCTGAGACCTAAACAAAAATGCTAAAACCATAAATCTAGAAGAAAGTAAAGGTATCTTCATATGATAGTCAAGGGTTTCTCAGAATACACACAGACACAGAAAAAAGGGATGAACTCTACCTCATCAAAATTAACATTTTGATGTTAAAATTGACATTATTAAAACAATAAAAAAAATTTTACGCTGCATGCATCTGACATAGGACTTATATTCAAAACATATAAAGAATGCTTACAAATCAATAATAAAACTTTTAAAAGTGGAAAAAGTCTTAGACACTACAGAAAAAAAAAGATAATACAAATGGCCAAAAAGCACGTGGAAAAGTGCTCAACCTCATTAGTTAGTTGGGAAATGTAAATTAAAGCTATAACGACATACCATTACAGACCCATTTGAATTGCTGAAATTAAAAACATTGACAACATTAAATGTTATTAAAAATGTAAAACAATTGAAATTCTTATGCACTGCTCGTAGATTATAAAAGGATACAATAATAATATTGGAAAATGCTAGACATTTTTTAAAGATGAAGTATACAGCTGTCCTATAACTCAACAATTCTAAGTATACCCAAGAGAAATGGAAACATTTGTCCACAAAATTTATACAAAAATGTTCACAGCAGCTTCATTCATAATAGCCCCAAACTGGAGACAACCCAAATGTCCAGTAACAGACAAATGACTAAACAAATTGTGGTATATTTATGTAATGGAATATTATACAGCAATAAAAAGAAACAAATCACTAATATACTCAACATAGATAACTGTTAAAAACAACATTTTGTACAAAAGAACCTAGACAAAATGAGTACAAACTATATGATTCCATTTGTATGAAATTCTAAAAAGGCAAAATTAAAATATGATGGTAGACATCAGAACGGTGGTTGCCTCTGTGGGTGAGGAGGTATTGACTACAAATGACAATGAAGGAATTTGAGGGGATGGTAATGAAAAGATTCTATTTCTTGATTTGGATTTTGGTTATATGGGTGTGCACATTCATCAAAATTCTTTGAACTGTACACTTAAGATCTGTGCATTTTACTACTTATAAAATATATCAATAAAGAAAAAAGAAAAATTTAATCAGACGTTTACAACCCAAACACGGCATCTGCAGCTGAATTCAGTGAAATCTGGCACCATCTGGTTTATAACTTAAGGCCTACAAGTTTGAATTAATGTAGGTTAATCTTCCAACCAAAGAGGAAAGTTCAGTATAGGATAGCATTTGCTTGGAGGACCCAGATCTTTCATTCATTCATTCATTTGAGACTGAATCTTGCTCTGTCACCCAGGCTGAAGTGCAGTGGTGTGATCATAGCTCACTGCAGTCTAGAACTCTGGCCTCAAGCAATCCTCCCACCTTGGCCTCCCAAAACACTGGGATTGCAGGTGTGAGCCACTGTCCCCAGCCTATGGGCCCAGATCTTTTTTTAAAAGAGGATTTTCTCAGGACCAGCGAATTCATGTAAGAGAATAAATGCAGAGGACAAGGCTGGAGGAAGGTACAAGTCTGAAATATTTGAAGCTTGTCTGCCTAGTCTCCAGTCTGCCTTCTGATATGCTGTGAGTTGGACCTATTCAGCCCATCCTCCCCACCACCATGAAAGAGATCTTCCTAAGATGCAAATTTGAAATTCATGTGGTCTTTCCAGATTCATCTCCAGCCTTTCTTCTCTCCCCCACCCAGACACACATACACACACATCATTCTCAAGTTCTTGCTGTTCTCACATACACCTCACTCGTTCATGCTTCTTTCTTTGCCTGGAGTCCTTACCCTCTGGTTCACTCTGTCAAACATCTGTCTTTGACACACGCTGTGACCCCCCAGGCAGCTGTCCCACTCCTCCATGCTCTCTTGTTTAGTCCTTATCGCACTGTCTTGTTGTCTCATGACCTGCCTTAGGTCTTTGCCCTTCTTCAACTCTAGTTACAGGGCTGGGAATATCTTACACACATTGGCCATGTTGGCGTCTCCAATTTTCCAGCATAGTGCCCAGTTCACAGTAGGTATTTATGGACTGACGATCTGGACAGGGGGTGATGGGGACACATTTACAGTTGTTCTTCCCAGGAACATTAGTAATTTTTAGGAAGACAGAAGAATAATCTCCAGGTGTGTGCAGTAGGTGCATGTACCTGTTCAAATGTGAGGATAATCTTTGGGCAGGAGACTCTTGGAGACCCTTTGAATTCACACCAGATTGGTAGGAAAGAGGGGTTCAGAATTCAGTTAAAATTAAGTCAGCAAAAACCATGTTGGAAAAGACAGGAAACAGAAGGTAAGGACTGTCTTACCAGTTCAGGGACAACTGACCTCTATAGAGGAGGGAGAGAAGTCAGAGACCGAGCAAGGTGTATTACTCCATTCTCACACTCCTATACATACCTGAGACACGGTAATTTATAAAGAAAAGAGGTTTAATCAGCTCATGGTTTTTCATGCTGTACAGCCTTCTGATTCTGGAGATGCCTCAGGAAATACAATCACAGTGGAAGGTGAAGGTGAAACAAACGCGTCCCACATGGCTGGAGCAGGAGGAAGAGATCGAAGGGGGAAGTGCTACACAGTTTCAAACGAACAGATCTCGTGAGAACTCACTATCACGAGAACAGCAAGGGGGAAATCTGTCCCCTCCACCCAATCACCTCCCACCAGGTCTGTCCCTTAACACTGGGGATTGCAATTCAACATGAGATTTGGGTGGGGACACAGAGCCAAACCATATCACAAGGGTAACTGGTTTTGCTAGCTAAAAGGTAAGATGTCACATCAGTCAGCTCGGGCTGCCATGACAGAATACTATAGACTGGGTGGCTTAAACAGCAGAAATTTACTTTCTCACAGTTCTGAAGGCTGGAAACTTCCAAGATTTGGTCTGGCAGAATCCGCTGTCTTCCTGGCTTGAAGATGCCCACCTTTTTGTTGTGTCCCCGAGGGAAGAGGGGAGAGGGAATGAGCTCCCTGGGGTGTCTTCTTATAAGGGCACCAATCCTGTCAGTTCAGGGCCCTACCCTTATTAATCCTACTTACCTCTGTAAAGGCCCCATCTCCAAATATAGACGCATGGGGGGTTAGGGCTTCGTGCGAATTTGGAGAAAACACAAATATTCAGTCCACAGCAGCTTCATCGTGCAAACTCAGCAGCAGTTTTTGAAAAAGCTTGTGCAGCAAAGAATGTGCTGAAGAGATACATTTTGATGTTTTAAGTCAACATTTTCATTTCTTTCCCCGATACTATATTCTCTCATTTAGATAAACAAAATTTCCTTTTAGGTTTGTATGTTGCTTGTCCAAGCTGGTTTCCTATTGCCTACTAGATAAAATGATGCTATACAAGGCTTTAAAATGCCTACCTCTAGGTAGCCAAAACAAAGACGGCTTCTGGCCGAGTGTGGTGGCTCAGACCTGTAATCCTAGCACTTTGAGAGGCCGAGGTGGGCGGATTGCCTGAGCTCAGGAGTTGGAGACCACCCTGGGGGCAACGTGGTGAAACCGTCTCTACTAAAATACAAAAAAATTAGCCGGGCTTGGTGGTACATGCCTGTAGTCCCAGCTACTCGAAAGGCTGAGGCAGGAGAATTGCTTCAACCCGGGAGGCAGAGGTTGCAGTGAGCCAAGATTGCACCACTGCACTCCAGCCTAGGCCACAGAGTGAGACTCTGTCTCAAAAAAAAAAAAAAAAAAAGATGGCTTCTAAAGAAGAGTGGCAAGTATGGCTAATTTATCTTTTTTTTTTTTTTTTAATAAGACAGGGCCTCATTTTGTTGCCCAGGCTGGAGTACAGTAGTGCGATTACAGCTCACTGCAGCCTCAACCTCCCAGGCTCAAGTGACTCTCTCACCCTAGCCTCCCAAGTAGCTGGGACTACAGGTATGTGTCACCATGCCTGGCTAATTTTTTTTATTTTTTGCAGAGATAGGATCTCACAATGTTGCCCAGGCTGAGCTCAAACTCCTGGGTCTGAGTGATCCTCCCACCTCGGCCTCCCAAATTGTTGGGATTACAAATGGTGTGAGTCACAACACCTGGCCTTACTTCTTTTATTCAAATGCAATTTGAATTGTTTGTTTGTCCCTTTGGGGTGAATTTTATTATGACTCTGCAGTCAAACATAGAAATAAACCTATTTTAAGAAAGTGAACCAGGCCAAGTGCAGTGGCTCACACCTATATCCTAACACTTTTTATAGAGACTCCATCTCTATAAAAATTTTTAAAAAATAACCAGGTGTGGTGGCATATGCCTGGATCCCAGTTACTAGGGGGGCTGAGGTGAGAGGATTGCTTGAGCCCAGAAGGTTGAGGCTGCAGTGAGCTATGATCAGGCCACTGCACTCCAGCCGGGGTGACAGAACAAAAGACCCTGTCTTAAAAAAAAAAAAAAAAAAAAAAAAAAAGCAAGCAAGCAAGCAAGCCAGACATAGTGGCCTGTGCCTGGGAAGCTGAGGAAGGAGGATCCAGCGAGGCCAGGAGTTTGAGGCCACAAAGTGTTATGATCACACCTGTGAATAGCCACTGCACTTCAGCCTGGACAACACAGATGCCATCTATCCAAAAGAAAAAAAAGGTGATGCCTGTTTCTAGTATTTTTATTATTCATGGAACAAAATTATGTTCATCCTTATCCATAAACAAATATTACATGACCCAGGAATTCTATGCAAGTGTACAAGTGATGCTATGACTTACCATATTAAGCAACTGCTCTGTGTTGGGCATCTTGACAGCTGCTGGGCAAGAGGGGAATAAAACTCAGGCCCTGTTCCCAAGAATTTACAGTCTGTTAAGGTGATGGACATCACCTTCCCAGTTCTCCCAGGAGTGGTAAAGGGTTTGTCCAGTCATCTGCTTTGTCTTACCCAGATGGCTGGTGAGAAACGCAGCCGAGGCCAATGAACAGCTTTGCAGAAGATCTATCCTACAAATAGCACAGCACTGAGTATGAAATCTGTGCCAAAAAGAGAAGCAGCCAAGTGGGATGTGATTATTTTAAATAGAAATGAAAGCTCTGTATTCATGCCACTTAAACATTGTTCAGTTCACTCTGTGATGCCTTTGGATATTGGAGTAACAACCATAGAAGATTCATCAAACAAATTATAGAAGGAGCAGCCAGGTACCACAGAGTGCTCTTATAAAACAAGAAACTCCCAATCCAACCCCATCCACAAAATGCTTATTAGTCTTTTCTAATTCTCATTTATATTTTTTTAAAAAGATGTTTCTCCTAAAGATGTATAAAAACCTGCAATTTTACTTATGAGGTATTTGCAGGCCTTGCTTGCTTTGCAGTATTATGACATCATAGCATCCTGAACAAAATAACATATTAGAACTCACAGAAAGACTTCGTATCTCTGCAGGAAAAGTGTAATTATAAAAGCTTCTAGGCACACAGATAAAATTTTAACGCTAGATGGGGTCTCACTATGTTGTCCAGTCAGGTCTCCAACTCCTGGCCTCAAGCAATTCTTCTACCTCAGCCTCCCGAAGTGCTGAGATTACAGGCATGAGCCACTGTGTCCAGCCACTAAGCCTTATTATAAGATTTTTTTTATATTTAAAAAATCCACACAGAAGCAAAGTCAATTAAATTTTATTTCAACCAAGAATATAAAATAAATGCAATGTAATTTATTTTAGTTTTAACAGTCATTTCAAGAAGGAAGTCAGGTCAACTCAAAAGCAGGAAACCCTCGCTCCAAAGCAGTAGCTCGTCCTGCACTCCATGGAGCAGGCCTCGCTGGGGTGCAGCGGCTCTGAGCACAAACCTCGCAGTGGAGCACGAAAAGCTACAGTCATCTCTATAACCATATAAAGGGGGATGCGTGCAGAAAATGACTGAAAAAAGAGACAAGAACAGGTACACTTCACAAATAGGAATTATAGGAATATACAAACTAGGCAGTTTAGAAAGGATATACTACATAACATATATAAAAAGTACTTTAAATTGTTGTTAAAAAGGACACCTTCAGTCCAGATTTTGTGTAATACTTTTAGTGTCTACACAGACAAATCTTTAAAAAAATTAAATAGTATTAATTTACTAAATATTTAGGAGATAACAGTGCATTAAGGGTTTTTTTTTTTATATAATACATACATATCACCCCTTTGCAGTGATAGCATAGAAGAGTAAGTATGGCCTTAGGTACAACACGTTTTTTAAAAACCCTAAAACAATGAACTTTGTTATATTTGTGACTATTTTTGAGGATTATGGGGACCTAAACTGCTATGTTTTATACAAAATATTACTTGTACTTGAATCCTTCAAGCCTCTGTTGGTCTAACTGCCATTTCACTGCCTTTCTCTACTCCCTAGGAAGACATCATCATAGAGTTTTGGATTTGTAATTTCCATAGAATTCTTCCTTCATTGTATAGTTTCTGCTGCATAAATTTACTCAAAAGCACATCAAGTTGCATGTCTTATTTTCCAACTATTTTTTTCTTTTCTTTTACCTTTAGCAGAGAAAACAGCATCATTTTAGAGGCATAGAGAACAAGTAGCAGTTGCTTCACCAGGAATGAGGCAGCACACATAGGTAAATGTCATCCCTTTCCATTCTTAAGAGTCCATTATGTTCGTAAGAGCAAAAGAGTAGTGCAGAAGGCCAAAATTCTAAGTACTAAAGTTTCAAAACCACAGAGATATAAAAATATACATAATCCTTGGTCTTTGTATGTCACTGCATGATCTACTTCATCACAAGGATTGTTTCAGCCTCATAGTATCAGCCCTGCTGCCAAAGCTACCTTACCTTGAGCTCATCTGTCCTGCAACACTTGAATTCCTTTCACAAACACACACCTCCCCAGAAAGCTAACTCTGAAACTGGTTTGTAACACGAAGAGCAGAAAGCCTTCACTTGGATTCATTCCTTCCTGTCAATAACCCCTCCTAGTTTGGGTGTTCCCATAGGCTGAGGGATGCCCCTCCTGTACCCTTGGGGGACATAACAGTATCTAATAAATTTCAAAGAGAAATGCCATCATTTGGGGACCACAAAGGTAAAGTTTGCCCTCAAAAAGCTTCAAAGGTCTCCTTAGAGGTCCCACGGTTTGAGGGCCCTTACGTGTGTTAAAAAGGCTTTGTTCCCAACTGGGTGCGGTGGCTCACACCTATAATCCCAGCACTTCGGGAGGCCGAGACAGGCGGATGACCTGAGGTGAGGAATTCAAGACCAGCCTGACCAATAGGGTGAAACCCCATCTCTACTAAAAATACAAAAATTAGCCAGACGTGGTGGTGCGTGCCCGTAGTCCCAGCTACTCGGGAGGCTGAGGCAGGAGAATCACTTGAACCTGGAAGGTGGAGGTTGGAGTGAGCCAAGATCGTGCCACTGCACTCCAGCTTGGGTGACAGAGCAACACTCCGTCTCAAAAAAAAAAAAGGCTTTGTTCCCCTTTAAAGGAAAGAAAATGATCCAAAATTATTACTAAGGGTAAAGGGAATCAGTGGGTAGCACGAACCCTGAGGCAAGGAAAGAGGAGAAAAGAGCCAGTACCAGTGCAGGGATAGGAACTCAGTCATGTGTGGAATGGAGATTTCTGGCTATGTCCTGGAGGATATTGTATACTGGGAGCAACTGACGAAATCCCCTTACAGTTTATATTTCAGTTCTGCCAGCAAAAGTCATTATATACAAGGAAAACAGGGTAGTTCTGTGAATGTATAAGCGTAAGAACTATTTAACAATGCTGCTTATAAAGTATTAAGGGGCATAGTATTTTGGTTTACATATCTATCTGGGTTTGTCTTCTTTTATTAAAGGTAACCTCCTTGAGAGCAAGAACAGACCTTCTATTTTCCTTGCAATTTCCTACAACCACTTAGGAGAGTATGTTCTGCCTACAAGGACCACCCAGTTGTTGTTAAAAGGCTGCTGTGAACATTTCAAAGATACGTCAATGCCTTTTGTGATATTGAATCACTGGCTTTCTCTAAGGTAGACTGACATAGAAACCCTTCCATAATATTATTTACAGAACAGATTTGGGGATAGTAACTACCCAAGTGGGTTTAGAAGTAAACAAAAAGACCTTCATATTATAAGACAGTTTCACTTGTAAGTCAATCACATGGCACAGACATCCCAGGAGGGCTTACTGTCACAGATCACAAGCTCCTTAAGGACAAGAAGTATGCCCTGTCCTCTGTGTTCTCTACCCAGCAGGGCACCAGGCACATGGTGAGGGTGCAATAAGCATCTGATGACCAACAGCTCTGGACAGTGAGGCTTTAGGGCACAGGATAAAACTGCATATAGGCAGCTACATTATGCAGAGGGCTGCTAATTTCTTATTTTAAAAAATGGAAGGGGTAAAACAGCAGGAGACTATCAGAAACTCCTTCCAATGGAGCACGTAACCTGCTTCATCTTCAGTCTTGATGAGTGTCACTATGCAGACTTCATTATTAGTGAGCATTATTATGCTGAGATCAGTAAGGTCCTGGCTGGCTACAGTATCACATCAATAGTGCAAAATGTATACTGGCTTCTGTCTAATCTTATTTTACTTGTGTATGGACCCACAGTATCATAACCAGGTAGATAAGTTCAGAAAGAATAGTTTTTAAAAATGCATGTAATTTGCATATACAATAATCAGCTATTTCTTCTAGCTCAAGAAAACATTTAAAACAAGGCTGGTGCTGCTAGTAGCATTCAGAAGAACACAAATTTCTTGCCCCTTACATTACAATGGGAGCTCTAAGTTTTTACATTTCCTTTTGACTCTGGGGAGTGAGGGGCTCCTTAAAGCAGCTAAGAAAGAACTCAGCCACTAATTCATAGATAATGGAAATGCAAATATTCACTTTGTCTAGTATAGTCTTATACTATCCGCCCATAGTTTTTAGGCACAATTATTAAGTTTTCTCCTAGGGGCAAAAGAAATCATTCAGTGCAATGAAAAAGATTCTTGATAGAATTAAGTTTCAGTAACAACAGCAAAATTATGCATACATAATACATACTTTAAACATGAATAAAACCTAAATTTTTAACATGCTTTAAAAATAGTCACTCTATATCTAATACAAATACGAATGGAGAACACTGCTCTTTATTTTAAAAGCAGATTAATTTTCAGGCTTCTACTTGAGTAACCTTGATTATGCAAGAAAGTTACTCACGCAGACCCAGATGTGAAGAAACCAATGGTTCTTTAGAGAAGCCGACTTTATGTACAATACACACTAAAAACTTTTCCTTCAAAGGGAAGTAACACGTCTTTTGATCAAAATTACTCCTTACAGAAATCCTAGTGCAGTTGTTACTCTCTTCAGCGTTTTGGTGTGGGCCATCGAGACTGTACAAAGCTCTTGAAACCCTTTTTAAGGTAGACTTAGCTACATGAAGGTTAAAATTGTAATTCTTAATTACTGAATGCTATTCAGAATAAGATGATGCTGGGAACTCAGTTCCATATGAATGATTCTATAAAAATTACCACATACTTCAGTTCTTCGTGGCATAAAGCACATAACTGCAAAGATCTAGGCAGTTTTTGGTTGTAGGTTCCCTCTGTCCCACCGCTTGTCTTTTTATTAGACCTTCCCTGAAACTAGATAAATACGAACGTAATAGTAAAGTACTTTGGGACAGTAACAGTTTCTGTTTAAGACTTCCATGAGCAGAACAGTTATTGTCTGTGAAAACGTAGTGCTTTAAAAGGTGCATTTTTACCTGTGTTGCTAAATCAGTTCATGAAGTATAAAACTATACACCACTGGAATCCTGTTTCTAAAACATTAAAATCCTATTAAAAGAGCTTTGAAAAGATAAACCATAGTGATTGCTACAGCATGAGAAAGGTGCACCAGGAAATCCTTCAAAGAAATGCTGAAGGTTACAGAAGTGCTGGGATTAGATCAGACGCTTTATCAGAGAAGTCACAATGGAACACATGCAGGGAAGGGGTGCTGGGGAAACTTCACAAGAATCTTCTTTAAGTCAATAAAGAAGAGCTATCAGTCCTGCACAATGCTCAGTATATAAGGTTTTCCTCCCATGTGTATGAGTTTTAAATGGCATCATAGTTTGCATTTTTTTGGTTCTTTTC
Source organism: Homo sapiens (assembly GCF_000001405.40). NCBI lineage: Eukaryota > Metazoa > Chordata > Mammalia > Primates > Hominidae > Homo > Homo sapiens. The sequence continues at coordinate 110,614,472 of NC_000006.12, forward strand.
AATGCAGACATATTGCTGGAGCCTGTGCTCTGGGCTGGGCTGGCCTGGCCCAACGGGAGCTGGTCAGTACCGGTGGGCCTGGTGAGATGGGTGGTACTGTGAGCTCTGCTGAGACGAGGAAGAGTAGCCAAGTGTGCTCTGGGACTGAGAGGATCCCTGAACGCTGCTTTGGTAATTCAGGCGAGAACTGGAGTGCTAGGAGAAGGAAACAGGAAAAGGGAATTACTGATGGAGGAAGAGGATGACTCAAGATGCTCATCACAGTAGGATAGAGATATAAGCCGTTTTCATTAGGTTCCTGGTTCAGACACACATAGCTGACAGCTAACTTAAGTTGTTAACACATTTTGCTTATTTGAAATCACAGCCTGCCACCACTGTAACCACACATTCTGGCAGGCATGAAATTTGGCTAGATTTTTGTGGGAGATAAGCTACACTGGAAAGAAAGGAAAAGGGGAAATTTCAGCGGACCCATTTCTCTTTATTCCAATTCTGGGGTGTAACAATCCTTTGCATAACTGAGACGTGCAAACAAGAATAATCAATTTGGCATACTGAAATCAATAGTATTCATAATGTATACTGACATGCTATTATTTTTCCCATTATAAATAACAAAGCTGTGATTAAGAAATCATTATTTTAGAGCAAAGGGTTTTCAGAGGTAGAAGCTAGGGGTATCAGGAGTTCTACCTACGAGACAAAGTAAGGCAAGATTAGGTGGGGTGCGGCAGCAACATGTGGGTTTTATAAACTTCAGGTAACATTTAGAATAAAGCAATTTTCACATATGATTGTCTTCAAGAGAAGACAGAAAAATGCATTTCAATTCAATGTATTTTTATTACATTAAATGAAACCTTCATCTTCATAGTACCTAACGCAAATACAAAAAAAATGTGTAAAAGGAAAAATCATCTATAGAATAAGAACAGTATGTAAGAGACAAGCATAGCTGGAAGTAGTATCTTTGGCTATATTCAGAAGGCTGGTTTTTCTTGTAAGCAAAGTGGGAAAGAATATATGTAATAAAGCTATTACTTTTGAAACTTCCTTAGCAAAAATTAAACAGCAAGAAAATTATGACAGTGAAAGAGATCTGATTTAACCCACTCCATCTTGCCTTTAACCTCCAAACTGTTCTTGGTCATTGCTGGGCATGGGCCAAGCTAACTTTGGGAGAAATTTAGTTTATAGTTTAAACGACAATAGTCCATCCCAAAACTAAACTGCCTTTATAAAACTACTAAAAGGCCACAAGTTTAGGATTATGAGAGAGGCCTGAATTCTGCTAAGATGTAGGTGCAGTTAAACAATTACCAGTCATTGTTCTGGAGGTCAATTGGCTACTCCCCAATTACTCCTGTAAATAACATCACTATTGTCAACCTTTTCAGAAGGCTTTTCAGACTTTTGCATTTCGGATGACTCCACCCAGACTGAGACTCATGACTCAACCAGTCCTGTGGCCCCCACCCAGAAGTGGACTCAGCACAGGAAGACCATTTTTCACACCCCTTTGATTGCATCCCCAACCAAGCAGCAGTAGTCATTCCCTAGACCCCTGCCCACCAAAGTATCTTTGAAAAATCCTAGCCTCCAAATTTTGAGGAGGCTGATAATAAAACTCTGATGTCCCATTTAGCTGGCCCTATGTGTATTAAACTTTCTCTATTGAAATTCCTGTCTTGATAAATTGGCTCTATCTGGGCAGCGAGCAAGAAGAACCTGTCGGGCGGTTACACTTTGAGTTAAACATGTAAATTATCTTGAGGTGGCACTGGGGGTTTAGGAAAGAACAGATCAGCAAGGTCCTCCTGCTCAGTGCTCAAAGGCTGCCAAACGACTTGGAATATCTGGTCCAAGATAACAGGGCACTAAGGTAGTTTTGGTTAAAAACAACTCAGTTGTGGCTAGGCACAGTGGCTCACACCTGTAATCCCAGCACTTTGGGAGGCTGAGCTGGGCAGATCACCTGAGGTCAGGAGTTCAAGACCAGTCTGGCCAACATGGTGAAACCCCATCTCTACTAAAAATACAAAAATTAGCCAGGCATGGTGGTGGGTCCCTGTAGTTCCAGCTACTCGGGAGGCTGAGGCAGGAGAATCGCTTGAACCCAGGAGTCAGAAGTTGTAGTGAGTCAAGATTGGCGCCACTGCACTCTAGCCTGGGCGACAGAGGGAGACTCCATCTCAAAAAAAAAAAAACAAAACAAAACTTAGTTTTGCCCCTTCCTAAGTTGCACAACTGAATAGTCACATTGGTTACAGAAGTCTTTAAAAATTCCAAATTTTAATTACGTGTTTTATTTTGAAGTTTATTATGAAAAATGTTCTTTCAACTCATACGTTATTTGGGGCAATTTTGCCATAAAGTATAATGTAAACATGTAAGAATCTAATGTGCTGTAACATAGCTTTTTTAATGACAAAGGGTTTTTTAGACAGAAAATAAGCCAATGTCCCGCTTTTCAAAGCGCTAATTGTACTTGCTTACAATACATTGATGAAGCAGCTCAAAAGCCTTGAAACTCTACTAATGGAACTGTTGGGGCACAGAAAACAATACCCCAAAATGAAGGCCTCAGGAGCAAAAGTTTTTCTCTGACCTTTTTGTGCCCTCTTGTCTCACAGTCCCATTCTCCTCAGAGCCAGCCATAGAAACTAGAATTCCCCTTCCCTAAGGCAAGCCATAGAAACCAGAACCCCACTTCCCCAACACCAGCTGTGAAACCTAAAAATATTACTCTAACTTCCCCCTACCTTTCTGTGTAAAAACTGGACATAAAGAAATGATCTGGCATATCCTGTCTGACTGTAGGTCATGAGACTCCTGTCCCAGAGGGGGTCCTGCCCCACACCCAGAGGCAGGAATGCACGCTTAGAGAGACCAACAGGAACCTAGACAGGCCATGTTGGGTTTCCCCCTCAGTCTATTAGCATCAGATCATACCCCTTCTGTCCAATCATGTTTCTACATGGCTGTCTACACTTTGTTGACCCTAAACCATAAAAATGGACAATTTCTGGCCGGGCACAGTGGCTCACGCCTGTAGTCCCAACACTTTAGGAGGCCAAGGAAGGTGGATGACTTGAGGTCAGGAGTTTGAGACCAGCCTGACCAACATGGCGAAACCCTGTCTTTACTTAAAAAAATAATAATAATAATAAAATTATTTATATATATATACACACACACACACACACACACACACACACACACACACACACAAATTAGCCGGGAGTGGTGATACATGCCTGTAGTCTCAGCTACTTGGGAGGCTGAGGCATGAGAATCACTTGAACCCAGGAGGTGGAGGTTGTAGTGAGCCAAGATCACGTCACCGCACTCCAGCCTGGGTGACACAGTGAGACTCTGTCTCAAAAAAAAAAAAAAAAAAAAAAAAAAAAAGACTACATGAAACACACTTTGAATTTCTGCTTAAAAACCTAGGACATCATTATATGCTCATTAACATTCTAAATCACACACTCACCAGCACCATGACAGTTCCAAGAACATCCATATTTGGCATAAAAATGGGTGGCACCACAGTTCCAAGAAATCTCCCCCTTTTTCCAGGAATTTTCATGAATATTCCACCCTTTGGTTAAAGAAACCCATAAAGATAGAAACCCAAACCAGACTGCATGACTCTCTATTCATTTATTTTTTTTCAGATGGAGTCTCACTCTGTCACCCAGGCTGGAGTGCAGTGGCGCGATCTCGGCTCACTGCACCTCTGCCTCCCAGGTTCAAGCAATTATCCTGCCTCAGCCTCCCAAGTAGTTGGGATTACAGGCTTGCACCACCACAACCAGCTAATTTTTATATTTTTAGTAGAGACGAGGTTTTGCCATGTTGGCCAGGATGGTCTTGAACTCCTGACCTCAGGTGATCCACCCGCCTCAGCCTCCCAAAGTGTTGGGATTACAGGCATGAGCCACTGTCCCCAGCCAGATTCTCTCTTGCGTATACCCACACTCCCCTTTCTTGAGTTGTGTACTTTTCCCTCTGCAATAAATCTCCATACTTTTGCTATTTTTGACTCATCCTTTAATTCCTTCTCCCGATGGTGTTAGGAGCCTGGACACAGGGTGGGGTTGAGGTCCCACCAGCATCTGGGGACCTCCCTCAGCCCACTGGTATCAAAGTTGTATGCCTTTCTGTCCTGATAAGTAAGCAACAAGGAGGAAGGGGCTCCAGGTGGGGAAAAACAATGAACAATTGTTCTGAGACACTGCTAGTCACAAACAACTGGTGGGCACAATGACCTCATTTGGCACATAGCTCCCTCCCGCAAGACCCTGTAAAACTTCCTTCCAGCCCCTGCTCTTTGCAGACAGCCCCTCCCTCTGCTATGCTGTCTGTTGCAACAACATGTTTTCATACATTCTGTAATAAATCTGCCTTTCTTTACCCAGAACTCTTAGTAAAAACCTTGACTGCCTGAGACACTGGCCCTAGCTAGTCACACCCATGACATTTTCTCCAATTAACCTGCCTTTTGTGAGTTGATTTTTCAGCGAACTTTCAGAGAGTGAAAGGAAAGTTTTTCCCTTGGCCCCTAGATGGTGTATGAGTTGCAAGTTCGGTGTAATGGGACACCTGACTGCCCCTCATGCCAGTCTCTCCAACTAAATAGCTGTATCTATTCATTTAATAGATATGTTGGAAGGTTTATTATTTTTTTCCACAGACATCAGGACTCAGCTATGAAAGGTTTATTTTTAAGTCAACAGAACAATATGGACATAGAAAAGCATTTCAAAGAATGTTTGAATTTGGGGAAAAAAAGAAATACAGTAATCTGTCTATAATTGACTACAATTGGGTGACAAAGACTCTTTCCTTTGACAAAAACTGCAGTCAGGCTGCTCTCAGGCAGTCAAGGTTTTAACCAAGATGGTTTTGGGTAAAGAAAGGCAGGTTTATTACAGAAGGTATGAAAACATGTTGTTGCCTGGGGCAGCACAGTAGAGGAGGTGTTGTCTGCAAAGAGGCTGGAGGGAAGTTTTACAGGGTCGTGTTGGAGGGAGCTCTGTGAGTCTTCTGCTTGACTAGGCCTGACCTTGGGCTTTCCTCTGTCCTTGGAGAATCCTGTTAGAGCAAGAATCTTGCTAAGTTGGCTTGGCAAAAATCCCCCACCTTTAAAAGCTTATTACCCAGGCCTCCCTTCAGCCTAATACTATGCAGTCAGTTTAGCCAGAGACCTTTTATCCTGGATGTTTCCTCTTGGTAACTTTCCATCCACTGATCCCCACCCTGCTCTTTGGCTATACCTCTCCACTTGTCATGTAGGAGTCTGAATTGAGTCCAGTCTTCCTCCCCAACTGCCAGCCCCTGTTGCAGTGGTCCCTTTATGCACTAACATGGCCCCGCCTTGAATAAAGTCTGCCTTACCAACTTTAACAAGTGTTTAGGCAAATTATTATTATTTTTTAACACAGGTTAATATAATTCAATCAGACACACAAAGATGAACCAGTATATAGTAAGCATTTGTTGCTCATATAATGGAGGGGAAACAGATTTTATAACAAAATTCAAATATGCTCATGCTACTACCCAGCTAGCAAGCTGTTTTTAGTAGATCAAACTGAAGCCTAAATTTGTTTAATTGGAACCAAGTGGAAGTATTATGTACTCTTCTGCTTGCAGGGATATTCTGAAGAGAAGTTTTTCAGAGTAGTTGTGTGGAAACACATTAGTTTGTTGAGCTATTCAAAATGTGAAGGCAGTTTATGCAGCTATTTGTTATGTCTTTCTTGTTAAAGTTTCTCTTTATTGCAGTTCCTTATCAGTGAGTTTATGGTTCCCTTGCCAGAGGTTTTGTTTTCTATTATCTCTATCCTATGCACTCATCTGCAAGAGTTCCCGGAGGGACTGTGGTTCTAAACTTAAAACAAACAAAAAAACAAACAAACAAAAAACTTAAGTTTTCCCTTCTTCCTAGATGGTTTCTTAACTTGTTACTACCTTGAAAAAAAATTTTTTTTTCAAAATTTCCTATGGTTATCACAATGGGTATTTTTACCTCTCTCCAAATACCAATCCTTAGACTTAGCTCCTTTAATTTCCTGAATTAGCACTGCAATTGGTGTTCTCTTTTTATCTGAATAACAAAAAGTATTTTCTAGTCTCAAAATTATTTCTAATGAGACTTAACAGTTATTTCAGAAAAGCCTCAGTCTTAGCCCCCTTCTCTTCTTTATCTATGTAGCTACTTCCTCCCAGAAAGAGCATATCTTTCTAAAGAATGCAATTAATTTTGTCCAAAGTAAGACACCACTCCCCTTCCCTTTTCAACTGCGTATCTACGTATCTTTTTCTGATACACCAGAACTGCTAAGGCAGCTATAAGGGTAAAATGATGAAATTTTCTTTAAGGATGGGGGCACTGGCCTCCCTACCTTCCTCTCCTCGGGTGTCAGGATAAACAAGTCAGAATACGAGATATCTTACAATTACATGAAATATGATGAAAATCTTCCTCTTCATAGAATGCCCTAGAAACAGGATTGCACAGTCAAATGTAAGAGTTAAGTGTTACTTAACTCTAAAAGGATCTAGGATAAATCTTTTCCCCACTTCATAAAGCATATGAACATTAGACATTCAGGGAGTACCTGATAATCCGAGGGCATCACAGGTCCACCTGAGTTTGCGCCTGAAGGCCCTAGCCGTGGCTTCTTGTTTGGAGGCACCTGGTTCAGGCTGGAGTCCTGGCTGTGCTGCAACCCTGCTCCGGTGCCCCCGACCCCGGCCCCAGCCCCACCTGCGGTCCCGTTGGTCTGGGTGCTGTTCTGCTGTGGTGGGGGCGCCTGTGGAGGGGCTGCTGCCTGCTGTGGAGGGGCTGTGGGCTGCTGATGCTGGTTCTGCTGCTGTTGCTGATTCTTTTAAGGGGAAAAAAGCAAGCTTGGTATGAAACCAAATTAACAGGAGCTTTCTTTAATTATTTGATATGCACATGTGGCTGCTGACCAACCTGGGGGAGCAATCTATGTGGGACACTAGAGTGATGGGGAGGACTGGAGAATGGAGCAGCCAGGGAACACAGTGTTCCCAAAGGGCAAGGCGCTGAGCCCCAAACAGGACTCTTTCCCTGAAGTTCATTTAGACTGCACAGTGATCCTCCAAATCAGTCACAGACATCTCACTGAAGGCCACAGGCACATTAGAAATACATTTCTTATAGCTCATTAAAACAGCTAGAAGAAATCTTTTCAATCGTGATTCTGGAAAGGCAGAGCGGTCTGGAGAGTGAGCCAATATATCCAGTTAAGACGAAAGAACAGAGTGATGCTAGCAAAAGCCAGCCTGCATAAAGGGGTGGTAGTGACACCAAACAAACAGAAAGAGCAAGAAGTGGGAATCCGGGAGTAGAACTGGCTGTAACACACACCGGAAGCTCAGGTATCTGTGAGCTGGTCATACTTCAAACTTCAAGGTACCTTTACAATCCCCAAACTTCCACAGAAAATAAGATACATTCAAATTTAATTAAATATTAGAAAAGGTGGTTAAATGTATAGGAATTATGGAACGATACCTAAACTATCTTTTTGCCTCCCTTGCTCTTTGGAAGTGAAAGTATACCGTGCAGTTTATACCTTGTCACCTTTTTCTTCAGGATCATCTTCATTAAGGAATTCTCGTTTGGGGTATGGAATCTGGCAGCCGGCAAATACACTAAAAATCATTAAAAAGAAAAAACATATCATGATCTAAAATCTGTAATATCATTACCTTGTTAATTTAAAATTCCAATTTGTTTTTCTTCACTTATTTCCTACTCTTCATCTGTGGCTAGTGTTCAAATCTTGACTGCTGCTAGCTAGTTGACATATAGGACACAGAAGTTTCTCTATACTAACTTCATTAGCGCCAAAAATAACTTAATTTGTATTTGCCTTAACAAGAAAAACTACACCTCTTATAGATGAAAACACAAAGTCTATACTTGGGGTTAAGAAGGATGAAGGAGTAGAGAGGTTTTGTAGTGCAGTGGACATGCTCTGAAAGACAGATTAACTTCTGTTGCCTACTGGTTTGGCTGAATTTCTGATCTGGCCAATTGGTCTGTAAAGGTCTTATCTGTTATCAGCTTTAGTTTTCATCTGTAAAACTGACAAATGGTCGTTCCTAAAATACTTGTTTTCATTCATCCCTCTCTGCAGCTTTGCCTGTTTCAAAATGTGGAAGCTTGCTCTTGAGCAGTCTTTAGGTGGTATCATTGAAAAAGTTAAATACTTCAGTAGCAAGTGCTTCCCTTGCTTTCAACCACCATGCAGCCTCCTCAGCCTGGAGCAAAGGACACAGAAAAGACAGGATACATACTCTAATGTTGGCAAAGGGTCCTCCTGAAAATAGGGATCCTGCAGAGCTTGCTCCGAGGTAATTCTCTTGGTTGGATCCATGGTCAGGAGTTTCTGAAGCTAGAGTGACACACAGGAAATGTACAGCACATGAAAAGGTTATTTACAAGTCAACACCTTGTCTTTTGTATTACTGTGTAACAGGATTAATATAAAATACATTTGGTGTAGCTCACTGCAGATTATGCATACTACATACTTTTATGTGAAATTGGCAGAAATCATCAGCATTAAAGCCCTTATAAAGTTCATTTTCTGCTGATAAATCATTTAAAGTGAAGGCTGAAAGACAGGGTGACATCTCAACAAAAAAAATATTTAATTTTACCCCAGCATCCACTAATTTCTTTTGTTTCTAAAGAGGAGGAATAGCTGAGTAAATAGAAGGCGAGATTTGTGCTGAGAATCAGATTTTAGTCTGGGAGAGAAGCACCTACCAAGAGGAACACTTTGCTGTCAGGCTTGACCTTGTGTTTCTCCATGTACTTTATGAGGCTACTGTTGGCATACCTGCAAGGACACGCACAGTCACACATCACTGGGAACACTCATCCAATTGATATTTCTTAATGATAAGCTCCAGGATTGGCTTTCCTATAAGGTATGTGTTTAAGTCATTGTTTTTTCTGAATAAGAAGAAACACATTACCAAATATTAGCAAATGTGTGAAGAAATAGGAACTGTCACACACAACATGAGAGTTTATACTGTTACAATCCCTTTGGAAAACAGTTATGCATTAACCATTAGTGTTGAAAATGTGTATAGCTTATGACCTAGCAACTCCATTTCTAGGCACATACCTGAGTCAAAGAGATGATTTTGTACATGTATATCAGGATACAGGGATAAAAATGTTCTTAGCAGCCTTTTAGTAATGGCCAATATATATATATATACATATATATATACACATATATATACATATATACACATATATACACACACATATACACATATATACACATACATATACACATATATATACACATATATACATATATATACATATATAGTATATATACGTATATATATATGTGTGTGTATATATATATACGTATATATATATACGTGTATATATATATATGTGTGTATATATATATAGACAATCCAAATGTCCATCAACTGAAAAATGGGTACATTTTTATACATTCACAGAATGGAATGTTATACAACAGTAAAAATGAATATGCAAGGTTCAGTGAGGAGAAAAAGCAAGTTGCAGAAGAAAATACATAATATGTTACCATTTATAAAAAGTTGAAAGACAATAAACTGAACAATAACTTTTAGAGGTACATAAACATGTGGACTAGAACTATAATAAAAACTGTGGGGATGATAAACCCAAATGCAGAACACTCAGAGTCTACCCTCTGGGAGGGATGTGGATAGGGAGGTGGGGCACACAGGGTACTTTAGTAATCTTAGTGATGTTCTAATTCCTAGGTTCAGAGGTGAGCAAAGGGGTATTCATTTTATTATTCTAAATATACTAGATATTTTTTCATTATATATTCTTTCCTACATATGAAATATTTCAAATTAAAAGGTCTAAAAATAGGTAATGTATGTTCATGATAAAAAGAATTACAGAATATAGAAAGTATAGAAGAAAATTAAAATCACTCACAATCAAGCCACTCAGTGACAAAAAAACCACTGACAAAATTTTTATAATGTCCCTTTGGTGTTTTGCGTGTGTGTGGCATATACATATATGGTATAAACACAGGAATTTTTGCTTTGTTTTTATAAAATTGGAATCCTACTAAAAAATTGTCTTAGCTTTTTATTTAATATTGTTCCATAAACATTTTCTTTTGTCAAATAATCTTCAAACTTATTATTTTGAGTGGCTGCCTATCTCCTACTGGTACGGGTATTACTTGTTTCATAATAGCTGTGGCATACAAGTCCTTGTAGCTAAATCTGATGTGCATGGCAGGGAGCCAATACTGCCTAGCAGGTGAGACTCAGAGACCCCTACTAGACCCTGATTGTCATTCACCAATTGTGTGATCTTGGGCAAGTTAGTTAACCTCTAAGAAAGCCTTAGGTTCTGAATCTGAAAAGTGGAAATTATAATTATGCCTATCCTATAGATTTGCTAGGAAGATCATATGAAAAAATGTAGGTAAAGGGTTTAGCACCACCCTGGTATATAAGAAGTACTCATCTATTTGTGGCAGCTCTGATTACTTCCACAGGATAAATTCCAGGAATTATCAGGTCAAAGGGCATACATATTTTAAAGCCTTTTTTAGGTGCTCTAGAATCTCGCTACACAAATGTAGCTTTTACCAGCAACCTGAGCATCACCTGAGAGCCTGCATTAGAAATGAAGGTTCTCAGTTCTCACCCCTGATTCTGACTCAGAATCTACATTTTTAACAAGGTCTCCAGGTGATTTGTAGGTACACTGAAGTTTGAGAAGTACTCATCCTCACCAGTAGCATATGCGTAATAATTTTTTTTTTTAATAAAAATAGAGATAGGGTCTAACTATGTTGCCCAGGCTAGTCTCAAACTCCTGGGCTCAAGAGATCTTCCCACCTCAGCCTCCCAAAGTGTGAGGATTACAGGCGTGAGTGAGCCACTGTGCCTGGCCAGAATGTCCATTTTATTGTACCCTTGCGAACAAGGGTACAATAAAATGTTAAATGAAAATAACTAGTTTGGTTTTGAATGTTTGAAGAATTTATAGAACATTCAGGTTGGGATTCCATAAGGCAATTAGATAAATGATTTTGAAACTTGGAAAAGTGAACTGAGTAAGATACATATTGGGAGTTATCCACATAATTGATGGTAAATTGTGGCCATCAAAATCATAGAGTCTGAATGGGAAAATACCTAGAGTGAGAAAAGAGCCCAGGATAGAACCTTGATACCAGCACTGTCCTTAAGAGATGGATACAGGCAAAGGACCCCACCAAGGACTGTGAGAAAAAGGGGTTAGAAATGATCAATGCCATTCTCTATTTCTCTTTATGATGTCTGATTTTGTTCCTATAAGCCATCCTGTCCTGAAATTTTCCTGGTAAGTTGCCCATAGAGAAGCTCTTCCACAATTTTCGGTAAGTGTGCATATTTATAACAAACACCTCACATGCCATCACCCTTAATCTCATTTCTGCTCAAAGTAAATGCCTTCATCAGTTTGTTTTACTCATATTCCAGGCCACGTGTTCTTCCTTCTGCCAGCCTTCCAGGTTTCCTAGTCCAGCATGTCAGTCACCAGTCATTACTCAGATAAAGATAAAACCACAACTGTGGCCTAGAACTGAGAACTTTATTCATGCTAAAACATAGCAGATATAAACTACCTATTGACCCTTAAATTCTTAAAAGTTTTTAATACTGCAGCCTAAACCTGAACTATATATGTTAACAGTATCTGGAAAATCTTCTTTAAATCACAGGCATAATTAATATGCTAAAATCTCAGTTTCTAGTTTAAATAACAATCTACATCTGTTTTTTAAAAAGATTAATTTAACTATTCTCATTGAAATTACTACCTATAATTAATGTACACTATGGTTTGAATGTTTATGTCCCCTCCAAAATTCATGTTGAAACTTAATTCTCAATGCAACAGTATTAGAAGATAAGGCCTTCCAGAATTGAGGGCTTTGCTTTGAGGAGTGGGATTAATGCCTTGTAAAAGAGTAAAAGAGGCATCACACAGCATCTGCCCCTTTTTGCCCTTCTACCTATGTGAGGACACAGCAACAAGGTGTCACCCTGGAAGCAGAAAGCAACCTTCATGGGATTACAAACATGCCAGTGCCTTGACCTTGGACTTTCCAGCCTCAAGGACTGGGAGAAAACAAATTCCTGTTGTTTATAAATTACCCAGTCTAAGGTATTTTTTTATAGCAGCACAAAAAGACTAAGACTGTGTGGAATTACTTACGTTGTTCTTCTAAAGTCTTTTTGAAGTGTGGGATATTCTGGCATCTTTCTAATATCTTCCCAGTCTTTATCTTACAAAAAAATTAAATATTGTTATAGAAAATAATGTGTTAATTTAAAATCTCCTAATTATGTTAGTTTATAAATATACATTAAAATATGCTTTTGAGAAGAAATGATTTTGAAATATGACTCAAAATATGACTTTAAAAAGGAAAATAAATTACCTGCAGGAAACCCCATGACACTAAATATCCGATCCAGTTGATCATGATGAAAGGGATTGCTTGTTTTTATATCTTCCTGACGACAGTGAAAAATAGGTTCCGAAGTCAACAATTCAGCAAATATACAACCTATTGCCCATATATCTGGGAAGGAAGAAACATAAGTTTTTGTATATATTTCCTTGGTTATAATTCCTAGATATAATCCCAGCCTACTTATAAAAATACTTTTCAGTAAATCAATATACAAAGTACAATAAGTACATTAAGAGAACATTATTGTACTTTGTATTTTGACATATGTGTGGGTATGTGTGTATATATAGGTATGTATATATATGTGTGTGTATGTGTATATATATATACATGACATGAAATAGCTATATCATCATGTAACAAATTGAAAGCCAAGTAATAAAAAACATTTACTTGTAAATTTTCTGATGACAATAAATGGGGACAGTCAATTTAGCAAGCAACAAATTCTTTAGATTTAGGCAAAGGTCTTTCTAACCACTTTTTTTGTTGTTGTTTTTAGGGTCTCTGTCACCCAGGCTGGAGTACAGTGGTGTAACCATGGCTCCCTGAAGCCTTGACCTCCTGGGCTCAAGGAATCCTCCTGCCTCAGCCTCCAGAGTAGTTCAGACTATGGGTGTGTGCTACTTGTACCTGGCTAATTTTTTAAAAAATTGTTTTGTAGAGACAAGGTCTTACCATGTCTAACCACTGTTAATAATTTAATCATTAAAGTACTCAATTGATAATCTAATACCAGGCGTAATACACAGATCTGATATACTGAAACAATATCATCATCAGACATGGTGACGTAATTCTTTTAAAGCCATCCAATGTATAATGATAGAGTAGAATTTATAAGTTTTGAGTCTAGACAGACAGTATAGACCATATAAAAGAATTGGGGAGGCTGGGTGCAGTGGTTCATGCCTGTATTCCAAGTACTTTGGGAGGCTGAGGTGGGCGGATCACTTGAGGTCAGGAGTTCGAGACCATCCTGACCAACATGGTGAAACCCTGTCTCTATTAAAAATACAAAAAATTAGCCGGGTGTGGTGGCACACGCCTGTAGTCCCAGCTACTGAGGAGGCAGATGCAGAAGAATCTCTTGAACCCAGGGGACAGAGGTTGCAGTGAGCCAAGATCATGCCACCGTACTCCAGCTTGGGCGACAGAGTGAAACACCATCTTGGAAAAAACAAACAAAAAACTATGGTATAGCATAAAAAAGTACTGTGTTTAGTAGCCTATTAAATATGTGAATCACATTCTGCAATAAGCTAAACAAGGAAAAAGGTTAATTACACTATTCCTTCCTCATCTAAGTTTTTGCCCTCCAGTTTCAGTTACCTGCAGTCAACCACTGCAGTTCGAAAATATTAAATGGAAAATTCCAGAATAAACAATTTATAAGTTTTAAATTGTGTACCATTCTGAGCAGTGTGATGAAATCTCATGCTACGCTCTCCATCTTCCTGGGATGTGAATCATCCCTCTGTTCATCCACACTGTATACTCACTACCCACTGGTTAGTCACTTAGTGGTCGTCTGGGTTATTAGATCAAAAAAACATAGTATATACAGGGTTCGGTGCTATCTGCAATTTCAGGCATCCCCTGGGGGGGTCTTGGGACATATTCCCAGCAGATAAGTGGGGACTACTGTATATCCATTAGCTAGAAGACGCATCAGAATGCTCTCTCCTAAAACAAATTGTCAAATGGAAAAATCCATACAGTAATGCCTTACTTATTTGACCACATTCAGGTACAGTTTCCTTCCACATAATTTAGCCTTCTGGATAATGGAAACATATTCCTTTGACGACCATTTTTTAATTACACCATTGCCTGCCACCATAAAAGGCTATAAAAAATGTAATCCTCCTTAATGATGCAGCAAGGTCATCATCATCATGAACATCCATCACTACAGAGTAGAGTAATAATACTGCTCAGCATCCATTTCTGAATTCTTTTCTGTCTCCCATGTCATACTGGTTGTCACTCTTCCCCCGATATGGCTGCCTCTGATGGTCCCATCTCTCTTCCTCATTACCACCTCTACTATGCAGTATACCAGGACTACTACTGCATGTGCCTGGTCATGCCAATTCCTGGTTTGTCCTCCATTCAAAGGACAAGAGCCAGGGTCTTGAGTTCCCAGTGAACTGCTAACATAAGAAACCTCAGATAGCAGGTGGCAGTACATTCAAAGGTTTTCTGCCTCATATTAGCCTATAATTTCAAAAGGCCATCTGGCTCCTGCACCATCTGTAGCTACTTCTCAGGTTTCTTTCCTCTATCAATGATTTGTTCTCCTGACACACCCATAAACACACCTGCCCCAACACTGCTTGTCACCATCACTGCCACTCCCCTCCCCAACTGTCACTCCACAAACCTCCACTGATATCAAATGCCTCCCGGGTTCAAGGGGTTCTCTCACCTCAGCCTCCAGAATAGCTGGGATTATAGGCACACACCACCATGCCTGGCTAATTTTTGTATTTTTGGTAGAGACGGGGATTCACCATGTTGGCCAGGCTGGTCTTAACTCCGGACCTCAAGTGATCCACCTGCCTTGGCCTCCCAAAGCGCTGGGATTACAGACATGAGGCACCTTGCCCGGCCCTAAGTACTCATTTCTAACATGGACCATGTATGGAGAAGAGTACGAAAAAGTGAATAAGTATGTACTTATAAACATCTGCTATTAACATATTTGAAGCCCTAAGATAACTGATTTGGGGATTATTCTTTCTTTCTGTCTTAACTTTCTCCTACCTTCTATCCAGAATGGATAATTGGGAATTGACTAAAATTAGAAATTAGTGATTATGTTTTTATCTTTAAGCGGTAAATTTCATTTACCAAGCAAGTGAGTTGCAAGCTGGTTAAAATTCAATTTCATTTTTCCTTACCCTGAGGAAATAAGAAGTATAATTGGTTTTCAACTCATATCCGATTTCATTTATTTAAAAAAAAGCATCTATTTTCATTTCAACAAGAGAAAAATAAATCAGAAAATATTCATAAAATTGTGCTTCTCAAAGTGTGGGCTCTCAAAGTATATGGGTCCCGCACAACAGAATCACCTACCTAAGGGCATGGACCCGCTGTGTTAGCTTCTCTGAGAGTGGGACAGACATTGGTGGGAAGTCATTTAGCTTAACAGAAGGTTTTGACTGAATGTGTCTTTTCCTAAAGGAAATCTCCCTTCTAGAGCTAGACTGTCCTAGTGTTTGGATTAAGTCTAAGGTATATGGATTTCTATGGAGATTGCATCCTCTTCTCCCTTCCTCGTGTCCTGGGTTATCTGTCATTAACCTGTTCTAAGGCATCACCTTTTACTTTCAACTAACACTCTTCCCTTCCCTGGCTTACTTTCAGTCTCTTCCTATCCTCTGGTTCCTTCTGAGGTTGTCTAAGGGATATGACTGTTTTCAATAGTGGGTAAGGAGAGACCTAAATGACAGAAAAAACAAACTTATGATTCTAAAAGTCTCAAAAATACAGCTCCATAGTAAAAGTCACTGGTTGGAATGTACACAGGCAGGATCACAGGGCCACTCCATCCCTTCCACTTGCTGTCTGTAGTTCTTCCCTCACCTTTTGCAGACGGCTGCCACTGTCCACTGATGACAGCCTGGCCTTGGTAGCCTCTGATCTGCTGCCTTACCAGAGGCCCAGCTGCACAGGTAAGGGTTTTATGTCACTCTCACATTTCTCTACTGTCAAACACATACCAGTTTACTCAGAGGCTTTTTCACTAATTTAACAAAACTATTCAGCAGTATTTATCAATAATTTACAATATTGCAGCACTGTGCTAGAGTCTGTGTCTCTGGACAAAATCTAAATGTGTTCTGGTGTCTGAGTTTTGCAGAAATCAGACGTCTTGATGAATGAGGACTTACTATATTTTAATTTTTGTGTTCTTTTTTAACCCATGAGTAGGCTAATTATCAGTCTAATCTTTCCAAGTGTGAGAGTTTCCTTTGTAGCTCTTTGGGTATCACCAGGTTTTTCATAAGCTTGTTTAGCAGAGAAAGGATTGTGCTTGTCTATTTTTAATAATTTTATACTTGCAGTGCCTTTATTAAATAGAATTCAACAAAAGCAGCTAAAGGTAGCCAAAACTGATATGAGACTAATGCCAGTAAACAGAAAATTCAATAAAAGGAAAATTTAAAGAAATATACTTAGGAAATTTGGATACCTTGTAGAACTATCCCTTCTAACAGCTACAATGTACTCTCCCCTACTCTCTCCTTTTCCTTCCTTTAAAGAAATCTCTAGGTTTGAGGAGGGCCAGCTCCTACTGACTCCCTCCATTCACAGCTGGGCCGTGTGAGGATACTGCAGTCACCAGGTAGCAAATCTCTGAAGCCACTGTTCTGAGGCAGACTTTAAATTTTACACAGTGTGTTTATAACAGATTTTCTTACTCAGTTTTTTTAACTTGATGAGATGGCAAGACGCTGAGCACAGCTAATCTACCCAGACTCTATTTCCTACCTTAATGGAGAAACTGCCATTCTCATAACTGTAATGGCAAGAGAGAAAGATTAGTTATATTGCTTCTTGCTTAGGAAACAATGTGACTAACTTTTCCCCAAATAGAAGGGGTTCTTTCCAATACTGCACTACTCCTGTTTTTGTTTTTCATTTTGTGAAGAAAACAATTCTCAACTTCTCTCCAGTTCTTCTGATCAACAGCTACTAAGTACAAAATAAAATGTGCATGTTATTGTTTCCATAGCAACTCAACAGGATCAGATACTGATACCTCTATTCTCTGAAAGAAAATGTTTTCTTCTTTTAAAATAACCATATTCTCCTATACAGTTAACAATCTAAATCTACCAGAAATCTAGGAATACAGAAGACAATAGGACTTTTACAAAAATGTATAAAATGGTTTTTATCAAGTAGCTTTATTATTATACCATTTTATATTTATGATCGTTAGATGACAAGATAGTAAATCATTTTAGACCAACTTACCAATGGCCTTTGTATAATGCCTTGCACCAAGCAAAAGTTCTGGAGCCCGATACCAAAATGTCACAACTACTGGATCCAAATCTGCTAGTGGCTTTAGAGGAGAATTGAATAATCTGGCAAAACCCATGTCAGCTAAAAAAATAAAATAAATTAACATAAAATTCAGTTTGATTGTTTCTCGTCCTTTTGGCTAAGATCAAGTGTAAAATTCAGTTTGACATGCTATTAGAACCATGCAAGGTTGACAACAATAGCTGCTGACCTTATAAAGCAATCCTTTTCCTCCCTTTTTAACCAGAGGTCTACACCAAGTACCAGAAAGGAATTAACTTCATTTACCTTTATTATCTACCATCAGAAGGACATACTATTATTGTGCCTGTTTTACTGATGAAGGAATTGAAGCTTAAAGATATTCTGGGCTGGTGGGGTGGCTCACACCTATAATCCCAGCACTCTGGGAGGCCGAGGTGGGCGGATCACCTAATGTCAAGAGTTAGAGACCAGCCTGCACAACATGGTGAAACACCATCTCTACTAAAAATACAAAAATTAGCTGGGCATGGTGGTGCGCACCTGTAGTCCCAGCTACTCGGGAGGCTGAGGCAGGAGAATCGCTTGAACCAGGGAGGCGGAGGCTGCAGTGAGCCAAGATCACACCACTGTACTCCAGCCTGGGCAACAGAGTGAGACTCCATCCCCTGTCCCCCAAGAAAGATATTCTGATTTGCCTAAGGTCACACAGCTAGTAAGTGCAGAGGCAGAATTAGAATCCAGGTCTGACTTTAGATTCCTGGCTTTCAGAGAGTTACAAAAACATTCTTAAGTGTTTTTGAAATCTAAAATAGTTCAAAAGTATCCCTGATTAATAATGACTTCTGTATGCTTATACATTTAAAAACTGACTATGGCCAGGCGCGGTGGCTCACGCCTGTAATTCCAGCACTTTGGGAGGCCGAGGCAGGTGGATCATGAGGTCAAGAGACCAAGACCATCCTGGCCAACATGGTGAAACCCAGTCTCTACTAAAAATACAAAAATTAGCTGGGCGTGGTGGCGCGCACCTGTAGTCCCAGCCACTACGGAGGCTGAGGCAGGAGAATCACTTGAACCCAGGAGGCAGAGGTTGCAGTGAGCCGAGTTCGTGCCACTGCACTCCAGCCTGGGTGACAGAGCAAGACTCTGTCTCAAAACAAACAAACAAGAGACAGAGCAAGACTGTCTCAAAACAAACAAACAAACAAACAAAACCTGACTACGTCTTAGTTCAGTGTGTGCTGCAGCCAGATCCAACAAACTCACAAGAGCTGACATATATATATCTTTTCCCAATTCTGCATTCAATGACAGCATACTGATGATTTGGAATTGGCTATGGTAGGAGTATCTACAACATGGAAAACAGCAAATGCTACAAATTGGGACATTTTTTGCTCCAGAGAGCCAGTTGCTGAATGGTAATCAGCACATTACATGCATGTTTTCAAGAGCATACACAGAACACATAAAAGATAATTTGTTATAATTCGGCATTTAACAAAGGTCTAAACCAAAGCTAATCAATTGAAATATTGGGGGTATATAAAAGTAATAAAAAAAATTACTACTGCAATAAGATCCTGGAAACTAATTTTCTTAAGATATCATAAATAACCAACATCTTTTATCTACAAAGTCCTTTGCAGTTTACAAATGGCTTTCATATACATCATATTTCACCTCATTGAATCCTCATAAGAACACTGGTTTAATCAGTATTTTGCTCCCTATTTCAGAGATGAAGAATCTAAGGCCCAAAGCAGTTAAATGACTTGCCTGTGGTCACAGGGATAGTAAATAAACATGCCAGTACTCAAACAAAAACCATGTTATAATTTAGGAGCTACCTCCTTAACTACTAAATCTGACATCCAACAAATTATACATATGATAATTGCAAGTCACAAAGGCAAAGTCACAAGAATAAGCCTCTATAATTTGAATACATAATATACATAACAAATGTTGATTGTATAAGGGGCCCCAATGTACTATAAAATGCATAAATGCACATAAAACTTTCAACCACAGAATGTCATTTAATCTAAAACTAATGTGCTACGGTATAACATATTAAAATTTTAATTTACATTTACATAAGCAGAACAGGCAAAAAATCTTTTTAATTTATAGAAATTTCGGGTCTTTGTCTTGTGTTTTTGTTTTGAGATGGAGTCTCGCTCTGTTGCCCAGGCTGGAGTGCTGTGGTGCCACCTCAGCTCCCTGCAACCTCTACCTCCTAGGTTCAAGCGATTCTCCTGCCTCAGCCTCTAGAGTAGATGGGATTACAGGTGCGCCACCACCATGCCTGGCTAATTTTTGTATTTTTAGTAGAGATGGGGTTTCACCATGTTGGCCAGGCTGGTCATGAACTCCTGACCTCAAGTGATCTGCCTGCCTCAGCCTCCCAAAGGGCTGGGATTACAGGCATGAGCCACTGAGCCCGGCCTGTAGTGATTTTGTTTCTTTGGATTTTGAATAATTTGTAAGACTTTTTTGAGAATGCTTTGGAGTATCCAGCTCTTAAAAACTAAAGCTATCCAAAGGAAGCCTGTGCTGATACCTACTCTTTTTAAACTACATTTCCCTACAGCAAACAAAAATATTCAAATTCATTCTACCAATATTACACCTATTATTCTACAATATTACACAATATTCAAGGCACTGTTTTATATATTTAATAGATGCCAATTGTTGTTGATGACAAAGTAATATGATGGAATGCTGTTTCATCCATTGAAAAACATTCTAAAGTAAAGTTAGCTAAAGCCAGTATTTCTCCCCTTATTCTCTACCTCCTCAGTTTTACCTAAGCCTCATCTACTCACTCGCAGATGCAATCAAGGCCAGAAGGAAAAAATACATACTTTTAAAAACAATTCCCATCTATTTTATGAACTTTAAAAGAGTTTCAAACTACTTTTCAAATAAATACTGATTTAGACAAAAGGTAATTAGCCTAAAGATTACTGTAACAGTTGACTTTCTAAAATTACACATGGATGAAATTGTTCCAGTTCACAGATAAGGTTAGTAAAATTCTGGTGTGAGTGCTAATTAGTATCAAATGAAAAGCAGCAACAAACAAGGTCTACCACTAAGGAGTTTACAGGAAGGTGAGATGACAAAATATACAGAGTAGAAGCAAAAAAGTGATAAGTACTGTGAGAATAAAGGAAGTTGTTACCGGTTTCTACTAGATGCTAAGTCCCCTGGGGGAAGGTCTATTTCTCTTTTATTATGTTATCTGGAACAATGTATAATAAACATTTGTAAAAGCAGACTAAATTGAAAGTGGGACTTGGGCTGGATCCTGCAGGATGAATTATTTTGAATAGCAAAAGAGGAAGGCAATAAGCATTTTAGGTAAGACCTGGGAAGTTTTTAGGTTGCTGAGAATGGGAAGGCTTAGATACAGCAAAGGGCAAAATGTGTTTTCCATGCAAGTATCCTTTTCTTACCCACTCCCCCTCCCCCACCGCCTCCCATATGGAGTCTTGCTCTGTCGCCCAGGCTGGAGTGCAGTGGCATGATCTCGGCTCACTGCAACCTCCGCCTCCCGGGTTCAAGCACTTCTCCTGCCTCAGCCTCCCGAGTAGCTGGGATTACAGGCACGCACCACCACGCCCAGCTAATTTTTGTATTTTTAGCAGAGACGGGGTTTCACCATGTTGGCCAGATGGTCTCGATCTCTTGACCTCATGATCTGCCCGCCTTGGCCTCCCAAAGTGCTGGGATTACAGGCATGAGCCACTGTGCCCAGCCCAACTATCCTTTTCTTTTAAGCAAAAAACAACACTGTATCAAAGCATTAGGCATAGGCATTGGTATTACTAATGTTTAAAAAACAATAGTGGCTACTAAAACAAAATTTAAAATCTATTTAATAAACTATCTTGATTGTCCATTAGATCTTTATCATTAATTATTACTTACTTTTAACCCTAGTTTTATCCCTAATCTTGGCAGAATTACAATCTTAAAACTCTTAATAGTAAGGTAACTAACTGGCCTGGCCAGAGTACAGAATTTTGCTAAGGAGTACTAAGAGAACAAATTAGATTGGGGTGACTGGGAGAAATGTGACGAATGGTACAAACAAGGGGAATACAAGATGATGATGATGAATTTGGTTTGGGACAATGGAGGATAAGTTACCACAAGATATCCAAATAGAAATAAAGACTTCGGCTAGGGTGAGAGATTAGACTCTGGTATCAAGATCTTAGAATCATTTTCATAAATCCATGATCCTGAGGCCATAACTTATCAATTTCCTAAAGAAGTAATTTTAGAGGGAAGCCATGTCCTAAGCCAGTGCCTTGAAACAATAGGTTAGTAGAAGTAAGAGGCAAGAATGAACAGAAGGCAAAGTCACAGCAAAAGTGGGAGGCAGAAAAATGGAATTATGGTATGCCATATAGACCAGCGGAGAAGACACCCTCAAAGCCAGGACTGTCAGAAGAACAAATGGTTTACTGCAGTAAAGGAGAAAGTTGATTAATACAGGCCACTTGATTTGGTAAAGTAGAGGTCACAGGTGTCCTTTCAGAGAGGACTTTTGATAGAGGGATGGAATTAGAGGCCAGGTTATAACAAATTAGAGTAAGTGGAACCAAAGAGTGAACATCATGTGTTCTAAAAGTAGAGGAACAAAAAGGGAAATGAATAGAGCAAGTGCTAAAGAAAAACAAGATGGATATAAGATGTATTTTAAATTGGGAAAAGGACGATGAAGGTTTAAAGGTGAAAAAGAGAAACTTGAGAAGGGGAAATAGCAATATTGTACTATGAGGTAGGAAGACATTTAGAAGCTAGGAAGGGCACTAGTAGATAGGACTTAGGAAAGGAAAGTCTGTCTTTCACAGAGGCTTTCTCAAGGGCAGGGCTGTACAGCCAAAGAGTAGAGGTCAGTGAGATCACACCAGACAGCTCTGATATCACTAGGCAGGGATGTTTGTAGGGAAAGAGCCTCAGGACTTAGAATTCAAGTTCTAGCTTTGACAGGCTGAGGAAGCTACAACCTCTCTAAATCTTGTCTTCCTTATTTTCAGAGGGTGGTTGTGTAAAATAAATGCGGTAACATCAAAGTACATATTGCAATGTATAGTAAACTGTTCATTTTACTGTCTCTCACAGAAGGGACCATCCTTTATCTCCCTTTCGCCTGTATCTGGCAAAAAGTAGGCACTCAATAAATGCCTCTAAGAAAAGGAGTGCAAGAGTAAAATAAAAATAGACAAGTGAGAAATTATGGTGGAAGTGGGGGAGGGAAGAGAAGGAAAGCTACCAGCTACTTAATTAACATCAACAAACTTCTGAATGAATCTGATAATCTCAGCAAACTTAGGCTAGAGGTGTTTAAAGAAAAGGAAGTTGGTTTAGAACAGCTTATTTAGCAACTGGGCTAGGGAGTTAACTGAAAAAGTAGAAAACTAAACAGCAGGGTGGGCTTGAAATAGGGCAGCATGAATTTGTAGTGGGTCAAGTGAGCACAATTTTGCATCACCTTTAGCATGGTATATTCTAATAGCAAAGAAACCAGGCTGATTAACACATTTTAACATATTTCTAAAAAGCATTCAACTTTCAATAAATATAATTTCTAGTAAAAGAAACCAGAATAGGCCTAGCGTGGTGGCTCATGCCTGTAATCCCAGCACTTTGGGAAGCCAAGGCAGGCAGATCACCTGAGGTCAGGAGTTCGAGACCAGCCTGGCCAACATGGTGAAACCCCATCTCTACTAAATACACAAAAAAATTAGCCAGGCGTGGTGGCGGGAGCCTGTAGTCCCAGCTACTTGGGAGACTGAGGCAGGGAGAATTGCTTGAACCCAGGAGGCGGAGGTTGCAGTGAGCCAAGATCGCGCCATTGCACTCCAGCCTGGGCAACAGAGCGAGACTCCGTCTCAAAAAAAGAAATTAGAATAAAGCATTTCTTAGCTCATCTTCTCCCCAAATATGTAATAGGTATAAATGATGCTGATTTTTTTTTTTAGAACATTCAGGATTATAAAGGAAATCTTAATATACAAATAAGAATCCTGCCAGTGCCTCAATCTAAGAGAGGCAGCTAAGAGAGTCTGTAAACATATATATCTATTTGGAAAAGGTATGTTAGTACTTGGTGCAAGACATGCAGGCCAGGTGTGGTGAAGTAGGGAGAACCTGTGAAGGTTTAAATATATTCGCTCAGGGTGGGGAGGAAAATATTCAGGAAGAGAATAGTTGGTAAACCTGAAACAGAAGTGAGATTTAGAGGATTATATTTAAGGTGGCTGTGCAGGACAGTGGTGGTGACATAAACACATGCTTGGGTTACTGTATGGGAATGAATGCTTTTGTGAACTAGCTTGTCAATTTCCAGTGATGCCTCAACTTAGAACTAAAGAATCTTATTTTGGGAAAAAACCTAGGAGTTTTGTAGACTATCTATCTACATTTTCCAATATCTTTTCTAAAAATAATGAGAAAGTAATTTTAAAATTAACTACCTAAATAAGGGCATTAAAAAGGGAAACCATCTTTGCAGTTAACTTCAGTTTTTAAATAAATTATTTTAGGAATAATTACCTACCTATTTTGACTCTCCCCCTCTCAGGACCTTCTCCCATTACTAGGATATTTGCTGGTTTCTAGAAATAAAAATAGAGCATTCAAATTACCATGTTTATTCTTTTGACATGCTCTAAAATGGAGAAAAGTTCTTATCATATAAAAAATCATTTCTGTATTTTCATCAAAAGTAAATCAAATATTAAGCACCCTCTACATAGTTAAAGCATTTGACATAATTGAAGTCAGCACTAACTTTATATGAACATCCTTGCTATGGAAACACACCTTATTTTCAAAATTATATCATACAAATAATTACAAAGCAATTAAAGCTATCATTTCTAAATAGATTCATCCCGCAGAAAAAACTAATAATAATTTTTAAACCTGCACAGTTTATGTGCTTGAAAAATTTTATATAAAATTTCAAACCACAACATAATCGCCTTCATATGAATAAGTTGAATGGAATATTCCTTCCTAAATATTTCTAAACTACCGTAGAAAAACATGATCAGCATTCAACAACTCTATTAAAATTCATGCATCAGCTATCATACATGCAAAAGTAGGAAATTCCAAATATAATTTCAAGATGTAGGAAAATAAAAACCAAGGCTAATACAGAACTATAAAAAGAAAAGAGTAGGCTGCAAATGTATCTACCATATTTTCAGTCACCCTTATCTGTAGACACTTGGAAACAGAGAAACTGTTGAGATAGGCTTTGGAAGGGGGAGAGAGTGAGTCTCCTTTGTAAAGTCTTTGAAGGAAAATGTATGTGTTATTAACTTACTGGATTCATTTATTCAATCAACGAATGCATTTTTTGTATCTTCTAAGGATAAAGAACCATGCCAATCTTTAAGAGGGAAAACAAAAGCACAGTAAAAACCAAGTTCCTAACCTCCAGACGCTTACTACATAAGTAGAAAGAAAACTAAGAAGGATTGTATAATATTAGAAGCTAGTGCTATGTATGAGTTATAGAGAAGACTGAGGTTTTGTGTTCAAGATTAAACTGGATTACTTTAAAGATCCCTTTCAATTTGCTGATTGTTAAAAATGTTTCAATGAAAACAAAAAGCACTTAAAAAACAAATTCAAAGGAGGAAGTGATGAATTAAAGATTCCACTGTTAAGGGAAATGCTCACTGGGGATGGAAGTGGGAATGGTGTCCATTAGACGGATATGAAAATGAACAGGAACCATCATGGCAGAGTAGAGGAAGGGCAAGGACACCATAGGAAGTGGAAAAAGGATATGACCAGGTATGCATAAGACGCAGAAGTCTGACTTGGGCCAGGTGCAGTGGCTCACACCTGTTATCCTAGGACTTTGGGAGACCGAGGCGGGAGACTCACCTGAGTCTAGGAGTTCAAGGCCAGCCTGGGCAAAACACAAAATAGTAAGATTCTGTTTCTACAAATAATTTTTTAAAATAGCCTAGTGTGGTGGCATGCACCTGGAGTCCCTGCTACTCAGGAGGCTGAGGCGGAAGGATTGCTTGAGTCTAGCAGATTGAGGCTACCAGGGTACTACTGTGAGCCATGATTATGCCACTGCACTCCAGGCTGGGTGACAGAGCAAGACCCTGTCACAAAAAAAAAAAAAAAAAAAAAAAAATCTGAAAAGGGCTCATGTTGAGGGTAGTAGGATGAACCTAGACTCTGGATAGTCTTAAATGCCAAGTGAAGTAATCAGACCGTTATATTACAGTCAGTGAGTTTACAGGAGAGGATGAGGGAGTGGAATTGGATGTGAGGTGGTAAGAGCTCTGTCCAATGTCTTGTCAGCAGAAATGGCAAGGGAGGTATGGAGCTGAGAAGCATTTTAGAGGAGAAAATTAACAGGACTTTGTGACTGGCTTAAGCTAAAAGATTAAGAAAAAGGGTGGTAAAGATTTTACCAAGGTTTTAAGTTTATGTGACTGGAAGAATAATGGTGCCTTTCATGGACACAGAAAAGTTATAAGAGGTAATGGTTTAAAAATAAGGAACAATAAAGAGAAGGCGACAACATATTGAGTTTGAAAAATGGTTAGGCGTGGTGGCTCAAACCTGTAATCCCAGCACTTTGGGAAGTCGAAGCAGGAGGATCGTTTAAGCCCAGGAGTTTGAGACCAGCCTAAGCAACCTGAAGAGACCCTGTCTCTATAAAACATAAATTAAAAAAAATTATCCAGGCATGGTGGCACATGCCTGTGGTCCCAGCTACTTGGGAGGCTGAGGTGAGAGGACTGCTTGAGCCCAGGAGGTCGAGGCTAGAGTGAGCTGTGAGCGTGCCATTGCACTCAAGCCTGGGCAACAGAGTGAGACCCCGTCTCAAAAAATATTAAATAAAATGAAAGAGTTTGAGAAATGTGAAATGCCTAAGTCATACTAGCCAGAGGAGTGAGAAGAGGAAGATTTGGATTTGAAAGTTATTATCACCAGAGTGTGATACCTGAAATGAGATTGGTTCACCATACTAGAAAGAAAAAGAAAAAGATTGGTTCACCATATGAGATGAGATTGGTTCACCATACTAGAAAAAAAAAACTATTTATCAAAGGTCCATTATGTAAAAAGTGTTGTACTTCAGGCCTTTAGGAAACAACAGGAAATAAAACATGAAGATCTTGACTTTAAGGAGCTTAAATCCAGGAGGAAAAGACAGACAGCTTTTAAGACTACAAGGAAGAGGCTGGGTGCAGTGGCTGACACCTGTAATCCCAGGAACTTTGGAAGGCCGAGGTACGTGGATCACCTGAGGTCAGGAGTTCAAGACCGGCCTGGTCAACATGGTGAAACCCCATCTCTACTAAAAATACAAAAATTAGCCAGGCATGGTGGCAGGCACCTGTAGTCCCAGCTACTTGGGAGGCTGAGGCAGGAATCGCTTGAACCCAGGAGGTGAATGTTGCAGTGAGCTGAGATCGTGCCACTGTACTCTAGCCTGGGCAACAGAGTGAGACTCCATCAAAAAAAAAAAAAAAAAAGAAAAAGAAAGGAGAGGAAAGGAGGAAAGGGAAAGAAAGGAAGGAAGGAAGGAAGGAAGGAAGGAAGGAAGGAAGGAGGGACAAGGCAGAGGGCAGATTATGAAAACTATCAATATAGAAAGAAAAATTGCATGGAATGAATGATTCTTCTCATTGAACATCAGAATAGTCTTTAGGAAGATGACTCTGGATGACTTTAAGTGAGGATAACTAAGATTTGGATAAGCATAAACAACAAAAATGAAGAGTTTTCAGGCTCATGGAACCCTACAGGTAAGGACATAAAAACACAGACATGGCATATTGACAGCCTAGACATATTTTGATGTGACAAGAGCAGTGAATGTTTGGTGTAGAAATGCAACTGGAAAACAACTTTGGGAATAAAATACCAGATTAAGGAAATTGGAGGCTGGGCGTGGTGGCTCACGCCTGTAATCCCAGCACTTTGGGAGACCGAGGCGGGTGGATCACGAGGTCAGGAGTTCGAGACCAGCCTGACCAACATGGTGAAACCCCGTCTCTACTAAAAATACAAAAATTAGCTGGGCGTGGTGGTGTGCACCTGTAATCTCAGCTACTCAGGAGGCTGAGGCAGGAGAATCGCTTGAACCCGGAAAGCGGGAAAGCGGAGGTTGCAGTGAGCTCAGACTGTGCCACCGCACTCCAGCCTAGGCGACAGAGTGAGACTCTGTTTCAAAAAAAAAAAAAAAAAAAAAGGGTTCAAGACTTGGCATTGCCTTTTCACACTATCTTCTCAACCCTCATTCATTCAACAAATATTGTTTGATCACAAACTAAGTAACAGGCAGTGATTTAGATGCTACAGAAGCAGCAGAAAACAAAAACAGGAAAAATCCTTGCCCTCGTGGAGCTTACAGTCTAGTGAGAAGAGAAAGGCAATAAATAAATAAGTATACAACATATCATATACTGATAAGTACCATGGAAAAGAAAACAAAAAGAGAATACAAGAGATTGTCAAATCTGCTATTATGGCTGACTAAGTGCTCTGAGGGACCCTCCCCTTAACAGAACAGCTATATGCTATATAAGAAACAAACCAGGCACGGTGGTCCACACCTGTAATCCCAGTTACTCCAGAGGCTGAGGTGGGAGGATTGCCTGAGCCCAGGTGTTCAAGGCCAGGCTGGGAGAAACCCTGTCTTTGATAGGAGGGGAGGGGAGGGGAGGAGTCAGGAAGGGGAAAGGAGAGTAGAGGAGAAGGGAGAAGGAAAGGGGGAAGAGGGAGAGAGACAGCAGAGGAGAGGGAAAAGAGAGAAAAAGGAAAAAGAAAGGAAATATTCCTTGAAGCATCCCAGATTGCACAAGAGATAACAAACTTTACCCTCACTCCAAATAAGGTATCCTTATGGCTGGAGAGTTAAGGAAAGGCAAGGTAGGCCTGAGAGCAGCTGCCAATAATGCACTTCAGCAAGGACACTGAGCCTTGGGCCACCAGCAAGGTAAGGAAGCTGAGCCTGCTACCCCACAATCACTAAGACCTTCAAGGGCACTAAAGGAAACCTAGATGCTACCAGTAGAAGCCAAAGCAAACCCCTTCTGGAGGAAACACTTACCAACTTAGGCCTGACGAGTAAAACAATACATTTTCCAGCTAAAAGACACAGGTATTTCCATAGTGGATTAAAAACAAAATCCATGCTATTTAAAAGAGGTCCACCTAAAGGTAAGAACCATAAAAGCTGAAAGTAAAAGGCAAACTGCCAAAGGAAAGCTGAGTCAACTATGGTAACATCAGATAAAATAGCTTTTAACACAAAAACATTATTAGGATAGAACTGGAGATCATCACATTAAATTAAATAAACCAGGCATAGAAAGACAAACTTCGTATGTTCTCACTTATTTGTGGGAGCTAAAAATTAAAACAATTGGCTGGATGAAGTGGCTCAATAAATAAAAAAGGGATACTAAGATTTTGGGGTTATAGCTAAGGATAACTAAGATTTTGATAAGCATAAACAACAACAACAACAAAAAAGTTTTCAGGCTCATGGAACCCTACAGGTAAGGACACAGTCACATAAAAACACAGACATGGCATGTTGAGAGTTTATATATATTTTGATGTGACAAGAGCAGTGAATGTTTGGTGTAGAAATGCAACTGGAAAACTATCTTGGGAATAAAATACCGCATTAAAGAAATTGGAATTTACTCTATAGGCAAAGCCAAGACAGGACAGTGATCCCAGCACTTTGCAAAGCTGTGGCAGAAGGATCACCTGAACCCAGGATTTCAAGACCAGCCTGGGCAACATAGTGAGACCCCATCTCACTATTAAAATTTAAAATTTTAATTAAATTAATTAAAAATTAAGTTAATTTAATTTAATTAAACATTATTAAAAATTAAACTTTTAAAAATTAAAACAATTGGCCAGGCGCAGTGGCTCATACCTGTAATCCCAGCACTTTGGGAGGCCAAGGCGGGCAGATCACAAGGTCAGGAGTTTGAGACCAGCCTGGCCAACATGGTGAAACCCTGTCTCTACTGAAAATACAAAAATTAGCCGGGCATGATGGCCCGTGCCTGTAGTCCTAGCTACTTGGGAGGCTGAGGCAGGAGAATTGCTTTAACCCCAGAGGCGGAGGTTGCAGTGAGCCAAGATGAGGCCACTGCATTCCAGCCTGGGTGACAGAGCGAGACTTCATCTCAAAAAAAAAAAAAAATTAAAAAAATTGACTTTATGGAGATAGAGAGTAGAAATATGGTTACCAGAGGCGGGGAAGGGTAGTAGGGGCAGGAGAGAGGAGGAAGTGGGGCTGTAATGGGCACAAAAAATAGAAAGAATAAATAAGAAGTAGTATTTGATAGCACAACAGGGTGACTACAGTCAATACTAATTTAATTGTACTTTTAAAAATAACTAAAAGAGTATAATTGGATTGTTTGTAACACAAAGGATAAATGCTTGAGGTGATGGATACCCCATTTACCCTCTTGTGATTATTACACATTGCATGCCTTTATCAAAATATCTCATGTAACCCATAAATATACACATCTACTATACACCCAGTCCCTCGCAGGCTGGAACCTCGGCACACTTCTTGCCCCCGACCATGGAACAGAAAGCCATGATGTTTTTAAGCAGAACCAGCGAAACCCAAGTCCCTCCTTCCTCTGGTGTTTTAGAACTACAGAGGAGGTGAAGGGGGCCAGGGGGAGGGGAGGCAGGGGGGAAGATAAAGGACAGGAATCTACTATGTGTCTGTAAAAATTAAAAAATTTCAAAACAAATTAGGGGTAGAGATGATCACTATATAATGATACAAAGTTCAATTCACCAGGAAGAGGCAATAATCCTAAACCTGTTATGTACTTGAAAAATATATATATGAAGCAAAATAAATATAACTTCAGGGAGTAAAAAGGCCAATGATAACATACTTTCCTCAATTATTCATATGTCAAACAGACAAAAGATTAGTAAAATATAGACTATCCAAAGGATACAATTAACTAGGATGATCTAGAGAGCATATACACAACTTTCTATCCAGTAATTAGAGAGTACACATTTTTCTCAAGCACACATGGAACATTTACAAATACTGATCATATACTAGCAGGTCTCAAGAAATTTCAAGAAATTTTTTATCAAACAGACTATGTTCTCTAACCACAATACAATTAAAACTCTACATATTTGAAAATTTTTAAATATTTCTAAATTACTCAGAGTAAAAGGAGAAACCATAAAAGTTTAAAATATTCAGAATTGAAATAATGAAAATACTATCTACAAAAACTTTGTGGAAGACATCTAATACAGTACTTACAAGGAAAATGTATAGCCTTAAATATGTTAGGAAGAGAAAAAGGCTGAGAATAATGAGTTATGTGCTCAATAAGTTTAAAAAATAGAGAAAGAGAAAAGGTCAACAGAATAAACCAAAAGAAAGTAGAAGTAGAAAGATAAAGGGTAGGATGGGTGGGCAAGTGGAGGGGACCGTTCAGATGCACATCATCCTCGGTCCCTCGGGACTACAGGGACTCACGAGCCGGAGCCCAGAAATCCAGGGGTGGATAAGACACTTTGTCCCCTCCAATTTCCGAACTCTTGACGACGGCTGGAGGCCAACAGAGTCCCTACAGGTGGTGTCCACGGTAATGCATGGACAATGAGCGGCTGTTTTCCAGTTTCTGGCCTCTGGTGCCTATCTAGAGACGGAGGGATGGCCGCGCACGACGCGCCGCGCTTCCTCCTGACCTTCGATTTCGAAGAGACTATCGTAGACGAAAACAGCGGCGACTCAGTCCTGCGAACTGTGCCGGGACAGCAGGTGCAGGAGAGCCTGCGAGCCACCGACCGCGAGGGCTTCTACAACGAGCACATGCAGCGCGTCTTCAAGTATCTGGGCAAGCAGGGTGTGCGGTCGCGGGACCTGCGTGCCATCTACGAAGCTATCCCTTTGTTGCCAGGCATGGGCGACCTGCTGCAGTTTGTGGCTAAGCAAGGCACCTCCTTCGAGGTGATTCTCATCTCTGATGCTAACACCTTCGGCATGGAGAGCACGCAGCGCGCCACCGGCCACCAGAGCCTGTTCCTCCGCATCCTCAGCAACTCGTCGGGGTCCGACGCGCAGGAGCTGCTGGCTCTGTGGCCGTTCCACACACATAGTTGCGTGTGCTGCCCCGCCAACATGTGCAAGCACAAGGTGCTCAGCGACTACCTGCGCGAACGGGCCCACGACGGCATGCACTTCGAGTGCCTCTTCCATGTGGGCGACAGCGCCAACGACTTCTGCCCATGGGGCTGCTGGCGGGCGGCGACATGGCCTTCCCGCGCCGCAGCTACCCCATGCACCGCCTCATCCCTGAGGCCCAGAAGGCGGAGCCCAGCTCGTTCTGTGCCAGCGTGGTGCCCTGGGAAACCGACGTGCGCCTCCACCTGCAACAGGTGCTTAAGTCGTGCTGAGTACGGCCACCTGCAGGGGGTCAACCGGGCCAACGGCGGAGGGGGCGGGGAGGGGGGATTCGGAAAAGACAAAGTTAGTTTTACTACTCCCTTTTCCCTTTGGCTTTGCTATATGTCTCTCTGGGAATTTCTGGAATCTCGTTCATCATCCCTATCGATGCAGTTAACCCACCTCGGCTGCCTCCCCTGTTCCACTGCGCACGGTTGAGTTCTGGCGTCTGACTCATCGTGGGGTGGCGGGCAAACCTTGGAAGGCAGCAGTGTTTCCTGGTCCTCCCAAGTGGGAGGAAGGGGCTCCCCGGCAGGTGAGAGAAGGAAAATCTCCCACTGCTGTAATTGCTGCCTCGGGCCGCGTGACCGCCCGCCTCCAGTCTTTTGTGGAGGGAACCCAGGATCCTGAAATCCTCGTGGCTGCAAGGACTCCCCACAGAGACAGAGGAGGGTCTCCACCTATGCCCCAGGCCTTCGCGATCTTGCTTCACCCACCACGACCCGACACTATTTCTGCGCTGTCTACACCCTCCTGCCTCCCGACCCCTGCACTCCCCTCTATCACCCCCAAAGGAAAAGCCAGAGGGAACAACCGCCTCCTGGTGGTGGTACGAGGTAGCGCACCGTCCAGCTGGGGTCCGGCCGGCCAGTAACCTCGAAGCATGCGACGGTGTCTCTCTCCTTGCACCCCAGCCTTGTCTATGCAGCAAGAGACCAGCGACTTCACCAAAATCCCCCAACAATGGAACAGAAAGCCATGATGTGTTTAAGTAGAACCAGCGAAACCCAAGCCCCTCCTTCCTCTGGTGTTTTAGAACTACAAAGGAGTTGTGAAGGGGGGTGGGGGGGAGGGAAGATAAAGGGTAGAAATCCATGAACCAGAGAGAATTATGAAGCCTTTGGGACGACTGGAGCAAGAAGAGAGAAAGTGCAAATAAACTACATTAGATCCAGTAGAGGACAGAAAAATCTAAAAATCCCATGAATAACTTCATATCTATTAATTTGAAAATGTAAAGTCAAAAATGTAACCTACAAATTGATTCACAATGAATTAGAAAAACTGAAGAAACTAAGAAATGCTAAATAAACTAAAACTGTAGTTAAAAATCTTTCTGAGAAAACACCAACCACAGATGATCTTAGAGGGGAGTTCTCAAAATTTTCAACAGATTGTTTCAATATGATTCAAACACTGTCAAATAACAGAAAAAGATTAAATGCTCCAAACATATTCTAGAAGGTCAATATAATGTTGGTTGCAAAACCAAAGAATGAAAAAGAAAAACTTCAGGCCAACCTTACTCATGAATATAGTTGTAAAAATATTAAACAAAATATTAGTAAACCAAATCCATCCAGATGGCTTAACATGAGAAAATCTATGGAAGTTTATCACCATATGAACAGATTAAGAAGAAAATTATAAAATCATCTTGATAGATGCTGGGGAAAAAAAACAGCTGATAGAATTTAACACTCATTCATGATAAAAATTTTCAGCAAGTTAGGCTAGAAAAAATCTACCTTAACCTGACAACAGGCACACACTAAAAACTAAGAAGGAAACATTAGAAGTATTTCCTTTAAAATCAGAAATAATACAAGGATGCCTACTATCACCACTTATAAAATCAACATTGTAATATAAACCCGGTACTATAAAACAATAATTAAAGGTATATAGATTGAAGGGCAGAAACAAAAGTATTATTATTTGCAGATGCTATAATTATCTACATAGAAAACCAAAGTATTTACAGACAAATTGTTGGCAATAGTAACAGAGCTTAGCAAGATGTCTGGCTAACTGAATAATATGAAAGAGTCAACTGTTTTTCTATATACCAGGAAAAAAAGAGCTAGGAAATATAATTTTTCAAAGGTAACACTTCTATAGCAAGAAAAACCATACAATGCCTAAGAATAAATATATCAAAGAATGTACAAGATTGGTATGCAGAACACCATGAAATCTTTTTTCTTTTCTTTTTTTTTTTTTTTTTTTTGAGAAGGAGTCTCGCTCTGTTGCCCAGGCTGGAGTGCAGTGGCACGATCTTCGCTGACTACAACCTCTGCCTTCCAGGTTCAAGCGATTCTCCTGCCTCAGCCTCCTGAGTAGCTGGGATTACAGGCATGTGCCACCACACCTGGCTAATTTTTGTTTTTTTGTTTTGTTTTGTTTTGAGATGGAGTCTTGCTCTGTCGCCCAGGCTGGAGTGCAGTGGCGCGATCTCGGCTCACTGCAAGCTCCACCTCCCGGGTTCACGCCATTCTCCTGCTTCAGCCTCCCAAGTAGCTGGGACTACAGGTGCCCGCCGCCATACCCGGCTCATTTTTTGTATTTTTAGTAGAGACGGGGTTTCACCATGTTGGTCAGGCTGGTCTCGAACTCCTGACCTCGTGATCCGCTCGGCCTCCCAAAGTGCTGGGATTACAGGCATGGGCCACTGTGCCTGGCCGAAACCTTATCTTAAATGACATTTTGAAAGTCTTAAATAAATTAACCCATATATATAGATAAGAAGATTCGATACAGTAAAAAAAAAAATCAATTCTCCCCATACTTATTTGTAAATTCCATTTACAGTCATTTCCATCAAAATCCCATCAGGGATTTTGTTCCTATGGAACAAATTGATCAGTGGGATAGAGCAGAGACCCTCAATGGAATCATGATACCAAGAGAAAGGAAACCTGAGATCAGTAGAGAAAGGAGGATCTGTTCAATAAATGGTGTTGGTACAACAAGTTATCTAAATGTGGAAAAAATCAATTAAATGAATCTTCACCTTATACCATAAACACATCAATTTTAGGCAGATTAAAAAAGTAAATGTGAAAAAGCAAAACTTTAAAACTTTTGGAAAAAAATATAGAACATCTTTTTGATCCTAAGTTAGGGAAGAATTTCTTAAACAAGATACAAAAAAATCCTAATAATAAAAGAAAAGACTGATAAATTTGGCTGTATTAAAATAACTTCCAATTATCAAAAGATAAAGAAAATAAATGACAAAGCACAAACTGGCAGAAATATATGCAACACATATAAGCAACAAAGATTTAGTATCCAAAATAAAGAACTCCTACAAGTCAATATGAAAAACAACAAAATAGAAAAATGGGCAAAATGTCTGAACGGGCATTTAACTAAAGTACAGACAGGTTTAACCAATACACATATTAAAAAATGTTCAACCTCATCAATAATGAGGGAAATATAAATTAAGATCACAATAACATACCATTTTATACCTACTAGATGGGTTCAAAATTTAGAACTACTGAATAGGAAGTAGGTCAGTCAGAATTCCAGTACATAGCTGGTGGCAGAATAGTTGTTGGTACAACTTCTTTGGAAAACAATTTGGCATGACCTTGCAAAAGGAACAACTATATATAGCCTTTGAATCAGTAATTCCATTTTTAAAAATGCCAGATTACAATTTTTTAAAAAAATTGTGGTAGAGTCACACAATGAATTTTAAAACAGCAATAAAAAAATCACTGAATTACAAATAAATGTAAAACCATGTTCAAATCTTAGAAGCATTATGTTGGGTGAAAAGAAAGCAAGATTTAAGACTATATAGAACAGGATGCCATTTCATAAAGCTTAAAACCAGACAAAGCTAAAGAATATACTGTTTAGACATTTATAAAAATGTGATAAATCTATCTTTAAGTAGAAGAAAGTAATAGATTCAAAATCCAGGATATATGTTACCTCTTGGGAGGAGCCAGGAGGATAGAACAGGGGAAACATAAACATAAGCATGCTACTGGTAATCTTCCACTTACTGGGTAAGTGACAGGTTCTCTTATGCATGCTACTGGTAATCTTCCACTTACTGGGTAAAGTGACAGGTTCTCAACAGTTCACTGTATTTTTATGCTTTGTAACATCCATAAATATTTCAAATATTCTTGTATATGTATCATATAATAACAAAGACAAAAAATAAAGCAAGGCATGGGGACAGGCATTGTTGGGAGTGGGATGGGAGGGTATAATTGTCAGCATTATTTAAGCATTATTTTAAATTCTTCGGAGAAAGCCTCTTTGAGAAGATAACATTTGGGATAACACCTGAGTCAGCTGGGTGTCTAAGGGAAGGGCAGTCCTGGCAGAGGGAGGAGCAAGCTGGAAGGCCCAAAGCAAAACGGGGGATATCTGGAGACAAGACTAAGGAGAATAGAACGGGTCAGGAAAAATAGAGTGACACAGCAATAGTAATTATAAAGAGAGGAAACCCAAGGAAGGGCTTGCTTGCTGTTTCAAATGGTTCTGTTTTCATCCAAGTCATTTTAGTACCAGAATTGGGCAGGTTCTCGAGCACCTTCTGGCCTGTGCTTTGGCAGTTGGGGAGGACTGCTACTGCTACAAGGTTTGCAGGAGGGCAAGGGCAAGGTCAAGGTCATGGTGTTTAGAGTGGTTAGGAAAAACTTGGGTGAGCGAGCAGACTGGCTAATGAGAGAAACAGCAAAGAGGTCAATGTAAGAACAGGAGAGTAAGGACCGGAAATCAAGAGCTCAGGCAAAGGGTTGGGAAGGGGGTTGTCAATTATACAGAATCACATAACTTGGAGAGACTTCGGGTTTTACATGACTAGAATTATCATCACTTGTTATATTATCTTCTGTCTTATCCATAATTTTTAAATAGTTGAAATAGATCTACTATCTATCTATCTATCTATCTATCTATCTATCCGTCTAACACCTATTTATGTATCTGTCTGTCTAACTATCTTCCTCCTGCCCAATTTCTGATGGCAGAGGATTTGAAGAGACTATCACTTCTAGTACACTAAATATTTCTCTAATGTTTGCTTTTGTCTATTTTGGTATTGCTTATAATTAGAGAAATGGCATTTTAAAACACATAATAAAAAATAGGCCGGGCACGATGGCACAACTCTGTAATCCCAGTACTTTGGGAGGCCGAGAAGGGCAGATTGCTTGCGCTCAGGAGTTTGAAACCAGGCTGGGCAACATGGTGAAAACCCCATCTCTAAAAAAAATACATTCGTATTCCTGGATTTGGTTTACTAGTATTTTAATATTTTTACAACTACACTCATAGGTGAGGTTGACCTGAAATTTTTATTTTTCATGCTTTGTCTGGTTTTGCTATCAAGATTATACTGGCTTTCTAGAATATGTTTGGAGCATTCCCTCTTTCTCTATTATTTGACAATGTTTGAATAATATCAAAACAATCAGTTGAAAATTTTGAGAACCTGCCTCTAAGATCATCTGGGGTTGATGTTTTCTCAGAAAGATTTTTAACTACAGTTTTAGTTTATTTAGCATTTCTTAGCTTCTTCAGTCTAAGAAAGAAATAATAAATAAATAAATAAAGCAAGCAAGCAAAGGAGAATAAAGGGAGTTGAAGGAACAAGAGTCGATGAAAGATTCTGTGAAGGGAGAATCACTTGAACCCAGGACATGGAGGTTGCAGTGAGCTGAGATCACGCCATTGCACTCCAGCCTGGGCAACAGAGCAAGATCCTGTCTCAAAAAAGAAACAAACAAACAACAACAACAAAAACAAAGAAAAAAAGAGAAAGATCCTGTGAAGGAACATCAAAGGTAAGAAAACCAAGAAAGTAAAAAATAAATAAATAAGCTAAAAAAGAAAACAAAGGTAAGAAAACCTAGATAGCACAGGGTTCTCGAAGCTAAGAGAACCTAAAAAGTAGCCATCAGGTGCAACATAATGAAAGCTGAGAAGGCTATTGGAATGGACAATTGGGTCATAGGTGATTCCAAAAAAATAATTTCTGTGCATTTACAGAAGCCAGACACAGTAAATGAGATCCAAATAAATGGGGAAAAGGTAAAGGCAGATTTTAGAGTACATTTTTGAAAGCCTTAGTGAGAATGGGATCTCTAGGGGACATAACAATTTTTTAATTGTAAAATTATCAAATAAGCTATCTTATTTTTTAATTATTTTTCATTCCTTAAGTTTGAGCTTAAACCCTTTAAAAATAAAGATAGTAAGATAAAAACACTACGAAGTATGAGATCTGAGAGCAAAAATTGCTTCATGTAAGAAATGAACATAGATTATAAGCTGCTGAACGCAAGTAGTACAGGAAGGTGGTTTTAGATCACTCAGCTATCTCTTGATAGAAGTTCTTGCAGTCACACTATGTCGAAACAGAGAATATGAGCAACACAATGGAATGAAGACACAGAGAGAGAAAGGAGGAATATCTCTTTTCTAGTACTGAAGTTAGTAGAGAATACCTTTGATTTAACATACTTGAAGCCTATGGAAGCTCTAAGTGTGGACTCTCCATGTAAAGTCTGAGATGAGGGCAGAGGCAGTGACATCGTTTAAGGGAGTAGTAGCTTATGAGCTCTTTTGCACAGTTTGAGAACAGAACCTAGAGCTTGGGCAGTAACCACAGAGAAGGGCTCCTGTAGTCAAGTTAAGACCTGGAATTGCAGAAGGAAGTCATTTTTAAATGTGCATTTCTTTACTGGGATTGCCTGTTCCCTTTAGAACAAGTAAATAAATGTTAAGGTCTCAAGATACTTGATGTTTCAAAATATGAATAATAACAAAATGAATAATATAATCACCATCAAAGTGTGTTTAATTTTTCAAAGCATTTCACATCCATCATTTCATCTTTCTTAATGGAAATATTCAAGGGTATACAAGGCTATGGGTCAAGTCTCAGGGCAACTCCATCCAATCCTCAAGATTCTATATTAAGTTGTGTTTGCAGATGTTATGCTTAATTTTCAAAAGACTAATGGTGATTAATTTTAGTGAAAGTATATGCTCTTTTTTAAAAAAAAGAAAACTACAGTTCATGCATACACACCTTCACCCACATAAAAAACCTAAAAGGATGAAGAAAGGATACCAAAATTGTTCTGACCTAGTTACATCCCAAGTAACACAGACTATGCTTTACTAAAACTCCTCTTCTTACTGTGAACACAAAATGCCAGCTGTGAAAGAAAGTGATACTGCTGGGTTTGCACACTTTGGTTACCATAGAAACAGTAGAAATGGCAAGAGTTGGATGCCTCACATTTAAGTTATCGGCAATAAAATCAGATAGATAAACCAATGCCCAGGGTTCATTTTAGTTAAATTGTATTTTAAAGGCAAAAGTCAGGGAAATAATGTGATAAGTAATATGATTACTCAGAAGCTACTCCTGAAATATCTGCATTTTAGCAGAATTTACTTAATGCTTTAATTTATATTCATGATACTTAACATGTACTCCAGATTTGCTTTTTCCTTCTATAGAATCAATTTTTTCACAGGGTTAAATATATTTCAGTTAATTGGCACATTATGAGTAGCACAGCCTAAAGATACACAATCTTCCTACTACATTTGCTTTCTCCCACCCCAAGACATTTGGGACAAAAATATGAAACTCATAATATGACTCTTATCAGTACCAATAAAGAGAGAAAAAGACAAACACAATTGTCTACAATCCTGAATAATAGGAACAGAGACAATCAGAATATCAATTGGAGTAGTTTCTGAAACAATGAACAGTGCCGGCTTGATATTAATGGCTACAACTATACTTTTATTTAAATATTGTTAGTGGTGACACAACTTTCCTCACATTTGATACAAACATACATTCCCAGGAAAAAACCCTCAGTTCATGCTCCTTTCTTTACACTGTTCTTCATTGTTTACCCTGAACAAATAAGATTCTGCACTGTAACAAATAGGGCAAAGAACTACCTAAGAGTAAAATCTATGCCTTTTTCTTCTTTTTTTCTTAAGCAGTTATTTGCTAATAGCATTAGTCTATCATAACTGCTTACCCCTTAAAACAACTTCATTGATTAGATAGTAGATGATTTAAAATATGGAGAATCTGATCATTGTGGTTGCAACTTCCTAGAGGGCAGGGAGAGTCATTCTGTCACAACTTTATACGTCTGCTGAGAACTAGGTACATACTGTGTTTAATACATATTTGTTGAATGAGTAAACAAATAAGTGAATGAGCTAAATTGCCAGTGGTTTGTACTCATAATCCATCCAGCTATGGGGTAAGGTATAAGTGTCCTCTGAGAGGCAAGTTCCCAATTTGAAAAGAAGATGGCTGCGTGCAGTGGCTCATGCCTGTAATCCCAGAACATTGGGAGGCCAAGGCGGGCAGATGACCTGAGGTCAGGAGTTCGAGACCAGCCTGACCAACATGGAGAAAACCCACCTCTACTAAAAATACAAAAAATTAGCGTGCATGGTGGCGCATGCCTGTAATCCCAGCTACTCGGGAGGCTAAGGCAGGAGAATCACTTGAACCCGGGAGGTGGAGGTTATGGTGAGCCAAGATCATGCCATTGCATTCCAGCCTGGGCAATAAGAACAAAACTCTGTCTCCAAAAAAAAAAAAAGAAAGAAAGAAAGAACAGAAGTTGAAGGAAACTAGAATAAATACTCCAAAACATGCCAAGCTCACTTCTGAATAACGGTTTTTAAAAGTTATTATTTTACTTTATTCTGGGGTTTCAAAAATCCTCGATAGGCCGGGCACGGTAGCTCACGCCTGTAATCCCAGCACTTTGGGAGCCTGAGGTGGGTGGATCACGAGGTCAGAAGTTCGAGACCAGCTTGGCCAACATAGTGAAACCCTGTCTCTACTAAAAATACAAAAATCAGTCGGGCATGGTGGCACGCACCTGTAGTCCTAGCTACTTGGGAGGCTGAGGCAGGAGAATTGCTTGAACCCAGGAGGCAGAGGTTGTGGTGAGCCGAGATCGCGCCACTGCACTCTAGCCTGGGCAACAGAGCAAGACTCCATCTCAAAAAAAAAAAAATAAATAAAAATAAAAATCCTCTATATGCTAATGGCACCAAAATCTATACCTCTAGGTCTCTAACTTTCCATATATCTCAGAGATATGTTGACAGTAGCCATTACCACAGTCACCTCAAACTCAACTTGTCCAAACTAAATTTTTACTTTTCCCTGTCAAAACTCCTCTTTTTTTGGTTAATCCTTTCTCAGTCACAAAGTCAACAAAAGCAGAAGTCTGAACTTGCATTGACGCTCTCTTTTCTCCCTCAAATCTAACCAATCCTCAGATCTGACTACTTACATCCTACATTTTTGTCAACTATCTCCCCTCCTCTCAATTTGGATCACCTCTGTCATAGTTCAAGCCTTCCTTATTTCTCCACCAGCTGACTTCAACCACCTGATAAGGCTACTATCCCTGTGTCCTCAAACCAACTCTCCATAGCCCTGTCTGAGTGGTCTTTCTTTAACAAAAACCTGACCAGCTCAGGAAACTGGACACAGGAAAAATCCACACTTCTAAACAGGACAACTAAGATCCACCATAATCTGGTCCTCTTTCTCCTGCCTCTTCTTTTACTACTTCTTGCCTTGTCCCAGTAATATAAAGTGCTTGTACTTTCTTCTCTATGCCCTTATTCATACTCCTCTGCCTGGAATGCTCTCCCCACCCACCTCTCTTCATCTTACCAATTTCTATGAATCCTTTCCTATTCAGCTCAGTATGAATTATCCAAGGTACTTAGTACCTTATGCTTAGCTCATCCTTGAATGTACCTCATAATTTCTTTTGTAAACCTTGTTGCTTTATGATTATGTTTGTTGGCTCTTCCCCACCATGTACTCGTTGGGGGAAGGGATCGTATTCATTAACTCTGTATTCCCAGTACCCAGCATACTATCTGGTACATATTAAGAAGCCAAATATGTTTGTAATGCAAATATTCTGTATTTTGTCTGTAAACCACTACTTCCCCCCACAGAAATCCAGTAATAAATAAATAGCTAAAAATGACAATTAGGTTCCATAATTACATTAGTGTCATAACTTTAGGTACACTATAGGCTAAATAGGTCTTTCTATTCAGAGACTCTAACTACTGTTTAAAATGTTATTTCTAATGAAAATGCCTTTCCAGTTTGAAATTATGTATTTACAACTATATGTAGGCTATCTGTAAATCAGGAGAAACCTGTAATATTAAATGCTATGACTAATTTCATTTTAGCTTAAACTGGTTTAACAGTATCTGTAATATAACACCTATGTTAATCAAACTTCAGTATTCACAGTAAACAATGCTTGCCAACCCAGCACTGCCAACAGTTAACAATGTGTTTCTTTGTCTTTCAGGAGTAGTTACTGGCCTGGACAACAGAGATAAGGTTTTCTTTTCTCTAACAAGAACCAATAAAAAGCAACCATTATAAAAAGTTCAATGTAAAACAAATACATGTATGTAGAAGGCTATTTACCTAACTAACTTAAAGGTCATTATGCGAGTATAATCGCGATATATTCCACATTAACATCCATGGTAGGAATAATGCTACAAAGGTATTTGGATTTATTCCTGTTCATTAATAAGTACAATTCATCCTTAGAGAAGCAACACTGGTAGAGAGTAGCTTTCTATTTATGTTTGGAATACCCACATCCAGATCAAATAATTTGGTCTTATTATCATGAGAAATTAAGAATGTCAGAGATAGAAATTCTCAGACTGAGCTCTCTTGTTTTACTGATGAAGAAAGAGAGGCCTAGAGAAGAGAAAGACCTACAACTTGACCAAGTTCACTCTGTGCGGAGAGTAGCAGGTCCAGATGAAAACCCAGTTCTCTCAGAGATGCACTCCAAGCCAGAGTTGTGACAGCCACAGCACCCTGGGAAAATGAACAGTACTTAACTGATTATGGCCCTCCCTATAGAAGACTTCTACCTGATGTGTGCTTAGTTGAGGATATGATCCCACAAAATAACTATCATATGTAATCTCTTGGTAAAATGAATCATCAGTCCTTGCATGCAAGATTCCCTTATTCTTATAAGGTATCTATGTTGCTAGTCTAATAGAATACCTGTGGTGTTAATTGCCCAGGTATATATTTATCAAAACTCATCAATTTGTAATTAAAATGGGTATACCTTACTGTATATAAATTCCACCTCAATAAAATTAATTTAATAAAATAGCGTGCCTAAATTGATTCTTCAGTAATAGCCAAAGGCCTCAAAGTACTGGGGCTCTGTCTGTAGCCTTTGGTTCTCAACTAGTTCCTGCCATTGCTATCAATGTGGGATGTATCTTAATTAGACCCTCTTAGTGACCTTGAAGTTAGTTTGGTAAATAGTCTTCTTAATACATGTGTTTGTCAGCACAGGCCACTAAAACTTTATGCTTAAGTCAGTGATTATCAAATGAGCCCTGACCCTGAGTTAAACCTTAAGAGAGTTTGTATGTCACTGTGAGTCAAACCATGGCTCCTTGCAAGCTGGCCCTCTTGGAAGTGGGATTCTTGGTGTGTACCCTCTCACTATGGAATAACTGGTGAAGCATTAATTCAAACTGACAGATAGATGTGCAGGACTCTGTTGAAAGCTCCAACTACAGGGCTATGAACTCAGATGATGAAAAAAACTGTCATGCCAAAAAGAAAAATCATAGCCCATGTCTAGAAAACACATCAATATTACCTTCTTACACATGTAAGGTGTGTGTCACCATATCCAGAGCACTGTAAGAAACATTGTGTCTGATCTTCACAAGGCCTGTGTAGAGGCAGCAAGACAGGAGCATGGATGGCATCACTACCATCAAAGGCCTCCAGACTGCAGACATGAATGGCTAAGCCCTAGACTATCAAGGACTCAGCTTTAAGGAACTTCTTAGGAACCAGAGGTCACTGGCAGGAACACTAGTATGATTCTTCAGCATGACAAGATTTGCAATTGTCCAAAATCACCTAAAATAGCAGGTCAGAAGATATCCAGGCCATACTTTGCTTTCTGATTGCTAACTATGCATTTTAAAAGAAATCAGAATGATTAAGTCATATTAAAAGAAATACTACTTCTTGTCATAATCCTCTTTAAGTAGAATGTTAACTGATAAATCAAATAAAAATAACAAATAATTAAGTCATTTGACTAGCATGGAATTGCTACCTCCAAAGCCTCTCTTAGTAATATATCATTCAAGAAGGAAGAATGAAAAGTACATTTGAAGCAGTTGCTAATTGTGATCTCATTTAATCAAGCTTTTTAAAAACTTCCATATTTTAAATATGAAGACTTGGCAAAAATATTTGTAATATTTAAATATAAACAGGATAAAACACAGCCTACTTTTTTTGTTTTAACACCAGGAGGCATATTTCACATATTTACACTAGATCTCTGCTTTGTAAAGCTGAAGGGGCTAGGAAGAGTATGAGACGACAGGCATTCTGGGGGGAAAAAGAGGTTAAAGAAAGGGCATCTTTGGATTACTGGCAGGATCAAGAAAGAATGTACAGAAGCTTCTGCAGAAAGAAAATGAGATATTCAGGAACTCTGGAGCTACATTCAGGAACTTTGGTGGAACTGAGGGTCAACAAC
This sequence comes from Homo sapiens, assembly GCF_000001405.40. Classification (NCBI taxonomy): domain Eukaryota; kingdom Metazoa; phylum Chordata; class Mammalia; order Primates; family Hominidae; genus Homo; species Homo sapiens. The sequence continues at coordinate 110,658,958 of NC_000006.12, forward strand.
CATATAAATTACTTCTCAGTATTCCCCATTTTACAGATGAGTAAACTAAGGCTTAAGGATCAAAATCTTAGAAATAATTTTTTAAAGTGTAGGTTCTCAAAGTTTCTATATCTTAAGGACTAAGTAAGGCTAAAACTCTAGAGAACGATATTAAATGCCTGCAAAATGCTGGCATAATGGTTACAGTAAGATTTTAAGGGTTTTGCCTTATCAGGCCCTATTTAGCAGAGACAAAATTAAAGACCTGCTGTATCTCCTTGTCAGACAACTTATGAAGAGAAGCTATGCTGCATGCAGAGATTTCTAAGCACTTATTTTTAATCAAATGTTCAGAAAGATGAACAGTACAGCATTTTTCTTACAGCTGAGTGAAAACAGAGGGTGGTCTTTGACTTTTGCATACATAGTATTAGACTTTCATACAGAGATATCTTCACTCTCTTCAGCTAAAGGTCTTTTTCATGTTTCTGCATAGTGTCCTTTCAATGCCTCTTGGCTAGCTGTTACAATTCAGCAGAAATACCAGCTTTGGAAAACAATGTTTTGCCATTATTTAAATTTTTCTTCGCATTTTTGCCTCTGCTTTACACAAAAGAGTAGAATATAGAAATAAGAAAGTACTAATACTAGTGATAAGCACAGGCCTCAGACTGCATAAAAAGATGGAAATGTCTAGGTATGTTCAAAGTGATAAATTCTGGACCTCAATTGAATATATCCTCTGAACTTAAGTGGATTAAATCTGTGGTTCGACAGCAGGGAGGGGAAGAAGAGAAGGGGAGAGGAGAGGAGGGGAAAATTAGGAAACATATTTTGAATTCTGAAAATCACTGAACAATGTTTCTAAAAGGGAAGAGATAACTAGTACATTATAACTATTTTTTAGCTCTTTCCAACCAGAACCGCCGCTAGATCTTACCATCCATGTAACTTTTACACATGAAAAAATTATATATGAAAGGTGGGGACTTTTTGCATTTTCTTCATTGCATTTCCACTAAATAAAAAATGACAATAACAGGATCCAGGTATCATTTAATTTTTGCTCTGTTTTGTTTTTTAGAGACAGGGTCTATGTTATGCAAATTGGACTGGAACTCCTGGGCTCAAGGTATCTTCCCACCTTATCCTCTTGAGTAGCTGGGACTGCAGGCATGTGCCATCACAGCTAGCCCCAAATATCATTTAAAACCTTCCTCAACTCTGATAGTGAAACAGGATATTTCCCTGACCCCTTCGCAGGCTGGAACTGGAGTGCATGGGTGCCAGCAGGGGCAAACTCCACTCACTCGACCTGCTCTCAGGAGGGGAAGCATGCAGGCGAGTGGGTACAGGAGCCGGGGCGAGTACTTTTGGGTGCCAGCAGGAGCAAAACTCTGTGCGGGGCCCATGGCAGTGTCTAAGGGGTGTGCCCATGACCCCTTAAGCCACAGAAGGAATGGTACAGTGCCCTTTTAGCTTTGCCATCTGTAGACAGCTTAAGTGTTAACAGCTCAGTGGAGGGTTGGTGTGACAGCCTTTTGCACCTGCACTCGTGGCACCCGAGTTCTTGTCCAGCATCCAGGAGGAATGAGGTCGCCTGGGCAAACTGAAGATGGTAAATGTAGGGGATCTGATTGCCAATAAAAGTGGCTCTCAGCAGGAAGGGGAGCTGAAAAGGGGATGGAGCAGGAAGCTAATCTCCCCCAAAGTCCAGCCATCTCCAACTAGACTCTTCTCCAAAGCTACACCATCAAGCTGTCCTTCTGAAGTCAAGCTGCTTATCTCCAATATGCAACCAGTCTCCAACCTCCAGCTGCTTCTCCTCTCTGCCGGCTGAGCCTGAGGTTTTTATGGGCACAGGATGGGGAGCAGGGCAAGTCATGGGTGGTTTTGGAAAAGGCAACATTCAAGTGGGAAAACAGGGATGTAAGTTCTCACTTTGGGCCACAGTATCAGGCCTTTAGGCTTGAGGGTAGGAACTTCACCAGGGACCCACCCTCTTCTGCCCAGAATTTCCCTGCCTCCTGTCCCTATCAATAGGTAGCTTCAGACATAGTTTCCAATCTTTCCCACCTCCTGGTATACACACTATTGTGTAAACTCCTCTCCTTGAGTGTGGACTATACCTAATAACTTGCTTCTAATAAGTATGAAAAAATATCCAAAGTCATATAATATATAGATGGTTCCCAACTTTCAATGGGGAAAATTAGGAAACATATTTTGAATTCTGAAAATCACTGAACTTACAATGGATCAATGTACTGATCTTTCGACTTTAGGATGGTGCAAAAGCAATACACATTCAGTAAGCTCCTTAACTTACAAAGAGGTTACTTCTGGATAGGCCCATTGTATGTTGAAGATACTAGAAGTTAAAAACATACTTTTGCCTTATAATATTTTCAACTTATGATGGTTCCAATGAGATGTAATTCTATGAAAAATTGGGGAATATCTGTACTTTCCTCTGCAACTAGAATATCTATTGCAACATTTCTTTTTTATTTTATTTATTTAGAGATGGGGTCTCACTATGTTGCCAGACAGGTGTATAGTGGCTATTCACAGATACAAACAGCGCACTACAGCCTTGTACCACTGGCCTCAAGCAATCTTCCCACCTCAGCCTTTGGAGTAGCTGGGACTACAGGTATGTGCCACCCTACCCAGTTTGCATCATTTCCTTTAATCAGATGAAGAAATCATATCTGACTCAAAGTATTGGCAAGGTTTTTTGTTACTTCATTCGGATAGACCTCTAATAGAATAAGTTTTTACTTCTGTGACAGAAGTAACAGCTACTAGACATTTTAATAGCTGTTAATTAACAATAAAAGCCAAAAGATTCCTGGATACAAAATTATTTTCTCTCTCAACTGGATCTCACAAAATTTTGATATACTGTACCATGTTTGCAGATCATATACTTATTTGTGCCCACAGACTTCAAAAGACTGCAAATTCACCCACTAATGTGAAAAGAGCTTTGGGATGGCAACTCCACACATTTTATTTATTTATTTGTATTTTTATTTTTTGGGGGGGGAGACTGAGTCTCGCTCTATTGCCTAGGCTGGAGTGCAGTGGCACGATCTCGGCTCACTGCAATCTCTGCCTCCCAGGTTCAAGCGATTCTCCTGCCTCAGCCTCCCGAGTAGCTGAGATTACAGGCATGTGCCACCACACCGAGCTAATTTTTGTATTTTTAGTAGAGATAGGGTTTCACCATATTGTCCAGGCTGGTCTCAAACTCCTGACCTCAGGTGATCCACCCGCCTTGGCCTCCTGAAGTGCTGGGATTACATGCATGAGCCACCACACCTGGCCTCCACACATATTTTTTAAAAGACAGACCTAAGGTTGAGACCCTAAAGCATTCATTCAAATCCTTCATTCAATAAAGACTTCGTGCTTATTGTGTACTAGGTTCTGGGATATGATAATGAAAAAGAAATAGTCTAACTGATAGTTCAATTTATATCACTGATCTAGTAGCAAGATTCTGAAATGAAGGAGTCATAAATCCACTTAATAATATTATCATTTAGCTGGCATTTCTCTATCATTGCTAAAGAATAATGTGAAATTGCCAGATGCCTTGCTGAAATTCAATTCAAATAACTTATGAGCACAAACAATATGCCAATGCTGGGACTACAAAAATTATTGAGATATGAACCTTGCTCTCAAGAAGCTCATAATTTTGAAAAAGAGATAAACTATATCTTGGCATTCTTCCAATCTACCAAAATAGTAATCCCATAAAAATGAGTCATCCTATATTTCATTTTCTTACTCTTAGCTATATCCTGCTATAAAATTAAAATACATCTTTTCTCCCTTGGTGTTTACAAGTTCCAAATATTTATAGACTTATGCCTCTACTTCACTGTCTCTCAGCCAAGATGAACATATTTAGCTCTCTTTCTCCTTTCCTTTTAAAGCAATTCTTCATTTTAAGTTATTTTTGGTGACTTTATTTACATTCTCTATTTCTGTATTAAATTCTAGGATTCGAATGACATAATTAAAATATTGATTCAGATATAAAATCAATCATAATGAAAAACACCAACCTTTATGATGATGTAATGCCTCTGTGTGTGATGTCCAAAACACTGACTTTTATTTACTTTAAATTTTTTATATTATACTGTAAATTTATATTTACTCTAACACATTTAATTATATGGATTTTCCAGGTTTCTCACATCAAATGAAATTTAGAGATGGTGAGCACTCAGTTGTGACTATCAAATAGTGTCAAGCCAAATTTCTTACAGCAATAGAAAATGAAGCATTAAGAAAAACAAAACTAGTCACTGACTACAACAGCAACTCTTAAACTCACAAAACATAATTTTTCAAATGTCTCCATCATCCTCTTTTTAAGACCATATTCATATTTCATATACTTTATATTTCTGTATCTACTACAGAATGTATTTATAAAGCAAGCATACAGTTTAAATCTACTCCTGAAAGTACTTTGGCAAAACCATGACAATATGGCACAGATATCAGGACTCAAGATTAGTGAATCAAGAATTGAAGAGGCTATCACAGACTAGATTCCTGTTGGTTCAAAGTTTCTTTTTCTTCAGACAGGGTCTCAATTTGTTGCCCAAGGCTGGAGTGGAGCGCAGTGGCACAATCGTGGCTCACTGCAGCCTTGACCTCCTGGGCTAAAGCAGTCCTCCCACTTCAGCCTCCTCAGTAGCTGAAACTACAGGTATGCACCACCACACCCAGTTAATTTTTTATTTTTTGTAGCGATGGGGACTCACTATGTTGCTCAGGCTACTCTTGAACTCCTGGGCTCAAGTGATCCTCCTGCCTTGGCCTCCGAACATGCTGAAATTACAAGCATGAGCCACCATGCCCAGTCAGTTCAAAATTTCAAATCTTATTAGAGTTACTCACTTGAGGAGTTGGAGGCATTCAGTAAATGTGTGGGTAAAATATAAACCAGTGCTATACTACGTAAGAACCATATTCAGAATGCATTTTCAACATTGTGTTCATGCCATTGATGAGGTAATAATAATCAGTGGTGGCTTTTCTAGTGGGGGAAAAAATCATTCTGTTGCTCACAAACTGTCAGTACTTAAACAAACAAAAAGACCCCAAAAACTCTCTAACTCTAGTAGGCTCCAACCCATATCTTCTGAGCATGACCTCACATTACTGCAATTCAGCTTATCCATATTTGAGCCAACCAGAACTGCACATCCTTTCTGAGATAATCCAAGTGCTTCTTTACCTCAGAAGTTTTACATCTAAAACTCCCTTGGGTTACCCTCATCACCCAAGTCTCTATTTAAATTCTAGTCATCCTTCAAAGTCCAGCTCAAATGCAACCTGCTCTTTCAAACTTACCCTTATCCCCTACTCAGAAGCTCTTCTGGCCTTGCATAGATTCAGTCTGTACTTCTCATGTAGCTACAATCACATTCTCTCTCATCTATCTTATAGTATAATTGTTTGTGTGTATGTCATATTTCTTCAAGGCTCCTTGAGAAGAAGGTGTTTGACATGGTCATATTTGTGTTGTTCCCATCCCTCTGTGCTTTACACATACAAGAAAACAAAAAATGTTCATTAAGGATAGTGTATTCAAATGCCTGATCCCCAAAATGTCAGTACTATTCTCCCTAATACTCATTCACTGAGGAAATACTTCCTCAACACCTATTGTGTACAGGGGCAGTAGTGTACAAAAAGAGTCAGACATAGATCTTGCTCTCTCAAGAAGTTCACAGGCTACGAGATGTTCTAAGAGATCTCTAAACTGCTATAATACTAATAGATAAATGCCATAACAGAAGTAAAGATGCAGTACAACAGGAACCAACAACAAGAAGAGATTGGTTCCAAGTAGACATGGATATGAGGGTAAGTTTTAATTAACATTTGTGTTGGGCCCTGAAAGACAGATAGTATTTGAATATGTTGAGACAGGGATAAGGGGTTTTAAGATAGGGGAAATAAAGGCCATTAAGGCAGGAAATCCCAGGAGGAGACAGGGAACACTCAATAGTTCAGTAGTAAAGTATACATGAAAGATGACAGGGATAGAGAAAAATTTTAAAGGCAGTTAAAGTTATAATTGGTAAAACTCTGAAAGCCAAATAAGGAAGTAGAGTTTTAGTCTGTAAGCAATGAGGAACTATTTCAAAGTTCTTGAGCAGGAGCTGAGTAATTAGTCAGAAGGTCGAAAGTAGATTGGAAGGGAAACAGATTGTTGACAACAGACAAGTATAGAGGCTAGTATCACAATGCAAGAAAGAGGTAATAAAAGCCTGAACTAGGAATGAGGACTAGAGATGAAAATAGATGAGTGCAAGGCATATTTTAGAGACAACACTGAAAGAACTTGACAAGTTCTGAATGTGGAGTGCAAAGAAGGGTCTGCAAAGAGGTAAAATAAATTTCTAGGCTAGGAAGAGGGTGGTGCCATAACCAAAAGAGAGGACACTAAAGCAGCAGCAAATCTGAATGGGAGGAAACTGAGTCCTGGGCATACTAAATTTTGGTATCAGTGGACATTCAGGTGACAATATCATGAATAAAATATGTTAAGCTATGCTGTTTAGAACAAAATATAGAATTTTATGAAAAAGAGAGAGGAGCTCAGATAAATTAATCTTCAATAAAAGATTCTGATCAATGATTCAAACATGAACATAACCTCAAAAATATAACCTGCATAAGTTTCATTAAGTGCACAGCAGATTAAAATCTAAAAGCCCGTTTATGAAAGAGTTCTTCTCATGATCTAGAACAACATCATGTACCCAATAATCTTTTTGTTTATTTGTTTTGAGATACGGTCTGGCTCAGTTGCCCAGGCAGAGTTTGCAGTGATCTCAGCTCACTGCAACCTCCACCTCCCAGGCTCAAGCCATCCTCCCACCTCAGCCTTCCAAACAGCGAGGACCACAGGAGCACACCACGCCCAGCCAATTTTTCTATTTTTTGTTAGAGATGGGGTTTTGCTATGTTGCCCAGGCCGGTCTCGAAGTCCTGAGCTCAAGTGATCCACCCACCTCGGCCTTCCAAAGTGCTGGGACTACAGGCATGAGCCACCACACCCAGCCCAATAATCATTTTAAAACATGCTGATTCAGAGCTAATAGTAAAGTGGACACATGGAAGCCTCAAAGAATCTTACAGTTAAAAATTATGAGAGGCTGGGCACGGTGGCTCACACATGTAATCCCAGCACTTTGGGAGGCCGAGGAGGGTGGATCACGAGGTCAGGAGTTCAAGACCAGCCTGGCCAAGATGGTGAAACCCTGTCTCTACTAAAAAATACAAAAAAAAAAAAAAAATTAGCCCAGCATAGTGGTGGGTGCCTGTAATCCCAGTTAATTGGGAGACTGAGGCAGAGAATTGCTTGAACCCAGGAGGCGGAGGTTGCAGTGAGCCGAGATGGCGCCACTGCACTCCAGCCTGGGCGACAGAGAGAGACTCTGTCTCAAAAAAAAAAAAAAAAAAAAAAAAAAAAAATTATAAGGAGAAATGCTTCCATTAATATGGTAAATGCATCTTTTGTGGTCACTATCATTTAACCCCAATTTATACAATATCACAGCAAGAATGGTCAAGTCAGATGAGTAGCCCTGACTGACAAGGTCCCAACGGATACTAACTAGATCCTTTCGTCAATAAACACTGCTCATCAGTTAATAAAATGGAATTTACCTAGATGTATCCCTACCATATCCCCAGAATTCTCAAAAGCCTAAGAAACAAAAGATCATGAAATCACGTTGTGGGGCCAAAATAAAACCTCCAACATAAACTGAGGAGAAAATGAGGATTACAGCTATTCCATAACCATATCTTCTTAAGAACAAACAAAAGAAACTTGCATCAACATAAACTAAAATAACAACAATGTGAAGATGAATATCTAGCAATATAATCTGATATCAGTAAATAATGGTTACATGTATACTGAATAAAAAAAAGTAAAATCAAACACTAACTTGCAGCTAATTTGCCTAATAAGTATATACCACCTGTTAGATTTATTTATTCATTTGTTTATTAATATTGATAACATTCTTTTTACTAGATGCAATGTCATTATTTCAGTTTAGATCTTAAGGGAAAGAAAAATGAGAACTCAGTATTAATTACATTTTTACTAATGATGAGCAATAATATGAAGAACAAATTGGATTGAAATGTGCATGCTTCACATGTGACTACTCCATTAAAATTGTACAGTAATCATTTGTTCAAAATCACACTGATATTTTACAGCTATGCATAAATATAATGGAATGATACCCACCAAATGTTAAATAGTGTTAATCTTTTTATTATAGGTTTATGGGTGATTTTTATCTTCTTTTTTGCTTATGTATATTTTCAAGTTTTTCTATAATTAATGTTTTATTATAATGGTACCAAGAAGAAAATATATTTTTTAAAAGAGTAGGGAAAAACATATTGATGAATTTAAAAGAAAAATACTTACCAAGTCTCTGTGAAGCACCCAATTTGCATGGAGGTAATGGATACCATCAAGAATCTGGTAAAGTAAGGATTTAACCATAGATCTTGGCAACTGCATGGGCTTTTTATTTGCTTTTGATGCACGGTGAAACTTAATAATATGCTAAAAATTAAAAAAAAACATAATAATATAGTCTTTGCTAATATCTATGCCAATAAAACACAATCAATGCTGTAACAAATGCTCTATATTTTAAAATTACTTATTAAAGGCCAATAATGACACAAAGAAAAATAATTTGAGTAATAAGTTCAACCAAAACAATCTATTTTGAGGGTGACTGTGACCATGTTAATGAGGGGTTATAATGACTAAATTTACTGAAACCATTAAGATTTTCATTAAATAGGACCAAAAGGTAAAAAGGACTGATATTGAAACAGCTGCTGAAGAAGAGTATTATATTCTCTACTGACAGAATGAAAGATTTAAAAAAGAAAGAAAAACTGTAAATCTTCACTTTCTATAAAAAGTTAGCACTTAGTACACTTGGGTAACATCACTGATCAGGTGTATATTTGAATTATTGGAAAAGTTTCATCTTTGGCACAGAATAAATTAGAATATATTCCTAGGAGTTAATGTTAAATATGAAATTGCTAAAAAGGAAGAGAGAGAAAAAATAGGAAATTCGATCCCATTGAAATAAATACAACTGGGTCACCATATTCAAATTTTTATATCCACGTTATATTGTGGGTTATAAAAACATTGTACTGAAAGGGAAAAAATGCTACCTGCCCCCGCAGTGCTCCCACCTCCACCTCCATCCCTACCCCACCCCTGCCTCTGTCCAAAACATAAAATGGACACTGAGGACCATCAAAATCCTATGCAAACAATACTGATGAAATTGTCAATAGCGCTCCAGTAACTTTAAGATGACCAAATGGTATGTAAAATTATTAAGCTATTTATACAGCTTTTTTATTTTTATAAACTGTTCAGTAATAACATTGATTTGATTTTAAGAAATAATAGAAAAATAGAGTTTATACTACAGCAGTGATTTCCAGTAGAAATATACTGGGAGCCACATGTATAACTTTCCACTTTTTAACAGCTACATTAAAAAAGAGGCTGGGTGTGGTGGCTCACACCTGTAATCCCAGCACTTTGGGAGGCCGAGGCAGGTGGATCACCTGAGGTGAGGAGTTCAAGGCCAGCCTGACCAACACGGTGAAACCCCGTCTCTACTAAAAATACAAAATTAGCTGGGCGTAGTGGTGTATGCCTGTAATCCCAGCTACACAGGAGGCTGAGGCAGGAGAATCACTTGAACCCAGAAGGCGGAGGTTGCAGTGAGCTGAGATTGCATCACTGCACTCCAGCCTGGACAACAAAAGTGAAACTCCGTTTCAAAAAAAAAAAAAAAGAAACAGGTAAAATCAATGTGTGCACTTCAGATACTTCTGAAGTGAATTTTCTAAATATTACAAATACTATCTTCTCAGTAAAATGTCAGTTTATTGCTTAAGTTCTTTAAAATCAACATTTATGATTATATTTATTTTGAAATATGGTATTGGACAGTACAGTTCTACAGGATCTGACTATTCCAATGTACAACATCATCTTCTTTCATCACCCCACTGATGTTCAAAGTAAAGTACATACACTGTCCAGTAAGCCTTGGTTGACATATAGGGGAATATAGAAAAATGGAGAAAATACAATGTCTGTGAATATCCATGAAAAGAATTGAACAAAAAAAACACACTGGAAATTCTTGTCCATATCTGCTATAATAGCATACACTCTGAAAGTTTCTTTAAGACCTGAGTCTGTTAAAGTTATTCCTCAACAGATTTATAACTTATATAGATGACAAACCACATTATATTAAATCAAAATTTATTAGTCAGGTGTGGTCATGCACCTGTGGTCCCAGCTACTTGGAAGGCTGAGGCAGGAGGATCGCTTGAGCCCAGGAGGTCAAAGGTGCAGTGAACCATAACTGTGCCATTGCACTCCAGCCTGGGTGATAGAGCGAGACCCTGTCTCAAACAAACAAACAAACAAAAAAGGCTGGGTGTGATGGCTCATGCCTATAATCTCAACAGTTTGAGAGGCCAAAGTAGGAAAATCACTTGAGCCCAGGAGTTCAAGACCAGCTTGTGCAAGGTGGCAAGACCTTGTCTCTATAAAACATTTTTGAAAAATTAGCCAGGCATAGTGGTGCTAAATTAATTATCCATAATTTTAACTTAGTGCCAGATTTGAAGTTTGTTACTTTTAGCAGTTCCTCAGATAAAGTGTTTAAATGTTCTGATTCCTAATTTGAAAAGACAGGAATTAGAATTTTTTGCTTCTTTCATACGTTGATAAAAACATCCTTAAAGCAATCTTCACTATACATATTAGTAAACTGCCATTAATTACTTGCATAAAAGTATAGTCTCCCGCCAGGCATGGTGGCTCACGCCTGTAATTCCAGCACTTTGGGAGGCCGAGGTGAGCAGATTACCTGAGGTTGGGAGTTCGAGACCAGCCTGACCAACATGGAGAAACCCCGTCTCTACTAAAAATACAAAATTAGCCAGGCATGGTGGTGCATGCCTATAATCCCAGCTACTAAAGAGGCTGAGGCAGGAGAATCGCTTGAACCTGGGAGGCAGAGGTTGCAGTGAGCCAAGATCGTGCCACTGCACTCCAGCCTGGGCAACAAGAGCAAAACTCCCTTCCCCGTTCGTCTCCCCCGGGCCAAAAAAAGTATAGTCTCCCATTCATTAAAATCTTTCTGAAGTAAAATTTCTAAATATTACAAATACTATCTTCTCAGTAAAATGTGAGTTTATTGCTTAAATTCTTCAAAATCAACATTTATGTTTATATTGACTTTGAAATATGGCTAACAGAGCAAGCTTTCCTTTCTGTGCATTAACAATATGTATTTTATATAAATATGCTCCATACCTATATAAAACAATCCTAGAAATACAGTGAGATTATACTTACCCACAAGTCATGCTCTGCATAATCAAACAGCAGCCATACCTTCCTGTCACTGTGAGAAAGGAACACCTTCTGCAATGCAATCACATTAGGGTGCTTCAATTCTCGCAAAAGCTGAATGCAAAAGAAAGAGAGGGGTCACTGTTGTGTTAGCAAGGAGGGGGAAATGATGAATGTCTTATAACTTCAAAACGAAATTTCTGAAAATCTAGAGAATCCAGGTAAGCAAAATGAAAGAAAAAAATACCACCCAAAATACTGGCATTCAGAGATAAGCTCTGTCAATATCTTGGTGCATATCTTTCCAATCCTTTTTCTATGTGCTTAGGTATATCTGTTTTGTTTTGTTTTACTTTCTTTCTTGTCAGAGACTGCAAGCAGGAATGTGTTTTTAAAAATAGGATTTTAAATGGTAAAATGTAAAACAGCAAACAAAAGTAATATCATATCATTAAATAATTAATTACATTTTTGTACATGCATATCTTTTTTACTAAAGAAACTGTTCCTTGGGAGGCAGGACTCATGTATTAATACTGCTTATATCTACCCTAGCACTGTATTGGTGCTCAAGAAACAGGCGACAAAACAAGGAAAGATATTTAACAATCCCTGTACTTATCCATCCCTAGAGTATGTGGTTGAGGGTTTTTTTTTGAAGAGTAGTGAGTATAAGGGAATGACTGTCATGCCCACTTATAAAAACTGAAGTTGAGAACAGGTCCTGTAAACAGAAAAAAAGAAATAGGACTTCACAAAGTAAAAGCTTTAAGCTGGACTCTGACGATATGTAGGAAAGATAGACCAGAGCAGCAAGCAGAAACAGCACTTTGCGCATAACAGACAGCTGTTTGATAAAATATTTAGCAACAATGACATTATTGCTCAAGGTAAAAGCCTTAGAAATATGCCTCCCTCAGGCTGTCCTTAAACAGGGTTCAGATTTCACAGGTAAAGAGAAACATATTCAATTTAATAAATATTTTGAATACCTTTTAAATGTAAAGCTCTGTGAAAGATGCAAAAAGGGAAAGACAAAACTTCCCTTGAATATTTTATATGTGCAAGATGATTATATACAAATGTTTTTCTCTCACTTAATCTTTAGAACAATTTTATGATGCACACAGAACCCAAGGCTCAGTGTGATAAAAATAACATGACCAAAGTCAAATAGCTAGAAAGAGAAGGGGTTTGGACTTAAATAGATCTGCCTGATTGCAAAGTCCATGCTTTTTCCACTACAGCTAAAGTTCATGTCTTCAATTCCCACAATGTGGTAAGGAAGACAGACATATAAATAGATCAATGAGGCAGAGAAAAATAAACTGCTTACCCATTCTAATAACTTTAGTAACTTTTTTTTTTTAGACAGTGTCTTGCTCTGTTGCCCAGGCTGGAATGCAATGGCACAATCTCAGCTCACTGCAACCTCCGCCTCCAAGGTTCAAGCAATTCTCCTGCCTCAACCTCCTGAGTAGCTGGGATTACAGGTACGCACCACCATGCCCGGCTAATTTTTGTATTTTTAGTAGAGATAGGGTTTTACCATGTTGGCCAGGCTGGTCTCAAACTGCTGACCTCAAGTGATCTGCCCACCTTGGCCTCCCAAAATCTAGAGAGTTTGCCATTTTGAACACTTCAGGATCTCTGGCTCTGGCAAACCCTGTTTTTAATGACCCCATTGCTATGGCCAGCCTTGAAGCACTTACACTGTGGCAAGAGACTTCACCCCAGGCACAATGACTGTCTCCTTCTTTCTGACTCCTTGATATTGATGAACGTAGAGAGTTTGCCTTTATTACCTATGCAAAATATGTTCTCTTTGCAGCCTGAAGTAGATGGGAAAGTAGAACTCCACTTCCGCATCTAAACCAGGCTCTTGAAACACCCAACACTGGCACAGATCCCTGATTCCTGGACCTCACTTGTCTGGGAAAGTGGTTGTCACAGTAGCAATATTTAATCAACACTTCTAAAAAACTACATTTTCTGTGACTTCCAATTGTTGATCCCACTAGAATAAATTCATTTTAAGTCCTGTGTTAAAAAATTTGTTTTGACTAGATAATACATTCATATGGTTCAAAAATCAAAGTATATACAAGGTTATATATTGAAATGTCTCACTACCACTCCTCTTGCTTCCCTGGAGGTAACAACTTTTATTAATTGCTTATTTTCCTTGCAATGTTTCTTAATGCAAATAAAAACAAATATGAATATATATTTTATCCTCCATTGTTTACACAAAAGATAGCATAATATACACACTGTTCTGCACTTTGTTTGTTTTCTTACCCTTACTCTATCTTGGAAATCTCTTAATATTAGGACAATATCAATATTAGAAATACTTCCTTCAGGTGAGAAGTGATTTGGCATAAAAGAAAAATTTTTTTAAAGAAAAAAATAAAAATAATATTTCTTGTTCTTTTTTACAGTAGCATGGTATTTCTAGATCACCTCTTTTAATGTGGTAAAATATATACATAATGTAAAATTTACCATTTCAACCATTTTTAAGTATACTAGATATACTTAGTATATTTACTTAATCCCACTACTTATACTAGTTCAATGGGATTAAGTACAACCATCATCACTGTGTATTTCCAGAACTTTTTCATCCCAAAATGAAAATCTATACCATTAAATAATATCTCCAGGTTGCCCCCTACCCCCAGCTCCTGATAACCATTATCTAATTTATGTCTCTATGAATTTGACTGTTCTTGGTATGTAGCTCATATAAGTGGAACCATACAGTGTCTGCCCACTTGTGTCTGCCTTTTTTTCACACAATATAATGTCTTCAAGGTTCATTTGTGTTGTAGCATGTATGAGAATTTCATTCCTATTTAAAGCTGAATACTATTACATCGTATGTATAGACCATATTTCGTTTGTCCATTTGCCCCTCAACAGACATTTAGGGTGTTCTACCTTTTGGTTATTATGAATAATGTTCTCTATATATTGGTGTATAAATAACTATTTGAATCCCCACTTTCAATTCCTTTGTATATATACCCAGAAGTGAAATTGCTAGATCCTATGGTAACTCTATGTTTAATTTTTTGAGGAACCACCATATAGGTCATTTTTGTAAAAAAAAAAAAACTTTTTTTGTAGAGATAGAGTCTCACTACGTTGTCCAGGCTGGTGGAACAGCTGGTGGGTGAGGCAATCAGAATACACACAACATTTATAGATTAAGTTTGCCATTAATATTAGGACAATATCAATATTAGAAATACTTCCTTCAGGTGAGAAGTGATTTGGTATAAAAGAAAAATTTTTTTAAAGAAAAAAATAAAAATAATATTTCTTGTTCTTTTTTACAGTAGCATGGTATTTCTAGATCACCTCTTTTAATGTGGTCTCGAACTCCTGGCCTTAAGCAATCCTCCCACTTCAGCCTCCCAAAGTGCTGGGATTACAAGGTGTAAACCACTGTGCCTGGCCTAGGTCTCCTTTCCATATGTCATACAGATAGTTACTTCGTTGCTTCACAGATACTGTGTTTTTCCCAAGTAGAAGGTTTGTGGCAACCCTGCATCAACCAAGTCTACTGGCACCATTTTTCCAACAGCATGAAGCTCACTTAATGTCTCTGTGTCACATTTTGGTAATTCTTACAACATTTAAAACTTTTTCAGTATTATATCTGTTACAGTGATCAGTGATCTTTCATGTTACTATTGTAATTGTTTTGAAGCATCACAAATTGCACCCACATAAGATGGCAAACTTAATCTATAAATGTTGTGTGTATTCTGATTGCCTCACCCACCAGCTGTTCCCCCATCTTTCTCCCTCTCTTCGGGCCTCTCTATTGTCTGAGAAACAGTAATATTGAAATCAGGCCAACTAATAAAACTACAATGGCCTCCAACTGTTCAAGTGAAAGGAAGAATCTCACATATCTCTTGCTTTAAATCAAAAGCTAGAATGATTGAGCTTACTGAGGAAGGCACACTGAAAGTTCAAACAGGCTGAAAGCTAGGCCTCTTGCACCAGTTAGCCAAGTTGTGAATGCAAAGAAAAAGTTCTTGAAGGAAATTAAAAGTTCTACTCTGTTGAACACACAAAGATAAGAAAGCAAAACAGCCTTATTGTGGATAGGGAGAAAGTTTTAGTGATCTGGATAGAAGATTAAACTAGCTGCAACATTACCTTAAGACAAAGCTGGCTGGGCGAGGTGGCTCACGCCTATAATCCCAGCACTTTGGGAGGCCAAAGTAGGTGGATCACGAGGTCAGGAGTTCAAGACCAGCCCGACCAACATGGTGAAACCCCGTCTCTACTAAAAATAGAAAAAATTAGCTGGGCGTAGTGGCAGGTACCTGTAATGCTAGCTACTCGAGAGGCTGAGGCAGGAGAATCACTTGAACCCAGGAGGCAGAGGTTGCAGTGAGCTGAGATTATGCCAATGTACTCCAGCCCGGGCGACACAGCGAGACTCTGTCTCAAAAAAAAAAAAAAAAGACAAAGCCTAATCCAGAACAAGGCCCTAATTCTCTTCAATGTGTGAAGGCTGAGAGAGGTGGGGAAGCTGCAGAAGAAAAGGCTGAAGCTAACAGAGGTTGGTTCATGAGGCTTAAGGAGAGAAGTCACCTCTATAACATAAAAGTGCAAGGTGATACAGCAAGTTATCCAAAAGATCTAGCTAAGATCATTGATGAAGATGGCTACACTAAACAACAGATGTTCAATGTAGACAAAAGAGAATTCTATTGGAAACAGATTCCGTGTAGGACTTTCATAGCTAGAGAGAAGTCAACGCCTGGTTTCAAAGCTTCAAAGGACAGGCTGACTATCTTACTAGGGTTTAACGCAACTGGTGATTTGAAGTTGAAGCCAATGCTCATTTACCATTCTGAAAATCCTAGGACCCTTAAGAATTATGCTAAATGGCCGGGTACAGTGGCTCACGCCTGTAATCCCAGCACTTTGAGAGGCCGAGGCAGGTGAATCACCTGAGGTCGGGAGTTCGAGACCAGCCTGACCAACATGGAGAAATCCTGCCTCTACGAAAAATACAAAACTAGCCGGGTGTGGTGGCGCATGCCTGTAATCCCAGCTACTCAGGAGGCTGAGGCAGGAGAATCACTTGAACCTGGGAGGCGGAAGTTGTGGTGAGCCAAGATCGTGCCATTGCACTCCAGCCTGGGCAACAAGAATGAGACTCCATCTCAAAAAAAAAAAAAAAAAAAAAAGAATTATGCTAAATCTACTCTACCTGTGCTCCATAAATGTAACAACAAAGCCTAGATGACAGTGCATCTGTTGACAGCATGGCTTACCGAACATTTTAAGCCCACTATTCGGACTGACTACCTAGAAAAAAGATTCCTTTCAAAAGATTACTGCTCATTAACAATGCACCTGGTCACCCAAAAGCTCTGATTGAGATGTACAAGGAGATTAATGCTGCTTTCCTGTTTGCTAACACAACATCCATTCTGCAGCCCGTGAATCAAGAAGTCATTTTGACTTCCAAGTCTTATTCTTTAACAAATACATTTCATGAAGCTATAGCTGCCATAGATTGTGATTTCTCGGATGGATCTGGGCAAAGTAAATTGAAAACCTTGTAGAGAGGATTCACCATTCTAGATGCCATTAAAAACATTCATGATTCCTTCAAGGAGGTCAAGGCATCAACATTAACAGGAATGTGGAAAAAGTTGATTCCAACCCTCATGGATAATTTTGAGGAGTTCAAGGTATCAGTGGAGGAAGTAAATGAGATGTGGTAGCAATAACAAGAGAACAACAATTAGAAGTAGAGCTTGAGGATTAACTGAATTTCTGCCATCTCATGATCAAACAGGTTTGGATAAGGAGTTGCTTCTTATGGATGGGCAAAGAAAGTGATTTCCTAAGATGGAATCTACTCCTGGTGAAGATGCTGTAAACACCACTGAAGTAACAACAAATAATTTGGAATATTACATAAACTTAGTTGGTAAAGTAGTGGCAGGGTTTGAGAGGACTGACTCAAATTTTGAAAGAAGTTCTAATATGGGTAAAATGCTATCAAATAGCATTGCATGTTACAGAGAAATCTTTCAAGAAAGGAAGAGTTCATTGATGCAGCAAACTGTATTATTGTCTTACTTTAAGAAATTGCCACCCCAGCCTTCAGTAACCACCACTCTAATCAGTTAGCAGCCATCAATACTGAGGCAAGACCATCCACCAGCAAAAAGATTATGACTCACTGAAGGCTTAGATAATCATTAGCACCTTTTAGCAATAATGTATTTTTTAATTAAGATATATACATTTTTATACATAATGCTACTGGACACTTATAGCAGTGTATATTTATACTGTAAACTATAGTATAATAAATATGACTTCACTGGGAAACCAAAAACTTTGAGTGACTTGCTTTATTACAATATTTGCTTTACTGCAGTGGTCTGGAACCAAACTTGCAATATCTCTAAAGTCTGCCTGTGTAAGAGGGAAGAGTGTAAAGTTTATAACTACATGCATTTACTAGAAATTCTTCCCTAATCCCCAAATTTGCATTTTCTAGAGCGTCAATATGCACTTTCTATTTCTGTGTACCTCTTATGCTTTTTCTACCCTATGGGTTTCTATAAGTCACTAAATATCAACATGAAGGCCGACTGAGGCAAAGAAATAGCAAACTAATGTTACCTATATCTATTTTGTTACTTCTTCTAATTCACCTTTCACTCTGCAGCCAGGAGTGATATTTCAAAAATCCTTAACTGATCATCTGTCACTATGAACAGGTCTAAGGAATCAAAGCAAGAGATGAGGCAAAGACCATATAAAAGGAGCCTTGTAAGCCATGCAGAAGTGTCACCATTGGCAGGGCGCGGTGGCTCATGCCTGTAATCCCAGCACTTTGGGAGGCCAAGGCGGGTGGATCACGAGGTCAGGAGATCGAGACCATTCTGGCTAACATGGTGAAACCCCGTCTCTATTAAAAATACAAAAAAAAATTAGCTGGGCGTGGTGGTGGGCACCTGTAGTCCCAGCTACTCCAGAGGCTGAGGCAGGAGAATGGCATGAACCTGGGAGGCGGAGCTTGCAGTGAGCCGAGATCGCGCCACTGCACTCCAGCCTGGGAAGCAGAGAGAGACCCCATCTCAACATAAAAAAAAAAAAAAAAAAAGGAAGAAGAAGAAGAAGTGTCACCATTGAGGTTCTCTAGTATCACTGGCAACATGGTAGGGTAAATGGGTCAGTGGAGAAGCCAGCTGTTAGAAAAGGTACCACCCTTTGATTACCTTCTGTACATGTTTTATGACTCTCAGATTTGGCCTCACTGAATTATATTAGAGTATCTTTCAATGTTTTAACTGTTTGCATCTCTCCCCTGCCCTCCTCCTGCATTAGACCATAAGGTTCTTGAAGACAAATACAATTTTTACTTACTAACTTATTTATTTTGAGACAAGATCTCACTTTGTCTCCTAGGCTGGAGTACAGTGGCACGATCATAGCTCACTGCAGCCTCAAACTCCTGGGCTCAAGCCATCCTCCTGCCTTAGCTTCAGTAGCTGAGACTACAGCTGTGAGCCACCATGCCCAGCTGATTTTTTTATTTTTTTGTAGAAATGGGGTATCACTTTGTTGTCCAGGCTAGTCTTGAGCTTCTGGCTTCAAGTGATCCTCCTGCCTCGGCCTCCCAACATGTTAGGATTCCAGGTGTGAGCCACCACACTAGCCCAGAAAGACATTTTAAAATTTATTTCTATATTCCTAGGGACTAGCACAATGCCTGACACATTGAAAGAGCTCTTTAAGTGATCTCATCTAGTCTGCGGGCTTTAAATGTCACCCATATGCATTAACTCCCAAATGTTTACCTCTAGTCCACCCATCTCCCCTGAACACCAGCTATGTGTATCCAGCTGCCTCAAGAGCTCCATTTGAATGTCTAAAAGCCAAAACTGAGGTTGCGCTCTCTACCTCCACTACCCTCTATTCCAGTACCTCCAGTACCTCTATTCCCACTGCTCTTCCCTCGCCTCAGTTAATAGCAACTCCATCATTGCAGTTATTCAGGCAAAAACCTCATCTACTTTAACTCTTTTCCCAAATATCTCCTCCTCAGTGAGTCTTCCCTAGCCTTTCTATTTAAAATCGCAACCACCATTCTGCACTTTATCTTTCTGCAAGTACTAACACTTTCAAACATACCATAACTCTATATCCCTTATCTACAATTCTAAAGAAACTGTAGAAAATCAAAAGCTTTCTAGTAACTCAGGTAGAAAAATTATTTGTAATTCAATAGAAAAAAATGCATTGTTAGGGGCACATCCTTTCAGTTACCTGATTCTGATTCTAGAGAAGCTATTTTACAACTCTGTACATTACACATAACTGATAACGATGCAGAATAATTCTCAACTATAAGCATACAAATTATGTGCTGTCCGGTAGAGGTTCACTGACTTCCCTCCCCAATAGTGGAAGAAGCTGGTTTTGCCTCAATTTGCATATCCATTTCAATATTCCTGATCTGTACACGTACCTGTTTTAAAGTTTCTCCTTTGAATGGGCTATAATACCAGCTTGGTTCCTTCATTCAAAAAGTTAAA
Source organism: Homo sapiens (assembly GCF_000001405.40). Lineage (NCBI taxonomy): Eukaryota > Metazoa > Chordata > Mammalia > Primates > Hominidae > Homo > Homo sapiens. The sequence continues at coordinate 110,679,025 of NC_000006.12, forward strand.
TAAGCTGGATGTAGTGGCTCACACTTGTAATTCCAGCACTTTGGGAGGCCAAGGCAGGAGGACCACTCAAGGCCAGGAGTTTGAGACTAGTCTGGTCACACAGCAAGAGCCCTATCTCTACAAAAAAATAAATTAAATTAAATTATCCAGGCATGGTGGTGCAGGCCTGTAGTCCCAGCTACTAGGGAGGCTGAGGTACGAGGACTGCTTGAGCCCACGAGTTCAAGGCTGCAGTGAGTTATGATCGTACCACTGCCCTCCAGCCTGGGTGACAGAGTGAGACCCTGTCTCTAAAAAAAAAAAAAAGTCCAGGTACAGTGGCTCATGCCTGTAATCCCAGCACTTGGGGAGGCCAAAGAGGGCAGATCACCTGAGGTCAGGAGTTTGAGACCAGACTGGCCAACATGGTGAAACACCATCTCTACTAAAATACAAAAATTAGCCAGGCGTGGTGGTGGGTGCCTATAATCCTAGCTACTCAGGAGGCCGAGGCAGGAGAATCCCTTGAACCTGGGAGGCGGAGGTTGCAGTGAGCCAAGATCACACCATTGCACTCCAGCCTGAGCAACAAGAGCAAAACTGTCTCTAAAAACATAAAAAATTTTTTTAAAAAAAGAAAGTTAAATAAAATCATTAAAATGTGTTCATCTTATACCTGTATAACAGTCATAATTTTACCTTTTTTGAAAACAATCATTTAATACTCATTGTACAGAAATATGTCACTTAAACTGACAAGAAGCTGTTTATTGTCTGACATGAAGCTATTAAATGGACATGAAACTGTTTATATGTTATTTATTGTCTGTCTCTCTCCACTAACATATAAGCTCCATGAAGGCAAAGGTATTTGTTGACTTTATATCTCCAATGCATAAAATGGTACCTAGCACATAATAAGCATTCAATAAATATTTGTCAAATAAATTAAATCTACTCAACCGGTTCTTACTCACAAAATAACCAGTAATGGCCTGTAACCTAATAAAACTTTGCTACCCTTTCATAAGTTATTCTTTTTCAAAAGGTGTTTTAAATGATTTTGTTTTCAACAAATTGAATAGACAATATCTAAAATAATTATTCCAGGGACGCTAAGCCTCCACAAGCTCCATTTACTTTAGGCTTAAAAAGGAAGACTTCTTTAAATTAGCACCTACTCTACCAGAAGAATAAGAGTGCTGGCTTGAGGTAAAGAGCAGCAACACAGCTCTGAATATCTCAGGATGGGATCTTTAACCTGGTGTATAATTCGAAGAGCAAAGGAGTGCTATGAGGGTATTTCCTGAAAGGGCTGTGAGCACAATAAGTGCTACAAAATCCTAAAGAAAATAACACAAAGGAACAGGGGACACAGGGGAACACAAGTGAAGCAGATATTAACCTTATTAGTAGTTATGTCCAAGGCCAGTTTACTAAGAAAATGCTAGGCTCTAGATAAACATCACACAAGAGTGTATTCACTACCTCTGTTTACTGAAAAAAACAAAGAAGTTAACTTTCCTACTGTTGTTTACTGAAAGAAACAAATGAACAACAACAGTAAACAACCTAAATGTTCAATAATAAGAAAACTGATAAGTAAATTATGGTAAATAGCCACATATTGTAGCCTCAAATATATATACTAAAATATTTTAATTACTCGAGGAAAGACTATAACGTTGTGATATAATGTAAAAGGACCACAGGCTGGGTGCAGTGGCTCACACCTGTTATCCCAGCACTTTGGGAGGCCGAGGTGGACAGATCACTTGAAGCCAGGAGTTCGAGGCCAGCCTGGACAACATGGCAAAACCCCGTCCCTACTAAAAATACAAAAATTAGCCACGTGTGGTGGTATATGCCTGTAATCCCAGCTACTCAGGAGGCTGAGGCAGGAGAATCACTTGAACCTGGGAAGCAGAAGTTGCAGTGAGCAGAGATCGTCCCACTGCACTCCAGCCTGGGCAACAGAGTGAGACTCTGTCTCAAAATAAATAAATAAATAAAATAAAATAAAATATAAAGAGATATAAATAACAGAAAATGGGCTGGGCGTGGTGGCTCACACCTGTAATGCCAGCAGTCTGGGAGGCCGAAGCAGGCAGATCACTTGATGTCTTGAGATCAGGAGTTCACGACTGGCCTGGCCAACACGATGAAACCCCGTCTCTACTAAAAATACAAAAATCAGCCGAGCGTGGTACCGCATGCCTGTAGTCCCAGCTACTCGAGAGACTAAGGCAGGACAATCGCTTGAACCCGGGAGACAGAGGTTGCAGTGAGCCAAGATCGCACCACTGCACTTCAGCCTGGGCACCAGAGTGAGACTCTGTCTCAAAAAAACAAAAAACAAACAGAAATATGCCAAAACATTAACAATAGTTATTTCTGGGTGTGAGATTATGCATAATTTATATTTCTATTTTTTCTATTTTACAAGTTTTCTTCAATGAGCATTACTCTTATAATTTAAAAACAAATACATACACACACCAGAAGACAGAACTTTCCAGAAATCCACCTACCAAAATAAGACACTATCATACTATCTCAGCTTCTTTTTACATGGTTATCTGAGAAGGGACACAGTGAAAGGAGATGGCCATACTTGTACTTTCCCCATCTCTTGGCAAAATCAGATTTTACCAACGGACTTTAATCTCTTGTCTAACAAATGTTTGTTCAACATGACATCATACAACTACAAATACGTGTAATCATACTTAAACAGCAATTAAGTAGACCATTATTTTCCTGTGTCTCATATTATATGATAACATCTTCCATGCCAGATACTCACAGCATAGTAACATGATCCCACTGGAGCCTAATGAAGAATGTTCAATGAACATGCCAATATTTTATCTGAGCTCCTTTCAAAGCATGTAAGTAGCTATTTTTAAAGTGTCCACTTTTCACTGTCCTAAATGTAAAATAATCTACAGTTAGAATTCTAAACTTTCTCTAGATCCTGACTCAATTTAGAGAGTCTGTACTAGACTAAAAATTCCAGAATCCATTCGTATTTTTATGTATACATCTTTCTTCCCTTTTCACTTTCTGTTCTCCAAGTCTATGATGCCCTCATGGGTCCCTGACTCCTTTTTCAAGGGCATTCTGAATGGAAAGATCCTCTTATACTTCAATTACTCACTTATCTCAAAGTAAATCCAATTTTCTATTCTTTTTTGATCTCTTTTAAGTAACAGTGTGATTCATTTGACCATCAATCTTTCCCCTCAGTGAGAACAGTATCACCGACTTTATTTTAGAAAGCACTGAGTATCATTTTTTAAAATGTCTTAACACCTCTTTCCCCTTCCCAAAGAACTGAAGGTAAATGAAGTAGGGTGTTTTATGGCAAATAGGAGATTTGCCTAATTCCAAAATGTTCCAATACTCCTAAAACTGTAAATTAAGAATTAGTATTTGAAAGTTGACACTTTCACACCTACGACAGGCCTTTTGGAAGCTGCTCTTTATAAACACATGAGATTCATCATAACCTTCCAGCAGGTGGCACTCATACTCTGAAAAGGGGTCTGTACAGACTAACACAGCTCTGGTTCAAGGTGGCCCTAAATCTTCTGCTTCATTTTACTTCAGTGACACTTCCTGGTTACCAGTCATAAGCTCCAGGGAGGTCAATGTTCCCCTTTGCCACCCAGTTGAAATGACAGTGAGGCAGTAAGTAAAATGCAAAAAATATAGGTTTTAGAATCAGAGGCTGAGTTTGAATCCTGTCTTACTAGCAGCAGTTAAGACATAAGGCAAGTTGCTTAACTCTTCTGAATCTCATAGAAGAATAAGATGTCTACTTACAAACATAAACAGTTTCCACAAAGAATAAATTAATATAAATAGATTAAATACACAGCACAGTGGGCCAGGCACGGTGGCTCACACCTCTAATCCTGGCACTCTGGGAGGCCAAGGCAGGTGGATCACCTGAGGTCAGGAGTTCGAGACCAGCCTGGCCAATATGGTGAAACCCAATCTCTACTAAAAATACAAAAATTAGCCAGGCATGGTGGTGGGCGCCTGTAGTCCCAGCTACTCGGGAGGCTGAGGCAGGAGAATCACTTGAACCCAGGAGGCGGAGGTTGCAGTGAGTCAAGATGGTGCCACTGCACTCCAGCCTGGGCAACAGAGCAAGACTGTCTCCAAAAAAAAAAAAAAAAAAAAAAAGTACATAGCACGATGCTTGGAACGAATTAAGCATTTGACAAATTATAGCTTTTATTATCATTTTTAACCACCACTATTTGCAAGAATGTTATGAAGAGTAAATCGGATAATCCAGGTAGAATGCCTGGCATTGTTCTTGATAAACAGTGGCTGTTGTCATTGTTGTACTTAAGTGAAAATTTCAATGCTAACCACTCCGGTTAGCTTTGACATCAGAGATACTTAGAGAGTGAGGCTGAGTTGGAAAATGCCACAGCATTTCCTTGCCAAAGTCCATGAAACACCCACTTAGTAGTTTCTATAATAATAAAATGGCTATATGAAAGTTATTTCCTTTCCCATTTTTCAACAATCTGGTTTCATTTTCTCTCTGACTTTTAAATTCTGCATGTACTTGGTCTAAGAGAGATATCTGAAACCAAGTAAGCTTTGCGATAAATAAGAAATTCACATCTCCTTGACTATGAGAGCATACCTATTCTTTTTTAGTATAAGTATTTAATCTTTTTTTTTTTTTTTTTTGGAGACAGAGTCTCACTCTGTTGCCAGGCTGGAGTACAGTGGCGTGATCTCAGCTCACTGCAACCTCCACTTCCCGGGTTGAAGTGATTCTCCTGCCTCAGCCTCCCGAGTAGCTGGGATCACAGACACATGCCACCATGTCTAGCTCATTTTTTGTATTTTTTTTTTTTTTAGTGGAGATGGGGTTTCACCTTGGCCAGGCTAGTCTCAAATTCCTGACCTCAGGTGATCCACCTGCCTCAGCCTCCCAAAGTGCCGAGAATACAGGCATGAGCCACCATGCCCAGCCTTAATCTTTTATTAACATATCCCATGAGAAAATTGGATATACTTCTTATAAATCAAGGGCACTCTGAATATACACAATTTAAATATGAAAAATGAAACAGATACAAACTAAAACAAAGAGTTTACAAAGTAAAATCTTAATTACCTGGAATTCTGAGGGGTATTCTAACTCATTTACTGATTCATTAAGTAAACTTTTGCTTGCAACCCTCCTTGTCAAAAACCTTCCTACCTTGACAGTTAAACAAAATGAAATTTGCATTTGACTCTATGTAGTCTTCTTTATTTATTTTTGTTGTTGTTGTTGATTTTGCATTGCTATAAGACCCTAGGCAGTCTTTCAGTCCCTTGGGATTTCGATAATCAACTACTAACAAATGTTTATGTCCTTCTTATTTATCCTTTTCTCTCCTTGAAATAGAATGGTGGGGTGGGGGGTGGGGAATAAGGGGTGGGGGACGTGGGTGAAACTAACCTAAAATTCCTTATTTAGATTCTGGCTTAAAAGAAAAAAGTATCGACTTATTCTCCAAATTCTGTCCCTAGTTTTCTTGTCCTTCTCCATTCCACAGTTTTTCTTAACATCTTACCCATGGACCTGAGCTTTAGCTGCTCCTTCTATGGAGAATCCCAAATCTCAATCTCTAGCCCTAATGTCACTCCTAAACTGACATCAATTTCCCAAGATGCATCATACAATACAACCAAGAGAATATCCCACTGTAACTCAAAATCCACAGATCCAAAACTGAGTATCACTTGCCCAACTTTACCTCCTAGTGTGTTTACTATACCTGCAATGATGCCAACATTTCCCAATCATCAAGGCAGGCTGAAAACCTTATCATCAGCCAGGCACAGTGGCTCACACCTGTAATCCCAGCACTTTGGGAGGCTGAGGCAGGTGGATCACCTGAGGTCAGGAGTTAGAGACCAGGCTGGCCAACATGGCGAAACCCCATCTCTACTAAAAATACAAAAATTACCAGGCATGGTGGCTTGTGCCTGTAGTCCCAGCTACCCAAGAGGCTGAGGCAGGAGAATCTCTTGAACCTAGGAGGCAGAGGTTGCAGTGAGCCAAGATTGTGCCACTGCATTCCAGCCTGGGCGACACAGCGAAACTCTGTCTCAAAAAAAAAGAAAAGAAAACCTTATAACCAGTGTTCACTCACCAAGTGCTACATACTCTGCTTCTTAAATATCATTCATTAATTCTCACCTTAATAATTAAAATAAACCCTTAACTAGTATATACACAGGTGCTCTTCTCTCTGCCTAGAAAGGTACAGAAACATATTTCCTATCTTCTTTGCCTGATAAATGCCTACTTACTTTTTAGAAAGAACTCATTTATCACTTCTTCTAAGAGGCCTTCCCTGAAACTCTTCTTCTGAAGTGTCTCTTCTATGTTCCCATCCATACTGAATTACCCTTAACACACTGCTAATTAAATAAAGTTATGACATAGTATAATTGTCTCCCCCTAACTGATTGTAAGATGCAGGGACTGTGTCTTCCATCTATACATTTCCATTGTCTTGCACAAGCCAAACACATGTAGATTTTCAACAAATGTTGGCTAAGTGATAATCCATCTCCTATCTCTTCTAATATACTCTATGTATTGACATCAGAATATCTTCCTAAGATAAAAAGTCTGATAAATTGTTAACTCTCCTACTTCGAAATTTTAGATGGCTTCAAAGTTAAAACTCCTAAATAGACCATTCAAAGCTATTCACCCCAAAGGCTAAAACTATTTTTCCTGTAAATAATTTATTTTGGAGGACCTGAGGCTCAAGCTAAAACTATACTGTAAAGATTTTAACCAAAAATATGGCAGGTGACTAAGATCAAGTTAAGGACAAGTGGGCTTTCCCCTGCAAAAGGGAGTATCATAATTGGCGTATGTATGGCCTTTACCTTCAGGATGCTCCATATGCAATCATCATGAATTGGCTTCTAAGTCGTCACTGCACAGAATTCTGCCCATTACGTCCCATGAAGCCTTGCCCTGGGACATGGGAATGAGGCAGAAGCATGATGGAAAATACCCAGCAGATAGCAATGGGAAAAAAAAGTCTAAAAATCTACCATTAGAAAACATTTGAGTGCCAAGCATATTTGAGGCACTGAGAGCCTTGGGGACTTTACAGCCTAAAAGGAACTGAAGAGGAGACAAAATGGACAATTTTTAAATTACAGTTATGGTGAGGCTATTAAGGAAAAATACAGAGTGCATATGTAGGAAACCTAACCTAGTCACGAAAGTCAGAAAAGATGCTCCTTAGGAAGTGTGCCTTATTGGAAAGAAGAGGAAATTGAGAATTTGAGCATTAATCAGCAGAAATGAGTGCTGGCAGTTATTTTCATTATATCATGAATACACAGACGCTAAAAGAACTCCTTAACTATTCATCTTCTGGGTGCAAACATCAGATAAAATCCCTACTTTATTCTAAATTTGCTATGGCAGATTTCCATCACTACATGATAGGGTGTATCTCTTATCTTTCCATATGAATATTAATAAAATCATCTAGCACAGGACCTAACAAAGTAGAGACTCAACAAATTTTAGATGAGTAAATGAAAGTAACAGTACATGAACTGGTTTTCAAACACGTTGGTTAAATGAAATTTATTCCATATTGAGAAAATATTATTTTCAAAACTGCCATTATCAAGCACCTACAAAAATATTCAAAAAAATTAGATTTCTCAAGGAAATAATCATAGGTTTGAAAAATAATCTGAAATTGACATTTGATTAATTAAGCATAATAAAGTGTAATTTTATCCTATGTGGCCATAGTAAACCTTAGTTTTATGTCAGTGCAAACTTGGGCTATTTGGTTTTATACCTAACCCATATCTTTATAACTTACACTTCTAAAATACATAGTTTCGGCCAGGTGCGGTGGCTCGTGCCTGTAATCCCAGCACTTTGGGAGGCCAAGGCAGGAGGATTGCTTGAGCCCAGGCATTCAAGACCAGCCTGGGAAACATGGGTGAGACCTCATATCTACATTTAAAATTAATTAATTAAAAATAAAATATATAGTTTGCATTTTCTGCTTTTACTAAACAAGCTATCAGGTAAAGCCCCCTAGAATTCATACCTTTCTCTACCTCCCAGATGGCACTGGCTGAGGATCTGAAGGGAGAGGAGGAGGTCAGCTTTCTGATGGAACTTACCTAACACATGTTGAAAGTTCCACTTTTCAGGACATTGGGCATTATCAGTGGTCAGACACCCCACCCCAGACACAAGAAATGGTACTAACTTTAACAAATTACAGCCAAGGGTTTTAATTATTAATGGCTAAATTACCAGTACCAATGATTCAATGTATTTTAGATCACTATGCTTCTAGAGAAGATAAACACAGTGAAGTCAAGGCTCAGACAAATTATCCATTTGTAGTTCCTGAAGACCTCACAGGAATTTTAACAGTAGTAATAAGGAAAGCAGCTAAATGATCTGACCCAAATACAGTCCAGGAAATAGTTACTGTATTGTTTCCATTAAACAAAAATGCCACTTCCTTCCCACTCTGCTAAGAAAACTGGGTACGTGTTATGAGAAAACACAGAGGGGGATGAGCTTCCACAATGAAGTAAATGATTTCTTTTATACTAAGCATTTACTAATTTTAATCAATAAATCCTAAAAATGGTATTTCCACTAAGAGTGATAACTTTAATTTTTTAAAAGAGCTATATTATTACATGTGTGGCTTTTATGTAAATGTTAAACAATGACTAGAAAAAGAATCTAGAAATCACTAAATTATAATAATGAAGAATAAGTAACACCATAACTTTCGATAATTTTGTGTTTTGCAGTGCACCTAAGGACAACATTAATCTGAAAGTAAGCTTTCCTTGAATTTCTAAGCTTTGATATTTACTGTCTATTCAAAGCTGCTTGAAAATAAATTATGTACATATTTTTTGCAGGGAGGGGTCAAATCTCACATACACTCTCCTCTTTGAAATGTTCTCCAGTGTAAGTTCTGGTCACATACTTCGATACACTTCAAACAAACACCCACAACGGGGAAAGGTTCTTTTAAATAAAATACACAGGGAAGGCCGGGCATGGTGGCTCATGCCTGTAATCCCAGCACTTTGGGAGGCCAAGGTGGGCAGATCACTTGAGGTCAGGAGTCTGAGACCAGCCTGGCTAACATGGCGAAACCTCATCTCTACTAAAAATAAAAAAATTAGCCAGGCATGAATCACCTGAACCTGGGAGCCGGAGTCGTGCCACTGTACTCCAGCCTGGGCAACAGAGCAAGACTCCATGTCCAAAAAAACAAAAAACTATATATATATATATAAAATGCAGGGAAGTTTTTTTTCCCAAGATGGCAGATTGGAGGCAGTGTTAGCATGCCTCTCCCACTAGGAAAGACAAAATAGTGTGTAGAGACTCACTCTGGGAACTTTTTTCCAAGAAGCAACGCAGGAACTTAGGAAACCTGAAAAAATCCACAGACCCTTTGAAAGAAGTGTCAGGCTGCAGCCTACACCGTGAACCAGGCAAAAAACTGTAAGTCTCCTGAGTGTGAGAAGGGGAAAGACTGCCTCCAAGATATACATCCCCACCAGGGAACCTGGAAATCCAGGCCACAGAGAAGGGCCTTAACCCCACCCAGCACAGGAGCTGATTTAGGGAGTGGTGAGGAATAGAAAGGTAGGAGCAGCAGTGGGAAGAGCCTTGCATGCATTCTCCAATGCAGACTGAGGGAAGCCATTCTACCTCACAGGGGACCTCGTGGAAGTCAGCCAGCTAACTCAGGCAGTGGCTGCAGGTTGAAAGAAGCCCTCAACTGAATTTCACAATGTAACCTCAAGTGGGGACAAACCCCCTTGGCCAGAACTAGGCGACGAGTGGGAAGTGTGCTGCAGCCATGAGTGCAGGAGCTGGGTGCCCTGGCTTTGCCAGCAGACTGGGAGGGGCAGTTGCTATCTCCAGGTAAGGCTTATACCCTGGGGCAGTTTTGAGTTCTGAGCATACACAGCCTGAACTTAGCTCATTGCTGCTAGCAGAATACGGTGGGTGTCAGATCTGCCTTGCCAAGTGCATGGGAACTGGGTGGGGCTTACTGCCGCATACTACTCCCCACTCCCTGCATGAACTCTTCTGTGCAGCAGAGGCAGCTATGTTCCTCTCTGGAACATTACCCCAGAGGCCAGAGAACCACCTCCTGACTCCCACAGAGGCCGCTGCTTTCCTTGCATGCAGGGAATCAGAGCACAGACCTACCTGACTGAGCCCCCACCTGGCTTTGCCCCTCCACCCACCCTGGTAGCTTAACACAAAAGACAAAAACTTCTGGGAGCTTTTCGGCCCCACCCATCACCTGAAAAATCAGAGTACCTCCCCTGGGTAACACAAGGCAAGTAAAAATCCCACCACTACTACCACAGGTGGTGCTCTCTTGCAAGCGTCACTTCCTGGCTAGAGGCCAATCAACACAGTCCATTAAAGCATCTCCAGGTAGAATAACATTGACATTGTGGCCAGGAAGGAAAAAACTTGTGCATCACCACTGCCTGTACCACTCTGCCTAACCAGGAGGTCCTGAATCTGCCCACATGACAGGTTCATTACTATTACAATCAGCATTTGAGAAAGCCAACATACTAAGGCTATCTATATCTAAGGAATCTCGGAGTCTGCGTCACTCCCCGGCCACCCTCATCAGACTTGGTGCTGGTACCCACTGCTGAAAGACTTGAGGACAGGTCACATCACTGGATTCTTTGCAGACATTCTGCAGCACCAGCCTGGAGTGTGGCAGCCCCACTGGGCAGCTAGACCCACAGGAGCAACAGCATTCACAGTAATCTGGCTCTCAGGGACTCCTACTCCTAGGGGAAGGGGAAGTGCACCATATCAAAGGAACATCCCGTGGGACAAAATCATTGCGACAGCAGGCTTTGAGTCCCAGATCTTTCCACTAGTGGTAAATTTCTTTCAGCAGAGGCATAGTTGCAGTGCTGGGCTCAGTGGGGAAAGTCTGCAGCTCTACCCCAACAGTCAGGTGGCCCTGGTGCTCATGAAGGGTCTTGGAGAAGGGGACTTCTATTCCCCCTCGTTCAACACTGCAGACAGTTAGGGCTTCCCCCACAGGAGCTCAGTATGTGTGCACCTATAGACAGCCTTTCTGGAACTCTTCATGGTGACTGCATCCCCACAGGAGGAGTATCTGCCAGGTTCAGGCTTGCATAAGAGGTAGAGTCACAACTCCTCTCTACTCAGAACATCAACATTCCTGCAGATGAAGAAGCGCCCATCTGATAAATAGCCAGACTACTGGGTCAGAAGTGGGTCTAGGAGATAGATAGCTTCCCTGCTGACCTGGCAGGGGAGCTGAGATGGCTCCCACCTTTCCCCCGTAAGACCTCAGTGCATTCCACTGAAAGCTTCCCCAGCCACCTCTGACAAGGCTGTGACTTCTGCCCATCATTGGCTATTGCATTTACCCAACTGCTTGAGCACAATGGGTTTCTACCCAAGGACACCTCCCCTACTGGCCTGAAGCTTAAAATAGTCACCCTAGTAAATAAAATACTGGGGAAAAAATAAATAAGTAAGTCCACACCACAAAGGAATAAGATAAGCTTCAAGAGACCACTGCCATTCCAACCCTATAGGAGACAATGAATTTGCTCACACACTGAGCACATTGCTACTACAACCAGCATCTGAGACAGTCATCAAAGACTCTCTATAATGACAGAACTCATATAGAGTCATCACCCCTGAAAATACCAAAAGCCAAATTAGGCTATAATAAACTATAAACATTAAAGTCACATCCTTAAGGAAGGGAAAAAGAAATTTTATAAAAAGTCAAATAAAAAATAAATTCAAGAATAATTAGGAAAGATAGTTTACCCAAATGACAAGGAACCAGAAAAATAATTCTGGTAATATGATAAAACAGAGCTCAGCAACATCCACAAAAGATTACACTAGCCCTCCAGCAATGGATCCAAACCAAGATGAAATATTCGAAATATCAGATAAAGAATCCAAAAGGTTAATTATTAAGCCACTCAAGGAGATTCCAGAGAAATGTGAAAACCAACATGAAGAAATTTTTTAAAAAAAATCCAGGATATGAATGAAAAATTTTCTAAGAGATAGACATCTTAAAGAAAACCCGAGGCCAGATGGGGTGGCTCACACCTGTAATCCCAGCACTCTGGGAGGCCAAGGTGGGCAGATCGTGAAGTCAGGAGTTCGAGACCAGCCTGGCCAACATAGTGAAAACCCGTCTCTACTAAAAATACAAAAAATTAGCCGGGTGTGGTGGCAGGCACTTGTAATTCCAGCTGCTCAGGAGGCTGAGGCAAGAGAATTGCTTGAACCCAGGAGGTGGAGGTTGCAGTGAGCTGAGATCATGCCATTGCACCCCAGCCTGGGCGACAGTGCAAGACTCCGTCTCAAAAAAAAAAAGAAAGAAAACCTAGGCCAGGTGCAGTGGCTTACACATGTAATCCCAGAACTTTGGGAGGTCAAGGCAGGCTCCCGGTTCACCTGACCTCAGGAGTTTAAGACCCACCTGGACAACATGAGAAAACCTCATCTCTATTTTATTTTATTTTATTTTATTATTATTATTTTTTCTTTTTATTTTGAGATGGAGTCTCGCTCTGTCGCCCAGGTTGGAGTACAATGGCATGATCTTGGCTCATTGCAACCTCCGCCTCCTGAGTTCAAGTGATTCTCCTGCCTCAGCCTCCTGAGTAGCTGGGATTACAGGCACATGCCACGATGCCGGGCTTATTTTTGTATTTTTAGTAGAGACGGGGTTTCACCATGTTGGTCAGGCTGGTCTTGAACTCCTGACCTTGTGATCCACCCGCCTCGGCCTCCCAAAATGCTCAGATTACAGGCGTGAGCCACTGTGCCCGGCCCCCCATCTCTATTTTAAAAAAAAAAGAAAGAAAAATCAATCAGAACTTCTGGAAATGAAAGACACACTGGCTGGGCGCGGTGGCTCATGCCTGTAATCCCAGCACTTCGGGAGGCCAAGGCGGGCAGATCACAAGGTCAAGAGATCAAGACCATCCTGGCCAATATGATGAAACCCAGTCTCTACTAAAAATACAAAAATTAGCTGGGCATGGTGGTGAGCGCCTGTAGTCCCAGGTACCAGTGAGGCTGAGGCAGGAGAATCTCTTGAACCCAGGAGGTGGAGGTTGCAGTGAGCTGAGATCATGCCACTGCACTCCAGCCTGGTGACAGAGTGAGACTCCGTCTCAAAAAAAAAAAAAAGAAAGAAAGACACTCTTACAGAATTACAAAATGTAATGTAGTAGAAAGTTTTAACAATAGACTAGAACAAGTAGAAGAAAGAATTTCAGGCTCGAAGCTAAGGCTTTTGAACTAACCCAATCACAAAAGGAAAAAAAAAAGAATTTGAAAAATGAACAAAGTCTCCAAGAAATATGAGATTATGTAAAATAGGCAAAGGTAAAAATAACTGGTGTTCCTGAGGGAGAAGAGACAATAAAAAGTTTGGAAAACTTACCTGAGGGAATAATTGAGGAAAACTTCCTGGCCTTTGGCTAGAGATTTAGATATACAAATATAAGAAGCACAAAGAACTCCTGGAAAATTCATTGCAAAAAGGTCATCATAAAGGCATATAGTCGGTCAACAGGCTCTCTAAAGTTAACATGAGACTGGGCGCAGTGGCTCACGCCTGTAATCCCAGCACTTTGAGAGGCCAAAGTGGGTGGATCACCTGAGGTCAAGAGTTTGAGACCAGCCTGGCCAACATGGCAAAACCCTGTCTCTACTAAAAATACAAACATTAGCCAGACATGTTGGTGGGCACCTGTAATCCCAGCTACTTGGGAGGCTGAGGCAGGAGAATCACTTGAACCCGGGAGAAGGACGTTGCAATGAGCCAGGATCACGCCACTGTACTCCAGCCTGGGCAACAAAGCAAGACTCCATCTCAAAAAATAATAATAATAATAAACCCAAGGTAAAGGGGTGAAAAAAGATATTCCACACAAATGTAAAGCAAAAGTGAGCAAAAGCGTTAAAATCTGACGGATAGGAGACAGGACTAATGTGGAACTCCCACTTGGACAGACAGAACAGCGTGTGGAGACTCACACCGTGAACTTTTGCTCCAAGAACCACTCACTGCAGGAGCGTACCAGGAAAACTGAAAGAATTCACAGACCCTTTGAAAGAAGCAGCTGGCCACTGCAGTTCCAAAAGTGTGAGAGAGGGAAAAGTCTGCCTCCAAACACATATCCTCACTGGGGAACCTGAAAATCCAGATCATGGGAGAAGGATTTAGCTTTACCTAGAGCCGAACTGGATTTAGTGAGCTAAGCAAAATATAAAAGTAGAAGAAGCAGTGGAAAGAGCCCTGCAGGCACTCCCGGTCTCCGGCAGGTGGGAAGGGGCAAGGCTGGAAAGCCCTGCTTGCTTTCTCAGTGGAGTTATGCCCTGGGGTGAGAGTGCAGCCCTATAGGCTGGCTGCCTGGATATAAACTTGGTGCTGTTAGTGGGGCACAACAGGAATGAGGTTGGCCTTGCTGGCTGTGTGGGAGCTAGGTGAAGCCTGTCATTGCTGGCTTTCCCCTACTTCCCTGGTGACCTGAATGACACAACAGAGGCAGCCATAATTCCCCTTGGAACATAATCCCATTGGCTTAAGAACCACCCCATCCCCCATACTGGCCACAGCAAGTCCTGCCCTGAGCTCAGACCCACCTAACCCTGCCCCTACCTGATGGTTTTTCTCTACCTGCCCAAGTAGCTGAAGACAAAAGACATAAATGCTTGGGAGCTCAATGGCCCCACCCATAGCCTGAGAAACCTGAATATTTATCCATAAATGAAGGGGAGATAAAGTATTTTTCAAACAAGCAATTGCTGAGTGAATTCGCCACTACCAAGCAAGCACTACAATAAATGCTAATAGGAGTTCTAAATCTTGAAACAAAAACCTCAAAATACACCAAAATAGAACCTCCTCATAGCATAAATCTCACAGGGCCTACAAAACAATAACACAATGAAAAAAAAAAAAAAAACAAGGTGTTCAGGCAACAACTAGCATGATGAATGGAACAGTAACTCACATCTCCATACTAATGTTGAATGTAAATGGCTGAAATGCTCCACTTGAAAGATACAGGATGACAGAATGCATAAAAACCCACCAACCAAGTATCTGCTGTCTTCAAGAGACTCACCTAACACATAAGGCCTCACATAAGCTTAAAGTAAAGCAGTAGAAAAAGATATGCAAAAGGAAACTATGTTTCCATGCAAAAGGAAACTAGAAGCCAGCAGGAATAGCTATTCTTATATCAGACAACACAGACTTTAAAGCAACAACAGTTTAAAAAGACAAAGACGGACATTATATAATGATAAAAGGATCGGTCCAACAGAAAAGTATCACAATCCTAAAGATATATGCACCTAACACTGGAGCTCCCAAATTTATAAAATTACTACTAGACCTAAGAAATGAGATAGATGGCAACACAGTAATAGTGGGGGACCTCAATACTCCACTGACAGCACTAGACAAGACAGAAAGTCAACAAAGAAACAAGGGACTTTAACTATACCCTAGAACAAATGGACTTAACAGATATTTACAGAACATTCTACCCAACAACTGCGGAGAATACGTTCTTTTCATTAGCACATGGAACATTCTCCAAGACAGACCATATGATAGGCCCCAAAAAAGTGTCAGTAAATTTAAGGAAATCGAAATTATATCAAGCACTCTCTCAGAACATGGTAAAATAAAATTGGAAATTGGCTGGGCATGGTGGCTTATGGCTGTAATCCCAGCACTTTGGGAGGCCAAGGCAGGCAGATCACCTGAGGTGAAGAGTTCGAGACTAGCCTGGCCAACATGGCAAAACCCCATCTCTACTAAAAATAGAAAAATTAGCCAAGCATGGTGGCAGGTGCCTGTAATCTTAGCTACTCAGGAGGCTGAGGCAGAAGAATCACTTTAACCCAGGACACAGAGGTTGCAGTGAACTGAGATGGCGCCACTGCACTCCAGTCTGAGCCAGAGAGTAGGACAAGGAAAGGAGAAAGGGTAAAGGGGAAAGGGGAAAGGGGAAAGGAAAGAAGAAAGGAAAGGAGAAAGGAAATTGGAAATTAATTCCAAAAGGAAGCCTCAAAACTATACAAATACATGGAAATTAAATAATCTGCTCCTGAATGACCTTTGGGTCAACAATGAAATCAAGATGAAAATTTAAAAATTCTTTCAACTGAACGATAATAGTGACACAACCTAGCAAAACCTCTGGGATACAGAAAAAGCACTGCTAAAAGGGACATTCATAGCATTAAATGCCTAAAAATGTCTGAAAAAATCACAAACTGACAACCTAAAGTCACACCTCAAGGAGCTAGAGAAACAAGGACAAACTAAACCCAAAGTTAGCAGAAGAAAACAAATAAAGATTAGAACAGAACTAAATAAAATTGAAACAAAAAAATTTACAATAGATCAATGAAACAACTGGTTCTTTGAAAAGATAAACAAAATTGATAGACCATTAGCAAGATTAACCAAGAAAAGAAGAGAGAAGATCGAAATAAGCTCAATTAGAAATGAAACTGGAGATATTACAACCGATACCACAGAAATACAAAAGATTATTCAAGGCTACTATGAACACCTTTATGCGCACAAAGTAGAAAACCTAGAGGATATGGGTAAATTCCTGAAAATATACAACCCTCCTAGATTAACTTGGGAAGAAATAGAAACTCTGAACAGACCAATAACAAGTACTGAGATTAAAATAGTAATTAAAAAAAAAACTACCAACAAAAAAAGTCCAGGACCAGATGGATTCACAGCTGAATTCTATCAGACATTCAAAGAAGAATTGGTACCAATCTTACTGAAACTATTACAAAAGATAGACAAAGAGGAAATCGTCCCTAAATCATTCTATGAAGCCAATATCACTCTAATATCAAAACCAAGAAAGGATATATTGAAAAAAGAAAACCACTGACCAATATTCCTGATGAACACAAATGCAAACATCCTCAACAAAATACTAGCTAACCAAATCTAACAGCATATCGAAAAGATAATACACCATGATCAAGTGGGTTCATAACAGTGATACAGGGATGGTTTAACATATGCAAGCCAATAAATGTGATACATCACATAATCATAGTTAAAAACAAAAATGATATGATCATGTCAATAGATGCAGAAAAAGCATTTGAAAAAATCCAGTATCCCTTTAGGATTAAAACCACCAACAAAATCAGCATAGAAGGAACATAGCTTAAGGTAATAAAAGGCATCTATGACAAACCCACAGGCAACATGATACTGAATGAGGAAAAGTTGAAAGCATTTCCACTGAAAACTGGAACAAGACAAGGATACCCACTTTCCCCACTTCTATTCAACACAGTATTGGAAGTCCTAGCCAGAGCAATCAGACAAGAGAAAGAAAGAAAGGGCATCCACATTGGTAAAAAGGAGGTCAAAGTGTCGCTGCTTGCTGATATGATTGTATACCTAGAAAACCCTAAAGATGCATCCAAAAAGCTCCCAGATCTGATAAATTCACTAGGCCGGGTGTGGTGGCTCACGTCTGTAATCCCAGCACTTTGGGAAGCTGAGGCAGGCGGATCACCTGAGGCCAGGATTTCGAGACCAGCCTGGCCAACATGGCAAAACCTCGCCTCTACTAAAGATACAAAAAATTGTCAGGCGCAGTGGCTCATGCCTGTAATCCCAGCACTTTGGGAGGCTGAGGGTGGGGCGGATCACTTGAGGCCGGGAGTTTGAGACCAGCCTGGGCAACATGGCAAAACCCCGTCTCTTCTAAAAATACAAAAATTAGCCAGGTGTGGTGGTGAGCACCTGTAATCCCAGCTACTCGAGAGGCTGAGGCAGGAGAATTGCTTGAATCCAGGAGGTGGAGGTTGCAGTGAACTGAGATCACGCCATTGCACTTCAGCCTGGGTGACAGAGCGAAACTCCATCTCAAAAAAAAAAAAAAAATACAAACAATAAGCTGGGCATGGTGGTGGGTGCCCATAATCCCAGCTACTCAGGAGGCTGAGGCAGAATTGCTTGAACCCGGGAGGCGGAGGTTACAGTGAGCTGAGATTGAGCCATTGCACTCCAGCCCGGGCAACAAGAGCGAAACTCTGTCTCAAAATAAATAAATTAAATAAATATAAATAAAAATAAAAAAATAAATTCAATAAAGTTTCAAATTACAAGATCAATGTACACAAATTAGTAGCACTGCTATGCACCAACAGTGACCAAGCTGAGAATGAAAGCAAGAACTCAACCCCTTTTATAACAGCTGCAAAAAAATAAAATAAAAATACTTAGGAATATAGCTAACCAAGGGAGAAATATACCTAACCAAGGAGGTGAAAGCTCTCCACAAGGAAAACTACAAAACACTGCTGAAAGAAGTCATAGATGACATGAACAAATGGAAACACATCCCCTGCTTATGGGTGGGTAGAATCAATATTGTGTAGATGACCATATTGCCAAAAGCGATCCATAAATTCAATGCAATTCCCATGAAAATACCGTCATCATTCTTCACAGAACTAAAAAAAAAAAGCAATCCTAAAATTAATATGGAATGAAAAAAGAGCCCACATAGCCAAAGCAAGACTAGGCAAAAAGAACAAAGCTGGAGGCATCACATTACCCAATTTCAAACTATACTACAAGGCTATAGTTACCAGAACAGCATGGTACTGGCATAAAAATAGGCACACAGACCAACAGAACAGAATAGAGAACCCAGAAATAAAGCCAAATACTTACAGTCAACTGATCTTCGACAAAGCAAACAAAAATATAAAGTGGGGAAAGGACACCCTATTCAACAAAAAGTGCTGGGATAATTCACAAGCCACAGGTAGAAGATGAAACTGGATCCTCATCTCTTACCTTATACAGAAATCAACTGAAGATGGATCAAAGACTTAACTCTAAGGCATGAAACCATAAAAATTATAGAAGATAACCTTAAAAAAACCCTTCTGGACATTGGAATAGGCAAAGAATTCATGACTAAAAGCCCAAAAGCAAATGTAAAAAAAGCAAAAATAAACAAATGGGACCTGATTAAACTAACAAGTACCTGCACAGCAAAAGAAATAATCACGAGTAAACAACCCACAGAATGGGAGAAAATATTTGCAAACTATGCATCCAACAAAGGACTAATATCCAGAATCTACAAGGAACTCAAACAAATCAGCAAGAAAAAAAAAACAAATAATTCCATCAAAAAGTGGGCAAATGACAGACATTTCTCAAAAGAAGATATACAAATGGTCAATAAATATATGAAAAAAATGCTCAACATCACTAATCATCAGGGAAATGAAAATGAAGACCACAATGAGATACCACCTTACTTCTGCAAGAATGGCCATTAAGAAAGCCAAAAAACAATAGATGTTGTTGTGGATATGGTGAAAAGGGAATACTTAACACTGCTGGTTGGAATGTAAATGAGTACAACCTCTATGGAAAACAGTATGGAAAATTCTTAAAGAACTAAGCATAGATCCACCATTCAATCCAGCAATCCCACTACCAGGTGTCTACCCAAAGAAAAAGAAGTCATTATATCAAAGGCAGCTGCATACATATGTTTATCACAGCACAATCCACAACTGCAAAGATATGGAACCAACCTAAGTGCTCATTAACCAATGAGTGGATAAAGAAAATGTGGTAGATAGCCAGGTGCAGTGGCTCACACCTGAAATCCCCGCACTTTGGGAAGCCAAGGTGGGCAGATTTCCGGAGCTCAGGACTGACCTGGGCAAGATGATAAAACCCCATCTCTACAAAAAATTAGCCAGGCATAGTGGCACATACCTGTATGTTAGGGGGTTGAGGTGGGAGGATTGCTTGGGCCCAGGAGGTCGAGGCTGCAGTGAGCCATGTTCATGCCACTGCACTCCAGCCTGGGTGACAAAGTGAGACCCTGTCTCAAAAAAAAAAAAAAAAAGTGGTATATATACACCATGAAATACTACTCAGTCATAAAAAAGAATGAAATAATGTCTTTTCAGAAACTTGGGGCTGGGCACAGTGGCTCACACCTGTAATCCCAGCACTCTGGGAGGCCAAGGCAGGTGGATCACCTGAGGTCAGGAGTTCAAGACCAGCCTCGACAACATGGTGAAACCCTGTCTCTACTAAAAATACAAAAATTAGCTGGTTGTGGTGGTGCATGTCTGTAATCCTAGCTACATGGGAGGCCGAGGCAGGAGAACTGCTTGAACACAGGAGGCGGAGGTTGCAGTGAGCCAAGATCATGCCACTTCATTCCAGCTCGGGCAAGAGAGTAAGACTTCGTCTCAAAAAAAAAAAAAAAAAGCATGGATGAAGCTGGAGGCCATTATTTTAAGTGAAATAACTCAGGAATGGCAAACCAAATACCATATGGTGGGAGCTAAGCTATGGATACACAAAAGTATTCAAAGTGTTATAATGGATATTGGAGATTCAGAAGAAGGGAGGGTGGGAGGAGATAAAGAACTATATATTGGTTATAATGTACACTACTCGGGTATGAGGTGCACTAAAAATCTCAAAATTCACCACTATATAATTCATCCATGTAACCAAAAACTACTTGTACCCCACAAGCTATTCAAATTTTTAAAATATTAAAAATATAATACACAAGAAAAGGGTCAATAAATTTGACTACAGAACTATCTTGTACAGAAAATACATCCTGAACAAAGTCAAAAAGCTAACAAAATGTTTGGAAATCATCAAGTCATAAGAAAGTAGACGGCTAATTTGCTGACTTACAGCAGGGGTCCCTAACCCCTGGGCCATGGACCCATACTGGCTCATGGCCTGTTAGGAACAAGCCACACAGCAGGAGGTGGGCAGCAGGTAAGTAAGCGAAGCTTCATCTGTATTTACAGCTGCTCCCCACTGCTCACATTACCACCTGAGCTCTATCTCCTGTCAGATAAGCAGCAGCATTAGATTCTCATAGGACCACGAACCCCATTATGAACTGCATGTGCAAGGGATGTGGGCTGTGCACTCTTTATGAGAATCTAATGCTTGATGATCTGTCACTGTCTCCCAGTACCCCCAGATAGAATCATCTTGTTGCAGGAAAACAAGTTCAGAGTTCCCACTGATTACACACTATGGTGAGATGTATAATTATTTCATTATATGTTACAATGTAGTAATAATAGAAATAAAGTGCATAATAAATGTAATGTGTTTGAATCATCCAGAAAGCATCCCCCGAACCCCGGTATGTGAAAAAATTGTCTCCACAAAACCAGTCCCTGGTGCCAAAAAGGTTGGGGACTGCTAGCTTATAGAGCTTATAAAATTCAGCTTTTTTTTTTGAGAAAGATGTGGTCACAGGTGCTGGAGAGCTCTGGTCTGCCACTCCCGCTCATGACTCAATGCTGTTCACTCTCACTGAGGAACAGGTCAGTAAGGAAGCTGTGCCACATCCATGGCCTTTAAAGATACCAGAAAAACAGCTGTGGAGCCAGGGGTGGTGGTTCATGGAATTAGAATAAAACCCCTGGAGAAGGTGTGTGCTGACTTGATCACAGGCAAAAAGTTTAAAAATCTCAAGTAAAAGGACCAGTCTGTATGCCTACCAAGACTCTGAAAATCACTACAAGAAAAACTCCTTGTGGTGAAAGTTCTAAGGCACTGGGATGGTTTCCAGATGAGAATCCAAAAGTGACTCACTGACTTGCACAGTCCTTCCAAGATTGTCAAGCAGATTATTTCCATCAGTGTTGCGCCAGGAATCGATTCTGAAGTCACCAATGCAGATGTTTAAGTCAACTATTTTAATAAATTAATTGGCCGGGCGCGGTGGCTCATGCCTGTAATCCCAGCACTTTGGGAGGCCAAGGCGGATGGATCACAAGGTCAGGAGTTCGAGACCAGCCTGGCCAAGAT
This sequence comes from Homo sapiens, assembly GCF_000001405.40. Taxonomy (NCBI): domain Eukaryota; kingdom Metazoa; phylum Chordata; class Mammalia; order Primates; family Hominidae; genus Homo; species Homo sapiens. Next base: position 110,701,023 of record NC_000006.12, read on the forward strand.
GGTGAAACCCCGTCTCTACTAAAAATAAAAACTTAGCCAGGCGTGGTGGCAGGCGCCTGTAGTCCCAGCTACTCGGGAGGCTGAGGCAGGAGAATTCCTAGAACCTGAGAGGCGGAGGTTGCAGTGAGCCGAGATCGTGCCACTGCACTCTAGCCTGGGTGACAGAGCGAGACTCCATCTCAAAAAAAATTAATTAATTAATTACCAGTTGTTAAAGAAAAAAGAAAAAGAAAAATGGAGCCGGGCGTGGTGGCTCAAGCCTGTAATCCCAGCACTTTGGGAGGCCAAAGTGGGCAGATCACGAGGTCAGGAGATTGAGACCATCCTGGCTAACACAGTGAAACCCCATCTCTACTAAAAATACAAAAAAAAAAAAAAAATTAGCCGAGCATGGTGGCGGGCGCCAGTAGTTATAGCTACTTGGGAAACTGAGGCAGGAGAATGGCGTGAACCCGGGAAGCAGAGGCTGCAGTGAGCCGAGATTGCACCACTGCACTCCAGCCTGGGCAACAGAGCAAGACTCTGTCTCAAAAAAAAAAAAAGAAAAATAGAAAACCCTTCAGAGTCCAATGCGCAGAGAATACGAACAGACATTTCACAAAAATAAATATAAATTAAAATAGTCAAAAATTATCTAACAATATGACTATCTCAACTGAAGAATGCAAATTGAAGCAATGGAGACATATTTTTCACTGATCAGATTGGGAAAAATTTTAAAGCTTAAGAGCATCCAGACAGCATCAATAAGGAACTGGTTGAAGAAATTAAAGTCCATCCCTACAGTGGAATATTATATAGCCATTAAAAAAGAATGCAATAAGAGGCCAGGTGGATGGGCCAGGCACGGTGGCTCACGCCTGTAATCCCAGCACTTTGGGAGGCCGGGGCAGGTGGATCACAAGGTCAGGAGTTCGAGACCAGCTTGGCTAACACAGTGAAACCTCATCTCTACTAAAAATACAAAAAGTAGCCAGGCATGGTGGCACACACCTGTAGTCCCAGCTACTCGGGAGGCTGAGGCAGAAGAATCACTTGAACCCGGCAGGTGGAGGTTGCAGTGAGCCGAGATTGTTCTACTATACTCCAGCCTGGGTGACTGAGCAAGATTCTGTCTCAAAAAAATAAAAATAAAAATAAATAAGAGGCCAGGTGGCTCATGCCTGTAATTCCAGCACTTTGGGAGGCAAAGGTAGGAGGATTGCTTGAGCCCAGGATTTTGAGACCAGACTGGACAACATAGTGAGACCTCATCTCTACAAAATATAAAAAATTAATTAGCTGGGCATGGTTGCTCATACCTGTAGTCTTAGCTACTCAGGAGGCTGAGGCTGGACAACTGCTTGAGCCTGGGTGGTTGAGGCTACAGAGTTGTGACTGTGCCACTGCACTGCAGCCCGGGCAACATAGTAAAACCCCAGCTCTACCAAAAAAAAAAATTAAAATTAAAAATATTAGCCAAGTGTGTTGGCATGTACCTGTAGTCCTAGTTAACTTGAGAGGCTAAAATGGGAAGATTGCTTGGGCCCAGGAGTTTGAGGCTGCAGTGAGCCATGATCGCATCACTGCACTTTAGCCTGGGAGACAGAGAAAGACTCTGACCAAAAATAAAAATAAATTTAAAAAATGACCTTTGACTTGGGGGTTAAAAAAATAAGATCTGTATTGTCGATATGGAAAGATCACTAAGACATAATATTAAGTGATAAAGATGGAAAAGAATATATATATCTATCTCTTTGGTATTTTTAAAAGATACATATGTAATGGTACATGCACAAAAAACGTCATTATAAGAAGCCATTTTTACTAGCTACTTTTGTGCAGAATGACCAGGTGTTAAAGAAGACAAAGGTTTAACATTTTTCATTTTGTATCTTTCTGTATTAATATAACAAATAGCAATTGTGATATTGTTTGAATTCTTATTATGCATATATTTCTATTTCTGAAATGTCAACAGGAGTTAACTGGTGAATCAAATTTGGTTTGCTACTTTATGTTGCTCTGTATTTTTCAAATTATTTTTTGTAAAAGTCTACTCTAAGGTATTGTTTTTCAAACTGCATCTTATGACCCATTAGTGAATCATGAAATCCATCTATTCAGTTGAAACCAGCATTTCCCCCACCCTACCCCCGGCAAGTGAAATAACCTGAACTGGACTAAAATAGAAAATAATTGAAAACACCAGTGCACATCATAGATTATGAGCAAGAAAGAGCCAGACCAAGAATAGGCAAGCTGACTCAAAGTTTGAAAACCACTGCTCTAAGATATTATGTTAGCAGTACTTTGAATAGGGTGCTTAGGGAAATATATTAATTATGTTATAATTAATATTTCAAAACCAAGAATGATTTTATGTTAAATGGAGTTTTTATATGTCAATTCTTAGTATGACCAATTTCAAAAAATACTATTAATTGAAATGATAATGGAGAAAATACATAATTTCTGAAAATTCAGAGGCAAAACTCTAAAAGGACAGCTATACAACATACACTGATTTGAATGAAACTGAAAAAATGAACCTGCCAGGCACAGTGGTTCACACATCTAGTCCCAGCACTTTACCAGGCCAAATAAGGAGGACTACTTGAGCCCAGGCATTAAAAACCAGCCTTGACAACACAGGGAGACCTTGTCTCTACAAAAAAATTTTAAATTAGCCAGGTATGGTGGCATGCACCTGTAGTCCCAGCAACTCGGGAGGCTGAAGTGGGAGGATTGCTTGAACCCAGAAGTTCAAGGCTGCAGTGAGCTATGATCACACCACTGCACTCTAGCCTCATTGACAGAGCAAGACCCTGTTTCTAAAAAATAAAAATTAAAAATGAACCTATATACATATATTTAGAATAGTCCCACATTATAAATTATACACATTCATGTCTTTGGAATAGATAAGCTTGAAATTAAAGTTAGAGTGTTTACCTATGAAGAGGTCACCAAAATAATAAATTTTTAAAATGCTAGGCTATCTGAAAATTCCAGAATATTGACAGAAGACCACATAGTTCAAATATACATACAACAATAATCAGGGCATGCATTTTAAGTTGTTGTTTTTGGTGTCAAAGGATGTGTTTGTTCTGATTACAACACAATCTATTGCCCAATCTCCTGTTTGGTCAAGACAGATAACTCCAAAATGACTAGCCAGGATTGGGAACATAGTTCAGTCAATAATTAAGTAAAATTAAAGGACTAGTGGAGTATGAAATCAAAAGACTTTATTTTCATTAACACAGCAACCAAACCATGTACTGTGTATTTTGCAGTCAGAGCAGCCTTGGGAAGCCCTATCTTTTTTTAATTTCATGAACCCCAATGTCATGTATCTTTACTACTTACCTTACATTATCTTTTTCTCCCTTTTATCCAACTCTCCACCCCTCCTCCCCACCAACCCTTGTCTGCTTTTTACTTCCTTTGTTCCTTTCCATTCATTAAATCCATTACTCTTAATGATCTCTCACTCTTCCAAATCCCTATGGGGATTATCTATACCACTCATTTGGAAGTCAGCAAATGATCTCTTGTATTATTTATCTTTTTTATACATAACCTATTTTTACATACACTTATATTAACTATTTGGTAAAGTGTAAAGTCATTCCATGTTATGAATGCAGTCAATATCAACAAATCTTTTTAGTTATCTTTTTAAGTTCTCATATAACCCAGAAGTCAAAAGTTGTTCAGGGCATGTGTTCTACAACTATATAGATTCAGGTAATCTACACGTGCCCCAGGACTGTGGGATCATAGGCCAAGGCTAATTCTGGAAGCAATGAGAGGGAGATGGAGGGAGGGAGAATAGGACCTGGCATGGGCAATGGCAATAAAAATAGAAAGGAGGGGTTAGATAAAAAGAGGGCAAGAAAGAGTGAATAGGATTTAGTAATTGATAGGCTGAGGGAAAATGACCCAGGATGGTACAAGCAACCAAAAAGATGGTGGTACAATTTAGAGATAAGGAAAAGCATTACAGGTTTAAGGTGTGAAGAAATGTAGTTTTTTTTTTTTTTTTGGAGATGGAGTTTCACTCTTGTCACCCAGGCTGGAGCAATGGCACAATCTCAGCTCACCGCAGCCTCTGCCTACCAGGTTCAAGCAATTCTCCTGCCTCAGCCTCCCGAATACCTGGGATTACAGGCATGCGCCACCACGCCCGGCTAATTTTGTATTTTTAGTAGAGACGGGGTTTCTCCATGTTGGTCAGGCTGGTCTCAAACTCCCAACCTCAGGTGATCCACCTGCCTCGGCCTCCGTAAGTGCTGGGATTACAGGCGTGAGCCACTGCGCCTGGCCAGAAATGTAGATTTTAGTATCAGATGTGATGAGCTCAAGATGTTCATGGGGCATACAGTTAGTGATCCTGGTTATCTGGATCTGAAGCTCAGGAGAGAGTGCTCAACTGCAGGTAAAGAACTTGGGAGTCATAAACATAGAGAAGAGATTGCCCAGAAGCATTGTAAGGGAGCAAATGGGAAGGGCATTCAGGAGAGAGCTCTTTTGGAAAATAAAAACATTATAAGCGTCTGAAAAAGAGCTATTTAAGGCACAGGATTACACAGACTCCGAAGGTACGTTCACAGAAGCGAAGCATCCTTCTCTCAGGAGAGGATATTGTTATGAAAACCAAGAAAGATTACCTTCCTCCCAGAAGCGGAAACAGATAACAATTTCAGTATTAAGAGAAATATCTCAGCAAATTAACACAGGAACAGAAACCAAATGCCACATGTTCCCACTCATAAGTGAGAGTTGAACAATGAGAACATATAGCCACAGGGAGGGGAACATCACACACTGGGGCTTGTCAGGGGTAGGGAGCAGGGATAGCATTAGGAGAAATACCAGATGTAGATGATGGGTTGATGGGTGCAGCAAACCACCATGGCACATGTATACCTATGTAATAAACCTGCACGTTCTACACATGTATCCCAGAACTTAAAGTATAATAAAAAATAAAAATAATAATAATAAAAAAAATCTGGACCTTAACCTGTTTTGTTTTCTTGTTTGTTTGTTTGTTTTTGAGACGGAGTCTTGCTGTCGCCCAGGCTGGAGTGCAATGGCGTGATCTCTGCTTACTGCAGCCTCTGCCTCCTGGGTTGATGTGATTCTTCTGTGTCAGCCTCCCGAGTAGCTGGGATTACAGGCGCCCACCACCACACCCAGCTAATTTTTGTATTTTTAGGAGAGAAGGGGTTTCACCATGTTGGCCAGGCTGCTCTCAAACTCCTGACCTCAGGTGATCCACCTGCCTCAGCCTCTCAAAGTGCTAGGATTACAGAAGTGAGCCACCGTGCATGCCCAGCCAACCTGTTGTTTACAACAATGTCAACAGCATGCTGGGTAACACTGTTGTTTTTTTTTTGTTTGTTTTTTTTTTTTTGAGACAGAGTCTGGCTCTGTCGCCCATGCTGGAGTGCAGTGGCGTGATCTCAGCTCACTGCAAGCTCCGCCTCCCAGGTTCATGCCATTCTCCTGCCTCAGCCTCCTAAGTAGCTGGGATTACAGGCGCCTGCCACCACGCCCAGCTGATTTTTCTATTTTTAGTGGAGACAGGGTTTCACCATGTTAGCCAGGATGGTCTTGATCTCCTGACCTTGTGATCCACCTGCCTCGGCCTCCCAAAGTGCTGGGATTACAAGCGTGAGCCACCGCGCCTGGCCCACTGGGTAACACTGTTGATAGACTCTTCCAGTTTTGCCAGAGTAACATTGTGGGACACTCCTGTTTGAAATTTTTGAATAGTACCCATACCCTTGATGTCTACAATATCACCTTTCTTGTAGATTCACATGTATGTGGCCAAAGGAATAACTCCACGTTTTCTAAAAGGCTATATTTTTAAAGAAAATATAGCAGTGCTACTCCTCTTTCCCTTTGTCAATTTGGCAAAGTGGAAGATGGCAGTTCTGGCCAGAAGACATTATTTTTACATCTCTCTTTTACAGTTAAAAAAAAAAAAAAAAAAACTGAGAAGGCAGCCGGGCACGGTGGCTCACACCTGTAATCCTAGCACTTTGGGAGGCTGAGGCAGGCCGATCACCTGAGGTCAGGAGTTTGAGACCAGCCTGGCCAAACAATGACAATCTTTTAGTAGAGACGATGGTGAAACCCCATCTCTACTAAAAATACAAAAATTAGCCAGGCGTAGTCACACATGCCTGTAATCTCAGCTACCTGGGAGGTTGAGGCAAGAGAACCACTGGAACCCGGAAGGCAGAGGCTACAGTGAGCCAAGATCTTACCACTGCACTCCAGCCTGAGTGACAGAGGGAGCCTCTGTCTCAAAAACAAACAAAACAAAACAAAAAAACTGAGAAGGCTGAAAGGCTAAGTACACAGCCAATAAATGGCAGAACAGGCATTAAAACACATCTTTGGATACCTGGATACCTGTATCCAAAGATGTGTTTTACCAGGATACAGATCATATCATCTATCTGTATATGCACACAAACATACAATATTTTCACTAAAAAATGGGAACACACTAACCACATAGTTTTGTAACCAGCCCTTTTTCACTTAGCATATTGTAAACAACTTTTCTGTCAACAAATACCTATCTACAACAGCAGTTTTAACAGCTGCATAGTACTCCACTGCCAGGGTATGAAATTGCTTTAAATAGTATATTTCAGCCAGGCGCAGCAGCTCATGCCTGTAATCCCAACACTTTGGGAAGCTGAGGCAGGTGAAATCACCTGAGGTCAGGAGTTTGAGAGCAGCTTGGCCAACATGGTGAAACCCCATGTCTACTAAAAATACAAAAATTAGCTGGACATGGTGGCAGGCACCTGTAGTCCCAGCTACTTGGGAGGCTGAGGCAGGTGAATCTCTTGAACCCGGGAGGCAGAGGCTGCAGTGAGACGAGATCATGCCACTGCACTCCAGCCTGGGCGACACGGTGAGACTATGACTCAAAAATAAATAAATAGTATGTTTATGTTACTCTAATATTATAGTATGTTTTTTAATATTATAAACAATGCTATAATGAATAGTGTGTACATCTGCATGATTAACTCCTTAAGATAAAAATACCCAAAAGAGGAAAGCGCTCTTTTCAGGCTTTTGGTACTGATTCAGTTTCTAGCTACATTTCAAGTGTTCAAAAGCCCTTGTGACTAGTGACTACCACACTGGACAGTACAGATACTTTCCCTCATTGCCAAGGGTTCTATTCAACGGTGCTGGTCCACACTGTTCCAGACCATGCAGATCACTGTTGAATCTTGGGGCATGGCCTCCCACTTCAGCCTGATATTGGAGCCCCTCTCTATCCTACTCCTGAAGGCCACCCTCCACAGTGATTTCTGCTAACCCTGCAGCTGCAGCACATAGGATGTGCACTGGAGAGCTGGTTCCCTCCCCCTATAGCTCCACCTAGGCTAGGAGAATAGAGATTTTACCTACAGAGATTTTACCTGCAGACATCATTGTTCCTACTCTTGTTTCCAGCCCCAGCTCCCAGCCTGCATATGTTACTAGGTTTGTATGGAAGGGCAGGCTCTCCGACCAACCTCTAAGCAAGTTTCCCTCAAGTGTGCTGGCTAACAATGGGCAGGCTGATGTGTAACTTCCCTCTACTCTTACTTTACTGTTTTCTACCAAAGCTCTTCAACATGACACTGTGAGTGAAAACTTTTTTTAATTTTGCAAGGGTGATGTAAATTCTTCTGCATTCTATCATTTGGGTGTTTCAGCAAAAAACTGGTAAGAGGGTGAAAGATGACTCACCACCTTGGACTAAGAAGTAAAAGCTTTTAAAGCTTATAGGCATTTCAAATGGTTTTAAGTAACAACTTGATATCTCAACTGGCTCTCTTTACTTTTCCATTTGAAATCTGCTTAAGAAATAAGCACCTAGAAAAGGTTTGCCTAACCGAATCCAGCAGCACATCAAAAAGCTTATCCAAAGCTTATCTACCATGATCAAGTCGGCTTCATCCTTGGGATGCAAGGCTGGTTCAACATACGCAAATCAATAAATGTAATCTATCACATAAACAGAACCAATGACAAAAACCACATTATTATCTCAATAGATGCAGAAAAGGCCTTCATACTAAAAACCTCAATAAACTAGGTATTGATGGAACCTCAAAATAATAGGTATTGATGGTATCTCAAAATAATAAGAGCTATTTATAAAAACCCACAGCCAGTATCATACTGAAAACTGGAAGCATTCCCTTTGAAAACCGGCACAAGGCAAGGATGCCCTCTCTCATCACTCCTGTTCAACAGAGTGTGATATACAGATGAATGGAACAGAATAGAAGCCTCAGAAATAACACCTATCGAGGGGTGGAGGGCTGGGGGAGGGATGGCATTAGGAGAAATACCTAATGTAGATGACGAGTTGATGGGTGCAGCAAATCACCATGGCACATGTATACCTATGTAACAAACCTGCACATTCTACACATGTACTCCAGAACTTAAAGTATAATTAAAAAAAAAAAAAAAGAAAGGTTTGCCTTAGTTAAGGGTCACAATGTAATAAGCAAGAAATAGCAAACTGTTACAAATTTATTATGTAAATAGCAAATAGACTTTCTACAGGATCTTTAGTCATGGAAATGCAATTTCTTTGAGGTAGAAAGGAAAAATGTATTTTCCATTTACATTTGCAAGATAATAAATAACAACCCACATGTAATTACAGAATGAATAAAGACTAAAAAATAGAAATTCTAATGTAATTCTAATTCACAATCATGCTAGAAACCCTACTTTAAGAAGCTGTAGTATTCTTGAAATGTTTACACACCATCAAAATATATATACAAGGGTAGAATCTAACCTAATAAAATTAAAATAAAACTTCTTATACACAAATCATCTATGTGTTAGTGACACATCTGAATATCACTATGTATTATTTTCCCAAGCTAATAAATAGGTTTGACTTTAGAAATTTATCATCACAAAAAAGACTATAGTATCAATTATAATTTCATACTCAAACTCCCTCTTTTCAGTCAATAAAATATATACAGAATTGAAAGTATGGTATATAACTGGTAGATCACACATAACAATGCAAAGTACTAAACACCATTTAAGAAGAAAGGCGGCTCATGACAAGAAAAAGTAAAAGCAATAGAAAAGTAGTCATTTATAACAAACTAATCTTGAAGCCAACTCAACCAAACACAGTTTTGTTATATGAGCCTTCACTTCATGCTTTGTCGAAGTGTCAAGACTCATGTGAGAGAAGATCTGTTCTGGCTCTTCAGCAACTCACCGGGGAGTCATTTTTGTCTTATGTGGGAGAGGCTCTGAAACCATTATGTTCTATCACTGCCAGAATTGGCTGACTTGTCTAAAGGATCAGGAGCCAAACACAGAAACAACTATGAAAGAACCTGGGATCATCAGTCAAAAGACATAGCAAGCCTAAATGGAAATATAATAATACCCTTTGTCTCAGTCTGTTTGGGCTGCTATGGCAAATTACCATAGAACGGTTAGCTTATAAACAAAAGAAATTTATTTCTCACATTTCTGTAGATCAGGAAGTCCAAGATCAAGGCACCAGGAGATTTGCTGTCTGGTGAGGGCCACTTCCTCAGAGACTGCCATCTTCTCACTGTAACCTCACATGGTGGAATGGGAAAGGGTCTTTCTGTGGTCCTGTTTATAACGGCACCAATCTCATTCATGAGTGTGAAGCTGTAGTGACTTAATCATCTCCCAAAGGCTTCACCTCCTAATATCATCATCTTGAAGGCTAAGATATCAACATATGAATTTTGGAGGGACACAAACATTCAGACCATATCCTCCCTCCCGTAGAAGACACAAGGGTAATCTAATCTACAAGGCTACAGACTTCATTTCTGCATTAGATTCTTATATTGCATGTAAAAAACAACAAAAAGGGCAGAGGGGTTAGCCGCAACTGATCTAATCTCATATCGTCTATAATAAGAGCTTACAATCAGTTATGAATATTAGAGACATCCATTAAAAACTATAAAGTTCTCAAAAGCAAGAAAAGCAATGTAATAAATGAGTTATTTTATGGAGAAAAAAAATTCAAGTACACGAAAAAGCCAAAATCCTACACTAATAAAACCTAATGAAAAGAGGAATGATACCTACAATAGGTTTCTTAGGAATATATTGTGATATAAAATATTAATGTCTACATATTTCTTTGTTAAGAATGGTTAGACACTGAATGTCAGCTATTTTCTGTAGAGAGGGGTTAACAAAGAAATAAATTGTGCTTATTTATTAATTATACCTTCAACATTTAAAGCTAATTACTTTCTTAAAGAAGAGCTTGGCTTGACAATATCCTTAGTAAATGAAGACATTATTTGGATTTCAAAAGGGTATTTGAATTATTTAAGTCTTACATTTTATACCAGGATCAACAAATGTACTCTTACATACAACAGTTTTAAAAGAGGTAAACAAATTTACGTATCAATTAAAACCAGGAATGTCCTAGTGCTTTATTCAAACCTCAAGAAATATTTTTGTGTAGCAAAAAGAAAAAAAAAATCGCTGGAAGACAACAATATGACACTTGTAAGTCAAAGGAAAATATCAGGTCTACCTTGATGGAGAATTTATATATGAACTAATATATAACATGAATAGTAAATAGATTACAATGGGTTGGGCACAGTGGCTCACGCCTGCAATCCCAGCACTTTGGGAGGCCAAGGCGGGTGGATCACCTGAGGGCAGGAGTTTGAGACCAGCCTGGCCAACATGGCAAAACCCTGTCTCTACTAAAAATACAAAAATTAACCGGGCGTGGTGGCGGGTGCCTGCAGTCCTAGCTACTTGGGAGGCTGAGGCAGGAGAATTGCCTGAACCCAGGCTGGGGGGCGGAGGTTGTAGTGAGCAGAGGTTGCGCCACTGCACTCCAGCCTGGGTGACACTGCGAGACTCCGTCTCAAAAAATAAATAAATAAATTACAACGAACTTCAGGTAGTTTTTGGTACTAGCTAGTAAGATTGGCTACTTTTTTAACTGCAGTGACACAAATTTACAATGCTCTAGGACAGTGTCTCCCCAAATGATGTTATGTAGGCCATTAACAGACAGGCTACTCCTCCTGTAAAAAAAGTTCTGAGTTCAAATAAGTTTGGGAAATGCTGACTCCAACAGGTTTCTTGACTGAGTAAGTAATACAGCACTTAACAGGCTAAGGTGTTATGGGCCTCCAAGAACAGGTAAGCAAACTTTGCTAAATATATTTGAGCATAGAATCTTCTCCTCTCTTCCAAAGCAGAGCTTCTTTTCGCATTTCCAGGTACTAATACTCTATGGAACATAATTTGGGAAAGAAACACCACCCTCAAGATAGTCTATATGTTCTACGTTGGATAGAAACATCAATTTACTAGATAAAGATACTGAATCAGCATTAAATAATGTTTGATCTTTAGAAAAAGCAGACTTCTATGGAACTATAGTACTAACTGCTATGGACAATTTCTCTTCTAGTGGATTTCACAAAAGAAGTCTGGGCCTTTGCCTTATTAGATCTCATTCTCATTCCCCATCCCACTTCACTCTTGTCTTTGGGGTTCTTGCCGCCCAGGTTTCCTTGCTAAGGCAGAGGATGCAGAGATGCTGAAACGTAAAAAGATCTAGGGAAGCCAGCAGGAGTGTGGCGAAGCAGGATAAACAGGATATTTATCCACAGTGGCTAGAAACCATGTCATTAAAGGAGTAGGTTAGCTAAAGAGAGTCAAAAATTAGTGCCAATAGAACAGAATAAAGTTTCAGGTCAGAAAGGCATGTATGAAACTAACGGTAAGAAGTTAAGTAGATTCAGAATAAGATGGCAGGGAAAGTGTAAACAGTTTGAGACATACTGTTCATCACAGTTAAAAAGCAACATATGGCCGGGTGTGGTGGCTCACACCTGTAATCCCAGCACTTTGGGAGGCTGAGGCAGGCAGATCATGAGGTCAGGAGATTGGCCAACATGGTGAAACCCCGTCTCTACTAAAAATACAAAAATTAGCTGGGCGTGGTGGCGCGCGCCTGTAATCCCAGCTACTTAGGAGGCTGACACAGGAGACTCGCTTGAACCAGGGAGTTGGAGGTTGCGGTGAGCCAAGATCGTGCCACTGCACTCCAGCCTGATGACAGAGTGAGATCCCATCTCAAAAAAAAAAAAAAAAAGCAACATACTAGGCACAATAAAATACCCTGCATGAGACTACCTTGTGGTGATTTATCCTAGGGTTGTTTGTAACTAGCAAAACTCCTAGCTGGGTATGATGTTGCATGCCTGTGGAGGCTGAGGCAGGACAATGGCGTGGACCCGGGAGGCGGAGCTTGCAGGGAGCTGAGATCGCGCCACTGCACTCCAGCCTGGGTGACAGAGAGAGACTCTGTCTCAAAAAAAAAAAAAAAAAAATCCTGGGCTCAAGTGATCCTCTTGTCTCAAAAAAAAAAAAAAAATTCCTGGGCTCAAGTGATCCTCTTGTCTCAGCCTCCTGAGTAGCTAGGACTACTACCACACCCAGCTAATATTTTCATTTTTTGTAGAGATGGGGTCTACTATGTTGCCCAGGCTGATTTCTATATATTTTCACCAAACATAACGTTTTGTAATTTTTCTAAGCACAAAACAACAATATTGAAATAAAATTCCCTTTAGTTTTAAATTTTTTACTTTGGTAATATTTTACTAAGAAAAGAATTATAGGCTGGGCACTCAGGCCTGTAATCCTAGCATTTGGGAGGTTGAGGCAGGAGGACTGCTTGAGGGTAGGAGTTCAAGACCATCCTGGGCAACATGGCAAGACCCCAATCTCTACAAAAAATTTTAAAATGTTTTAAACTTAAAAAAATTTGTCTTAAAGAAAACCTTACTGAGTATTCTTTCTTTTTACTGAGGTAAAATTTCACATAACATAAACTTCACCATTTTAAAGTATGGAATTCAGTGACTTCCAGTATATTCCCAACGTTGTGTAAGAATCACAATTATATAATTCCAGAACATTTTTATCACCCCCAAAAAGAAACAGCATATCCATTAAGCAACAACTCCCCATTCTCCCTTCATCCCAGCCCCTGGCAACCAATAATCTGCTATGTCTATGGATTTGCTTACTCTGGACATTTCATATAAATGAAACTATACAATATATAGCTCTTGGTGTCTGGGTTGTTTCATTTCACATAATGTTCTCAAGGTTCATCCATGTGTGGCCAGTATGGCTGAATAATATTCCCTTATATGGATATAGCACATTTTGTTTATCCATTCATCAGCTGATGGATACGACAGTTATTTCTAATTTTTTGTTATTGTGAATAATGCTGCTATAAACATTCACATGCAAGTTTTTGTTTCAACATCTGTTTTCAATTCTCTTGGGTATACACCTAGAAGTGGAACTCCTGGGTCATATGGTAACTTTTTGAGGAACCACCAAAATGTTTTCTATAGTGGCTGTACCATTTTACATTCCCAACAGCAATGGGTGAGGGGTCCAATGTCTCTAAATCCTCACCAATAGTTGTTATTTCCCTTTTGTTATTATTATTACCATTCTAATGGGTGTGAAGTAGTATCTTGTGGCTTTGATTTGCATTTCTTTTCCTAATAATTAATGACGTTGAGCATCTTTTCATGTGCTTAAAGGTGATTCATATATCTTCTTTGGAAAAATGTCTTTTCTTTTTTTTTTTTTTTTTTTTTAATTTTTTGAGATGGAGTCTCACTCTGTCGCCCAGGCTAGAGCACAGTGGCACAACCTCGGCTCACTGCAACCTCTGACTCTCAGGTGCAAGCAATTCTCCTGCCTCAGCCTCCCAAGTAGCTGGAATTACAGGCATGCGCCACCACGCCCGGCTAATTTCTGTATTTTTAGTAGAAACGGGATTTCACCATGTTGTCCAGGCTGGTCTTGAACTCCTGACCTCAGGTTGTCTGCCTGCCTCGGCCTCCCAAAGTGCTGGAATTACAGGCGTGAGCCACCATGCCTGGCCGAAAAATGTCTTTTCAAGTCCCTTGCCCGGTTTTTAATGGGGTTTCTTTTTTGTGAATATTCATTTTTAAATCTATTAGGCAATCACCTTTTCTTGAATTCTTCAAGTCTGCAGACTGGTTTTAGCCACATTTTGCTAACGTTTAACATTTCCTCACCCTCCTCTGAATTCACATCTTATAATGCTCTCTAGGACACTGAGGACCAGCTCATGATACCTAACATACCTAAAAGTAGCTTAATCATTAAGTGAAAAAGACAACATTATGCTAATAGACTAATAGGGTCAAAAATAACTTGGTCATTTAAACTAAACCAACATTTTCTGAACACTCCTATATTTAAGGCGCTATATGGGGCTTTGTTTAAATATTTAAGAATCAGACAGAAAATGAGTCTTTAATGTCTTTACAATGGTACTAACTACTCTGTCATTCATTTTGTGTATTCAGTTCTTTGGCAGAAACTTTTTTTTTTGAGACTAGTCGCTCTGTTGCCCAGGCTGTAGTGCTGCGGGGCATCTTGGCCCACTGCAACCTCTGCCTCCCAGCTTCAAGCGATTCTCCTGCCTCAGTCCCCCGAGTACTTGAGATACAGGCGTGCGCCACACACCTGGCTAACTTTTGTATTTTTAGTAGGGATGGGGTTTTGCCATGTTGGTCAGGCTGGTCTCAAACTCGTGGACCTCACATGATCCACCTGCCTCGGCCTCCCAAAGTGCTGGGATTACAGGCGTGAGCCATCACACCCTGCCATCTTCGGCAGAAACTTTTTGTAAATGATCATCAAAGTCTCTGAATCCTAAAACATCAAGCAGTTTGCATTTCAAAACATTTTTATATGATTTAAGTAACAGAAAACAACGGAACATCCTTCTTTTATAAGCACCCTAAAATAGTATGGCACTACTTAATGGCATTCTTCATGAACAAAAGCATACTACATTTACTAACAAAGCACGCATTTTCTGTCTGGAAGGAAGTGTAACAATGCTAATTATGTTTTAAATCCATGAGGCTCATTAAGAGGAATCACATAACTAATATTATAATTTCTCTTCTGAGCTTAGGGTAGGCAGATTATTTTTAAAATAAGATAATTAATTTAAAGATATAACATATTTCTTTAATTCCATATCTAACATTTAACTTTAAAAAATGTTCTTTTAAAAATGAAGGATGCTCAAGTATAAGGAAAACATAAATATGCAAACACATACATAATTTTTATTAGAGTACGTAGCATGATATTACACTGTAGAATTAATAAGCATTTCTATATATAAAAAAAAGCAAGCCACAAAACTCATACTTTCTATTTATTAAAAGTATTAATCACTGGACCACCTATGAGTTCAAATATTTTATCAAACTTTAATTGAAAAATTGTAACAAAGAAAAAAAAACCTAACAAATGACTTAGGAACAGTACACACTGTATGATCCCAGGTGATGCTGGTGCTGAGGACTCGGAAACCACACTTTGAAAACCACTGTCTTAGATCATGGCAAAGAATCTTTCTACAAAAAGATTATAGAAGTATTAAATAATCTTTCTAGAATATTCAAACATTATCTGAACATGCCTAGAATAGTCCCAGGCTTTGAAAAATTCCTCAAGTTAAACATGAAACAGTGCTCAGGTAATTTCATAAGGGATATATAGATATAGATATATAGAGAACAAAGAGAGAGAAAGAGATCTACGTGTATCTCTACTCTCTATATATTCTTCTCTGTATATCAATATATCAATAAATATATATATTGGTCCAGTGATCCAGTGGTCCAGTGATTGACACTTTTAATAAATAGAATGTGGCAGGGTGCAGTGGCTCACGCCTAAAATCCCAGCACTTTGGGAGGCCGAGGTGGACGGATCACGAGGTCAGGAGTTTGAGACCACCCTGGCCAACACAGTGAAACCTCGTCTCTACTAAAAATACAAAAATTAGCTGGGCATGGTGGCATGTGCCTGTAGTCCCAGCTACTCTGGAGGCTGAGGCAGGAGAATCACTGGAACCTGGGAGGCACAGGTTGGGGCTGAGATCATGCCACTGCACTTCAGCCTGGGCAACAGAGCAAGACTCTCTCTCAAAAATAAATAATAAATAAATGAATAAATAGAACGTATGAGTTTTGTGGCTTGCTTTATTTTTTTATACAGGAGTGCTTATATGATATATATCTATATATCACATATATAGATACATATGTATATATCCCTTATGAATGATATACTTGGGCCCCTGTATATACATTGATATATTTTGATATATATATCTCAAAATACCACTTTAAATCTTTTTATGGAATAAAGCAGACAATCAGTCAATGAGCCCTTAGAGCTGTGGACATATTATATATTTCAACTGACAGGTAGTACATACATTTGTAGTATATACATTTATACTAACGCTCCAGAAATCTCATGAGATAGAGAAATAAATTCTCCATGTTTCAAAGGTCTCTAATTCCATTATGACTCATCTTTTCAAGACTGTCTCATTTTCTTTATTTCCCTCATTAAACACATTTTAAACGGTACATGTGAAAAGTCAAAAAGGAAAATTCCTGGTTACTATGGTTTTATTAAGAAGTGGGGCCTTTCGGGGGTGATTAAGTTCAGAGGGTGGCATCCTCATGAATGAGATTAGTGCCTTTGTTTTTTTGTTTTGTTTTGTTTTCAGGTGGAGTTTTGCTCTTGTTGCCCAGGCTGGAATGCAAGGGCACGATCTTGGCTCACCGCAACCTCTGCCTCCTGGGTTCAAGCAATTCTCCTGCCTCAGCCTCCCACGTAGCTGGGATTACAGGCATGTACCACCATGCCCAGCTAATTTTGCATTTTTAGTAGAGATGGGGTTTCTCCATTTTGGTCACGCTGGTCTCAAACTCCCGACCACAGGTGATCTGCCCGCCTCGGCCTCCCAAAGTGCTGGGATTACAGAGATTAGTGCCTTTGTAAAGCAGGCCTAAAGGAGCCTGTTTGTCCCTTCTGCCACGTGAGGCCACCATAAAAAGGCTCCATTTATGATGGCAGAGAGCAAGCCCTCACCAGACACCCAATCTGCCGGCACCTTGATCTTGACCCCAAATTTCTGTTGCCTGTAAGTTACCCAGTCCAAAGTGTTTTGTTGGAGCAGCCCAAATGGACTAAGACACCAGGTACCAGGAACAAATGAAAGCCAAAATAATGCAGTGGGCTGATGTATAAAGCCCAGGAGGATTTGAAATTTGGATATAGGCCCTAGAAGCTGGGGGTCTAAACCGCCACTCAAAAACAGATGACGACGCCTTAGGTGTATATATTCGAGGTGTGGAATTAGCCTCCTGCAGAGTCCAGAGCCCTAGGAAGAGCTACTATGTCAGTGAAAACAAGACTAGGAAAACTCTATCAACTGGCCTGGCCTGGGGAGGCAGTAAGGAAGCTTGTTGTATGTCCTGGGATTGTGTTGTGTATAGTGTGTAGAACAAAAGCAAAGAGAAAACCTTAAAATCACACACAGAGAGAAAAATTTACCTAGAAAGGCAAGACTATTACACTGATGGCTGACATCATATCAGCAATAACCAAAGCCAGAGAACCACGGAGAAATCTTCAAAGTCCAAAAAAAAAAAAAAAAAACCCTTCTAATTCTTTATCAAGCTAAATTATATTTTTTAAAATGAGGGCAAAATAAAGACATTTTCAGGCAACAAGTGAAAAAAATTGCCATTCACAGATAGTTGCTGAAAGAATCACTAAAAGATATACCAAAATAAGGAGTATATGCAAAAAAGCAAAATCATATACGTCAATCCAAATAAGCCCTGACTGTAAAGGAACTAAAATATATAAAGTTGGGGTAGAGTGTGGAGCAGTTAAGTGAAAACAAGGTAGAGCTAAAATAATAGAAAGAAATAGCAGGAGGGAAAGATATGAGGTAAAGAGTTCTAAAGTCCTTGTACTACTCTGGCAGAAGCTGGGAGGACTCGAATATTTAAGTCAAATATGTATGTAAAAATGCAAGCGTAACTACTAAATTAGAAAGAGTATAAGTCATTTTCAAATCATTAGTTCAGGGAGAAAAAAGAAATAAGAAAAATTCAATTAATGTTACACAAGTCAGAAAAGAAGGTGGAGGGAAAGCATGAGACAAAAAACACCACAAGATAGCAGAAATAATTCTAGGCCAGGTGCGGTAGCCCATGCCTATAATCCTAACACTTTGGGAGGCTGAGGTAGGAAGATCACTTGAGCCCAGGAGTTTTGAGACCAGCCTGGGCAACACAGTAAACCCTGTCTCTACAAAAAATTTTAAAAACAACCAGGCATGGTGGCTAATTTTTAAATTTTTGGTAGAGACAGGGTCCCACTATGCCTATGCCTGCAGTCCCAGCTATGTGGGAAGCTGAGGTGAGGGGAGCACTTTAGCATGGGAGATGGAAGCTGCAGTAAGCCATGATCTTACCACTGCACTCCAGCCTGGGTGACAGGGTGAGACCCCAACTCAAAAAATAAATAAATAAATCTAAACATATGAATAAATACATTCATGTAAACAGATTAAACTCTCCTAATGTAAAAAAGATGCTTAGACTAGAAAAGATAATACAGTTAAAGGAAAATAAAAACAGATTCCACAAAAACCTATTTCAATTAGAAAGCTGCTACTGTTTCTCTTAAATAAAGAGTTAGAATAGTAAGCAGTATGGTTTTTTTGTTTTGTTTTGTTTTGAGACAGAGTCTCACTCTGTCACACAGGCTGGGGTGCAGTGGCGCAATCTGGGCTCACTGCAACTTCCGCCTCCCAGGTTCAAGCGATTCTCCTGCCTCAGACTCCTGAGTAGCTGGGATTACAGGCATGCGCCACCATGTCCAGCTAATTTTTGTATTTTTAGTAGAGACGGCGTTTCACCATGTTGGTCAGGTTGGTCTTGAACTCCTGACCTTGTGATCCGCCCCCCCCCCCCCACCCCCCCCCTGCTTCGGCCTCCCAAAATGCTGGGATTACAGGCATGAGCCACTGTGCTCTGCCATGGCAGTGGGTTTAACAATCCAACTGATTGCCCCAAGTGTTCTGAAAACCCTGATTCATGAAGTCATGTAGCAGCAAAGAGAACCAGAATTCCCAGTACTTTGATACTTGTTCTTTACAGAATCAATGAACTTCTCTGCAATAGAAAATAACCTCATAATCCTCTCCTATTTCTCAAGAGAAGTTCTTGACAAGGCAGTGATTCAAAGCCCTGACTAGGTTAAAATGTGACTTTAGAGACCTTAGACAAGACTTCTTTCACGATCTTTGGCAGAGTCTTTGATGCCAATGTAAAAGCAATGATTCATAGTGGCTCGTGGAGCTTCTCCCTTCACCAAAGCAGCAAAACCAGATGTGCTGTCAGGTACTCAATCAGTTTTGCTGGCAAGCCACTTTTCACTGTTTTACGTCTCAATGGTCTTTCCAGTTTCCAAAATGTGTTCACAAAACAGTAATTATTTGATGGCATTAGCATGCTGTTAAACGACAAAAAAGAGAAGCTAGCTTCACTAAGATACATCAGAATTTCATTTGGGCCAGGCAAGGGTGGCTCATGTCTGTAATCCCAACACTTTGGGAGGCCAAGGCAGGCAGATTACCTGAGGTCAGGAATTCGAGACCAGTCTGGCCAACATGGTGAAACCCTGTCTCTAACAAAAGTACAAAACTTAGCAGGGTGTGGTGGTGCACACCTGTAGTCCCAGCTACTTGGGAGGCTGAGACAGGAGAATCGCTTGAACCCGGGAAGCAGAGGCTGCAGTGAGCTGAGATCACACGACTGGCACTCCAGCCTGAATAACAGGGCTAGACTCTGTCTCAAAAAAAAAAAAAAAAAAAATTTCATTTGGTTACATGCTATACACGTCAAATGTCACAGTTGCCAATTCCTGTAAAACCTTGATTTGGGGTCAGGCGTGGTGGCCCACACCTGTAATCCCAGCACTTTGGGAGACCAAGGTGGGCAGATCACCTGAGGTCAGCAGTTTGACACCAGCCTGACCAACATGGTGAAACCCCGACTCTACTAAAAATACAAAAAAATTAGCTGGTCGTGGTGACAGGCGCCTGTAGTCCCAGCTACTCAGGAGGCTGAGGCAGGAGAATCGCTTGAACCCGGGAGGCGGAGGTTGCAGTGAGCCAAGATTGCACCACTGCACTCCAGTCTGGGTGACAGAGTGAGACTGTCTCAAAAAATAAAAATAGAAATTAATTAATTAATTAATAAAACCTTGATTTGAGAGACTCCAAGGAAATAAAAAAGTCAACAATTCTAGAGGAGTAATATCATATGTTAGAGGCCTTCATTTTTCCCCTGCACCCAACCACAAACCATCCAGAGTTTGGAGGACTTCACCAAGGCCTCTCCAACCATATCACTTCTTTTGCTTGCAAGATTTTCTAAGATAACTTTTGTGGGGGCGCAAATTCAAGTTTAGGTAAGGTTCCCAGCCTTTTCAAATTAAGTCACCTTCTTACCAGATAAAAGGATTCCCAAGGCCCATTAGTTTCTGGCTAGGCACATAAAAGGGTTTCTTCAGCTTTGTTGGCCTCTTGCTTCCATTAATAAAACCCTTGCCAGATAAGAAAAACATGACTTGTGTTTCCTTGCACATTCATTCTTAAGAGTAAGATCAGGCCGGGCATGGCAGCTCACGCCTGTAATCCCAGCACTTTTGGAGGCCGAGGCAGGCAGATCACAAATCAAGGATTTGAGATCAGCCTGACCAACATGGTGAAACCTCGTCTCTACAAAAAAATACAAAAATTAGCCAGGCGTGGTGGTGCGCGCCTGTAATCCCAGCAACTCGGGAGGCCGAGGCCGGAGAATCACTTGAACCAGGGAGACAGAGGTTGCAGTGAGCCGAGATCACGCCATTGCGCTCCAGCCTGGGCAACAGAGTGAGACTCCATCTCAAAAAAAAAAGAGTAAGATCAAAGGACACACAAGTTTATCCTACTTTTTCTTTTCTTCTTATAATTTCTCTTATCTGTGTATGTGTAGGATTTTTTTAGATTTAAACTAGAACCTGCATAAATAACATATGACATGGCAAATTTTAAACGATTCCTCTCAATGGAAAACTGTTTTATACAGTCTTCACATAAAGCAATAATTAAAACTGCACATAATCTAAATGGATATGCTAGCAATCCACAATACCCTACACTTGTGGAGTTTTTAAATTTTTATTATTTTTTTTTAAATATGGAACTCTTCACAAATTTGCATGTCATCTTTGCACAGGGGCCATGCTAATCTCTGTATCATTCCAATTTTAGTGCTGCCAAAATAAGCAACCTATACTTATTTAAAGTAAGAGATGGGAAACAAATTCCTAAGCAATTTTGACTTAAAAAAAATGTTTTGGCCGGGTACGGTGGCTCATGCTTATAATCCTAGCACTTTGGGAGGCCAAGGCAGGAGGATCAGTGGAACTCAGGAGTTTGAGGCCAGCCTAGGCAATATAGTGAGATCTCATCTTTGTTTAAAAAAAAAAAAAAAAGTTTTAAATATTTAATTTTCAAATTAATAGGAAAATACATTTAAAAAATACTTTCTAAAAAAATACTGTCAAATTTCAGTTTACAGACCTCTCCTCAAAGTCCTGGAATAAGATAAAGAATTCCTAGCCTAGGCAACATAAGGAGACCCAGTCCTTACAAAAATTAGCTAGGCATGGTGGCACATGCCTGTAGTCCCAGCTACTAAGGAGGCTGAGGAGGGAGGATCACCTGAGTCTGGGGAGGTTGTGGTGGCAGTGAGCCATGATCGTGCCAATGTACTACAGCCTGGGTGACAGAGTGAGACCCTATCTCAAAAAAAAAAGGATTCCTGATCTTCTATCTCTAATGTTATTATAAAATACATATTCAAAACA
Source organism: Homo sapiens (assembly GCF_000001405.40). NCBI lineage: Eukaryota > Metazoa > Chordata > Mammalia > Primates > Hominidae > Homo > Homo sapiens. Next base: position 110,722,929 of record NC_000006.12, read on the forward strand.
AACAACAGTGGCAACTATTTAACTATTGTGACAGAATGTCTTTTCTAAAGATGGTCACAACAGTATCTTTGTACCACAGGCTCTTCCAAAACCTTGTCAACTCCCTCAGCAAGAGGTGAAGTCTAATTCCCCTCCTCTGTCTGAGTGTGCACTTGTAACCAATAGAAGGCTGTGGAAATGACAATGCTCAGCTTTCAAGGCTTTGTCAAAAAAAACAAAAAACAAAAAAAAAAACGCAGATTTGTCCTTGTTCACTTTAACATTCGAGGCCGCCAGGTTATACACAAGCAAGGCCACATGAAGGCAGTCTGGTCAACAATGCTAGCCTAGGTACCAGACATGTTGGTGAAAAAGCCATCAAACTATTTTGGCCCCCAGGAGTCAAGTGTGTCAATCTCAACTTTCCAGTCTTCCCAACTGAGATCCCAGTCACCACATGGCTGAGAAAAATCTATCCCCACTGTGCCCTTTCAGAGGGCACAACTTGCAGAATCGATGTGCATAATAAAAAGTGTTTCATGCCACTAAGTTTTGGAATGAGTGTTAAACAGCAGTATTAACAATAATAAATATATTAGGGGAAAAAGTTAACCCCATCTCTAAAATTGGATATTTTTTAGTCTAAACAATGCTAGGTTCCTGACCTACAAAATACCAACAAAGTAAATGCAATAAAATTACATACGGATTTTCTCTTGTGTCCACCACCAAAAGTTCTAAATAAAACAAACTTACACTAATCACTCCTGATTTTCACAAATGACAATTAAAGGCCTTTTTATACTTCAGCTCTTAAATAAGTCTCACAGAAATTATATGAACAAAGCCATGCCCACAGGCTTAAATGCTAGCTAGCTAAATTGTTAATACAAATTGTGATGTTTCTTCCCTTGCTGAGTATTAGAATATTCTCATCGCTTCTCGGCCTTTTGGCTAAGATCAAGTGTAGAATATTCTCTTCCCGTTATCTAGAAAAAAATGATTAACAAAATCCAATAATACTGAATATATCTTTTATATGTGGTCTACAATTGATAGTAATCATTTACTGCACAAGCTAAGACTGGAAAACATACCAACATTCTTAAAAAAAAAAAAAAAACTAGTTTAAAAGAAAGTAATTTTAAAAACTAGCCATTATAGGGCCAGGCACAGTGGCCCATGCCTGTAATCCCAGCACTTTGGGAGGCCGAGGCGGGTGGATCACCTGAGGGCAGGAGTTCGAGACCAGCCTGACCAACACAGAGAAACCCTGTCTCTACTAAAAATACAAAAATTAGCCAGGCGTGGTGGCGCATGCCTGTAATCCCAGCTACTTGGGAAGGCTGAGGCAGGAGAATCACTTGAACCCGGGAGGCGGAGGATGCAGTGAGCTGAGATCACGCCATTGCACTGCAGCCTAAGCAACAAGAGCGAAACTCCACCTTAAAAAAAAAAATACCAACAAAACAAGTACATAATGTGGTAAGGGAGTATGACTGACCGCACTGCCCTGCTCATCCTTAGGGACACCAAGGTGGACTGTCCAATCTTCCTCCCCAAATTTTACTGTATGGTTCTCGGTCTACCTGGAAAAGTTCTGGAGCAGAATAGTGACACAACTGTATCTAAAATTTGAGATCAGTCCAGTGGCTTTGTTTAGGATAGGCTGGCAGAGAGGCAAGGAGAACAGACACTAAAGTTTAGGCACAACAAGATAATAAAGGTGCACTAAAAGTAAAAATGAAAAAGCTAAAGTTGAAAAGCTTTTTGAAAGAAAAAACATAGAAGACTTGGCAATCAAGTACGGTGAATCTTCAACTATTACATAAAAGATCTCTTCTAAATTTATTAGATAGCTAGATAAGATCTTTTTTTTTTATTGTTTCTGTGCCGGAATTAAGTATGTCTAAAACTACAGTGCAATATCAGAAGTATTAATATATAAACACCTAGGTGGAAAATGAAATATACAAAATTACTCAGAATTCTAAATTATACAGATATGGGAAGGGTACCAGCTATTGGAGTCTTTCAAAATGGCACTGTGAATACAGAAATGAATACAACCAAGTAAGCAAAATCAAAGTGTCTCCAACTGATACCTACTATGTGAGCTCCAAAAGTACAGAATTATTATTGTATGCATTTTTCACTATTATATCTCCAGCATCTGGAATTTGTTGAATGAGCAAATAATTAAAGTACATTAAATCTCTAATCTCCATAAAATATAATTTATGTTAGTTTCAAAGGATATCTTATGGCTCTGTAGCTTTCAAAAACCACAGCAACAAAGGATAGAGAACAGTAGCCAAACTAGAATATGGAATAGATAATGCTTTTGGATGTTAAAAAATCCCAAAAGACTGAGGTAATAGAAATTAAACTAAATTTAGTGAGAGAGAACTAAGCAAACAGAAGAGGAAAACATGGGATTAATAATTTTAATTATAAATATAATATCTTCCCTAAACCCTCTCAGAAAAATAATGACTCAAATGTTGAGATGAAACTGAATATTACTAAACACAGATAGTAAGAAACAGCATAAAATGGGTAACACAATTTATATAATTTAAATGCAAAAAGATTTAAAATATCTTAGCATTGATTTTACAAAATCAGTAGACAGAGAGAGAGGGGCAGAGAGAGAGAGAGAGAAACAGATCCTGAACAAAATCCATCATCCCTCGTGCAGCCTAATTGGCTGAGAAATCATCACAAGGGTAATATGGGCATTGCACTAACAGTCTCATAAGCAGCCAATCAGCTTCTGGGTACAGACAATAAGCACCTTTAAATAGAACCTAGAAATTATTTCACTAAAATTTGGCAGTACTTAAGTTTTTTATTTAAATTGTTCAAGTCTAATTATGAGAGGGGAAATGTTGACTTAATACAAATTCAAAGATAAACTTTTACATAAGCAAGATAGGAAACACACTTTATTTACATCAAAGTGTAAAATCCTTTGTTACATTCTGCTTAACAATGCTTCTAAAAGAAATAAACAGTTATGTTCTATGGGCTTGATTTTATAAATAAACTCTTTCAGAAAGCATTTCTTTTTTTTTCAATCCAACTTGTAAAACACGCCATGTTTTCCATAAGAAACTAGTAGGGTGTTGCTATGGGAACAACATTTTAATACCATTTTTAAAACACCAGTAGCTTCAAAGAACAATAAGGTAAAGAAAAATGAAAGGAAACTATCTTATCTGATTGGGAAAAAAAGATAATCCTAGTATTTCATGATGCAACTGTTATAATCATGTTATAATCATGCAGCAAAAGCATTTCACATACTTTTTCTGTAGATGGGAAGGAAAGTATTAGGGAATACTTTAGGAGATAATTAGCAAAGGTAAATTAATGCAAGCATTTTGAGTAAGAATAAACAGATGTTACCAGGTCCTTGTCCCAGAAAATCAGAAAGGAAAGGACACTGATGTGTGTTGAAACTCTGAAACACTATCTCTATTCATAGTCCTAGAAAGCCATCTGAATCAAATATAAGTGTTCTTTCAACTCAAGCCTAAAGAAAATGGGGGGATTATTAAGTAATAATTGATATACAAGTAATGCCTGAAAAGGTTCCATTTAGAAAATGGCCCCAGTTATAGATACCTAAGTGAATAGGGTGGGGAGGGATCTTAAATCTTAATTAATTTAGAAAAATATTTTGAACTAGTGGTTTGGACTTATAATTTTATCTGTTAACAAAAAAACTATATTTTTGTTAATAGCAAACAAAACCACAATTGAGTGGGAAAGATAGATCACTACACACTTCCAAAAATGAACCTGGCCTACAGAGAGCTGGGCTTTTTAGACTCCAGACTTTACAAAGGTGCTGGAAAAAAGTCCACTGATTGCAGTCATTTTGCTACAGAGCAAAAAATATTTACTTCTAAGTTCTGAAGAGTAACATGGAATATATGGAAGGATTAATAATAATACTTTGCATTTTCATAATCCCATAAAGTCTACAAGGTACTCTCGTATAAATTAAATCACATGCCATTTTTCCTCTAAGATAATCAAGCTGGAAAGAACAACTATTATTCAGTGGCACATCTTCATAACATTCTGTCAGAGAATAATATTTATAGTTTTATTATAGGTCAACAATAGAATACTGGGTTTCAATAATATGAACTTTTCAATAAGTAGGAAAGACAGAGACATAAGACAGAATTAGGTTATATAAGACCATTTCTCATGAGATATATGAAAACACATTATAAAAGTCAAATTATTACATACAAAAGATTCTTGGTTGAGCTATGATGAATACTAAATTGCTCTATAACTAGTAACTAACCACCCAGACCCTCGCCATACCCCTTTCACTAACTACCTATTTTTCCATTTACTGTTAGAGTGCTTTTCCCTCCCTCCCACACTACTAATCCTTTAAAGCCCATCTTAAGTATTTCCTTATCTTTGAAACTTTGAGATCATCATGTCCAAAGTGGCCTCACTCCACTTACTGTACCTACTCTTTCAGAATGCCTTCAATCACAGTCTTGTAGTATTAATTATATTCAAAAATGTGTCTTATCTTCTGGACCAGCATATAAGGTTCATGATGGAAAGAAGCATGTCATATATTGCTCTTGTATAATCCTCTTCATTACTGAGATCATAATTGTCTCTTCCTCCTCTTAAATGTTTCAATGGACTCTCAAACTCAAGATGTCTTTTTTAAAAGAAAATCTCTGTCTGCCCTCTCCATCTTAGTTCTCTTCTAGAATTCCTCTCTCAAGAAGAGCGACTGGGCCAGGTGCAGGAGCTGACACCTGTAATCCCAGCACTTTGGAAGGCCAAGGCAGGCAGACTGCTTGAGCCCGGAAGTTTGAGACCAACCTGGGCAACATACCGAGACCTCATCTCTACTAAAAAAAAAAGAAAGAAAGAAAGAAAATTAGCCAGGCATAGTGGTAAATCCCTATTGTCCCAGCCCAGCTACTCAGGAAACTGAAGAGGATCATTGGAGGCCAGAAAATCGAGGCTGCAAAGCACTATTATCCTGCCACTGCACTGCAGCCTGGGCAACTGAGCAAGACCCTGTCTCAAAAAAAAAAAAAATGAGAAAGGCCAGGCATGGTGGCTCACACCTGTAATCCCAGCACTTTGGGAGGCCAAGGTGGGGGATCACGAGGTCGGGAGTTCAAGACCAGCCTGAGCAACATGGTGAAACCCTGTCTCTACTAAAAATACAAAAATTAGCCGGGCATGGTGGCGTGCACCTGTAATCCTAGCTACTCAGGAGGCTAAGGCAGCAGAATTGCTTGAACCTGGGAAGCGGAGGTTGCAGTGAGCTGAGATTGCACCACTGCACTCCAGCCTGGGTGACAGAGCAAGACTCCATCTCAAAAAAAAAAAAAAAAGAGAGAGAGAGAAAGAGCACATGCTATCTATTAGAAGTCAAATTAGCTGCCAAAGCCAGAAAAAACGGAAATCTTTGCCACCTCTCTCCCTTGCTGCCTATATCCAATTCATCAATTTCTACCCATCTGCCCTCAGGAAAAATCTCTAAGTTTTTTTCCACTTCTGTCTATCTTCCCTAGTCTGATTGCTGCAGAGGTTTTCTAACTACTCTCCCTACATCTTCTCCTCTATCTTTACTCTCATCTATTGATACCATAGTCAGAGTGGTAAAAAAAAAAAAACTAATTTGACTGTGTCATTTCCCTGCTAAAACCCAAGATCATTAACACAGCCCACACAGCTGCATGTGACCTGGCCCTGTTAGGGGGTCTTCCCCTCTCAGGTCACTTTCATCCTCACTCATCACTTCAGGCACACCAGCATCTCCTATACTCTCAAATGTGGCATGCTGCGTCATGCTTATACACAATGTTCCCTCTACTCTGCCTAATGAGCTCCCACTCATCCTTCAAATCTCTGCACAAATGTTACTTTCTTGGGGAAATCCTCCTTGATGCCCTAAAGTTAGATAATCTTTCTCTTGTTATCCTGCCATGATACTAGCTTTTCCTTAGCTCTTATCATCTTGTGTGAATATTCGTGTGAATATTTGTTCATTAACAATCTCTTCTGAAAGACAGTGCCTAGCACATAGAATAGGCAATGTATACCTCCTGAATGATTAATAATAATAGTCTAATATTTAATGAACCCTATATGCCAGGCACTATGTTAAGTGCTTTCCACAGATAAATAATTATTATTCTCCCTATTTTTACAGGTGAAAAGAGATTAGTAATTTATACAAGATCACAGACCTAGTAAGTAAAAGAGCTAGGACAGGAACCTAAATCTGTCAGGTACTAAACCCATGCTTTTTACCGTTAACTGAATTTGCTCCCCCAAACCATTGCTTGTAGAACTAAATAAATATATGTTGATTATTTAAAATGTCTACCTTCTATTGGACAAGAGGTTACTGAAAAAAACTGTGTACTCATACTATGATAAATATTAAGACACTTTTACACTAAGATAAAGAACAGTGGAAAAATTAAACGGAGTTTATTTTATGTTATTTTGTTGTTTGTTTATTTATTTTTGAGACAGAGTATCGCTCTGCCAGCCAGGCTGTAGTGCAGTGGCACAATCTCAGTTCAGTGCAACCTCTGCCTCCTGGGTTCAAGTGAGTCTCATGCCTCAGCCTCCCAAGTAGCTGGGACTACAGGCACATGCCACCAGGCCCAGCTAATTTTTGTATTTTTTTTTTTTTTTTTTTAGTAGAGATGGGGTTTCACTATGTTGGCCAGACTGGCTTGAACGCCTGATCTCAAGTGATCCACCTGCCTCCCAAAGTGCTGGGATTACAGGCGTGAGCCACCACGCCTAGACTTTATTTTTATTTTTTGAGACTAGGTCTTGCTATGTTGCCCAGGCTAGAGTGCAGTGTCTATTCACAAGCACAAATGTAGCACACTGCAGCCTCAAACTCCTGGGCTCAAGCAATCCTCCTGCCTTAGCCTCCCAAGTAGCCAGGACTACAGGAGCACAATACTGTACCCAATTCAGTTTTATTTAATTTGGAAATATTAATCCATTGAGTTATACAACTGGGTTGTATAACTGGGTCTCAGACTGAGAGTAATAGATGGCCCAAGACTAAATAGCTACATACCTCCACTGTTATAAGCAAGGCTCTGTACTGGTATAAAATAAGCCTTGCTGTAGTTTGCTATGTCCCCATTTCTGCCTTCATTGGAGTACTAACAGCAAAATCCAGAGCCTATCTTGATTGGATTTATTATACTCCAATTGGAGAGTAGGGAAGAATTTTAATGAAATCTCACGAAGTTTTTCTACATTAAGCTTAACTTGAATGACTTGAAAAAGGAAGTAGCTATAGTGGCTATTTTACTTCCTGGCAATCCTAATCAACCCAAAGACAATGCAAGGAAGCCATGCAGAATTGGATGGTTAGAGAACTCATTTGAGACTACCAGTAATCTAACACAAAATCTGTAGAAAAGTTTCTTTCAAAAAGGAATTAGAGCTGAATATCAGAAGAAGTTTAAACAACAAAGTTATACTTGTGGAACAGGTTCTAACTCAGCTTTCTTTACTATTTGATTTCACTAACATAATTATGGATACAAATAAGCCCATAAACTGTCCCATAACATGTAGATAGTTACGATGTAGGGGAGAAGTAATCACTTTGAAAGGCAATTAACAAAGAAACACTATTAAACTCAACAGATTGGAATAATTTTTCTAGATTAGTACCAGCTGCTATTCAACAATTCATGTATGTTTGTAATTAAATTTCTTCTTCTTCTGAGGCATCTTTGAACCTCAGTAGTCAAAGTGTCACCTTTGGACCAGCAGCATCAGCATTACCTAAGAGCTTATTAGAAATTTAGAGTATCGGCTGGGCACAGTGGCTCACACCTGTAATCCCAGCACTTTGGGAGGCCAAGGCAGGCCTATTACCTGAGGTCATGAGTTCGAGGCCAGCCTGGCCAACATGGTGATACCCCATCTCTACTAAAAATACAGAAATTGGCCGGGCATGGTGGCGCATGCCTGTAATCCCAGCTACTTGGGAGGCTGAGGCAGGAGAATCATTTGAACCTGGGAGGCAGAGGTTGCAGTGAGCTGAGATAGCACCATTGCACTCCAGCTTGGGCGACAAGAGCAAAACTCCATCTCAAACAAAAAAAAGAAAGAAAGAAAGAGAAAGAAAAGGAAGGAAGAAAGAAAAGAAAAGAAAGGAAAAGAAAAGAAAAGAAAAGAAAAAAGAAAAGAAAAGAAAAGAAATTAATTTAGAATATCAAGCTCTTTCCCAGGCCTGCTGAATGAGAATCTGCATTTTAGCATTTTAACAAGATCCCCAGGTGATACGTAGGGCCATAAAATCTGAAAATCACTGGATTATAGAATGACTCAAGGAAAAACAATCTTCACAACCTTCAGTGTGGGATCACTGGCTGTGATGATGCTGGAGACTGGCTAATTGAAAAAGAATACTGGATAGGCAAATCCATAGAGGCAGAAAGTAGATTTAGATTAGTGGTTGCCAAGGGCTGAGTTGGGGAGGGGAAGGGGTAATGGGAAATGACTACTACTGGGTACAGAGTTTCTTTGTGGGATGATGAAAATGTTCTGGAATGAGACAGTGGTGATGGTTGCACGACGTGTGAAAACACTAAAAATGAATGGATTATATAACTTAAAAGGACTGATTTTACGGTATGTGAATTGTATCTCAATTTTTAGAAAGGAAAAATATACTAGCACTGGGTCTTTTCCAGTCTCTCTCATGAAAGAGTCTAACTGGCTATTTCAATACTACATGACTGGCCATTAAAATTAAATATGGAGACTTATACTGACAGTCATTCTCTTGAATAAAACCATTCAATCTATCCTATTTGCATAGACTATCCTATTTGCATAGACTATCCAATGTTCAATAGTTGTATTTTGTATAGACTATGAATGGCAAATCATGTATCTCTTCATAAAGACAAATGAGAAGGGATAATGAATAGCTGGAACAGAAGGGGACACACAATAATTTACACAATAATAATGCCTTGAAAGGTGATAGTACTATTATATTTCTAGTTGTAATATTACTATTATATAATCTTCTATATCTTTCCCAAAACTAAGTAATCAGATCTGTGAAATTCAGGTCACCATTTTTACCCAACCCTCCCATCCCACCCACCTTGGCTCTTTTGCTCAGTAAACTGCGCCATCTAGCTAACAGAGAAATCATCACTAAAAGGTTTGTTTCCTAAATCTCTCTTAAATCTCAAATACTTCTCACCAATTCCTCCATTTTTACAAAGTCATTCAAGGTAGGGCCGGGCATGGTAGCTCATGCCTGTAATCCCAGCACTTTCGGAGATGGAGGCAGGTGGATCACTTTAGGTTAGGAATTTGAGACTAGCCTGGCTGTCACGGCGCAAAACCCTGTCTCTACTAAAAATACCAAAAAAAATTTAGCTGGGTATGGTGGTGCATGCCTGTATTCCCAGCTACTCAGGAAGCTGAGGCACAAGAAGCACAAGAATCGCTTGAACCCAGGAGACACAAAACATTTGAATCTGGGAGGCAGAGGTTGCAGTGAACAGAGATTACACCACTACACTCCAGCGTGGGCAACAAGGCAAGAAAAAAAGTCATTCAAGATGGCCCCAGGCTAACATTTTAACCTTTCTACCCTCAACTCTTCCTTGCAACCATATTAGACTTTTCCCATTCCTTTAAAGAACCAATCTCTCTAGTCTTTATTTTGTATTTTTTATATTACTAGTATTTTATTGTGGCACAATTTACATACAGCAAAATGCACAAGTCTTAAGTGACCAGCTTGAATTTTGACAGATATAAACACCTGTGTAACCACCAACCAAGATATACAACATTTTGTCCAGGAAGGGTGGCTCACACCTGTAATCCCAGCACTTTGTGGAGGGCCGAGGCAGGCGGATCACTTGAGGTCAGGAGTTTGAGACCAGCATGGCCAACACGGTGAAACCCCATCTCTATTAAAAACACAAAAATTAGCCAGGTGTGGTGGTGCACGCCTGTAATCCCAGCTACTTGGGAGGCTGAGAAAGGAGAATCGCTTGAACCCAGCAAGGTGGAGGTTGCAGTGAGCTGAGATGGCGCCACTGCACTCCAGCCTGGGCAACAGAAGACATACAACATTTTCATTACCCTGTAAAGTTTCTGTGAACTCCTTTCCACTCAACCCTCCTGCCCACCCAAGGCAATCACTATTCTGATTTCTATCACAATACGTATTTCTGTCTGCTCTTAAATTTCATATAAATAAAACCATACCCATATGTGTTATTTTGTATCTGGCTTCTTTTATTTAAATTAATGTTTCTGAGATTCATCCATGTTATTAAGTACATCAATTTTCTTTTTTAGAGTTTAATATTAATGCAGTCTATGGATACACCATAAATTATTGATCCACTCTCCTATGGCTGAACATTTGGATTTTCCCTTGTTTGGGGCTATTATGAATAAAGCTGTTATGAACATCCTTGTACAAGTTTTTTGTAGTCATGTGCATTAATTTCTCTTGGGTACAAATTACTTAAAAATGGAATTGCTGGATCATGCAATAGGTATATGTATAAATTCATCAGAAACTGCAAACTTTTTGCCCAAGTGGCTATACCGTTTCATGCTTCCATCAGTACCAGTTACTCCATAACTTCATTAACAATGGTATTATCAGTCTTCTTCATTTTAGCCATTCTGGTGGAGGTATAGTATATTTTTAAAATCTAGTTCAGTTTAATTATTAAATTATTTTAATATATTTTATATATATCGCTAAAACACAAAAAACATAGCAGAGATTATAATCAAATAAATAATCCTCTGACCCATACTTCACCTTTCCCATATGCAACTATTAACTTTTTCTGGTTTTTGTTTGAGTATTTTCTATCTTCAAGTGTTTATACCACTATTCTTGACTTACCAACTTTAAGCATTATTGATTTTCCGGTATAATGGATGAAACTGTAGCTCATTTACCTTCCATTTCCAGCATTCCTCTCCTTTTGATCATTTTTAGTTCATCTACTGTTTACTTTAAAAATTATTATTCATATAAGTTTTTGTTTCACCAACTTTGGTTTTTTTGTTTTTGTTTGTTTTTTTGAGACAATCTCCCTCTGTCACCCAGGCTGGAGGACAGGGGCTCACTGCAACCTCCACCTCCCAGGTTCAAGCAATTCTCGTGCCTCAGCCTGCCAAGTAGCTGGGATTACAGGCACCCGCTACCACGTCAGGCTAATTTTTGTATTTTTAGTAGAGATGGGGTTTCGCCATGTTGCCTAGGCTGGTCTCCAACTCCTGAGCTCAAGTGATCCACCCGCCTCAGCCTCCGAAAGTGCTGGGATTACAGGCGTGAGCTACCACACCCAGCCATTTCATCAACTTTTAACGGTACCTCTATTCTCCACACATTAGTGAGGGTAACCCTAGTTGCAGCAGTTAAATAAGCCCCAAAATTTTACTTGTGGAACACAACAAAAATTTACACATTGCTGTTTTAATAACTACAGTTTGGTAGGCTTAAAGGAATTAAAACAGTCAACTCCTCAAATACTATTGATAAAACTAAGAGGGTGAGCACTGCTCTCTCTCTCTCTCTCTCTCTCTCTCTCTCTCTCTCTCTCATGTCTGGGCTTTCCTCCATGCTGTTTCAGACCAAATATCCTTCTACATTCTCCCTTCTCCACCTGGCTAGCCCCTATTAGGCTTTGAAATTTATGCTACCACAAAATCCCCAAAGAGTCTTCCCAGACTGCCAAGTATGAGCTGGATGCTTCTCCAGCACACTGTGCTTAACTTTGTCACAGTCTTGATTATACAGTGTTGAAAATGGCTTTCTTGTCTGTCTCCTCCAAAACTATAAACTTCTTGAGGGAAAGGGAAAAACTGTATTCACTACTACATCCTCAGCATTTAGCACAATGCCTAGATTATAATAGATACTCAAATATTAAATGCAAAATTAAATTACTTGAATAGTAATTGGTACAATAGTAAATATTATTCAAATAATTACTTGATTAGTAATGACCTCAAATTCCTATTCAAGTAATGTATATTCAAATGACTATTTTCCACCCCTTATTCATTAAATCACACATGGTTATGGAAAGGAAAATCAGAATGGATCAAAAATTTTAGATAATAGTCCACAAAATTTAATTTTTAATCTTCTTTTTTTTTTTTATTTAATGAGACTGGGTCTTGCTATTTTGCCCAGGCTGGTCTCAAACTCCTGAGCTCAAGCGATCCTCTTGCCTCAGCCTCCCAAAGTGCTGGGTTTACAGGCATCAGCCACCACGCCCAGCACACAAATTTTAATTTTATATTTCAAATAAGAATATGCCTGAACACAAAGTTTAAAATCTTCTACTACAAAAAAAAACTTTATCAAAACAAATACCACTCCCTTATAATGTTACTAATATTGTTAAAGTAACAATTTCAAGTAAATTCTTGCATTTATTTAATAATTTATTAACAGCCCACTTTGTTCCAAGCACCATATAGACAGATTCCAAGGATTCAATAGTGAATATATCAGATACAAACTCTGAGCTAAATTTCATGAAGTCATAGTGAATCTATGCCAAAAATCCCCCATTTTAGACATGAAGAAACTAAGATTCACAGGAATTAGATACATTCTATTGACAGTTGCTTATGGGATTAATAATTCTTCTAAATCAAGAAACTAAAAAACAGGTTGCACAGACTGAGATATTTAATTCCAAACCGAAATTAAGCAGAATAAGTAGCCTGAAGAACAAACTAGAATAAAAGTAGAACTCATCCATATTGTAATCCAAGAGTTTATATATAGTATATATCACTAAAATATATGCAAGAGTAAGACTCTGCCCTGACAGGCAACCACTTCCTCCTGGTAACTCAGAAGATTTTTGACATCCTTGGAAAGAAGTGCTTCGCCAAAACATTTCATGAGATTCAGTTGATACTGCAGTTAGAGGGTGGAGCTGAGAATGACCGGAAAGTTCAGCAAGGAAAGAGATTCTGAGAATCTGAGGAACCTGTGAACTGCTGCACGGCATACTCCCTCAGCAGTGCCAGCCTTACTAGCAAATCAAAACATACCTGATTCCCCTTTAAAATCTTCATCTCAGCCAGGCGTGGTAGTTCACGCCTGTAATCCCAGCACTTTGGGAGGCCTAGGCAGGTGGATCACCTGAAGTTGGGAGTTCGAGACCAGCCTGACCAATATGGAGAAACCCTGTCTCTACTAAAAATACAAAATTAGCTGGGCGTGCTGGCGCATGCCTGTAATGCCAGCTACTCGGGAGGCTGAGAGAGGAGAATCGCTTGAATCCAGGAAGCAGAGGTTGAGGTGAGCCGAGATCACGCCATTGCACTCCAGCCTGGGCAACAAGAGCAAAATTCCATTTCAAAATAAATAAATAAATAAATCTTCATCTCTATTGCTACCTAGCAAATGGGTCCAGGTACTAATAGTAACTTGCCAAAGATGTACAGGATAATAGTGGAATCCAGATACAACCCCAAGTCTATCTGAATCCAAAGTTCAAGTTCTTTCCCACATTACGATCTGAAGCCAAAGGCATATTTAAAAATATATCTTTTTTTAGTTTTATCACTTCAATCTCCTATTTTTAATCTAGAATTACTAAGTTTATGTTAAATTTTATAGTTTGGTATCTTCTATAAGAACACATTTTAAAATGAAATTTATGGTCTTAAGAATAACTTACTTTGACCACAGTGAAAACAAGTTAAGCTATTTTCTTTGCTTAGAGTTTAAATGGGAAAAAGTTATTACCAATAATAATACCAACAACAAAAACCAGCACCATTTACTGCACATTTATATTCAGACTCGGAGCCAAGCCCCTCACATACCAGTATCAGATTTATTTTCAGTCTTTCTTCACTCTGCATTTATATCACTAGCACAACTTTGCTTCAATATTATTCAAGAGAAAAATAAACACTAAAAATAGGGAATTAATGGCCAATTAAATCTAACTGCTTAGAGCAAGAATATTAAATTGATAATTTTTATATTTTTAGGAGAACTAAAATAACTCTACTGATGTACTCAGTAGGGAGGGATACTGACACAGCAGAAAGCCAACTTTTCCATCATAAGCCACCAATTCTTCAAAGAAGGAAAGCATCTGCAGCTACCACAAGAGCCTAAAGGTTGTGCTAACAGCTAACTAGTCTATTCCCTTAGGGTGGCGGAAATGGAAAAGTTTTCAGCTACATCTATGACTTGTGTTACCACACCATCCCATCTTCCCTTACCATAACACACACACAAATACACACACACATCAGAAACTGATGAGCAAAGCTGATATCTTTTTTCAAACTGTTCCTTCTCACAAAAGTGAGTAACACAAAAGTGAGAAGGAACAAAACCCCAGAAACCTGTATGGCCCACCTCTTTTCTATTACTGGCAATAATCGGTGTTTAAATCACCTTCTGACAATACAAAAATATGTCACTTAGTCTTCTCATAGGAAACATAGTAGCTTGAAAAATAGTCCAATAGGTGTATACATACACACACACACACATCTTCCAAGAGTCTCATGACTTAACAGGCATAGTAGAGCAGACAACAGACAGATACACGATAGGACTGGAGGTTCTATTTGCTCGCTGGCTCCTTGTACCTTTTCAGGTCTTAAAAGGAAATAAAAAATGCTACAGTGTAGTTCCTCCCTAGGCACTGACCTTGTATTAGTTTCCCAGAATCCTCCTAAAATAATAGCAAACTCCAATCCCAAACTCTTACAAGATTTCATTTTTAAGTATAGGAGTTGGCAGAAAGTCTTTATTTTGCCAAGGAAGCTAAATATATATTTGAGAAAAATATTAACTATCACCATATATTGCAAGGAAAAAAAACCCACATTTTTCATAAGGAAATATCCATGCTGAGTCTTCAACTCCAAAAGTAAAATTTTTGTTTGTTTTTAAGGAAAACACAAGGATCACACCAAAGAACAGATCTTGCTCAAGGGAAATTTCACATTTACTTAGTTCTATTCTCTTAACACCATACCAAATTTTAAAGAAAATAACTGTTACAGAACATCATGTTAAAAGTCTGAAAAAAAAATTCTTTTTCTACTTTGAGTGTTTTTTACAAAAATCTCAGTACTAAACTTTGATTTTGTCCCTTTCACAGAAAAGGTAAAATACTTGATTCACACATCTATTTCCACTAATCTATACTTTCATAAAGTTGCACGCATATTTAAAAAGAAAAAGAAACTTGCACTCAGTGTAAAACATAAAAACAAGCCAGGTGTGGTGGCTCATGTCTGTAATCACAGCACTTTGGAAGGCCAAGGTGACCAGATCACTTGAGGTCAGGAGTTCGAGACCAGCCTGGCCAACACGGTGAAACCCCATCTCTGCTAAAAATACAAAAAAAAAAAAAAATTAGCCAGGGATGGTGGCACATGCTTGTAATCCCAGCTACTCAGGAGACTGAGGCAGGAAAATCACTTGAACCTGGGAGGCGGAGGTTGCAGTGAGCCGAGATCGCGCCACTGCACTCCAGCCTGGGTGACAGAGCAAGACTCTGTCTCAAAAATAAATAAATAAACAACCAAACAAAATATAAAAACAACTGAGATAATGTAATTAAATAATCTTAATAAAACTAAATAGATATTTCTCACTATACATATAATTTAATAAAATAATTTTAAGCTTGGTAGAAATTAAATTAAAAAGAATTAGAGCCTTGGCTTATAGACATTTTAGAGTTTTTCTCAGAGGAATCCTCAGCAAACATACATTCTATCAATTCCACTTCATAAATTTAAAAAAGCAAAGGTTTATTCCTTTATGCCAAGAGGAAAGTTCCAAGGATTCCACTGAAGTTTACAAAGCAGCCTGCTACACCACCATGGTGGCAAGAGAGGAAAAGAAAGAAAGAAGGAAAAGTGCTGCTCCACTCCACCCTGCCTGCTGGGCACTATGTGGAAGAACTGCAAGTGACAGCCCCTTTCAGCTGATCCTGCCTCTCACCACAGAAACATCAATGCTGGGATATTGATGGATATATACACTGAGAAAGAACTGAGCAGAGGTGAATGAGGAAGTGGAGTTAATCAGCAACCCAAGCCAGACTGCTGCTGCCAGCAGTCTGAAGAAGTCAGTATTTCCCTATTTCTCTTCCCTCCTCAATAAACTGAATGTTTATGCCCCTTGCCCTCCCAAATTCGTATGTTGAAATCCTAAACCCTAACCAAAGTGATGATATTAGGACATGAGGCCTCTGGGAGGTGACTAGGTCACGAGGACAGAGCCCTCATGAATGGAATTAGTTCCCTTATGTAAGAGAGCCGAGAGAAATGGTTGGCTTTCCACCATGTGGAGACACAGGGAGAAGACAGCCGTCCATCTGTGAACTAGGAAGTGGACCCTTACCAGACACTGAATGGGCCAGACACTGAATGGGCCTTGATCCTGGACTTCCCAGCCTCCAGAATTGTTAGAAATAGGTGTTTATAAGCCACCAAGTCTATGGTATTTTGTTATGACAGCCCAAACAGACTAAGACACCTCCTCAACCTATGCCCTTCACCCTACTTCCCCCTAATTTTCCCTTCAGCCACTCTTCACTTCATTTGGAAATATCTCGATGTTGTTAGAAGTACTCAGGAGTAATAATATTTTATTGTATTTTATATATATACATTTTTTTTTTTGAGATGGGGTTCTCACTCTGTCACCCAGGCTGGAGTGTAGTGGTGCAATCGTAACTCACTGTAACCTCTAACTCCTGGACTCAAGCAATCCTCCCACCTCAGCCTCCCAGGTAGCTAGGACTACAGGTGAGTGCCACTATGCCCAGCTAATTATTATTATTATTATTATTATTATAGAGACAGGGTCTCACAATATTGTCCAGGCTGATCTCAAACTCTTGGCCTCAAGCAATCATCCCACCTCAGTCTCCCAAAGTGCTGGGATTACAGGTGGGGGCCACCACACCTAGACTCAAGGGTAATAATCTTATAATCTTTATATCCTACAAAACTAGAATGATTAATAAATTTGAAATTTATATTTGTATTATTCCAGATTAAATTATATTTCATGAAAATTAATGGACTCTCTGCTCTTGTGGGGGGAAAAATTCTCTGTATTTTTGCAAAGAAAAAAGTCTAGAAGAATATACAAAAAAAAAATGATTACTTTTGAGTGTTGACATAACAGGTACTTTTACCAGCCTTTTTCTATATTGTCTGCTAATTTTACGACAAACATATTTTAATCTCATAATCGCAAAACAAATTAATGGTTGAATTAATAGCATTTACCACGTTTTCAACCTACCAACCTTAAGATCACAGAGGCCACAAATGTAATAGACTTCATATTAGAACTTCCCTGTAATCCCAGGCTAAAAATGCTGACGTTCACATGATCCTGGTATTTTAATCACCCAGAATTACTTCCTGTTGTGGCATAATGTAAAGTGTAAAGCACTGTACAAAGGTATGAGGTTATAATTAGCCTTTGGTCAATAAGGTTCAAATGAAATTAAAACGTGACATGACATTCTTTTTTAGTGAGACGAGGTAATAACACATTTCATTCTTAAACGTTTTTCCTTTCTGTAAACTTGTACTTCTTCCAAGTTTATTCCATGATTACAAGCTCTTTAACTTATTTTCCCAGCATCCCACTATATCCTCAACAGTTATTCTGCAATCATAGTCCCAAGTTTTAAAGTAATGAGTGAAATGTTCATTCCTAATTATTTCCGCCTTAAAATCCTCTCAGCTATGTGTGCCTATATGAACTACAAAATACTAGGCATTAGGTAATATAATGGTATGTAGAAGGAAGATGACAGAGAACAAGCCCTATCTACTCTTTATGGTGTTGCCTCCATTCTCCCCAATCTATCAGTCCCTCTTAGCCTCTCTGACTCTCAATTCCCTTATATACTCTGTCCTTCCACCACCAGGAAAACTAAACAAATAATAACTAAAATGAAAATTTCACCAGAGGGGCTCAACAGCAGAAGAAAGAATCAGAAAACTTAAAGACAGACAATTAAGAGTATCCAGTCTGACCAACAAAAAGAATGATGAAAAATGAACAGAGCCTTGGAGAGAGATCCATGGGACACCATGAAGCCTATAAACATATGTATAATGAGAGCTGCAATAAGAGAAGAGAGAAAGGAAAGGAAAGAAAGATTATGTGAAGAAATGATGACTGTGGTGGGGTGCAGCGGTTCATACATGTAATCCTAGCACTTTGAGAGGATGAGGCAGGAGGATCACTTGAGCTTAGGAGTTTGAGATCAGCCTGGACAACATAGTGAGACCTCATCTTTACAAAAAATTAAAAAAAAAAAATTAGCTGAGCATGGTGGTGCATACCTGCAGTCCCAGCTACTTGGGTGGCTGAGGTGGTAAAATTGCTTAAACCCAGCAGGTCAAGGCTGCAGCGAGCATGATTATGCCACTGCACTCCAGCCTGGGCAACAGAGTGAGATCCTGTCTCAAACAAAATAAAATAAAATAAATTAAAAAAAAAAAGAAATGATGGCTGAAAACTTTTCAAATTTGATGAAAAACATTAATCTACACATCCAAGGAGCTCAACAAACTCCAAGTAAGATAACTCAGAAAGCCGCACCAAGACACATCATAGGCAAACTGTCAAAGCCAAAGACAAAGACAGAATCTTGAAATCAACAAGAGGGAAAAAAAAAACCCTCTTCATATACAAGGGATTCTCAAGATTAACAGTTGATTTCTCATCAGAAACCACGAAGGCCAGAAAGCAGAGATGACACAGTCAAAGTGTGAAAGAAAAAGACTATCAACCAAGAATTCTACATCCAACAACACTAATACTGCAAAACTCAAGAAGAGCTGGGTAAGACAGAAAAAGAATTACGACATTCCCAGATACAAAAACTGAAAGAATACATTGCTGGTATACCTGATATACAAAAAAATACTAACAGGAGGCTTTCAGCTAAAATGAAAGGACTCTATACAGTAGCTCAAATCCACACAAAAAATTAAGAACACCAGTAAAAATAATGACATAGGTAAAGAGAAAAGAAATCATAAATGTATTTTTGTCTGTAACTCTTTTCTTCAATATGATGTAAAGGACAAATACATAAAACAATGTTGCGGGAAGTCAGGGACCCCAAAAGGAGGGACCGGCTGGAGCCGCAGCAGAGGAACATAAATTGTGAAGATTTCATGGACATTTATCAGTCCCCAAAATTAATACTTTTATAATTTATTACACCTGTCTTTACTGCAATCTCTGAACATAATTGTGAAGATTTCATGGACATTTATCAGTTCCCAAATAATACTCTTATAATTTCTTGTCTGTCTGTACTTTAATCTCTTAATCCCGTTATCTTCGTAAGCCAAGAATGTACATCACCTCAGGACCACTATTGTACAAATAGATTGTAAAACGTGTGTTTGAACAATATGAAATCAGTGCACCCTGAAAAAGAACAGAATAACAGTGATTTTCAGGGAACAAGGGAAGAAAACCACAAGGTCTGACTGCCTG
This sequence comes from Homo sapiens, assembly GCF_000001405.40. Taxonomy (NCBI): domain Eukaryota; kingdom Metazoa; phylum Chordata; class Mammalia; order Primates; family Hominidae; genus Homo; species Homo sapiens. The sequence continues at coordinate 110,742,505 of NC_000006.12, forward strand.
CGGGGTCAGGCAGAATAGAGCCATATTTTTCTTCTTGCAGAGAGCCTATAAACGGACGTGCAAGTAGGAGAGATATTGCTGAAATCTTTTCCCAGCAAGGAATACCCTGGGGAAAGAATGCATTCCTGGGGGGAGGTCTATAAACGGCCACTCTGGGAGTGTCTGTCTTATGCAGTTGAGATAAGGAATGAAATACGCCCTGGTCTCCTGCAGTACCCTCAGGCTTACTAGGATTGGGAAATTACAGCCCAGTAAATTTTGGTTAGACCGGATCTCTGCTCTCGAATCCTGTTTTCTGTTGAGATGTTTATCAAGACAATACGTGCACAGCGGGACATAGACCCTCATCAGTAATTCTAATTTTGCCCTTGCCTTGCGATCTTTATTGCCCTTTGAAGCATGTGATCTTTGTGACCTACTCCCTGTATGTATACCCCCTCCCCTTTTAAAACCCCTAACAAAAACTTGCTGGTTTTGCGGCTCAGGGGACATCACAGACCTACCGATATGTGATGTTACCCCCGGAGGCCCAGCTGTAAAATTCCTCTCTTTGTACTCTTTCTCTTTATTTCTCAGACCGGCTGACACTTACGGAAAATAGAAAGAACATACGTTGAAATATTAGGAGCTGGTTCCCCCAATAAAACAATAATTATAAAATTGTGTTAGTGGGCTTAATGTATAAGACATATGTGCACAGTCACTGTGCAATACCATCCATGGTAAACTTGTGTGAAAATCCCTATCATGTTGGGGTTAAGTATTTAGAGTACTGATAAAATGCTATTCAACCTAGAAACTGCACACTTTCTAAAGTTCTATTAGGCAAACTCTCAATAAGAATATGAAGGCTATGGCTGAGAGTGGTGACTCATGCCTGTAACTACAGCACTTTGGGAGGTTGTGGCGGGTGGATCACTTGAGGTCAGGTGTTCAAGACCAGCCTGGCCAACTTGGTGAAACCCTGTCTCTACTAAAATACAAAAAATGAGCTGGGCATGGTGGTGCACGCCTGTAATCCCAGTTATTTGGGAGGCTGAGGCAGGAGAATCATTTGAACCCAGAAGGCGGAAATTGCACTGAGCCAAGATTGCACTACTGCAACCCAGCCTGGGTGACAGAGTGAGATTCTGTCTCCTACAAAAAAAAAAGAATGAAGGCTGTAACAGATTTTAAGAGTTAAGTTTCTCCATCACATTCCAAATTTATATAAAGACACACATGCCCATGGATTCCCTGGCACATAGAAGTCTCTGTTTCAAAAAGGACATTTATAATTGAGTTATCACTTCCTATTAATCAATACCTAAAATTTCAGCTATTTACCCAATTAATTCATGGAAGGTAGGGCTGAAAATGCTGTGCTAAATTATGGTACTCTAACATAGAAAAATAGCCCACCAATAATATTTATATTGGTTGATATAATAACATGTAAGGATTTTAAAATGTGACAAATCACTTACCAAATGCTTATCTGGTAAAACATTACAAATACCTCCCCACGTTTTTTTTTTTTTTTTTTTTGAGACAGAGTCTCGCTCTTTCACCCAGGCTAGAGTACAGTGGCACAATCTCAGCTCACTGAACCTCCTAGGTTCAAGCAATTCTCCTGTCTCAGCCTCCCGAGTAACTGGGACTACAGGCGCATGCCACCACACCCAGCTAATTTTTGTATTTTCAGTAGAGGTGGGATTTCCCCATATTGGTCAGGCTGGTCTCGAACTCCTGACCTCAGGTGATCCACCCCCCCAACAGCCTCCCAAAGTGCTGGGATTATAAGTGTGAGCCACCATGCCCAGCCACAAATACCACTTTATAATCAATGGAAAATCACCAAATTAGAATTTTTTCAAACAATTTGCATCCTAAAGCAAACATAGGTCCAAGCATGGTGGCTCACGCCTGCAATCCCAGCACTTTGGGAGGCCAAGGCAGGATTGCTTGAGGCCAGGGGTTCAAGGTTACAGTGAGATATGATTAAGCCACTGCACTCCAGCCTGGGTGGCAGAGCAAGACCTTGTCTCTAAAAAAAAATTTAAAAATAAAAGTAACACAAACTTAGAATTGTGGACCACTGGTAGAATTTTTTCATTCTGTTCATTCATTTATTTATTCAAGAAACATTTATAGCACACTTGCTATGTCAGACACTATGGTAGGAACTAGAGATAAAAAGACAAGGTCTGCCCCTCAAAGTACACACAGTCCAGGGAGAGGCTCCCATTCTAGAATTAAAGAAGGTATGATTAGAAGAGACCTAATAGTTCCCTTATTTAACAGATGAAACTGGAACTGATCACTACTTAGCTACTAAGGCAGACAGACATCCAGGTCTAGAGATTTCCCACCCCATGTGTTCTTTGCACCACACTTCTTATGACTAAAAGCGATGAAGGAGTGTTTCCATGCAGGTGAAGCAGAAACATGGAACTGTGGGCAATATATGTAATAGTTATTAAATTAGAGAGAGAAATCCCTAATGGATACGGACAATATAATTATTTAACAATTATTAAGTAACAATTATTTAAATAAATTTCTAACAATTTAGAGACAAACATCTCTAATAGATGTGATATTATGGTAAAGCCCTAATTAGCAATCTTTACTGAAGAACTAAAATAAGGTAATATAATAGTAAGCCTTCTGAGCTATAATTAGTTTTGCCTCTGTTTTCTGATCTGTAAAATGGGGATATTAAAATTTTATTTCACAGATTGTTGTGAAAATTAAGTGAATTAATACTTGAAACCATTTAGTAAGCCTGGTATCTAGTACACACTCATTAAATGTTTAGTATTCTTGTGAACAATCATTTCTTAAATGTACTAGTATGATATATAAAGACCAAAACAGGGAACTATTTTCTTTAAGGGATTATCCTATTATTATAATGGTCTTATTTTCTGGTGACTAATAACATCTCACTATATTATATATTTCAGAAATAGTATTTAAAATGAATAAGATTTAATAGTATGACCCCTTCCTCTATAAAGACCTTATCAGTCCTAAAGCTACAGAAAAATAGACATTAATTAAATTACTAATTAAAATAAAATTCCATCACAATTTTAATAAATTAAATCATTTTGTTCAGTATTTCTGAGATCACAAATCTTAAATATCATTAAGAGGATATTCAAAGATGACTTTCAAGTAACTAAAAAGTTTATGGGCTACATATGGTGGCTCACACCTTTAATTCCAGCAATTTGGGAGGCCACGGAGAGAGGATCATTTGAGCCCAGAAGTTTGAGACCAACCTAGGCAACACAAGGAGACCTCTTCTCTACAAAAAAATTAAAAAATTAGCCAGGTGTGGTGGCACATGCCTGTAATCCCAGCTACTCGAGAGGCTAAGGCAGGAAGATCGCTTGAGCCTAGGAGGTTCACGCTGCAGTGGACTCCAGCCTGGGCAACAAAATGAGATCCTGTCTCAAAATTTAAAAATAAAATAAAAAGTTTATGCAGATTTTCTCACTCTACATAAAATATTCTTAAACTAACATATGTAAAATAAACATTCATTATATATATTAATGAAACTTTTATATTAAAATAAATCATCACCCAATATCAATAATAAAATAAATAACTGTATTTGTATCCACTTACTGCAATCTCTCTACAAGCCGACATGGATATTCCTGTGCCTTCAATTTGCTTCAATGCATATTCCTTTTCATCTTTTCTGCACATAAACAAAAAAACATCATTTTTCCATATATCACTTTCAGATTCAAAATTATAACTACAAAAACAATGGAAATGCACTTAATTTCTCAGTGATATGTAAACATTCTCATTATACCATGTATTGCTTATTATTTTTGATAATATTTCAACTACAGAAATATGAGATACCAAAAGAAATTCATGTCACAATGAAAACATCAGACACAGCGAAAACACAAAATTCAAAATTGAAACAGAACAGGATACTAAACACAGCACTAGTTTCAAAGAGTAAACAAGCATAAATATAAACTCAAACATATTGCAAGATAATTCCACTCCTGTCTTAATTACCTGGAGTCAACAAAAGCATTCTGTTATAGACATTCACTATAAAAAACTGACAGACATAAACTCCCAGATTCATTTAAAGTAATTTCATAGTATAAGAAGCTTTATAGGAATCATAACCCACTAAAACACACTGTATCTCACCTAGCATGGGGACATTCAAAAGCCCGAGGACCTCAATCAAAAGCCTTTTAAAGATTTCAAAGCTCTAGCCACCAACATGTCATTCTCAGGAACACTAGGAGAAACCCAGTAGTTAAAGTGGATTTTTCAAACAATGGACATAGTATTAGGAATCCTGGGAAATCCCAACAGTTACTAAGTTGCTTAACCAAGAGAATACAGCAGTTCAAAATCTGGTGAAACATTCTGTTAAAATATTAACAGTATGAGATAAGCAGCTAGTACAATACAGTAAGTACAGTAAGCATTCTCAAGGGTGCTGATACCAGAACCAGCCACACAAAGGTCTCAGCTGAATGTCATAACTATAGTTCATATTGTGAGCTGTTCTTATAAGAGAAGTTAAATCCATGCCTTCCAAGTTTTGTCTTTTGATCATATTAGAGCCTCAGCAAAGTATCACCATGTCATGATGTTTTTGTCAAATATAGCGCCAAAGTAGTGCCACATCTGTCTTAGCTATTCCTCATTTTCCCCATTCTATGTTTACCTGCAGATAGAGCAGTTTAGGATGTTATTCAAAATCCACATTTTAAAACACCATTTTAAATCCCTTTTGAAGATTTTCACAATCATCTTCAAGCAAATAATTGAGTTATGGTTACTTTCCCTCACAATGAGTTTGAAAATTATATCCATTTTTCTTCCAACAGATAGCATTCAGGAAATAATTAAACAGTATTTTGACAAATAAAACATACTAGGTATGTCAACAAGATGGACTATGATGCAATTTTTTAAATGATGGCTAGAAGGTCATTAGAAACATGGAAAATATTTACCATATACTACTGAGAAAATACACAAATTATACTATATAAAAATATACATCTACAAATATGTTGAAGGCAATACAAAAAATTAACAGTTACGTTAAGATATAGGAAGTTATGTCAACTAACTTTAGTGCTAATATTATATTGCCTTTAAAAAGCCAAAATAAATTGATACTCTGAGAATACCTACTAAAACAATCTTTAGTATTTTCAAAGTGATAGCTCAGGCATGTTTTAAAAAGCAAAGTCAAAAATAAGGAAAGTTTAAATGATCATTTTTTCCTTTTTCTCCATCCTGTTTTTTGCCCAGACATAAAACCAGACTTTTTCAGACCACTCAGAAGCCATTAAGAAGCATAAACTGCAGGTGATTGAATGTAATCAAAGCCAAGTGTCCCTCCTGTGCCTTAAATGTATTTGTGGGTACAGAGTGAGAGCACATGTGCCTGAGAAGCTCAACACAATGCTTACGATGTAAATTTTATACATTTAATAATTAAGTTATCTATCAGGTATCTATTGCTAAATATTTAAGTTTGATGTATTCTTGAAACAAAATTATAAAAGCTTTCTAAAAAATTTTTCACATGAAACTATAATTTTTTCAACAGAAACATTTCAATCCTCAGTTCCCCTAGACAAAGTAGTCCAGAAGCTCATGTAATTGCATAGTTTTATTTTTAATACTGTAAAGAATATTACACAATCTGGATAGGTTATAGTTGCTATGGAAACTATAAGATCTTTGCAGTAAGTCAAAAAGTGCAAAATTAACACATCAAATTAATGGCTTTTGAATTTCACATCCAGGCTGTCAAAGGAATTTGAAAGCTTGAACAGAAGAGACTGAGCATAGGCCTTTTACTCTAAATTATGTGGACAGGAACAAGGAACAAACCCAGTAATTATTTCACTTAATAAGTTTAAATATAACTTCCACCTGCTAAAATAAAATACTAAAAAATTTGCAATTTTAAGATTTATTTGCAACATTTAAATTGAGAATGAAAGAAAGTACATATATCATTACTATTTCTCTTTGTAAACTAACTGTCAGATGGTAAGTGATGATGCAGCATCTCTAAGGTTCACCATATGAAGAAGTTGCAAGGTCCCAGAGGGCATATGGGACTTCTTGGCACTGTACTACGTGAATGCCAATCTTTGGGCATATGCCAACACCTTAGTCTGAAGACAAAACATGCATCCTTTAACACAACGTCTAGAAATATTTCAATGATTAGGCACATGAGACAGGGAAGCTTTATTGCTCTCATCCCACGTGAGTGCCCCTCTCCAGGAGTTCCTCCAAGTAGAGGAATTCATACCTCACAGCTTAGATGTTTCAGGCACATGTAATATTAAATATCATAAAAGAACAATTTTTTATTTTACATGACAAAGCTGAAAAGCAGGTGAACCTGCCTAGCCTACACTGCTATGATAATCCAGCTTTTAGAGGCAGCTTAGTTCCTCCTTAAAACTATTTCATTTCCAAATTACTTTTATTTCTAAATAACATAAAGATAGACAAAGCAATTCCAAAGCCTTCAGAGAAACTGTTTTCTACATTTTCGTGTATATTAGATAGTATGATTAGAGCAACTGCATATTGAAATTAATCAGAGGAATTTACTAAATGCATCCAGAAGAATTAAAAATACATGTATTTGTACTATAAACATGGATAAATGCTATATAGAATTTTTAAATATCAAGATGTTTCTTCTATATGTCTATAACATGTAGCAACACCATGAAAACTTCACTCTCAGCAGTCACAATGAAAAACAATTGTTTGATGTGAACATTACGTAACAAAATAGAACAAATAAATTTGACACAGACCAATTCTATTAGGTCTTCCATCTGAGACACTATGTTCCTTTTTTTTTTGAGACAAATGTGTCCCCCAAGTACAGTAGCACGATCTGGGCTCACTGCAGTGTCAACTTCATGGGCTCAGATGATCCTCCCACTTCACCCTCCCAAGTAGCTGGGACTGCAGGCACATACCACACACCCAGGTAATTTTTGTATTTTTTGTAAAGATGGGGTTTCGCCATATTGGCCAGGCTGGTCTCGAACTCCTGAACTCAAGTGATCCGCCCACCTCAGCCTCCCAAAGTTCTAGGATTACAGGCCTGTACCACCGCGCCCTCCTGGCTCTGGAAAATTTTTGATGCAAACAATTCTATAGAGAGTAGAAAATATAAAAAGCACACATCTGTGCAAAAAACAGAAATCATTATTTTGCCTCATCATATGAATGACCACACTATTTTTTTTTTTTTTGAGACAGAGTCTTGCTCTGTTGCTCAGGCTGGAGTGCAGTGGCATGATCTCAGTTCAGTGCAACCTCCGCCTCCCAGGTTCAAGCATTCTTCTGCATCAGCCTCCAGAGTAGCTGGGACTACAGGTGCCCGCCACCACACCCAGATAATTTTTGTATTTTTAGTAGAGATGGGGTTTCACCATGTTGGCCAGGCTGGTCTCGAACTCCTGACCTGGTGATCCGCCCGCCTTGGCCTCCCAAAGTGCTGGGATTATAGGCGTGAGCCACTGCGCCCAGCCAAATGATCACACCATTAACCAAAGAAATGATGACATGACCTAAATGAAGACCTGGAAACCTAAGATTTTATCCTAAAAGCAATGAAAATTACATATGAAGGTTAATCTTATTAGAGAGGACTAAGATTAAAGGGATGAAAAACAATTAGGAAGTTACTGTGATGTAAGTGTGAGAAGGTGAAAACCTGGATGAGTAGAACAGAATGTTAGCTCTGAAAGGGATCTAAGACAATCCTGTATAATCTGTTCACTTCAGTGATGAAGAAACTAGGCCAGCAGCCAGAGGCAGAGCTAAGACCAGCTCTTCCAATTCTTCATGACAGAGGGGTAATAAGACAGGAGAAAAGAAGGGACACCTGTGATAGTCATTTTAAAGGAGGAATTGATGGGACCAAATGAACAGAAAAGATTGAGAAGGAAGAGTCAAAGATGAGTCTGAGGTTTTGAGCTTGGCTGATGCAAGGATGATGCCACTAAGAACAAGGTTCATATCAGATCTCAGAAGATTCTGTAGCTTATAAATGATTCCTTTACATAGAAAGAAACCCCAACCAAAAATGAAAATATCTCGGAAGTTCAAAAAGGAGATGTCCTGAAGATATTTATTTACTAAGCGTCTACTATAGCAGAGTTTCAGACTGAAAGGTTTGAATCCATAGATGTGATGATATTGCCTAGAGGAAGTAGCACATAGATAAGAAGACTTTTGAGTGCCCAGGAAAGAACTGGAGGGAGGGAGGAAGGGAAGGAAACAGTTCTGAAGATACTTCTCTTTTTCTTTTCTGAGACAGAGTCTCACTCTGTCACCCAGGCTGGAGTGCAGTGGTGCAATCTTGGCTTCACTGCAACCTCCGCTTCCTGGTTCAAGCAATTCTCCTGCCTCAGCCTCTGGAGTAGCTGGGATTACAGGCGCATGCCACCACGCCCAGCTAATTTTTGTATTTTTGGTAGAGATAGGGTTTCACTATGTTGCCAGGCTGGTCTCGACTCCTGGCCTCAAGCGATCCACCCACCTTGAACTCCCAAAGTGCTGGGATTACAGGCATGAGCCACCACACCCAGCCCAATACTTCTCTTTCATATCCCTTAGAACAGGGTCCTCAACACTTGGCCCACAGATCCCTACCAGTTGGTGGCCTGTTAGGAACAGGGCTGAACAGCTGGAGGTGAGTGGTGGGCGAGCAAGCAATGCTTCATCTGTATTTACAGCTACTCTCCATCACACCCATTACCACCTGAGCTCCACCTCCCGTCAGATCAGTGGCGGCATTAGATTCTCATAGAAGTGCAAAACCCACTGTGAACTGCACGTGCAAGAGACAGGTTGCATGCTCCTTATGAGAATCTAATGCCTGATGTTCTGTCACTGTCTCCCATCACCCCCAGATGGGACCATCTAGTTGCAGGAAAGCAAACACAGGACTCCTGCTGATTCTACGTTATGGTGAGTTGTATTTCATTATATACTACAGTGTAATAATAACACAAATAAAGTGCAAAATAAATGTAATGCACTTGAATCATCCTGAAACCATCCCCACCCTGCTGGGTCTGTGGAAAAACTGTCTTCCACGAAACCCGTCCCTGGTCCCAAAAAGGTTGGAGACCACTGCCTTAGAAGACAAACAATTCTATGAAGTTTGCTTTTTCTAAACCTTATGAGTCAAATTCAAATCATGAAATCATCAGAAATACAGTATCTAAAATAAGACAGTATTACCAGTTTTTACAACTAGGTGTTACTAGTAAGACATTCTTCAAACTATGTGATGTGCATCCATTGGTCAGATTAAAAAAAAAAAAAAGACATTCTTCAAATCATATGACATCTGAGCCAACTATTTTTTTCTTCAAGAAGAATGATGAAATAAATCAATGTTGTATCCCTTTCCTTTATTATGTGATGATTTGGCTTAGCCGAGTAGGAGGCTTCCACAACATGGAAAAATAATTTTAAAACACAATGTGGAATAAAAATTTGAAATAACAAAAAAAAAAAGATCATCTTGTTTCATATGGGTATCATTCTGAATTATTCAGTATCATCATGAGCCCAATATTCAGCCAGCCTAGTAGTAATGATCCCTTATTTGGAAACAGTATTCTTTATTACATAATAACATATTTAAATTTTTTATGATGAAATTTTTCAAAAATAAATAAATAAATGACAGTAATGCTGCATGTACCCATCCCACAATTATCAACTCGTGGACAGCCTTATTTCTACTGCCTCTACTTTTCTTAATTATTTTGAAACAAATCCCAGACATCTTTCCATTTCATTTATAAATAGTTCAATGTCGTAACACTTTAATATCAAGAATTTTTCTAGTTTGAATAGTCTTTTAAAGTAATTCTGAAACATTTAAAATCTTCCAACATAAGGTACTGCTATTATTTTGTTTTCTTCTTATTAATGAATGATGTCAGATAATACTAGCACACTCTTTATGCTTTCCTTTCCTTTTCTGACAAAAATGTGCTTCAAAAATTATGCTTTCATCCACCAAATATTTCACCTATTCTATCTCTAAACATCACCAAAATACAGTACTATTCTTCTTTATTCAACTTAAGAATTCCCTCGCAACATGAAAATGTGACAACAGTTTGATTATGTCTTTGCTTTCATTTCTTAGAAAGACTACCTTTATTTACTCCTGTTTTTGTGTATGTATGGAGACAGGGTCTCACTATGTTGCCCAAGCTGGTCCCAAACTCTTGACCTCAAGCAATCCTCCTTCCTGGCCTCCCAAAGTACTGGAATTACAAGTATGAGCCACTGACCTAGCCTACTCCTTTTTCTTACAAACTGATTGACTAGTTATCTCGGGTTTTTTTTGTTTTTGGTTTTTTATTTGTTTGTTTGTTTGTTTAGACAGAGCTTCACTCTGGCACCCAGGTTGGAAGGCAGTGGTACGACCTCAACTCACTGCAGCCTCGACCTCCGGGCTCAGATGATCCTCCCACCTCAGCCTCCCAAGTAGCTGGAATTACAGGCATGCTCCACCACACCAGGCTAATTTTTTGTACTTTTTGTAGAGACAGGGTTGTGCCACGTTGCCCAAGCTGGTCTCGAATTCCTGGGCTCAAGCAATCCGCCCACCTTGGCCTCTCAAAGTGCTAGGATTACAGGCGTGAGCCACCACACCTAGCTAGTTATCTTTCTCTTAAAAATGATCTTCATTATATACTATTTCCTTCATTTAGAATTCCAAGTCAGATAAATATTTAGTATTTTAAAAGCTCTAAAATTATAAAATTTTAGAAATCTCTATTAGTTTAGCCAAAAAAAACTTTCAAAACAACTAGAATAATTTTTTATTTTTTTTTTAGACAAGGTCTCTGTCACTCAGATTGGAGTGCAGTAGCGCGATCATGGCTCACTACAGCCTCGACCTCCCAGACTCAAGCAATCCTCTCACCTCAGCTTCAGAGTAGCTGAGGCTATAGGTGTGCACCACCACACCTGGATTTTTTTTTTTTTTTTTCCTGTAGCGATGGGGTCTCACTATGTTTCCCAGGCTGGTCTCAAACTCCTAGGCTCAAGAGATCCTCCTGCCTTGGCCTCCCAAAGTGCTGGGATTAGAGGGGTGAACCACAATGCTTGGCTTAGAATAATGTTTTAATTGATGAATTAATTGTATAATTTCTTTTTTTTTAAGGTGTTCATATTTATTTGACATTTGTATGCAACCATATCTTGGAGAGTTTTAATGAAAAACAATTTACTGAATTGAATTTGCACATCAATATACTTCACCAGTGGTCCACTAATGCTTCAAATCTTATTAATTAGGATATGTTGATAATATTTCCCCAAGCTTCTTACTTTTTAGTCAACAACTACTTGAACTGTCAGTGCACTTCCAAAATCTCAAGTTCAATGTTGCATTGGTAAATATATTACTACATATCATCAATATTTAATGCTTAATTTGTTTCTAAAATTGGCAAATTCTTTTTTTTTTTTTTTAGACAGGGTCTTGCTCTGTCACCCAGGTTGGAGTGCAGTGGTGTAATCACGGCTCACTGCAGCCTCAACCTCCCAGGCTCAAGCAATCCTCCCGCCTCAGCCTCCCAAGTAGCTGGGATTACAGGCACAGGTCATCACACCCAGCTAATTATTTATTTTTTACTTTTTAAGACAGGGTCTCGCTATGTTACCCAGGTTGATCTCAAACTCCTGGACTCAAGCAATCCTCCCATCTCCACCTCACAAAGTGTTGGGATTACAGGCCTGAGACATCGCACCTGGCCTAAAAATGGCAAATTCTTATTGCTGGGAAATGAATTTTTAAAAAATGTATCTGCAGTAATGCTTAAGACTTCAGGCATTGCTTTTAAGGCTTAGGCTTAAAACATTAATGATTAATAGACTGCAATCATTAGTAAATATTTAGTTAAACTAATTTTTTTTTTTTTCAAGACGGAGTCTCGCTCTGTCACCAGGCTGGAGTGCAGTGGCTCAATCTCAGCTCAATGCTACCTCTGCCTCCTGGGTTCAAGCGATTCTCATGCCTCAGCCTCCCAAGTAGCTGGGATTACAGGCACGCGCAACCATGCCCAGCTAATTTTTTTGCATTTTTAGTAGAAACAGGGTTTCACCATGTTGGCCAGGATGCTCTCGATCTCCTGACCTCGTGATGCACCCGCCTTGGCTTCCCAAAGTGCTGGGATTACAGGCGTCAGCCACCCTGCCTGGCCTAAACTAAATTTTTTATAGAAAACATTATCTTACTTTGAGAATTCATGAATCTTAAGTCAGACTTACTTGCAACAGAAGGTAATATAATAAGTGATGTGAGGCATTTATTTCAGAAATATGTTACTAAGCACATAACATGTGTCAAGCACTGTGCTAGGTTCCAGGAACAGGAGGAAGAAAGAGCTGATCCCTTCCCTTGTGAATTTTTTTTTTTTTTGAGATGGAATTTCAGAAAGAGCTGATCCCTTCCCTTGTGAATCCTTTTTTTTTTTTTTTTGAGATGAAGTTTCGCTCTTGTTGCCCAGGCTGGAGTGCAGTGGCACAATCTCAACTCACTACAACCTCCGCCTCCCAGGTTCAAGCTATTCTGCTGCCTCAGCCTCCTAAGTAGCTGGGACTACAGGCATGCACCACCATGCTCAGCTAATTTTTGTATTTTTGGTAGAGATGGGGTTTCGCTATGTTGGCCAGGCTGGTCTCGAACTCCTGACCTCAGGTGACCCGCTTGCCTCACCTCCCAAAGTGCTGGGATTATAGGCGTGAGCCACCATGCCTAGCCCCTTGTGAGTCTTTATACAGAGAGACACACAAGCAAAGGGTACAATCTAATAAATGCTATAACAGAAAAACATGCAAAGAACATCAGATAATGAGTGAATAGAAGGGCTTGGTTGTGGTGGAGGGGATAGACAGGGACTGCTATCAGGTAAACAATTTTCAAAGGAACATTTGAGTGGGTCCCGAGAGATAAGCAGGATTTCACTGAGCAAAGGAGGAAAGGACAGGGCCTTATAGACACCAGAAACGTGTGGACAAAGTCCAAAGATTAAGATCCATGCTATATCCAAGCAATTAGCCAAAGACAAATACAGCTAGAATACAAGAGGTGAAAAAACACAAGAAAAGAGCAAAGCAGACAGAATCAGCATAGTTTTGTATGGTATGCTGAAAACTTGGCACTTTTCCTGTACTATCGAAAGCCATCAGAGGTTTTCCAGCAAGAGAAACATGATCAAACAGGTATTCTCAGTAAGCAGATAGTATGCAGGGTAGATCAGAAGATTTAAAGCCAGAGGCAGGGGGATCAATGTAGAAGTTTGAGGAGGGTGGATGAGGGCCAAAATTAGAGTAAATGTAGTCAGAATGGAGGGAATGGACTCAAGAGGCATTTCAGAGAAAAAAATATATATCTATTATGGCCAGATGCGGTGGCTCATGCCTGTGATCCCAACACTTTGGGAGACCAAGGCAGGCAGATCACTGAGATCAGGAGTTCAAGACCAGCCTGGGCCACATGGTGAAACTCTGTCTCTACTAAAAATACGAAATTAGCTAGGCGTGGCACACACCTGCAATCACAGCAATTTAGGAGGCTGAGGCAGGCACATCACCTGAGGTTAGAAGTTCAAGACCAGCCTGGCCAACATAGTGAAACCCTGTCTCTACTAAAAATACAAAAATTAGCTGGGCATGGTGGTGCGTGTCTGTAGTCTCAGCTACTCAGGAGGCTAAGGCAGGAGAATTACTTGAACTCGGGAGGCAGAGGTTGCAATGAGCCGAGATTGCACCATTGTATTCCAGCCTGGGAGACAGAGCGAGACTCTGTCTCAAAAAAAAAAAAAACGTACAAAAATGAGCTGGGTGTGGTGGCTCGCCCCTTGGTCCCAGATACTCAGGAGGCTGAGGCTGGAAGATCACTTGAGCCAGGAAAGTGGAGGTTGCAGTGAGCCAAGATTGCGCCACTGCACTCCAGCCTGGGCAAGACCCTGTCTTAAAAAAAAAAAAAAATTATCTACTGTGGCCAAATATATTTAGGTACATTGTAGGCATTCAAGAAATATTTAATGAATATGTATGCATATGTGTGCACATGTTTGTGTATATATGTATGTGTATATTTACGTGTGTGTGTGTGTATGTGTATATATATGTTTCTTGGGCAGACAGCCAAAAGAACAGCTGAAGGTAACTGAGATTTCTAGTCAAAGTGTTGTCTCAGTGAAATTAAGTCCATTTACAAAAAAGAAAAAATAATACTGACAATGGGCTAGTTTGGAAGTAGAGAATAAATTCGTTTTGGACATGTTGATTTTGAAGTAGCAACTGAAGAGGCAGTAGAATATGAATGAAAGAAAATAACAGAACTGGAGTTCAGAAAAGAGAACATCTCCATAGAGGTGACTGTTAAAACCACAGAAGTAACTGTGATCACAAAGGGAAAGAACACAGAACCAAAGGGCTAAAGATAGTGGTCAGTGCAACCAAACCTCTTTCACATGATGGCACTCACATAATGCTATTATTTCTACTCTGGACACCAGGGTAGAAACAGACAAAACCACACACGGGCAGAGAGAAAAGGACCCATGGGCTTCCACTGCCCTAAACCCCACTGGTTGCCAAAGAATTTAGAGGATTAATTAACAGGACCCATAACCCATTCACAGCACCCATGCCACAGGCGCCCTTCTTCAGTAAACACCATCCTACAAAAGGCTGAAGAAAGGGAAACTATTAAAATTCCCCGATAGTAGCAAATCTGGATGTGGGATATGCTAAGAAAATTGGGTTGACTCCCCTCCCCTTAGAAAAGGAGAGCCATAAAAAAGGATAACCTAGATGAAAAGAGACTCAAAGCATATAACAATCAAATACTATGCACGAAACACTTGACTAAATTGTGGTTCAAATAAAAATAGCTATAAAAGTTTACTTGTGGGACACCTGGGGAAATTTAATTATGAACCAGAATTTACATAATATTATTATGATATGGTTAATTTTATTTTTTAATTTTTATTAACTGTCAAATATAGGATAATGGTATGGTAATGCAAGCAAATGTTCTTATTCTTAAGAGATATAGGTTCAACTATTTGTGTGTGACATGTAATGACAACAACAAATTAATTTCAGGTTGTTCAAGTACATCAAAAACCATTCATATATGTACATAGAAATAAAGCACTTATAGAAAGATAATAACAATTGAACCTAGGCATTCAAGGCAGCTGAATGTAGGTGTTCACTGTTCTAAAGTAAACTTTTCTGCTTTTACAGAACTTTTCTTAATAACAAAATTGAAGAGAGAAATAACGAATAAGCAGCAGTTAAAGAGTTAAAGAGAAGGCCGAGTATGGTGGCTCACATCTGTAATCCCAGCACTTTAGGAGGCCAAGGTGGGTGAATTGCTTGAGGCCAGGAGTTTTGAGACCAGCCTGGGCAACGTGGCAAGACCCCATCTCTAAAAAAAATTTAAAAATTGGCTGTGCATGGTGGTGCTCACCTGTGGTCCCAGCTACTCAGGATGTTGAGGTTGGGGACCGCTTGAGCCCAAGAGGTTGAGGCTGCAGTGAGTCATGTTTGCGCTACCACACTCCAGCCTGAGCTACAGAGCAAGACCCTGTCCCCCACCTCCCCGCAACAAAAAGGAGTTAAAAAGAAAAACAATGAAAAACAATAAGAAAGGGGTGTACAGAAGCAAAGAAACAAGCATTAAAGGGTAGGTGGGCAAAAGTGTCAAATGTAGAAGCAAGGTCAAATAGGAGAGAATGGAAAAGAGCTCATCGAATTTAACAGTTAATGACATTTGTGAGAGCATCACTAGTAGAGCAAGCGCTTTGTTCAATACTCTCTCAAGGACCTTACCATACTTTATTATAATTAGTTAGAATTGATTCATCTCCCTTACCCCATCCCCAAATGAGGAAGGAGACTATCTTGCTCATTTCTGTATATTCTCTAGGAGCTAAGTACTTTGCAAACAGTAGGAACTAAACATGTTACCAAAATAAACTTGTTCATTAGTCTTGGTCATTTTAAAAAATATTTTCACAGTAATAAGAAAATCTAGAAAACTGTCTTTTAACTACACTCCAAAGATAAAAATATATATATTCTGAAAAATAAAATTAAAATGACAGTGATGATCAAACATCAGTATTTTTATTGTAAAGGTAATTATATCTAGAAATTCACCTAAAAGCAAGTACCTCCTTCTGGAGGGAAGGAGAAAAATATAAATATTTTGCCATTCTTAAATCCCACCCTGTCAGATCAGATAGAGCTAGATCATCAGATCAGACAGTACTGAATCAAAAATCTTCTCCCCTTAGGTGCATTTTAAGATTTAAGTCTTCATGAAATCATCTCAAATATAAATATCAATGAAAAATAAATACTTAAAAAAAAAAATGATGGGCCAGGTATAATGGCCCATGCCTGTAATCCTAGCACTTAGGGAGGCCATGGCAGGAGGATCACTTGAGCCCAGGAGTTTGAGACCAGCCTGGTCAACGTAGCAAGACCCTGTCTCTACAAAAACTAAAAAAATATTTTGGCCAGGCATGGTGGCTCACGCCTATAATCCCAGCACTTCAGGAGGCCAAGGCAGGCAGATCACGAGGTCAGGAGATCGAGACCATTCTGGCTAACACGGTGAAACCCCATCTCTACT
The DNA here is from genome assembly GCF_000001405.40 of Homo sapiens. Classification (NCBI taxonomy): domain Eukaryota; kingdom Metazoa; phylum Chordata; class Mammalia; order Primates; family Hominidae; genus Homo; species Homo sapiens. The sequence goes on from NC_000006.12 coordinate 110,759,237, forward strand.
AAAAATACAAAAAAAAAAATTAGCCAGGCATGGTGGCGGGTGCCTGTAGTCCCAGCTACTCGGGAGGCTGAGGCAGGAGGATGGCGTGAACCCAGGAGGTGGAGCGTGCAGTGAGCCGAGATGGCACCACTGCACTCCAGCCTGGGCAACAGAGTGAGACTCCGTCTTAAAAAAAAAAAAAAAAAAAAAAAAATATATATATATATATATATATAAATTAGCCAGGCATAGTAGCACATGCCTGCAGTCCCAGCTACTCAGGAGGCTGCAGCAGTAGGATAGCTTGATCCTGGGAGTTCGAAGTTGCAGTGAGCTATGATCGCACCATTGCACTCTAGCCCAGCAGTTCAAGGCCAACCTGGGCATTATAGCAAAACCCAGCTCTAAAACATAAATAAATAAGTAAAATAAAATATTAACACTGGAGATAATTTTATTTCCTTCTTTATGCTTATCTATACTTTTTGATTTTTCCATAATGAATATTAACTACTTGTATAATAATCATTTTCTTTTAAAAGTTTCCATATAAATTGACCTGAATTCACCTGTATGAAAGGTCAGGTTAACCTGACCTCGTTAAATGATCCATTTCATAGAAATGCCAACCCAAGACCAAATTCTAGTCACTAAAAAGCTGAAAAACAAGAAGTTAGGAAAAGAAAGCTACTGCCAAAGCAGAATAAATACCAATAATAATGAGCCAATCAACTGGGAACTTATGGAGGGCAACAGCATTTTTCCATTTACCATTAAATCAACATTAAAACAAAAAGTAATACTATCCAATACAACACATTTACAATAAGATTTATAATAATAGCTACACTTGTATGGTACTTACTATATGGCAGGGACCGACTAAAAGCCTCAACTAGGCCAGGCGCGGTGCATCACACTTGTAATCCCAGCACTTTGGGAGGCCGAGGCAGGCAGATCACTTGAGGCCAGAAATTCGAGACTAGCCTGGCCAACATAGTGAAACTCCATCTCTACTAAAACTACAAAAATTAGCCAGGCATGGTGGCACGTGCCTTACAGTCCCAGCTACTCAGGAGGCTGAGGCACAAGAATCACTTGAACTTGAGAGGTGGAGTTTGCAGAGAGCCAAGATTGTGCCACTGCATTCCAGCCTGGGCCACAGAGCAAGGCTTTGTCTCAAAAAAAAAAAAAAAAAAAAAAAAAGCCTCAACTATATTAACTCTTTTAGGCTGGGCACAGTGGCTCATGCCTGTTAATTCAAAACTTTGGGAGGCTGAGGCGGGAGGATTACTTGAGCCCAAGAGTTCAAGACTAGCCTGGGCAACACAATGAGACCCTGTCGCTACAAAAAAATACAAAAATGAGTTGGACATGGTGGCACATGCCTGTAGTCCCAGTGACTCAGGAGGCTGAGGTGGGAGAACAGCTTGAACTGAGAGGTCAAGGCTGCAGTGAGCTGTGATCACATCATTGTACTCCAGCCTGGGCGACAGGGCGAGACCTTGTCTCAAAGCATACAAAACTCTTACAATCCCTACAACGTGCTATGAAGCAGGTACTATTAACCATCCCCATTATACAGATGAGGAAACTGAAAGCAGGTAGACTAAGTAACTCGCTCTATATCACAAAGCTCATTAAGTGGCGATCCAGAATTCAAACTTAAGTAGTCTGGCTAAAGAGTCTGTGCTTTAATCGCTATAGTGATTATTTCCCTTCTCAGACGGGGAATATGCCTGTCCAGTCTCACAGGCAAGACAGCACGATACATCTGAAGTTCAGTAAGGCTGGTTTCAAGTAGGGGAAAGCAAGTTAAAGCTGGAGAAGCAAGAAGGCCAGATGAAGCAGAACAAGTAGGAACACAGGTAAGGATTTTAAGCAATCTGGGTTGGTGTTTTCGTTTGTTTTTTGATAGGAGGGGGTCTCATTTTGTTGCCCAGGCTGGTCTCGAATGCCTTGGCTCAAGTCATCCTCCTGCCTCAGCCTCCAGAGTAGCAGGGACCACAGGTACATGCTACCCTGCCCAGCACACAATCTGTGATTTTTGTAGTCTGAAGGTGTGAAGATAGCACAGGCAACTGGTTAAGAGGCCTTTGCAAATAATTTAAATGAGAGGTGGCTATAGTCTAAATTAGGATAGTAGCAGAGGCAATAAAAAGAAGTGGATGGATCTTACAGGTAATTAGGAAACAGTGTCAACAGAACATGTGGTGAAGAAACAAGAGAAAGAACTGCAAAAACTTGATTCCCAGTGTCTAGCTCGGGCAATGGGTGATGGTGATACCATTCACTGAGTTAAGAAGAGCAGATTGGGCAAGTTTTAAATAAGTTGAGAAGACTGTGGTATTGTGCAAACCAAGACGTCCAAAAGGCGTCTGGACACACATATAGTTTAGACAGGAGATGTGGACTAGAGATAGAGATGTGAAAGTATTTAGAAATTGAAGTCATGAGACTAGGAGAAAAGAATCCTGAAAAACATCATTTAAGGATGTTTTTCATTTAAATTTCACTTAAGGATGCTCAGTGGTTTACCAATTATTTTACTTTACTTTTGTCTTTCCAACTAAATACTAAGTTCATTGAAAGCAATGATGCCTCCTACAAGCCTCTGTAACTCCACAGCTTTTCACATATTTATGGGTATTTGTGAGGTACTTAACCAACTGAGATATGGAGAAGGGATAAATAAAATACACTTGACACTAGGAAAATCCTTTTCTTAGGATTCCTTTGATCTTCCATTTTCCCCCCAGGCTTTTGCTCCCTCAATTACTGCTGCCCTGACTGTGCTAATCCAATGGAAAAAGATGAATTTGGGGACTGATAACTCTGGAGTTATGCAAAGGTTCTGTGATCTACTTTCTCATACCCAATACCCCATAAGCAAATTAGGGAAAAATTATTTTGTTTAACAGAAAAATGGAGAAGAAGGATCCTCATTGAAAATAAAAGACAAAATTTGTTCTAGTGTATTTTACTGCCACAGTAGAAATTTGTATACTGTCAATCACAAAATATTCACTGTTTTTGGCCCTCCATCTTCTTCTCACTGATTGATTTCCCTGATCTCTCTTTCCTCCTATTCCTCCTATCAGACAAGATTAAGCTTTCCAGAAATTTTGTGAACACCCTAGCCTGAGGTCAAAGCTCTCTTCTCTGCATTCACCAAGCATGTGTATGCACTATACAAGTAGCATTCATCATATACCACTTTGTATGGTAACTTTTCCATAGTGTGTGACATAAAGAACTTGGGCTATGGACTTATATACCTCATATACCTATCCCACTAAGTCACACAGCGAATAGGTTACTTATACCTTCATATTATCGTTTTTGCACCTGTAAATTAAGAATATTTACCTTATTCAACAGCTTTGAAGATAAATGAGATAAGGCAGAATACGTAAAGCACCTAGCACAGTGTCCAGCACCTATTATAGGTTCATTAATATCAGTTCCTCCAACAAAATTGTAAACCTTTTAGGGACTATGGAAGAAGTTCACACATAGGCATTTCAATTAGAATACTTGGGAAGAGATACAGGAATATGAGTTTTTGACAAATACATATCAGTAAAAATGGAACACAGCACTTGAAATTATTCTTATATGAATAATAAGTTTCCAGAGAGGAAGTATCATTATCATGTGTATCTTTGTAGCCAATGTAATACCTTGGAGCTAACAATCAAATATTTGATGAATTGATTAACCGATTAGATGACTGACTTCACTGGCTATCTGCCTTTTCAAATAAGATAGAGGTTTACAGTAAGAGTCTAGAATTAGGTTTTACATTCAACAGGGCATTGTAGTACATATTGGGAACTACAACGCTTGCAACAATATACTGAGGTATAGTCTTTGCCCTCCAGAAGTTCAGAATAGAGAAACTAAAGAAAATAGAAGGTATTATATATTAAAACTGCCTGAATCCCATAATTTAAAAAACTTTTATGACCATCCATTTAATCCCATCTTTCTCATAAAAGTTAAGGCAAAGTGAAGGAATGGAGGGAAAGAGAATGGAGTGCTCCTATGATCTGATATAAGCAGTACTTGACAATTTTTATACTACCAAATATAGAATAATATATTGAGATTATTATAATTCGTGGAGAGAAACTAAACACGTTCCCCCTAAAATCAGAAACAAAGCAAAGATGTCTGCTCTCACCACTCTTATTATGTTTTTTTTTTTTTTTTTTTTGAGAAGGAGTCTTGCTCTATCACCAGGCTGGAGTGCAGTGGTGCGATCTCAACTCACTGCAGCCTCCGCCTCCCAGGTTCAAGCAATTCTCCTGCCTCAGCCTCCCGAGTAGCTGGGATTACAGGCATAAGCCACCACACCCTGCTAATTTTGTATTTTTAGTACAGAAGGGGTTTCTCCATGTTGGTCAGGCTGGTCTCAAACTCCCAACCTCAGGTGAACCGCCCGCCTCGGACTCCCAAAGTGCTGGGATTACTGGCATGAGCCGCCACGCCCAGCCTGCTCTCACCACTCTTAATCAACATAGACTGCAAGTCTTAGCTAATATAAGACAAGAAAAGGAAATAAGAGGTATACAGATTGGAAAGGCAAAAATAAAACTTTGTTCACAGACGACGTAATTGTCTACGAAGAAAATCCCAAAGAATCAACAAAAAAGAACTCCTGGAACTAATAAACAATTATAGCAAGATTGCAGGGTACAAGATTAATATAAAAAGTCAATTGTTTTATTATATACCAGCAATAAAAAATTGCAGTTGGAAATTACAAATACAATACCATTCACATTAGCAACCCAAAAAAGAAATATTAGGTATAAATCTAACAAAAGTATAAAATATATATAAGGAAAACTTAAACTACAAAACTGTGATAAAACAAATCAAAAAAGATCTAAATAAGTGGAGAGATATTCCACATATAAGTCTAAGAAGACTCAATATTGTCAAGAGCTCAATTCTTTCTAACTTAATCTATAGATACAACATAATCCCAAACAAAATCCCAGCCAACTGTTTTGTGGACATTGACAAACTGATTCTAAAGCTCATGGGGAAAGACAAAAGACCCAGAATAACCAATGCAATATTGAAGGAGAAGAACAAAGTTGGAAGACTGATACTACCCAACTTCAAGACTTATTATAAAGCCACAGTAATCAAGACAGTGTGATATTGGTGACAGAAAAGACAAATAGATCAATGGAACAGAATAGAGAGCTCAGAAATAGACTCACACAAATATACTCACATGTTCGTTGACAAAGGAACAAGGAACAGCAATGGAGAAAGAAGTTGTTTCAACATACAGTGCTAGTTCTAGCACTGGACAACTGGACGTGCATATGCTAAAAAAAAGAATCTAGACACAGACCTTACACCCTGCACAAAAATTAACTCAAAATGGACTGCTGACTTAATATAAAATGGAAAACTATAAAATTTTTAGAGAAGGCCGGACACGGTGGCTCACGCCTCCAATCCCAGTACTTTGGGAGGCCGAGGCAGGTGGATCACCTGAGGTCGGAAGTTCAAGACCACCCTGGCCAACATGGCAAAACCTCATCTCTACTAAAAATACAAAAATTTGCTGGGCGTGATGGCAGGCACCTGTAACCCCAGCTACTCAGGAGGCTGAGGGAGGAGAATTGCTTGAACTCAGGAGTCAGAGGTTGCAGTGAGCCAAGATCGTGCCACTGTACACAAGCCTGAGCAACAGAGCAAAACTCCATCTCAAAAATAAATAAATAAATAAATAAATAAATAAAAATTTTAGGGGATAACATAGAAGAAAACCTAGATGACCTTGGGTTTACAGTACTAAAACACAATTCATTTTTTTTTTTTAATTTGGGAAGTGGGACTTGACTAAAATGAAAAACTTAGGCTCTGTGAAAGGCACTTTAAAGAAAATAAAAAGAGCCAGGCATGGTGGCTCATGCCTATAATCTCAACACTTTGGAAGGCTGAAGTGGGAGAATTGCTTGAATCCAGGAGTTTGAGACCAGCCTAGGCAACATAGCAGGACCACGTCTCTACAAAAAATTAAAAATTTTTGACATTTTAGGAAGAAGGATCACTTGAGCCCTGGAGGTTGAGGCTGCAAATAGCTATGATCACACCACTGCACTCCAGCCTGGGTGACAGAGTGAGAATCCATATCAACGAAAAGAAGAGAACAGGTCAGACGCGGTGGCTCACGCCTGTAATTCCAGCACTTTGGGAGGCCGAGGCGGGTGGATCACGAGGTCAGGAGATTGAGACCATCCTGCCCAACAACATGGTGAAACCCCGTCTCTATTAAAAATACAAAAACTTAGCTGGGTGTGGTGGCACGTGCCTGTAGTCCCAGCTACTTGGGAGGCTGAGGCAGGAGAATTGCTTGAACCCGGGAGGCGGAGGCTGCAGTGAGTCGAGATCACACCACTGCACTCCAGCCTGGTGATACAGCAAGACTCCATCTCAAAAAAAAAAAAAAGACAAGGAGGGGAGGGGAAGGGAATATTATATATATAAATATAACATGGGGAGAATTGAACAATTTAACACCCAAATCCAATTAAAAAATAGGTAAATGATCTGAATAGACATTTCTCAAGGAAAGATATACAAATGACGAACAGGTATACGAAAAATGTTCAACATCACTCATTATCAGAGAAATGCAAAACCCCAATGATATATATCATCTCACACCAGTTTAAAATGGCTATTATCAAAAAGAGAAAATAACAAATGTTGGCAAGGAGGCAGAGAAAGGGGAACTCTTATATACTGTTGGTGAGAATGTAAATTAATACAGCCATTATGGAAAACAGTATGAACATTCCTCAAAAAACTGAAAATAGAAATACCATATGATCCAGCAATCCCACTACTTGGTATATACCCAAAGGAAAGAGAATCAGTATGTCAAAGAGATAGCTGCACTCCTATGTTTATTGCAGCACTATTCACAATACTGAAGATAAGGTATCAACCTAAACATCCTTCAAGAGATGAATGGATAAAGAAAATGTGGCATATATATAATGGAAAATTATTCAGCTACAAATGAATGAAATCCTGTCATTTGCAGGCCAGGCATGGTGGCTCACACCTGTAATCCCAGCACTTTGGGAGGCCAAGGCAGACGGATCACTTGACATCAGGGGTGCAGGACCACCCTGGCCAATGTGGTGAAACCCCATCTCTACTAAAAATACAAAAGAAATTATCTGGGTGTGGTGGCAGGCCCCTGTAATCCAAGCTACTCAGGAAGCTGAGGCAGGAGAATCCTTTGAAACCGGGAGGCAGAGGTTCCAGTGAGCCCAGATTACACCACTGGACTCCACCCTGGGCAACAGAGCGAGACTCTGTCTCAAAAAAAAGAAAGAAAAAAGAAATCCTGTCATTTGCAGCATCATTGACCCTGCAGGGCATTATTTTAAGTAAAATATGCAATGTATAGAAAGACAAATACCACATTTTCACTTATGTGTAGGAGTACAAAAAGTTGATCCTACCTAGTGCAATGGCTCATGCCTGTAATCGCAGCACTTTGGGAGGCTAAGGCAGGAAGACTGCTTGAGCCCAGGAGTTCCAGACCAGCCTGGGCAATATAGTGAGACCCTGTCTCTAAGAAAATAAACAAATAAGGCTGGGCATGGTGGCTCATGCCTGTAATCACAGCACTTTGGGAGGCCGAGGTGGGCAGATCACCGAGGTCAGGAGTTCGAGATCAGCCTGGCCAACATGGTGAAACCTTGTCTCTACTAAAAATTCCAAAATAAGATGGGCATTGTGGTGCGTGTCTCTAGTCCCAGTTACTCGGGAGGCTGAGACAAGAGAATCATTTGAACCAGAAGGTGGAGGTTGCAGTGAGCCAAGATTGTGCCACTGCACTCCAGCCTGGGCGACAGAGTGAGACTCTGCCTCAAAAATAAATAAATAAATAAATAGGAAAAAAAAAAAAGTTAACCTCATGGAAGTACCAAGTAGAACAGTGGTTACCAGAGGTTGGGAAGGGCCAGGGGATGGGGAGAAAAGGAGAGGCTGGTTAACAGGTACAAAATCACAGATAGGAGGAATAAGTTCTGGTGTTCCATAGCACAGAAGAGTGACTATAGTTAATAATAATTGGCCAGGTGCAGTGGCTCAAGCCTGTAAACCCAGCACTTTGGGAGGCTGAGGTGGGCAGATGACCTGAGGTCAGGAGTTCGAGACCAGCCTGGCCAAAAACCTCCGCCTCCCAGGTTCAAGCAATTCTCTCACTTCAGCCTCCCAAGTAACTGGGACTACAGGCATACGTCACCATGCCTGGCTAATTTTTTGTATTTTTAGTAGAGATAGGGCTTCACCATGTTGGCCAGGCTGGTCTCGAACTCCTGACCTCAGGTGATCCACGCTCCTCAGCCTCCCAAAGTGCTGGGATTACTGGTGTGAGCCACAGCACCCAGCCATGAAGAGAGAATTTTGAATGTTCCCAACACAAATAAATGATAAATGTTTGAGGTGATGAATATGCTAATTATCCTGATTTGATCATTACACATTGTATACATGTACTGGAGTATCACATGTAACCCCATAAATATGTAAAATCATTATATATCAATTAAAAATATTTTTTAAATTTGGGAAGTTAGACTTGAGTAAAACTAAAACTTTTGCTTTGTGAAAGATATTTTCAAGAAGGCAAAAATACAAGCCATTGACTGGGAGAAAATAATTGCAAAACAAATATCTGATAAAGAAGTGGTATCAAAAATAAACAAAGAACTCTTAAAACTCAACAATAAGAAAACAGACAGCCCTCCTTTCTTGAGAGGAGCTCTGAAAAGAAAATAAAAAGAAAAAGAAAACAAACAACTCAATTAAAAAATAAGCAAAAGATCTGAACAGACACCTCACCAAAGAAGAAATGCAGATGGGAAATAGGACACATGAAAAGATGCTCAACTCTCATGTCATTAGAGGTTGCAAATTAAAACACACCACTGTACACCCACTAGCATGGCTAAAATCCAAAACACTGACAACATCAAATGCTGACAAGGATGTGGAGCAATAGGAATGCTCGTTCATTGCTGGTGGGAATGCAAAGTAGTACAGCCACTTTGGAAGACAGTTTGGCAGTTTCTTACAAAACTAAACATGTTCATGCCATGTGATCCAGCAACTGCACTCCTTGGTATTTACCCAAAGAAGATGAAAACATGTCTAAAGAAAAACCTGCATACAAATGTTTATAGCAGCTTTACTCATAATTGCCAAAAGCTGGAAGCAACCAAGATATCCTTCAGTAGGTGAATGGATAAACTTGATATGTCCAGAAATAGAACATTATTCAGCACTAAAAAGAAATGAGCTATCAAGCCATGACAAGACATAGAGGATTCTCAAATGCATATTACAAAGTGCAAGAAGCCAACCTGAAAAAGCTACATACTCAACTCTATGACATTTTGGAAAAGGCAAAACTGTAGAGACAGAAAAAGATCAGTGGTTGTCAGGGGCTTGCAGGGAGGGAACCAGGGATGAAAAGGTGTAGCACAGGTGATGTTTAGGGCAGTGAGCTACTCTGTATGATACTGTAATGGTTAAATACATATCATTACACATTTATCAAAACCCATAGAATATACCTAATGTGTAGAGAGCAAACCCAAATGAAGGCCAGGCATGGTGGCTCAAGCCTGTAATCCTAGCACTTTGGGGGTCCAAGGCAGGTGGATCACCTGAGGTCAGGAGTTTGAGACCAGCCTGGCCAACATGACGAAACCCCATCTCTACTAAAAATACAGAAAAATTAGCCTGGCATGGTGGCACGTGCCTGTAGTCTCAGCTACTCGGGAGGCTGAGGCAGGAGAATTGCTTGAACCCTGGAGGCAGAGGTTGCAGTAAGCCAAGATTGTACCACTGCATTCCAGACTGGGTGACAGAGAGACTCTGTCTCAAAAAAAAAAAAAAAAAAAAAAACCCTAATGTAAACTATGAACTTTAGTTAACAATAATGCAACGATACTGAATTATTGATTTTAACAAATGTGTCTCAGTAAAGCAAGATGTTAATAATAGGGAAAATTGGCCAGGCACCGTGGCTCACACCTGTAATCTCAGCACTTTGGGAGGCTGAGGCAGGTGGATCATCTGAGGTCCGGAGTTCGAGACCAGCCTGGCCACCATGGTGAAACCCTGTCTCTACTAAAAATACAAAAATTAGCCGGGCATAGTGGTACATGCCTGTAATCCCAGCTACTAGGGAGGCTGAGGCAGGAGAATCGCTTGAACCCGGGAGCTGGAGGTTGCAATGAGCTGAGATGGCACCACTGCACTCTAGCCTGGGTGAGAGAGCAAGATTCCATCTCAAAAAAAAAAAAAAATAATAATAATAATAATAATAGGGAAAACTGGGGAGCAGGGGGTGGTATATGGGAACTCTACTTTCTACTCCAGGTTTTCTGTAAACCTAAAACTGCTCAAGAAAATAGTCAATTAATTTTTTTAATATTTTCATAACCATCCATTTAATCTCATCTTTCTCATAGAAACTGAGTTGGAGTTGGGAGCTGGGTGAGGAGTATTCCTATGTCTTGATACAGATACTCTATTGAGATTCTCAACTGGTAGCAAAATACACCACAGTCAGATTAGCTAAACAAATATAAGAATGCATAATTCAACAGTGATGAAAATGGCCAACTAGCCTGCAAATGTATGAAAGGCTTTAAATTGCTTCCAACCTATTATTGGTAAAGAGAAAATATCCTCAAAATAGCCACTGAAAAAAGTAAAATAAAGGCAAAAAGGTTTGGGAAGTAAAATTGTAGCTTACCCCAATAAATAGCCTGAAATTCACCTATCTCTTCTAGTTAAAAAAAATAGCTTCTCTGAATAGGAGGAAGTGAAAGAATAGTGAAACTTGGTTCATTGTAAAATGGTGTGCTCCTGTGTTGGGCACACAGTAGAGATTTCATAAATACATACTATCCAACTTCACATAAGGTGTATATCCTAAATATATGATATAATATGCAGCTACTTTGTATTAGTCCGTTTTCATGCTGCTGATAAAGACATACCCGAGATTGGGAAGAAAAAGAGGTTTAATTGGACTTACAGTTCCACATGGCTGGGGAGGCCTCAGAATCATAGCAGGAGGCGAAAGGCACTTCTTACATGGTGGCAGCAAGAGAAAATGAGAAGGATGCAAAAGCAGAAACCCCTGATAAAACCGTCAGATCTCATGAGACTTATTCACTACCACAAGAATAGTATGGGGGAAACTGCTCCCATGATTCAAATTGTCTCCCACTGGCTCCATCCCACAACATGTGGGAATTATGGCTGTAGAATTCAAGATGAGATTTGGGTGGGGACACAGAGCCAAACCATATCATTCCACTCCTGACCCCTCCAAATCTCATGTCCTCACATTTCAAAACCAATCATGCCTTCCCAAGAGTCCCTCAAAGTCTTAACTCATTTCAGCATTAACCCAAAAGTCCACAGTCCAAAGTCTCATCCAAGACAAGGTAAGTCCCTTCCACCTATGAGCCTGTAAAATCAAAAGCAAGCTAGTCACTTCCTAGATACAATGGGGTACAGGAATTGGGTAAATACAGGCATTCCAAAGGGAGGAACTGGCCAAAACAAACGGGTTACAGGCCCATGCAAATCCGAAACCCAGCAGAGCAGTCAAATTTTAAAGCTCCAAAATGATCTCCTTTGACTCGAGGTCTCACATCCAGGTCACACTGATGTGAGAAGTGGGTTCCCATGGTCTTGGGCAGCTCCAACCCTGTGGCTTTGCAGGGTATAGCCCCCCTCCTGGCTACTTTCACGGGCTGGTGTTGAGTGTCTGCAGCTTTTCCAGGTGCATGGTGCAAGCTGTCAGTGGATCTACCATTTTGGGGTCTGGAGGTCTTCTCACAGCTCCACTAGCCTGTGCCCCACTAGGGGCTCTGTGTGGGGGCTCCAACCCCACATTTCCCTTCTGCACTGCCCTAACAGAGGTTCTCCATGAGGGCCTCGCCCCTGCAGCAAACTTTTGCCTCAGCATCCAGCATTTCCATACATCTTCTGAAATCTAGATGGAGGTTCCCAAACCTCAGTTCTTGACTTCTGTGCACCCACAGGCTCAACACCACATGGAACCTGCCAAGGCTTGGGGCTTCCACCCTCTGAAGCAACAGCCTGAACTGCACTTTGGCCACTTTTAGTCACAGCTGGAGTGACTGGGATGCAGGGCACCAAGTCCCTAGACTTCATACAGCACAGGGACCCCTAGCCCAGCCCACAAAACCATTTTCTCCTAGGACTCCAGGCCTGTGATGGGAGAGGCTGCCTTGAAGATCTCTGACATGCTCTGGAGACACTTTCCCCATTGTCTTGGGAATTAACATTCTGCTCCTCGTTACTTATGCTAATTTTTACAGCTGGCTCCCATTTTCTGGGTTTTTCTTTTCCATAACATTGTCAGGCTGCAAATTTTCCAACCTCTTATGCTCTGCTTCCCTTGTAAAACTGAATGCCTTTAACAACATCCAAGTCACCTCTCGAATGCTTTGCTGCTTAGAAATTTCTTCCGCCAGATATCCTAAATCATCTTTCTCAAGTTCAAAGTTCCACAAATCTCTAGAGCAGGGGCAAAATGCCACCAGTCTCTTTGCTAAAACATAACAAGAGTCACCTTTGCTCCAGTTCCCAACAAGTTCCTCATCTCCATTTGAGACCACCTCAGCCTGGACCTTGTCCTTATCACTATCAGCATTTTGGGCAAAGCCACTCAACAAGTCTCTAGGAAGTTCCAAACTTTGCCACATTTTCCTATCTTCTTCTGAGCCCTTCAAACTGTTCCAACCTCTGCCAAAGTCACTTCCACATTTTCAGGTATCTTTTCAGCAGCGCCCCACTCTACTGATACCAACTTACTATATTAGTCCGTTTTCATGCTGTTAATAAAGACATACCTGAGATTGGGAAGAAAAAGAGGTTTAATTGGACTTACAGTTCCACACGGCTGGGGAGGCCTCAGTATTACAGCGGGAGGCAAAAGGCACTTCTTACATGGCGGCAGCAAGAGAAAATGAGAAGGATCCAAAAACGGAAACCCCTGATAAAACCATCAGATCTCATGAGACTTATTCACTACCATGAGAGCAGTAGGGGGGAAACCGCCCCCTTAATTCAAATTATCTCCCACCGAGTCCCTCCCACAACACGTGGGAATTATGGGAGTACAATTCAAGACGAGGAGATATGGGTGGGGACACAGAGCCAAACCATATCACACTTACTTGGTATCTAAACAACTATAATTTCCAGAAGCCCCTAAGAAAACCATTCCTCTGATTCCCATTCAGAATCTATCTAAAAACTAGTCACATTACTAACTTTATGTCTAAGAGTACATTGTTAGCTGCTATAGATCTCTTTCTAAAAATAAAAAACAAAACTGCCAAGGCAGGAGGGTTGTTTGAGGCCACAAGTTCCAGACCAGCCTGGGCAATAAAGCAAGACCCTGTCTCTACAAATAACTTAAAAAGTAGTCAGGTGTGGTGGCGTGAGCCTGTGGTCCCAGCTACTTGGGAGGCTGAAGTGGGAGGATTGCTTAGGCCTGGGAGGTCAAAGCCACAATGAGTTGTGATGGCACCACTGCACTCAAGGCTGGGAAATAGTGAGTCCCTGTCCCAAAAAAAAAAAAAAAAAGAGAGACTCATTAAGAAGGTCTCCATAGCAGGGCGTGGTGGCCAATGCCTATAATCTTAGCACTTTGGGAGGCTAAGGCGGGCAGATCGCTTGAGCCCAGGGGCTCAAGGCCAGCCTGGGCAACATGGGGAAACCCCGTCTCTTAAAAAAAAAAAAAAAAGGTCTCTATAAAAACATATTTTACAAGTGTGTGGGATGAGAACTAACTACAGGCAGATCACGAGGTCAAGAGATCAAGACCATCCTGGCCAACATGGTGAAACCCCATCTCTAATAAAAATACAAAAATTAGCTGGGCGTGATGGTGCGTGTCTGTAGTTCCAGCTACTTGGGAGGCTGAGGCAGGAGAATCACTTGAACCCAGGAGGTGGAGGTTGCAGTGAGCCAAGATCGCACCACTGCACTCCAGCCTGGCAACAGAGCAAGACTCTGTCTCAAAAAAAAAAAAAAAACAAGTTATCAAGAGACAGGTAACTAGCATATTGGAAACTAACATTTCTGGCAAATGGGACCTATAGCATGAATGCCTATCTTCCAGTCATGAGTCATGGATTAGGCTGCCCCTCTATTGTGAAGCAATTTTTCAGTAAAAGGAGCAGCATATGAATTATGACTTGGACAAGTTCCCACGAAGAAATCAGAGTAAAGCTAGGTCTGAGAAAATTACATGGTATATAGCATACATTATACTAATGCTGTTTTCCTACTCACTCCTACTATTTCTTAATGGCAAAGAAGTGAAATTTAGAGTCTTTAGTTCTATCTAAATGTTACTTTTTTTAATGAATTTTAGTAATACTGAATACAATTGTACGGGTATTATCTTGGTTTTAAATTTTATGAAAGTGAATCATTTAATGCATCATTATAAATTACTTAGTGATTACACTTGTGAAAAGCTCTCACCTGTCACATACCCACCCCAGCACACACACACAATGACACCAGAAGGCAATACTCTGCTTTACCTTCTGCTGAAAAGTCTGCTACCTCCAACGCTTGAGGTCCATACACGAAGCCCTCCTGGAATCTATGAACACAGCAGAGGCAAAAGGCAGAGAAGTTTATGTAGATTTAAAGTTACACTGCCCAAAACATAAAATGCCAAATGCCTATCACAAGTCTACATATCTGCCAAGGAACTCAGATTTTAGATTTGACAATGAGCATATCAACAATATATAGGTAACATTCACAATTAATTATATATAATGCAGCTTATTGTATGAAAAGACCAAAAGTTGAGCCTTAACTAATTATATTCTTACGAAAAGAACCAATTTATACTATTGGAAAAACTAATGCAGCAATAAAGTATGAATTTATATACACTGAAAGTAACAATTCAACTTTTTAAATTATGTGAGAGCCAATACATATGCAGTAGTCCCCCCTTATCCATGGGGAATACGTTCCAAGACCCCCAGTAGCTGCCTGAAATCTGGGATAGTACCAGACACCCTATACACACTGTTTTTTAATCTAATAACTAAAATGGCTACTAAGTGACAGGTAGTGTCTACAGCATAGATATACTGGACAAAGGGATGATTCATGTCCCCAAAGGGACAGAGGAGGACAGCGCTGGACAGCACAAGATTTCATCACACTACTCAAAATGGGTACAATTTGAAACACGAAATCTTTATTTCTGGAATTTTCCATTTAATATTTTCAGACCACAAGTCAGTAACTAAAACAGCAGAAAGCAAAACCACAGATAAAGGGACAATTATATAAAGAATATAAAACAAATTAAAGGCTGGGCACAGTGGGTCATGCCTGTAATCCCATCACTTTGGGAAGCCAAGGCCGGTGGATTGCTTGTGCTCAGGAGTTCAAGACCAGCATGGACAACAGGGCGAACCCCATCTCTACTAAAAATACAAAAACTAGCTGGACATGGCAGTGCACACCTGTAGTCCCAGCTACTTGGGAGGCTGAGGTGGGAGGATCACCTGAGTCCAGGAGGTTGGGGCTGTAGTGAGTCCTGATCACACCACTACACTCCAGCCTGGGCGACAGAGCAAGACCCTATTTCAAAAGAAATACAAAATAGGCTGGGTGCGGTGGCTCACACCTGTAATCCCAGCACTTTGGGAGGCCGAGGCAGGCAGATCACAAGGTCAAGAGATCGAGACCATCCTGGCCAACATGGTGAAACCCCATCTCTACTAAAATACAAAAATTAGCTGGGTGTGGTGGCATGCGCCTGTAGTCCCAGCTACTCGGGAGGCTGAGGCAGGAAAATTGCTTGAACCCTGGAGGCGGAGGTTGCAGTGAGCCAAGATCACACCACTGCACTCCAGCCTGGCAACAGGGTGAGAATCCATCTCAAAAAAAGAAAGAAAAGAAAAAATAAAAGAAATTAGGTGGAAAAATATACTTCACAAAATAGAGAATGGCAAATCCTGCAGCTCAAGGTACATTCTCTTCTTAGAACCAGAAATTATTGGGAATATTGGAGAAAAGCAATTAAAAACAGACCTAGAAGAGGACAACGTAAAAGAAAAAAGGAGAAAGTAGCACTGTAAAGCTATTCTAGTGGCAAAATTTAATTTAATTCTGACAGTAATGTTGAAATAAGCAAGGTACTACATATGCTAGGCAGTATGGGAGAAATCTACCTTGTTCCAATATCAAAATAAAAATAATCATGAAATATGAAAGGCTTTTCAGAAAACATTCATGTAAAAAATTAAGGATTTAATCAGGTAAAATATTTAGATCTCAGATTTTATTTCATTCTTTTCTGGTAATAGGGATAAAAGACTACAAAACATAGCTGATGTATGAGAAAAATGAATCAGATAAATTTTATCAGCTGTTAAATTTAAAAGAGAGAGGCATATTATCTTCATGGAATATTTAGAAATCTTTAAAAGTATCATCAAATAATTAGGAAAGAAGGAACAAAGTATTGTCTTAAAATCTGATGACACGTCAAGGAAAAAACAGTATTTTAAAACATTGGCCCTGAAGCCAGGTGACTTGAGTTCAAATCCAAGGTAGCTCATTTAATTGCTTTGTGACATCAGGCACTTAATCCCTCAGTATAACCAGAGTTGTTCAATGAGGACACCTTCACCATCTCTCAGATTTATACTGAATATCAGTGAAACAAGGTTTTTAAAAATGTTATAAATCACAGAGTGCTATTTTATGCAAAAATTTAAGCCAGTGCATTCTATTTAAATTAGCGACTTAACAAAAGCTGTTAACTAAGAACCAGAGAAAATAGCCAGGCGCAGTGGCTCATGCCTGTAATCCCAGCATTTTGCGAGACTGAGGCAGGTGGATCACCTGAGGTCAGGAGTTCAAGAGCAGCCTGGCCAACATGGCAAAAACCCGCCTCTACTAAAAATACAAAAATCAGCTGGGCGCAGTGGCATGCAACTGTAATCCCAGCTGCTCGAGAGGCTGAGGCAGGAGAATCGCTTGAACCTGGGAGGTGGAGGTTGCAGTGAGCCGAGATCGTGCCACTGCACTCCAGCCTGGGCAACAAGACTGAAACTCTGTCTCAAAAAAAAAAAAAAGAACCAGAGAAAAATATTCTTTGCCCAGCCAAATAATCTGGGGAGCTGTGTAAGGAAGCCTGAAGAAGCAATCAAAAGTTTGAGCTGGCCAAAAGAGCCTAGAATAGTTAGTTGTGAAAGCTAAATGGCAGCCAGAAGAGCACAGTCCCCAAGAGATGATTATATCAAATTACTAATTTAGCAATATGCCCAGCCTCAGCTGTATCTTCTCTTAATTCCCAAACAGCCTTCTAGACTGCACCCTCCTCTAAAGCAGTGCTTGTGACATTCTAAGTTAAGTGCATTTGACATACTATGTTGAAACACAGTGACTACTTGAATATTACATATAATCCTGAAAACCAAAGAGATAAATTCCCATCCATTAAAACAATAATAGCAGCAAAGCCTTACATAGAATGTTTGATGTGCCAGGCACAGTTCTAAGAGTTGTACAAGCACTAACTCATTCGGTCTTCACAACTCTGAGATAGGTACTATTATACTTTAAAGATGAAGAAATGAGACACAGGGAATTTAAGAAACTTGCCCAAAAGCAAGCAGCCAGAAGTGGCAAGTTAAACCCAGACCACTCCCAGAAACATGTTCTTCGTCACCACATCATCCAGCCTATGAAATTAAAATCATACAAACCGGCATCTATCTATATGTCAGAAGCCAAACAATTATATGTGTTCTCAAGTATTCAATCATGCTATATATTCCTCAGCATATGCAACATTTTCTCAGAAAATTCCAATTAAAATGATGTTGTATAAAATATGTAACAAAATGAGAAATGTGATATGAAACTAAAAGAATTAGAACTTTTTCAAAACAAAAGGCCTTAAAATTTAAAATCAATATATCCGAATAACAAATAATATTGGTGTAAGAGTAGCAAGACTAAGTATTTCAGTTTTTTAAACTTGCTGTCATTTGGTTACATAACTCACTCAAACATTTTGTAAACTTTAAAATCTCAATACAATAAGATACGACCTCATACCTTATGATGGTTACTATCAAAAAACTAAAAAAGGAAAAACTAAAAAATAAAATAAAATAAGAAGGGTTGGTGAGGACGTAGAAAAACTGGAATCCTTGTGTACTGTTGGCAGGAGCATAAAATGGTGCAGTTGCTATGGAAAATAGTATAGTGGTTCATCAAAAAAATTAAACAGAGAATTACCATATGATCCAGCAGTTCCACTTCTGGGTATGGAGTCAAAAGAACGAAAAGCAGGGACTCAAGGAGATACTTCTATACCCATGTTTGTAGCACCATTATTCACAGTAGTCAAAATGTGGGAGCAATCCAAGCTTCCCTTAACGGATGAGTGGACAAACAATTGGTAGCATATACATGTAACAGAATATTAGCCATAAAAAGGAGGGAAATTCTGACACATGCTACAACAAGCTTGAAGGCATTATGCTATGTCATATAAGCCCTCACAAAAGGACAAACACTATAGATCCCATGTACATCAGGTAGGTACAGTAGTCAAATTCATAGAGACAGAAAGCAGAATGTGGTTGCCATGTGCTGGGGGAAGGGGAGAATGGGCACTTATTCTTTAATAGGTCCAGAGTTTCAGATTTGTAAGATGAAAGAGGTCTGTGGATGGATGGTGGTGATGGTAGCACAACAATATGAATGTACTCAATCCCACTGAACTGTATACCTAAAAATAGTTAAGATGGTAAATTTCTTGTTATGTTTATCACAATTTTTAAAAAAGTAACATGTGCTAAGTATAGAAAATCTAAAAAAGGAATTGCAAAAAAGAAAAATAAAATTATTTCATCTCCCAAAAAACCACTGTAAACCCGTTTAATGTATATTGTCATATAGTTTTTAAAAATCATACTACACACTTTTTTAAAAAAGGAATTCCTATCAATGTCTTTCTTAAAAACATTAATTCTCTTTAGTACTGATTTAATTTTACTAAAAGTTTAATTGGAAGTCTTTTAATTCAAAGGTTAAAATAATTAAAGTACAATTTTTGCCCCACTAAAACAGTTATGTCATCAAAATAACCACTGGAGTCCTCTAGGTTTCCCAGCAGAATGGCTTTTACTCAGAGTTAGTACAGAGTTTCAATTCTTGCATTATTAACCAAACCAGTCTTGTGTAAGCAATCACACGTATTACTACTTGGGTAAATTGTACTAAATTGTTCTCCCTAACTCCATTATCCATCCTCTTTGTGGCAACACTACTGGCTGCCTAGCATACACCCATTCTCCCTTTCTTCCTTAGGAACAGACCATGGTTTTATTCTGGGTGGCATGTATCCAGGTGAAGTGTACATTTCCCAGCCTTCCTCGCTGCTACGACTGGTCAATTAGCTAGAAGTGGAAGTCACTGGATGAGACACTTCCAAGATAGCTACTTAAAGGGAACTTAGCTAGAAGTGTGTCTGTAGTTCAAATATGGTGGATGGCACTCCAGCAGTCATTCTGGACAATAAGGGTAATGGAAGCTGTGCCAAGGGACAGTCAAGCAGACAGAAGGAACTCAGGTCTTTGATGATCCTACAGTCATCATGCCAAAACTGGACTTCAGTGTGAGAAATATACCTCTATTTTGTTGAGACCACCTGTTTTGTACTGTAGGTGAACCTAAATCTAATATACCCACCTTTACACTG
The DNA here is from genome assembly GCF_000001405.40 of Homo sapiens. Classification (NCBI taxonomy): domain Eukaryota; kingdom Metazoa; phylum Chordata; class Mammalia; order Primates; family Hominidae; genus Homo; species Homo sapiens. Next base: position 110,779,083 of record NC_000006.12, read on the forward strand.
CTGTATCAGTGATCTTTCTAAAATACAAATCAGAATCGTTAAATTCCTTATCTTGGCACATGATTCCTTATCTTTCATGATTCCTTTGACCTCTGCTTGTATCTGCAGCCTTACCTCCAGCCATAAAGAACCAATTATAGACTTCTAATACCACCCTGCCTTTGCACAGGTATATACACTTTGCTGGGAATAAATGCCTTTCCCCAGTCTTTCTCCATGTATCCTTCAAGTCTCAGCTCCTCCAAAAAGCTTTCCTGCTGCACTCACCCTATACACAGGCATAAACAACAAACTCGTGTACCAAATATGAATGGACAATGTTCCTTTGTGCTTACCTTACCTATGAAACTATAATGTAATGTGGAGATGTTTTGGTCTTCCTCTGTCATCAAAGTGAAAGGTCTTGAGGATAGGAAACGATTTGTAACTCTTTGACTTTCCATAGCCCTTAGCACAAGGTCTAGACTAGGGCATAAAGAAGAACTCAATAAATGTTAGATGAATAAATGAAGTTCAGAGAAACAGTCATTCTTAAGTACTTCAAAGACCTTGGCTGGGCACGGTGCCTCACGCCTGTAATCCCAGCACTTTGGAAGGCTGAGGCAAGAGGATCACTTGAACTCAGGAGTTTGAGGCCAGCCTGGGCAAAACAGTAAGACCCCATCTCTACAATAAATAAATAAATTTTTTAAAATCTCATATTCTCAAGCACTTAAAGGAGGCTGGGCGCTGTGGCTCACACCTGTAATCCCAGCACTTTGAGAGGCTGAGGTGGGCAGATTACTTGAGGTCAGGAGTTTGAGACCAGCCTGGCCAACATGGTGAAACCCTGTCTCTACAAAAATACAAAAGTTAGGCCAGGCGCAATGGCTCACACCTGTAATCCCAGCACTTCAGGAGGCCGAGGCAGGCAGATCACAAGGTCAAGAGATTGAGACCATCCTGGCCAACATGGCAAAACCCCGTCTCTACTAAAAATATAAAAATTAGCTGGGTGTGGTGGCACATGTCTGTAATCCCAGCTACTCGGGAAGCTGAGACTGGAGAATCACTTGAACCCAGGAGATGGAGGTTGCAGTGAACAGAGATGGCGCCACTGCACTCCAGCCTGGGCGACGGAGTGAGACTCCATCTCAAAAAAAAAAAAAAATACAAAAATTAGCCGGGCGTGGTGGCATGCACCTGTAATCCTAGCTGCTCGGGAGACTGAGGCAGAAGAATCACTTGAACCTGGGAGGCAGAGGTTGCAGTGAGCCAAGATCGCACCACTGCACTCCAGCCTGATGACAGAGTGACACTCTGTCTCAAAAAAAAAAAAAAAAAAAGTCACACTGTTGCCTTCATTTCAAATCACAACACAAAATCTTCTATCAAGGTATATATCAGAAGACATCAGAATTTATTTTTTTTTATTTAAATTTATTTTAAGACGGTAATACTTAAACTTCCTAACAAAATACCATTTTTCTTCCAAAACAAACCAAGCTTCTGAGTGGATAAACAAACCTATTTTTTTCAGTACGGTTGTTCAGCTGTTCAAGAGAAGGCAATGGAGAACATTTTATCTCATTTCAAGACATCTCTACAACAAATATTTATTGAGGATCAATTATGTGCCAGGCATTGTACTGCACAATTAAAATACTGAATGATGAGCTGCTTGAAAGAAGAATGTTCCAAGGTACTATGAGTGCAAAGGAGGAGTATCATGGACATTTCTCATCTCTGGAAGATTTCCCATCTTCCAGAGATGAGAAAGCAGACAGGAGGTGGCATTTAGATATACTTTTAAAATTTTTTAAAGGAAAAATGAAACTTGCAAGAAAGAGATTTTAACTTTTCATTTTTTTATAATCTCAAGTTTGTTCTTAGGTAAGATAGAAGAAGCCAGTGTCTTTTAGTGCCTACTACATAGCATTATGTAGTTCTTTATGCACATTATCTTGATTAACCATCCAAAAAGTTGTAAGGACAGAAAATGTGTGAGATATTAGTGTATTAGTCCATTTTGCGTTGCTATAAAGGAATACCTCAAACTGGCTAATTTATAAAGAAAAGAATTTTATTTGGCTCATGGTTCTGCAGGCCATATAAGAAACATGGCACCAGCATCTGCTTCCGATGAGGGCCTCAGGAAGCTTTCAATCACGGCACAAGGGGAAGGGGAGCCAGTGTGTCACATGGCAACAGAAGGAGCAAGAAAGAGAGGAGGGATATCCCAGATTCTTTTTGAACAACCAGATCTCCCTGGGAACCGATAGAGCAAGAATTCACTCATTACCTAGGACAGCACCAAGCCAGTCATAAGGGATCTGCCCCCATGACCCAAACACTTCCCAGTTAGCCCCACTTCCAACACCGGAGATCAATTTCCAACCTGAGATTTGGAGGGGACAAATATCCAAACTATATCAGACAGTTGCCTGTTCCCAGGAATAAGAAACATAGCAGAACTTGGTGAAAGCAAGACCCGATTCGGGCTGGGTGCAGTGGCTCACACCTCTAATCCTAGCACTTTGGGAGGCCAACACAGGCAGATGGCATGAGCTCAGGAGTTCAAGACGAGTCTGGGCAACATTGTGAAACCCCATCTCTACAAAAAAATACAAAAATTAGCCAGGCGTGTTGCCACATCCTGGTAGTCCCACCTACTCAGGAGGCTGAGGTGGGAGGATTGCTTGAGCTCAGGAGGTGGAAGCTGCGGTGAGCCAAGATCATGTCACTGCCTAGGTGACAACGTGAGACCCTGTCTCAAATGAAAAAAAAAAAAAAAACCTATTCAGAGATACAATCAGCTCTTACTTTAGAGTCAAAGAATCTCTGTCAATAACTTGCCAAAGTGGCTCCCTCACCGCAATCCCAATTCCCCAGAATAAAATTGTAAAGATTCCAAGATAAACTTTGTGAAGTTTAAAAGCTCATGCTATAATTACACACCAAAACAGAAGCAACTTCTCAAAGAAATCTGCTATACTCAACTAATAAAAGAAACAATTAGAGATAAGGGCATGATATAATAGCTTTTATCTGTCCAAACAAAATTGAATTCTTACTTGTACCCTCCCCTTCTAAATAAACCCAGAAACACAGGAGGAAAATAAGAACAAAAGGACAGACTTTCCACTCTGAAATTATGCTGCTAGCAACAACTGCTATTTGTCCCTTTTATGCCTGCTCAAATGATGTCACAGTTTGGTCCCAGGTTCTGGGAAATCCAATCAACTCTCATCCTGGCCACTTATCAGTCCTTCACTCAGTTGCCAAACTGATCACTGAATCCTAGCTCCTAAATAAATCCCTTGAACTTTTCCCCAGTTCTGCACCTTTTCTACCCCCACAGCTACCACTAAGAAACAGGTCCTCGTCATTCCTATTTGGACCTAACAGCCATCTACTTCCAATGTCATCCAACTTTTGTCCTTTCCACCAACCACACTGCTGCAAAACTGATCACAAAATTCTCCTCTGTAAAACTATACAGCAAACTGTTAAGCAGTGGTTATCTCTAGTGAATGGGATTACAGGGACTTTTCACTGCCTATTTTTTTATTACTTGTTTGCATGTTATGACAAACATGTATTCCCTTTACAATCAGAAAAAAAAATCACTATTTCCATTTTGGGAACTAAAATAATTTATTCCACTTGGAATCTATTACTCCCTTTCTCCATCAGGTTAAACACCAAATTCTATAGCCTGGCACACATTATCATGCTCTCCCTCTCTCTCAAACGCATCTCCAACCTCCATCCTGAGTATTTGCTCTAGACATCCTGAATGACTTGCTGTTGTTCTTTCCTCCACAATTTTATACATTTTGCTTCCTCTGCATAGACTAAACAATAATCTTGAGTCTGTTCCATATAAGCAATCTATCTCCCACTAATAGCTATCATAAATTATTAATCTAAGAATGAAGTTTCACTTGCTCACCTGCAGCACACTATTCCTACAGTCTGCGGCCTACAGTCCCACCATTATACCAACATACTAAATTCTTTCCTTCTGGTCAGGGTAACTGATGTTTTTAAAAGGATAAAATAAAATGACACTTTGCATCCATAGCCTGAGAGATGACATGGGAGGAGGCAGCACAATGCAGAGTACTAACTTTGGGTAGGGGCAGGAACAGCAGACAAATATAGGGCAAGGACCATCATTAAATTTGCTGCACAACTTTTCGGAGTGTAATAGCTTTACTTCAAGTGTTGCAAATTTCCACATCAAGTAAAAGCACAACAAAGTTAAATTTGAAAACACTAAGAATATCTGAGCTGGGTGCTGTGGCTCACACCTGTAATTTCAGCACTTTGGGAAGCCAAGGCAGGCAGATCACTAGAGGTCAGGAGTTCGAGACCAGCCTGGCCAACATGATGAAACTCCATCTCTACTAAAAATACAAAAGTTAGCTGAGCGTGGTGGCACACACTTGTAATCCCAGCTTCTCCAAAGGCTGAGGCAGGAGAATCGCATGAACCCAGGAGGTGGAGGTTTCCGTGAGCCGAGATCACACCATTGCTCTCCAGCCTGGGTGACAGAGTGAGATTCTGTCTCAAAAAAAAAAAAGAAAAAAAAAAGCACTTCCAGATCTAAATATAAGAGCTTAAACCACAAAACTCTAAGAAGAAAACAAAGGAGTAAATCTTTGCAACCTTGGATCAAGCAGTGGTTTCTTAGCACAAGCAACAAAAGAAAAAAAAGAGATGGATTGGACTTCATCAAAATTAAAAACTTTTGTGATTCAAAGTGAATCACAAAATCAAAGAAGTGAATCATCAAGAAATTGAAAAGGCAGGCTGGGCACGGTGGCTCACGCCTGTTATCCCAGCATTTTGGGAGGCCGAAGCAGGTGGATCACCTGAGGTCAGGAGTTCGAGACCAGCCTGGCCAACATGGTGAAACCCCATCTCTACTAAAAATACAAAAATTAGCCGGCATGATGGTGCACACTTGTAATATCAGCTACTCGGGAGGCTGAGGCAAGAGAATTGCTTGAGCTGGGGAGGCAGAGGCTGCAGCGAACCAAGATCACACCACTGCATTCCAGCTTGAGTGACAGAGCAAGACTTCGTCTCAAAAAAAAAAAAAAAAAAAGGAAAGGAGAAAAAGAAAGTGAAAAGGCAACTCAAAAAAAACAAGAAATATTTGCAAATTATACATCACATAAGAGCACAATGTTAAGAATATAAAAAGAACTCTTACAACAATAAAAATACAACCCAATTTTAAAATGAGCAAAGAATTTGAATAGGTATTTCTCCAAAGAATATATGCAATGGTCACTAAGCACATGAAAAAATGCTCAACATCATAAGTTATTAGGGAACTGCAAATCAAAACCACAGTGAGCTACCACTTCACACCCACAAGGATGACTAAAATCAGAAAGATAGACAATACCATATGCTGACAAGGATGTAGAGAACTGAAACCCTCATACATTTCAGGTGGAAATGTGAAATGGTACAGTTGCTTTGGGAAAGAGGCTGGTAGTTCTTCCAAAGGTTAAACATCAACAGCTAACATATTATGCTGCAATTCCACTCCTAGATATATACCCAAGAGAACTGAAACATATGGCCCAACAAAAACTTCTACAAAAATATTCATACCAGCATTAATCATAATAGCCTAAAAGTGGAAACAATCAAATGTTCATCAGTTGATGAATGGATAAATACAACGTGATATATCCACACAGTCATCTGAAAGAATGATATACCCATACATGCTACAATATGAGTGAACTTTGATTATGCTGAGTAAAAGCAGCAAGACACACAATAACATATATAGTATGATTTCATTTTTACATATGTCCAGAATAAACAAATCCATAGACAAGCCACAAAAAGTTGATTAGAGGATACCAGGGAAATGAGGAGTGACTGCTAATGTGTACAGAGTGTTTGTGGTGATGAAATGTTCTAAAATTAGATAATGGTGATAATTATACAATCCTGTGCATATGCTAAAAACCACTGAATTGTCAAAAAAAAAAAAAAAAAAAAGCCCCTGGCTAGAGGGCCCTAAACAAACATTTATGGAAAATGCACTAATTCATCAATCAGTCAATATCCTAGAATGTTTATAGAAAAGTACATTCTGACAATTTTTGATAGCCAATTTGCCTTCATCAGTCTCCCTTCATTAGAGATCATTGCTTGCTCCACAGGCAAACAGTTGATCCTTGAACAACACAGGGCTTAGTGGCGCTTACCCCACACACAGTCAAAAACCCACATGCAACTTCTGACTCCCACAAACTTAACTACTCATAGCCTACTGTTGACTGGAAACCTCACTGATAACATAAATAGTCAATTAACATATATTTTGTATGTTATTTTTATTATATACTGTATTCTTACAATAAAGTAAGCTACAGAAAAGAAAATGCGAAGGAAACCATAAGACAGACAAAATATATTTACTATTCATTAGTAGAAGTGGATCATCGTAAAGTTCTTCATCCTCATTGTCTTCACATTGAGTCGGCTGAGAAGAAAGAGGGGAGTTGGTCTTGCTGTCTCAAGGATGGCAGAGGCGGAGGAGGTAGAAGGGGAGACAGAAGAGGCAGGCACACTTAGTGTAACTTTATAGAAATACATCATAGGCCGGGCGCGGTGGCTCACACCTGTAATCCCAGTACTTTGGGAGGCCAAGGCAGGCAGATCGCCTGAGTTTGGGAGTTGGCGACCAGCCTGACCAACATAGAGAAAACTCGTCTCTACTAAAAATACAAAATCAGCCAGGCGTGCTGGCACATGCCTGTAATCCCAACTACTCGGGAGCCTGAGGCAGAAGAATCGCTTGAACCGGGGAGGCAGAGATTGTCGTGAGTCGAGATGAAGCCATTGCACCCCACCCTGGGCAACAAGAGCGAAACTCCATCTCAAAAAAAAAAAAAGAAAGGAAAATAAAAAGAAATACATCATAATTTCTGCCTGACTTTTTTGCTTTTTCATTTCTCTAGCAATGTTTTGGTATGGTACCATTCCTTCTTCCGTCTGCTTTAGTTTCAGTGTCTGTATCATAGAAGAGGAGATGTTGTAAAAGAAGTCCAAAGCAGCCTAAATAATCAGAACCATTTTGCCAGCTTGTCTAACATCAATTTGTTTCCTGACACTGCTTCTTGTGTGTCTTTTTCCTCATCATCTGGTACTGGTTCGGAAGCACTCATCTCCATCAAGTCATTTATTAATTCCTCTGGTGTGCCATCTATTAGGTCTTTAATTCTCTCGGATCTGTATTTTAAAACCCTTCACTCCATCTTTTTTTCCATACCCCCAATTTCCTTCATGATTTCCTTAACTGGCTCTGTCATAAACCCTGTGAAGTCATGCACAACATCTGGGCACTGTTTTCTCCAGCAGGAATGTATTGTTTTGAGCTTGATGGCTTCTGTGGCTGTAACAACAGCATCTTAAATGGTGCAATCCTTCTAGACCTTCATGATGTTCTCCCTATTGGGTTTCTCTTTCATAATGTAGACAATCCTTTCCATAGGGTACCGCGTGTAATGAGCCTTAAAGGTCTTATGACCCACTGATCTACAGGCTAAATTAGAAATGTGTTTGGGGGCAAATAGATCACTTCAACACCTTTAGTGTTGAACTCATTGGGCTATGGGGAATCACGGCATTGTCTAATACCAAAAGAACTTTGAGAGGCAGTCCCTTATTGGCAAGGTACTTCCTTAGGGAACAAAGCATTGATGGAACCAATCAAGATAAAGGGTTCTCATTGTCCAGACTTTCTTTTGTAAAATGAAAAGACTGGCAGCTGGTGTTTATCTTTTCCTTCCAAGGCTCAGGGGTTAGCAGCTTTATAGATAAGGGCAGTCCTAATCATAAACCCAAACTGCATTTGCACACAATGGTACAATTCTATCCTTCTATCCCTTCTTGCCTTAAATCCTGGGGCTTGCTTCATTACTAATTAATGTTCCTTGTGGCATTTTTTCCAGAATAAGGCCCTTTTGTCCACATTAAAAACCTATTCAGGGCCAGGCGCGGTGGCTCACACCTGTAATCCCCAGCACTTTGGGAGGTCCAGACGGGCGGATCACTTGAAGTCAGGAGTTCGAGACCAGCCTTGGCCAACATGGTGAAACCCTGTCTCTACTAAAAATATAAAAATTAGCTGGGCATGGTGGTGCATGTTTGTAATCCCAGCTACTTGGGAGGCTGAGGCAGGAGAATCGTTTGAACCTGGGAGGCAGAGTTTGCAGTGAGTGGAGATTGTGCCACTGCATTCCAGCTTGGGTGACAGAGCAAGGCTCTGTCTAAAACAAACAAACAAACAAAGACCTATTCAGGCAGATATCCTTTCTCCTCAATGTTTTTTTTGTTTTGTTTTGTTTTTTTGTTTTGGAGAGGGGAACAAGGTCTCACTCTGTCACCCAGGCTGGAGTGCAGTGGAACAATCACAGCTCACTGTAGCCTCTACCTCCTGGGCTTAAGGGATTCTCCAACGTCAGCCTCACAAGTAGCTGACACTCTAGGTAACGTGCCACCATATTTTATTTTATTTTTTTGTAGCAACAGGGTCTGACTATGTTGCCCAAGCTGGTCTCAAACTCCTGGGCTCAAGTGATCCTCCTGCCTTGGCCTGCCAAAGTGCTGGGATTTATAGGCGTAAGCCATGACACCTGGCAGGTTTTGAGCTTCCATAATTCAGTGATTTCCTTATTGGCATCTGGGAACTTATCTGCTGCATTTACTGTTATCTTGACTGGGTTTTGCGGTTTTTTTGTTTGTTTGTTTCGTTTTGAGACGTAGTCTCGCTCTGTTGCCCAGGCTGGAGTGCAGTGGCGTGATTTCGGCTCACTGCAACTTCTGCCTCCCGGGTTCAAATGATTCTCCTGTCTCAGCCTCCTGAGGAGCTGGGATTACAGTCGTGCGCCACCATACCTGGCTAATTTTTGTATTTTTAGTAGAGACAGGGTTTCATCATGTTAGTCAGGCTGGTCTTGAACTCCTGACCTCACGTGATCTGCCCACCTCGGCCTCCCAAATTGCTGGGATTACAGGTGTGAGCCACCACACCTGGCCTGTTTTTTGTTTTTTTGTTGTTGTTGTTTGTTTGTTTTTGAGACAGGCTCTTGATCTGATGCCCAGGCTGGAGTGAAGTGGTGCAAGATTATAGCTCACTATAACCTCAAACTCCTGGGATCAAGTGACCCTCCTGCCTCAGCTTCTCAAATATCTAGGACTACAGGTTTGCATCACCATGCCTGGCTAATTTTTTTTTTAAGAGACAGGGTCCCATTATGTTGCCTAGGCTGGTCTCAAACTCCTGGTCTCAAGAGATCCTCCTGCCTCAGGTTCCCTAAGTGCTGGGATTCTAGGCATGAGCCACCACATCCAGCCTATCCTGACAATTTTAAAGCCATCTCTTTCCAAAATTATCAAACCATCCTTGGCTGCCATAAAATTCTCCAGCTTTAGATCCTTCACCTTTCTTTTGCTATAAGGTGTCATATGAATTCTTTTTTTCTCAAATCACATTAGAATCTATAGGTATGCCTCTCTTATAGCAATCCTGCACCCACAGAGAAGCTGTATCTTTTCAATACAAGATAAAAAGTTATTTAGCAAAAAGTGCAAGGTTTTTACACCTTTTGGCATAGCTGGAGAAATGGCTTCACAAATTTCTTTTTCTTTTTTTTTATGATCCTTATGCTGTATTCATTTATCTTGAAATGGTGAGCAACTGCAGCTGCAGACTTCAATCTACAGTACATATCAAGGAACTGAACTTTTTTTTTCTAATGTCATGACTTCTCTCTGCTTCTTGGGAGCACTTCTGGCATGATTAGTGGCACTCCATATGGGTGCCATGGTGTTATTCAAACTTTACAGTATTCCACTTAACATGATGAAAAATACACAAGAACCACAAGTGATCACTTTTTACTGCTACATCCAACTTACCAGAGAGACAAATTGCTTATGTGGAGATGATTAGCATCACATAGCATTTTAAGCGTGTATCTGCAACACTTGAGCTCACAGCAATAGCAAGAAGAATTGGCTATGAAATTATTATATTAAGTAGTACAGTATGTACAACAGTGAATTTTATGTAGTTATGATTCAGTACTATACCTTTACATTTGTTTACATTTCTCTGGACTGCAAATGGCATCATGTGTGGTCTTTAAGTGTTTCTGTGCCTAAGTTTTGATAAATTTTAACTTTTTTTTTTTTTAAGTGGAGTCTTGCCCTGTCACCAGGCTGGAGTGCAGTGGCACAATCTTGGCTCACTGCAACCTCCACTTCCTGGGTTCAAGAGATTCTCCTGCCTCAGCCTCCCAGATAGCTGGGACTACAGGCATGCACCACCACGCCCAGCTAATTTTTGTATTTTTAGTAGAGACGGGGTTTCAGCATGTTGGCCAGGATGGTCTCAATCTCTTCACCTTGTGATTAATCCGCCTCGGCCTCCCAAAGTGCTGGGATTACAGGCGTGAGCCACCATGCCAGCCAAATTTTAACTTTATTTTTAGACAGGGTCTAACCATGTTGCTCAGGCTGGTCTCAAACTCCTCAGCTTAAGGAATTCTTCCAGCTTGGCCTCCCAAAGTGCTGGGATTGCAGGAATGAGTCACCATGCCTGGCCAAATTTTAACTTTTTATAATAGATTTGTGTCTATTTTATGGTAGTAAATGATAAAATAGACTAGTATCTACATACATTTTATACATTTATGACACACCTAATTTTTTCTTAATTTTTTCCATATTTCTAAGCAATGCAATTCATTTACCAATTTATTCCAATTGTTGCAAATCTCCAAAAAATTTTTCTACATACTTATCAGAAAAAGTTCAGGTACAAGTGGACCTGCACAGTTCAAATTTTGTTCAAAGAGCAACTGTAGTTCTCATTATCTTTATAAATCCTGTTACAGACTTAAACGTTGGGGTAGGAGTTAGAAAAACCAATATATAGCTATTCATGTACTCAGCACCAATATATCAGATGCTGAAACATATTATGTGATATTAAGGAAGGCATTGTATATTTCTGGACTTCTTCTGAGGCAAGCAATTTGAACCAGATAAGATTCCACATAGCTCTAAACGCTTATGTTGTATTTATACTGCTACCCGTAAGTACATCCAAGAGGAGATTTTTAAGTTTTTAATTATATAGGTTCTTAGGCTGGTCATGGTGGCTCACGCCTGTAATCCCAGCACTTTGGGAGGCGGAGGCAGGTAAATCACTTGAGGTCTGGATTCAAGACCAGCCTGGCCAACATGGAGAAAACCCATCTCTACTAAAAATAGAAAAATTAGCCCAGCGTGGTGGCAGGTGCCTGTAATCCCAGCTACTGGGGAGGCTGAAGCATGAGAAACACTTGAAACTGGGAGGCAGAGGTTGCAGTGAGCCAGGATCACACCACTACGCTCTAGCCTGGGTGACAGAGCAAGACTCTGTCTCAAAAAATAATAAAATAAAATAAAAAATAAATTATATAGGTTATTAAAACTCCTACTTTATGTAAACCAATATAGTAATAAGAAATTGATCCACAGATTCACTTTGAAATTTTATAGTAATTATCATGACAAATTAAAGTACATTTTGATTTACATACTCTTTCCTATCCCTCTACATATTTCTACTTTAGAAAGTTCTCTCTTTCAGAAAAACAAAGTTTTAACTGGACATCTGTTGATCACAGTGCTATTTATAATAATAAAAAGTTATAAATAAGCATCAATCAACAGAGTAACTGGTTAAACAAATAAAGGTACATGTATACAGACTATAGTTATTAAAAATGTAGAACAAGGGCCGGGTGCGGTGGCTCACGCCTGTAATCCCAGCACTTTGGGAGGCTGAGGTAGGTGGATCACGAGGTCAGGAGTTCAAGACCAACCTGGCTAACATGGTGTAACCCCGTCTCTACTAAAAATACAAAAAATTAGCCGGGCATGGTGGCAGGCACCTGTAGTCCCAGCTTCTTGGGAGGCTGAGGCAGGAGAATAGCATGAACCTGGGAGGCGGAGGTTGCAGTGAGCCAAGATCGCACCACTGCACTCCAGCCTGGACGACAGAGTGAGACTCCGTCTCAAAAAAAAAAAAATTTAATTCATTAATTAATTAATTAAATAAAAATGTAGAACACTGGTTCTGATCTGTCATGGAAAAAAAGAAAAATAGAATCAAATTTTAAAAGTAAAAGAAAAGAAAAATGTAGAACAGTGATTTTGGGAGGAAAGAAGGTCAGAAAGCAGATTTTTACCCATACTCACAAGAATAACTGCATATAATTAAAGATATTATTGATGGAAGGGTTGTAGATGTAAATGGTATAGATTTTCTTTAGGAAAAAAGGACAGAACACAACTATTGGAAAAGAAGGTTTAGTAAAATGGAAAAATATTCATTATATATTGTAAAATGTAAAATACAGGCTACTAAAAAGTATGTAGAATATGATTGCATTTTGGAGAAAAGTAGGTATTTCCTGAGAAAGAAGTGTAGAAAAACATACCACACCATTCATAATGGTTATCTATGAATAACTTTACTTCTTTTTGCTTATCTTTGTTTCCTAATTTTTCTTTTTTTTATAGAGACAAGGTCTCACTATGTCGCCCAGGCTGAATTCAAACTCCTGGGTTCAAGCGATCCTCCTGCCTCAGCCTTCTGAGTAGCTGAGACTGCAGGCACACACACTGTGCCCAGCTTGGTTTTTTAAATAATAATAATTACTATTATTATTTTTAGAGATAGGGTCTCGCTATGTTGTCTAGGCTGATCTTGAACTCCTGGCCTCAAGCAATCCTCCCACCTCAACCTCCCAAAGTGCTGGGATTACAGGCATAAGCCACCAAGCCCAGCCACCCAGCATGTTTTCTAATTTTTTCTTAAACTTTTTTTTTTTTTGAGACGGAGTCCCATTCTGTTGCCAGGCTGGAGTGCAGTGGCATGATCTCAGCTCACTGCAACCTCTGCCTCCCGGGTTCAAGCAATTCTCCTGACTCACCCTCCCAAGTAGCTGGGACTATAGGCACGTGCCACTATGTCCAGCTAATTTTTGTATGTTTAGTAGAGACAGGGTTTCACCATGTTGGCCAGGATGGTCTCGATCTCTTGACCTTGTGATCCACCCACCTCGGCCTCCCAAAGTGCTGAGATTACAGGCGTGAGCCACCGCGCCTGGCCCTTTATTTATTTTTTTAATTTAATTTGAGAAAAGATAAGGTCTTCTCCTTTACCTTTTTTCTTTATTTTCAAGGCTAAAGTAAAAGAGCCCATCATCAAACCAATTTTTCTTTCCTAATATAATAAACTTTTTTTGTTGTTGTCTTGCTCTGTCACCCAGGCTGGAGTGCAGTGGCACAATCTCGGCTCACTGCAGTGGCACAATCTCAGCTCACTGCAACCTCCGCCTCTCAGGTTCAAGTGATTCTCTTGCCTCAGCCTCCCGAGTAGCTGGGATTACAGACGCGTGCCACCACGCCCGGCTAATTTTGGTATTTTTAGTAGAGACGGGGTTTTGCCATGTTGCCAGGCTGGTCTCGAACTCCTGACCTCAGGTGATCCACCCGCCGCGACAGGCGAGGGATGGACATTCATGGCGAATACTTTTTTATAACAATTCATTACAGATGTGGATAAAATTCTATCTTCCTGCTGAATCTAACCAGATTAATCCTCACTCTCAAAAAACTGACTATAATTTTTACTCAATATCTACCCTTTTTATTTACTAACTTAACCTTCAGGGAAATTTATCATTGAAACCCCTCTATACAGATTTAGCGAATAAATAAACTAATGCTTTGCTGGAGACTTTTATACATTTTGACTCAATTACTCCTCGCAACAATCAGTGAGGAGTATTTTGTCATCCAACAGATCTTACAGATGGGGAAACTGAGATACAGAGAGATTATTTAACTACCAGAATCCCACTGCTAGACAGTATTTATTAGCTGAGATTTGAAATAGGTTTTCAAAAGATTTTGGTACATCACAGTTTGTTTTTCCTTTGTATGTATATTTACTAGGAATCAGGAGCAAAAATCCTTCCCCGAGAACGGAAAATATGAGTAGTTTGTTAAGAGGGAATAAACATTATTCAAATCATTTAGTCCCCAAAAAATACTGTTTATTCAAATGCTGAAAAAGAAAATGTCTTTGTGACAGTAAACTAAACAAGGAGGCTTGGCTAATTGGCTTAGAGCAAAGGTAAAATCTAATATGACTCTGTTCTCTTCACTATTATAAATACCAAATTTCTCTGTGGTGTTTTCCTATCACTTATCTAAAAAGATAAGGACAACATCAGCATTATAAGGCTTTGCTTAAAAAAAATTATCCTAAATGTTAAGTCTTTATACTTACATGGACATGAAAGTCAACAAAATGTGTTTTGGTTGATTATGAAAAGTCTTTACACAGTGTGGGAGACAGTTATAGTTCATAAATTGTACTTATCATTAAGAATGTGGGTTTTAACTGCTTAACATTAACTCAAAGATTTCTTTCCCACCTTTCATTGAACCCTTTGTTCCACACTGTGGCAGAGACTATTACTGACTGGCTTCCCCAGAGCCATTCACAACCTGTTTTCCCTTGTGTTCCTCTAATCCATAGAAGGCATTTGCTTACCATTTGGTTGGCACAGTCTCTTTTGCCTTTCAGCCTTTGCCTCTTCCCCTTCTTCCTGACTAGAATGTGAAAGAAATACCTGGAGGCATAACAATCATTTGGGACCACATGTACAAAAACCACTGAACAGACAGAGGAAAGGAGGTGAATACTTGTTAATATCCTGGCACAACTGCACCAGCCCAGCATGCCCCATCTCTGGACCTTTCATTACAAGAGGAAAATAAACATCTTATTTGTACAATATTGGTTTTTCTGTTGCACAAAGCCAGAATGACAAATCCACACACGATAAACAGCATAGTTGTGTTCTTCCCAGTTTTTTTGTTTGTTTGTTTGTTTTAAGATGGAGTCTCGCTCTGTCACCCAGGCTGGAGTGCAGTGGCGCAATCTCAGCTCACTGCAACCTCTGCCTCCCAGGTTCAAGCAATTCTCCTGTCTCAGCCTCCCAAGTAACTGGGACTAAGGGCGTCTGCCACCACGCCTAGCTAACTTTTGTATTTTTAGTAGAGATGGGTTTTCACCATATTTGGTCAGGCTGGTCTCGAACTCCTGACCTCAGGTGATCCGCCCACCTCGGCCTCCCAAATTGCTAGGATTACCTGTGAGCGACCGCGCCTGGCCTGTTCTTCCCAGTGTTAAATGACAGCTAGATTTGCACTCTCCTCTCTCCAGTAGTTTGAAACTTTTTTTTTTTTTTTGAGACGCGTCTCACTCTGTCACCAGGCTGGAGTGCAGTAGCGTCATCTTGGCTCACTGCAACCTCTGCCTCCCAGGTTCAAGTGATTCTCCTGCCTCAGCCTCCCGAGTAGCTGGGACTACAGGCGCCCACCACCACGTCCAGCTAATTTTTTTTGTATTTTTAGTAGAGACAGGGTTTCACCATCTTAGCCAGGATGGTCTCGATCTCCTGACCTCGTGATCCACCCGCCTCAGCCTCCCAAAGTGCTGGGATTACAGGGGTGAGCCACCACGCCTGGCCTGATATTTTTTAAAATGCTTTTAACAATTTCTATACCAAAACACAACATGAAACTTTGTTTATTCTTCACTACTTTTCAGAATAATATATATATATCTGTGAAAAAAAAAATCACCCATTCTTCCAATAAAAATTAAGAGTAGGAAATTAAGATGACTAGAAAACTTCCTGGTAAATTATATTGTAGAACATATCTTTAACATAAAAGTAGAAAAATGTGGATGACAAGATTAGATAAATATAAAATATTCCAAGGAAAACTTGCTGCTGTCTTGTTTTGTTTTGGTGACAGGGTCTCAGTCTGTCGCCAAATCTTGAGTGCAGTGGTGCGATCACAGCTCACTGTAGCCTCAACTTTCCCTGGCTCAGGTGTTTCTCCCACCTCAGCCTCCTGAGTAGCTGGGACTACAGGTGCATGTCACCATGCCTGGATAATTTTTGTATTTTTTGTAGAGACAGGGTTCCCCCTTGTTGCACAGGCTAGTCTGGAACTCCTGGACTCAAGCAATCCACACACCTTGGCCTCCCAAAGTGCTGGGATTACAAGTGTGAGTCACCATGCCCAGCTTAAACTTCCTGCTTTTTAGTAAGTCAAAAATAATTACCAACTATAAAATGGGTAAAGACTAGTGAGGTTGGAAGAGGGGTGGTACCTCAACCATGAACTACAGGTCCTAGGAGCTAAGAGAGATGTAAATTGTAAGACTGGTAAGATCTTTAGCTCAGATGTAGGAAAATCATAGAGAAACAGCTCTAATTACTATCATGCTAAAGCAGAAACCATTTCAACTGTCAAATTGTGATAAAGAACATTCACAGCCACTGAGGTTGAGATGAGGGGCACTTTTTATATATTGTTAGTAGTAGTGGAGAAAACTATATATGAAAAAATTAGGTTATAAATACTAAGAGCCTTAAACAACTAATACCCTTTGACACAGCAAATTAACTTATAAGACGCTATTTTAAGGAAAGAATTAGATATTAAGGACCAAGATTTAGACACAACAACAGCTATTAGTATTACACATATTATCAAAATATTAGGAAAAACTTAAATGTTCAACAAGCAGAGAGAGTTCAGTAAAGCATTGCATATTCATATAAGAGTATAAACATCCACTAAAAATCAAGTTCTTAAAAAAAATTGATAATATAGATAAACACTGATCATATCTACAGTTAGAGGATCTTAAACTCATTCACAGAACCCTTAGTATCTTAGTAATTTGTTCACAGGACCCTACGGCAAAGGAAATACCTAATGATTCCATTTATTACATAATTAGGTAAAGTAATTTAGTAACTACTTATGTCCAAACAACACATAATTATTCAAAAATAAAATACAGACTGCTGGGCACGGTGGCTCACGCCTGTAATCCCAGTACTTTGGGAGGCCAAGACAGGCAGATCATGAGGTCAAGAGATCGAGACCATCCTGGCCAACATGGAGAAACCCGGTCTCTACTAAAAATACAAAAAATTAGCTGGGCATGGCGGTGCACGCCTGTAGTCCCAGCTACTTGGGAGGCTGAGGGAGGAGAATCACTAGAACCAGGAGGCAGAGGCTGCAGTGAGCCAAGATTGTGCCACTGCACTCCAGCCTGGCAACAGAGTGAGATTCCGTCAAACAAACAAACAAACAAATAAATAAATAAAAATACAGGCTGGGAGTGGTGGCACATGCTTGTAATCCTAGCACTTTGGGAGGCTGAGGTGGGTGGACTGTTTGAGCTCAGGAGTTTGAGACCAGCCAACACAACATGGTGACACCCCCATCTCTACAAAAACTACAAAAATTAGCTGGGCATGGTGGCATGCACCTTCCAGCTACTCGGAAGGCTAAAATCAGAAGATGGCTTCAGCCCAGGAGGCAGAGGTTGCGGTGAGCTGAGACCGTACCACTGCACCCCAACCTGAGCAATATAGTGAGACCATTTCAAATAAATAAATAAATAAATAAAAATAAAATACACATAAATTGATCTTTGCCTCAGCTGTGAGAAAAAATATACATATATGGCCAGGCACGGTGACTCACGCCTGTAATCCCAGCACTTTGGGAGGCCAAGGTGGATGATCATTTGAGGTCAGAAGTTCGAGACCAGCCTGGCCAACATGGTGAAATCCCGTCTCTACGAAAAATACAAAAAAATTAGCCAGGCGTGGTGGCACACACCTGTAATCCCAGCAACTCAGGAGACTGAGGCACGAGAATTGCTTGAACCCAGGAGGCAGAGGTTGCAGTGAGCCAAGATTGTGCCACTGCACTCCAGCCGAGGCAACAGAGCAAAACTCCATCTCAAAAAAAAAAAAAAAAATACACATAAATTGAAATAAGAAATTGGATTTTTGGCTGGGCACGGTGGCTCACACCTGTAATCTCACCACTTTGGGAGGCCAAGGTGGGTGGATCACGAGGTCAGGAGTTCAAGATCAGCCTGGCCAAGATAGTGAAACCCTGTCTCTACTAAAAATACAAAAATTAGCCAGGCACGGTGGCAGGTGCCTGTAATCCCAGGTACTCGGGAGGCTGAGGCAGGAGAATCACTTGAACCTGGGAGGCAAAGGTTGCAGTGAACCGAGATCGCGCCACTGCACTCCAGCCTAGGCGACAGAGGGAGACTTCGTCTCAAAAAAAAAAGAAAAAAAAGGCTTTTTCTGTATTCAAAAAACATTTGTCAGTAATTTAACATCACTACAAAGAAGAGTTTGTGACTACTCTGATCTCATGTTTTGAACATTTACTAGACTTTGATTTCCTTAATAACCCATTTCTGTTAACCTCTTATTAAGAAAGAAAAAAAGAAAGAAAGAAATGAACGGAAGAAAGAAAATGGAGGGAAGGAAGATAGAAAAGAAAAAAGGAAGAAAGCAGCAATGAAAACAAACAAAGACATTCTTCCCACTTCTTGGATTTTTAAACCACAATCTGAAGCAATAGCTACTATAGAAAGGAAACAGACTTTGTATGAACTCTAAGTTGAAAAATATATAGGCAGGGCGCAGTGGCGCACACCTGTAATCCCAACACTTTGGGAGGCCAAGACGGGTGGATCACCTGAGGTCAGAAGTTCGAGACCAGGCTGGCCAACATGGTGAAACCCCATCTCTACTAAAAACACAAAAATTAGCCAGGTGTGGTAGTGCATGCCTGTAATCCCAGCTAGTCGGGAGGCTGAGGCAGGAGAATCACTTGAACCTGGGAGGCGGAGGCTGCAGTGAGCCAAGATTGCGCCACTGCACTCCAGCCTGGGCGACAGAGCAAGACTCCGTCTCAAAAAAAAAAAAAAAAAAAAAGAAAGAAAAAGAAAGAAATATATATGGTTTGGATGTGTGCATTAATTCAGTTATAGAAATTAATACCACTACCCATGAATTATATGGCCTGACCATATGAGTCAGATGTACCGTACTAAAGAACAGTACTCCACAAACATGAGTGGTAACAAGAGTTCCATCCCAGGATGCCACCCAGTGTAACAGAAGGGTAGATTAGAAGCTATTAAGAAGGCACTTAATAGTACATTATGTAAGATGGCAACTGTATTAAAGAAAAATGAGGAAAACAAAAAAAGTAAAAAATCCTAAGAGATTCTGGAGAGGAAAAATACAAGTTTGAAAAAAGAAACTTCCTGGCCAGGGATGATGGCTCCTGCCTGTGATCCCAGCACTTTAGGAGGCCGAGGCAAGTGGATCACCAGAGGTCAGGAGTTTGAGACCAGCCTGGCCAACATGGTGAAACCCCATCTCTACTTAAATACAAAAATTAGCTGGGCATGATGGCAGGCACCTGTAATCCCAGCTACTCAAGAGGCTGAGGGCAAGAGAATCCCTTGAACCCGGGAGACAGAGGTTGCAGTGAGCCAAGATCGCGACATCGCACTCCAGCCTGGGCAACAAGAGTGAGACTCTGTCTCCAGAAAAAAAAAAAAAAAAAAAAAGAAAGAAAGAAACTTCCCAGGAACAACAAGATATACCAGAAGACATGAAGCAATAGTTTTGAATGCTGAGAAAAAAAAAAATTCTTAATATTTAAGTATTAATTCAGCCAAACTATCAATCAAGTATGAGAACAAAATACATTATCAGACATGCAAGAACTCAGAAAATCTACACATCCTATATGAAAATGCTACTTAAAAAGACATCCTCAGCCAGGCACGGTGGCTCACGCCTGTAATCCTAGTACTTTGGGAGGCTCAGGCAGGCAGATCACCTGAGCCCAAGAGTTCAAGACCAGCCTGGGCAGCATGGCAAAACCCTGTCTCTACAAAAAAATACAAAAATCAACCAGGCGTGGTAGTGGGTGCCTTTAAGCCTAGCTACTCAGGAGGCTGAGGTGGGAGAATCACCTGAGCCAGGAGGTTGAGGTTGCAGTGAGCTGTGATCATGCCACTGCACTCCAAACTGGGTGTTAAGAGTAAAACCCTGTATTTAAAAAAAAAAAAAAAAAAAAAAAAAATTCCTCATCTAAAAACAACCAAAAGAAAAGAATCCAAGAAAAACCACACATAGAATACAAAGAAAAACTACTAGCTGAATATGACCCAGAAGACTTGAAGAAAAGGCAGAATAAATTATCATCAACAATTAGGCCTTAATACCTGGAACACTGTTTCAAGCAGCACTTATTTAATACAGTCATCCCTCAGTATGGTGTGGGGAGGAGTATGCGGACCATGTGGTTGGTTTCAGTTCCTTCCAAACCAAAATCCAAGAATGCTCAAGTCCCTGATATAAAATGGCACAGTATTTGCATATAACCTATATGTATCCTCTCGTATACTTTAAATCATCCCTAAATTACTTATAATACTTAATACAATGTAAATACTTTATAAATAGTTATGCTGGGTTTATTTGCATTATTTTTTATTGTTTTGGAGTTTTTTCTAATTTTTTTTTTGGAGACAGGGTCTCACTCTGTTGCCAAGTCTGAATGGCAATGGCACAATCTCGGCTCACTGCAGCCTCAACCTCCCCAGCTCAAGTGATCTTCCCACCTCAGCCCCCAAGTTAGCTAGGACCACAGGCATGCACCACTATACCCAGCTAGTTTTTTTGTTTACTTTTTTGTAGAGACGAAGTCTCACTATATTGCTTAGGCTGGCCTTGAACTCCTGAGCTCAAGCAATCCACCCGCCTAGACCTCCCAAAGCGCTGGAATTATAGGTGTGAGCCACAGCACCTGACCTTGAATATTTTCAACACACAGTTGATTGAATCTGTGGATGCAGAACCCATAGATAGAGAGGGCTGACTGTACTAAAGATTACATTTCCTTCTCCACGAGTCTCAACATATTCATCTACTCAGCAGTAAATAAATTTTAAAATCATAGTATTTTAATGCTGTTGAATGCTTAAGTGTTCACTTTTTAGAATCAACCCACGGACAAAAGAGCACTGAATACACCAAAATACTACAAACATTATTACAAACATTATACTTTAAAAATTGGGAAGTAGCAATAAAGAGTGGGAAAGGTGTATTACTTCCTTTAACATTCATGTTAGAAAGACACAATCTCTAAAGATTGAACCAGGAAGAAACTGAAACCCTGAACAGACCAATATCAAGTTATGAAATGGAATCAGTAATTAAAAGCCTACCAACCAAAAATAGCCCTGGACCAGATGGATTCACAGTTGAATTCTGCCAGACGTACAAAGAAGAGCTGGTACCAATCCTACTGAAACTACTCCAAAAAATCAAGGAGGGAGGATTCCTCCCTAATTTATTCTACGAAACCAGTATCATCCTGATACTAAAATCTGGCAAAGATACAACAAACGAAGAAAACTACAGGCCAATATCCCTGATGAACATAGATGCAAAAATCCTCAGCAAAATACAAACCAAATCCAGCAGCACATTGAAAAGATAATTCACTACGATCAAGTGGGCTTTATTCCTGGGATGCAAGGATGGTTCAACACATACAAATCAAGAAATGTGATTCACCACATAAACAGAAATAAAAACAAAAACCACACGATCATCTCAATTGGCACAGAAAAAGCATGTGACAAATCTAACATTCCCTTCATGACAAAAATGCTCAACAAACAAGGCACTGAAGGAACATAGCTCAAAATAATAAGAGCCATCTATGACAAAGCCACAGCCAACATCATACTGAAAGAGCAAAAGTTGGATGCATTCCCCCAAGAACTGAAACAAGACAAGGATGCCCACTCTCACCACCCCTATTCAATACAGTATTGGAAGCCCTAGCCAGAGCAATCAGGCAAGAGAGAGAAATGAAAGGCATCCAAACAGGAAAAGAGGAAGTCAAATTATCTATTTACTGATAATATGATCCTGTACCTAGAAAACCCTAAAGATTCCTTCAAAAGACTCCAAGACCCGATAAACGACTTCAGTACAGTTTCAGGATAAAAAATCAACATATAAAAATCAATCGCATTTCTATACACCAATAACATTCAAGCTGAGAACCAAACCAAGAATGCAATATTGGCCGGGGGCTGGGGGAAGGAGCTGGCTCACACCTGTAATCAGCAGCACTTTGGGAGGCCAAGGTGGGAGGACTGCTTGAGCCCAGGAGTTCAAGACCAGCTTTGGCAACATAGTGAGACCCTGTCTCCACAAAAAATTTAAAAAGTAGCCAGGCTTAATGGTGTACGCCTGTGGTCCCAGCTACTCAAGAGGCTGAGGTGGGAGAATTGCTTAGGCCCAGGAGATTGAGACTGCACTGAGCCATGATCATGCCACTGCACTCCAGCCTCAGTGACAGAGCAAAACTCTGTCTCAAAAAAGTAAAATAAATTACAGGTTTTTTTGTGTGTTTTTTTTTTGAGACAGGGTTTTGCACTGTCGCCCAAGCTAGAGTGCAGTGGCGTCATCTCGGCTTACTGCAAGCTCCGCCTCCCAGGTTCACACCATTCTCCTGCCTCAGCCTCCCGAGTAGCTGGGACTACAGGTGCCCACCACTGCACCCGGCTAATTTTTTGTATTTTTAGTACAGACAGGGTTTCGCAGTGTTAGCCAGGATGGTCTCGATCTCCTGACCTCGTGATCCACCTGCCTTGGCCTCCCAAAGTGCTGGGATTACAGGCATGAGCCACCACACCCAACCTTAAAGTTATTTTAAATTTTTTTAAATAAGAAAAAGACAACCCTATTAAAAAGTGAGCGAAGGACATGAATGGACACTTCTCAAAAGAAGACATACAAGTAGCGAAAAAACATGGGAGAAAACACTCAACATCACTAATCATCAGAGAAACACAAATTAAAATCACAGTGAGATACCATCTTACACCAGTCAGAATTGCTATTATCAAAAATAAAAAGCAAGAGATGTTGGCAAGGTTGAGGAGAAAAGGGAATGCTTATATACAGTTGGTGGGAATATAAATTAGTTCAGCCCCTGTGGAAAGCAGTTTGGAGATTCCTCCAAGAATCAAAAATAGAATTACCATTTGACCCAGCAATCCCATTACTAGGTATCTACCCAGAGGAAAAGAAATCATTCTACCAAAAAGACACCTGCACTCGTATATTTATCATAACACTATTCACAATACAAAAGTCATGGAATCCTCCTGGGTGTCTATCAACAGTTAAAAAGAAAATGTGGTATATATACACCATGGAATACTATGCAGCCATAAAAAAGAATGAAATCATGTCCTTTGCAGCAACATGGGTTGGGCTGGAGGCCATTATCCTAAGTGAAATAAGTAAGAAAACAGAAAATTAAATACCGCATGTCCTCACTTATAAGTGGGAGCTAAACAATGGGTACACACAGACATAAAGATGGGAACGACAGACACTGGGGACTCCAAAAGGGGAAAAACAGAGGAAAAAGGGTTGAAAAGCTGCCTACTGGGTACTATGTTCACTATTTGGTGATGGGTTCAATACAAGCCCAAACTCAGCATTATGCAATATACCCATGTAACAAACCTACCCATGTAACAAACCTGCACATGTATCCCCAAATCTAAAATTTAAAAGAAGAAAAAAATTCACATTGACATCAGAGATAGTATCTAAATTGACACATAATGAAAAAGAAATTTAAGTTTATAATTTAAAGCCATAAAAGTATTTACTAGAAACAAATTAAAATAGAAGCAATAAATTTGAAGGTTAGGATGAGAAAACAAAAGGGGGTAGTATGATTTCACAAAATTGCTCAGCTTCTCTGATGGAAACTTAACAAAAATTGCCTAAAGTTGATAAATCAAGAAGCAGAATTATATGCATATTATTTAAAGTTATAATGGTAAGCAACAGTAAGCAACAGCAAAACTTAAACAGAAATGGTTAACACTGGTTACCTCTGAGATGTGACAAGGACAGCCTCCGGCACAGACAGTAAGAAGGAAGGCTTTGACTTTTTTTTTTTTCTTTTGAGACAGAGTCTTGCTCTGTAGCCCAGGCTGGAGGGCAGTGGTGCCATCTCGGCTCACTGCAACCTCCGCCTCCCAGGTTCACGCCATTCTCCTGCCTCAGCCTCCTGAGTAGCTGGGACTACAGGAGCCTGCCACCATGCCCGGCTCATTTTTGGTATTTTTAGTAGAGACGGGGTTTCATTGTGTTAGCCAGGATGGTCTCGATCTCCTGACCTCGTGATCCACCCGCCTTGGCCTCCCAAAGTGCTGGGATTACAGGCGTGAGCCACCGCGTCCAGCCTAGACTTTTACTTTTCATTTTATATACAACTATACTAAGTTTTTTTACCATGTGTAACCATTGTTTCATAATTTTAATAGCATAAAATTATTTCCACTTTGATACAAATATACAACAAAGATCAACAGATTGCTGAAAAATCAGTTAATAGAATTCTGGTTTTGTAAGTAAGACAAGATCAAATTACATAAAACCTTTCAGAAAACAGAAAAGTCCTTTTTTAAATTTGCACCTAAATCCTAAAATAATAGGATTTACTCAGTGTTTAAGTCACTCTTAAAATGCAATTACAATAACTACACTGAGGTTGGGTGCAGTGGCTTACACTTGTAATCCCAGCACTTTGGGAGGCCAAAGCGGGTAGATGGCTTGAGCCCAGGAGTTCGAGACCAGTCTGGGCAACATGGAAAAATCCACTGTCTCTACAAGAAATGCAAGAATTAATCAGGCATGGTGGTAACATGCCTGTAGTCCCAGCTACTCAAGAGGCTGAGATGGGAGGATCATTTGAGCACAGGAAGTCCAGGCTACAGCGAGCTGTGGCTGCACCACTTTCAGCCTGGGTGACAAGAGCAAGACCCTGTCTCAAGAAAAGAAAGAGAAGAAAGAAAGAAATACAGAACGAAAAGAAAAGAAAAGAGAGAAAGGGACGGAGGGAGGGAGTTTTCCAGAAACCATGGACTTACCTTTCTGTCCAAATTTAAATATCTACAAATATCAGCAAAACACTTTGCCATGAATAGGTTTTGTTCTATAACTACAGAACAAAACAAAGTTAACTGGCCTACTTGGTAAATAAATCCATTCCCTAATCACATTCAGCTTAGTAACTGAGATCATCCATCACAAACCCTCACTGAAAAAAATGTTTTTAAATAGAAAATACACAATAGGTTTAAAGCCTCTATAAGAAGAGTGTATTTTTCCTTTAGCAAGACATATTATAGTTCAAGTTAAAGATTCTTTTTTCTTTTTTATTTTTGAGATGGAGTCTTACTCTGTGGCCCAGGCTGGAGTGCAATGGCGCGATCTCGGCTCACTGAAACCTCTGCCTCCCGGGTTCAAGCGATTCTCCTGCCTCAGACCCCTGAGTAGCTGGGACTACTCAGGGTAGGTGCGTGCCACCACGCTGGGCTAATTTTTGTATTTTTTAGTAGAGACGGGGTTTCACCATATTGGCCAGGCTGGTCTCGAACTGACCTCGTGATCCGCCCACCTCGGCCTCCCAAAGTGCTGGGATAACAGGCGTGAGCCACCACACCCCGCCAAGTTAAAGATATTTTATAAAGACCTGTTGCCGGGCGCGGTGGCTCACACCTGTAATCCCAGCACTTTGGGAGGCCGAGGCGGGCGGATCACGAGGTCAGGAGAACGAGACCATCCTGGCTAACACGGTGAAACCCCGTCGCTACTAAAAATACAAAAAAATTAGCCGGGCGTGGTGGCGAGCGTCTGTAGTCCCAGCCACTCGGGAGACTGAGGCAGTAGAATGGCGTGAACCCAGGAGGCGGAGCTTGCAGTGAGCCGAGATCGCGCCACTGCACTCCAACCTGGGCGACAGAACAAGACTTCGTCTCAAAACAAAAAAAAAAAGACACCTGTTATTTGAGGACTTTACAGGTTTTTATTTCTCTTTGATCACTCACTTCTGGATAAGAACTCAAACCCTCAATAAATAACTACTGCTGCACACTTGTATCCTGAATTACATCCTGTCTTCTCTCGTGAGACTCTCTTTTATCCTGTACAGTGCACATTCAAAACAGCTATTACAGGAAGTGTTGGACTAATCAGCTATTTGTAAATGGACAAAAATCTTTAAATAGCTTTGTCTGCTACTCCTTTATGGTTCTAGATACTACTGGTTTTAAAGAAATTGTCATGCTAGTTGTTCATCTTGTCCCTTTGTTTTAGAATCCCAAAGTACCACTAATATTATATAGTCACAACATTATAACAAGTTGATCTTTAAAAAAACACATTAGTTTTTAAACATCCAAATACTCTAATAGTTTACCACCAAGAAAATTACAAATTGTAATATATTGCTTTAAAATCTTCTATATTGTCATCTAACCCTGCACTATAGAATAATTTTTCAAAACAAATAGATGTCCCTCAGTATACCTAAAGGGTTGGTTCTGGGACCCCTGCATATACCAAAACCCACATATACTCAGGTCCTGCAGTTGGCCCTGGAGAACCCACCTATACAAAAAGTTGGCCCTCATATACGCAGGTTTCACAAATCTGCGTGTAAGTGGACCCACACAGTTCAAACTCCTGCTGTTCAACAGTCAACTGTACACAATTTATAACACCACATATGAACTTATTTGTCTAGCATATTAAGTTCAAAAATGTAGGACACTATATTTTATATACTTTAAAAAATAAAAATACTTAATTCATCAACACTGACATAGATTGCATTAAAAACCTTTCCATGGATCTACTCTTCCTATGTAAAACTCAGAGACATGCCTTTTCCATGCTCCTAAAACAGTAGCCATGAGAAAGTAGCTTAAGCCCAGGAGGCAGAGGTACAGTGAGCCAAGATCGTGCCACTGCACCCCAGCCTGGATAACACTTCTCAAAAAAAAAAAAAAAAAGTAAGTAACTTGTACTTCCTTTAACAAATGATTTATAGCTCATTTTTATGTGTTAATTATCACTGTCAGCTGGGTGCAGTGGCTGACGCTTGTAATCCCAGCACTTTGGGAGGCCGAGGTGGGCAGATCACCTGAGGTCAAGAGTTTGAGACCAGCCCGGCCAACATGATGAAACCCCGTTTCTACTAAAAAATACAAAATTAGCTAGGCATGGTGGCGCATTCCTGTAATCCCAGCTACTTGGGAGGCTGAGGCAGGAGAATCGCTTAAACCCGGGAGGCAGAGGTTGCGGTGAGCCAAGATCGTGCCATCACACAACAGCCTGGGCAAGAAGAGCGAAACTCCATCTCAAAAAAAAAAAAAAATTATTATTGTCTTAACATTTCACTTCCTTATTCTTAGCCAACCCCCCCATCTCCAGTCTTCAGATATTTCTATCTTATACATCACCATATTAGTAAACCATTCCAAGCCATTACTTCCAAAGGTAAACAGCTTCTAGGACTTTAACTTACAGACACATTAATAGGTACAAAATGCTGTGCTTACTAGGATATTCACTTCAGTGTTAGTACTAGCAAGACTGGAGACAGCCAATGATGTAAGTCAATACAATGAGATACAACAAAACTATTAAGAGAAACAAGGCATCTCTGTATATAGATATGTCATAATGTTTAAGCAATGTTTAAGATTTAAAATATGGGCCAAGCACTGTGGCTCACGCCTGTAATCCCAGCACTTTGGGAGGCTGAGGCAGATGGATCACTTGAGGTCAGGAGTTCGAGACCAGCCTGGCCAACATGGTGAACACTGTCTCTACTAAAAATACAAAAAATTAGCCAGGTATAGTGGTATATGCCTGTGGTCCCCGCTACTCAGGAGGCTGAGGCAGGAAAATTGCTTGAACCTGGGAGGTGGTGGTTGCAGTGAGCCAAGATCTTCCCACTGCACTCCAGCCTGGGTGACAGAGAAAGACTCCGTCTCAATAAATAAATTAAATAAATAAAAATAAAAATAAAAATAGGGCCAAGCATGATGGCTTATGCCTGTAACCCCAGCACTTTGGGAGGTCAAGGTAGGAGGATTACTTGAGGCCAGGAGTTCAAGACCAGACTGAGAGACATAGCAAGACCTCATCTCTACAAATAATTTAAAAAAAAAAAAAAAAGCTGGGCATGGCCCACATCTGTAGTCCCAGTTACTCAGGAGGCTGAGGTGAAACAATCGCTTGAGCCCAAGAGACAGACTTGCTTGAGCCCAGGCAGCCAAAGCTGCAGTGAGCCATGATCTAAAAATAGAAAAGTGTGCAGCACACTAGCATGTCATATTTAATGACATCTTTAAGTTAACACACATGCACATACCCCAAAAGAAAATCCTCTTAAAGGACAACCAAGAATGACTGCCCCTAAAAAAGGGAAAGAATGGCTGGGAAAGGGATGACTTACGTTACACTGGTGGTTTTTTGTTATTTTTGTTTTATTGAAACAGAGTCTCACTCTGTCACCCAGGCTGGAGTGCAGTGGTGCAATATTAGCTCACTGCAGCTTCCACCTCCCAGGTTCAAGCAATTATTGTGCCTTAGCCTCCCGAGTAGCTGGGATTACAGGTGTGTACTACCACGCCCGGCTAATTTTTTGTATTTTTAGTAGAGACGGAGTTTTCGCTGTTGGCAAGGCTGGCCTTGATCTCCTTGCCTCAAGTGATCTGCCCACCTCGGCCTCCCCAAAGAGCTGGGATTATAGGCATAAGCCACCGCGCCCAGCCACATTGTATATTTTTACGCACATATACTATTTACAAACTTTTTTTTATAATACCTTTTTTTTTTTTTAAGAGAGTCTCGTTCTGCTGCCCATGCTGAAGTGCAATGGCATCATCATAGCTCACTATAGCCTCAAACTCCTGGGCTCAAGCAATCCTCCCACCTCATCCGGCCATAAAATACTTTTTTGAAAAAGTAGTTAAATATCCTTGATTCCATTCATAAATTGATAGTTCTTCAAGTATTGGTTTGCTTTATCAAGCTATTTCAGCCTTAATATTTCTCCTGTAACTTGAAAAAAGACATAACAGTTTTCCTATTTATCCACACCCTGATTTAAACATTTTTATTGAAAGGTCACTTGATGGATCAGAGAATTATTTGTTGCTAAGCCACTCATCCAAAGACTCTAAACCTACACAGTCCAATGTGATAGCTACTAATTAGTTTCTAATCACACTAACTACATTCCAGTAATCGATACCTATGTGTGGCGTGTGGCTTGTGGCTAGCATATTGGACAGCACAGATGCTAAACATTTTCAGATCACTGCAGAAAGTTCTATTGGACATCACTGCTCTACACCAGGAGTCAACAAACTATAGCCTGCAGACTAAATTCAGCCAACTGCTTATTTGTATAAATAAAGGTCTACTGGAACACAGCCATCCTTATCCATACTGGTTTACGTATTATCTGTCGATGCTTTGGCACTACAATAGAGTTGAGTAATTGCACCAGAGACAGTAAAGCCCAAAAGGCCTAAAATATTTAGTATCTGCCAGAAAAAGTTTGCTGATCACTGCTCTAGATTATCAAATTTCATTGAAAAAGAACACATTAATTTCCCTTAGGCCTCAAAAAGTTTTTGAAGGCTTGCATTACAAAAATGACAAACCAGTTAAACATAAACAGATGTCTACTTCATTTACTAAGTGTTAAAGATACTTAATTTTTTACCATAAACCCATAAAACCAAAATTTGTCCTAAAATGTATTTAAATACTGGTATTTTCTAAGCATCTCTATAAAATAGCTAGTAAAAGCACAGAAGACAGATTACTAGTCTAGCAATTCTAAAAGAGCTGGCCTAAGAGAAAATATTTATTTCTCAAAAATATGCCTATTTTCCTTAGCAATATCTAATATCTGTTCAAAGAAATGGGGCCAGGCGTGGTGGCTCACACTTGTAATCCCGGCACTTTGGGAGGCCGAGGCAAGTGGATCATGAGGTCAGGAGATTTAGACCATCCTGGCTAACACGGGGAAACCCCATCTCTACTAAAAATACAAAAAAAAAAAAAAATTAGCCGGGCATGGTGGTGGGCGCCTGTAGTCCCAGCTACTCGGGAGGCTGAGGCAGGAGAATGGCATGAACCCAGGAGGCGCAGCTTGCAGTGAGCCGAGACTGCGCCACTGCACTCCAGCCTGGGAGACAGCGAGACTCCATCTCAAAAAAAAAAAAAAGAAATGGGCCAGGCACAGTGACTCATGTCTGTAATCCCAGCACTTTGGGAGGCTGAAGCAGAAGGATCACTGGAGCCCAGGAGTTCGAGACCAGCCTGGGCAACACAGTGAACACAGTGAGACCTCGTCTCTACAAAACAACAACAAAAATTAGCCAGCACGTGCATCTGTGGTCCTAGCTACGCAAGAGCCTGAGGCAGGAGGATCACTTGAGCCCAGGAGTTCAAGGCTACAGTCAGCTACGACTGCACGACAGCACTCCAGCCTTGGTGATAGAGTGAGACAGTCTCAAGTGAAAAAAATGAAAAAAGAAATTTATCAACTGTTTGGAAAAGCAGTACATTTCTTAGAAAAAATACATTAGAAGTATTTACATCTAACCACCTATTTCATATAACATTACTGTATTTCAGGCTTTCAAAGCAATTACTAAAAACTTCGTTTTTTAAGAAAAGTAAATAAACTTGCGTTTTTAAAGGAATTTGGTCTGCTTTTAAAATCAGTGGAGCATCTTTACCAATTAAAGGCATTTTTAATTGAATATAATTTTGTGTATTATGTGACCAACTCTGTACAAGGCACTGGACAGAATGATGATCCTTTTGCAGCTAGTAATTTATGAGGCATATTAGTATCACTTACAGTGACTTTACATATGTAAGAACAAAGGGGTAGAAACACAGCTGAGGAGTACACCGAGTGATTAAGAGAAGGCTTCAAGGAGGAAAGCTATTTGAGTTGGGTATTGAAGTATGAGTTTTACAGGTTTGTAAGGATAAGGGAAAAGGGGGAGGGAAGAATGGCACAGCAACACCATTCTAAAGTGAATGTAGAACAAAGAAAATGAGACATGAAAGGACTTAAGTACCAGAAAATACGAGTTCAATGCTACAGAAGTATATAGCTTAAATGCAACTGGAAAAAAGAAATGGTGGCAGGTATAAAGACTACAGACTTCAGGGTCTGAATGTAAATGTCTTTACATGACAAACTAAGGAATTAAAATTGGATCTAAGTCTCAAGTATGAATCATGCAAGGAGAGAAGAGAAAGAGATGAGATTGGATCTGATAGTATAAGCCATAGCAAACGTATAGCTTTCCAAAAAGAGATATGACATGATTGATTTTATAGGAAAATGACACTAGCAGCAATTTGGATCTTGGACTATAGTGAGAGACCAACCAGCTACTATCCAAATCAGAAATAATGGCCAAAAGTGTTGACAGTGAGGATGAAGAAAAAAACAGATGAAAAGCAGCAGCATGGCCAGGTAAGGTGGCTCACGCCTATAATCCCAGCACTTTGGGAGGCCGAGGCAGGTGGATCACCTGAGGTTGGGAGTTCGAGACCAGCCTAACCAACATGGAGAAACCCCATCTCTATTAAAAATACAAAATCAGCCAGGCGTGGTGGTGCATGCCTGTAATCCCAGCTACTCAGGAGGCTGAGGCAGGACAATCGCTGGAACCCAAGAGGCGGAGGTTGCAGTGAGCTGAGATCGCACAATTGCACTCCAGCCTGGGCAACAAGAGCAAACTCCATCTCAAAAAAAAAAAAGAAAAGAAAAAAGAAAAGCAGCAGCTACATGTAGTAGAATCTACAGTCCTGCACTCCCACTTTGTAAATGTCCTGTATATGTGATAATTTCCCTTTTCCATATTTTTTTTTGGTATAAATGCACTTTTGGCATGCAAAAAGGTTTATACAGTAAGTTATCAAGACTGGAGGTAAGATGGCCTTTTTTTGTTTTTCCTCCCATGGTATTAGGAAGGAAAATGCAAGAACTCTTGAGTTAGATGTGGATTACAGGCTATCTCTGCTGTGACACTATGAGCATGACAGTTAACCTCTCAAAGCTCTAGGTTTCTCATTTGTAAAAAGAGGAAATTGAACTAGATGATCTAAAACTTTGGAAAGTTCTAATCCTCTGATGATACTGACAAATCTTTAATCTTCTGTAAGTGTCCAACAAAAATGCAAATACAATAATCTAACTACAAACCGATTGTGAAAAACCCATCAAACACAGGCAAATACTATTGTACCTATTAGCTATATGCATCTACATGTACTCATTGTGAAGAATTTCATGACATACATTAAGTTATGTAGTCATCAACCACTCATTTGAAACCCTGACAAAACAAACTCTGTAAGCTGTGTCAGCCATGCAAGGCACCACGCTCGGCTAATTTTTGTATTTTTAGAAGAGACGGGGTTTCGTCTTGTTGGCCAGGCTGGTCTCCTGGTCTCAGGTGATCCACCTGCCTCGGCTTCCCAAAGTGCTGGGATTAAAGGTGTGAGCCACGGCGCCCGGCCAACAAAAGAACTTTTTAACAATATTCCTTTATCGATCAAATTTTTAAATGTTTCTAACTGGAAAAATGCAGTCTTGAAATTTGTAACCATAAATTGTCATGTGCGACTTCTTAATAATGAAGAAAATTTATTTTATGAATTCTTGCTTGTATTAAAAAGTTCAGAAATATTCTGAACTTGTTTCTCTTCAAGAGTAACATTTGGCTGGGTGTGGTGGCATGAGCCTGTAATGCCAGCACTTTGGGAAGCCAGGAGTTCAAGACCAACCTGAACAACACAGCAAGACCCTGTCTGTAAAACGAAAAAACAAAAAAAGAACAACTTTTAAACCGGATTTTTTTTTTTTTTTAAAGTAAAAGAGAGTTGGAGGTCCAGCATGATGGCTCACACTTGTAATCCCAGCATTTTGGGAGGCTGAGACAGGAAGATCACTTGAGCCCAGGAGTTCAAGACTAGCTCTGGCAACACAGCAAGACCCGGTCTCTACAAAAAATATTCAAAAGTATAAATATTAAATAAAAAGGAGAGTTGGGTCAAAAGCCTCTCTTCCTGCAAAACAAAAAGGTGAACAAATAACTTTTTTTTTTTTTTGAGACAGAGTCTCGCTCTGTCGCCCTGGCTGGAGTGCAGTGGCGGGATCTCGGCTCACTGCAAGCTCCACCTCCCGGGTTCACGCCATTGTCCTGCCTCAGCCTCCCGAGCAGCTGGGACTACAAGTACCCGCCACCATGCCCGGCTAATTCCTTTTGTATTTTTAATAGAGACGGGGTTTCACCATGTTCACCAGGATGGTCTCGATCTCCTGACCTCGTGATCCACCCGCCTCGGCCTCCCAAAGTGCTGGGATTACAGGCGTGAGCCACCGCACCCGACCCAGAGAATATTTTTAATTAAAGGTGAAAAACTCAGATGTAAATCTTGCATTTCCAGCCTCTTATAAATTTGTGATATAATTAATATTGCCTAAAGTCATACTTCAAGGGAAATAACATTTTGCTAACTGTAGTATTAAACTTTTCTAATGATATTTTATTTCTTCTAATGTTTCTTCTAAAGACCTGAACAATGTTTTGGTTATATACTACATTATATATACCAGAATCATTTATCTTTAATGTAACCTATGTGATTTCTGGCTCCCTAAAATAGCATTATGCATTTTCTGAGTTAACCAAAATAAAATCTAGAAAGAGCTAAACTGTAATCTACCATGATCGGAGTGTAAAATCCTTTACTATGCAAATCTGCCCACTGTTTAAAACAGTAAAAAAAAAAAAAAAAAAAAATTTAACATGAACCCAAAGGACACAGATGTTCTTTCAAATTGCTGGTATCAATGAACATAAAATTAATCCCACTACCAACCCACAAGAGACGTGGGTGTTTACTGTAAAGTTGCAAATCTCAACCAGATCTTTCATCCAGGAAAAAAGCCTTTATTACGGTTTTTCTTATACGTAATACAGTGATTTAAACTAATGCTTTCAGATCCTGAGAGGTTTTTTTTTTTTTTAGAAAAAAAGCATTATATTTTGAAGACACACAAACTAATCTTACTCTAGTAAAGAAGCTTTATTAATTCTAATTAACAAATTTCACTCAAAAAGGAAGTGTATTCGAATCAAGTACTTTATTAGAGGGGAAAAATATTCAAAAAGAATAGAAGCAAGAATTATCTGGTTTTTGTTGTAAGCCCATACTATTCAAATACAATTCAGAAGCAGAATTTTTAACTTCTCAAAAGTTCCCTAATAAAAGAAAGCTATTTTAACAAAAAAAACACTAAGATACATTTTTTAAAACCAAAAGTATACCACAAAGTTAGCATGAGGAGTATGGGAAAAACCCACCTCAGATTTATTAACAATGTCCAAACGGAAAACTGGATGTGCTTTCCCCAAATATAACTGATAAAATTCCCACAAGAACACTAGTATAACAGGTGGAGTGGATATTCCAAAACCAAAATATGTTAATTATAGTATCTCACATTCCATGATAAGCATTCAAGGACACCTGGTAATTAAAGGAATTATGAGAAACAACTGAGTACCTTAAGGCCTGTTCAGTTACAAAAGAAAAAAAAAATTCTGCAATAATAATAATCCTTTACACTTGGATAGCACTTTGCAATTTTCACGATACCTTATGACAAAACACTTTATAATAGAGTTGTTTTATGAAGTTAGTGCATACGCACACAACGTACTTTAGTCCTAGAGTTCATATACCAACCACATCAAATTATAACAGCACGCACAAAGATAAGCGGCACTTCAAATTTTACTAATGTCATTGTGGCTGATCATCACTTTATTCAGAAATGGTCCGTTACAATCCTCTTCCGTAGAGTTTGACTCTCTTTAAAGTCTATGCTGGACAGGGCATCTTCCTGGGTCCCTAGCTTTGGGGGAGGGTAATTCCTGCCAGGAAGCTGGTTCCACCAGTCCTGCTGTAGCTGCTGTCTGCCCTCCAGGACCAAGAAAGGACAGGTATTCTCAGTACATTATCCAGCTCTTCTTAAGAGGACAACCAGTAAAGGCTTCCCAAGGTGTTCCTACAGTTCTCCCTCAACTCCTAGGAAAACAAAGGTTCAGGCCCAGCTCTGTCACTTCGTATTCCGTTCTTGATAATATAGGTACTCCATAAGCCCCAGCCCACAGTCATCTGGCAGAGGATGGAGTGGAGGACATAATACCCAAGATACCCAAGGGGCTGCAAGGTAAAGGGTGGGTAGCAGAGAATTCAGCCAACTCTTAAGTTGCCGCTTGCGAAACGCAGCTAGCCCATCAGGTCTCCTTCGAAGGGGGAAGGTACGCAATTCAGAATGTGAGAATGAGAAACCCGGGACGCCGGGCATACAACAGGGATGGGAGGACTGCATAGAGAAGCCAACGGGCCGGCCAGCCCGAAGGGCGGAGATCGCTGCTGGGGGCGGCGGTGCCCAGCGGGTCAGAGCCGTGGGGCTGGCGAGGACCCCAGGCCGCGTTCGCCCGACAGGCTCCCCGGCGAGGTTTCAAACCGCCGCCCCCGCGAGGCGCTCAGCCGATTGGAAGTTCCACAACGACCGTCACTACCCAGGGCCGGAGCGGCAACTCCGCAGCGGAGCTCTGCCTGCCCGCTGCGTTCCCCCAAGAGACTAGACCCCACAAACTCCTCCTCCACCGCGGTCCCAACTCGAGTCCCCCCGCCGTCTCCGAGCACTCGGAGGGCGCCCCTCTGGGACGGGACCGACGCCTCGGACCGGGCTGCGCCGCGGGAGTTCGAGGTACGCGACGGGGCCGCGCGGGGGAGGCGGGCGGAACGGGCGCCCCTCGGAGTCGGTGTCCGGACGCAACCCCGCGACCCCCTCCGCCTCGCCCCTCGGGCACGGCCCGACTGGGATCCGACCCACCCATCCCGCCAGGTCGCGGGCAGGGCGAGGACCCGAGCGAGCCTACTCCTCCCGCCCCTGCTCTTACCCATCTTTCCGCCTCGCCTTGTAGACGTGACCGTAGGTGCCGCGTCCCACTTTGCACCCTTCGTACTCAAACAAATCCTCCACCCGCTCCCGCTCCGCCGCCAGCTTCGCCTTGAAATCATAATCCATTGTCTGCTTCCCCCATAGAGGCACGGGACGCGGGGGCCGCCGCCGCTCAGTCCCTCCTCCTCCTCCCCCCGCGACCGCCGCTCCACTTCTCCAACAGCCGCCTCTCGCGCGCGCGCGCGCGCCGCCCGCCGCCCGCCGCTCCGCGGTCCGCCTTCAGCAAGGGACTCCTCGGCGGCCACAGCAGCCACCTCCTCCACCTCTTCCTCCTCCTCCTCCGCGACGGCGGCGGCGGCTCCCGCAGGCACCCCCAGTCCCGCCTCCCTCCTTCATTTCCTTGTTTTGGAACCTGGTGGGCCGCGCCGTGGCTTCCTCGAGCTCATTAGCGAACTCACTGGCCCGCCCCATGGTCGCGGAGGCTCCTGGGAAATGAAGTCGCGAAGGCCTCAGCGGCCTGGGCGGTTTTGCCGGCGTAAGAAATACAGCTCCCAGGTTACCTCGGGCCACCACAGCCTCGCCCCCACAAAGCATGCGCGCCTGCGTACCAGGGCCGCCCCTCCCCCTCAGGTAGCGCACGGCTCCCGGTTCCTGTGAAGGTAGAAAGCTCGAAGTTCCAGTGTGCTTTCTGCGGTTCTCGGGGAGACACTGGAAAGAAGTGCCTTACTCTAGTGGGAAGGGGATACTTCACTGTAACTAGCCCCACGCAGAGAGTATGGAAAGCATTAAATCAGCACCTTGCTGAAGGGTTGGCTGCAGTGACTCGGGAGGCGAGGGCTGGTGAGGACAGTTGTACCGCAGCTTGTTTCTTTTCTAGGGCAGTGGGTCCGCCTATTGCCCCGCCCCCCGTCCCGCTGCTCATTGGCGGGGGCTGGAGAATGACGTCCTCGTTGGTGCGTGGGTATCCCCAGGCTTTGGCTTCTTTCCCGCTCTTGATTGGTGATTGGATGTGCTCGGTTCTTCCTGATAGGTTGATCTTTTTTCTTTACGATGCAAAAACCGTATTTCAAAAACTGAACCTTCAGCAGTTTCCTAGAGCCTGCCTTGGCCAGAGGAGAACATGCAACTTCTGAGCCCCAGCAGCCAATCATCATTTTCTTGGCGCTGTAGTCAGCTTTCTCTTAGCATATGCGGTTCCCATAACCAGGCTTTGGCCATCTGTCTAAGGACAATTAAAAGTGCCTGGAGGAAGCCGCGTTTACGATCCTTTGGGTTGAATTGTAAAGGATTTTTTATGGTCTATGCATGATGTGAGGTTCTAGAATGTTTAAGAAAGCCCCTTTAGTTAGGGTGAACGTTGATTGATTTCATTGTGTTGGGGCTCAGGACACACTACCCCAAATTATAACTGAAGGAGTCCAGAATATGCCACCCCAAAATACGCCACTCTGGCATATTGATGTCTTTTAGCAAAATAAATTAAGATCCAGCCAACACAGGAAAATGCTTCACTTATCCCACTACTGCCTAAAATAAAGAATAACTCTTCCTTTGTAAAGAGAAATTTACATTTCTAAAGGAAATTTTCGTAATTAAAGGAATCTTACCAGAAAGAGAGCTGCTGCTAGTCAACTTGTATCATCTGAGATACTTTTATCTGCATAAAAGTCAACCTTTATTCACCTTAGACATTTTTTCCTCTTATCCTCTCTTAACTTGTCTCCACCACTCCTGGAAGCCCCAAACCCCACTTTTGTTTTGAAGAGACTGGCCTTGCTGTGTTGCCCAGGCTGGCGTCCAACTCCTGAGCTCAAGGATCCTCCTGCCTCAGACTCCTGAGTAGCTGGGATTACAGGTCCGTGCCACCATGCCGGGCCCCACTTCCTTTTTGAGGTCAGGATGTAATATAAGTGTCAAACATCTGGCCCTTCTTTGAGTCTCATATTTTGTGGGACTCTTGTGCATACATACGTAATTAAAACTTTTTCTCCTGTTAACCTGACTGGTATCAATTTAGTTTATAGACCAGCTGAAGAACCTAAGAGGGTTTCCTCCCCTGTAATGGTGAGCCTAATGTCCCAAATGTTTGGGATACACACTTAAACATGATTGGTGCTAGGATAGGACATAACACATTCATTAGGAGGACAAAGAAGGGAATTGTCAATTCTACCCAAAGTGGTAGATAAGGAAAGAATAGTGAACTGCCTGCTAGGTTTTGAAAGAAACTTGGAAAACTAGTGGGAGGGGGAATGATTTACCTTATTTGCTACATCACCCACTCCTGGAAAACTTCCTTAGACCTTGAGTCTCTTCAGGCTGGGTGCAGTGGCTCACACCTGTAATCCCAGCACTTTGGGAGGCCAAGGCGGGTGGATCACGAGGTCTGGAGTTCAAGACCAGCCTGGCCAAGACAGTGAAACCCTGCCTCTTATTAAAAATGCAAAAATTAGCCAGGTGTGGTAGCATGTGTCTGTAGTCCCATTTACTCGGGAGGCTGAGGCAGGAGAATCCCTTGAACCCGGGAGGCAGAAGTTGCAGTGAGCTGAGACCATGCCACTGCACTCCAGCCTGGGCAACAGAGCAAGACCCCGACTCAAAAAAAAATGGTATCTTTAATCAAGAAAAATCTCAGTTGCTCTTGTTGCCATGCACTATAATAACTGCTGGAGATAGCAGGAAAAAAATTAGTCTTTTTCCATTGGGGAATTAAACCTGAAAAAACAAATATGCAAGCAAATTAAAAATAAACTGTGGTTTAAAAGAGCACTGGTAGAATAGGCGGGGTTCTAAGTGAGTCAGGGTAGACTTCATGAAGTAGGTAGGTTTGAGCCAAATTTTTTTTTCACTCCAGCCCCATCTGCTGAGTGAGAGCCAAAATTTAAAGCATGAGTAAGCCTTTACTTGAAGGACAAGTCGAAGAGCAAGAAACAAGGAATTATTTCAGGTAGAACAGCATGTACATAAATCATGAGAGAACATCATATATTCTGAGAAATGCAACTAGTTTGAATATTACAGATTAAGACAGGAAAAAGTAATGGATAAGAAAATACTAAACAGATAAGCAGAGGTCAAATTATGAAAAGCTATTTATGTCAGGGAGAGGTTTTAGGTTTCATTATTCTGTCGACCTAAAAGGAAAAAGCTGGGGCAAAATTAATATAAGTAGAGAGTTTATTTGAGCCAAGCTTTAGAATTGCAACCCAGGAGTATAGATACAAGTTGCCCTGAATGTACACTCCAATCAGGAGCAGTTGCAAGTAGATTTTTAAAGGCAAAAAAAGGGGGATAGGAAGTGGGCTCAAAGTTGTTTGTGAGGAATTCTCATTGGTTTACAGGAATAACATTGATTAATGAATGAGCTATACATTGTTAAGATATAGGGTGTGGGTTATAGCATCTGGTGCAGCATTATTGGATTAATTTGTAGCTACTTGTGGCAATAGCAAGCATTTCAGGAGATGAATACATAGCTCAAGGGGAAAGTATCACCTGATTCCAGTATCTTATTTATATATATATTTATTTATTTATTTATTTATTTTGAGACAGAGTCTTGCTCTGTCACCCAGGCTGGAATGCTGTGGCGCGATCTCACCTCACTGCAGTCTCTGCCTCCTGGGTTCTAGTGATTCTCCTGTCTCAGCCTCCTGTGTAGCTGGGATTACAGGCATGTGCCACCAAGCCCAACTAATTGTATTTTTAGTAGAGACAGGGTTTTGCCATGTTGGCCAGGCTGGTCTTGAACTCCTGGCATCAAGTGATCCGCCCACCTTGGCCTCCCAAAGTGTTGGGATTATAGGCGCGAGCCTAATTCCTGTATTATTTTAATGTCTCTCTGTGCCTTATAATTTAAAAGGCCTCACATTCCTCAAATGAAAGTTTTTTTCTTTTCTCAATTCTGTAGGCAATAGGAAGCTATTACACACTTTTGAGCTAAGGAGAACTATAATCAGCCCTGAGTATTAAGCAAATTCTCTGACAAAAGTGTTCAGGTTCAATTGGAGGAAGGTGAGACTAGCAAAGAAGCTATTGCAATAGGACGGTAAAAACAACGATCTGGGCCGGGTGCAGTGGCTCATGGCTGTAATCCCACCACTTTGGGAGGCCGAGGTGGGCGGATCACCTCAGTCCAGGAGTTTGAGACCAGCCTAATCAACACGGAGAAACCCCGTCTCTACTACAAATACAAAATGAGCCGGGCGTGGTGGCGCATGCCTGTAATCCCAGCTACTCAGGAGGCTGAGGCAGGAGAATCACTTGAACCTGGGAGGCAGAGGTTGCAGTGAGCCAAGATTGCACCATTGCACTCCAGCCTGGGCAACAAGATCGAAACTCTGTTTCAAAACAAACTAACAAACAAAAAACAAGGATCTGAACCACGGAAGAGCAGCACTATAAGAAAAAAGCACATACTATAATTATTTAGGAGTAAAATTTAACAAGACTTAGTAATTAATTAAATGTGGGACTAAAGGAGAGGGAAGAATCCAAGATAACTTTGAGAATTTTGACTTCAGCAATATGGTAGAAATTTCAGAAAGTTAGGAAACACAGGAATGGGAGCAATTTTTGAGAGAAAGATAAGCTTGGTTGGGGCATGTCGAATTGGAAGTACCTATGGGGGCATCAAGATAGAAATAACTGTCAGGCATTTGAACCACAGTGACTCCATCTTGAATAGGGTAGAATAAGGCTGAGACCTGCTGTGCTGCATTCCCAGGAAGCTAGGTGTTTTTAGTCACATGGTGAAATAGGAAGCCTGCACAAGATACAGATCATAAAGACTCCACTGATAAGATGCAGTAAAGAAGCTAGACAAAACCCACCAAAACCAGGATGGTGACCTCTGGTCTACTCACTGACCCCTGGTCTCCTTGTTGCCCATTATATGTTAGTTATAATGCATTAGCATGCATTATAGGAGACATCCTACCAGTGCCATGACAGTTTACAAATGCCATAGCAACTTGAGAAGTTACCCTATAGAGTCTAAAAAGGGGAGAAGCCCTCAATTCTGGGAAATCCCCATGTCTTTCCCAGAAAACTTGTGAATAATCCACCCCTTGTTTATCATGTAACCAAGAAATAACTGTAAGTATACTCAGTGGAGCAGCCCATATCTCTGCTCTGCCTATGGAGTAGCCATTCTTTTGTTTACTTCTCCAGTAAACTTGCTTTCACTTTACTCTATGGACGCACCCCAAATTCTTTCTTTCTTTCTTTCTTTTTTTTTTTTTGAGATGGACTTTTGCTCTTGTTGCCCAGGCTGGAGCGCAATGGTGCGATCTTGGCTCACCACGACCTCCACCTCCCAGGTTCAAGCGATTCTCCTGCCTCAGCCTCCCAGGTAGCTGGGATTATAGGCATGCACTCGCATGCCCGCCTAATTTTGTATTTTCAGTAGAGATGGGGTTTCTCCATGTTCATCAGGCTGGTCTCCAACTCCCGACCTCCAGGTGAGCTGCCTGCCTTGGCCTCCCAAAGTGCTGGGATTACAGGCATGAGCTACCACACCCGGCTGGTAGTAAATCGTTTTTAGGGGAAATGAGTGGGCCCAATGCTCACAAAATGGTTAGTAAATGATTATCATTAGAAACTAAATGGGCCAAGCGTGGTGGCTGATGCCTGTAATCCCAGCACTTTGGGAGGCCAAGGTGGGCAGATCACTTGAAGTCAAGAGCTGGAGACCAGCCTGGCCAGCACGGTGAAACCCCCATCTTTACTAAAAATACAAAAATTAGCAGGGCATGGTGGTGCATGCCTATAATCCCAGCTACTTGGGAGGCTGAGGCAGGAGAATCACTTGAACCCGGGAGGCAGAGGTTACAGTTAGCTGAGATCGTGCCACAGCAAGATCGTGCCACAGCACTCCAGCCTGGGCAACAGGGCAAGACTCCGTCTCAAAAATAAATAAATAAAATAAGAAACTAAATGGGACCAGACAACAGAACATAGTGTGGGACAAAGTTCATCTGGTCTCTACTGTGGTGTTTAATTTTCAGTGTCTTCCTTTGTGATATGAGTTTTAATCTTCGCTGGTTAATGAAATTCCAGGGAGAGAATTAAAAGTTGTGTTCTTCTACAGCAGTTTCAGTTTCTATGTAGATAAGAGAACTTCAGAGAATAGCCTCATCCTGTGCTTTGGGAGGAACAGAGGATTGAGAAATGGTGGCGGCATGGAGGCAGCAGCTGGAGGCTGCTGCTTTAGTTCAACATGCCAAAGTGCCATATTTTGGAGTTCTGTTTTCTGAGACCCAACATGTTCTATTTTTCCCATTTACATATAAACACACTGAGACAAGCCGGGCACAGTGGCTCACGCCTGTAATCCCAGCACTTTGGGAGGCCGAGGCGGGTGGATCACTAGGTCAAGAGTTCAAGACCAGCCTGGCCAAGAGACCACCCTAGTCAACATGGTGAAACCCCGTCTCTACTAAAAACACAAAAATTAGCCGAGTGTGGTGGCGGGCACCTGTAATCCCAGCTACTTGGGAGGCTGAGGCGGGAGAATCACTTGAACCCAGGAGGCAGAGGTTGCAGTGAGCCAAGATCATGCCGTTGCACTCCAGCCTGGGAGACGAGCAAAACTCCATCTAAAAAAAGAAGAAGAAGAAAGAAAAGAAAAAATCTGCAATAAAAGAAAAATGTAATGCTTTTAACAGTTTGTTCAAGTTAAAAGGAAAGGTGGGTGTGGGCAATGGAATGAGACCTTGTCTCAAAATAAAATAAAATAAAATTATTTGAAATGAATAATAGTGACATAAGTTATCAAATATCAAAACCTTTGGGATACAGCAAAAGCAGTTCTGAGAGGAAAGTTTTTAGTGCTAAATGCCTACATCAAAAAGTCTGAAAGGTCACAAATTGACAACCTAACATCATACCTCCAGGAAATAGAGATACAAGAATAAACCAAACCCGAAGCTAGCAGAAGAGCAGAAATAACAAAGATCAGAGCAGAACTAAATGAAATTGAAAGAAAAATACAAAAGATCAATGAAACAGGTGTTTCCTTGAAAACATAAACAAAATCAATATTCCATTAGCTAGAATAACCAAGAAAATAAGAGAGAAGGCCTGGCACAGTGGCTCACTCCTGTAATCCCAGCACTTTGGGAGGCCAAGGTGGCAGTGAGCCGAGATCACACCACTACACTGTAGCCTGGGCAGAAAGGGAAAAAAACAGGAAAATAGAAGATTCAAATAAGCTCAATTAGAAATGAAAATGGAGACATTACAACTAACACCACAGAAATACAAAAGATCATTTGAGACTGCTATGAACAACTCTGTGCACACAAACTAGAAAGCCTAGAGGAAATAGATAAATTCCTGGAAATATACAACACTCCTAGTTTGAATGAGAAAGAAATAGAAATCCTGAACAGACCAATAACAAGCAGTGAGATTGCCAAGAAAAAAAAAGCCCAGGCCAGAAAGATTCACAGCCAAA
This sequence comes from Homo sapiens, assembly GCF_000001405.40. NCBI lineage: Eukaryota > Metazoa > Chordata > Mammalia > Primates > Hominidae > Homo > Homo sapiens. The sequence continues at coordinate 110,822,470 of NC_000006.12, forward strand.
TTCTAGCAGACATTCTTGGTACCAATCCTACTGAACCAATTCCAAAAGATTGTGAAAGAAGGAATCTTCCCCAACTCATTCTATGAAGCCAGTATCACTCTGATACCAAAGCCAGGAAAGGACATTTTAAAAAAAAGAAATCTTATCCTATTTAAAAAAACAATGAAATCTATAGACAAATATCCCTGATGAACATAGATGCAAAAATCCTCAACAACATATAGCAAACTAAATCTAATAGCACATCAAAAAGATAATTCTCCATGACCAAGTGGGTTTCAGCCCAGGGATGCAGGAATGGTTCAATATACACAAGTCAATAGATGTGATTCACCACAGAAACAGAATTAAAAACAAAAACCAGACTGGGCACAGTGGCTCATGCCTGTAATCCTAGAACTTTGGGAGGCTGAGGCAGGCAGATCACCTGGAGGTCGGGAGTTCAAGACCGGCCTGACCAATATGGAGAAACCCTGTCTCTACTAAAAATACAAAAGTTAGCTGGGCGTAGTGGCGCATGCCTGTAATCCCAGTACTCAGGAGGCTGAGGCAGGAAAATCACTTGAACCCAGGAGGTGGAGGTTGTGGCGAGCCGAGATTGTACCATTGCACTCCAGCCTGGGCAACAAAAGCAAAACTCTGTCTCAAAAAAAAGCATACAATTATCTCAATAGATGCAGAAGAAGCATTTTCTAAAATCCAACATCTCTTTATGATAAAAACCCTCAAAAAACTAGGCATAGAAGGAACATACCTCAAAATAATAAAAGCCATATATGATAAACCCACAGCCAACATCACACTGAATGGGGAAGAGTTGAAAGCATTTCCCCTGAGAGCTGGAACAAGACAAGAATGCCCACTTTCACTTCTTCTACTCAACGTAGTACTGGAAGTACTAACCAGATCCATCAGGCAAGAGAAAGGAATGAAAGGCATCCGAATTGGAAAAGAGAAAGTCAGACTATCTCTGTTTGCTATTGATATGATTGTATACCTAGAAAACTCCAAAAGACTCCTAGTTTGATAAATGAATTCAGTGAAGTCTCAGGCTACAAAATAAATGCACACAAATCAGTAGCAGTCCTATACAGCAACAATGATCAAGCTGAGAACAAATCAAGAACTCAAGAAAAAGAATTTTCTTCTGTTACCTTTAGGTTTGGTTTATTCTTGTATCTCTAGTTCCTTGAGAGCTAGAGATGTGTTTTAGAAAAGAACTCAATGCCTAAACTAAACTATTTAATAGGGTGTCTTTTCCCTATTGGGTTCTTTTCTAGAAGAACTCAATCCCTTTTACAATATCTGAAAAAAATAAAATAACTAGGAATATATTTAACCAAGGAAGTGAGAGATCTCAACAACAGAACTACAAAACATTGCTGAAATAAATCATAGATGACACAAACAAATGGAAATACATCTCATGCTCACAGATTAGAAGAATCAAGACAATGAAAATAATGTGGTGAAAAGGGAATGCTTATACACTGCTGGTGGGAATGTAAATTAGTACAACCTCTATGGAAAACAGTATGGAGAATTCTCAAAGAACTAAAAGTAGATGTACCATTCAATCCAACAATTCCTGTACTGAGTATCTACCCAAAGGAAAATAAGTTATTATATCAAAAAGACACCTGCATGCCTATGTCTATCACAGCATAATTCACAATTACAAAGATATGGAACCAACCTAAGTACCCATCAACCAACCAATGAATAGATAAGGAAAAGGTGGTATATATACGCCATGGAATACCACTCATTCATAAAAAAGAATGAAATACTGTCTTTTGAGGAACTTGGATGGGGCTGGAGGCCATTATTCTAAGTGAAGTAACTCAGGAATGGAAAACCAAAATACTGTATGTTCCCACTTACAAGTAGGGCTAAGCTATGGGTACACAAAGGCATAAAGAGTGATATAATGGACACTGGAGACTCAGAAAAGGGAGGGTGAGAGAGGATTAAGAGATAAAAAATGACATATTGGGTACAATGCATACTACTTGAGTGACCAGTGCACTAAAATCTCAGACATCTCCACTATACTATTCACCAATGTAACCAAAAGCCACTTGTATCCTAAAAACTATTGAAATTTTTAAAATGTATGTTTTTAAAAAAGTTATTTAATGAAACCAAATTATTTTAATAAATGATAGATTTAAAGTTTTTGGTAACATTCAAACATCATAGCTTAAGGCAAAAAAATAAAAATTAAATTTTATAAAGAGCATAAAGTTTTTGGTAACAAAAAAAAGCACTGAAGGTAAGGGCAAAGGGCTTGAGGAAAGAAACAATGGCTTTGGTATGTTTCTTGGAAAGTAAGTAGAGTGAACATGAGAGCTAACTTTTATTGAATCCTAGGCATACGTTAGCTAATATAAGCCTCATAGCTGCCCTATGAGGAAGGTATGTTTTATCTCCTTTTTACCTATATGAAAACTGAGGCTCCAGGAGGATAATTTTGTAGTTTTATGGTTAGACAGTGATAGGATTTAACCTCAGGTCTGTAAGACTATAGAGGGCAAAGACTGCAATACCCAGTATAGTAGTCCCACCTTGTCCTTGGGGGATACACACCAAGACCCCCTGAAGCCCAGATAGTACTGATCTTCAAATACATATACACACACTGCTTTTTCCTATACATGCATACCTATGATTATAAGGTTTCATTGATAAATTAGGAACAGTTAAGAGATAAACAAGAGTAACTGATAATAAAATACAATTATCACAATGTCGTATAACAGAAATTATATGAATGTGGTCCTCTTTCTCTTCATCTCTCTCTTTCTCTTAACATCTTATTGTTCTGTATTATGGGTAACTAGTAACTAATTGAAACCATGGAAATCAAAGCTGTGGATAAGAGGAGACTATTGTATCGATTTTGCCATTTATCAAGATCAAATGATCCCACTGAAACATTCCATCCTCTTTGTCTTAAATCTTACTTTGTATATGTTAAACCACCTCTGCTTTCTTTTTTCCATATTTGATTGATAGTCATTTTTACCCCTTCTCCATGTATGCAAGAGTCACGGGGCTTATGAAATGCAGAGAACATGTAGGTACCACTGCCACTGCCATTGACATGTTCATTGCCTCAGTAAGTATAAGAGGGCTTCCTTGCCTTTACGCTTTCTAGTCTGCCAGTAACAGTTATCTAGTCAATCAGATTTCAGAGCATTTGCTGCCAAGTAAAAACCTGTTACTCTTCCAGGAGTGATATTCAGACTACTTAAACATTGATTAAAAGTCTGAGAACAAAGCTCCCTTAAATAAGGATGATTTAGGCTTGAAGAGTGTTCAGAAAACAGATTCTAGTCTACTTAGTACAGAGCTGCTGTCAGGACAGCTGAGGAGTAGGACTGGGAGGCAGTGGGATTAAAAATCAGACATCTAGACAGGCACAGTGGCTCACACCTGTAATCCCAACATTTTGGGAGACTAAGGTGGAAGAATTGCTTGAGACGGGAGTTTGAGACCAGCCTGGGCAACAGAGTAAGACCCCGTCTCTACAAAAAAATTATAAAATTAGACAGGCATGGTGAATGGCCCTGTGATCCTAGTTACTCAGGAGGCTGAGGTAGGAGGATCACTTTAGCCTAGGAGTTCGAGGCTGCAGGGAGCTATGATCACACTACTGCACTCCAGCCTGGGCAACAGAGACCCTGTCTCATTAAAAAAAAAAAAAAAAAAATCGCTTGAACCCGGGAGGTGGAGGTTGCAGTGAGCTGAGATTGCACCACTGCACTCCAGCCTGGGCAACAGAGGGAGACACCATCCCAAAAAAAAAAAAAAAAAAAAAAAAGAATCAAACTTCTCTCTGTAGGATGAGGATGCAGCCCAGACTAAGGAAGGGTTGCCCGCCTCCTTCTGATAGGGTATGAGAAGGGCTTGATTGATGCCTGTGTCAGTTTCCTCAGGCTGCTGTGACAAATTGCCACAAACTGGGTGGCTTTAAACAACAGGAACTGATTAGCTCACAGTCCTGGAGGCCAGAAGTCTGAAATCAAGATGTCTGGAGGGCCATGATCTCTCTGAAGCCCACAGGGGAGAATCCTTCTGTGCAGATTCCAGGTTCTGGTGTTGCCTGAAAGCCTCGGCAGTCCTTGCTTTATGGCAGCATAACTCAAATCTCTGTCTCCACATGGCCGTCTTCCCTCTGTATTTGTGTAAACAAACTTCCCTTTTCTTTTCTTTCTTTTTTTTTTTTTTTTTGTGAGACGGAGTTTCACTCTTGTTGGCCCAGGCTGGAGTGCAGTGGCGAAATCCCGGCTCACTGCAACCCCCGCCTCCCAGGTTCAAGCAATTCTCCTGCCTCAGCCTCCTGTGTAGCTGGGATTACAGGTGCCCACCACCAGACCTGGCTAATTTTTGTATTCTTAGTAGCGACAGGGTTTCACCATATTGGCCAGGCTTGTCTCTAACTCCTGACCTCAGATGATCCACCTGACTCGGCCTCCCAGAGTGCTGGGATTACAGGCCTGAGCCACTGCACCAGGCCCAAACTTCCCTCTTCTCATTCCACAGACACTAGTCATAATGGATTTAGGGCCCTCACTAGTCCAGCATAACCTCATTTTAACTTGAGTACATCTGCAAATAGCCTATTTCAAAATAAAGGTCACATTCACAGGTTCCAGGTAAACATAAATTTTACGGGAACAGCATTTAACCCAAAGCTGTGTCCAAACTTTGACTCTGTTACTGAATGAGGGGCCATCCTGAAAAAGCCATTCAGTGGGAATTGGAGGGCATCTTTGATATCCATGGACAGGACTTTCTTATTCATATTTTTCTTTCTTTTTTTTTTTCAGTTTTTTTTGTTTGTTTGTTTTTTAAGGTGGGTTTCACTGTGTTGCCCAAGCTTGTTTCTAACTCCTGGGCTCAAGCAATCCTCCCACCTCAGCCTCCCAAAGTGCTAAGTTTACAGGCATGAGCCACTGCACTGGGACCTCATGTTTTCTTTCTATAAAGGAGAGTCTAACTACAAGAGGCCGGGTGTGGTGGCTCACGCCTGTAATGCCAGCACTTTGGGAGGCCAAGGTGGGTGGATCACCTGGCGTCAGGAGTTTGAGACCAGCCTGGCCAACATGGTGAAACCCCGTCTCTACTAAAAAGGCAAAAACTAGTCAGGCGTGGTGGGGGGCACCTGTAGTCCCAGCTGCTTGGGAGGTTGAGGCAGGAGAATTGCTTGAACCTGGGAGAAGGAGGTTGCAGTGAGCTGAGATCGTGCCACTGCACTCCAGCCTGGGCCACAAAAGCAAAACTCCATCTCAAAAAAAAAAAAAAAAACACTACGAGAATGTTGCTAAAACACACCCTCTCCATCTTTTAGTGGTATTACTCTACTCTGATGGTGAAAGCATAACATGTTAGACAAATTTCATTCTTAAACATTAGGTTAGTGTTTTCTGTCAACAGATTATAAGAACTTTTATTGTTTTTATTGTCATTTTTTTCCTAAATCGTGTGTGGAAAAATATTGAATGTCTTCAAATGTATAATACACACAGTAACACAATAAGCTACAAAACAAAAACAAAGTTGATTAACCCACTATCAAGCTGATGTTAATTTCACAGAGCTTGGGCATTTTAATTTTTATTCAGAAAAGAGATTTTGAAGTGAACTATGGGATGATTTTAAAAAAGAGAGGCTGGCCAGGCCCGGTGGCTCACGTCTGTAATTCCAAAACTTTGGGAGGCCAAGGTGGGCAGATCACTTGAGGCCAGTAGTTCAAGACCAGCCTGGCCAACATGGCGAAACCCCGTCTCTGCTAAAAATACAAAAATTAGCCGGGTATGGGTGGCAGGCACCTGTAATTCCACCTACTCGGGAGGCTGAGGCAGGAGAGAATCGCTTCAACCCAGAGGCAGAGGTTGCAGTGAGCTAAGATCACGCCATTGCACTCCAGCCTGGGGGACAAGAGTGGAACTCTGTCTCAAAAAAAAAAGAAAGAAAGAAAAGAAAAGAAAAAGAAAAAGAAACCTGCAATAAAAGAAAAATGTGATGGTTTTAACAGTTTGTCCAAGTCTAAAGGAAAGGTGGGTGTGCCCAGCATCAACGGATTAGTCATGAGGAGAACTGAGCTGCAAATCTTGCAAGTCAGGTTCACTGCATATGTGATGGGAATACTAAGCAAAATTATGACTATATTTAAATGCTTATGCCCTTCATCATAAGTTTATGAGCAATGTGGAAGTCAAATTTGAATCTGGAGGTAAAATTTCTCTTACCACAGTCTAATCTAGATCAGGGAAATTTACTGAAGAGATTTACCAAGCTGTTTGCTCATGGTCTAAGGTGAGCTCAGGATCATCTCCTTCAGGAAGTCTTCTCTTACCTCCCCTCAACTAGGTTGGGTGCCTTTCATCTGTCCTGCTGTTAAAGCCCTATGCTGGCTGGGCGCGGTGGTTCACGCCTGTAATCCCAGCACTTTGGGAGGCCAAGGCGTGCAGATAACAAAGTCAGGAGTTCAAGACCACCCTGGCCAACATGGTGAAACCCTGTCTCTACTAAAAATACAAAAATTAGCCAGGCATGGTGGCAGGTGCCTGTAATCCCAGCTACTTGGGAGGCTGAGGCAGGAGAATCATTTGAACCTGACAGGCGGAGGTTGCAGTGAGCCGAGATCACACCATTGCACTCCAGCCTGGGCGACAAGAACAAAACTCCGTCTCAAACAAACAACCCCTGTGCCGACCTCTTTACAGTTGTGCCTGGCCTGAGTATAGAATCCTAAGTGAAAAATGAATTTTCGGCTGAGTGCAGTGGCTCACACCTGCAATCCCAACACTTTGGGAGGCTGAGGCAGGCGGATCCCTTGAGCCCAGGACTTCGAGAACAGCCTGGGCAACATGACAAAACTCTATCTCTACCAAAAAAAAAAAAAAATTAACCGGACATCGGCCGGGCATGGTGGCTCATGCCTGTAATCCCAGCAGTTTGGGAGGCTGAGGCGGGCAGATCACGAGGTCAGGAGATCGAGACCATCCTGGCTAACACATCTCTACTAAAAATACAAAAAAATTAGCCAGGCGAGGTGGCAGGTGCCTGTAGTCCCAGCTACTCGGGAGGCTGAGGCAGGAGAATGGCGTGAACCCAGGAGGCAGAGCTTGCAGTGAGCTGAGATCGTGCCACTGCACTCCAGCCTGGGCGACAGAGGGAGACTCTGTCTCAAAAAATAATAATAATAATAATTAAAAATTAACCAGGCATGGTGGCACGAGCCTGTAGTCCCAGCTACTTGAGAGGCTGAGGTAGGAGAATCACTTGAGCCTGGGAAGTTGAGGCTACGGTGAGTCATGATTGCGCCACTGCACTCTAGCCTGCATGACAGAGTGAGACCCTGTCTCAAAAATAAATAAATAATAAATAAATTAATTTTTCTGAGAACCCTGAAGGCTTTAATCCAGTATTTTCTAACATTCAGTGGCTCAGACGTGTTGTAAATCTGTTTAACCTCACTTTAAGTGTCCTATTTTTCCCATAGAAATGTTAAGGATCTTTGTTTTTGTTTGTGTGTTTGTTTGTTTGTTTTTTTGAGACAGAGTCTGGCTCTGTCACCAGGCTGGAGTGCAGTGGCGCGATCTCGGCTCACTGCAACCTCCACCTCCTGGGTTCAAGTGATTCTCCTGCCTCAGCCTCCTGAGTAGCTGGGACTACAGGGGCACGCCACCATACCCAGCTAATTTTTTTGTATTTTTATTAGAGATGGGGTTTCACCATGTTGGCCAGGATGGTCTTGTGGCCTGACCTCATGATCCGCCCACCTGAGCCTCCCAAAGTGCTGGGATTACAGGCATGAGCCACCGTGCCCGGCCAGGATCTATTTTTTGTTTGTTTCGAGACAGGATCTCACTTTGCTGCCCAAGCTGGAGTGCCACTCAGGTCGGAGGCAGGACTCAACTCCAGACCAGATGGAAGACTGGCTAAAACAAGGAAGAAGTACCAAAAGCATTCCTCCATAAGACATGCCTACCAGCACAATGGCAGTTTACCATTGCCATGGCAATACCCAGAAGTTACCACTGCTTTTCTGAAAATTTCTAAATAACCTGCCCCTTAATTTGCATGTGATTAAAACTGGGTATAAATATGACTGCAGAACTGCCCCTGAGCTGCTACTCTGGGCACACTGTCTATGGGGTAGCCCTGTTCCGCAAGGAGCAGTACCTCTGCTGCTGCTATACACTACCGCTTCAGTAAAAGCTGCTGTCTAACACCACCAGCTTGCCCTCGAATTCTTTCCTGGGCAAAGACAAGAACTATCCCAGGCTAAGCCCCAGTTTGGGGCTCATCTGCTCTGCGTCATCAATGCCTGATGGTAGTTCATTGCAGCCTTGACCTCCTGGGCTCAAGCAATTCTCCCACCTCAGACTCCCCAGTAGCTGGGAGTACAGGCACATACCACCATGCCTGGCTAATTTTTATTTTTAATTTTTTTGTAGAGATGGCATTTCACTATGTTGCCCAGGCTGAGGATTCTTTAATCTTGGAGACTTAATGTTTCACAAGCATGTGTCTGGGTGTGGGTATTTTTAATTCGTTTTGCTCTGTTATTTTCTCTGATATTTACTTTCTTTCTCTCCATGATCATTACTTTACTACTCAATTTTGCAACTCTTTTGAGGACTCTCATTTTTATTTTTTGAAATGTATTTTTATGGCCAGGTGCAGTGGTTCACGCCTGTAATCCCAACACTTCAGGAGGCCAAGGCGGGCAGATCACGAAGTCAGGAGTTCAAGACCAGTCTGGCCAACATAGTGAAACCCCATCTCTACTAAAAATACAAAAAATTAGCCAGGCGTGGTGGCAGGCACCTGTAATCCCAGCTACTCAGGAGGCTGAGGCAGGAGAATGGCTTGAACTCGGGAGGCAGAGATTGCAGTGAGCGGAGACCGTGGCATTGTACTCCAACCTGGGCGACAGTGCAAGACTCCGTCTCAAAAAAAAAAAAAAAGTATTTTTATTATTTTTTGTTTATAGACACAGGGTCTCACTATGTTGCCCAGACTGGTCTCTAACTCTTGGGCTCAAGCAATCCTCCCACTTTCACCTTCCGAAGTGCCGGGATTATAGGCATGAACCACCACGCCCAGCCTTGAGGACTCTCATTAGTCAAAGGTTGGACCTCTTTGATTCTTAAGGCCTCTTGTCAATTCCATCTTTCACTTTCCTCTGAGGAGCCAATGTTTGCATTGGGAACCTTAGCATTTCTCGTCTTACAACACCACTCCTGTTTTCAGCTTGATGCTAAATGTCTAATGGCTTTGCTTTGACAACACTTTTCCCATAGGGGAAATGGAGTGGATAAGAGAAAATCAACTGTTTTATATGCAATTCTTTTTTTAATTTATTTATTTTTTTTTAGACAGGGTCACAGTTTGTCACCCAGGCTGAAGTGCAATGGCATTATCACAGCTGACTGCAACCTCAAACTCCCAGGCTCAAGCGATCCTCCCACCTCAGCCTCCCAAGTAGCTGGGACTACAGGTGCAAGCCACTATGCCTGGCTAATTTTTTTTTTTTTTTTTTTTGAGATGGAGTTTCTCTCTGTCGCCCAGGCTGGAGTGCAGTGGCAGGATCTCGGCTCACTGCAACCTCCGCCTCCCCAGGTTCAAGCGATTCTTCTGCCTCAGCCTCCTGAACTACAGGCGCATGCCACCACACCTGGCTAATTTTTTTGTATTTTTAGTAGAGACAGGGTTTTACCATATTGGCCAGGGTGGTCTTGAACTCCTGACCGCATGATCCACCTGCTTTAGCCCCCCAAAGTGCTGGGATTACAGGCATGAGCCACCGTGCCCAGCCCATGCCTGGCTAATTTTTTAATTTTTTGTAGAGATGAAGTCTCACTATGTTTCCAAAGCTGGTCTCAAACTCCTGGACTCAAGTAATCCTCCCACCTTAGCCTCCCATTGTGCTGAGATAACAGGCATGAGCCACCACACCTGGCCTACATGCAATTCTTCAATTGATGTCCCAACTCTGAAGTCTATTCCTGCACTCCCTCCTGTGCCAACTCTGATAGCCCCAGAACTTCTCAGAGGCCTGTGACAAACCACCTGCATCTCTCCAACCTTGTAGACAAGACCTATAGCTGCCTATACGCTACTACAAACCTATCAGCAGTGTTATAGACATAATTTGTCTTTATTTTTATTTACTTTTTAAATTTTAACTTATCACCACTCAGAATAGTAATTTTTAAAAGCTCATCCTCTAGTGTTCTCACTCTTAGATTACCCCTCTTTGTACTTCTGAATCTATTTCAGTGATACCTTGAGAAACACAGGAAATGTTTGTTCCATCCACTTTTTGTTTTTTAGGTTTTGTTTTGTTTTTGAGACAGAGATTCACTCTGTCACCCAGGCTGGAGAGCAGTGGCACGATGTCGGCTCACTGCAACTTCTGCCTCCCAGGTTCAAGTGATTCTCCTGCCTCAGCCTCCAAAGTAGCTGGGATTACAGGCGCCCACCACCACGCCTGGCCAATTTTTGTATTTTCAGTAGAGATGGGGTTTCGCCATGTTGGCCAGGCTGGTCTCAAACTCCTGGCCTCAGGTGATCCACCTGCCTCGTCCTCCCAAAGTGCTGGGATTATAGGCGTGAGCCACCGTGCCCGGCTGATCCACCTATTTTTAACCAGAAGCAAGAATCACAGTATAAAGGCAAAGGCTATGTCTATTTCATTCACCAAGAAATACATAGTGCCTAGCAGTTTACAGTACTCCATAGACATTCATAATTTGTGAAATAAAAGAATGCTTCAGTTGTCCAGAGTATTTTCCTGCTCTGATTTACCTTCTACAATGGCCAAGAGAATGTGGTGATAGAATTGGGATATAGCACTAGTTTTGATGATGCAAATACATCCAGAAAAATTAAACAAAAATGATTGTATGTACCAGGGGGAAAAAAAGAACACTTCAGGTAGACTAATTCCAAGAGCCAGTTAAACTGAAATGGAAACTAGGAGCCATGATCAGTAAGTCTGGAGAAAGAATTGCAATGTGCCTATTAAATATTCTCAGGAATAGTTTAGTTTAAAATCTTCTCAGTGACTTTATTATTTATTTCTCTATAAGTATAACTCAGCATATATACCTATATACTTTTATAAAAATTAATTTGATTAATTAAAGTTGTTTTTTAAAACAAAACTCACATAGTAGACTAACTCCTCTTAAACTCTTTGGCCTTTGCTTTTCTTTACCCTCTTAAAAGCTGAAGAATAAAGGCAGGGCACAGAGGCTCACGCCTATAATCCCAGCACTTTGGGAGGCTGAGGGAGGAGGATTGTTTGAGCTCAGGAGTTCGAGACCAGCCTGGGCAACATAGTGAGATCCTGTCTCTATGAAAAGAAATAACGATAATAAATAAAAATATAATATCAAAGACTTGTGGAACGTAAGAACTCTTGCTTATGTGGTTTATAGTTATCAGTATTTCGTGTATGAGGAAAAACAATTTTTTTTTTTTAGACTGTCACCCAGGCTGGAGTGCAGTGATGCAAACATGGCTTACTGCAGCCTGGACTTCCCGGGCTCAAGTAATCCTCCTGTGTAGCTGGGACCACAGGCGCCAGCCATCATGCCCAGCCAATTTGTCTGGTTTTTTTGTAGAGACGAAGTCTCACTTTGTTGCCTAGGCTGGTTGATAATTTTTTTGTTAATTATTAATTATTCAGAAATAACAAGGCCATACATGATAACTCATGCCTATAATCTCAGCACTTTGGGAGGCTGAAGTGGGAGGATCGCTTGTGCCCCGGAGTCCCAGGCTGCAGTGAACTATGATCACGCCACTGCACTCCAGCCTGAGTGACAGAGTAAAACCTCATCTCCTAAAAAATAATAATAATATTCTAGCATGTTTATATGAAAATAATTGTGCTTTCCAAAACAGAAATAAAAATAGTGAGAAATGTGTCATTGTTTTACATCTCTATATCAAATGTATAGACTACAGGTAGATTTCCTTATCTGCTTCTGCAGTCATTCTATTGCAATATGTTGTTTTGGTTAAGTATACATTTTTTTAAATCTCACTGAGTGTGGGGGCTTATGCCTATACTCCCAGCACTTTGGAAGGCCAAGGCAGGAAGATTGCTTGAGCTCAGGAGTTCAAGATCAGTTTGGGCAACATAGTGAGATCCCTGCATCCACCAAAAAAAAATCTGGCGGCCAGGCACTGTGGCTCACGTCTGTAATCCCAGCACTTTGGGAAGCCGAGGAGGGCAGATCACAAGGTCAAGAGATCAAGACCATCCTGGCCAACGTGGTGAAACCCCAGCTAATACAAAAATTAGCTGGGTGTGGTGGTGCATGCCTGTAATCCCAGCTACTTGGGAGGCTGAGGCAGGAGAATCACTTCAACCCAGGAGGTGGAGGTTGCAGTGAGCCAAGATCGCCCCACTGCACTCCAGCCTGGTGACAGAGAGAGACTCCATCCAAAAAAAAAAAAAATCTATAGTTAGAAAAGGGAAGGGCATTTTAATAGCCTTTTCAGATAATTATGCGGATACTATTTTTTTTTTTTTTTGAGACAGAGTCTCACTCTGTCGCCCAGGCTGGAGTGCAGTGGCACGATCTTGGCTCACTGCAAGTTCTGCCTCCTGGGTTCACACCATTCTCCTGCCTCAGCCTCCCAAGTAGCTGGGACTACAGGCGCCCGCCACCACGCCCGGCTAATTTTTTGTATTTTTAGTAGAGACGGGGTTTCACCGTATTAGCCAGGATGGTCTCAATCTCCTGACCTCGTGATCCGCCCGCCTCAGCCTCCCAAAGTGCTGGGATTACAGGCATGAGCCACCGCACCCGGCCTGTGGATACTATTATATGATACTACATAAAAACTCAACAAGTGCTGTGTTTCCCAAAAGTTAGTTATAATGTGGAATCTGAAACTATAGTAATGAAGTTTTTATATTTAGTTACTTTAAAATCCGTTGGTCTATCCTACACTTTGAATGAATCTTTTTCTTAATTTGTAGCATCAGACATCAGACATTTGTCATTGGAAAATATTGTGTTTCACTGAGTCATGCAGATCTTCCAAATCTTGGCAAATTCTATTATTTAAAAAATCAGGCCGGGCGCAGTGGTTCACGCCTGTAATCCCAGCACTTTGGGAGGCCAAGGCGGGCAGATCACCTGAGGTCAGGAGTTCGAGACCAGCCTGGCCAACATGGTGAAATTATGTCTCTATTAAAGTACAAAAATTAGCTGGGCATGGTGGCAGGCACCTGTAATCCCAGCTACTCAAGAGGCTGAGGCAGGAGAATCGCTTGAACCCAGGAGGCAGAGGTTGCAGTGAGCCGAGATCATCCCACTGTACTTCAGCCTGGGCAACAAGAGCAAGACTCCATCCCCCCACCCCACCCCCCAAAAAAAATCAGTCCCAGCTACTTGGGAGGCTGAGGCAGGAGGATCACTTGAGCCCAGAAAGGCTGAGGCTGCAGGGAGCCGTGATTGCGCCACTGCACTCCAGCCTGGGCAACAGACCAAGACCTTGACTCAAAAAAAAAAAAAAAAAAAAAAAAATCACTGAAGCTAGCTCGGTTTTCATTAAAGATTGGGAAATTGAACAATGTTATATATTCTCAAAGGGAAGATAAACCTATATAATCTTTCCTGAAGGCAATCTGGCAATAGGAATACAAAAATATCCCTTTTGACCTAACAGTTCCACTTTGAGAAGTCTTAAGAAAGTAATTAGACAAGTGTGCAAAGATACATGAACAACAACAAAAAATCAATGCTCATCTTTGGAGGTGTTAAAAAAATTTATGTATGATGTTGGCTATGACTGTTTTTATCATAAAAAATAGAAATAAATAAATAATAATATAACCTTTCAGTGGGCTACACTGGAGCCATGTAACAGAATGTTGTAGATCTAGTTTGTGTTGATGGAAAAAGATGTTCATTTATATTGTGAAGTTAAAAAAAATACTACACAACAGTATATAGATAACAGAGTCACTAAATACTGGAATATAAAAAATTTGACAAAATATTTTCATTTAGAGTATTTCCCAAACATTTCTGATCATTTATTTTTGTTTCAAGCTCTTAGGAAATTCACAGGAAACTTCTATGCTAATATTTTCTTTCTAAAATCTTAATAAAACATAAGTAAGACACAATTGGCTTGTTTTGTTTATTTGTTTTTTGTTTTTGTTTTTGTTTTTAGTTAAGAAAACCTTTTTGTACTTTTCTCTGTCCTGACCAAGGTTGTTTGTTTTGTTAGGTTTTTTAATGTACTTGTATTTATTTATTTTACTGGAAATGAACCTAGTGGGAATAGCGAGTTGAGATTATTTATAGGCTGGTGAAGAGTTGGTCTCTGTTGATAGATATGAAACAATGTTTTCAGGCTAGGCACCTTGACTCACACCTGTAATCCCAATGTTTTGAGAGGCTGAGAAGGGAACATGGCTGGAGGTCAAGAGTTCGAGACCAACCTGGGCAACATAATGAGACCTTGTCTCTACAAATTTTTTCTAAAAAATTAGCCAGGTGTGGTGGCAAGTGCCTGTAGTCCTAACTACTTGAGAGGCTGAGATGAGAGGATTGCCTGAGCCCAGGAGTTTGATGCTGCAGTGAGCTGTGATACCACCACTGCACTACAGTCTGATACCACCACTGCAGTACAGTCTGAGAAACAGAGCGTCTCAAAAAAAAAAAAAAAAAAAAAAAAAAAGACTCACACCTGTCATCCTAGCACTTTGGGAGGTCTAGGCGGGAGGATGACTTGAGCCCAGGAGATCGAGATCAGTCTGGGCAACATAGAGTCCCATCTCTATTTAAAACTAAAAAAAAAAAAAAAAGGAAAAGTATTTTCTTTCAGTTGTCTACATGCTTTCTATACAGGTTACAATAATTCTGGCAGAAGTTTTACCAGGTTCATAATTGATACATAAAATATTCTTGGATGGACACGGTGGCTCATGCCTGTAATCCCAGTACTTTGGGAGGCCGAGGCAGATGGATCACCTGAGGTCAGGAGTTCAAGACCAGCCTGGCCAACATGGTGAAACCCTGTCTCTATTAAAAGTACAAAAATTAGCCAAGTGTGATGGCAGGTGCCTGTAATCCCAGCTATTCGGGAGTCTGAGGCAGGAAAATCACTTGAACTCAGGAGGCGGAGGTTGCAGTGAGCCAAGTGTGTGACATTGCACTCCAGCCGTGGTGACAAGAGCGAAACTCCATCTCAGAAAAAAAAAAAAAAAAAAAAAAAAAAAAAAAAATATATATATATATATATATATATATATTCCTCTGGGTTAGGGGCGGTGGCTCACACCTCTAATCCCAGCACTTTGGGAGGCAGAGGTGGGTAGATCACTTGAGGTCAGGAGTTCAAGACCAGCCTGACCAACAAGGTGAAGCCCCGTCTCTACTAAAACTACAAAGTTAGCTAGGTGTGGTGGCACACACCAGTAATCCCAGCTACTCAGGAGGCTGAGGCAGGAGAATAACTTGAACCTGGGAGGCAGAGGTGGCAGTGAGCAGAGATTGTATCATTGCACTCCAAACCTGGGCAACAAGAGTGAGACTCCGTCTCAAAAAAAAAAAAAAAAAAATCCTCTGATACATGAAAGTTTTCTGGCCAGGCACAGTGGCTAACACCTGTAATCCTAGCACTTTGGGAGGCCGAGGCGGGTGGATTACATGAGGTCAGGAGTTCGAGACCAGCCTGGCCAACATGGTGAAACCCTGCCTCTACTAAAAGTACAAAAATTAGCCGGGTGTGGTGGCATGTGCCTATAGTCCCAGCTACTCGGGAGGCTGAAGCAGGAGAATCGCTTGAACCCAGGAGGTAGAGGTTGCAGTGAGCTGAGATCGTGCCACTGCATTCCAGCTTGGGCAAGAGTGAGACTCCATCTCAAAAAAAAAACCAAAAGTTTTTAAGAATTAGAGATAATCCACTTCCATAGAGCTTATCAAACTCTGGGTTTTAGCAATGAAAGAAGAAGAAAACAAATCAACCTCTTTTCCATCTATATTAGGTCTGCTAGTATGAAGCACCAGGGACCTCTTAAAAGTTGTATTTTTATTATGTTAACAACTACTTTCCAGCGGGGAGCAGTGGGTCACGCCTGTAATCCTGGCACTTTGGGAGGCCGAGGTGGGTGGGTCACCTGAGGTCAGGAGTTTCAGACCACCCTGGCCAACATGGTGAAACCCTGACTCTACTGAAAATACAAAAATTGGTCTGGCATGGTGGCAGGTGCATGTAATCCGAGCAACTCGAGAGGCTGAGGCAGGAGAATCGCTTAAACCTGGAGGGCTGAGGTTGCAGTGAGCTGAGGTCGCATCATTGCACTCCAGCCTGAGTGAAACAGCAAAACCTCCGTCTACTGGGTTCAAGGGATTCTCCTGCCTCAGCCTCCCAAGTAGCTGGGATTATAGGCGCTTGCCACCACAGCCAGATAATTTTGTATTTTAGTAGAGATGGGGTTTCAGCATGTCGGCCAGGCTGGTCTCAAATTCTTGACCTCGGGTGATCCACGAGCCTCAGCCTCCCAAAGTGCTGGGATTACAGGCATGAGCCACCGCGCCTGGCCCCTAACTTCTGTTTTAATTTAAACTTTTTTTGTATATCTCTAGTATTATAAACTGTGTTTCATCCTTCAAGGAAACTTATGATTTGTATCTTTTCTATTCATGTGCAAATGTTAACCATGTTAATATCTGACATTTCTCATGGATTTATAAAACACTGTTTTCTACACACTGAATGATAGGAAAAAAAGTTATTCTCTCTAGGCAAGGAGTGAAAAGGGAAAAGAAAGTCAACTAACATTTATTGCCTACCTACTATGTGATAGGCATTGCTTAAGAAAAACCTTCAATCCATGTTTTTTCTTTACTCTCATACCACAATAACACACGTTTCTGACCAAAGGTGTAGGTGCTTTTCCCCATAAACTAAGCATGGTGAAAACCTGTCTCTACTACAAATGCAAAAATTAGCCAGGTGTAGTGGTGTGAACCTGTAGTCCCAGCTACCTGGGAGGCCGAGGCAGGAGAATCGCTCAATCCCAGGAGGCAGAGGTTGCAGTCAGTCGAGATCATGCCACTGCACTCCAGCCTGGGGAACAGAGTGAGCCTCAATCTAAAAAATAAATAAATAAATAAAATAAACAAATGTTTTATGTATTCTATCCAGTATTTTAATTTTCCTTTTTTTTAGTGGGGGCATGGGAAGTTTATTCCTTGTATCTAATCTACCATGCTGCCAGAGTGGCTGAAATGCAGGAAGACAATTATAATTGGAGCTTAGGCTATTGTGAGCCACCTGAATAAATGCTGAGGGCTGTTCAACCTTTTGTTCTTTATCAAGGAGGCTATCAGGTTCGGAAAAGAATGTACTTAGCCAACATGGCTGGGAAATGAGGTTTTTCAGTTAACTGGGACATTTCCATAAAAATGTGCCTGCTTTGGGATTAATTAATATCACCCCCATATAAGGCTGTTATACACGGGAAGTAAGTTCTCAGGATTCTCTCTCTTTTTTTTTTTTTTTTTTTTTTGAGATGGAGTTTCCCTCTTGTTATCCAGTCTGAAGTGCAATGGTGCGATCTCGGCTCACTGCAACCTCCACCTCCTGGGTTCAAGTGATCTCCTGCCTCAGCCTCCTGAGTAGCTGGGATTACAGGTGTGAGCCACCGACCTGGCCGTTCTCAGGATTCTCTAAGTTGTTCATAGTTCCAGAGTTACATTTGCTTTTTTCTTGGCAATTTTATTTTATTAACCAGTTGGGTGTCCTCCAATTCAATTCCGACACTGTCTACCTGGAGATAGTGTCAGATCCCAGGGGTTGGGGGCTCAGTCCCCAAGACCACCACCCCCTTCACAAACCAGTCCCAAGTCCAGGCCTTTGGAACTTCTGATCGACTGGCTTCAAGGTGGGGTTCCAACAACCCACTCTTTGGGTTCAATGAATTTGCTGGAGCAGCTCACAGAACACTTACGTTTACCAGTTTATTATAAAATATAGGATATTCCAAAAGATACAGATGAAGAGATGCATAGGGCGAGGTGTGGGGGAAGGGGCTCAGAGCTTCCATGTTCACCCTAGGCCTGCCACCCTTCAGGAACATTCAGGAGTTCAGCTCTGGGAAGCTCTAGGAAACCAGTCCTCTCGGGTTTTTATGGAAAATTCATGATGTCAGTATTCACTCTCCCAGGGTATAGAGCAGGGCCCTCTCTGGTGAGGGTCTTAAGACCCACAGTCAGAAAGGGTTGGGGGGGTGGGGGAAGATTAGAGTCCCACTTCAGGGGGCAAGTGAAAGGAGGGCAGGAGGGCAGAGAGATTCCATTTCCTGAGGCCTGCCCAACACACTCAGCATTATAACAAAAACTATAACAAGGAATATGGGAGTTATGAACCAGGGACTGTGGGATAAAAACCAATATCTATTATACATCATTATACCACAGGCACTGTCATAGGCACTCTTTTATAATGTTTCCTTTTATTCCCTTAACAATCCTGCAAAATAAGAATCCTACTTTTTTATTTTTTGAGACAGAGTTTCACTCTTATTGCCCAGGCTGGAGTGCAATGGCACGATCTCAGCTCACCGCAACCTCCACCTCCTGGGTTCAAGCGATTCTCCTACCTTAGCCTCCCAAGTAGCTGGGATTACAGGCATCTGCCACCATGCCTAGCTAATTTTGTATTTTTAGTAGAGATGGGGTTTCTCCACTATAGAAAGTAAAAAGTTCCTCTTCAAAGTTTCCCTTCTTGTTAAATAATAAATCTTAAGTGTTATAAATGATAGTTTCTTTTAAAGACTAACTTCCTTCAAGCCTCCTTGCTTTGTGCTAATAATTCTTTGTTAAGCCCTAACCTATGTAGCTGTTAGATATAAGGGAATAAGTACATTCAATGTCCTTGTACTTTAACCAAGATGTCTGTGCTGGGCTTGCTCACGGGCATGTCCCAGCTCGCAGCCTATGCCCCTTCCTTATTTGGGAATTTTTATTACTTTTCTAAATCTTTTCGTAAGCAACTTCCTCTTTTCCTTTGTTCTCCATTGCCTCTACCTATTTAAGAAAATTTTAAATTTCTGGCCAGTCGAGTTAAGTTTAGATTGTGCGGTCTGGCTCCAGCCAATGGAGGCAAGACACAGTAGCAGGGACAAGCTGCGTAAGGGATAAAAATTGCTTCCCTCCTTTATTCAGGTGTGTTAGATACAAAGAATAAACTTCCCATGCCCCCATTAAAAAAAAAAAAAAGGAAAATTAAAATGCTGGATAGAATACATGAAACATTTGTTTTATTTTATTTATTTATTTATTTATTTATTTTTTAGATGGAGACTCACTCTGTTCCCCAGGCTGGAGTGCAGTGGCATGATCTCAACTCATTGCAACCTCTGCCTCCTGGGATTGAGCAATTCTCCTGCCTCGGCCTCCCAGGTAGCTGGGACTACAGGTGTGCACCACCACGCCTGGCTAATTTTTGCATTTGTAGTAGAGATGGGTTTTCACCATGTTGGCCAGGCTGGTCTCGAAATTCTAACCTCAAGTGATCCTCCCGCCTCAGCCTCCCAAAGTGCTGGGATTATATGCATGAGCCATCTAGCCCGGCAAAACATTTGCTTAAATACAAGCCTGGGTTCATAGCCCAGACTCAAACTACCTATTGATAGGAGACAAGAGAGTGTTCATGAGTCTCTCACATTTCTGCCCATCTGGTGAGCAGCAGTACTAACTGCCTTTGTTCCACACTATGTTTTTACCAAGTTGTATAGCAAGCAGGCTTGGAAGATAAAGATGGTATATCCCTCCAGACCAGGGGGCAGATATGCTTACAGCATTGGAAGACAGGGATAATGACTATCTATGCTGGGGAGAAAAAGGCAGCAGGCTTAATGTCCATTATAAAACATTCTTGTTCTCTAAATTTGGGGATCCTTTCCTATAACACAACCCTCTGCATATACAGATGTCACCTGCCCCACTTTGTGTTTGGGACTTGGAGAACCAACACAAATGCTGACACTCTGACTACTGCTATTGCTTTGAGTAATAAACTGTCATTTGTCTCTGACCAAAGAGTAGCTTAGCAGTAATAGTAGTAGTAGTCGTTTTCTGCCAACATTCAAGCAACTGTGGCAGGCTAACCATGGCAGAGTAGAATCTCAGACCCTTCATAGTTTTTAATGTCTATGTGGTCCCAAACACTTTATGATGAAAATTAAGTTGGTCTTAGGTTGGTAGTGCCCTAGACAGCTAGTATAAGGAAAAGAAAATCCTCTCTGGAAGAACACCCTTCAACCTAGACCTCAAACAATTCCCACAGATATTGAACCAAAACTTTTAGTCAAAAGTCAAAAAACCACCAGGTGTGGTGGTTCACACCTGTAATCCCAGCAATTTGGGAGGCCGAGGGGGATGGATCACAAGGTCAGGAGTTCGAGACCAGCCTGGACAATATCATGAAACCCCGTCTCTACTAAAAATACAAAAATTAGCCGGGCATGGTGGTGGGCACCTGTAGTCCCAGCTACTCGGGAGGCTGAGGCAGGAGAATTGCTTGTACCTGGGAGGTAGAGGTTGCAGTGAGCCGAGATCGGGCCACTGCACTCCAGCCTGGGCGACAAAGCGAGACTCCCTCTCAAAAAAAAGTCTAAAAAACATATGCTTTTAGTCAAAAGTCAAAAAATGGCTGGGGTATGGTGGTTCACGCCTGAAATCGCAGCACTTTGGAAGGCCTGGGCGGGCGGATCCCCTGAGGTCAGAAGTTGGAGACTAGCCTGGCCAACATGGAGAAACCCACCTCTACTAAAAATACAAAAAAATTAGCTGGGCGCAGTGGTGCAGGCCTATAATCCCAGCTACACGGGAGGCTGAGGCAGGAGAATCGCTAGAACCGAGGAGGCAGAGGTTGTAGTGAGCTGAGATGGCCCCACTGCACTCCAGCCTGGGCGATAAGAGTGAAACTCCATCTTGAAAAAAAAAAAAAAGTCAAAAAACACACAAGAAAATAAAGTACTATGAGTTGGAAGCAGCCTCAAAAACTTCAGATGCTAGAATTTTAGATACAGAATATAAAATAAATATGTTTAATATATTTATTTATTCATTTATTTTGAGACAGGGTCTCACTATTACCCAGGCTGGAGTGCAGTGGCGCCATCTTGGCTCACTGTAGCCTCCACCTACTGGGCTCAGGTGGATCCTTCCACCTCAGCTTCCTGAGTAGCAGACTACAGGCGTGCACCACCACACCTGGCTAATTTTTGTAGTTTTTTTTGTACCGGTGGGGTCTTGCCATGTTGCCATGCTGGTCTCAAACTCATGAGCTCAAGCGATCTGCCTGCCTAGGCCTCCCAAAGTGTTGCGATTACAGGTGTGAGCCACGGAGCTCGGCCCCTTTTCCACTTTTAAGGACCTTTGGGATTATATTGGGCCTCCCCAGATAATCTAGGATAATCTCCCTAAAATCAGCTGATTAGCATTCTTAGTTCCATCTGCAATCTAAATCCTCCTTAGCTATGTAACCTAACATTTACAGATTCTGAAGATTAGGACATTGATATGTTTAAGGATTCATTATCCTGCCTCCTATAAGCAGTAATCCACCTATACAAGAATCCCAGGTGCAGTGGCTCACGCCTGTAATCCCAGCACTTTAGGAGGCCAAGTTGGATCACTTGAGCCCAGGAGGTTGAGACCAGTGTAGCCAACATAGCAAGATCCTGTCCCTACTTCAAAAAAAAAGAAAGAAAGAAAGAAAGAGAATTATAATCTTTTTTTTTTTTTGACTGAGTAGCTGGGATTACAGGCATGTGCCACAATGCCTGGCTAGTTTTTGTATTTTTAGTAGAGACGGGGTTTTGTCATGTTGGTCTCGCTGGTCTCAAACTCCTGACCTCAGGTGATCCTCCCGCCTTGGCCTCCTAAAGTGCTGGGATTATAGGCATGAGCCGCCTTGCCTGGCCAAGTTTAGTATTTTTATGATATCTAGATGAAGGCTTCTTCTGGGCTGGGTGTGGTGGCTCACGCCTGTAATCCCAGCACTTTGGGAGGCTGAGGTGGGCGGATCACGAGGTCAGGAGATCGAGACCATCGTGGCTAACACGGTGAAACCCCATCTCTACTAAAAACACAAAAAATTAGCCGGGTGTGGTGGCAGGCGCCTGTAATCCCACCTACTCAGGAGGCTGAGGCAGGAGAATGGCTTGAACCCGGGAGGCAGAGGTTGCAGTAGGCCAAGATCACACCATTGCACTCCACCCTGGGCAACAAGAGCAAAACTGCATTTCAGAAAAAAAAAAGAAAGAAAGAAAGAAAGAAAAAAGAAATACCTGAGGCTGGGTAATTTATAAAGAAAAGATGTTTCATTGTCTCAAGGTTCTGCAGACAGTACAAGAAATGTGGTGCCTGCATCTGCTTCTGGTGAGCCTCACGAAGCTTCTAATCATCACAGAAGGTGAAATGGGAAGCCAGCAAATCACATGGAGAGAGAGAGAGAGAAAGCAAGCGCAAGCACGAGACAGTGAGGAGGGAGGTGCCACAGACCTTTTTTTTTTTTTTTTTTTGATATGGTGTCTCACTCTGTCGCCCAGGCTGGAGTGCAATGGCATGATCTCAGCTCACTGCAACTTCTGCCTCCCAGGTTCAAGAGATCTCCTGCCTCAGCCTCCCAAGTAGCTGAGATTACAGGCGTGAGCCACCACGCCCGGCTAATTTTTGTATTTTTAGTAGAGACGGGGTTTCACCATGTTGGCCAGGCTGGTCTCCAACTCCTGACCTCAACCGACCCACCTGTCTTGGCTTCTCAAAGTGTTGGGATTACAGACATGAGCCACCACACCTGGCCCGGTGCCACAGACGTTTAAACAACCAGAACTTGCCTATCACTAAGGGAATGGTGCTAGACCATTCATGAGAGATCTGCTCCCATGACTCAATTACATAGTAAGCAGACTATCAAAAAGGGAATTTGGAGATTGAGTTGCTTACCTAACATAGCATAAACATGGTGAAATGAGTATATTAGCAATTCATGCAGGGCTGGCTTCATGGGCATACAGGCCAGGCCTTAGTCTCAAAAGGGACTCATACTGAGTTTAATACCCTGCTGTTGGGTCATTAAACTCCTAATAATTTTCTCTATTTAAGCTCTTGGACTTATACCAGCGATTTGCCAGGGGTTCTCAGGCCTTAGGCCAGAGACAGAAGGCTGCACTGTCGGCTTCCATACTTTTCAGGTTTTGGGACTCGGATGGGCTTCTTTGCTCCTCAGCTTGCAGACAGCCTACTGTGGGACTTCGCCTTGTGATCGTGTGAGTCAATACTCCTTAATAAACTCCTATTCATATATACATTTATCCTATTAGTTCTGTCCCTATAGAGAACCTTGACTAATACACCAGTTTTGAAACCTGCTGCAACATTTCAAAGAAAATATTCACAGGCATACAAATAAAAACAGATTTTAGGCCGGGCGTGATGGCTCACGCCTGTAATCCCAGCACTTTGGGAGGCCAAGGAGGGTGGATCACAAGGTCAGATGTTCGAGACCAGCCTGGCCAACATGGTGAAACCCCGTCTCTACTAAAAATACAAAAATTAGCCGGTGTGGTGGTGCACGCATGTAATCCCAGCTACTTGGGAGGCTGAGGTAGGAGAATCACTTGAACCTAGGAGGCAGAGGTTTCAGTGAGCTGAGATCGCGCCACTGCACTCCAGCCTGGGTGACAGTGTGACTGTCTCAAACAACAACAACAACAACAAAAACTGAATTTAAAGATTGTCACATTTAACAGAAAAGAACACTTTTCATGTGGAACTCAGGTGAAAAAAACATTAATGAGGAAGACAAATCTAAAATTAATTTTTTCCTTTTAATTGAATATACAGTAGAATGCATAAATAGCTATCCTGAATTATATACATGAAGCCACTTTTAATTTCTTATATGACTGACATCTACAAGTTACAGAAACTATCAGAGGAAACATTAAATGCCATTGTATAAATTAACATTTACGATTAAATTCAGACTTACATGAAATGATGTAAATGTACAGTTAAATCTTTTTAGAAAAATTATCTCAAGTTGGCTTGGTGTGGCAGGTGGTGGCTCACACCTGTAATCCCAGCACTTTGGGAGCCTGAGGCAGGTGGATCACAAGGTCAGGAGTTCAAGACCAGCCAGGCCAAAATGGTGAAAGCTCGTCTCTACTAAAAATACAAAAACTAGGTGGGTGTGGTGGCGTGTGCCTGTAGTCCCAGCTACTTGGGAGGCTGAGGCAGGAGGATTGCTTGAACTCAGTAGGCAGAGGTCACAGTGAGCTGAGATCGCGCCACTGCACTCCAGCCTGGGCAACAGAGCAAGACTCTGTCTCAAAAAAAAAAGAACAATGCTTTATATTTTAGTATCTTAATTGCATTTTTTTCTGCTTTTTATACAAGGTCCTTACATTTTTCACTTTGCAATGCACCAAGCAAATTATGTAGCTATCTCTGAATGCATGGCATGCATATCAATTAGGATTCTACCAGAAAAAGAACTAGGAGAGTGTGTGTGTGTGTGTGTGTGGTGTGTGTGTGTGTGTGTGTGTGTGTATAAATTTATAAATTTATTGCAAGGAATTGTTTGTTACCTTTCATAATTGTGGGGGCTGGCTAAGCAAGTCTGAAATCTTGGGCAGGCTCTTAGGCTGGAAACTCAGGCAGAAGCTAAAACTGTAGCCCAAGGTTAGAATTTCTTCTTTCTAAAGACCGGGCACAGTGGCTCACGCCTGTAATCCCAGCACTTTGGGAGGCCGAGGCAGGCGGATCACAAGGTCAGGAGATTGAGACCATCCTGGCTAACACGGTGAAACCCCGTCTCTACTAAAAATAGAAAAAATTAGCCGGGCATGGTGGTGGGTGCCTGTAGTCTCAGCTACTCGGGAGGCTGAGGCAGGAGAATGGCGTGAACCCGGGAGACGGAGCTTGCAGTGAGCCGAGATCGCGCCACTGCACTCCAGCCTGGGTGACAGAGCGAGACTCCGTCTCAAAAAAAAAAAGAATTTCTTCTTTCTTAGGGAAACTTCCATTTTGCTCTTAGGCTATTTAACTGATTGAATAAGGTCCACCCAGATAATTAATGGATGATAATCTCCTTTACTTAAAGTCAACTGTAGATGCTTATCCTATCTACAAAATTCCTTCAGCGAATTTCCTTTGTTTTTGTTTTTTGTTTTTTGTTTTTTGTTTTTTTGAGATGAAGTCTTGCTCTGTCACCTAGGCTGGAGTGCAGTGGCACAATCTTGGCTCACTGCAACCTCCACCTCCCCGGCTCGAGCAATTCTCCTGCCTTAGCCTCCTGAGTAGCTGGGATTACAGGTGCACACCACCATGCCCAGCTAATTTTTGTATTTTTTTTTAGTAGAGACAGGGTTTCACCATGTTGGCCAGGCTGGCCTCAAACTCCTGACCTTGTGATCCGCCTGCCTCAGCCTCCCAAAGTGCTGGGATTACAGGCATGAGCCACCGCACCCGGCCAGCAAATTTCCTTCTAGCCACACCTAAATTAGTTTTTGATTAACTGGGTACTATAGCCTTGTGAAGTCAACACAAGTAACCATTACATCATGGGATGATGACATTATGATTCCTGAAAATATGAGCTGTGTTTGTTTGGAATGAAGAGCTTGAAAAGGACAAGGCTTTGAGAATTCAAGAACTTGTCTAATGTGATAATAAAGATAGCCAAAGACAAGATGATTTCAGCTGGGCTCGGTGGCTCATGCCTATAATCCCAGCACTTTGGGAGGCTGAGGCAGGCGAGTCACTTGAGGTCAGGGGTTTGAGACCAGCCTGGCCAACATGGTGAAACACTGTCTCTACTAAAAATACAAAAATTAGCCATGTGTGATGGCAAGCACCTGTAATCCCAGCTATTCGGAAGGCTGAGGCAGGAGAATCAGTTGAACCTAGGAGGCGGAGGTTGCAGTGAGCTATGATGCCACTGCACTCCAGCTTGGGTGACAGAGTGAGACTCCGTGTTAGCAAAAAACAACAACAACAACAAAACTGCACTTATGTATGTTTTTGTTTAACTTGTGGACAAAGACTTTAGGAAAGGTGCAAAAAATAAATCTTCTTTTGCAACCCAGAACTCATTGTTCAGTATGAGTTTTGATACATATCAGAATGGATACTATGATACCTGAGACAGTTAACTGATGGAGTATTGATAGCCATAAAGGTTGGTCCCAGGCCAGGCACAGTGGCTAAAGCCTGCAATCTCCACACCAAAGTGGGAGTATTGCTTGAAGCCAGGAGTTCAAGACGAGCCTGGGCAAGAACGTAACAAACACCTCATCTCCACAAAAATTTAAAAATTAGCTGGATATTGGGGCATGTACCTGTAGTTGCAGCTACTCAGGAAGGGGAGGCTAAGGCAAGAGGATTGAGCCAGGAGTTGGTGGCTGCACTGAGCCTTGATGGCACCACTGTACTCCAGCCTGCGTAACAAAGACAGACCCTGTCTCTTAATAAAAAATGATTGATTCTAGAACTGTAGAAGAGATAGTTAAACAGCATGGGATATGAGGGAAATCCTCAGCAGTATTAATTTTGCATTCCAATTTCATGTTGACGTGATACAGACAATGACTTTTTGTTTTAAAGGCTTTTATCTTGAGAACATGGTATCTGGAGTTAAAGGTATTGGCGTATTCCACACATCTGTACTATTCTTGAGTGTGATCGCTTAGGAATAAATATGATTTGAACTCATTCATGTTAAGAGAGGGTGTCAAATTGAGAACCAGGCAGATCCACCACCTACAGTAAAAAGGACTTTAAATTGGCTGAAGAAATTAGATCCCAAAGATTCTTGGTGAATTTTGAAGTCTTCATCAGTATATCCATATTAAAAGATGACAGAAACCAAAATAAAAGAATTATGGGCTGACAGGACAACTGAATTAAAATTAGCATTAGTTTCATTAAAAAGGGCTAACTTGAAGATCAATCTTTTGAATCCAGCTCTTTAGAGGATCTAAAGTCACCTTGATGGACAGTGGAACAAATCACAACATGGAATTCCTTGAATAAAGATTTATTGACTTTAAATAATTTAGCCTAATGTTACATTTACACAATTTTTTTTAAAAAAACCTCTTTACACTGTTTCTAAAACAAACAAACAAAAAGACAAGATGATTTCTTCTAGGAGCACTGGAGAATAGAAGAATATTTCAGTAAGAATAAGAAAATGTTGCCAAACATAGTGGCTAACGCCTGTAATCCTAGCACTTTGGGAGGCCAAGGCAAGAAGATTGCTTGAGCCCGTGAGTTCAAGACCAGCCTGAGCAACATGGCAAGACCCTATCTCTACAAAAAATTTAAAATATTAGCCAGGCATGGTGGTGCACCTGTAGTCCCAGCTACTTGGGAAACTGAGGTGGGGGGCGGGGAATCTCTTGAGCCTGGGAGATTGAGGCTGCAGTGAGCTGTGATCTTGCCACTGAACTTTAGCCTGGTGACAGAGCAAAACACTGTCAAAAAAAAAAAAAGAATAAGAAAATGACAGGGAGTTGAACTCTCAGTTCAAAGAATAGAGACCCAGAGAAGTTCCACAATAACGTTAAAAGAGCCGATCTCTTCATATATACAACCATAAATCATTAATTTACAATAAAATTAAACTAAAAAAAAGAACTGATTTCCTGCAACTTCCTGACAGACAAAGCTCCAAATTTAATTTTGCAGATTATAGAATTAAAACATAACATACAACTTCATCAAGTCTTTCATGTTAAGATGAGGGTATTGGGAAGGAGGTAAACTCTTAGACGTTGGGAATATTTGGGGGGACTCAGGCGAAGCTGGGAATCTTATACCCCCAAATTCCCTTGACCCTCCCTTGCCGGTGAAAACAGAACTCCTTCACTGTCTCAGAAAACTGGTTTCTCTGTTTAAACCTTTCCAAAGGCAGTAACCTTGCAAGAGGATGCCTGTTCTCCTGAAGACCCACCCCAACCATCCCTGCCTGCCTCCATAAACCAGTTCACTCCCAGAGTGCCTTGGGGAGAAAATTAAAATATGTGTTCCAAGTAGATAAGGCTTTACATACCAAAATAATTGCAAAATCTTGCAAGTTGTTATTAATAGGAACCTAGGAAATTTGTGGGAATGCATTGAAGTGTTAAAGGAATACGCAATGTAACACTGAATTGGGCAAATTTTACCAATACAAGGCTTTGACTAGAGATTCTGAGTTTAATGTTCAAAGCAGAGCAGCTGGAGGTAGCTCTAAGTATTTGCTTGATTAGTTCACTGAAGCCTAGACTGAGGACTGAGCGTGGTGATTACTTGGAAAGAAGGCATCTTGGTTCTAGTTCTATTTGAGATTAATTATTTAAATACTCAGAAATGATTTTTGAAATACAGAGGTAATATATGATCATTATAACTAATAAAAGGTTATATAATATTTAGAAGTTATTTTATTTTATTTTTTGAGATGGAGTCCAGCTCTGTCGCCCAGGCTGGAGTGCAGTGGTGCAATCTTGGTTCACTGCAACCTCCACCTCCCGGGTTCAAGCAATTCTCCTGCCTCAGCTTCCCGAGTAGCTGGGACTACAGGCATGTGCCACCATGCTCGGCTAATTTTTGTATTTTTTTAGTAGAGACGAGGTTTCAGCATGTTGGCCAGGGTGGTCTTGAACTCCTGACCTCAGGTGATCCATCTGCCTTGGCCTCCCAAAGTGCTGAGATTACAGGCATGAGCCACCACGCCCGGCCTTTTCTTTTATTTTTTAATAAAGAAGGGGTCTCATTGTGTTGCCCAGGCAGGTCTTGAACTCTTGGGCTCAAGCAATCGCCCTGCCTTGACCTCCCAAAATATTGGGATTACAGGTGTGAGCCACCATGCCAAGCCATAAGTACTTTTTTGAAAAGTTGTGGGGTTTTTTGTTTGTTTTTGTTGTTGTTTTCATTGTTGTTGTTGTTGTCGTTTTGATATGGAATGTTACTCTGTCGCCCAGGCTGGAGTCCATTGGCACAATCTCCACCCACGGCAACCTCCACCTCCTGGGTTCAAGCGATTCTCCTGACTCAGCCTCCTGAGTGGCTGGGATTACAGGCATGCACCACCATGCCCAGCTAATTTTATATTTTTAGTAGAGACAGGGTTTCTCCATGTTGGTCAGGCTGGTCTCAAACTCCTGACCTCAAGCGATTTGCCCACGTTGGCCTCCCAAAATGCTGGGATTACAAGTGTGAGCCACTGCACCTGGCCCTCAAAATTGGTTCTAATCACATAGTGTTTAACATCACCCCAGCTTGTATAAATTAAGTGCTTAATAAAGATCATTGTTCATTTATCTTAGACACATTATTTGCCAGGAGAAAAATAAAGGATATCCTAGACACAGAATAGTGAATGAATATGCAAAAAATAAGTAACAAGTGCAGCTCACCTTAACAATACGCTTTTTAAAATGTGCATAAATTGAATTATTTAAAGTAAAATCAAGAGCTTTGGTTTAAAACAGAACTCTAGCAATCTTCTGTAACATAACGAGATTTTTTTGTTTTTTTTTTTTTTGAGAAAGAGTCTCTCTTTGTTACCCAGGCTGGAGTGCAGTTGTGGGAACATGGCTCACTGCATCCTCAACCTCCCAGCCTCAGGTGATCCTCCCTACTGACTATAGGCATGCACCTCCACGCCTGGCTAATTTTTTTTTTTTTTTTTTTTTTTTTTTTTTTTTTTTTTTGAGAAGGAGTCTCTCTCTGTCGCCCAGGCTGGAGTGCAGTGGCACGATCTTGGCTCACTGCAACCTCTGCCTCCTGGGTTCAAGCAATTCTCCTGCCTCAGTCTCCCGAGTAGCTACAACTACAGGCACACGCCACCAAGTCCGGCTAATTTTTTGTATTTTAGTAGATACAGGGTTTCACCTTGTTGCCCAGGCTGTTCTCGAACTCCTGACCTCAGGATCCACCCATCTCAGCCTCTTAAAGTGCTGGGATTACAGGCGTGAGCCACTGCACCTGGCCCATAATGAATTCTTAATATTATGTAGCTATTCATGTTAAGACTTCCTGGTCACCTCCTTCAACAACTGGGAAACATCAGTTTTGGAACCCATAGTCATATCTAATAAAGGCACATTCTCTTGCCTTGTCTTAGAAATAAAATAAAACAATAATCAATACAAAGAATTGCTGTCTTTGGTCTCCATACTTTTCCATTTTTACAACAAACTTCTTATGCAAACCTCACAATATCAGCGTAAGAGTCAATTTTCATACTTTGACCCAACACTCTACCTTATAGGTAGTCAATGAATATTTTTCTGAATGAACAAACATTTTAATTCATTAATTAGTTAATTAAGTAGTTCTAAACCTAAGATTATTCTGGGGTGCGGAAGGAACTAACATGAAAACTTTAGAGATATAAGCAGCCATATCAGTCTTTCCCTTTTTTTTGAACTTGCATCATTGGCTAATTAAGCACTTTTTTTTTTTTTTTTTTTTTAGTGTGTGTGACTCACTTTATTGCAATATTCATTTTATTGTGGAGTGGTCTGAAATTGACTCTGCAATATATTTGAGGTATGCCTGCATACAACAGCATTTCTATTTTTTCTTTTCTTTCTTTTTTTCTTTTTTTTTGAGACAGAGTCTCACTCTGTCACTCCGGCTGGAGCGCAGTGGTGTCATCTTGGCTCCCTGCAACCTCCACGTCTAGGGTTCGAGCAATTCTCCTGCGTCAGCCTCCTGAATAGCTGAGACTACAGGTGTGTACTACCATGTTCAGCGAATTTTGGGGTTTGTGGGTTTTTTGTTTTTTTTTTTTTGAGACGGAATCTCGGTCTGTTGCCCAGGCTGGAGTGCAGTAGCGTGATCTCAGCTCACTGCAACCTCCACTTCCCGGGTTCAAGCGACCCTCCTGCCTCAGCCTCCTGAGTAGCTGGGACTACAGGCGCGAGCCACCATGCCCAGCTAATTTTTGTATTTTTTAGTAGAGACAGGGTTTCACCATGTTGACCAGAATGGTCTGGATCTCTTGACCTCATGATCCGCCTGCCTCGGCCTCCCAAAGGGCTGGGATTACAGGCGTGAGCCACCGCACCTGGCCATTTTTGTATTTTTAGTAGAGATAGGGTTTCACCACGTTGGCCAGGCTGGTCTTGAACTCCTCATCTCAAGCGATCCTCTCACCTCAGCCTCCCAAAGTGCTCAGCTTACAGGTGTGAGCAACTGCGCCCAGCCTAAACACATCATTCTTAAACTACCTGACCTTTCAGAACTAACAGTTGAAGCTAGGAATTCTCTATTTTGCCACTCTGTCTACAATCCTCCATTATCTACATAATATTGCAGCTCTTCCATTATATTGTGGAATGGCTGTGAAGTAGCACAAGGCTCAATGTCAAGTGTCCTCTAATACTCCATCGCACGACTAAACCCTATGTCACTTAGCAACATTTCCCTGCCCTGCTCTCCCAGCTCTTGTTGGGAAGCCTGTTCTGAGACGGTGGAACTTGGCAGGGGTGAAGGAAAATCCAGTGACTGATGCTTTATGTCCAGGAATTTTCAAAGCCTGTAGATGGCTTTTGGTTTTGGGTGGTGGTTTTTGTTTTTCTTTCTTACTTTTTTTCTTTACTAAAGGATTAGAATTTATAAATAATAGAGTGTACTGCACAATGGAAGATGCAGAACACAAACACGTTTAACTAGAATAGTATTCTTTAGCACTGGTGGTACCACACCTTTATTGCTAAAGACCTGTGTTGGGAAATGGGGACACTCCCCTTCTTACACTTCAGGTTACAGCCCTGTCCAGTTAAGCAATACACCACTTCACACTGGAGACCTTAATTTAAATGAGTTACAACTAACTTTTATGTAGGGCAGCAAGGTGCATGAAAAGGAAAACAAATGAGTACAAAGGATAAAAGAATCACTCCTTTCTTTTCTTTCTTTCTTTTTTTTTTTGAAACGGAGTCTCATTCTGTCGCCAAGGCTGGAGTGCAGTGGTACGATCTTGGCTCACTGCAACCTCTGCCTCCCGGGTTCAAACGATTCTCCTGCCTCAGCCTCCCAAGTAACTGGGATTATAGGCACCTGCCATTATGCCCAGCTAATTTTTGTATTTTTGTAGAGATGGGATTTCACCATGTTGGCCAGGCTGGTCTTGAACTCCTGACCTCAGGTGATCCACCAGCCTCGGCCTCCCAAAGTGCTAGGATTACAGGAGTGAGCCACCGCACCCGGCCAAATGTTTGTAATTCTTACATTCTCTGGAAAAAAATTCGTTAATTGAGTTTATATTGAAATGTAGCAACTCCTAGTTTCATAAATTTTATGTATGTAATATTTGAAGGATCCTGATTTTTTGCTTTCTTATTACATAGTGCTAAATACACAGTATATATGAGATTTTGCTGAGTTGAAAACTACAATTGTGGATTTCAAATAAATAATGCTAAACTAGTTATGTGGAAAATGAGAAGGTTAGGTTTATTTATAAATATCTACTTGGGTAGATTATCTTCACATTCTCTAATTGCATGGCTTAAAGTTCTCTCTCTCTCTTTTTTTTTTTTTTTTTTTTTTTTGAGAGAATTGTCCAGGCTGTTCTTGAACTCCTGGCCTTGTTGGATCCTCTGGCCTTGGCCTCCCCAAGTGCTAGGATTACAAGCATGAGCTACCATGCCTGGCCTATGCCAGCTTTTTAAGAACCTTGAGATCAAAGAAATAAATGAGAAATTTCTGAAAATTTCCACATGTACTTAAAACTCTGTAACTATATACTATATATTAAATCTACCAAAAAATTGATGGTTAGGAACCTGCAACCAGGATTTAATAGCCTTGTTTTATAAAAGTATACCAAAACAATTAGAAAAACATAGTTAATAGCTTTTAAACAAAATTTGCTTACAAATTATAGTTTGATACAATTATAAAGTAATAAATGGCATAAAGTTACATAGATTATGTATCACTTGGCTGACCATCTGGTGCCTTCCAAAGGCTGCCAAAACTGCTGCAAGCCAGGCTGAGGCTTGAAGAACCCCTGAATTCCTGCATCTAGAAGGATGCAGGTGTCTCTTGTCTAGGACATTTCAAGGAAATGTCTTCTCCCTATTTCCCTGCTCCCGACCAGTTTATACAGATTACAGGGAATCCGTAGGATCTGGAGGCTGAGAGAAAGGTGCAAAAAGGTAGAGTGACAAAAATGGACTTTTAAAAACTGTTCCATCAGGTATTCTTTGGTTACAAGTAAAAGAAAGGTATCCTAACCCAACTTAAAAGGGGATGATGAGCCAGGCGCAGTGATGCATGCCTGTAATCCCAACACTTTGAGAGGCCAAGGAGGGTGGATCACTTGAGTCCAGGAGTTGGAGACCAGCCCTGGCAACATAGCGAGACCCCAACTCCAAAAATAATTAAAAATTAGTCAAGCATCGTGGCACATGCCTGTAGCCCCAGCTACTCCGGAGGCTGCGGTAGGAGGATTAATTGAGCCTGGGAGGTTGAGGTTGCACTGAGCCATGCTTACACCACTGCACTCCAGCCTGGGCAACAGAGCAAGACCTTGTCTCAAAAAATAAATAAAAATTAATTAATTAAAAGGGGATGATCAGAAATCCAGAGGGGAAGATCACAGATCCCAAGTAGAGGTCACAGATGTCAAAGTTGTCAGACCACTACTCTCTCCACCTTTCTCTGGGATTGTACAGTTGCTGCATCTGTTGACACATCCAGGCTATGGCTTATCTCTGATGACTGGATTTCCTCATTTATGAGCATGCATACATCAAAAAAAATGGCTGCCACTCCTCACACTACCTGACTCTCCAGCTCTGGTGTCCTCCACTGAGCTAGTTACTCAAAGTCGAAGTCTCTGGGTTCAAATTAGCAAGCAAAAGAATTGGATTGGTGCTCGTATAAATGCACATATACTAAAATTGGACCAATACAGAGAAGATAAGCATAGTCACTACGCAAGGATGACACCCAGATTTGTGAGTCATCCCATGTTAAGGGGGGGAAAAGCATCTGAATGGATTAGGTGTTCTCTGATCCCATCAGCTGTGGCTAGGGAGACAAGGTCTAATGGTAAGTAGCATAGCTGCCCCTGCCAAGGACTCTGTGGCAGGGAAGATTTTCTGAGATGGGGAAGTGGGTAGGAAGAAGACAATTAGTATCTCAAATTCCTAGACACCAAATAGGCTGAAATGGACTTTCTAAGTTGGACTTTTTCAGTCTCTATCTCTCAAGTTGGAGGTTCAGGCTCTGGAGGGAAGAAGGGTCAGATCATATCAGCTAATTTTCCTTATTCCAAAAAAGGCAGGATTTGTGTGTGGCACATATAGTTTGGTTTATTAAAAATTTGAGTGGTCTGGCCAGGTACAGTGGCTCACGTCTGTAATCCTAGCACTTTGGGAGGCCAAGGCAGGTGGATCATTTGAGGTCAGGAGTTCAAGACCAGCCTGGCCAATATGGAGAAACCCCATCTCTACTAAAAATACAAAAATTAGTTGGGTGTAGTGGCGGGCACCTGTAATCCCAGCTACTCGGGAGGCTGAGGCAGGATAATCACTTGAACCTGGGAGGCGGAGGTTGCGGGGAGCACAGATTGTTGCCACTGCACTTCAGCCTGGGCAACAAAGAGAGACTCTGTCTCAAAAAAATAAATAAATAACCAACTAAAACCTATGTCCAGATAACAGAATAGCTTTTGTTCTTCAGCTCCACATAAAAATATCACTATAGCCGGGCACAGTGACTCATGCCTGTAATCCCAACACTTTGGGAGGCCAAGGGGGCGGATCACCTGAGGTTGGGAGTTCTAGACCAGCCTGACCAATATGAATAAAGCCCGTCTCTACTAAAAATACAAAATTAGCTGGGCGTGGTGGTGCATGCCTATAATCCCAGCTACTCGGGAGGTTGAGGCAGGAGAATCGCTTGAACCTGGGGAGGTGGAGATTGTGGAGAGCCGAGATTGTGCCATTGCACTCCAGCCTGGGCAACAAGTGAAACTCTGTCTCAAAAAAAAAGTTATATATATATAGATGGTATATATATATAATATGGTATATATATATAGATGGTATATATATATATGGTATATATATAGGTGGTATATATATAGATGGTATATATATATAGATGGTATATATATATACAGATGGCATATATATATATACAGATGGCATATATATAGATGGTATATATATAGATGGTGTGTATATATATATATAGATGGTATATATATATAGATGGTGTGTATATATATATATATAGATGGTATATATATATAGATGGTATATATATACATATATATCACTATAGATTGATTGATTGAATTAGAGACAGGGTCTCGCTCTGTCACCCAGGCTGGAATGCAGTAGACTGATCATAGCTTACTATAGCCTAGAACTTCTGAACTCAAGCTGTCCTTCCCCCTCAGCTTCCCAAGTAGCTGGGACTACAGGCGCTTGCCACCAGGCCCCAATAACTTATTATTTTTTTTTCTTTTTGGTAGAGACATGGTTTTGCTATGTTGCCCAGGCTGGTCTCAAACTCCTGGACTCGAGTGATCCTCCCATCTTGGCCTCCCAACGTGCTGGGATTACAACTGTGAGCCACCATGCCCAGACCACATAAAAATATCCCTAGAGGAGTGCGTCCCAGCCCCGCGCCTGCCAGGCCGTCTGTTTCGTCCCATCCCATCCTGCCGCAGCGCGCGCCAGCCATGAGCTCCACGCAGTTCAACAAGGACCCCTCGTACGGGCTGTCAGCCGAGATCAAGAACCGGCTCCTGTGCAAATATGACCCCCAGAAGGAGGTAGAGCTCCGCAGCTGGATCGAGGGACTCACCAGCCTCTCCATCGGCCCCGACTTCCAGAAGGGCCTGAAGGACGGGATTAGTTTATGGACACTCATGAACAAGCTACAGCCGGGCTCAGTCCTCAAGATCAACCGTTCCATGCAGAACTGGCACCAACTAGAAAACCTCTCCAATTTCATCAAGGCCATGGTCAGCTACGGCATGAACACCGTGGACCTGTTCGATGCCAACGACCTGTTTGAGAGTGGGAACATGACGCAGCTGCAGGTGTCTCTTCTCGCCCTGGTGAGTAAGGCCAGGACTAAGGGGCTGCAGAGCGGGGTGGACATCGGCCTTAAGTACTCGGAGAAGCAGGAGCCGAACTTCGACGACGCCACCATGAAGGCTGGCCAGTGCACCATCGGGCTGCAGATGGGCACCAACAAATGCACCAGCCAGTCGGGCATGACCGCGTACAGCACAAGGAGGCATCTCTACGACCCCAAGAACCACATCCTGCCCCCCATGGACAACTTAACCATCAGCCTCCAGATGGGTACAAACAAGTGTGCCAGCCAGGTGGGCATGACGGCTCCGGGACCCGGTTGACACCAAGCTGGGAACCGACAAGTGTGACAACTCCTCCATGTCGCTGCAGATGGGCTACACGCAGGGCGCCAAGCAAAGCGGCCAGGTCTTTGGCCTGGGCCGGCAGATACATGACCCCAAGTTCTGCCCAGAAGGCACAGTGGCCGACAGGGCTCCCTCGGGCGCGCAGGCTCGGGGGAGGTCCCTGAATATCCCCCTTACTACCAGGAGGAGGCTGGCTACTGAGGCTCCCAGCACGCTCTCTCCCCATATCATCTCCCCGTCTGAGTTTCTGGGTTTTTCTGTGTTTTCATCTTTTTTTTTCTTAACCTGTTCAGTGCTGCCAATCAACCCAGGGTCTGTGAGTGGCGGTGTGGGATCAGGGAGGTCTTTCTTCCCCCTTGCCTTGGTCCTTCGCAGGACTGAGCCACCAGGCTGTGGGGTAAGGGGTCAAAGCCGTATCCCCATACGTGTAGGGTAAAGGTCCCTGCTGGCACGTCCAGGCTGTGGGCCGAGCAGTGCTGGGGAGAAGAGACCTGGGCTTGGAGGGACCCAGTCCCCGAAGGTTTCCGGTTCCCTTGTCTCTTCCCCATTGTGTCAGCCAATCAGTTTGTGGTTTCTGTACCCGCAAAAGTTTCAGGAAGTATTAACAAAAGAAAAATACTTTTTTTTTTCCCCGAGGAATGGGGCGGGGACAGTGGAGAGGGTGCTGGGAAATGAGTGCCCTGGGAAAGGGGGCCTGGCCACAATGCTAAATATCTCAGGCTCCCAAGTGGCTGCATTTCCCTAGAACCAACAGACCTCAGACCCTCAGACCTGCCCTGGGGCCCGGTGAGGAAAGTGAGGCCCGTAGAAGGAAGTGGAATTCTGCGTTGTTGGGGCTAAGCCTGACTCCTTCTCCATGCTAACCACCCCCTCCACTGTGGCCTCAGTAGGTTTTGTTGTTGTTGATGTTGTTGTTGTTGTTGCCCAGGCTGGAGTGCAGTGGTGCGATCTTGGCTCACTGCACCTCCACCTCCCTGGCTCAAGTGATTCTCCTGCTTCAGCCTCCCAAGTAGCTGGGACTATAGGTGCTCCACCACGCCTGGCTAATTTTTGTATTTTTATTAGAGATGGGGTTTCACCATGTTGGCCAGGCTGGTCTCAAACTCCCGGCCTCAGGTGATCCGCCCACCTTGGCCTCCCCAAGTGCTGGAATTACAGGCATGAGCCACCATGCCCAGCCCCTCAGTAGGTTTTAAGGAGCCTCCAGCCCTCCTTCTCCCCTTCTGGGCCTGACCAGTTATACTGCTCCGTCTCCCCTGGCCACACGCCCCACCGAGTACTGCACAGGGACCCCCACCCAGGGGCCCTACCCCATGAGATAATGTGAAATACGACTGTGGACCAAACGCAGTAAAACCTCTGTTGGTAAGAAGAAAAAGATATATATATATCCTGAGAAATAATATATTTATACTCATAGTTTATTGTTCCAATTATTCCAGCTTTTATCTTTCTCAAATAAGAAGAGTGCAGAATAAGCCATAAACAGAAGTTAAACAATTCTTTAATATTTTCATTCTATTGCCCTAATTATAATACCATTCTATGTGATTAAAAAAAAACACACACATACTGGGCAAGGTGACTCATGCCTGTAATCCCTGCACTTTGGGAGGCCAAGGTGGGAGGATCACCTGAGGTCAGGAGTTCGCGACCAACCTGCCCAACATGGTGAAACCCCGTCTCTACTAAAAATACAAAAATGAGCCAGGCTTGGTGGCATGTGCCCGTAAGTCCCAGCTATTTGGGAGGCTGAGGTAGTAGAATCCCTTGAACACGGGAGGTGGAGGTTGCAGTGAGCCAAGATCATGCCACTGCACTCCATCCTGGGTGACAGAGCGAGACTCCATCTCAGAAAAAAAACAAAAACAAAACAAAACACCCACCCACACACACACACACACACACACACACACACACACACAGAGAGAGAGAACAATCACATTTTACTTCTGATTTTTAAATTTGTGGTGATCCCTTGCTTTTATTAATTGGCTGGTCGGGTACAGTGGCTCAGGCCTGTAATCTCAGCACTTTGGGAGGTCAAGGCGGGTGGATCACTTGAGGTCAGGAGTTCATGCAACATGGTGAAACCCAGTCTCTACACAAAACACAAAAATTAGCCAGATGGGCTGGGCACGCTGGCTCACTCCTGTAATCCCAGCACTTTGGGAGGCCAAGGTGGGCGGATCACGAGGTCAGGAGATCGAGACCATCCTGGCTAACATGGTGAAACCTTGTCTCTACTATAAACACAAAAAATTAGCCGGGCGTAGTGGCGGGCGCCTGTAGTCCCAGCTACTCGGGAGGCTGAGGCAGGAGAATGGCATGAACCCGGGAGGCAGAGCTTGCAGTGAGCCGAGATCATGCCACTGCACTCCAGCCTGGGTGACAGAGTGAGACTCCGTCTCAAAAAAAAAAAAAAAAATTAGCCAGATGTAGTGGCGTGTGCCTGTGGTCCCAGCTACTCAGGAGGCTGAGGTGGGAGGATCACTTGAACCCAGGAGGCAGAGGTTGCACTGAGCCGAGATCATGCCACTGCACTCCAGCCTGGGCAACAGAGTGAGACTCCATCTCAAAAAATAAAATAATAAAATAAAATACGATAAAATAGGCCAGGCACGGTGGCTCATGCCTGTAATCCCAGCACTTTGGGGGGCCAAAGTGGATGGATCACCTGAGGTGAGGAGCTCGAGACCAGCCTGGCCAACATAGTGAAACCCCATCTTTACTAAAAATACAAAAACTAACCAGGCGTGGTGGTACATGCCTGTGATCCCAGCTACTCAGGAGGCTGAGGCAGGAGAATTGCTTGAACCTGGGAGGCTGAGGTTGCAGTGAGCCAAGATTGCGCCACTGCACTCCAGCCACTTGCTCTTGCAACAGAGCAAGACTCCATCACACACACAAAAAAAAGATTAAATAAAACAAAATGAAAAATAAAGTAATAATTTTTACTCAAAATGTTAAAGGTGTTGCTCCATTGTCTTTAATCTTCCAATGTTGCTGTTGAGAAGTTCAATGCATTCTGATTCTTTGTTCTTTGATTGTGACCTATTAAAGATTTAAAATCTTTTTTTTTTTTTTTTTCGAGATGGAGTCTCACTTTGTTACCCCGGCTGGAGTGCAGTAGCGTGATCTTGGCTCACTGCAACCTCCACCTCCCAGGTTCAAGTGATTCTCCCAGGAGTAGCTGAGACTACAGGCAGGTGCCACCATACTTCGCTAATTTTTTTATTATATTGTAGAGATAGAGTCTCATTATGTTGCCCAGTCTCCAATTTTTAAAAAATCTCAGCAATCCTAGCTTTAATTTCCTAGCATTCTTTTTTGTTCTCTGAATTCTCCTTATTCATAGTATTCTGGTTTTGTGTGATTGTTCTGTTTTTTTTTTTTTTTTAATGG
The DNA here is from genome assembly GCF_000001405.40 of Homo sapiens. Classification (NCBI taxonomy): domain Eukaryota; kingdom Metazoa; phylum Chordata; class Mammalia; order Primates; family Hominidae; genus Homo; species Homo sapiens. The sequence goes on from NC_000006.12 coordinate 110,862,352, forward strand.
ATAGAGTGCTTTCTCTTATTTGTATGGGGTATAATGATGGTCTTTTATCCTTGGAAGTTTCCTTCTACTTCCTGCATTATTTCTGTTTCCTCTGGTTTCCTTTTTTGCCTATTTACTTATTTTTTTTTTTTTTGAGACAGAGTTTTGCTTTGTTGCCCAGATTGGAGTGCAGTGTTGAGATCTGAGCTCACTGCAACCTCTACCTCCTGGGTTCAAGCAATTCTTATGCCTCAGCCTCCCAAGTAGCTGGGATTACCAGCTCGCATCACCACGCCTGGCTAATTTTTGTATTTTTAGTAGAGATGGTGAGGTTTCACCAAGTTGGCCAGCCTGGTCTTGAACACCTGGCCTCAAGTGATCTGCCTGCCTCGGCCTCCCAAACTGCTCGGATTACAGGCGTGAGCCACTGCACTCGGCCTATTTACTTTGATTTATCTTTCTCTCTCTTTAATGTTGAAGGCTCTCCTCAAATATCTGACATTAGTATTTAAGCTTGAAGCATTACAAACTGATTGCAGACTCTTGGCTTGTGGACTTGTGGTCCTCACGATAGGAAAACCAAGTTCAGTTTTTTGTTTGTTTGTTTTTGTTTGTTTTTGTTTGTTTGTTTTTAGACATAGTCTCACTCTGTCACCCAGGCTGGAGTGCAGTGGCGTGATCTCGGCTCACTGCAAGCTCTGCCTCCCGTGTTCACGCCATTCTCCTGCCTCAGCCTCCCAAGTAGCTGGGACTACAGGCACCCACCACCACGCCCGGCTAATTTTTTTGTATTTTTAGTAGAGACGGGGTTTCACTATGTTAGCCAGGATGATCTCGATCTCCTGATCTCGTGATCCGCCCGCCTCGGCCTCCCAAAGTGCTGGGATTACAGGCATGAGCCACCACGCCTGGCCCCCAAGTTCGTTTTTTTAAGTTGGAATGAGTCTCGATTGTAGATACATGTCTTTTACTTAGGGCTACTTCACTTCTACAAAGTAGAAGCTTCCTAACTCTGGGAAACATAAACCTGATTCTGCTTGCTTTTTTTTTTTTTTTTTAGACAGAGTCTCGCTCTGTCTCCCAGGCAGGAGTGAAGAGGCACAATCTCAGCTCATTACAACCTCCACCTCCTGGGCTCAAGCAATTCTCCTGTCTCAGCCTCCTGAGTATCTGGGATCACAGGCGTCTGCCACCACACCTGGCTAATTTTTGTATTTTTAGTAGAGACGGGGTTTCACCATATTGGCCAGGCTGGTCTTGAACGCCTGACCTCAGGTGATCCATCCGCCTCGGCCTTCCAAAGTGCTGGGATTACAGGCATGAGCCACCGCGCCCGGCCTGATTCTGCTTTCTATAATTACACATTAGACTTTGAGAAGGTAGGGTGTGTAGGGCTGATTTCTCCAAGAATTTATAAATTACATATTCTAAAGAACTTATTTCCCATAACACTTGACTTAAAAACTTACCATGAAACAAATGGCATCACCTGGAGCTTAAGAAGTTCATTGAAGGCCTGGTGAGAGACAATAGCCAAGAACAAATAAAGAGGGCAGAAGTCCAGGAATGTATTTCACATAGCCAACCAAAAAAACATGAAGGCCAAAAACAAAGCAAAACCAGTTACCACTAATCTTTTTTTTTTTGAGACGGAGTTTCGCTCTTGTTGCCCAGGCTGGAGTGCAATGGTGTGATCTCTGCTCACTGCAACCTTTGCCTCCTGGGTTCAAGTGATTCTCCTGCCTCAGCCCCCCAAGTAGGTGGGATTACAGGTGTGCGCCACCATGTCCAGCTAATTTTGTATTTTTATTAGAGACGGGCCAGGCTGGTCTTGAACTCCTGATCTCAGGTGATCCGCCCGCCTTGGCCTCCCAAAGTGCTGGGATTACAGATGTGAGCCACCACACCCAGCCTGAGTTACCACTAATTTTAAGAAGATAAACATTATAAATGACAAAAAAATTAAGAGTAAATAAAGCTTTTGTAAATATACAAAAGGAACCTGCACACTTCTCAAAAGTCCTTTTTAAAAAAATCTCTGCAGGAAGAACTAATTCCTCAGTGCATCATTAAAGTGAACCAGTTAATGTTGATGAAGCTACAAATAATGGCTCAGTTGTAATACAGTGGTGAAGCATCTAATTCCCCCAAAAGACCAATAAATTATAAATGTTTTATACAAAAAAATCTTACTATGAGCAGTAAACTCAGTAATTGAATTTGTATAAATATTTGTCCTCAGAAAACATGGGCTTTTAAATTTCAATCTGACAGATGTTTTGAGATAGTGATTGGTGGAACCCCAATCATGGGGTCGGACCCCAACAATAGTGATTAATGGGACCCCTTAACTTTCTAACTTTGTCTACCAGTGGCCTAGAAAGACTAGGGAAGTGTTGGGAGTTTCTGTGACTTCATTTTGTAAACTCTGACTAGCATCACCCCTAGACACAGCAAGAGGGGCCCCTGCCCTTAACCTGGCTTGTCACAAATAAATGCCAAAATGCGTTTATAAAATAACACACAGATACCTTTGTTACTTGGAATCCAGCATACAGGCTGGCATTGTATGACTTACAAACTTAAACATCCACTCCTGGAAATAACACCTATTAGACCCCAGGGAAACACTTCACATCACTTGCTCTATGTCTACAAAACAAAAGGCAACCGAATACAAATGCCATAAAGCTTTATGGTTTCTGCAGCTGTTGAAGTAGGAGAAAGACCTTGCTTTGGAATGTGGGGAGGATTCCAAACAGCAGAAACAGATAAAAGACAAAATAATTAGCTTGTCAAATAAGTTCTTCCTCTCAGTGTGAATGCAATAGCTTTTGGCTTAATAGAGTATCTTTTCCTAGTGTCAAGCATTTTCTTGCTTTTCTTAGGACACCAGAGATGCCCACAAATTAGGATGAAATTTCAGATGGGTAGCTGAGGAACATTTTGCAAAACTGAGCAATTTTATATTATTCTTAAATGTTTGTATAGATGTAACAAAGTATGATACTGATTCTTCACATTTGTAGCAAAAGGGACATGGAATGTTAAAATTGCAGATAGTTTTTTTTGTTTGTTTATTTTCTTGAGTCTCACTCTGTCACCCAGTCTGAAGCACAGTGGCGTGATCTTGGCTCACTGCAACCTCCACCTCCCAGGTTCAAGCAATTCTCCTGCCTCAGCCTCCCGAGTAGCTCGGATTATAGGCGTGTGCCACCATGCCTGGCTAATTTTTGGATTTTTTAGCAGACACAGGGTTTCACCATGTTGGCCAGTCTGGTCTTGAACTCCTGACCTCAGGTGATCTATCCACCTCAGCCTCCCAAAGTGCTGGGATCACAGGCGTGAGCCACTGAGCCTGGCCCAAATTGCAGATAGTTTAATTCTATTAAAATGTTTAATAAGCTTTCATTAAATTTTCTTTTTTTCTTTCTTTCTTTTTTTTTGTTTGAGATAGAGTCTCACTCTGTTGCCCAGGCTAGAGTGCAGTGGTGCAATCTCGGCTCACTGCAACCTCTACCTCCTGGGTTCAAACAATTCCTCTGCCTCAGCCTCCTGAATAGCTGGGATTACAGGTTCCTGCCACCATGCCCAGCTAATTTTTGAATTTTCAGTAGAGATGAGGTTTCACCATGTTGGCCAGGCTGGTCTCGAACTCCTGACCTCAGGTGATCTGCCCGCCTCGGCCTCCCAAAGTGCTGGGATTACAGGTGTGACCCACCATGCCTGGCCTTCATTAAATTTTCAAAAAATTAAATTAAAAAACTTCAGCCTTATCTACATAATTTTAATTTTAAGTTTTATTAATTTTAGTTCATTTATTGATTGTTTTAAAGTTTTAATAGATAATCAAGGTTACAGGAAATACAGCTTTTGGAAATATCTGAAAATAATTTCCTGATTATTTTACAATTTCCATAAAATAATGGAAATGTAATATAAAATGGAAATGTAAAGGTTTTTTAACATGCACCTTAATTCATATTTTATACACTGTAGGGATCAAAAGAGGGCTTTCCCCTTGGCCCTCTGAAGGTTCACTGAAAATCACTGTCATGAGGCAGTTTAATGGAAGAGCAGGCATACAAATTTATTTAACAAGTACACAACGAGCACAAGAGGAAAATCACAAGTCATCGCCCACCCCCATTGTGATTCAGAAGCTTACAGACCACGCTAGCAAAACAGGTTGTGGAAGTAGGGAAAATAATTCTATTACTAGGGAGAATGAATGGATTAGGGAACAGGGATTAAACTGTACATGATCCTGTGAAAAGCTATGTTCAGGTGTAGTTACATTCCTGGCCTTCCAGGGAGGAGAAAAAAATTAATTTTTTTTGATGGTCTGGATCTTAGGAAGATAAAGGAACTCCTGTTTTTCAGAGGGTGGGGGAAGGGAGGGGTGTAAGTCAGAGAGACTTTGAGACTTCCTCAGTTCACCAAGCCATATATGGTGGTATCGGTTTCTGAGCTCCAACAACACTTTCTTTTTTTTTTTTTGAGACAGAGTTTCACTCTTGTTGCCCAGGCTGGAGTGCAATGGCGCAATCTTGGCTCACTGCAACCTCCGCCTCCCCGGTTCAAGCTAGTCTCCTGCCTCAGCCTCCCGAGTAGCTGGGATTACATGCGCCCAACATCGTGCCCAGCTAATTTTTTGTATTTTTAGTAGAGACGGGGTTTCACCGTGTTAGCCAGGATGGTCTCGATCTCCTGACCTCGTGATCCACCCGCCTCGGCCTCCCAAAGTGCTGGGATTACAGGCGTGAGCCACCGGGCCTGGCCCAACAACACTTTCTAAACAATTACTTTTTCTTTTCTTTTTTTCTTTTTTTTTTTAGAGACTCTCTCGCTCTCTTGCCTAGGCTGGAGTACAGTGGCTCAATCATAGCTCACTGTAACCTCAAATTCCTGGGTTCCGAGCAATCCTCCTGCCTCAGCTTCCCAAATAGCTGGGACTACAAGCATGAGCCACTGTGCTAGCCCAATTAGTTTTTTAATCATTTAAATAACAGAATAAGTATAGTTGAGATTATAACATAAAAAGTAAATACAGGCCAGGTGTGGTGGCTCACACCTGTAATCCCAGCACTTTGGGAGGCTGAGAGGGGGGATCACTTGAGGTCAGGAGTTAGAGACCAGCCTGGTCAACATGGCAAAACCCCATCTCTACTAAAAATACAAAAATTAGCCAGGCATGTTGGCAGGTGCCTGCAGTCCCAGCTACTCCAGAAGCTGAAGCTCCAGAATCGCTTGAACCAGGGAAGTGGAGGTTGCAGTGAGCCAAGATCGTGCTACTGCACTCCAGCCTGGGCAACAGAGTGAGACTCTCACTCAAAACAAAACAAAACAAAAAAGTAAATACGAAAGCAGAATTCAAAAGCAGTTAAAAAAATTTCAAAAGAAAAAATAAATTTAAAAACATTCATAGAGGCTGTCTGGTTAAATATTTTAAAACTGAAATAATGAAAGTGTTCATGAACCACATAAAATCTGCAAACAGCACATTACAAATTCTTTGTTTACTGAATATTTAATTACTGATGAAAATGAGTAATTACTAATGGAAAATTACATTGGCATATTTTGCTAGGACAATGGTCAACCACATTGCTTATAAATGGCCTTGTCCATTTCCATTAAGTTCATTGTTCATCTTTTCTTATTTATTTATTGTTTGTAGAGATGGGTCTGGCTACGTTGACCAGGCTGGTCTGGAACTCCTGGCCTCAAGTCACCCTCCTGCCTCCGCCTTCCAAACTGCTGGAGTTACAGGTGTGAGCCACCACACCTGGCCTGTATTTTCTTATTTATTTTATTATTATTATTATTATTTTTGAGACAGAGTCTCACCCTGTCACCCAGGCTGGAGTACAGTGGTGCGATCTCGGCTCACTGCAAGTTCTGCCTCCCGGGTTCATGCCATTCTTCTGCCTCAGCCTCCCAAGTAGCGGGGACTACAGGCGCTCACCACCACACCTGGCTAATTTTTTTGTATTTTTATTAGAGACAGGGTTTCAACCTTTTTAGCTAGAGTGGTCTTGATCTCCTGACCTCATGATCTGCCTGCCTTGGACTCCAAACGTGCTGGGATTACAGGCGTGAGCCACCGGGCCCGGACGTCTTTTCTTATTTTTAATCTTATATCTGCTGTTAAATATTTAATTCATCCTGGGAAACATTATCACTAAATGTGTTATATTCTGAGCCTTTTATTCTCTCTTATTAGTTTCACTTCCTTCTGTTACTTGTCTTTCACCTATGTCTGATAAACTGAAATACAGTACTGAACATTGAGGAGAGTCTTATCAAATAAAATTATATTTTCACTTCTGGTATATCTCCTCTATCCATATTAGTTACACCAAAGAAGACAAACAGCTTTTGGGACAGATTATACATAGTTACTTTTGTTTCACAGTTAAACTTAAATTAATGTAATTCAAGGCCAGGCGCGGTGGCTCACACCTGTAATCCCAGCACTTTGGGAGGCCAAGGTGGACAGATCACCTGAGGTCAGGAGTTCAAGACCAGCCTGACCAACATGGAGAAACCCTGACTCTACTAAAAAAAAAATACAAAATTAGCCAGGTGTGGTGGCGTATGCCTGCAATCCCAGCTACTCGGGAGGCTGAAGCAGCAGAATCGCTTGAACCCGGGAGGCGGAGGTTGTGGTGAGCCAGATTGCGCCATTGCACTCCAGCCTGGGCAATAAGAGCGAAACTCGTTCTCAAAAAAAAAAAAAAATTTAATGTAATTCAATGTAATCTGAGGCATTACAGTGTTGTTTCTTTCTTCATTACTTTAGCTTCTTTTTTTTTGAGACGGAGTCTCTCTCTGTAGCCCAGGCTGGAGTACAGTGGCGCTATCTCGGCTCACTGCAAGCTCCGCCTCCCGGGGTCCCGCCATTCTCCTGCCTCAGCCTCCCAAGTAGCTGGGACTACAGGAGCCCGCCACCGCGCCCGGCTAATTTTTTTGTATTTTTTAGTAGAGACGGGGTTTCACCGTGTTAGCCAGGATGATCTCGATCTCCTGACCTCGTGATCCGCCCGCCTCGGCCTCCCAAAGTGCTGGGATTACAGGCGTGAGCCACCGCGCCCAGCCCATTACTTTAGCTTCTATTTCTTCTGTATTTTGCAGTAACAGTACTGTATCTTTACATGATGTTTTACAGTTTCTTTTTTTTTTTTTCTTTTTTGGACACAGAGTTTCACTCTTGTTGCCCAGGCTGGAGTGCAATGGTGTGATCTCAGCTCACCCCAACCTCCGCCTACCAGATTCAAGCTATTCTCCTGCCTCAGCCTCCCGAGAAGCTGGGATTATAGGCGTGCTCCACCACGCTCGGCTGACTTTGTATTTTTAGCAGAGACGGGGGTTCTCCTTTTTGTTCAGGCTGGTCTCAAACTCCCGACCTCAGGTGATCCACCAGTCTTGGCCTCCCAAAGTGCTGGGATTACAGGCGTGAGCCACCACACCTGGCCTACAGTTTCTAAAACATTTTTCTCACTTATAATCTCTGAAGTCCCACAACAGCCTTGGGCAGTAAAACTTGCATTGACATTAGAGAAAATCATGTTTTCTTTTTCTTTCTTCTTTTTTAAATAGAGATGGGGGGTCTCGCTATGTTACCCAGGCTGGTCTTGAACTCCTGGGCTTAAAGCAATCCTCCCGCCTCAGCCTCCCAAAGGGATGGGATTACAGGCATTAGCCACTGTGCCTGGCCAAGAAAACCATGTTTTTAACACCATCAATGTGACAGATTTGTGAAACCAGAGGCATGCTGGTAAACGTTTAACAACCGGTAAGTGTTTAACAATCACCCAGCTGAGGGTATGGAGAACCCTGATTGTAGTTTGCCAATTTCACTGATGTAAATGCTCACAACATGGCTGCTTTCAAACCACCACTGTGATGTCAACTGACTCCCCAAATTTCTGAGAGTGTAACGATTAGTTCTCAGAAACAGTAGGAAGCCAGTTCCAGCACACTACTTGGTCACTTTAAATTGAATCTAAGGCCAGGTGTGGTGGCTCACACTTGTAATGCCAGCACTCTGGGAGGTTGAGGTGGGCAGATCATCAGTCCAGGAGTTCAAGACCAGCCTGGGGAACATGGTGAAATCTGGTCGCTACTAAAAATACAAAAATTAGCCAGGCATGGTGGCACTTGCCTGTAGTCCCAGCTACGTGGGAGGCTGAGGTGGGAGGATCACTTGAGCCCGGGGAAGTTGAGGCAACAGTGAGTTAAGATGGAGCCACTGCACCCCAGCCTGGGTGACAGAGTGAGACCCTGCCTCAAAACAAAAACAATAACAAAACAAAAACAACAAAAAAAGTTTCCATATCTTGTTTTTATAAGGAAAGTGGTTTTTGTTCCTTTCTTTTTTTCCTCTTCTTCCAGGCTAGACTGTGGACAGATTAAGCCAGCTTCAATAATGAGAATAAAGACTTTACTCTATGGTCAAAATGGGTTAGAAGGAACCTGGTTCCCTGAATGATCTCATGGAACAGAGCTGCCTACTCACCCTAGACTACCTGTCTACCTCTGTACTGTTATGTGAGAGAGAAATAAACCTTAATCTTTGAGTTATTGTATTTGGGGATCTCTTTGCTATAGTAGCTTAGTGACTTCTCAGAAGAGGCAACATTTAAGCTAAGATCTAAATGACAAGAATGAATAAGCCATACCAAGAGGGAGAGAAAGAGCATTTCAGATAAATGAAAATGACCTAAAGGGAGACAGGTCAGTACGGATGGAGTACAGAAAGTGAATGGTAGAGATGAGGTTGGAGGATAATTAATTCAGGACCAAATCAAATAAGGGTTTGAAGGCCAGGGTAAGAAATTTTGATTTCAATTGTAATGGGAAACCCCTGGAGAATTTTAATAAGTGTCATAATTGGGCTTATTTTTTAAAAACATCATTCCATCTTGGGCTATGGAGACATTTAAAAAATTAAAACAAAAAAAATCACTCTAGCTGCTCTGTGTTAAACCAAGTGAGGTGGCAAAGTGAAGACAAACACTACTATAGTTAGAAAGCTACTGCAATAGTTCAGGGGAGCTAATTTTGTGCTCTGAACTAGGGTGGTGGTAGAAATGAAGACAGAGAGAACAAATTCTTGAAATGTTTTAGAAATATCAACAAGGCTAATGATGAGTTGGATGTAGGACAATGCAGGAAAGAGTGGAATCATTGATGATTTTGAGTTTAAGCAACTGCTGTATAACGAGGTGATTTGTTGTGTAAAGGGTGGACCATAAAGAGGTAAGAAGAGATAAGAGTGGAGACAAAGAGGTCAGTGGAAAGCTTGAGTTGAAGACAGCTGAGTTTTTGTAATTTGTTTTGCTTTTGTGGGGAGGAGGCAGATTTTGCTGTGAAAAGTAACAGCTCTTTTCTAATAATGTTAGCTTCTATATGCTTGTTAGGCATTCAAGTAGTCAGGCAAGTGTCTCAAAGGTTTGAAATTCAAGGGAGATGTCTGGGTTGGAGATATAAATTTGAAAGTCATTAATACTATGGGCAGGTCATAAAGCCATGGACTGGATGAGGTAGGTCACCTAGGGAGAAAATGTATGTAGAAAAGAGGACACAGGCATAGCCAAGAGCACTGCAGCATTGGGAAGAAAATTTCCAAGGAAAACCAAAAAAGAGAGATGTCACGAAAGCCTGGAGACTTTTTTCTAGAAGGAAGGCATAGTTAATTGTGTCAGAAGCCATTGAAAGATTGAGTAAATGGGGATTGAGACCATTCACTGGTCTCAATGGCTTTGGCAACCACTGGCTTTGGCAAAAAGTGGGCCTTGAGAATTGCCATTTCAGTCAAGTGCTAGGAATAAATACCCATTTGGAGAATTTGAAGGAGAGATGAGGAGGTAGGGACCACACATATAGACATGTCTTTACATCTTTTAGGGAGTTTTGCTGTTAAGGGAAGCAGAGAAATTCGGTGATAACTGAAGGTAGAAGTGGGGTCAAGTAAGGATTTTTTTAAAATTTGAGTAAGATCTTAATAGGAATGATTACTAAAGAGAATAAAGGGAAGATGTACAATCAGAGGTATCTTAAGAAGGCCTAGTGAATGGGAGTCCTTTAAGTGTTTTATGTGCAAAGTGCTATAGCCAATGAGGCATTTTTAAAAAACTGGAAATCTGGGGGAAAGATGGTCACTCTTGATAGAAATGGGGCTGAGAAGGGAAATCATTTTAGAAATAATGGTAAATGTATTTTGGACATATTGAGTTCAGGAAAATATTTAAGCAAAGATTAACCAACTTAGTACAAGGGATTTTTATTTTTATTATTTCTATGATCTGAAGAGAAACCAGAGTATACAAGGAATTTTGAGCTTCAAGATAACAAGAAAAATGATATATTTTACAAAGGACCAATCCAGTTGGTAGACTATTTAAATTATCCTATATCAAATTAATAAGGATTTACTTTGCCAAGATTCTTGGCACTTTTATATTAACTTAAATTGCACTGGGAAAAAAGCATAATAGTAGTTGAGAAGCAACTAATTATAAGCAATTATAAGCCAAATTATGTTTATACCACAATTAGTGTTTGAGGTGGTTTAGTAGGCAGATTCTTCAGTAAGAACCATCAAATAATTGAACAGCTTGTAAAACACAGAAATACTTCTTTTATCTTTATTCCAAGTAGAGTAACCACATTCTTTTATCATTATAAAATAAGCAACATTTATTATCTTTTGTCCCAATCCGCAGTTTGAGTTGGATGCTTATAAAACATGGCAAGAGGGCTGGGTGCGGTGGCCTCCCAGCACTTTGGGAGGCCGAAGTGGGCAGATCACCTGAGGTCAGGAGTTCAAGACAAGCCTGGCAAACATGGTGAAACCTCGTCTCTACTAAAATACAAAAATTGGCCGGGTGTGTTGGCATGCACCTGTAATCCCAGCTACTCGGGAGGCTAAGGCAGGAGAATCGCTTGAACCCAGGAGGCAGAGGTTGCAGTGAGCCGAGATCACGCCACTGAACTCCAGCCTGGGCAACAGAGCGAGACTCCGTCTCAGACAAACAAAACAAAGCAAGAGTAGTTTATGTACCTAGCTCACAACATAGCTTCTTTCAACAGGTTTCACGGAGACACGTGAACCACGTTCTTGTAAGACAAGAGCTATTCTACAGGGTATCTAGAGTGCAAACCCAAACCATGTCTTTTTCAGTGGATTTTTCATGTTGACATCATCTTATTTCACTTTGGGGAAAGTTTTTTTCTAAGGATGATAGCGAAAAGTCCTTTTGTCTTGTGACAATAGCAATTTTTATGTCAGCTTGGGTTTTTTTCCTCCCATATTCCCAAGTAAAAGTAATAACTTTGTTACCAGTTTTGCCATCTGAGGTTAAACTGTTTGACCATGGCTTGACGACTATTTTATACTTAACACTTATAAAATATTAGACTGATAGTTATTTAAGTTACCACCAGTGATAGCTCTGGAATCCCTGTTTTATTAATTTCCAGGTAAATCCTTCTTAAGCACATGGGAAGATAGCACTGTAAATTTTGGGGGGTAAGGAGAACCTCCATCAATTAATACATCAGCTTGATAAAATTCAAAGAAAAACATGATCAAATAAGTTCAGATTATATTTAACACATTCAGTTTCTAGAAGTAGTTTTGCTGAATAAATTCCCACCAGTTGAGCTAATGGAGCAACGGAGCTGCCAGTGCTTCCCGGAGGCTGCTGTGCTCAGCCAATTCGGAGGCATGGCGAGCCACACGGTGGGAGGTGGGTAAAGCCGGGGCCCTCCAAGGCTGGGCGCCACGTTGCTTTTCTCTTCTGAAATAGGAAGACAATGCTTCTGGCTATTGTATAAACCAGCCGAGGACTGCTTTCATTCGCACATCAGCCAAGGCGTGAGCAGAATTAAAGCGCCTTCTAATTCGACCCCTGGCAACGTGCGCGTCACGGACAAATGTTTAGTTTTAACGCCTGGCTGCGTTCGCCTTGGGAAAACACACTTTTAAGAATGGCCAAGTACCTCAGCAGTCGCGGTGAACTGCACAAGATCAAAACCACCACGCCAACCCAGCGCTGGCCACCGTCCCCGCTGAACCCCGCCAACACCCCTAAGGACCCACCCATGTTTTCTGCTAATCATTTTTTTTTTCTAAACAGCTCTGCACAGCCTTTCCTCATTCCGTTCCCGCTCTCCCCACCCACTCTGCGTTCGATCCGAGGTTTCTAGTCCCCAGCTGGACATCACAGCACCAACTCCCACTCAGGAGCCGGCCAGAGCCCGAGCCGCAGCGCAGTGGGCAGCTCCCCGCGCTCTCCGCCAGGCCCTCGGCCAGCCAGCCGCCACTCGGCCGCGAGTGATTGACAGGCGGCAGCAGCTATAGGCCGTGGAGGTGGGACGATGCGTCACTTCCTGGTCTTTTGGGGGGAGCCGGGATATATAAGGGCGGTGCTCACGCAGCGCTCTCGCTTACACAGTATGGCCGGCGACATTAGCTAGCGCTCGCTCTACTCTCTCTAACGGGAAAGCAGCGGAATACAAGAGACTGAACTGTATCTGCCTCTATTTCCAAAAGACTCACGTTCAACTTTCGCTCACACAAAGCCGGGAAAATTTTATTAGTCCTTTTTTTAAAAAAAGTTAATATAAAATTATAGCAAAAAAAAAAAGGAACCTGAACTTTAGTAACACAGCTGGAACAATCCGCAGCGGCGGCGGCAGCGGCGGGAGAAGAGGTTTAATTTAGTTGATTTTCTGTGGTTGTTGGTTGTTCGCTAGTCTCACGGTGATGGAAGCTGCACATTTTTTCGAAGGGACCGAGAAGCTGCTGGAGGTTTGGTTCTCCCGGCAGCAGCCCGACGCAAACCAAGGATCTGGGGATCTTCGCACTATCCCAAGGTGGGTCCCCGGGGCGCTCGCTGACATCCGGGCCTGGGGGCTGTCGCCGCCGCCGAGGCACCAGCCACGGGTGGAGCCCGAGTTCCCTCAGCTTTCAGTTGGGGGCAAGTCTGCGGCCTGGGGTCGCTTCGGCGGCCTTGGAAGGTGCGCGGTTTGGGGGAGAGCGGCCATGTCCACGCGGGCCGGAGCCGGCTTCTCCCGCCGTGGTTGCCGCGCCTGGCATTGCCCTGGGGGAGGGGAGGAGGCCGGCGCGGCCGCGTGCTCAGGTAACGTCCCGCGCTGGGCGGCGGGCGGCGCGGCCCGGGGTGGTTTTGCGGCCCGCGCCTCCCGACATTTCCCTCCGTAGTAGTTGGCGGCAGGGGCCCCAGGTGGGGGTCGGGGGCGCCTGCGCGGGTTGCCTCCGGCAGGTGTGGCTCGGCGGGCTTAGTCAGGCGCTAATTCGGGCGTGCCGGCTTCGGGGAATGGAGGGCGGGAGCGGCGCTTGTTCTTGCCTCGGGCGCGGATAGGAGGGGCCCTCCCGGCCTTGTCTGAGGGGCTGGCGAAGAGGCCTCCCACCCGCGGCGGCCGCGGGCAGCATGTGGCGTTCGGGCGGCGGGGATTGGGCGGGAGCAGTTATGTCGCAGTGGCGGGGCCCCACCGCTCCCCTAACATGCTCTGCGCCAGAGCCTTTTCGGGGCGGCTGGGCAGACGGCGCAGTCCCCGGGGCCGCCCTCGACACGGCCGCTGAGGCCGCTGGGGGCTGCTCCCCAATCTCTTGACCTTGGGTTGTGTAACCTGCTACGGAGCCGGCGGAGCGGGGCGGGAGAGGTGCGGGTGGAGGGAGGCCCGCCTGCCCCAGGACATAATGCCTCTAATGCCTTAAGCTTGAGCAAAGGAATCTGGGGCCCACTCCCACTGCGGGCCGTCACGCGAGAGATACTTGGGCTGACCGCGCCGAAGAGGCGTTTTAGTTGGTATTGCTGTGGAAATCCATGCTTATATAAAAGCCCAGAGATCCCGTGGATGCTTAGGCCTTGTTCCTGGCGGCGGTCGCACCGGTGGCCACCAATGGCCTTCCTAGGCCCTGCCACCGGATCCCTGGCTCCTCTGCGCACGAGTGCGGCTAGGGTGGCGGTGCAGCGGAGTAACTGGCGTGGCCAGCTTCATTGAGAGGCGGCGACCAATGGGCTCCTGGGCCGCACTCAGAGCCTGGCCCCAGGGTGTGGACCAATGGGCGTTTTAGGAGTGTTAGCTGTTCTTGGAGCTGTCCCTTGACAAAAAGCAACTGGAAAAGGGAATCCAGGCAGACACGTGCTACCGAGACTTTAAGGCACGACGGGAAACCCGGTTTCTAGCAGTGTATCTTGAACGATTCCATTGTAGAAAAAAATACTAGTCATAGCTAAAATGTCACACGTCTCATTTTTTTCAAGCTTCGTGTGACACTTAAAATGTCTATAGCGCTTACTACGTGCCAGGCTCACGTGAGATTATAGGAAGCGGACTTTGGTCATGGAGAAGCTTAGTATTTCCTTCATTTCACAGATGAGAAAGATGGTATTTGTGATAGACGTTTGGTAAAACGATTGTGATCAGGATAATTAACCTAGAAAATCTTGGCAAGAACCTAGAAAATCTTGGGTAAGAACAGTCCTAGAAAACGAATAACAGAAGTTGTCACTTTGGCTTTTTAAATGTTTGAGCCCTTAAATAATAGTAAGTACATGTTCTTAATAAAGGGAAGAAGATTTTGTTCTCCCCAAGTTCTTGGCGGTTTGGCTGTTTAGAGCTTCCTGAGTCAAAGTGGAGAGAGGAGGAAGAGGCTTTTTACAAAGCAGCCTGCTTTCTTTAAATGTTTAAGAACCCTTTTTACTTTGTACTTTAATCAGCCCAAATTGTTTTACTGCTCCAGTGTGGCTTTTAAAATCATGGCCAAAGTTAAACTTTGAAGGACAAAATATTCCCTTGTGTAGATGATTTAGTGCCATCCATTTTGTGGACATGTAACATTCATTGAACAACTATTGGTAGTACACTGCCACATTGTAACTGTTGTAGATAAAGCAAGTTAAGCAAGAACTGAAAAATATGTTGATTTAACTAAGGTCCCGTGATAACCTTCGTTGGAACATTTTTCAGTGACCACTCAAGTGGTTAGGTTATTTACCAGGATGTTTAAAAAAGCCTGAAATAGTAGGTGTTCCTTGAATCACCTAAAATCAACAGCCTAGCAAAGAGAGTATCATGGACGGAGTCCGGTCGGTGGGGACATGGGGCCAGCCCCAGAGACCCCAGGGAAGGATAATCGGTCATCTAGAAGAATAAAGCGTGACATGTTTTACTCAAATGACGTGATTAAGTGCATAGCCTCTGGAATAACAAGATTTGAATTCAAACAGCATTTAATAGCTGTGTGAGCTGTTTCCTCATCTGTAAAATGGAGACAATAATGGTACATAGCTCATGGAAGTTGTGAAGAATAAATAAGTTAATATGTTATATGTAGTACGTAAACTGTTATCTTTAACACTTTAAAGACAGGATCCCTCTATAGCCCAGGCTGGAGTGCAGTGGCAGGATCATGGCTCACTGCAGCCTTGACCTCCTGGGCTCTATTAAGATGTGAATAAACTAAAAGTAGGTTAAAAGATGAACAGATGGAATTAAACAAATCTGTTTATAAAGCATAATAAACATAGGGACATAAAAACGATTAAGAGAATGAAAGGCTTAAATGTCCAAAGAGAGCATTAGTATTGATGCTAAAGACAAGGATAACAAGATAAGGATATGAGGGAGAAAAAAATCCTGGAAAAATAGCTTTCCAAAACTAATGCAAGAAGAAATGGAGAACCCAAAACAGTCCTAGAACACCTAAATAACTTGAATCAGTCAATCATCTAGGCCCAGATGATTTCACTGGAGTGTTCTGTATAATTCAAGGGAGAAAATATCCAACTTTTTTCACGCATTCTTCTGGGAAACAACATACTTCCCTCGGTTTTCTCATCCCAAAGTCTGAAATATTTTTTTCTCCTACACGATATTTACCTTTCATATTTAGATCTGCAATCCATCTGGAATTGATTTTGTGTGTGGTGTGAGGGAATACACTTTAAACAAACTTGGCTCATCAGTCCAAGCTTTAATGCTTGGAATCTTTTCTGAATGTACACCTTTTTACTAAACACTGCTTCCCTCTTGTAGACCATTTAAGATATTTTATCTTAAGTGAACAAATTATGTAATACTGAGAAATTTAACAAAGAAAAATCTTTTATGATATAGCTTGGGTTAAACAATACTGTTGGAGAAAAGCAGCAGTCCAGGTATATCCAGATGAATAAAGGACAATTAAGGGAGAGGCGGTTTCTTAGGGGTAACCTGCAGTTTTCTCTGATTTTTCAGATTTTACGGATGTTGAATAAAAATCAGTGACCATTTAAAAAATGGTTTAGTTGTTGGATCAAAGTGCTGTAACAAACAAAAGCTTTTTATAAGACATGGCAGCTTTAGGGAGGGTGAGAGTAGTAAGAAGGAAATCTGTTAGAAAATAGAAAATTTTGCTGAGAAAAGAATGATTTTTCAGGACTGGAAATCCTATTACTGTGCTTTACTCAGATTTTATAAACTAAAACATAATTTTTAGTAAAGGATTGGGGCAGTTGTAAAGATAGTCATACCTCAGCTTAACTTTCCCCAAACTCATGACTTATTTGACTACATCATTATGCAGCATTATTGCAATATCAATAATTTACATTGAAGGAATTTACAACCCGTTGCCAAAAAACCTTTTAGTGTAATGTTTCAGAGTAGAAATGCTTCCTGCTAAAGAATAAAGCTTCTCGTTACATTCCTCCCAGCAGTTTCAAAAAGGTTTCATGGCTGGGCTTGGTGGCTCATGTCTAATCCCAGCACTCTGAGAGACCAAGGAGTTTGAGAGCCCAGTCTGGGCAACATAGTGAAATCCTGACTCTACAAAAAAAATTGAAAAATTATCTGTGCGTGCTGGTCCATCCTGGTGCGTGTCTGCATCCCAGCCACTCGGGAAGCTGAGGTGGGAGGATTTTTTTGAGCCATTGGGGGATCGAGGCTGCAGCGAAATGAGATTGCACCAGTGCGCTCCATCTGGTGGCAGAGTGAAACCCTCTCAACAACAACGAAAATATTTCAACTGTTGTTTACAAACCATGTATCTTTAAGAAGCACATGTTGAAAGTAGCAGAAAACTGAGAGGAGTATCCCGATTTGGGGTAAAAATTTGAGATAGAGAAACAATAATGTGATGATAATAGGTTCATATCTTTGAACAAAAGGGAGGAGGCTTATTTCTCAGGTTATCTGAATTCACTGCCGCAGGAAGGCACCCTCAGAATCTAACTTCTGGTCAGTCTAGCTTTACTCAAGAATGATCTGGTTTTAGGATGCCTTTTACCTAAAGACTGCTTACTACCTGGGGTAGAGGCACCCTGATGAATGTACTGTAATGAGAGCCTCTAAAACAGACCTAAAAATATGAGGTAAGAGCAGAATTGAGAAGCTGCAGTGACTTTGGATAAATTACCTGAACTCTGAAACCAGCTGGTTTTACATTAGGAAGTAATGAGTAATCTAATGACCTGGAAGCTTTTCAAATAAAAATTTGCAGGCATCATCCTCAGAAAGTGTCTGACCTAACTGGGTATGGGAATAGCATCTATGTATTGAGTTTTCAGGTGATTAGAGCATAACCCTGCACTAATGGGATCCTTCTGTATTTAAGTTCTTGGTCTTTTTTTTTTTTGGACAGTCTCAGTCACCCAGGTTCGAGTGCAGTGGTGCCATCTCAGCTCACTGCAACCTCCGCCTCCCAGGTTCAAATGATTCTCCTGCCTCAGCCTCCCTAATAGTGGGTACTACAGGTATGCACCACGATGCCTGGCTAATTTTTGTATTTTTAGTAAAAGACAGGGTTTCGCCATGTTGGCTAGGCTGGTCTTGAACTCCTGACTTCAAGTGATTGAGCCATCGCCCCTGGTCCCTTTGTCCATTTTTTAATCACTTTTTGTTGAGTTGTGTGTAGGTGTGTCTTTTGCTTTGGATATTGACCCCTTATGAGGTGACTTGCAAGTATTTTATTCTGTAGGTTGTCTTTTCACTCGTTTCTTTTGATGTATAGAAATGTTTACATTTTAGGTTTTCAAGTTCCATTTGTCTGTTTTTGATTTTATTGTATGTCATATCCAAGAAATCATTGCCAAATGTAATGCCCTGAAGCATTTACCCTATGTATTCTTCTAGGAGTTTTATTCGCTGTTAATGTTTAGGTTGTTGATCCATTTTGAGTTAATTTTTGTTTATGATGTAAGGTAAAAGTCCAACTTAATTTTGTTTGCATGTGGACATCCATTTTTTCCCAGCACTATTTGTGGAAGCGATGTTTTTCCCTGTTATGTAGGCTTGGGACTCTTGTTCAAGATAGTTGAGCTCAGTCATTTACTTCTTTTTTTGAGACACGCTTGTCTTGCTCTGTCTCCCAGGCTGAAGTGCAGTGGTGTGATTTTTGGTGCACTGTAGCCTCCGCCTCCTGGGTTCAAGTGATTCTCCTGCCTCAGCCTCACGAGTAGCTGGGACTACAAGCCTGCGCCACCACACCTGGCTAATTTTGGTATTTTTACTAGAGGCGGGTTTCGCTATGTTGGTCAGGCTGGTCTTGAACTCCTGACCTCAAGTGATCCGCCTGCCTCGGGCTCCCAAAATGCATTTAATCAGGCGACATAGAGAAGTCTTGTTATAATATAATTATCTTGTCCCTGTAGACATTTCTAAATTCTATTTTTATTAGACCTCAGCCTCTAAGAAAATGTTTTAAATATAAAATGTGGCATGCCACTAAAGTGTTGTTTTTCAGACATACAATTTGTGTGCTGTTATTAATATAGAACATCTATTTTTCTTTGGGATCATTTATCATGATCTCTGATTATATTTAATATTTTAGTATCTAGTCTTTAAGTGAAATTAGGGTATCTCAACCTCAGCATTCTTGACATTTTGATTCAGATAATTCACTGTTGTCAATGACTATCCTGTTAATTATACCGTGTGTAGCAGTGTCCCTGGCCTCTATCCACTGCATGCTGGCAACACCACCACCACCCCAGTTGTGATAAAAAATGTCTCCAAATGTTGCCACATGTCTTCTGGGTGGCAAAATTACTACAAGTTGAGAACCACTGAGTTAGATCAGAGAGGTGGCATTTAAGATGAGAAAAAGGAATTCAAATCAGGAAATACTCAATCTACATATTTCTTTGTGTTTTATAACCACCTAAGAATTGTGTGCTTCGGGCCAGGCATGGTGGTGCATGCCTGTAATCCCAAATCCCAGCACTTTGGGAGGCCGAGGCGGGTGGATTGCTTGAGGTCAGGAGTTCGAGACCAGCCTGGCCAGCATGGTGAAACACCTTCTCTACTAAAAATACAAAAAAAAAATTAGCCTGACATGGTGGCAGATGCCTGTAATCAGTCCCAACTACTCGGGAGGCTGGGGCAGGAGACTTGCTTGAACCTGGGAGGCGGAGTTTGCAGTGAGCTGATAGCATACCACTGCACTCCAGCCTAGGTGACAGAACAAGACTGCATCTCAAAAAAAAAAAAAATTGTGTGCTTGAATAGCTTTATAATAATTTCTAATGACTAGATCAGTATTACGTGAGCTGTAATGTGAACAAATCCCAAAATCATCTTGCTATCTTGCTTCTCTTGATTCTGCTTTATATCCATCAATTTGATTTATTGACTCTTTAAATAGCAAGGATTGCCAAATAGATCAGTTTTATAAATAGTTTATAATAGACTAGTGCTTCAAAGTCTCAGTTTGTAGTGTACTTGGGAGTGAAGCAGAGACAAGACCACTATCACTACTGAGCCTGATAAAACATTCTAGCTTAATACTATCTTTTCTATTTTTGACACACAGTCTCACTCTGTCGCCCAGGCTGGTGTGCAGTGGCACGATCTTGGCTCACTGCAACCTAATTTTAAAAATGGCTCTGTCGACTGTATAAAGCACTTTGTCTTTTCCATCATTAATTTGATCAGAAAGCAGACCACTGAAAACCTTTCCTCCAAAACAAGAGTCAGCAAACTTTCTGTAAAGGACTAGGGAGTAAATTTTAAATTTTGCAAGGCAGACAGTCTGTTGCAATTACTCAGCTCTGCCCTTATAGGGAGAAAATAACCATAGTCAATGTATAAATGAATGGGTGTGGCTAGGTTCCAGTAGAGCTTTATTTACAAAAGCAGGCCATTTTTTCCCACAGAAATGTGATAGAAATAATTTGTGCTGAAATTTTCAGCTGTTGCAGAGTTTTTCACCTCTTTTATGTACATGTATAGCATTGTATTGACTACTTTTTTCTTTCGTCTATTTTGCCCTCTGATTTATTTTTCTTGAGCTTAGTAGCTCTGGTAAATGCCTTTATCATCACTAGGTTGATAGACAGTTTAACTGTTTGTCCTAGGTTGCTTAAAGTAATTGCTTTCTTTTGATACTATGATTGAAAAATTCTGATTACCGGAGCATTACTATTAGTTGAGGAAAGGTTTGAATGGAGAATTTTATTAACTGATGATGAGTGAGTATAAGAGCATTTTGAAGCCAATGGGTTGGCACGTGCCTATAATCCTAGCACTTTGGGAAGCTGAGATGGGAGGATCTCATTAGCCCAGGAGTTTGAGACCAACCTGGGCAACATAGGGAGACCTCATCTCTACAAAACAATTAAAAATATATTAGTAAGGTGTAGTGATACATGCCCTGTGGTCCCAGCTACTTGGGAGGCTGAGGTGGGAGGATCTCTTTGAGCATGGGAGGCCAAGGCTGCAGTGAGCTGTGATTGTGCCATTGTTCTCCAGCCTGGGTGACAGTGAGACTGGCTCAGAAAACAAAAGGTTATTTCTCTGCCATTACAGAAGAAGCATGCTACACTGTCTTCTCTTATTAAAATGCAATTAATAAACCCTGGACAGAATGCATTGTTGAGCAGCTATCCAAGGACTCTGAGAAGTAAATTTTAGCAGGTGAAATGGAGAAGAAAGCCAGAACTTTAAATTCCACTGAACCAGCAGTGAATTTCCTGTTTTTTTTCCCCTGTGGTATCTCCTCGCTGATTTCTCCTGGGCTTGCCAGAAACCCAGAACTGAAAAGTAGGGGCAGGCAAAAATAGTTCCAAGAAAGGCTCTCTAGTTCTCCTCTGCAAAGAAAGAATGAGAGGCCCCTTTGAATCAGAGTGGAAGAAATCTCTTTTTTGCTTTTGTTTTGTTCTATTCTGCCCCAATCCTCTTGTAGGCCTTTAGCAGCTGTGGCAGTTAGGCAGATGTCTAAAACAACGAGAGAAGGGAATCATTTTTTGTTTGTTGTTTGTTTTTGAGACAGAGTCTTGCTCTGTAGCCAGGGCTGGAGTGCAGTGACACGATCTCGGCTCACTGCAAGCTCCGCCTTCCGGGTTCATGCCATTCTCCCGCCGCAGCCACCCAAGTAGCTGGGACTACAGGTGCCCGCCACCATGCCCAGCTAATTTTTTTTTTTTTTATTTTTAGTAGAGACGGGGTTTCACCTTGTTAGCCAGGATGGTCTTGATCTCCTGACCTTGTGATCCTCCTGCCTCCCAGAGTGCTGGGATTACAGGCGTGAGCCACTGCGCCCGGCCAAAGCCCTATTTTTATAGGTAGTGGATGAAGAAGAGTCCTTCCCCTATCCCCTATGTGAGTCAGGCATTGTCAGAGAGATTATGGAAGGTTGAAGAAAGTAAACCTATAAAGTTTTATATGAACACTCCTTAGCCATTTTGCATGGATCTGACCCTAAACAGCACATCAGAGGCTTTGAAAACTAGAATACACAATAGACTGCCTCTCCAGGGCCAGCCTGGCCATTGGGTGGCAAATAAGTGGGGCAGATGCAAATAACATAGCAAAGGAGTTCATAACAAACCTGACACTGGAACCATAACACAACCTAGAAACATTGAGTAAAAACTTGAAGCCTAAACCAAACCAGATTGTCTGCTGAAAGTTTTTAAAAATCAAGACCTAGAATGATGTAACATGTCAAAATATCCAGGATGCCATCCTAAATTAGTCAACATACTCAAAACCAGGAAAATCTTAACATCTCAAAGGAAAAGACAGCAGACACCAACCTCAAGGTGACATGGACCAAGACTTTAAAGTATCTGTGCTACAAGTTGTAAGGGTGAATACTTTGTTTTAAGAGAGGGTCTTGCTCTGTTACCCTGGCTGGAGTGTAGCGGTGTGATCATGGTTCACTGCACCCTCCATCTCCTGGGCTCAAGCAAACTTCCCACATCAGCCTACCGAGTAGCTGGGACTACAGACCTGCACCACCACTCCCAGCTGCCTTTTTTCTTTTTAAGAGACTGGCTATTGCTATGTTGCCCAGGCTGGTCTTGAACTTCTGGTCTCGTGATCCTTCCTTCTTGGCCTCTGAACCACAGTGCCTGGCCACAACAGCCTTTAAAAAAAGAGAAAACAAAAATAAGAAAGGAAAAGACTGTTACACTGTTTAGTTCAGCCATGGAACGTGTTTAAAAGTCTTAATAGAAATGGTGAATATAACTGAGAAAGGGAGGGTGGGATTTGTTAGTGCGTCCAGTGGGTAAAAAGGAGTATGTGCAAGAATAAGTTATAGTGGGAAGTCAGTAGGTGATGACTTAAGCAGGTAGCATTATTGATGGACCTGAATTAGATAAGCTCTTTAAAAATCTGAAATTGTAATGTTTCTAATACTTAAATCATAGTGGATATTTTTATTTACCTTCATATTCAGGAATGGGAGTCTTAATAGTAGATAATTTTTGCAAGGATTTTGTAAATTTATCTTAGTCAAGTGAAGCAGGATTTCATTCCCACGAGTAGTTTGTTTATTTTTTTGAGATGGAGATTCACTTTTGTCGCCCAGGCTGGAATGCAGTGGTGCGATCTCGGCTCACTGCAATCTCCATCTCCCGCATTCAGTCTCCTGCCTCAGCCTCCAGAGTAGCTGGGATTATAGACGCCCACCACTACGCCCAGCTAATTTTTTGTGTTTTTAGTAGAGATGGGGTTTCACCATGTTGGCCAGGCTGGTCTCAAACTCCTGACCTCAGGTGATCCATGCGCCTCGGCTGCCCAAAGTGGTGGGATTACAGGCATGAGCCATTGTGCCTGGCCAAGTTTTTGTTGTTTTTGTTTTGTTTGTTTGTTTTTGAGACGGAGTCTCCCTCTGTTGCCCAGGCTGGTATGCAGTGGCAAGATCTCAGCTCACTGCAACCTCCACCTTCAGGGTTCAAGTGATTCTTCTGTCTCAGCCTCCCGAGTAGCTGGGATTACAGGCGTGTGCCACCACACAAGCCAGGGGTAATTTCAAGGGTTGTCACAGTATATATCCCACATATGTATTCTTTCCATATATGAACAAATTGTTAGCACCCTTTTTAAAGAACCTTAAAACTTTTTAGTAGCTCTTTTAAAAAAGTTGCTTAGTCATGTTATAGTCTAATACAGGAACTCAGCTCTGTAATCATTAGCAAGCCTTTCACATTAAAGATTTTTGGATGGGTATTGGTACGCAGATGGGTCAGTAACAGTTTCTTGTAGCAAAATGGTGAGACAGGCACAAAATTCTACCAGGCATGTTTGGTGTTGTGTTTGCTTTTTAATACAAACGAATAAAAACATTTTGCTGTTGGATTTCGCTCAAAAGGTCTTATCTGGTTAACAAAAGATTTGCCGGCTGGGCACGGTGGCTCATGCCTGTAATCCCAGCACTTTGGGAGGCCGAGGCAGGCGGATCACCTGAGGTCAGTAGTATGAGACCAGCCTGGCCAACATGGTGAAACCCTGTCGCCACTAAAAATACAAAAATTAGCCAGGTGTGGTGGCACGTGCCTGTAATCCCAGCTGCTTGGGAGGTGGAGGTTGCAGTGAGCAGAGATCATGCCACTGGACTCCAGCCTGGGTGACAGAGCAAGACTCAGTCTCAAAAAAAAAAAAAAAAAGATTTGCCATTTTTATGAGTGTAGAGCAATGGCCTGTCAGATATCATAAGGCTTAAAAATTTTTCTTCTTTTTTTAAAGACCAGGGTATTACTCTATCGCCCAGCCTGGTCTCAAACTCCTGAGCTTAAGCCATCCCAATCCCAAAGTGCTAGGATTACAGGCGATTCTCCTGCCTCAGCCTCAGCCTCCTGAGTAGCTGAGATTATAAGCACCTGCCACCACGCCCGGCTAATTTTTGTATTTTTAGTAGAAACAGGGTTTCACCATGTTGGTCAGGCTGGTCTCAAACTCCTGACCTCAAGTGATCCACCGCCTTGGCCTCCCAAAGTGCTGGGATTACAGGCGTGAACCACCACGCCTGGCCTAAAAAATATTTCTGGCAAACAGCTGGGCATGGTGGCACATGCCTGTGGTTCTAGCTACCTGAGAGACTAAGGCAAGAGAATTGCTTGAGCCTGGGAGGTCAAGGCCGAAGTGAGCTGTGATTGCACCACTGCACTTCAACCTGGGCGACAGAGTGAGACCCTGTCTCAAAAAATAATATCTGTCATGTTAAGCTGTTCCATGGAATTACATTGTCTTTTTATAATGGGCACACTAATGAAAGAATGAACACTTTCCTAATTCTATTCTCAGGCAAATTAAGACTAGTTTCTTCATGTCCATATGACCTTCATTGCTATGGTTGCTTGTACTGCACATTTCCTGTTAAACGGGCTTTCTCATTGCATTTGGAGAGCTGCGTAGTATTCCCAAAATCTTCTAGGTATGCTTGTAATTGGCAGTCATTCCAGTTTTTTGTGAGTGCTATAAGAGTAACATCACTCACTGTGTCCCGACAGACAGGCTTTTAAATTTCTATGCCAATTAGATTGGTAAAATTATGCTCTTCTTTTTTTTTAAGTGTTTCTTAAGGTTAAAAATCTGCACATTTTATAGACAAAGTATCCCATTGAATTTCTGTAATCATTGATTAGTTAATGGTTTACCTTGGTTTATGGACCTTTGAACATTTTTTTGCCTATTTTTCTTTAAGTAATTTGTAAATACATAGTATAATGACCAATTTTTGTTTCATATATAGCATAATATACCTATCATTTATCTGGGTGTGTCAATATAGATTATTTTGAAAGAAACTAAAAGTTGGTGTACAATATTAATTAAAAATGTGGTCTTCATGAGAAAAAGTGTGAGCTTTGTAATTTTTATGAGTAGGTGGGTACTATTGTGGATTAATCGTAACTTTTTTGTTAAATGATAGATCTGAGTGGGACATACTTTTGAAGGATGTGCAATGTTCAATCATAAGTGTGACAAAAACTGACAAGCAGGAAGCTTATGTACTCAGGTAAGTCCTGTAAAACAAGTGTTAGGTAGCTAATTTCAGTCCTAATCATAATGTGAAACAGTTAAGTTCCTCTCAGTTGTAGTTCTGGGGGTTTTTTTGTTTTGTTTTGTTTTTTTGAGACGGAGTTTCAGTCACCCAGGCTGGAGTGCAATGGCGCCATGTCAGCTCACTGCAACCTCCGCCTCCTTGGTTCAAGCAATTCTCCGGCCTAAGCCTCCTGAGGAGCTGGGATTACAGGCACCTTCCATCATGCCCGGCTAATTTTTGTATTTTTAGTAGAGACGGGGTTTCACCATGTTGGCCAGGCTGGTCTTGAACTCCTGACCTCAGGTGATCCATCCACCTCGGCCTCCCAAAGTGCTGGGATTATACACGTGAGCCACCGCGCCCAGCCTTTTTTTTACATTATTCTTAAAAATATGGTATAAAAGGAAACATTTAGTGTAACGTGGATGTTTCTAGGACATAGGTTTTGAAGCCTCACCGGACAGTTCAAGGTGTTTGCCGTCTTTTCCTCCCAATTGGTAAAGAAGGACCTCTTAATTAGAAGTTCAGGCAAAGGGAAAGTTAGCTTCTCTATACAAATACAGTTGTCTAATTGGTATATAAAAGCTCATCACCTTTTTTGTAGTTGCAGAGTTAATTTATTCCATAAATACTTTTAATGCTTATAGTATATATTGTGATGGGCCTTGCTGGGGGATACTGGACTAAACAGCCCCTCCCCCCCTTTTTTTTTCTGAGGCGGAGTCTCAGTCTGTCCAGGCTGGAGTGCATTGGCGCAATCTCCTCTCACTGCAACCTCTGCCGCCCAGGTTCAAGCGATTTTCTTGCCTCAGCCTCCCAAGTAGCTGGTATTACAGGCGCCTGCCACTGTGCCCGGCTAATTTTTGTATTTTTAGTAGAGACGGGGTTTCATCATCTTGGCCAGGCTGGTCTTGAACTCCTGACGTGGTGATCCACCTCGGCCGCCTAAAGTGCTGGGATTACAGGTGTGAGCCACTGTGCCTGGCCTCTCTCTTTTTTTTTTTTAAACTAAGTTTATATTATGAATATACGAATGTTTATCAAAATGCTTACCATGTGCCAAGCCCTGGGGATGTTTTGTATACTAGAAAAGGAAAAGAATAATGTGTTACTTGCTTCCTTGAGATCCTAATATTTAAAAGTACTAGCCAAAATTGTAAATGATAATTAAATTGGTTGATTGCACCCTCAGTAGTACATTAGTATTGTTATAATATTGTGACTTTTTTCAACTGCAGTGAGAGTAGCATGTTTGTCTCCAAGAGACGTTTCATTTTGAAGACATGTGGTACCACCCTCTTGCTGAAAGCACTGGTTCCCCTGTTGAAGCTTGCTAGGGATTACAGTGGGTTTGACTCAATTCAAGTAAGTAAGCAAACATTTAAATATTTTTCAGGCATAAATGTTAGCGTTCTTATCCTGTAATATGCGAAGTAAATAAATTTATATACTTACTGCCTTTGTTACAATGCATGCAAACACGTGGTAAGGTGTTCATACCTTAGGAAGAGATCTGATTCTCAAGAACAGCAGAAAATAGGAAGCAGAGAATGAGTTAGGATGAAATTCAAATGGGAGAAAGAAATGAAGAAGCCAGACACTTCCAGTAGTTAATTTCTTAACATGGCTACTTATAATAATAGAGAAATGGTAAGAAAAGAAGGAAAAGCAAGAAAAATGTCGTTACTGAAATTGTCCAGTCTTTATAATGAAGAGTTAGGATGAAGAGCAACAGTCAGTATTGAGTTAAATTCTTATACTTTTCAAGAACTAAGGTGTTTTTACCTAGGGTATAATTTTCTGATTAGCAGTTGTTACATTTTATTTATTTTTTATTTTTTTGAGATGGAGTTTCGCTCTTGTTTCCCAGGCTGGAATGCAATAGCACGATCTCAGCTCACTGCAATCTGCACCTCCCAGGTTCAAGTGATTCTCCTGCCTCAGCCTCCCAAGTAGCTGGGATCACAGGTGCCCACCACCATGCCTGGCTAATTTTTTTTGTATTTTTAGTAGAGACGGTGTTTCACCATGTTGGCCAGGCTGGTCTCTTAACTCCTGACCTCAGGTGTTCCACCCACCTCAGTCTCCTAAAGTGCTGGGATTGCAGGCGTGAGCCACTGCACCCGGCCTGAATTTTAATCTTTAACTTCATAAGGAAAGGATGGATTGTCATTAGTACTCAATACAGTTTTTGTTGTTATGAATTGATCCTTGTAAGAAATCTAAAGCAATGTGTGCTTAACCGATGCTTAAAACTAATATGTTATTCCCCCCAAATTTTTGCTTATATGACTATTAATAAGCTCAGTTTAGAAACTACTGTTCTAGAAAGGAATATACTTGGTGTTAATAGTTGTTATGACCCATCATCACTAGACTGGGCTTTTTAAAAAAAAGAGAGAGAGAGAGAGATGGGGCCTCAGTATGTTGCCCAGGCTGGACTCCTGGGCCAAGTGATCCTCCTGCCTCCTAATAGCGAGACTACAGGCATATGCTACCATGCCAAGCTAAAATATTTGAGTTTTGATTTTGCCGAGTTTTTGATATGTGGACAATAGTTGATTAGCTTCGAAAAGTGATAGAATTCTACATCTAAAGTCATCTTTTTTTTTCTTTCTTTTCTTTTTTAATAAAGAGCTTCTTTTATTCTCGTAAGAATTTCATGAAGCCTTCTCACCAAGGGTACCCACACCGGAATTTCCAGGAAGAAATAGAGTTTCTTAATGCAATTTTCCCAAGTAAGTTTAAATAAAATATAAACCTGTTGTCTTCTTAAAGATAGAAAGTGCAACCTCAGAGATCTTTCTATATGAGAGCATACTTATGCATATATAGCATTCTACACACACTAATACTTGCTTTTCTTGTGGGTTTTTTGGTTTGTTTTAGACAGGGGTCTCATTCTGTCACCCATGCTGGTGCAGTGGTGTGATCACAGCTCACTGCAGCCTCAACATCCCAGGCTTAAGTGATCCTCCCACCTTAGCCTCCCAAGTAGCTGGGGCTACAGATGTTTGCCACCCCACCTGGCTAATTTTTTTTTAATTTTTAGTAAAGACAAGGTTTTGCCATATTGCCCAGGCCGGTCTTGAACGCCTGGGCTCAAGGGATCCACCTGCCTTGGCCTCCCAAAGTGCTAGGATTACAAGTGTGAGTTACTGCACCTGGTCCATATTTACTTTGACTTAGATGTTTTGGGAGTACAGTAGTGATCTTTATATAGCTTGTAATTCAAAATATGCAGAATTTATAAAGAACATTAAAATATCAGATAAAATATTTTTAGTTAAGATTAATAGCTTATTGCAAATTATGTATACACATGTAAAAATAATTGTGTATCATAAATCAGTGCTGTTTAAATGATGGAATTTTAAAATGTAGAATTGATCACCTGCCACCTCTGATTTTTCATACAGCATAGAGAGAGTTCATCTTCATCTGGCCATTCACTCTACTTTATGTCTCACTCAGTGGTTCTTTTTGCGTTTTTGTTTGAGACAAGTTTCACTTTGTCTCCCAGGCTGGAGAGCAGTGGCATCATTATAGCTCACTGCATTGTCAAACTCTTGAGTTCAAGCACCCAGCTAATTTTTATTTTATTTTTAGTAGAGATGGAATCTTGCTGTGTTGCCCAGGCTGGTCTTGAACTCCTGCCCTCTAGCAGTCCTCCAGCCTCAGTGGTTCTTAACATACAGATCATAATGTCCTTTGACAATATGAAGAAGGATATGATTCCCTTCAGAAAAATGCCTAGTGCTCTGCTCCAGCATTTTATATAATAATTGACCTGGCTTTTTAAAATTGCACAGTGTAAATTAGTGTTTCTTGAATGAAATTCGTAAGGGTTTCTTTCATCCATTTACTAAGCTTTTATTTATAGAGGTCAGGGAACAAAGGTTATCTGATAACATCCTTACTTCCTAGATAAGGCTGAAAACCTAAGATAATTTAGTAACTTTGCACAAAGTCGCTCATAAGCATGAAAATTGAACTTAGCACATCTACTAATATGAAACCAAACCAGGCTAATCAGAGTGTTGGGTATTTACTGCAAATACCCGCCAAGTCAGTCGATCCTGCTTATCTGGGAATTTACCTACTGTTTCCATTCCTTTCACTGATGACATTTCTTTTTTCTTGAGATGGCGTCTCGCTTTGTCACCCAGGCTGGAGTGGAGTGGCGTGATCTTGGCTCACTGCAACCTCCGCCTCCCGGGTTCAAGCAGTTCTCCTGCCTCAGCCTCCCAAGTAGCTGGGATTATAGGCATGTGCCAACACGCCCAGCTACTTTTTGTATTTTTAGTAGCGATGGGGTTTCATCATGTTGGCCAGGCTCGAACTCTTGACCTCAAGCCCACCTCTGCCTCCCTGCCAAAAGGGGTGGGATTATAGACATGAGCTACTATGCCCAGTCCACTGATGGATGACATTTCTAATAAGTGGCAAATAGTATCATTCTGCTTATTGTGGAAGGGTAGTAACAAACCATCCTATTAAATGGATGTGTTATATTTATTTTGCGTTCTCTTCCCTCAACAGATGGAGCAGCATATTGTATGGGACGTATGAATTCTGACTGTTGGTATGTTTAATGCAATTTTGTGGATTTTTGTTGTCCTATGTAAGATTTAAACTGCCAATTGTCATTTTTAGGAACTATTTTTAATTTTTATTTAGGTACTTATATACTCTGGATTTCCCAGAGAGTCGGGTAATCAGTCAGCCAGATCAAACCTTGGAAATTCTGATGAGTGAGCTTGACCCAGCAGTTATGGACCAGTTCTACATGAAAGATGGTGTTACTGCAAAGGATGTCACTCGTGTAAGCATTTTTAGTAATAATTGTTGCTGGACTCTTCTGCGTGGGGACTAAATTTTATTTTTCATTCTGTAACTTTTAAGTTCAGGGTAACAAGTGCTAGTTTGTTACATAGGTAAACTTGTGTCATGGGGGTTTGTCGTACACAGTATTTCGTCACCCAGGTGTTAAGCCTAGTACCCATTAGTTATTTTTCCTGGTCCTCTCCCTTCTCCCACCCTGGGACTAAATTTTGGACTCAATTGAAGTTTATTTGTCAAACCCTTGTTAAACTCGGTCTTTTTCCCCCCCCAGGAGAGTGGAATTCGTGACCTGATACCAGGTTCTGTCATTGATGCCACAATGTTCAATCCTTGTGGGTATTCGATGAATGGAATGAAATCGGATGTGAGTAGTTATATATTGCTTCAATAATTATTTAAATGTGAATAGTCTTTCCATTCTTAACACTGTGAACTTTTTCTCTCAGGGAACTTATTGGACTATTCACATCACTCCAGAACCAGAATTTTCTTATGTTAGCTTTGAAACAAACTTAAGTCAGACCTCCTATGATGACCTGATCAGGAAAGTTGTAGAAGTCTTCAAGCCAGGAAAATTTGTGACCACCTTGTTTGTTAATCAGGTAATTTTATATTTTATTATTAATCAGGTTATTTGATTTTTAAAATCTTAAAGGAAATGAGACAGTGAGGCCTAAGATGTATTCTGAGATAGCACATATACCAGCCACTCAGATATCCAGAAGTAATATTGTTTGAGGTTACTGGTAGCTGAGAAGCTTTGTTTCATTAGACCTGTGTCAGTCCTTGTTTTCTGTCTAGCCAAACTGATGGGTTCCTCCTGTCTTGCTATTGACAGGCCTCTGGTGGGAGGAACCATAAGATGCCCTGGCCCCTCCAGCACATAAGAAGGCAGCTAAAATAACTCAGATGTCTTAGTTTCATTAAGATAAAAGTCTGTCACTTAACTGTTTTGGTTGAAAATACTTCTCTGGATTGCAAACACTAACGGTTATTTAATTTTTTCCCCCAGAGTTCTAAATGTCGCACAGTGCTTGCTTCGCCCCAGAAGATTGAAGGTTTTAAGCGTCTTGATTGCCAGAGTGCTATGTTCAATGATTACAATTTTGTTTTTACCAGTTTTGCTAAGAAGCAGCAACAACAGCAGAGTTGATTAAGAAAAATGAAGAAAAAACGCAAAAAGAGAACACATGTAGAAGGTGGTGGATGCTTTCTAGATGTCGATGCTGGGGGCAGTGCTTTCCATAACCACCACTGTGTAGTTGCAGAAAGCCCTAGATGTAATGATAGTGTAATCATTTTGAATTGTATGCATTATTATATCAAGGAGTTAGATATCTTGCATGAATGCTCTCTTCTGTGTTTAGGTATTCTCTGCCACTCTTGCTGTGAAATTGAAGTGCATGTAGAAAAAACCTTTTACTATATGAAACTTTACAACACTTGTGAAAGCAACTCAATTTGGTTTATGCACAGTGTAATATTTCTCCAAGTATCATCCAAAATTCCCCACAGACAAGGCTTTCGTCCTCATTAGGTGTTGGCCTCAGCCTAACCCTCTAGGACTGTTCTATTAAATTGCTGCCAGAATTTTACATCCAGTTACCTCCACTTTCTAGAACATATTCTTTACTAATGTTATTGAAACCAATTTCTACTTCATACTGATGTTTTTGGAAACAGCAATTAAAGTTTTTCTTCCATGAGTTGAGTCCTTAAGAAAATGATTCCAGTTACTCATTTTGCATATTTGCTATTTTAACATTATTGGACCCTGCATTTATAGTCCTTTGATTTCTTCCCTCTCCCTGGTGTCTCCCCCAAGACCCCAAATAAAGCAATACACTGTTAACACTGTGGGTTTATATACTAATTCTATACCCCAGATGGGGAATGGGGGAGATGGTCCCTGGGCTTAATATTCTTTAAAGGGCATGGGAATTTAGCCTCTCTTTTATTGTAATGTGCTCTTTTGGAAAATAGTTGGTTAGCAGGGAAGACCCAGAGTTGTAGATTGAGATTAGGGTGTACTGGCTGAACTGTGGAAAACATACAATTCTGTGTTCCTCAGTAAATGAGATTAGCGTCTAATGAGTAGCACCCCTTTACTAACTTAGTAGTAGTATAAAATCATTTTTATTTAGTTAATTACCAGAGAGATTTAGCATAATTTTGTTCTGGATTCAGTAAATCAAGTCAGCTTGGATCATTCACCTTAACTTTTCCTTTAGCAGCCATTTCCACTAGTTTCCATTAAGTAGTGTTCTATAAACTTTGATCCAAAGCAGAATCAATGTCTTTTCCATCTCGTGACTTAAAGTTCTGTGACTGTGATGCATGTGAGTGTTCCGACTTCATCTGTTCCTCTTAACTACGGTGTTTCCCTTACCATGGCATTCATAGGATGAAATGAATGACTGCCCAGAATGAGAATTTGTCCAGATTATTCAGATAAACATCATAAAGCAGAATACATTATAAATAAGTAGAATATGAATAAATAGAATAATAAAATTCCAAAATACTCAATGGGAAATGACTAGTAATATAGGCTTTCAAGAGTTGGTACCTTTTAGCTATATTTGCAGATTCTCTGGGATTTTAAGGAACTGAGAAAACAGCAAAGTTGACTAAATTTTATATTTCTTGTCCTCTAAATATTTTGATAATTTCTGGATTGATGCAGTGATGTTTTTGTTCCTTCCGTATTTATAAATGAAACACCTTTTTTTAGTGTTTCTAAACCTAAAATCTACTTGGTTTGAAATCAAGTGGTTGGAACACTGTTTGACTTTTATTTGAAGCATGTTGTTGATTGAAAATTTCATTGAGGAAGTTTTCAATCAGTGTGATCAGTTTGATTCTGTAATGAGCACAGCACCTAATATTTTGAGGAGCTCTGTTTTGAGGACCAATGCTTAAGGTGGACTTTGTTCGTAAACAATATCCCAATAGATTTGTTGACTTGAGGTCTGGTTTGGTTTTGTTTTTGTTTTGTTTTGTTTTGTTTTGTTTCCAATAGAATTAAGAATTCTAATGTTGAAAAACTGCACAAATTTTTATGGGACAAAGCCTAGAAAAGAGAAATGTAGTTTGAATCATAATCTAAATCATCGTATGATAGAAGAGGGAAAGTTTTGGTGCCATAATTTCTCCTTTCACTGGTGTTGGACTTAAATCAGTTGAAATGTATTTCTGTACCACAATTTACGCTTCAATAAAAGTTTAATTGTCTAGTGACATTCAGAAACTTTTCTGTTGCCCTGTTTTTTAAGTAGCCTACTTGACCAAATACTACATGTCTGAAGTTTAAAATCAATACAACAATGTGTATTTATGAGTTTGGAGTTAGACAGAAGTTTAAAAGTGTTAGGTCCCAACCTTTATTATAGACTAGACTCTTAAAACATTGGTTGAGGATGATCAAACTCAAATAAGTTTCCTTATTTCATTCATGGTTATTTCTATTAAGTAGAAAAAAATTTATAACCTTGATCATTTTCTTTATTTTTTTTAATTTAGGATCTTGTTCTGTTGTCTAGGCTGGAGTGCCGTGGCTGTTAACAGGTGCGATCATAGCATACTGCTTCCTTGAACTCCTAGGCTCAAGCAGTCTTGCTGCAGCTTCCCAAGTAGCTGGGAATGCAGGGTTCTGCCATCACACTTGGCTTTGTCATTTTCTTTATTTGGCAACATTTTAGTTCCACAGTCAAATATGTAATAAGCTGAAAAATCTTATGAAAATGTATATTCTGATCTTTCTCAGAATATGCTTCCGTTAGAAAATATTTCCTCAATTTTCATTAAAAACAGATGGTGTTCCTAGAAAAGCAAAATATTACATATCTGTGCAATATGTAATTCACAAGATTCATTTGCCAAAAACAGGTGAGTGAATTTGGGGGTTCATTAGTAAGCAGTCACCAAGTTTCTGTCACAGACACATAACTGGAAATGTGATTTTATTCTCCTGGATGGACAATTGTGATGGATTTTTTGGGTTCCGGGCTTCAGGCTTTGCAATCTCATCTTCTTTGCCCTTCCTCTTGTCATAATGGAAGAGGTGCTGCTAATTTGGGTTCCATCCTTTCCTGCTTTCAGAGACTGTCCTGTGATTTCCTAAAACATTTCCATTAGTTTGTTTGAATTTTCTGATTTTCTTCCCTTAGGGCCCTCCACAGGCCTCTGTGCTAGTGCCTTGAATGATGGCAAGTGTACAAAAAAAATTTTTTTTCTTTTTAAGACGTTTTTGTTCTGTCACCCAGGCTGGAGTGCAATGGCGTGATCTCGGCTCACTGCAACCTCCACCTCCCAGGTTCAAGTGATTCTCATGCCTCAGTCACCCAAGTAACTGGGACTACAGGGATGTGCCACCACACCCGGCTAATTTTTGTATTTTTAGTAGAGACAAAGTTTCACCATGTTGGCCAGGCTGGTCTTGAACTTCTGTCCTCAAGCAATACGCCCACCTTTGCCTCCCAGCATGTTGGAATTACAGGCATGAGCCACTGCACCTGGTCAAGTGTCCAAATTCTTACTCCAAAACTGAACTTTGGGCTGGGCGCCATGGCTCACACCTGTAATCTCAAAAGTTTGGGAGTCTGAGGTGGGAGGATTGCTTGAGCCTAGGAGTTTGAGGCCAGTCTGAGCAACATAGTGAGACCCTGTCTCTACAATAAATAAAAGGAAATTGAGGCTGTAATGAGCTGTGATTGTACCACTGTACTCTAGCCCGAGCAAAAGTGAAACCCTGTCTCAAAAACAAAAATCTTGACTTGTGCAATAGCCACAGTTTTCCTGGATTCTCAATAGAACCCTATGGTGACATTTGAAACACAAAGCTAGAGGTATGTGACTTCAAGATGGTAAGAAAACCATGAAACAGACTTGTCAAGGGATGTCTGATAAATTGTTGGATATCTGGCCTAGGGGCCCAGACAATAGATTTTAGATTTGTAAACATCTTAATATGGAGGGTTTTGTGTGTGTGTGTATGTTTGAGACGGAGTCTCGCTGTGTCACCAGGCTGGAGTGCAGAGGCGCCATCTTGGCTCACTGTAACCTCTACCTCCTGGGTTCAAGTGATTCTCCTGCGTCAACCTCCTAAGTAGCTGGGATAACAGGCACGCACCACCACGCCTGGATGATTTTTTGTAATTTTAGTAAAGATGGGGTTTCATCATGTTGGCCAGGCTAGTCTGGAACTCCTGACCTCAGATGATCCGCCCACCTCGGCCTCCCACAGTGTAGGGATTACAGGCATGAGTCACTGCGCCCAGTTTTAACATGGAGAATTTTCAAACTTACAAAGTAAACAAAATGGTACACTAAACCTTTATATACAGTTTCAACAACACCATTCTAGTTAGGCATATCTGTCTACTAACTACATGCCCTTTTTAGATAAAATTTATTTAAATTGAAATATGTAAATCCAGCTGGGCACAGTGGCTCACGCCTGTGATCCCAGCACTTTGGGAGGCCAAGGTGGGTGGATTACCTGAGGTCAGGAGTTCAAGACCAGCCTGGCCAACATGGTGAAACCCTGTCTCTGCTAAAAATACAAAAATTAGTTGGGAGTGGTGGCGCATGCCTGTAGTCCCAGCTACTCAGAAGGCTGAGGCAGAAGAATCACTTGAACCCGGGAGGCTGAGGTTGCGGTGAGTCGAGATTGCCACTGCACTCCAGCTTAGGCGACAGAGTGAGACTTCATCTCAAAAAAAAAAAAAAAAAAGATATATATATATATATATACACACACACATCTAAGTTATAATTTTGGTAAGTGGTTCTCCTTTGCCCACACCTTACCAGGACAAAAGGAGCTTACTCTACCCAGGCAATTAAGCAATCTCCCACCACCACCAAGCTCAAATGTTTTCATCATAGACTAGGGTTCATTTTTATTTCCTTCCCTGGAGCTTTGTAATTCTTTCAGCGTAAACATTGTTGAGGTTCAACAGTCCTTATTGCTGAGTAGGACTCGATTGTATGAATATACTATAATTTGTTAATCTGTTTTCCTGTTAGTGAACATTTTATTGGTTTCTAGTTTTTGGCAAGTGTGAGTAAAGCTGCTATGAACATTTGCACACAAATATTGTGACTTCTGGGCATGTAGTGGTATCTTGTGGTTTCAGTCTGCATTTCTCTGACTAATGAACACGTTCTCGTGTTTATTGGCCATTAATATGTCTTTGAGTGTGTATTTTTAAATTAGGTTCGTTTTTATTACCAAGTTATAGGAACTCTATGTATTTTGAATAAAATTCCTTGTCAGTTATTTTGCAAATATTTTCCCCATTGTGTGTCTTGACTCTTGATTTTTTTTATAGTGTTTTGAGCAGAAGTTTCCACTGGAGTCTTAATTTATCAATTTTTAAATGGACTTTTTCTAAATAAATCTGCCTACCTCCAGATTGTTATGGTGGTATTGTTTTCTCATAAAATGTTTAAGCTTTTATGTTTTTAGGTCTATTATCAATCTCAAGTAAGTTTTTGTAGTGATGTAGGGTAGGGCTTGAGGTTCATTTTTCTCCCCCCGTCAAGTTATTCTAACACTGTGGGAAGGATTCTTTTCTCCATCTATTTCTGGAGTATATTCTCGCTTTTTTTTTTTTTTTTTTTTTTTTTTGAGACAGAATCTTGCTCTGTTGCCCAGGCTGGAGTGCAGTGATGCGATCTTGGCTCACTGCAACTTCTGCCTGCCAGGTTCAAGCAATCCTGCCTCAGCCTCCCAAGTAGCTGGGGCTACGGGCGTACGCCACCATGCCCGACTAATTTTTGTATTTTTATTAGAGACGGAGTTTGGCCATGATGGCCAGGCTGGTCTTGAACTTTTGGCCTCATGTGATCCGCTTACCTCAGCTTCTCAAAGTGCTGGGATTACAGGCGAGAGCCACTTTGGGTGTGTCCAGAAGGCACCTGGCCTTCTGGAGTGTATTCTTTTTCATTGATCCACTTTTATCTGTCCATGTGCCCATACAATACTGATTGCTGAGCTTTAAAGTCTTGAAGTCAAGTGGTCTACTTTTGTTAACGTTTGTAGATTACTTTGTCCTTTAGACGCTGATATAAATACGACAATAAACCTGTCAGTTTCAATTTTTTTTAAAAGCCTGATGGGATTATTTAAGTTGAATTGTTTTGTTCTGTTTTGTTTTGTTATATACAGTTTTGCTCTTGTGGCCCAGGCTGGAGCACAAAGGCGCGATCTCGGCTCACTGCAACCTCCAATTCCCCGGGTTCAAGCGATTCTCCTGCCTCAGCTTCCCAAATAGCTGGGATTACAGGCATCTGCCGCCATGCCCGGCTAATTTTTTTTATTTTTAGTAGAGATGAGGTTTCACCATGTTGGCCAGGCTGGTCTTGAACTGACAGGTGATCCACCCAACTCGGCCTCCCAAAGTGCTGGGATTACAAGTGTGAGCCCCCGTGCCCGGCTAGTTTTTTGTTAATTCCTGAGCATTTTTGGTTTCTGGATGCTAGTCTAAATGGAATTGGTTTCTTTTTCCAACTGGTACTAGTTTATAGAAAGGCAACTTTAAAAATGTTGACTTATGAGACTTTGCCAATAGTGGGTGGTTGGTTGGTTCCTCCCTTATTCCACTGGTTAGGACTTCCATGGTGAGAAGAGGTAAGAGCAGACTGTGACTAAAGTGAGGTATGTAATAAAATGTAAGGAGGCACCGTCAGGGCAGTGGAAGCGTAGAGTGGGCATCTGAGTGGGAGTACATCCTTGTACTTGCTCCCTCCCTTGCACTTGTACCTTACTTGCTTGGTCTCATGTGCTGTTCCTGTATTAAGGGCTTACCTCCTTGCCCTGTTCCCAGTTTGAGGAAGAAAGCATTGAATATTCCATCAAGAGTGTTTGCTAGTAGGTGTTTTTGTTTTGCTTTGTGGAGACAGTGTCTTGCTGTGTCACCCAGGCTCAAGTGCAGTGGTGCATTCACGGCTCACTGCAGCCTCAACCTCTCAAGTTCAAGTGATCTCATCTAAGCATCCCGAGTAGCTGGGACTATAGGCGCACACCACCACACCTGGCTAATTTTTGTGTTTTAGTAGAGACAGGGTTTTGCCATATTGCCCAGGCTGGTCCCCACCTCCTGGGCTCAAGTCTTAGCCTCCCAAGGTGCTAGGATTACAGGAGTGAGCCACCTCACCTGGCCTCTACTGGTTTTATGTAGATGTCTAGATCAATGCCTTTTATTAGATTGAGATAGTTCCCTTCTAGTTAGCTGGGTTCTTATGAATGGAAGATATCACATCCCTACCCCCCTCCTTTTTTCCCCTCCATTGAGATAATCATGGTTTGTATGCTTTTTTAGATACTGTTTCTGTCCTCAGAATGAAAGGAGTTAAGTAGTGGAACGTGATGACTGAAACAGGCCCTCTACCATTGGAGACAAGAAGGGAAGTGTATGGAGTAGCCATTCTTTTATTCGTTTACTTTCTTAACAAACTTGCTTTCACTTAAAAAAAAAAGTGTAAAGGCACCTGGGTAGTTCTCTGGTTTAAAGTAACTTTGTGGCCAGGTGTGGTGGCTCAAGCCTATAATCCCAGCACTTTGGGAGGCTGAGGTGGGCGGATCACGAGGTCAGAAGTTCAAGATCAGCCTGGCCAACATGGTGAAACCCCCATCTCTACTAAAAATACAAATTTAGCCAGGCATGGTGGCAGGGGCCTGTAGTCCCAGCTACTCAGGAGGCTGAGGCAGGAGGATCGCTTGAACCCGGGAGCCAGAGGTTGCCGTTAGCCGAGATCATGCCACTGCACTCCAGCCTGGGCAACAGAGGGAGACTCCGTCTTAAAAAATAAAAGTAACTGCCCAAGGTTAGAGAAACTAGAAATGATAGAGCCCAGATTCAAACTCTGGCAGGCTAGAGCTTGTTGTTTCAGTCACTGTTATCTCTCAGCTAAATCTTTTAATCTCCTTAAAGCTTCGGAATTCAATGATTTCATCTCCTATTTTATTTACCGTTTAAGAATTCCTCATCTTTGGTAGCATGTTTGGTTCTGTTGACTTCAGCCTCACCTTTAGCATTTTATTTTATTTGTTTATTTAAAGACAGACTGTTGCTCTGTCACTCAGGCTGGAATGCAGTAGTGCGATCTTGGCTCACTGCAGCCTCCGTCTCCTGGGTTCAAGTGATTCTCCTGCCTCAGCCTCCCGAATAGCTGGGATTACAGGCCCCTGCCACCATGCCTGGTTAATTTTTGTAATTTTAGTAGAGACGGGGTTTCACCATATTGGCCTGGCTGGTCTCGAGCTCCTGGCCTCAAGTGATCTGCCTGCCTCAGACTCCCAAAGTGCTGGGTTATCAGATGTGAGCCACCGTGCCCGGCCACCTTTAGCATTTTAGATGTAAGAGATACTCCTCGTATTTTAATTCCTGTGTTTATCTCACTGCAAACTGATATAGTCTGTGCGTGGTGGCTCATGCCTGTAATCCCAACACTTTGGGAGGCAGAGACAGGCGGATCACTTGAGGTCAGGAGTTGGAGACCAGCCTGACCAACATGGTGAAACTCCATCTCTACTAAAAGTACAAAAAAAACCCCAAGCTTGGTGATGTGCACCTGTAATCCCAGCTACTCAGGAGGCTGAGACAGGAGAATCGCCTGAACCTGGGAGACGGAGGTTGCAGTGAGCCGCGATCGCACCACTGCACTCCAGCATGGGTGACAGAGTGAGACTCCACCTCAAAACAAACAAACTGATATAGTTTGGGACTGCTACCAGTCAACAGACCACAATTGGTGGTAGAGTGTAGAAGCCGGGACATGGGAGAAGGGGAGACATGACGATACGGGTCACACAATCAGCTGCAGGCCAAGTCACCCTGATGAAACAGGAATCCAAATGGCATCTGGGGCCAGAGGCTTCCCCCACGACACAGCTCACTTATTCAAAGTTGTTCAAAAGAATTGACTGCCAGTACTGCCTCCTTAGGAGGTGAACTCTCTGCTAAGGCAGAATAATACTGTGTAATTTTTAGAAGTATGTATTAGACATAAAATATGTTAAAATGCATGTGAAATAAAGTACAATTCACAGCAGAACAAAGTTTTAGTTTCTTAGGGCTGAAATGTAGATCATCCTATTTGAAATCATTACTGTTAACTATATTAGGGCAAGACTCCTCAAGGACATAGAAACTAATTGAAGCAGTTGATTCACAATTTGACCTTTCTTGCAGTAGGCACTTAGGTTGATAAATCCCTAATCTAATAACTAACTGTTCTATGCTCTGGAAAGAAATTTGGTAAATTCCCGCTTACCAAAATGCCCTATGTTAACATTGTGAATTCTTTCACAAATACTGTATTGTGAAATGGGAGTACATATTTGTGATGTGCTGTTTATTATGTGGACATAATATAGGAAATTATCAAGAGTTGTCAGTAAACAAAAGGAAGCATCCTTTCCATTCAAAAGAGAGTAATTCAGTGGACTAGAGACTTTAAAATTTCTTTGTTTTTAGAGGTGGGGCCTCTGTGTTGCCTAGGCTGGTGTCCAACTCCTGGACCCCAGCAATCCTCTTGCTTTGGCCTCCCAAAGCTCTGGGATTACAGGAGCTAGCTGCCACGCCTGGCCTAGACTTCTGTTTTTACGTAGTAGAGGCAATTTATGAAGATAAAGTCCCAGCTGTAAAAGTGTGGTGTTAAAATTAAATTACTTCACATTTTTTCTTTTTTAAAAATATTGGTGCACACTTCACCTGGACTTCATTTTTTTTCAAAGTATACTTGTGAGTTATCTTAATGGTATTCCTTAGTTATTTGTAACTATGTAGTGTTGTCTGAAGGTTTCACTATGCTTTTCCTGCCTCAAAACATCCTCCCCACCTTCGGCTGCCTTGTCTCCTCGTGTCCCTGACCTGCTTCCTCCTTGCTCAGTCCTCTCCAGGAACTCTGGCTTCTTGCTCTTCCTAGAGCACACCACGCATGATTCTGTGTTAGGATTTCTGTGCTAGCTGTATTCTGGAATGTTCTTCCTTTAGACATCTACATAGCTCACTCCCTCACCAGTCTGTCTTTGCTCAAAGTCTTACTGAGACATACCATACCCTGACCATCATATTTTATATTGCAAACTGACCCCCAAACAGTCCTAATCCCCCTCATCTCTATTAGTGTGTTTTAGATACTAAGTATTCATCATGCTTACTTTTATTGTCCAGCTCCCTCTACTAGAATGTAAGCTTTCTGAGGACAGGGATTTATATCTGTTTTGTTTCTATTTCCCAAGCATTGAGGTCCAAGATAGCCCTAGTAATGACCACATACTGTGCTGTGTTCACAACCTTCTGTAGTCTCTTCCCACACTGATAGGGCTGACTTATGTGGCCAGTAGGTTGTTGCAGAAATAAGAGAGTATGATTCCAAAGATAGGTCATAAAAGGCATCTAAGGAATAGGTCCTCTAGACCCAGTCAAGCTTTAAATTACTGTAGATCTCTCCAACATCTTTGTATTTTTCATGCAGTCTTTTTTCCCCATTATCTTTAATTTTTCTTTCCTGAGAGCCATTATAGGTTTACAGCAAAACTGAGCAGAAGGTACAGAGATTTCCTATACATTGTCTTCCCCACACATGCATAACCTCCTTCATTATCAACATCCCCCACCAGAGTGGCACGTTTGTTACAATTGATAAGCCCACATTCCATTACCAAGGGTCTGTAGTTGACATTAGAGTTCGCTCTTACTGTTGCACATTTGATGGGTTTAGACAAATGTATAATATCATGTATTCACCATTATATTATCATGCAGAGTATTTTTACTGCACAGAAAATCCACTGTGTTCCTTCTATTCATCCCTCCCTCCTCCTCAGAATTATTTGTAAGACTCCAAAAACACAGAACAGAGGGGAGGTTCCAAGATGGCTGAATAGGAACAGCTCCAGTCTGCAGCTCCTAGTGTAAGCGACGCAGAAAACGGGTGATTTCTGGATTTCCAACTGAGGTACCAGGTTCATCTCACTGGAGCTTGTCAGACAGTGGGTGCAGCCCATGGAGCAGGGTGGGGCATCATCTCACCCGGAAAGCACAAGGAGTCAGGGAATTCCCTTTCCTAGCAAAAGGAAGCCATGACAGACAGTACCTGGAAAATCAGGACACTCCCACCCTAATACTGCGCTTTTCCAACGGTCTTAGCAAACGGCACACCAGGAGATTATATCCCGCGCCTGCTTTGGAGGATCTCACTCCCTCGGAGCTGTGCTCACTGCTAGCACAGCAGTCTGAGATTGAACTGCAAGGCAACAGCGAGGCTGGGGGAGCAGCGTCTGCCATTGCTGAGGCTTGAATAGGTAAACAAAGCAGACTGGGTGGAGCCCACTGCAGCTCAAGGAGGCCTGCCTGCCTCTGTAGACTCCACCTCTGGGGGCAGAGCATATCTGAACAAAAGGCAGCAGAAACTTCTGCAAACTTAAACATCCCTTTCTGACAGCTTTGAAGAGAGTAGTGGTTCTCCCAGCACGGAGTTTGAGATCTGAGAATGGACAGACTGCCTCCTCAAGTGGGTCCCTGACCCCGAGTAGCCTAACTGGGAGACATCTCACAGTAGGGGCCAACTGACACCTCATACAGCTGGGTGCCCCTCTGAGACAAAGCTTCCAGAGGAAGGATCAGGCAGCAACATCTGCTGTTCTGCAATATTTGCTGTTCTGCAGCCTCCGCTGGTGATACCCAGGCAAACAGGGTCTGGAGTGGACCTCCAGCAAACTCCAACAGACTTGCAGCTGAGGGTCCTGACTGTTAGAAGGAACACTAACAAACAGGACATCTACACCAAAACCCTATCTGCACGTCACCATCATCAAAGACCAAAGGTAGGTAAAACCCTAAAGATGGGGAGAAACCAGAGCAGAAAAGCTGAAAATTCTAAAAATCAGAGCACCTCTTCTCCTCCAAAGGAACGCAACTCCTCACCAGCAATGGAACAAAGCTGGATGGAGAATGACTTTGATGAGCTGAGAGAAGAAGGCTTCAGACGATCGGTAATAACAACTTCTCCGAGCTAAAGGAGGATGTTCGAACACATCGCAAAGAAGATAAAAACCTTGAAAAAAGACGAATGGCTAACTAGAATAAACAGTGTCGAAAAGTCCTTAAATGACCTGATGGAGCTGAAAACCAAGGCACGAGAACTACGTGATGCATGCACAAGCTTCAGTAGCTGATTTGATCAAGTGGAAGAAAAGGTATCAGTGACTGAAGATCAAATGAATGAAATGAAGCGAGAAGAGAAGTTAAGAGAAAAAAGAGTAAAAAGAAACGAACAAAGCCTCCAAGAAACATGGGAGTATGTGAAAAGACCAAATCTACATCTGATTGGTGTACCTGAAAGTGACGGGGAGAATGGAACCAAGTCGGAAAACACTCTTCAGGATATTATACAGGAGAACTTCCCCAACCTAGCGAGGCAGGCCAACATTCAAATTCAGGAAATACAGAGAATGCCACAAAGATACTCCTCAAGAAGAGCAACTCCAAGACACATAATTGTCAAATTCACCAAAGTTGAAATGATGGAAAAAATGTTAAGGGCAGCCAGAGAGACAGGTCGGGTTACCCACAAAGGGAAGCCCATCAGACTAACAGCGGATCTCTTGGCAGAAACTCTACAAGCCAGAAGAGAGTGGGGGCCAATATTCAACATTCTTAAAGAAAAGAATTTTCAACCCAGAATTTCATATCCAGCAAAACTAAGCTTCATAAGTGAAGGAGAAATAAAATCCTTTACAGACAAACAAATGCTGAGAGATTTTGTCACCACCAGGCCTGCCCTACAAGAGCTCCTGAAGGAAGCACTAAACATGGAAAGGAACAACCGGTACCAGCCACTGCAAAAACATGCCAAATTGTAAAGACCGTTGATGCTAGGAAGAAACTGCATCAACTAATGAGCAAAATAACCAGCTAACATCATAATGACAGGATCAAATTTACACATAACATTATTAACCCTAAATGTAAATGGGCTAAATGTTTCAATTAAAAGACACAGACTGGCAAATTGGATAAAGAGTCAAGACCCATCAGTGTGCTGTATTCAGGAAACCCATCTCACTTGCAGAGACACACATAGGCTCAAAATAAAGGGATGGAGGAAGATCTACCAAGCAAATGGAAAACAAAAAAAAGCAGGGATTGCAATCCTAGTCTCTGACAAAACAGACTTTAAACCAACAAAGAACAAAAGAGACAAAGAAGGCCATTAATAATGGTAAAGGGATCAATTCAACAAGAAGAGCTAACTATCCTAAATATATATGCACCCAATACAGGAGCACCCAGATTCATAAAGCAATTCCTTAGAAACCTACAAAGAGACTTAGACTCCCACACAATAATAATGGGAGACTTTAACACCCCACTGTCAACATTAGACAGTTCAATGAGACAGAAAGTTAACAAGGATATCCAGGAATTGAACTCAGCTCTGCACCAAGCAGACCTAATAGACATCTACAGAACTCTCCACCCCAAATCAACAGAATATACATTCTTCTCAGCACCACATCACACTTATTTCGAAATTGACCACATAGTTGGAAGTAAAGCACTCCTCAGCAAATGTCAAAGAACAGAAATTATAACAAACTATCTCTCAGACCACAGTGCAATTAAACTAGAACTCAGGATTAAGAAACTCACTCAAAATCGCTCAACTACATGGAAATTGAACAACCTGCTCCTGAATGACTACTGGGT
Organism: Homo sapiens; assembly: GCF_000001405.40. Taxonomy (NCBI): domain Eukaryota; kingdom Metazoa; phylum Chordata; class Mammalia; order Primates; family Hominidae; genus Homo; species Homo sapiens. Next base: position 110,907,187 of record NC_000006.12, read on the forward strand.
AAATAATGAAATGAAGGCAGAAATAAAGATGTTCTTTGAAACCAATGAGAACAAAGTCACAACATACTAGAATCTCTGGGACACATTTAAAGCAGTGTGTAGAGGGAAATTTATAACACTAAATACCCACAAGAGAAAGCGGGAAAGATCTAAAATTGACACCCTAACATCACAACTAAAAGAACTAGAGAAGCAAGAGCAAACACATTCAAAAACTAGCAGAAGGCAAGAAATAACTAAGATCAGAGCAGAACTGAAGGAGATAGAGACACAAAAAAACCTTAAAAAAATAAATGAATCCAGGAGCTGGTTTTTTGAAAACATCAACAAAATTGATAGACTGCTAGCAAGACTAACAAAGAAGAAAGGAGAGAAGAATCAAATAGATGCAATAAAAAATGATAAAGGAGATATCACCACCGATCCCACAGAAATACAAACTGCCAACAGAGAATACTAAAAACACCTCTACACAAATAAACTAGAAAATCTAGAAGAAATGGATAAATTCCTGGACACATACACCCTCCCAAGACTAAACCAGGAAGAAGTTAAATCCCTGAATAGATGAATAGCAGGTTCTGAAATTGAGGCAATAATTAATAGCCTACCAACCAAAAAAAGTCCAGAACCAGATGGATTCACAGCCAAATTCTACCAGAGATACAAAGAGGAGCTGGTACCATTCCTTCTGAAACTCTTCCAATCAATAGAAGAAGAGGGAATCCTCCCTAATTCATTTTATGAGGCCAACATCATCCTGATACCAAAGCCTGGCAGAGACGCAACAAAAAAAGAGAATTTTTGACCAATATGCCTGTTGAACATCGATGCAAAAATCCTCAATAAAATACTGGCAAACCAAATCCAGCAGCACATCAAAAAGCTTATCCACCATAATCAAGTTGGCTTCATCCCTAGGATGCAAGGCTAGTTCAACATATGCAAATCAATAAACATAATCCATCATATAAACAGAACCAAAGACAAAAACCACATGATTATCTCAATAAATGCAGAAAAGGCCTTCGACAAAATTCAACAGCCCTTCATGCTAAAAACTCTCAATAAACTAGGTATTGATGGGACCTATATCAAAATCATAAGAGCTATTTATGACAAACCCACAGCCAATATCATACTGAATGGGCAAAAACTGGAAGCATTCCCTTTGAAAACTGGCACAAGACAGGGACGCCCTCTCTCACCACTCCTATTCAACATAGTGTTGGAATTTCTGACCAGGGCAATCAGGCAGGAGAAAGAAATAAAGGATATTCAGTTAGGAAAAGAGGAAGTCAAATTGTCCCTGTTTGCAGATGACATGATTGTATATTTAGAAAACCCCATCATCTCATCCCAAAATCTCCTTAAGCAGATAAGCAAGCTTCAGCAAAGTCTCAGGATACAAAATCAGTGTGCAAAAATCACAAGCATTCCTATACACCAATAACAGACAAACAGCCAAATCATGAGTGAACTCCCATTCACAATTGCTTCAAAGAGAATAAAATACCTAGGAATCCAACTTACAAGGGATGTGAAGGACCTCTTCAAGGAGAACTACAAACCACTGCTCAATGAAATAAAAGAGGACACAAACAAATGGAAGAACATTCCATGCTCATGGATAGGAAGAATCAATATCGTGAAAGTGGCCATACTGCCCAAGGTACTTTATAGATTCAATGCCATCCCCATCAAGCTACCAATGACTTTCTTCATGGAATTGGAAAAAACTACTTTAAAGTTCATATGGAACAAAAAAAGAGCCTGCATTGCCAAGAGAGTCCTGAGTCAAAAGAACAAAGCTGGAGGCATCACGCTACATGACTTCAAACTATACTACAAGGCTACAGTAACCAAAACAGCATGGTACTCGTACCAAAACAGAGATATAGACCAATGGAACACAACAGAGCCCTCAGAAATAATACCACACATCTACAACCATCTGATCTTTGACAAACCTGACAAAAACAAGAAATGGAGAAAGGATTCCCTATTTAATAAATGGTGCTGGGAAAACTGGCTAGCCATATGTAGAGAGCTGAAACTGGATCCCTTCCTTACACCTTACACAAAAATTAATTCAAGACAGATTAAAGACTTAAATGTTAGACCAAAACCATAAAAACCCTAGAAGAAAACCTAGGCAATACTATTCAAGACATAGGCATGGGCAAGGACTTCATGACTAAAACACCAAAAGCAATGGCAACAAAAACCAAAATTGACAAATGGGATCTAATTAAACTAAAGAGCTTCTGCACAGCAAAAGAAACTACCATCAGAGTGAACAGGCAACCTACAGAATGGGAGAAAATTTTTACAATCTACCCATCTGACAAAGGGCTAATATCCAGAATCTACAAAGAACTCAAACAAATTTACAAGAAAAAATCAAACAACCCCATCAAAAAGTGGGCAAAGGATATGAACAGACACTTCTCAAAAGAAGACATTTATGCAGCCAACAGACACATGAAAAAATGCTCATCATCACTGGCTATCAGAGAAATGCAAATGAAAACCACAATGAGATACCATCTCACACCAGTTAGAATGGCAATCATTAAAATGTCAGGAAACAATAGGTGCTGGAGAGGATGTGGAGAGACAGGAATGCTTTTACACTGTTGATGGGACTGTAAACTAGTTCAACTATTGTGGAAGACAGTGGCAATTCCTCAAAGATCTAGAACTAGAAATACCATTTGACCCAGCCATCCCATTACTGGGTATATACCCAAAGGATTATAAAGCATGCTGCTATAAAGACACATGCACACATATGTTTATTGTGGCACTATTCACAATAGCAAAGACTTGGAACCAACCCAAATATCCATCAATGATAGGCTGGATTAAGAAAATGTGGCACGGCCAGGCGCCGTGACTCACACCTATAATCCCAGGACTTTGGGAGGACGAGGCAGGCGGATCACGAGGTCAGGAGATCGAGACTATCCTGGCTTACATGGTGAAACCCCGTCTCTGCTAAAAATACAAAAAATTAGCTGGGCATGGTGGCAGGCGCTTGTAGTCCCAGCTGCTTGGGAGGCTGAGGCAGGAGAATGGCATGAACCCGGGAGGCAGAGCTTGCAGTGAGCCAGGATCGCGCCACTGCACTCCAGCCTAGATGACAGAGAGAGACTCTGTCTCAAAAAAAAAAAAAAGAAAAGAAAATGTGGCACATATACACCATGGAATACTATGCAGCCATAAAAAATGATGAGTTCATGTCCTTTGTAGGGACATGGATGAAGCTATAAACCATCATTCTGAGCAAACTATTGCAAGGACAGAAAACCAAACACCACATGTTCTCACTCATAGGAGGGAATTGAACAATGAGAACACTTGGACACAGGATGGGGAATATCACACACCGGGGCCTGTCCTGGGGTGAGATGGGGGGGAAGGCTAGCATTAGGAGATATACCTAATGTAAATGACAAGTTAACGGGTGCAGCACACCAACATGGCATATGTATACATATGTAACAAACCTGCACGTTGTGCACATGTACCCTAAAACTTGAAGTATAATTAAAAAAAAAGAAAGAAAAAAAATCACAGGACAGGAATTATAGCATTTTAACACAGATAAGAGCTCAGCAGCCAGGCACGGTGGCTCACACCTGTAATCCCCACAACTTTGGGAGGCGGAGATGGGCAGATCATTTGAGGCCAGGAGCTGGAGACCAGCTTTGCCAACATGGCGAAACTCCGTCTCTATTAAAAATACAAAAATTAGCTGGACGTGGTGGCGCACGTCTGTAATCCCAGCTATTCGGGAAGCTGAGGCAGGAGAACTGCTTGAATCTGGGAGGCGGAGGTTGCAGTGAGCCGAGATCACGCCACTGCACTCTAGCCTGGGCGACAAACAGAGGCTCTGTCTCAAAAAAAAACAAAAAAAAACTTCAACTATTGAGACAGGCTTGGATCAATTCATGGTTCTGATAATTATTAGCTGTGTTTCCTGAGGCAAGTATTTTTTTTTTTTTTTTTTGAGACGGAGTCTTGCTGTGTCCCCCAGGTTGGAGTGCAGTGGCGTGATCTCAGCTCACTGCAAGCTCCGCCTCCTGGGTTCACTCCATGCTCCTGCCTCAGCCTCCCAGGTAGTTGGGACTACAGGCGCCCGCCAACACGCCTGGCTAATTTTTTGTATTTTTAGTAGAAACGGGGTTTCACCGTGTTAGCCAAGATGGTCTCGATCTCCTGACCTCGTGATCCGCCCGTCTCGGCCTCCCAAAGTGCTGGGATTACAGGCGTGAGCCACCGCACCCGGCCGCCAGGCAAGTATCTTAAGCTGACTAAACCTCATTTTCCTTGATATCTGCAAAAAGTCTAAAATGAATGAAGGATAAAATGAAGAGGCACTATTTACTGCACCTGCTTTAAACACTGTGAGTATTAAATGCAATATTTCAAGTATAGTGCTTAACACAGTCGTTGGCAGATTATAAGCACTTTATAAATATTAGTTAATACTATCATTTCCTTGTAGATTTAATTGCTTTTATTGATTTTGAGATGCGTTTAAAAAAAAAAAAAGAACCACTAGGGCTTTCAACATATCTTTCTAACATGATATGGCTCATTTCTAACCAATGTTGGTTTTTTTTAAGAGACAGAATCTTAAAAAAAAAAAAGAGGGTCTCACTCTGTAACCCAGGCTGGAATGCACTGGCTCAGTCATGGCTCACTTCAAGGTTGAACTCCAGGGCTCAAGGGATCTACCTGCCTCACTCTCCCAAAGAAGTGCTGGGATTCAGAAGTGAGCCCCACCATGCCCTGCTCTTTGTGGTTTGGTTATTATTATTATTATTATTATTATTTTTAAGGCAGAGCCAACCAGGCGCGGTAGATCATGCCTGTAATACCAGCATTTTGGGAGGCTGAGGTGGGCGGATCACGAGGTCAGGAGATAGAGACCATCCTGGCTAACGTGGTGAAACCCCATCTCTACTAAAAATACAAAAAATTAGCCAGGCGTGGTGGCACCTGCCTGTAGTCCCAGCTACTAGGGAGGCTGAAGCAGGAGAATCGCTTGAACCCGGGAGGCGGAGGTTGCAGTGAGCCGAGATCGCACCACTGCACTCCAGGCTGGGCGACAGAGCAACAGAGTGAGACTCTGTCTCAAAAAAAAAAAAAAAAAAGAAAAAAAGCCTTGCTCTTTTACCCAGGCTGGAGAGCAGAGGCCCAATCATGGCTCACTGCAACCTCGACCTCCCAGACTCAACCAATCCTCCCTACCTCAGCCTCCTGAGTAGCTGGGACCACAGGCACATGCCACCACACCTGGCTAATTTTTATTTATTTTTATTTTTATTTTTTTGTAGAGACAGAGTCTTGCCATGTTGCCCAGGCTCGTCTCGAGCTTCTGGGCTCAAGCAATCCTCCCACCTTGGCCTCTCAAAGTGCTGGGATTACAGGCATGAGCCACTGATCCCGGCCATCAACATAGAATTCTTTACCCAACAAAAATATCTTTCAAAAACCTAAGTAAGATAGGTTTCAGACATATAGCATCATTAATAATTAGAGAAATACAAACTAAACCACAATGAGATTATCACTACACACCCATTAGAAGGGCTACAATTTAAAAGATGGGAGTGTGGAATCAACTCAAATGTCCATCAGCTAATGAGTGGATAAACAAAATACTCATACAATTAAATATTATTCAGCAATAAAAATAAAGTGCTGCTACATGTTACAACATGGATGAACCCTGAAAACCTAATATGTTAAGTGAAAGAAAGTCACAAAAGACCTTGTATCATATGATTCTGTTTAATGTAAAATGTATAGAATAGGCAAATCCACAGAGAGAAAGTATATTAGTGGGTGCATAGGACTAGGGGGAAAAGATCTGGGGGAAGAATGAGGTGTTACCACTAAATAGTATGGGGGTTTTCTTTTTTAAAATGTTCTAAAATTGGTTATAGTGATGCACAATTCTGCGAATACAATAAACAATGTTTTACTTTTTCTTTTTTTTAAATGGAGTTGCGCTCTTGTTGCCCAAGCTGGAGTGTAATGGTGTGATCTCGGCTCACTGCAACCTCTGCCTCCCAGGTTCAAGTGATTCTCCTGCCTCAGCCTCCCGAGTAGCGGGGATTACAGGAACGCGCCACCACACCCAGCTAATTTTTTGTATTTTTAGTAGAGACAGTGTTTCACCAAGTTGGCCAGGCTGGTCTTGAACTCCTGACCTCAGGTGATCCACCTGCCTCAGCCTCCCAAAGTGTTGGGATTACAGGTGTGAGCCACCGCATCCGGCTATTTTTTGTATTATTATTTTTTTTACAGACAGAGTCTTGCTCTGCGCCCAGGCTGGAGTGCAGTGGTGTAATCTCAGCTCACTGCAACCTCTGCCTCCCAGGTTCTAGCAATTCTCCCGCCTCAGCCTCCCAAGTAACTGGGACTAGAGGCACACACTGACAAACCTGGCTAATTTTTTTTATTTTAGTAGAGATGGGGTTTCACTGTGCTGCCCAGGCTGCTCTCAAACTTCTGAGCTCAGGCAATCCACCCGCCTCAGCCTTCCAAAGTGCTAGGATTACAGGTGTGAGCCACCGCACCCAGCCAATTTTTTATTTTAAATGTGCAAATTGTATGGTATGTGAATTATATCTCAATAGAACTATGTTTTTAGAAAAGGCTGGCATGTTGGAGAGAATATATACTGGAACTGGACCTCTCATACACTGCTGGTAGGTACAACCACTAGAGTTTGTCAGTTTCTTAAAAAGTTAAAAATACGGCCAGGCGCAGTGGCTCACACCTGTTATCCCAGCACTTTGGGAGGCCGAGGAGGGCGGATCACTTGAGGTCAGAGTTTGAGACCAGCCTGGCCAACATGGTGAAACCCTGTCTCTAATTTAAAAAATATAAAAATTAGCTGGGCATGGTGGCGGGCACCTGTAACCCCAGCTACTCAGGAGGCTGAGGCAGGAGAATCGCTTGAAGCCGGGAGGCAGAGGTTGCAGTGAGGCGAGATCACACCACTGGACTCCAGCCTGGGTGACGGTGCGAGACTCTGTCTCAAGAAAAAAAAAAAAAAAGTTAAAAATACATGTACCATATGAACCAGCCAATCCAGTCCTAGATATTTAACCAAGAGAAATGAATGTATATGTTCATATACAGACTTGCACATGAATGTTTATAGCAGCTTTATTTGTAATAGTTGAACTCTGGAAACAACCCAAAGTCTGTCAATAATAGGTAAAGAATAAACAAGTCATGGTATAATCCACATAATGGAATACTGCTCAGCAAGAAAAAGAAATAGACTCACATAAAGGGTGTGGTAGGCAGGTGGATGAAGTTAAAAGAGGGCAACATGAGACCCTTAAGATGACAAAGCCATTCTGTATCTTTCTTTTTTTTTTAGAGATGGGGTCTCACAGGCACAGTGGCTTATGCCTGTAATCCCAGGCAGTTTGGAAGGCCAAGGTAGGCAGATAGCTTGAGTCCAGGAGTTTGAGACCAGCCTGGGCAACATGGTGAAACCCCAACTCTACCAAAAAAAAAAAAAAAAAATACAGAATGGCTTTATCATATGAAGGGGAGGTCAAGGCTTCAGGAGCCATGACTGTACCACTGCACGCTAGCCTGCGCAACTGACTGAGACCCTGTCTCAAAATAATAATAATATCACACCTGTAATCCCAGCACTTTGGGAGGCCGAGGTGGGCGGATCACCTGAGGTCAGGAATTCAAGACCAGCCTGACCAACATTGTGAAACCCAGTCTCTACTAAAAAGACAAAATTAGCCGGGCGTGATGGTGTGTGCCTGTAATCCCAGCTACTCGGGAGGCTGAGGCAGGAGAATTGCTTGAATCTGGGAGGCGGGCCATTGCACTCCAGCCTGGGCAACAGGGGCAAAACTCCGTCTCAAAAAAAAAAAAAAAGTATTGGCCAGGCATGGTGGCACATGTCTGTAAACTCAGCTACTTGGGAGGCTGAGGAGGGAGAACTGCTTGAACTCAGGAGGCGGCGGTTGCAGTGAGCCAAGATTGCGCCATTGCACTCCAGCCTAGGCAACAAGCACGAAACTCCGTCTCAAAATAATAATAATAATACAGAGAGCTCTTCTGTACCATTTACCCAGTTTCCCACAATGTTAACATCTTACAAAACTAGAGTACAACATCGCAACCAGGATATTGACCTTGATACAATCTACTGATCATATACTCTTTTTTTTTTTTGAGACAGTCTCACTCTGTCGCTCAGGCTGGAGCGCAGAGGTGAGATCTCAGCGTACTGCACACTGTGCCTCCCAGGTTCAAGCCATTCTCCTGCCTCAGCCTCCCAAGTAGCTGGGATTACAGGCACCTGCCACTACACCTGGCTAATTTTTTTGTATTTTTAGTAGAGGCAGGGTTTCACCATGTGGGTCAGTATGGTCTCCAACTCCTGACGTCAAATGATCCACCCACCTCGGCCTTCCAAAGTGCTGGGATTACAGGCATGAGCCACTACCACACCCACCCCACGTCTGGCCCTTTGATATTATATTCTTTTTTTTTTTTTTTTTAAGATGGAGTTTTGCTTTTGTTGCCCAGGTTGGAGTGCAATGGCGTGATCTCAGCTCACTGCAACCTCCACCTCCCACGTTTAAGCAATTCTCCTGCCTCAGCCTCCCTAGTAGCTGGGATTACAGGCATGTGTCACCACACCCGGCTAATTTTGTATTTTTAGTGGAAACGGGGTTTCTCCGTGTTGGTCAGTCTGGTCTCGAACTCCCGACCTCAGGTGATCTGCCCGCCTTGGCTTCCCAAAGTGCTGGGATTACAGGCATGAGCCACCACGCCCGGCCTTGATCTTATATTCTTGTTTTAGTTCTATACAATTTTATCACATGGATTCCTGTATGCCACTGGACTTAGCAGCTCACACCTGTAAATTCCTACACTTTGGGAGGCCAGGAGGAACACTTGCGGCCAGGAGTTTGAGACCAGCTGGGGCAACAGAGCAAGAATCCATCTCTATTTAAAAAAAAAAAAAGAAGAAAAAAAAAAAAATACAGGAGAAAACTTTGGGAGGTGATGGATATGTTTATTATCTTGATTGTGGTGACAGCTTTACACATGCAAATTTATTAAGTAGTACACTTTTTCATATGTGTAATTTGTTGTGTGTCAGTTATACCTCAGTAATGTGGTTTTTAAAAATTCTGGGCAAGGCATGGTGGCTCACGCCTGTAATCCCTGCACTTTGGGAGTCTGAGGTCAGGAGTTTGAGATCAGCCTGGCCAACATGATGAAACTCCATCTCTACTAAAAATACAAAAATTAGCCAGGCATGGTGGTGGGTGTCTATAATTTCAGTTACTTGGGAGGCTGAGGCAGGACAATGTCTTGAACCCGGGAGGCAGATGTTCCAGTGAGCTGAGATTGCACCACTGCACTCCAGCCTGGGCAACAGGAGCAAAACTCCATCTCAAAAAAAAAAAAAAAAAAAAAAAAAAAAAAAAATATATATATATATATATATATATATATATATATATATATATATATATATATACACACACACACATATGTTGGGAACAGGCCCCCAAATCTGGCCATAAACTGGTCCCAAAACTGGCCATAAACAAAATCTCTGCAGCACTGTGACATGTTCATGATGGCCATGATGCCCACACTGAGGGTTGTGGGTTTACCGGAATGCGGGCAAGGAACACCTGGCCTACACAGGGCAGAAAACCGCTTAAAGGCATTCTTAAACCACAAACAATAGCATAAGCAATCTGTGCCTTAAGGACATTCTCCTGCTGCAGATAACTAGCCAGAGCCCATCCCTTTGTTTCGGCCCATCCCTTTGTTTCCCCGTAAGGAATACTTTTAGTTAATCTATAGAAAGAATGCTTATCACTGGCTTGCCGTCAATAAATATGTGAGTCAAACTCTGTTTGGGGCTCTCAGCTCTGAAGGCTGTCAGCCCCCTGATCGCACTCCACACTCTATATTTCTGTGTGTGTGTCTTTAATTCCTCTAGCACCACAGGGTTAGGGTCTCCACAACCGAGTCTCAGCAAATGGTGCCCATACGTGGGGCTCGAACCTGGGTCGAAGGGTTGCCAGAGCGACAGTTGGAGAACAAGGAACTAAGCTGGATGACACCTGAGTACTCCTAAGCAATCCCTCTGGTGAGTGAGAAAGGGAGCTCAGAAGCATCAGGGTAACAATGGGACAAGTGTGGGCTCTGATTCATTCCACCTTGGAACCTTTTCACACTAATGATGAGGAGGAAGGAAAGTATAACGAAGTAGCAGAAGAGGTGACAGAGCAGGTTTGTTTGCCAGCTAAAGCTAAAGCAGCAAAAGAGGAAGAGGTTCATCCCTACCCTTCTGCATCCTCTCATTATTTTGAAGAAAAAGAGTGGCCTGACCCTCCAGATCTTTCTTTTCTGGAGGACACTGGGCAAAAAGTAGTTGCCCCAGTGACTGTTCGAGCAGCACCTCGAGTGACCGCTTTCAGTTCTACTCAGGCAGGAATCCAGTAAGCTAGAAGAGAGGGTGATTTAGAGGCTTGGCAGTTCCCTGTTAGAATACATCCCCCAGATCAACAGGGAAATATTATAGCTACATTTGTGCCTTTTCCTTTTAAATTACTCAAAGAATTTAAACAAGCTATCAATCAGTATGAACCAGGTCTATGCCCGAAGTGTAAAAAAGGAAAACATTGGGCTAATCAGTGTCACTCTAAGTTTGATAAAGATGGGAACTCGATTTCAGGAAATGCCATGAGGGGCCTGTCCTGGGCCCCGTTCCAAACCGGGGCATTTCCAGCTCAGGCCATTCCCCCACCTGTGTACAATGCCTGTCCCCCACCACAGCCAGTAGTGCTGCAGTAGATTTTTGCTGCACAAAAGCTGTGAGCCTTCTACGTGGAGAACCCCCACAAAAAGTTCCAACGGGGGTCTGTGGACCCTTGCCAGCAGGGACGATATGATTACTTCTAGGTAGATCTAGTTTAAATTTAAAAGGAGTGCAAGTACATTCAGATTACAATGGGGAAATTCATCAATTCATCATTGATTCAGATAACAAATCAATTCATCATTGATTCAGATTACAATGGGGAAATTCAAATTGTTATATCTACTTCTGTTCCCTGGAAAGCAGAGCCAGGAGAGCTCCTGATTGTGCCATATGTGGAAATGGGGAAAAGTGAAGTTAAACGAACAGAAGGATTTGGAAGCACAAATAAATAAGGCAAAGCAGCTTACTGGGTGAATCAAATTGCTGATAAACATCCTACCTATGAAATAACTATTCAGGGAAAGAAATTTAAAGGTTTGGTAGATACAGGAGTGGACATTTCAATCATTTCTCTACAGCACTGGCCGTCCACGTGGCCAATTCAACCCGCTCAATTTAACATAGTTGGAGTTGGTAAAGGCCCTGATGTATACCAAAGTAGTTATATTTTGCATTGTGAAGGGCCTGATGGACAACTTGGGACTATTCAACCAATTGTAACTTCTGTGCCTATAAATTTATGGGGGAGAGATTTATTACAACAATGGGGAGCACAAGTTTTAATTCCAGAGCAATTATATAGCCCTCAAAGTCAACATATGATGCATGAATGGGGTATGTCCATGGTATGGGACTAGGAAAAAATTTGCAAAGTTTGAAGGAACCACTTCAAGTGGAAAGACAAAATTCCCGCCAAGGTTGAGGATATCATTTTTGATGGCAGCCATTGTTAAGCCTCTAGAACCTACACCTTTTAAATGGTTAACAGATAAGCCAATTGGATAACAGATAAGCCAATTTGGATAGAACAATGACCGCTAAGTAAAGAGAAACTGGAGGCTTTAGAGGACTTAGTTAATGAACAATTAGAAAAAGGATACATAGCTCCAATATTTTCCCCTTGGAATTCTCCAATTTTTGTAATTAATAAAAAATCAGGTAAATGGAGAATGTTAACTGATGTATGAGCCATTAATTCAGTTATACAACCAATGGGACATTGCAGCCAGGACTGCCTTCTCCTGCTATGATTCCAAAAAATTGGCCTTTAATAGTCATAGATTTAAGACTGTTTCTTTACTATCCCCTTAGCTGAGCAAGACTGTGAACGGTTTGCATTTACAATTCCTGCAGTAAACAACCTACAGCCTGCTAAGCGTTTTCATTGGAAAGTGTTGCCACAAGGCATGTTAAATAGTCCAACAATTTGCCAGACTTATGTAGGGCAAGCAATTGAACCTACTCGTAAAAAATTTTCACTGTGTTAAATTATTCACTATATGGATGATATATACTTTGTGCTGCCCCCACTCAGGAAATATTACTCCAATGTTATGATCACTTGCAAAATTCGATTTCTCATGCTGGTTTAATTATAGCTCCTGACAAAATTCAGACTACTACTCCTTACTCCTACTTGGGGACCTTAGTAAATGACACTACCATTGTGCCACAGAAAGTAACCATATGTAGGGATCAATTGAAAACATTAAATGACTTTCAAAAATTACTAGGGGACATTAATTGGATACAATCTGCTCTAGGCATTCCTACCTATGCCATGAGTAATCTATTTTCTATCCTTAGAGGAGATCCTAGTTTCACTAGCCCTCAGCAATTAACAAGAGAAGCTGAGGCAGAGCTGCAGCTAATCAAAAAGCAAGTCGATAAAGCTCAAATAAATGGAATAGATCCAGAGAAGACTCTAGATTTGCTAACTTTTCCAACTCAGCATTCACCTACTTGTGTTATTGTTCAAGAGGAAGATCTTGTAGAGTAGCTTTTTCTTCCACATACTAATTCACGAACTCTAACTCCTTATTTGGATCAAATCACTACTATGATAGGAAATGGGAGAACTCAGATTGTTAAATTACATGGATATGATCCTGGAAAAATTATTGTCCCTCTCACAAGGGCACAAATACAGCAAGCTTTTATAAATAGTCTTACTTGGCAAACCCATTTAGCTGACTTTGTGGGTATTCTCAATCATTTCCCTAAAACAAAATTATTTCAATTTTTGAAATTAACTAATTGGATTCTCCCTAAAATAACTAAATTTAAACCAATTGAAGGTGCTGAAAATGTTTTTACAGATGGGTCTGGTAATGGTAAAGCTTCTTATTCTGGCTCGAAAGGTAAAGTTTTTCAGACGCCCTATACTTCAGTTCAAAAAGCAGAGCTTGTAGCTGTAATTGAGGTATTGACTGCTTTTGATATGCCTACTAATGTGATTTCTGATTCTTCATACGTGGTTCATTCCACACAGTTAATTGAAAATGCTCAGTTACGATTTCATACAGATGAATAACTGATGACTTTATTTACCCAATTGCAAATAGCAGTTAGGAGTAGAATGCACCCTTTTTACATCACTCACATTAGGGCTCATACACCTCTTCCAGGACCTTTGACTGCAGGGAATCAAATGGCTGATCATCTAGTTGCTACTGCAATATCTAATGCTAGACACTTTCACAATTTAACCCAAGTTAATGCCTCTGGTCTCAAATGCAGATACAGCATTGCCTGGAAAGAAGCTAAAGCTCTTATCCAGTGAAGCCCAACTTGCCAAATGGTGCATTCCTCATCTTTTACAGGAGGAGTTAATCCTTGAGTATTGGAACCTAATTCTCTTTGGCAAATGGATGTCACACATGTTCCCTCGTTTGGGAGACTAGCTTATGTACATGTATGTGTGGACACCTTTTCTCACTTTGTCTGGGCTACATGCCAGTCAGGAGAGTCTTCTGCCTGTGTTAAATGTCATCTTTTGCAGTGTTTTGTGGGGATGGGCATTCCAGCTTCTATTAAAACAGATAATGCCCCAGGTTATACTAGCCAAGCTCTAGCTACATTTTTCTCAGTATGGAATATTAAACACATTACTGGCATCCCATATAATTCTCAAGGACAAGCCTTTGTAGGACGAATGAATCTCTCCCTAAAATGACAATTGCAAAAGCAGAAAGGGGGAAATAGGGATTATGGAACACCCCATATGCAACTGAATCTAGCATTATTGACTTTAAATTTTTTGAGCCTGCCTAAAGGCCAGATGCTATCAGCTGCTGAACAACATCTACAGAAACCAGCTGCAAAGACAGAAGCAGAACAACTGGTTTGGTGGAGAGATCTGATAACAAAAAGTTGGGAAATAGGTAAAATAATAACTTGGGGTGCAGGTTATGCTTGTGTTTCTCCAGGACCAAATCAACAGCTGATTTGGATACCATCAAGACACCTGAAACTTTATCATGAGCCAGATGCCAAGGAAAAGATTCCAAGAGGATCCCAAGGACCCCCCGGTTGCAGCCATGTTGAGACTGATGCTGAGGAGGACCCCAACTGTCATGAGCAACACCCATCGAACACAGCCACCCACCTGGGGACAGATCAAGAAGCTGTCACAGATGGCAGAAGAAAACCTGAGGAAAGCAGGACAACCAGTCACAACGAATAATTTAATGATAGCTATGATAGCAGTTATCACCACTGCCATGAGTATTCCTTCAATAAGGGCTGACACAGAGAACAATTATAGTTATTGGCTATATTTATCAATCTTGGCTTGCAATAATGCCTGGATGTAATCACTCTATGACACAGTTACACATGCTTTCTGATCTCAGTATTTACCATAATAAATCTGCTCCTATAATTGAGGTATACAACCCTCAAAAACGTATTTGCAAACAGAATTGAACCTGGCCAGAAATAATGAACTTACTTGTTTGGGAAGATTGCATTGCAGAATGGGCAGAGGTGCTGCGCAATGATTCCTATGGAATCACTATTGATTGGTCCCCTAAGGGGATGTTTAGCTTGAATTGCACCTCTCAGTCTGAGTGCCACAGTTGTACTATGTTCAGCTGGTGTGATCAGCTGGTGTGAACAAAATGGTCAGATGGTAGAAACGGTAGGAAGTATGGCAAGAGTTCCTATTATCTGGAACCATGGCAGTATAGTGGCACCTCAACCTCAAATGATATGGCCTGTTGTAGGAGCTAAACATAAGGATTTGTGGAAACTATTAATGGCTCTTAATAAGATCAAAATTTGGGAAAGAATAAAAAAGCATCTAGAAGGACACTCTACAAACTTGTCTTTGGACATTGCAAAAGCAAAGGAACAAATATTTAAAGCATCCCAGGCACACCTGATCTTAATGTCAGGAACTGGAGTGCTTGAAGGAGTGGCAGACAGATTAGCAGCTAGTAATCCATTAGAATAGATAAAGACACTTTTGGAGGCTCTGTTATTTCAATGACGATTGTGCTTTTAATCTGTGTTGTTTGTCTTTGTATAGTCTGCAGATGCAGATCCCAGCTCCTGCGAGAAGTAGCTCACCAAGACACAGCTGCCTTTGCTTTTATTGCTTTGCAAAACAAAAAAGGGAGACATGTTGGGAACAGGCCCCCAAAACTGGCCATAAACAAAATCTCTGCAGCACTGTGACATGTTCTTGATGGTCATGACGCCCACACTGAAGGTTGTGGGTTTACCAGAATGAGGGAAGGAACACCTAGCCCACCCAGGGCAGAAAACTGCTTAAAGGCATTCTTAAACCACAAACAATAGCATCAGCAATCTGTGCCTTAAGGACATGTTCCTGCTGCAGATAACTAGCCAGAGCCTATCCCTTTGTTTTGGCCCATCCCTTTGTTTCCTGTAAGGAATAATTTTAGTTAATCTATAGTCTATAGAAAGAATGCTTATCATTGGCTTGCCATCAATAAATATGTGGGTCAAACTCCGTTTGGGGCTCTCAGCTCTGAAGGCTGTCAGCTCCCTGATCCCACTCCACACTCTATATTTCTGTGTGTGTGTCTTTAATTCCTCTAATGCCACTGGGTTAGGGTCTCCATGACCAAGCTGGTCTCGGTATGCATATATATAAATTCCAAAAGTAGCTGCCTGCAGTGGTTCACAACTATAATCTCAGCACTTTGGGAGGCTGAGGTCAGAGAATAGCTTGAGCCCAGGAGTTTGAGATCAGTCTGGGCAACATAGGTGGACCTCATCTCTACAAAAAAAATTAAAAATTAGCCAGGTTAGTGGTGGCACATGCTTGTAGTCCCAGCTACTTGGGAGGTGGGGTGGGGAGGATCCATTTAGCCCAGGAGTTCAAGGCTGCAGTGAGGGTAACAGAGCGAGACCCTGTCTGAAAAAATTTTTTAAAATCCTGGCTGGGCGCGGTGACTCACACCTATAATCCCAACACTTTGGGAGGCCAAGGTGGGTGGATCACAAGGTCAGGAGTTCAAGACCAGCCTGACCAAGATGGTGAAACCCCATCTCTACTAAAAATACAAAAATTCCAGTTCTGGTGTCAGTTTGAGGCACCGCTGCCACCGCCGGAGCCATGATACCTAAAGGAGGGAGAAAGGGAGGCCACAAAGGCTGGGCGAGGCAATATACAAGCCCTGAGGAGATCGACACGCAGCTGCAGTCTGAGAAGCAGAAGGCCAGGGAAGAAGAGGAGCAAAAAGAAGGTGGAGACGGGGCTGCAGGTGACCCCAAAAAGGAGAAGAAATCTCTAGACTCAGATGAGAGTGAAGATGAAGATGACTACCAGCAAAGGCGCAAAGGTGTTGAAGGGCTCATTGACATCGAGAATCCCAACCGGGTGGCACAGACAACCAAAAAGGTCACACAACTGGATCTGGATGGGCCAAAGGAGCTTTTGAGGAGAGAACGAGAGGAGATTGAGAAGCAGAAGGCAAAAGAGCGTTACATGAAAATGCACTTGGCTGGGAAGAGATAGCAAACCAAGGCCAACCTGGCCTGGCTGGTCATCATCTGGAAACAGCAGGAGGACACTGCCCAGAAGAAGGAAGAGGAAAGGAAAGCAAAAGACGATGCCACATTGTCAGGAAAACGAATGCAGTCGCTCTCCCTGAATAAGTAACCGCGACCCATGGGAAGAGATGCTGGGGACCTGGGCTGCACTGCCAGGACCTCTGCTGTGTCTCGCCCACCCTGTGCCCTGGTGCTGCTGCAACAGCCCCTCACAGCCAGGAGCCCCCCCATGGCCTGGGGCCTCCTCTTCATCTTGGCACAGAAATTGTTTGAGGGATGTGGGGGTGGGGTGGGGGAGGGGCAGCTGTTATCTTTGACACAGAAAGATGCAGGACAGCATTTCATATGGAACCATTTTAATGTTTTTGCTGTTTTTAGAATTCAGAGCCCCTGCTCGGGGATGCCTGGGAGATCGGGTAAGAAGAGCTTTCATTTGTCTGGTAGATAGCACGTAATGGAGTGGTCGTGCCAGAAGGCAGCTGCTGACGGGTTTGCTACACCCAGCCCTGGACTGTGTTGCCTGGGAGCTCATTCAGAGAGGGGCTGTCATCTGGGAGCCTGCGCCCCTGGGTCCTTGAGGGTCATGGCTTGCCTCAGTCAGTCCTGTCTGACCAAGGCCTCACCTCTCTGCCCTTCCCCACCTGGTTCCTACCCACCTAGCCAGGGCCAGTGCCCATTTTTCACCCGACCCATTGATCATTTCAAGAAACCTCTGTTCTCCAGCCTGGACAACAGAGCAAGACTCTGTGTCAAAAAAAAAAAGAAAAGAAAAGAAAAGAAAAAAGAAACCTCTGTTTACTGTGTGGCACCTGGGAAAAACATGCTCCACAAATTCAACTTGTATATTTGGCAGATTAAACTTGACATTATCAAAAAAAAAAAAATTAGCCCAGCATGGTGGCAGGTGCCTGTAATCCCAGCTACTCGGGAGGCTGAGGCAGGAGAATCGCTTGAACCCGGGTGACAGAGGTTGCAGTGAGCTGAGACTGCGCCACTGCACTCCAGCCTAGGCAACAGAGACTCTGTCTCAAAAAAAAAATCCTGAAAGTTAAAATATCTCCAGAAATACAACTAAATTTTCTAATCGTGGTTCAACCAAATTGGCCCTCACTCTGCAAAAGAATAATAGGTTTCATCATCCAAATTTTGTTTGGAACCGAGGGGATCAATTCCGATTTAAAACACAGTACAAACTGTCATGTCAGGATTAGTTAGTTCTACAAGAAATCACAAAAACCCTGCAACCTATGGGTGGAGGTTGGCCACCACCTGAACCTGTTTCAATAGAGTGTCTATTGTAAGAAGTGAAACTGCCTTAGGCATTTTTTGAAAACTTATTTAGAGAATTTTGATAGCCGAGGAGTTTTTCCCACATTCACCAAATGCCAAAATATTTTAATTCTCTTATTTCCACAAACACCAAAGTTTTAATTGGTTTCCTTCTACTGCGCATGCACACACATATACTTTTTCTTTGCTAATTTTGGTAAAAGTTAAAACTTAAAGAAAAGCACGCTGGTATGTAAAATATTTCAAACTTGTGGGATTCTTTCTCCATAAAACCTCTATTAATTCCTAGGTTTCTGATTGCTATTTTTAAAACTCATTTGCTTTTATTAAGTAAATACTTGTACAAAGTATATTCAATAATTGAATTCATAAAAACACAAATGGTACAAAAGGGTAAAGTCTCTCACCTCTATTTCCACCCAATTCCCTTCCCCAAGGGGTCCAGTTTTGCCAGTTTCTTGTATGAATTGTCAGAAAGTCTGCGCGTATACAGGCGTGTGTGTGTGTGTGTGTGTGTGTGTGTACACAGCACGTAGTCTTAGTATCTCGGTTGGTTTTTTTTTTTTTGAGACGGAGTTTCACTCTTGTTGCCCAGGCTGGAGTGCAATAGCGCAGTATCAGCTCACTGTAACCTCTGCCTCCTGGGTTCCAGCGATTCTCCTGCCTCAGCCTCCAGAGTAGCTGGGATTATAGGCACACACCACCACGCCCAGCTAATTTTTGTATTTTTAGTAGAGATGAGGTTTCTCCATGTTGGTCAGGCTGGTCTCAAACTCCTGACCTCATGATCCACCTGCCTCGGCCTCCCAAAGTTCTGGGATTACAGGCGTGAGCCACCTCACCTGGCAGTATCTCAGTTTTTTTAAAAAACAAAAAACTATAGGCCAGGCATGGTGGCTCATGCTTGTAATCCCAGCACTTTGGGAGGCTGGTGGGGGCAAATCACCTGAGCCCAGGAGTTAAAGACCAGCCTGGCCAACATGAAGAAATCCCGTTTCTACTAAAAATATCAAAATTAGCTGAGTGTGGTGGTGCATGCCTGTAATCCCAGCTACTCGGGAGGCTGAGGCATGAGAATCCCTTGAACCTGGGAGGCAGAGGTTGCAGTGAGCCAAGATCACGCCATTGCACTCCAGCCTGGGTAACAGAGTGAGACTGTCTCAAAAAACAAACAAAAAACTACACATTTTTTACATCATGAGATCTGATTATATTTAAAAAGCCCTATTTTTAAAATAGTTAACATATTCATGTGTTAAAATTCAATGTTTCCTTTGTTCCCTCCGTGCCTAGGAGGGGAAAACCTTTAGACAAATTCTAATAGAACTGTAAAGTTCAACAGGTTTCTCTTCTACGTTTCTGCTTCCATCTAGTTCTCCTAAACAACCAGTGTTTCCAGTTTGTTGTGTTTTCTATGCATATAGAGCCTGTTTTCCACTAATAACACAATCTTGCTCCATAAATGCAGGGACTCTGTCTATCTGGTTCACTGTTTCTTAACCGAATACAGTACCTAACACAGTTCCTGGCACATAGTAAATATTCATTAATCTTTTGGGGGGCTGGGAGCAGTGGCTCTCGCCTGTAATTCCAGCAGTTTGGGAGGCTGAGGTGGGCGGATTGCTCGAGTCCAGGAGTTGGAGGCCAGCCTGGGCAACATAGATCCCATCTCTGCAAAAAATAAAAATAATAGCCAGATGTGGTGGGCACCTGTCTTCCCAGCTACTTGGGAGGCTGAGGAAGGAGGATTGCTTGAGTCCAGGAGTTCGAGGCTGCAGTGAGCTGTGATCACGCCACTGAACTCCAGCCTAGGTGACAGAGCAAGACCCTGTCATAAAAAAAAATAATAAATCTTTTTGGAATGAAATAATATCCTTATCTCCCTATCCCTTACCTCCATTTCCAAATATACCTAGCAAGTCTAATTCTCTCATGTGAATTTTCTCAGCTTCATCCCTTCCTTGCTTTTTCTGTGATCACAGTCCCACTCAGTCTAATCACTACATGCCTTAGACCACTGCTACCTCCTGATGAATCTCCTATCTGTCTCCCACATAGATACATAGCTCTATGGAAAGAGAAGCCATGTCACGAGATGGTTAGAAGAGACACCAGGTTTAGACTCAGACAGCCTGAGTTCATATTCCAGGTCTGCTATTTAGAAGCAATGGGGCCTTGAGGAAGCAAGTTACCCAGGATCTGTGCCTCAGTTTCCTTGCCTGCACAACAGAGATGACAGTGTCTTCCTCATGGGGTAGTTGTAAGATTAAATGGGCTAATATGTAAAGCACTTACATATAAGACATATAAGAAATGTTCAATAAATGTCATTACTATGGCAAGAATAATCTTCCTCAAACACTGTTTGAATATGAAGCCCTTTTTCATAAACCTTGAATTGCTTTTAGCAGCTCCTCATAGAAACTGTAAATTATTTACACTGAGCCCTAAATCTCCTTATCAATTTAGCCCCTCCTCCTACTTACTCAACCAGTTTTTTTCTTTTTTCTTTCTTTCTTTCTTTTTTTTTTTTTTTTGAGATGGCGTTTCGCTATTGTTGCCCAGGCTAGAGTGCAATGGCATGATCTCAGCTCACCACAACCTCTGCCTCCCGACTTCAAGTTATTCTCCTGCCTCCAAGCTATTCTCCTGCCTCAGCCTCCTGAGTAGCTAGGACTACAGGTGCCCACCACCATGCCCAGCTAATTTTTGTATTTGTAGTAGAGATGGGGTTTCACTATTTATATACTTTGATATATTTTCAATTGTGTGTATCCAGATTATTCCAGTAGATTATAATGTCTTCAAAATCTGCCTGTCTATTCTTTTGTTACATCTTGTACATTATATTCACAATGTACACAAATATATTTTCATTTCCTCCTTCCCTCCCTCCTTCCCTTCATTCCTTCTTTCCATTTGATCATCCTCCAAATCCCCTGGCTTCCAGGAAAATGAAGACAATAAAATACAGAAAAGGCTGCGCCTGGGTATGGTCTGAGACAGGCTGCGGGAGCCTGTACCTAGGTGAGAGCAAAGCTGTCACTCCCAAAGTGCGTTCCTTTTAGAAAATTTGTATCTGAAGTATTTTGGGGGGTTGATATAAGCAACTAGTAAACCTTTAACAGTAAATCACTTATTATTGATCATCAGGATCATCATCAAATATTTATTTAGCAACTTTGTTATGAAGGCACCATGCTTACAGGATAAAGGAGAAATTACATGCTTCTTCCTGTGCTGAACTAAAAATCTAACGTGCTGAGGTGGGAGGATCGCTTGAGCCCAGGAGTTCTAGTCCAGCCTGGGCAACATAGGGAGACACTGTCTCTGATAAATAAATAATAAGTAAATAAATAAAAATCTAGTGTGGTGATAGAGACCCCACCCAAAATACTTAGCCACCTGAATGGTACAATAAATAAGAAAACGCCATAATTAAGTGCTGTAACAACCAATTAGTACTTCATAGAGAAGGATGAACCTCATCTGACCCCTGAAGAAAGATCAAATATTTAATGAGCATGAGGAAAAGCAAATATTTTAGGTGATGGACATTATATAAGTGTTATATTATTTAATGTGAAATGCCATTTAAAAACCACGTTTCACATTTATTTACTAGACAAAGAGATCATCAAATGACATTTATTGAGTACCCACTATCTGCAAAGTATTAGACAAGGTAGAATGGGGTATAGACATGCATAGGATGTGATCCCTGCCCTCCTAGAGATTATAATATAGTAAAGAATACAACATGTAAATAGCTGACTAGTAACTTGCAGAATGAAGGAAGCTCAGAGATCTGGAACCCCAAGAGTAGCATAAAGGTTTCCTGACTGCCACAGTGTTGTGTAGTCTAGAACACAACAAATCCCTTTAACGGCAAATTCTGACAAATGTGATAATTGTGGAGACAGCAGGTGAATAACTGAGTGCCTGTGCTTTGCATTACTGAATGAATTATGCTATATTTTATTCTACCCATCCTTATCATTATTTTCATTGTAGCTAGTTGTTGTTGTTGTTGTAGTTGTTGTTTGAGACGGAGTTTCACTCCTGTTGCCCAGGCTGGAGTGCAATGGCGCAATCTCGGCTCACTGCAACCTCCGCCTCCTGCGTTCAAGCAATTCTCCTGCCTCAACCTCCTGAGTAGCTGGGATTACAGGCATGCGCCACCAAGCCCAGCTAATTTTTTGTATTTAGTAGAGATGGGGTTTGATTGAGTATCCACTATCTGCAAAGGCACCTTCGTCTCCCAAAGTGCTGGGATTACAGGCGTGACCCACCACGCCTGGTCTGTAGCTTGTTTTGGTCAGTTCCTGTCACATGAGACCTTTTTGTTTCTGAAAAAACATTATGATGTGTGGAAAGGACCTTAGTATTATCCAATCCAATTTTCTCATTTTATAAATGGGCAGCTGAGGTCTGTTAAGGAACTTGCTTAAGGTCATAAGGCTTTTTTTCTTTCATTCATTTCTTTAATAAGAAAGGTACCTATAGGCCAGACGTGATGGCTCATGCCTGTAATTTTGGCACTTTGGAAGGCTGAGCTGGGAGGATTGCTTGAGGCCAGGAGTTTGAGACCAGCCTGGCCAACATGGTGAAACACTGCCTCCACTAAAATTACAAAAATTAGCTGGGCATGGTGACGAGTGCCTGTAATCCCAACTACTTGGGAGGCTGAAGAAGGAGAATCGCTTGAACCCAGGAGGTGGAGGTTGCAGTGAGCTGAGATCTCACCACTGCACTCCAGCATGAGCAACAGAGTGAGACTCTGTCTCAAAAAAAAAAAAAAAAGAAAAACAAAAACAAAAAAAGTGAGAGAGGCATTTGTTACTTTTATATTACAACTTGTCATTTTAGACATTTCTTAAACTTCCTGTTTCATGACTAATCCAGGATGTAACATCTATGACAGAAAGTTAATGCTGACATAACTAAGTACTCTATGAAATTTCTGCTGCCCATCTCCACATCCCCATTAGTAGTATAAAACTGTCTTTCTTTCTTTTCTTTTTTTTAAGACAGAGTCTTGCTCTGTTGCCAGGCTGGAGTGCAGTGGTGAGATCTCGGCTCACTGCAACCTACTCCTCCCGTGTTCAAGCAATTCTCCTGCCTCAGCCTCCTAAGTAGATAGGATTACAGGCATGCACCACCACACTCGGCTAATTTTTGTATTTTTAGTAGAGACAGGGTTTTACCATGTTGGCCAGGCTGGTCTTGATCTCCTGACCTCATGATCCACCCTCCTCAGCCTCCCAAAGAGCTGGGATTACAAGCATGAGCCACCGCACCCAGACAAAACTTTCTTTTCATGCCAGTTAAAAAAGAACCTTTGTTATTTCTCCCAGGAGAACGTCAATACTATCAAACACAACAATATGTAAGAAATATAAAATTACTTTTTCTTTGTATATTTTATTTTTTCCAAGTTTCAACTTTAAATAATACCCCACTGGATTTGGTAATATGCTTCTGAATAGAAATATATGTGGTTTTAATGGTAGGAATATTAGAAGAACTGAAGTTGCTTTTCCCCGCCCAGTTAATTCTTTTTTGCCCCTATTTTGAATCTTTATCTGCAAACTGGATTTTGCTCCAACTCATCAAATATCTAACTCCTGCAATGTGTATTGTCTTATGCTTGACATCAAAGGACACAATAAGAAGACTGGTCTGTACTCTCATATTGCTTATCAGATAGTGGGCAGTGTTTCATGGAACAAAAGGTTCATGAAAGACAAATAGATCCTGTTAGTTTACTGAAATGCAGGTTAAAAAAAAATGTCTTCTTCCTAAAGTGTATCCAAAGTTATCAGGGGCTGGCCGGGCGTGGTGGCTCATGCCTGTAATGCCAGCACTTTGGGAGGCTGAGGCAGGCAGATCACTTGAGGTCAGGAGTTTGAAACCAGCCTGGCTAACATGGTGAAACCCCAACTCTTGTAAAAAAAAAAATACAAAAATTAGCTGGGCATGGTAGCAAACGCCTGTAATCCCAGCTACTCGGGAGGCTGAGGCAGGAGAATCATTTGAACCCAGGAGGTGGATGTTGCAGTGAGCCGAGATCGTACCACTGCACTCCAGCCTGGGCAACAAGAGTGAGACTCATCTCAAAAACAAAAACAAACAAACAAACAAAAATCACAAAAGAAAACAACACAAAGTTATCAGAGGCTTATGAAAAGCCACCAATGATGCCTGTTTGTGCTCCCAAGTTGACAGTGACTTCTATATAGAAAATTATGGATGAATTACTATAGGATACTGTGTTACTGAAGCAAGCACCTCCTTCCTTTTAAAAAAAATAAAAACAGCTGTGTAACACCTGAGAAAACAAATATAAACTGAAAAACAGAACATGAAGGAGTGGTGTTCACTGCTCATAGTAAAGACGTCCCTTTTTTTTAGACAGAGGATCTTACTCTGTTACCCAAACTGGAGTGTAGTTGCAGCCTCAACCTCCTGGGTTCAAGCGATCCTCTTGCCTTAGCCTCCCAAGTGGCTGGGACCACAAGCGTGCACCACCATGCACACCTAATTAAAAAAAATTTTTTTGGTAGAGACAGAGGTCTCGCAATGTTGCCCAGGATGGTCTCAAACTCCTGGGCTCAAGCAATCCTCTTACCTCGAACTTCTGAATAGTTGGGATTACAGGCATGTCCACTGTGCCCAGCTAAAACACTTACTCTTTAGTATTTATTGAGCTAAAAGAGTATATCAATTACTTTTTGTTTTTTTGTGTGTGTTTTTTGTTTTTGTTTCTGAGATGGAGTCTCACCCTATAGCCCAGGCTGGTGTGCAGTGGCGCGATCTCGGCTCACTGCAACCTCCGCCTCCCGGGTTCAAGCGATTCTCCTGCCTTAGTAGCTGGGATTACAGGCACACGTCACCATGCCTGGCTAATTTTTTGTATCTTTAGTGGAGATGGGGTTTCACCATGTTGGCCAGGATGGTCTCGAACTCCTGACCTCGTGATCCGCCCGCCTCAGCCTCCCAAAGTGCTGGGATTACAGGCGTGAACCACTGCGCTGCCCGGCTGACTATATCAGTTACTCCTATAGCTAGACTTTACCTACCATTGTTCAAGTTAGAAGATGCTACAATTTGAAAATGATGCTATCAACAATGATTATTATCTAATTGGGTGTTGCTGAAAAGACTGATACTTAGATTACTGTATAGTTAATTGGGTGTGGTATATTTTTTCCAGTTAAGAATTAAGGTTAGAAGGGCATTATGTCTGCAACTTACTCTTAAATTGCTCAGGAAAAAAAAGACATATATATGTATAGTCTAACCTATGTAAAATCTATAGGTTAGGTTTTCTACAATTAGGCTTTATAAAGAAATGTATATAATGTTATAACGTGAAGGCTATCTGGAAATTCATTGTACTGTTCCTGCAATGTTTCTGTATATCTGAAATTATATTTAACTTAGAATGAAGGTTCATGCAAGTGGATTATATATTTAATGAGTGACAGAAAATTAGAATTATTTTTAAATTGATAGATAATTCATATACCATGTCATTATTTTAAAAAAGAATCAAGATTCATTAAAACATCAACTAAAACTATTATGATCCTGACGGCCTGCTGTGCCCACCTGCAGTCCTAGATACTCAGGAGGCTGAGGGAGGATCGCTTCAGCCTAAGAGTTTGAGGCTAGCCTAGGCCAAATAGTAAGACTTAATCTCAAAAAAATTATTATGATCCAAAGTAATTATGAAAAATATTACATAAGCAGAATATGTATGAAAAAAAGAACAAAAAGAAAAATATGTATTCACAGGCACTTTATATCTTATGTTTAACAGCAAAGCTTCTATTGTAGTTTCATTAGATAAAACACTAGAGAATTATACTTTGTGGAGTTTTTGTGTTTTGTTTTGTTTTGTTTTGTTTGAGACAGGGTCTGGATCTGTCACCCAGGCTGGAGTGCAGTGTTGTGATCTTGGCTCACTGCAGCCTCTGCCTTCCAGGCTCAAACAATCCTCCCACCTCAGCCTCCCAAGTAGCTGGGACCACAGGCCTATGCCACCATGTCCAGCTAATTTTTTGTATTTTTGGTAAAGATGGGGTTTCACCAGGCCAGGCGCGGTGGCTCACACCTGTAATCCCAGCACTTTGGGAGGCCGAAGCAGGCGGATCATGAGGTCAGGAAATTGAGACCACCCTGGCTAACACGGTGAAACCCCGTCTCTACTAAAAATACAAAAAATTAGCCAGGCGCGGTGGCGGGCTCCTGTAGTCCTGGCTACTCGGGAGGCTGAGGCAGGAGAATGGTGTGAGCCGGGGAGGCGGAGCTTGCAGTGAGCCGAGATAGTGCCACTGCACTCTGGCCTGGGCGAAAGAGCAAGACTCCATCTCAAAAAAAAGAAAAGATGGGGTTTCACCATGTTGCCCAGGTTAGTCTCAAACTCCTGAGCTCAAGCTATCCACCTGCCTCAGCCTCTCAAAGTGCTGGGATTACAGGCATGAGCCACTGTGCCTGACCACTTTGTGTTTTTTATTCACTAGCTAGATTGTCAGAGAAATAATTAATACCAAAATAGAATATCAATGGCACTTAAATTTTTGGCCTTCAAGCAAAAATTTCAGTAATTCTCCAATTTCAGCTTCAATTATGTCAACTGCAAAATTAACTAAATCCTCAAGTTTTATTCCTGGCCCTACTACTTACAAGCTCTTTGGACCTTGAATAAGTCCCTCAACCTCTCTGAATCTAGCCTCTATAAAATGCAAGGAGTCATATTAAGTTGTCTTAGAAATTCCCTTTAGCACTAACATTCTATTACAAGTTCCTTTTTACAAATAGGGAAATAGAAATTCTAATTTTAAGTAACTTTGAAGAAGTCACGTGATAAAAGGAAAGCCTAATTTTAAAAGAGTCAATTATTAGCTACAAGTCAGTGACAAGTTAAAAAAAAAAAAGATAAAAGAGTCAATTAATCATATCCAGTCTGGATTCATACACCAAGAAGAAGCCCATTGTAGAAAAACCGTCTTAAACTTCCGAGGCACACCTGCTCTCAAGGATCATCCTCGAGTGATCAGTTGCCAAAGCTCATCTCATTCTATAAGGCATGGGGAATGGAAGTGCTAAACCTTCTAGTTTGCTCTTGGGAATGTTTTCCATCTATCAAAGGCTCACAAACCTCCTGGAGACAGGAGTAGGAAGGAAGAAGAGGCCCTGGAGTCAACAGAGTCTCCACAGAGACTTGGGACAGGAGATGACTTGGCCAAAGGATTGTTGCTACAATAGGCTTTGTGTTTTGTTATCCTTTGTAACTACCCCAACACTTTCTGGTAAGTGAGAAAACATATTAGGCTCATTTTGAATCCCTGCCCTTTTTATGTGATCTTAATTATGGGGAAGCGGTACAAAGATTGACCTCTGATCCTCTGGCTCATCAGCATATGGTAATCATCTTAGCTTTCTTTGTGCAGTTTGACCCCACAATAAGGAAATATTCTGGTTTGAAGTGTCCACTTCTCTAAAACAGAAAAGGACAAAAGAAGAAAGGACAAAATCTATAGGTTAGGTTTTCTACAGTAAAATAGGCTTTATAAAGAAATGTATTTTTTTTTTCTGAGATGGAGTCTCGCTCTGTCGCCCAGGCTGGAGTGCGGTGGCACAATCTTTGCTCACTGCAACCTCCACCTCCTGGTCCAAGCGATTCTCCTGCCTCAGCCTCCCGAGTAGCTGGGATTACAGGTGTCTGCCACCACGCCCGGCTAATTTTCGTATTTTTTAGTAGAGATGGGGTTTCACCATGTTGGCCAGGCTGGTCTTGAACTCCTGACTTCAAATGATCCGCCTGCCTTAGCCTCCCAAAGTACTGGGATTACAGGCGTTAGCCACCATGCCCAGACTGAGAAATGTACTATTTTGATAGAAAGTAGATACTTAAAATTCTGATAATGACAAATATATACATAGAGCTTACACTGTGTCAGGCTCTGTTCCAAATACCTTACATACATTGACTCACTTAACGTTCACAACAACCATATGAGGTAATTATGCTGTTTTGCCCATTTTGCAGATGAGAAAACTGACGCACAGGGAGGTTAGTGTGATCAGTTTGTACATTTAGTAAATCCTTAGTTAGATGAATCCAGGAAGTCTAGCTCCAGTGCCCATCCTCTTAACTGCTGAGTGGCTACCTTCCTAAGCCTTATTTATTTATTTATCTTTTTGAGACGGAGTTTTGCTCTTGTTGCCCAGGCTGGAGTGCAATGGCACGATCTCGGCTCACCGCAACCTCTGCCTCCTGGGTTCAAGCGATTCTCCTGCCTCAGCCTCCCAAGTAGCTGGGATTACAGGCATGTGCCACCATGCCCAGTTAATTTGCATTTTTAGTAGAGACGGGGTTTGTCCATGTTGGTCAGGCTGGTCTCGAGCTCCCGACCTCAGGTGATCTGCCCGCCTCGGCCTCCCAAAGTGCTGGGATTACAGGCGTGAGCCACTGCACCTGGCCACCTCTGAGCCTTATTTATTAGTCTTACCTTATACTTAGGGCAGTGGTGCTCAAATTTTAAAAAGCATCATAATTACTTGAAGCATTTGTTAAAAGTGCATATTTCTGGTCCATACACCAACCCTCCCTCCCCATTCTGATTCTAGTAGGTCTGTGGTTTAACTGAAGGATCCATATTTAATATTTTATATTTTTTTGAGACAGGGTCTCACTTTGTCACCCAGGCTGGAGTGCAGTGGTGTGATCTTGATTCACTGCAGCCTCAACCTCCTGGGTTCAAGTGATCCTCCCACCTCAGCTCCCAAGTAGCTGAGACCACAGGTGTACACCAACACACTTGGCTAATTTTTGTATTTTTTATAGAGATGGAGTTTCACCATGTTCCCCGGGCTGGTTTTGAACTACTGAGCTTAAGCCTCACTTTGGCCTCCCAAAGTGCTAGGATTGCAGGGCTGAGATCTATCTATCTATCTATCTATCTATCTATCTATCTATCTATCATCTATCTATCTATCTTTTTTTTTTTTTTTTTTGAGAGAGAGTTTTGTTGCTCTTGTTGCCCAGACTGGAGTGCAATGGCACCATCTCGGCTCACTGCAACCTCCGCCTCCCGGGTTGAAGCAATTCTCTTGCCTCGGCCTCATGAATAGCTGGGATTACAGGCATGCACCACCACGCCCGGCTCATTTTGTATTTTTAGTAGAGACAGGGTTTCTCCGTGTTGGTCAGGCTGGTCTCAAAGTCCCAAACTCAGGTAATCTGCTCACCTCGGCCTCCTAAAGTGCTAGGATTACAGGCGTGAGCCACCACGCCCGGCCTGGGATCTATATTTTTAACAAGCATTTCAGTGATTATATTACAGAGGGTCTAGCACCACATTGAGAAATACTGACTTAGCCAAAGAGGGTTCTTTCTTCTAAGGGAAAAAAATTTTTCTTTGTAATTTACTCACTCACTCAAGAAGTATTTATTAAGTACGCACTGTAAACTTACAATTGTATTAATTGTAAAGTTGGTATGTGTAGACTGAAAAGGACTTTTGGTACAAAACTGTTTGCAAAATACAAAATAAAGCAGATGGGCGGGGCGCAGTAGCTCACGCCTGTAATCCCAGCACTTTGGGAGGCCAAGACGGGTGGATCACCTGAGGTCAGGAGTTCGAGACCAGCCTGGCTGATGAGACCCTGTTCCTACTAAAAATACAAAAATTAGTCAGGCGTGGTGGTGTGTGTCTGTAGTCCCAGCTACCCGGGAGGCTGAGGCTCAAAAATCACTTGAACCCAGGAGGCAGAGGTTGCAGTGAGCTGAGATCACGCCACTGTACTCCAGTCTGGGTGACAGAGTGAGACTCCATCTCAAAAATAAAAATAATAAATAAATAAATAAAGCAGACGGCCAGCTGAGCCTGGATACCAGATTGTTCACATCAGTGAGTAGAGAAAGCTAATGAGACAAAGCATCAGAGGAGCATAACGAAGGACGCTGGATTTGGAAGAAGAACCTTCAGCATGAAAATCTCTTAGTGCCAGCCCTTCCTCTGAGGCAATAATCAAGATGTGTACTGAGTTACAGCAGAAAGTTAGATTTTAGGGTCAGAGAGATCAGAATTAAAATGTAGACCTTATGGCTGGGTGCAGTGGCTCATGCCTGTGATTCCAACACTTTGGAAGGTCAAGGGAGGAGGATTGTTTGAGGTCAGGAGTTTAAGACCAGCCTGGGCAACAGAGCGAGACCCATGTACCTACAAAAAATAAAAAAAATTAGCCAGACATGGAGGCACACACCTGTAATCCCAGCTATTTGGGAGGCTGAGGTGGGAGGATTGCTTGAGCCCAGGAGGTCAAGGCTGCAGTGAGCTGAGATCATGCCACTGCACTCCAGCCCAGGCAACAGAGCAAGACCCTATCTAAAAAAAAAAAAAAGAAAAATTAGACTTTGTCACCTACTGCCTACGTGAAGCCTTGGACAAGACACATTTGTCAGTCTCCATTCCTCCATCTGTAAACTGAGGGTGGTAATAATCTACCCTCAGGCTTCTTGTAAGAACTGAAGAAAAACATGAACATCAAGGATTTGACAAACTTCCTGGTTTATGATAGTTACTTAACTGGTGGTCATTATTATTAGGTGTCCTATTGGGAAAATAATGAGGTAACCCCACCCCACAAGATGAACAAGAAGAGACTGGAAGGCCAGGCAAGGTGGCTCACCCCTGTAATCCCAGAACTTTGGGAGGCTGAGGTGGGAGGATCACTTGTGGCCTCCCAAAGTGCTGGGATCCAGACCGGCCTGGGCAACACAGTGACAACGCTTCTCTATGAAAAAAATATTTTTTGTTTGTTTGTTTGTTTTGAGACAGGGTTTTGCTCTGTTGCCCAGGCTGGAGTACAGTGGTATGAACACAGCTCACTGCAACCTCGACCTCGTGGGTGCATGTGATCCTCCCACCTCAGCCTCCTGAGTAGCCAGGACTATAAGCGCATGCCACCGCCCTCGGCTAATTTTTAAAAAAAAATTTTTTTGTAGAGATGAGGTAGTGCCATGTTGCCCAAGATGGTCTCAAACTCGCTTGAGCAATCCTCCCACCTCAGCCTCCCAACATACTGGATTACAGGTGTGACTCACTGTGCCCAGCCTGAAAATTTTCTATTTTTAGAGACTGGAGCAGACACTACTAGCTGCCTTCCCTCAATTCATTGTCCTTTTATTTATTTATTTTTTTCTTTCTGAGAGAGCAGGAATATTGCTAACCACAGAACTACATTTTCCAACCTCCTTCACAGCCCAAGGGTGGCCATATTCCACAGTGTTGGTCAATGGGACTTACATGAAAGTCTACTGGATGTTCTTTTTGTAATTTTTTTTTTTTTGAGACAGTCTCACTCTGTTGCCCAGGCTCGAGTGCAGTGGCGCCATCTTGTCTCACTGCAACCTTTGCCCCCTGGGGTTCAAGGGATTCTTGTGTTTTAGCCTCCCAAGTGGCTGGGATTGTAGGTGCACACCACCACGCTCAGCTAATTTTTGTATTTTTTAGTAGAGACAGGGTTTCACCATGTTGGCCAGGCTGGTCTCTAACTCCTGACCTCAAATGATCCGCCTGCCTTAGCCTCCCAAAGTTCTGGGATTACAGGCGTGAGCCACCACGCCCAGCCTCTACTGGACTTTCTCTTTTTTTTTTTTTTTTTTTTTTTGAGATGGAGTCTCACTCTGTCTCCCAGGCTAGAGTGCAGTGGCGCAGTCTCGGCTCACTGCAACCTCCGCCTCCCAGATTCTCTTACTTCAGCCTCCCAAGTAGCTGGGACTACAGGTGCATGCCACCACACCCAGCTAATTTTTCTATTTTTAGTAGAGAAAGGGTTTTGCCATGTTGGCCAGGCTGGTCTCAAACTCCTGACCTCAGGTGATCCGCCTGCCTCAGCCTCCCAAAGTGTTGGGATTACAGGCATGAGCCACCATGCCAGGCAAGGACTTTCTATTTTATTTTCTCCTTACAGCTTTCTTCTACTTCCCTGGCACAGACACGTGGGGCTGGGGTGCAAAGGCCATCTTTTGATCAGGAGAGACAATGAGCAGAATAGAAGACAGAAAACATAAGATACAAGAAGAAGAGACACTGGTGACATGATGGAGACACTGCCGCTCAAGACTACCTACTCTAATTACCTATGTGAGAAGACTAAACCCATGTGGTGAAAAAAAAAGAAAAGAGAGACATAATCGTCAAAGACCGAGAAGCAAAAGTCAGCCTGGCAAAGAAAACAGCATTAGCAAAGGCCCAGTGGCAAAGAGAATATAAGGCAGGATGTAGAGTTTCAATAAATCATCTTGGTTGGAACAAAAGGGCCAGTTGGTGGGTGAAAAGGAAGAGTGTGAGGTTTGATAAGGTGTGGTGGGTTCTGATACAAGTCAAACTGTCATAACAAATGAAAACATTCATAACACCCTAAGTACAACAGTTTTGCTCTTATAACTTCCTTTCTTGAAATGTGTTGGTAATAAAACATTCTGTAAGACCAAGCTATTTATTCTTTTTTTATTTTTATTTTTGAGACAAGGTCTTGCTCTGCCACCCAGGCTGGAGTGCAGTGGTGCAAACACAGCTCACTGCAGCCTGGGCTCAAGTGATCCTCCTGCCTCAGCCTCTCGAATAGCTGAGGCCACGGACATGTGCCACCATGCTCAGCTAATTTTTAATTTTTTGTAGCGATGGGGTTTCGCCATATTGCCCAGGCTGGTCTCAAACTCCTGGGCTCAAACTCCCCTGGGCCTCCCAAAGGGCTGGGTTTATAGTCGTGAGCTTCCACACCCAGCCCTAGACCAAGCTATTTAAATAAGTAATATTTTGTAAATAGACTAAAGAGCAATGCCATCAAGATGATAGAGCAAATAAAATGGTATAGGCAATGTCACGGATGAAAAGGAATTTAGAGATATCTCTTTTAATTCAACCTCTCTTTTACCAGATAAGAAGTTAAGACTCCTGGCAATGTAGGGTCCTGTCTAAAGTTTTGACAATGCCAGACAACACTGCTGCCTCATTTACTAACAGTTGATGGAATCTTTGTGTTCACAACTCTACCCGAATTACACGACTGTTATTCTTTGAAGATCAATATGAAAAATATGAAACATATAAAAAATTAAAGAAAAGACAAAGACACTATACCCAGAAGATGTTGAAATTAAGGATGGGAAGTTTAGACTTGGATTGGGGCAGTGGTTGAGAGAAATAGAGGAGAGATCAAGAGACATTCCAGTTGAGAAAGTATTACCTGTACTACATTTTCAGGGTGACTGCCTGAATAAGGAGGCCATAAGAGAAGAGAAAAATAAAGATTTCCAACTGTGACCCCAGCATCAGAAGTGAAGGTTAATTTAGAAGTGGTGGTTGTTCAAGGGGAAAGGTAACAACACATTTCATCTAAAAGTAACTCTTGGCCAGGCACAGTGGTTCACACCTGTAATCCCAGCACTTTGGGCAGGCTGAGGCAAGAGGATCACTTGAGTCAAGGAGTTCGAGACTAGCCTGGGCAACATAGTGAGACCTCATCTCTTAAAAAAAAAAAAAAAAGAGTAATCCCAGCACTTTGGGAGGCCGAGGCGGGCGGATCATGAGGTCAGAAGATCAAGACCATCCGGGCTAACACGGTGAAACTCTGTCTCTACTAAAAACACAAAAAAATTAGCTGGGTGTGGTGGTGGGTGCCTGTAGTCCCAGCTACTCAGGAGGCTGAGGCAGGAGAATGGTGTGAACCTGGGAAATGGAGCTTGCAGTGAGCTGAGATCATGCCACTGCACTCCAGCCTGAGCGACAGAGCAAGATTCTGTCTCAAAAAAAAAAAAAAAAACAAAAAAACAAAGAAAGGTAATTATTTGAGGCCAGGTGAGGTGGCTCATGCCTATAATCCCAGCACTTTGGGAGGCCAAGGCTGGTGAATCATGAGGTCAAGAGATGGAGACCATCCTGGCCAACATGGTGAAACTATGTCTGTACTATACAGGTTTGAAGCTATACAGATTGAGTTATCCCTTATATGAAATGCTTGGGATCAGCAGGTTTTCAGATTTCTGGCTGGGTGCAGTGGCTCACGCCTGTAATCCCAACATTTTGGGAGGTCAAGGGGGGTGGATCCCTTGAGCTCAGGAATTTGAGACCAGCCTGGCCAACATGGTGAAACCCCATCTAGTAAAAATACAAAAATTAGCTGGGAGTGGTAGTGTGCACCTGTGGTCCCAGCTACTCAGAGGCTGAGGCAGGAGAATCGCTTGAACCCAGGAGGCGGAGGTTGCAGTGAGCCGAGATCACGCCACTGCACTCCAGCCTGGCAACTGAGCGAGACGCCGTCTCAAAAATAAAAAAAAAAAGTATTTGCAAGATGAAGTAGTTCTGGAGACCAGTTGCACAACGTGGATACATGTGACATTAATGAACTGTGCACTTAAAGTTGGTTAAGATTGTAAACTTTATTTTAAAAAAGAACTAAAAAGTACCTGTAATTTTTTTTTTTTAAAGACAGGATCTCACTCTGTCACCTAGTCTGGAGTGTAGTGGCACCATCTTGGCTCACTGCAGCCTCCCACCTCCCAGGCTTAAGTGATCCTCCTGCCTCAGCCTCCTGAGTAGCTGGGACTACAAGCCTGCACCACCATGCCCAGCTAATTCTTATATATTTTTTTGTAGAGACAGGGTTTTACCATGTTGACCAGGCTGGTCTTAAACTCCTGAGCTCAAGCAGTCTGCTCACTTCTGCATCTCAAAGTACTGGGATTACAGGTGTGAGCCACCTTGCCTGGCCATCTCTCTTTCTCTTTCTTTCTCTCTCTCTCTCTCTGTCTCTCTCTCTCTCTCTCTGTCTCTCTCTCTCTCTCTCTCTCTCTCTCTATATATATATATATATATATATATATATATTTTTTTTTTTTTTTTTTTTGTCCTTGAGATGGAGTCTCACTCTCTTGCCCAGGTTGCAGTGCAGTGGTGTGGTCTCAGCTCACTGCAACCTCCACCTCCTGGGTTCAAGCGATTCTCCTGCCTCAGCCTCTTGAGTAGCTGGGACTACAGGTGCGCACCACCACACCCAGCTAATTTTTGTATTTTTAGTACAGATGGGGTTTCACCATGTTGGCCAGCCTGGTCTCAAACTTCTGTCCTCAAGTGATCCACCTACCTCGCTCCCATAGTGCTGGGATTATAGACGTGAGCCATCATGCCCAGCCAAGCCCATGATTTTTTTTTTCTTTTTTGAGATGGAGTCTTGCTTTGTCGCCCAGGCTGGAGTACAATGGCGCGATCTCGGCTCACTGCAACCTCTTCCTCCCGGGTTCAAGCAATTCTCCTGTCTCAGCCTCCCGAGTAGCTGGGATTACAGGTGCACCACTACGCCCAACTAATTTTTGTATTTTTAGTAGAGATGGGGTTTCACCATGTTGGTCGGGCTGGTCTCGAATTCCCGACCTCGTGATCCACCCACCTCGGCCTCTCAAAGTGCTGGGATTACAGGCGTGACCCACCACTCCCGGCCTAAGCCCATAATTTTTAAAGTAATTGTTTTTATTAATTTAAACTTTTGCTCAATCTACTTTGAAGCTATACAGGTTAAGTATCCCTTATATGAAATGCTTGGGATCAGAAGTGTTTCAGATTTCTGGCCGGGTGCAGTAGCTCACGCCTCTAATCCCAACATTTTGGGAGGCCAAGGGGGGTGGATCCCTTGAGCTCAGGAATTCGAGACCAGCCTGGCCAACATGGTGAAACCCCATCTCTACTAAAAATACAAAAATTAGCTGGGGGTGGTAGTGTGCACCTGTGGTCCCAACTACTCGGGAGGCTGAGGCAGGAGAATTGCTTGAATGTGGGAGGTGGAGGTTGCGGTGAGCTGAGATTATGCCACTGCACTCCAGCCTGGGTGACAGAGCAAGATCCTGTCTCAAAAAAAGAAGTGTTCCAGATTTCTGTTTTTTTCAGAGTTTGAAATACTTGCATATGTATAATGAGATATCTTGGGGATGAGACCCAAGTCTAAACACAATATTCATTTATGTTTCATATACAGTTTATACACATAGCTTGAAGGTAATTTTATATAATATTTTAAATAACTGTGCATGAAATAAAGTTTTCTTTTTCTTTTTAAATTGAGATGGGATCTTGCTATGTTGCCCAGGCTGGTCTTGAACCCCTGGGCTGAAGTGATCCTCGTGCAACAGACTCCCAAAGCACTGGGATAACAAGCATAAACCATGTGCTGGTTGAAGTAAAGTTTTTTTCTTTCTTTCTTTTTTTTCTCCTTCCCCTCCTCTGAAACAAACAAACAAAAAAATTTTTAAGCATTCCAATCAAGGAACATGGGATGCTTTCCCATTTATTTAGTTCTTTTTGTTGTTCTTGTTTTTTGAGACAGAGTCTCACTCTGTCACCCAGGCTGGAGTGCAGTGGGGCAGTCTTGGCTCACTGCAACCTCTGCCTCCCAGGTTCAGGCGATTCTCATGCCTCAGCCTCCTAAGTAGCTGGGATTACAGGTGTGTGCCACCATGCCCAGCTAATTTTTGTATTTTTAGTAGAGATGGGTTTTCGCCATGTTCGCCAGGCTGGTCTGGAACTCCTGGCCTCAAGTGATCCACCTGCCTTGACCTTCCAAAGTGCTGCAACTACAGGCATGAGCCACTGTGCCCAGCCTGAAACAAAGTTTTGACTTTGACCCATCACATGAGGTCAGGTGTGGAGTTTTCCCTTGAGGCATCACATTGGCACTCAAAAAGTTTTGGATTTTGGGCCGGGCATGGTGGCTCACACCTGTAATCCCAGCACTTTGGGAGGCCGAGATGGGCAGATCACCTGAGGACAGGAGACCAGCCTGACCAACATGGAGAAACCCCATCTTTACTAAAAATACAAAATTAGCTGGGTGTGGTGGCACATGCCTATACTCCCAGCTACTTGGTAGGCTGAAGCAGAAGAATCACTTGAACCAGGGAGGCAGAGGTTGCAGTGAGCCGAGATCACGCCATTGCACTCCAGCTTGGGCAACAAGAGCGAATCTCCACCTCAAAAAAAAAAAAAAAAAAAAGCTTTGGATTTTGGAGAATTCTGGATTTTAGATTTTTGGATTAGGGTTGCTTAACCTGTATCAACTTTTCAAGTTTTAGGAACGCAGATTTACTCCTGCCATCTCAAGTAGTAGGAAGTCTCTCTATACACATATTTTATAAAGAGATGGGGGTCTTGCTATCTTGCCCAGGCTGGTCTCAAACTCCTGAGCTCAAGTGATCCTCCCGTCTCAGCCTTCTGAGTAGCTGGGAGGAAGTCTATTTTGAGGATACACATGACAAGAAAGATGAGAATATCATAGGAACTTAAGAACAGTCAAGTGGTTAGACTGCAGTTGGGAACTAAAATGAACATGGAAGTGGACAACAAATTCTATGCACACCTACAGATGGAGTTAAGTGTCACTCTCAGTGGCAGGAGTCATGCAGTACTCCCCAAACCTGAGGGTGTGTATCACCATTTCTCTCTGTCTCTATGACTACCAGCCAACTACCTCATTTAGTCATAGCTTCTGCTTAGTCATAATGCCAGTTTACTCATATCATGTCTCTCTATAACCACTTATAACCACTTTTAGCTTCTCTCCCCACATTCAACAGACTGATTCTCTGTATAATCAACTTCAAATTCTTTTTCTCTTTTTTTCTTTTTTTTTTTTTGACAGAGTCTCACTCTGTCACCCAGGCTGGAGTACAGTGGCGTGATCACAGCTCACTGCATCCTTGGCACCCCAGGCTTAAGCAGTCCTCCCACTTCAGCCTACTGAGTAGCTGGGACTATAGCTGTGCCACCATGCCTGGCTAATTTTTTTTTTTTTCTTTGAGATGGAGTTTCACTCTTGTTACCCAGGCTGGAGTGCAACGGCATGATCTTGGCTCACCGCAACTTCTGCATCCCGGGTTCAAGTGATTCTCCTGCCTCAGCCTCCCAAGTAGCTGGGATTACAGGCATGCGCCACCACGCCCAGCTAATTTTGTATTTTTAGTAGAGACAGGGTTTCTCCATGTTGGTCAGGCTGGTCTTGAACTCTCGATCTCAGGTGATCTGCCCACCTTGGCCTCCCAAAGTGCTAGAATTACAGGCGTGAGCCACCTTGTCCAGCCGCCTGGCTAATTTTTTAATTTTTTGTAGATACAGTGTCTCACTATGTTGCCCAGGCTGGTCTTGAACTGGTGGGCTCAAGCAATCCTCCTGCCTCGGCTTCCCAAAGCTCTGGGATCACAGGCATGAGCCACCATGCCCAGCCCAAATTCCTGAAAGAAAAAAAAAAAAAAAAAAACGCCGGGCGCGGTGTCTCATGCCTGTAATCCCAACACTTTGGGAGGCCGAGGTGGGCGGATCACCTGAGGTCAGGAGTTCGAGACCAGCCTGGCCAACATGGAGAAACCCTGTCTCTACTAAAAATACAAAATGAGCCGGGAGTGGTGGTGCATGCCTGTAATCCCAGCTACTTGGGTGGCCGAGGCAGGAGAATTGCTTGAACCCGGGAGGTGGAGATTGCAGTGAGCCGAGATCGCGCCATTGCACTGCAGCCTGGGCAAACAGAGCGAAACTCCATCTGAAAAAATATATATATATGACTGGGCTTGGTGGCTTACGCCTGTAATCCCAGCACTTTGGGAGGTCAAGGCGGGCAGATCACTTGAGGTCAGCGTTTGAGACCAGCCTGGCCAACATGGTGAAACCCCGTCTCTACTAAAAATACAAAAAAAAATTAGCCAGGCGTAGTGGTGTGTGCCTGTAATCCCAACTACTCGAGAGGCTGAGGCAGAAGAATCACTTGAATCTGGGAGGTGGAGGTTGCAGTGAGCCAAGATCATACCACTGTACTCCAGCCTGGATGACAGAGTGAGAGAGACTCCATCTAAAAAAAAAAAGAAAAAAGAAAAAAATTTGACTGGCTTAGTTCAGTTTTCAAAATTAAATGTGCATCAGAACCTGGCCAACATGGCGAAACCCATCTCTACTAAAAATGCAAAAACTAGCTGGGCATGGTGATGTGTGCCTGTAGTTCCAGCTACTCAAGAGGCTGAGGTGGAAGGATCACTTGAACACAGGAGGTCAAGGCTGCAGTAAGCTGTGATCACACCACTGCACACCAGCCTTGGTGTCAGAGCAAGACCCTGACTCAAAGTAATAATAATAATATGCATCAGAATCATCTGGAGAGCTTAAATCACAAGTTGTAGGACCCCTTCCCAGCATTTCTGATTTAGTCATCTGGGGTATAGCCTGCGAATTTGCATTTCTAACAAAATCCCAGGTAATGCTGACTACACTGATCTGGGGACCACACTTGAGAACCACTGGTCTGGTTAATCATCCTTTTATCTGTTTGGACAGAGCAACTGGGGCAAGCTACCTCATGTTGCCAGTACCATATTTCTGAACTGACTCTCAGGCTCATAACTGGAGATTTTTTTCCTCCTCATTTAGGCAGTCACCCAAGTCTTATGATTTATAAGTGGAATGTCTCTGATCTTTCCCTTTATCTTCCTCAGTCACTGCCCTCATCCAGGGTCTCATCTCCCCGTACCTGGACCACAGAAAAGTTTCCTGAGTCAAGCTGCCCTAGACCCACAGCTGCCAAATTACCCTTCCACTGACAGTCCTCAAATGCTTATGGTTTCCCTCAAGGCCATCGATCGGCCACCTTTGGTTATCACATTAAGTTAAATTTTGGAACACCTCTAAACTTTTGCTTTTAGGTCAATAATATTTATTTACTTTTATTTATTTGTTCATGTATTTAGAGTCTTGCTCTGTTGCCCATGCTGGAGTGCAGAGGCGCAAATCTCGGCTCACTGCAAACTCTGCCTCCCAGGTTCAAGCCATTCGCCTGCCTCAGCCTCCCAAGTAGCTGGGATTACAGGTACTCGCCACCACACCCAGCTAATTTTTGTATTTTTAGTAGAGACAGGGTTTCGCCATGTTGGCCAGCCTGGTCTTGAACTCCTGACCTCAGATGATCTGTCTGCCTGGGCCTCCCAAAGTGCTGGGATTACAGGCGTGAGCCACCGCACTCGGCCTTAAGTCAATATTTAAATGTCCAAATTTGTTTTTCCATATTGATATATATTTTTTTCTTTTTTCTCTTTTTTTGGAGACAGGGTCTTGCTCTGTCACCTAGGCTGGAGTGCGTGGGTGCCATCACAGCTCACTGCAGCCTCAATGTCCCAGGCTTTAATGATCCTCCTGCTTCACCCTTCCAAGTAGATGGGACCACAGGTGTGTGCCACCACATCCAGCTATTTTTTTAATTTTTTGTAGAGATCGGGACTATGCTACCCAGGCTGGTTTTGAACTCCTGGGCTCAAGTGATTCTTCCACTTTGGCCTCCCAAAGGGCTGTGATTACAGGCGTGGGCCACCAAGCCCAGCCTTATATTTCCTTTCTACCACGACCTCCTACCCCTTCCCTTAAAGAACCCACCTATCTGAACCTTAGGACCATGCTTTAGGAAAAGCTTCAACTTTTTTTTTTTTTTTAAATAAAGATGACTCTGGAACTGGAACTTTAAAAAAAAATTATATTTGGCCAGGTGCAGTGGCTCATGCCTATAATCCCAGCACTTTAGGAGGCTGAGGTGAGTGGATAACCTGAGGTCAGGAGTTCGAGACCAGCCTGGCCAACATGGTGAAACCCCATCTCCACTAAAAATAGCTGGGTGTGGTGGGCGCCTGTAGTCCCAGCTACTCGATAGGCTGAGGCAGGAGAATCACTTGAACCCGGGAGGCAGAGGTTGTAGTGAGCCGAGATAGTGCCACTGCCCTCCAGCCTGGGTGACAGAGTGAGACACTGTCTCAAGAAAGAAAAAAAAAAAAAAGTTATGCAGATTTTGCAATCTTCTCCATCTATTTTTGCTTTAACATAAAAGGAATGGGATGGGTGCAGTGGCTCATACCTGTTATCCCAGCACTTTGGGAGACTGAGGCGGGTGGATCACTTGAGGTCAGGAGTTCAAGACCAGCCTGGCCAACATGGTGAAACCCCATCTCTACTAAAAATACAAAGATTAGCCGGGCATGGTGGCAGGGCCTGTACTCCCAGCTACTCGGGAGGCTGAGGCAGGAGAATTGCTTGAACCTGGGAGGGGGAGGAGGTTGCAGTGAGCTGAGATCATGCCATTGCACTCCAGCCTGGGTGACAGAGCAAAACTCTGTCTCAGAAAAAAAAAGAAAAAAAAAAAACAAAACCTGCACTCACTGCAACCTCCGCCTCCCAGATTCAAGCGATTCTCCTGCCTCAGCTTCCCAAATAGCTGGGATTACAGGTATGCACCACCCCGCCCAGCTAATTTTGTATTTTTAGTAGAGACAGGGTTTCACCATGTTGGTCAAGGCTGGTCTAGAACTCCTGACCTCAGGTGATCCGCTGCCACAACCTCCCAAAGTGCTGGGATTACAGACGTGAACCACCACGCCAGCCAAGTGCTTTCTTTTGAATTCAAGGCCTTCAAAGACGGTAATTCCAGTCTTATTTCTAACACTACATTACTTTCTAGCAAACTGGAATACTTTACTTAGTGTGTTCTCAATATTTAATTGAATCTGATTGTTGGCAGGTGGTGTTGACGTCTACTGTCATCTAGCACAGTGGTTCTCAAAGCGTGTTCCTTAGACCAGGGCATCAGAATCACCTGAGACCTTGTTAGAAAGGCGTATGTTCGGCCGAGCGCAGTGGCTCACGCCTGTAATCCCAGCACTTTGGGAGGTTGACGCCGGCGGATTGCTTGGGCTCAGGAGACAAGCCTGGGCAACATGTCTCTACTAAAAATACAAAAAAAATAGCCAGGCATGGTGATGCATGGCTACTCAGGAGGCTGAGGTGGGAGGATCACTTGAACCCAGGGAATGGAGGTTGCAGTGAGTAGAGATCGCACCACTGCACTCCAGCCTGGGTGACAGAGTGAGACCCTGTCTCAAAAAAAAAAAAAAAAAAGGCATATTTTCTGTCCTCTCCTATATCAAACCTGCTGAATCAGAAACTCTGGGGGTGGGGCTTGAGCAGTCTGCATTTTAATTAGCCCTCCAGCTGATTCTGATACAGCTGAAGTTTGAGAACCAGTCGATTAACATTTAGTTTTCAATCTAAAACAGAATAAGATACATTTTTAAAAGCTCGTATTGTCCTTAAATGGAATATAAACTACTACGTAAGTGTAAAATGTTGATTTTTAAGACAAAGTGAGGTGGCACACAGTTGTAATCCCAGTGCTTTGGGAGGCTGAGGCAGGAGGATTGCTGGATCTCAGGAGCTCAAGACCAGCTTGGGCAGCATAGTGAGACTCCATCTCTACAAAAAAATTTTTTAAATTAGCCGGGCATGGTGGCATGAGCCTGTAGTCCCAGATACTGTGGAGGCTGAGGTGGGAAGATCGCTTAAGCCCTGGATATCAAGGCTGCAGTGAATTATGATAGCGTTTCTGCACTCTAGCCTGGGGGACAAAGCGACCTCCTGTCTCTAAAAAAAAAAAAATTCAAAAACAAATAAAAAAAAGAAAATGTGTTCTAAAAGAACAGGTTAAACAATTTTTAATTCATTTGTCTCCTCCTAGTGGCAGGCTTTTAAATATAGAGCAC
Organism: Homo sapiens; assembly: GCF_000001405.40. Lineage (NCBI taxonomy): Eukaryota > Metazoa > Chordata > Mammalia > Primates > Hominidae > Homo > Homo sapiens. The sequence continues at coordinate 110,949,915 of NC_000006.12, forward strand.
AACACTTGATTTTTCAGAAATCATATTTCTGAAATTTTTCATGATTCTTTTTTTTTTTTTTTGAGACGGAATCTCACTTTGTCGCCAGGCTGGAGTGCAGTGGTACAATCTCAGCTCACTGCCACCTCCAACTCCCTGGTTGAAGCGATTCAAAGGCTTTTACTGATATGGCAGGGTAATTTATGGAGACACTAATACCCTACATTCTCCCCCTTTATCCCTTCCAAGCAGGCAGGTAGGCAGTTTGTATTTCTTTATCTGTGATGTTTAAAAGAATGGAAAGCTGGCTGGGTGTGGTGGTTCATGCCTATAATACCAGCACTTTGGGAGGCTGAGGCAGGTGGATCACTTGAGGTCAGGCGTTCGAGACCAGCCTGGACAACATGGTGAAACGCCATCTCCACTAAAAATACAAAAAATTAGCCAGGCCTATTGGCTGATGCCTGTAATCCCAGCTACTTGGGGGGCTGAGGTAGGAGAATCACTTGAACCCAGGAGGCAGAGGTTGCAGTGAGTTGAGATTGTGCCATTGCACTCCAGCCTGGGTAACAGAGCAAGACTCTGTCTCTAAATAAATAAATAAATAAATAAATATTAAAAAAAAAAAACTGAAGAATTAGCCAGGCATGGTGATGCATGCCTGTAGTCCCAGCTACTAAGGAGCCTGAGACAGAAGGATTGCTTGAGCCCAGGAGTTCCAGTGAGCTGTGATCACCCCACTGCACTACAGCCTGGGCAACAGAGCAAGACCCTGTATCTAAAACAAAAAATAAAAACTACAGGAGGAGATGGAGATTTCCTTAGGCTGGGAAAGGACTGGTGTGTCTCTTCTCTCCCAGCAGTGTCCTGAAGTAGTGCCAAGACCTAAGAGGCTAGCCTCAGAAAGGCCTGCTCTAAACTTCAGGGTTTCCAAACAGCAGGGATTCCCATGCTTTACTGAAACATAGTGCCTGAAATTGAAGGGTCTGTGTGGCTTCAAGAACCATGGGAATCTCAGTAGTAACCAATATGGATTAAAGACTGGAGAGGCCTCTTCAAATACTATGCCTGATCTGGGAGTGTAAAGGAGAGGAAATTGAGATTAAATTTTCCTGCCAGCTTGATGTGACAGGGGCTCAGAGTCAAGCTTAATTTAAGGAAAATAAGGAAACACGGTTTTTCTTAAATATCAAAGTTTGTGGTTGCAGTTCACACCCCAGGAAATACAGTGAAAAACAAAGCAGAAAGAGATGAAGAACATAGCAATAGATGTGTTTACAGAACAAGGGTTATTGATCCTAATGTCATTAAAGTCTTACCATAGAATGATGTGGCTGACCCAGTTTAATCAGGTGTGCAGCTCCCTAGCTCTTTAACTCCTCTTCAACTCTATTAAGGCTGGATGCTCAATCTCATTCTGTTGACTCTTAACTAGCCTGATGCAGAGGTTGGCATCTCTACCTGCTTTCCCAGAAAAGACAATAGAGTGTAGTAAGTCAGATAAGTTTCCTAATTTTCTTTCTTTCTTTTTTGAGACGGAATCTCGCTCTGTCGCCAGGCTGGACTGCAGTGGCATGATCTTGGCTCACTGCAACCTCCGCCTCCTGGGTTCAAGTGATTCTCCTGCCTCAGCCTCCCGGCTGGGACTACAGGCGCATGCCACAACGCCCAGCTAATTTTTGCTTTTTTTTTTTTTTTTTTTTGAGATGGAGTCTTGCTCTGTCACCCAGGCTGGAGTGCAGTGGCACGATCTCGGCTCACTACAAGCTCCGCCTCCCGGGTTCATGCCATTCTCCTGCCTCAGCTGGGACTACAGGCATCCACCACCATGCCCGGCTAATTTTTTATATTTTTAGTAGAGACAGGGTTTCACCATGTTAGCCAGGATGGTCTTGATCTCCTGACCTCATGATCTGCCCGCCTCAGCCTCCCAAAGTGCTGGGATTACAGGCGTGAGCCACCGTGCCCAGCCTAATTTTTGTATTTTTAGTAGAGATGGGGTTTCACCATGTTGGCCAGGAAGGTCTCGATCTCTTGACCTTGTGATCCACCCGCCTCGGCCTCCCAAAGTGCTGGAATTACAAGTGTGAGCCATCGCTCCCGGCCAAGTTTCCTAATTTTCTAAGTGTCAGTTTCCCAAAGTGTAAAATGGAAGTTAGACTAATGAGGGCTGATATTTAGCTTGTATGCACTGATTAAAAACATACCAGTTGTTAAATTAGAGACATTTTTCCCGTATCAGCCAGTAACAAGCAACCACCGCAAGCCTTTAGCTCACTCCAGGCCTCCCCATGATCCAACTTTCCCAGGACCCTACCCCAGCATGGCTGAGTCGTTGTGCCCTGCTAGTTAATTGTTAAATAATCTTGATAATTCATTAAATGTCATTCTTGATAATAGTTATCTTTTGAGACTATCATGAGGCTGATAACCTATATGTCACACTTGGTAGTTTACTTTTAAAGTAAACTGGCTTCCAAATTAACTTGCCTTGGGGAGGTCTTGTGACTCATGGCAACATCCTATCCCTGAGTAAAGAATCTGTGCGCTCTTCAAATTGTTGACATACTGATTAATGCATAACTTACTGACAATGGAAAGGACACTGACTTCTGATCATGAAGTTTTACTGATTGTCTTGCACACAGACATTTTATCCTGCATGTTGCAATCTGTAGCCAATGACTGTAACTTCTGTACTGTCTGTACGCTCCAATAACTTTGGTATAAGGAGTACTCCTCCCTTCTCCTTCCCTCCCTCTCCTTCTCCTCCCTTCTCCTAAAAAAGGCCGTCCTTTTAAAAGCCTGTTCCAGTAACTTGTAACAGACTCCAGAACACTCCTAACTCTGGTTGGTGTGTCTTCCCAGTTCAATCCTCACATTTGGCTTCCAATAAATGTTTTTCAAATTATTTCTGCCTCAGCAGCCTTAGTTTCAGTAGACAAGGCTTAAAGTGGGTTCAGTTAAAGCAAACTAATAACACTTGACCCTTTCCAACTTTTCTTCCTCTCAGCCATGGGTCCTTAAGCCATCTTTTTTGGATCCAGAGCCAAATTATATTTCTATGCAGCCACCATGGTTCTAGCCCTTATCTAGCTTTCAAAGATTTTTCCTTGATCGCCCCAAGCAAATTTCCTCTGCTCTGTTCAGTTTAAAAGTGTTTCTATTCTTTTTTTAAACAAAAAACAAAAGGAAAAAAACAGCTTTATCAAGATATAATTCATATACCATAAAAATCACCCTTTAAAAATATACAGTTGGTTTTTTTTTTTTTTTTTGGTACATTAACAGAACTGTGCAACCATTGCCATTAATTTCAGAACATTTTCATCACCCAAAAAGAAACTCCTGGCTGCTCTGCCTATGGAGTAGCCCTTCTTTATTCCTTTACTTTCTTAATAAACTTGCTTTCACTTTTCTCAATGGACTCTCCCCAACTTCTTTCTTGTGTGAGGTCCAACAACCCTCTCTTGGGGTCTGGATCAGGACCCCTTTCCAGTAACATCTTCCTGGCAAACCATGAAGCAACTAAACTGAGGAGACTCCCAACCCAAAGGAAATAGACCGAAGCACCACAATTGGCTGACTTTGGAATCAAGAAAACTTTTCCTTTGAGCTATTTATAGCTTTTAAAAATTGAGTAAAGTATATTCCTGTGAACAAACTTTGGAGCATATTAGTCTCTCTCTACCTGTTTTCTCTAGAATTTGGAAACTATATCACCTTTTGTCAGAACTCAAGAGTTATGAGTGGCCCTCACCATACTGATGCTTTCTGACTAAGCTCCTCTCTACTCTGAATACAAGAGCCCCTCATAGTTAGGCAGGAATATAATTGCCCCTATTCATCCTGAAAAAGTGACAGAAAATGGATCTTCATCCCTCTACAACCCTTAGGATTAAGGGTTCCCTTGTAAAAGGGTGGGGGAATATGTCAGAGGCGTTTGAACTAGAGCAACTCCATCTTTAATAGGGGCTGGGTAAAATAAGACTGAGACCTACTGGGCTGCATTCCCATGAGGTTAGGCATTCTAAGTCACAGGATGAGATAGGAGGTCAGCACGAGATACAGGTCATAAAGACCTTGTGGATAAAACAAGATGAAGTAAAGAAGCTGGCCAAAACCCACCAAAACCAAGATGGTGACGAGAGTGACCTCTGGTCATCCTCATTGTTCATTATATGCTAATTATAATGCATTAGCATGCTAAAAGACAGTCCCACCAGCGCCATGACAGTTTACAGATCCCATGGCAATGTCCAGAAATTACCCTATATGGTCTAAGTCGGGGAGGAACCCTCAGTTCTGCGAATTGCCCACCCCTTTCCTGGAAAACTCATAAATAACCCACCCCTTGTTTAGCATATAATCAAAAATGAACTTAATTAAGTATTATCAGTAGAGCAGCCCAAACTGCTGCTCTGCCTATGGAGTAGCCATTCCTTTATTCCTTTACTTTCTTTTTTTTGAGACGGAGTTTCACTCTTGTCGCCCGGGCTGGAGTGCAGGGGCACGATCTTGGCTCACCACAACCTCCGCCTCTTGTGTTCAAGCGATTCTCCCACCTCAGTCTCCCAAGTAGCTGGGATTACAGGCACCCGCCACCACACCCAGCTAATTTTTGTATTTTTAGTGGAGACAGGGTTTTGCCATGTTGGCCAGCTGGTCTCGAACTCCTAACCTCAGGTGATCCACCTGCCTCGGCCTCCCAAAGTACTGGGATTACAGGCATGAGCCACCACACCCGGCTCCTTTACTTTCTTAATAAACTTGCTTTTACTTAAAAAAAAAAAAAAAAAAAGGAACTCCTCATCCAGTAGCAGTCGCTCCTCATTCCACCATCCTCCCAAGCCCCTGGCAACCACTAATCTCTCTCTCTCTTTAAAGATAGAGATGGGATCTCTCTATGTTGCCCAGGCTGGTCTCAAACTCCTGGCCTCAAGGGATACTCCTACCTTGGACTCCCAAAGAGCTGGGATTATAGGTGTGAGCCACCACGCCCAACCTACTATCTCTCTTTATAGGCTTGCCTATTCTGGACATTTCATATAAATGGAACCATTCAGTATGTGGTCCTCTGTGTCTTGACTTCTTTCACTTGGCACAATGTTTTCTCTTTTTTGAGACAGGGTCTTACTCTGTCACCCAGGCTGGAGTACAGTAAGTGGCATGATTGCAGCTCATTGCAGCTTCGAGATCCTGGGCTCAAGCGAGCCTCCCACCTCAGCACCCCCAAGAACCTGAAACTAAACACATGCGCCACCATACCTGGGTAATTTTTAAAATTTTTTGTAGAGACGAGATCTCACTACATGGCCCAGTCTGGTCTCAAACTCCTGGGCTTAAGCAGTCCTCCCGCCTCAGCCTCCCAAAGTTCTGGGATTACAGGCCTGAGCCACTGCACCCCGCTCCTTTTAATCTTTTTAGGAATTCTAAGTCATTGAGAGTAGACTGTATTAAGAATGGAGTCCCACTGTTAGATTGTGGAAATTCCTCCCAGTCACCAAAAGGCTTGTCTCCTTTCAAAGCTGATGCTGACGGGTGCCTATGGATGCTTATGGATGCTTATTGTGCCTAATAAGCTCCTGTTTTGAGCTGAGAGATGTTTCAAACTTTAAGCTTATTTTCACAGGGTACAAGCTCTAGATCATGGAGTCATTACTATGATGTCCTCCTTCCTTCCAAGGGAATGGTTTTCCAGTCTGCAAGCCACATTATAATATTAAAATTATTGGCTGGGCATGGTGGCTCACACCTGTAATCCCAGCACTTTGGGAGGCTGAGGCAGGTGGATCACCTGAGGTCAGGAGTTCAAGACCAGCCTGGCCAATATGGTGAAACTCTGTCTCTACTAAAAACACAAAAATTAGCTGGGCATAGTGGCAGGCGCCTGTAGTCCCAGCTACTTGGGAGGCTGAGGCAAGAGAACTGCTTGAACCCAGGAGGCAGAGGTTGCAGGGAGCTGAGACGGTGCCACTGCACTCCAGCCTGGGCGACAGAATGAGACTGTCTCAAAAAAAAAATTAAAATTAAAAATAAAAATTATTTCACAGATTTTATATACACGTGTTTTTGTAAACACACAGAATATCTTTGAAAGGATATAAAAGAAACTGGTACAAATGGTTGGGGGACAGGTGTAGAAGGCTCACTTTCTGGCTGGGCGCGGTGGCTCACACTTTGGGAGGCCAAGGCAGGTGGATCACTTGAGGTCAGGAGTTCAAGGCCAGCCTAGCCAACATGGTGAAACCTGTCTCTACTAAAAATACAAAAATTAGCCCGGTGTGGTATCGTACACCTGTAATCCCAGCTACTAGGGAGGCTCAGACACAAGAATTGCTTAAACCCAGGGGGCAGAGATTGCAGTGGGTCAAGATCACGGCACTGCACTCCAGCCTGGGCGACAGAGCCAGACTCCGTCTCAAAAAAAAAAAAAAAAAGGAAAAAAAAAAGCTCCCTTTTAACTGTGTATTCTTTTGTAAATCATTAAAAGTAAATAAAAATAATTACTTCATAAATACCAAACAATAACTTTTGCTAGAAGTATGAGGCTTGTTTATTTTAAAGGGACATCTTGAGTTATAACACACTAACCTTTCAAAACACACATATTTTCATTCCTCAAGCCTTTGTTTCTGCTGTTCCCTCAGCTTGGATTATCCACTCCTCCTTACTCTCCCCACATCTCCCTCAAAATCTGACAATTTATGTAATTTTTCAGTTTACCAAGTATTTTTAGATATACGATTGAATTTTTGCTTTCCAAGCAAAAAAGACACAGTAAGTATTATTATTATTTTTTGAGACGGAGTCTTGCTCTGTCGGCCAGGCTGGAGTGCAGTGGCACAATCTTGGCTCACTGCAAGCTCCGCCTCCCGGGTTCACGCCATTCTCCTGCCTCAGCCTCCGGAGTAGCTGGGACTACAGGTGCACACCACCATGCCCAGCTAATTTTTTTGTGTTTTTAGTAGGGACAGGGTTTCATCGTGTTAGCCAGAATGGTCTCAATCTCCTGACCTTGTGATCCGCCCGCCTCAGCATCCTAAAGTGCTGGGATTACAGGCTTGAGACACCGCACCCGGTGTTAAGTATAATTATTTTCATCCTCATATAATAAATAAGAAAACTGAGGTTGGAAAACTTCACAATTATTAAGCTTCAGAGCTAGAATTGAAATGTACTTCTAACAGGTCCAGTGTTCCTTCTACTTTTTTAAGCTATGAAATCCTATACATTTAATTAGGCAACTGGACAAAAATATACACAAAAGAGTGTTATTTACAATATCCACAAATTGTAAATAACCTATGTGTTAAAAAATAGAGGATCAAGTTATGGCACACTCATACAACCATTATGTAAAGACAGGCGCTGTGGCGTGCACCTGTAGTCCCAGTTACTCAGGAAGCAGAGGTAGGAGGCTCCCTTTGAGCCCAGGAGTTTGAGGGTACAGGGAGCTACGATGGCGCCACTGCACTCCAGGCTGGGCGACAGAGCCAGACCCTGTCACAAAAAAGAAAGGAAAGAAAGAGAGAAAGAAAGAAACAAACAATGAATAAAAGAAAGAGAGAAAGAGCATCATACTAAAAAATTTATATATTACTACTAATAATAGATTAAATGCACTTTAAATGCTTACTATGTGCTGAATACTGGGCTAAATTTATTTTATATGTATTGTCTCATTTAATCCTCACAACCACCAATCTGCCCAAAGCCTTGCTGTTAATAATGCAGCAGAACTTGACTGGTATTAAAATCCAAAGCTCAGGCTGGGGACGGTGGCTCACACCTGTAATCCCAGCATTTTGGGAGGCCCAGGCAGGGGGATCGCCTGAGGTCGGGAGTTCGAGACCAGCCTGACCAACATGGAGAAACCCCGTCTCTACTAAAAATAACAGAATTCGCCGGGCGTGGTGGCGCATGCCTATAATCCCAGCTACTCGGGAGGCTGAGGCAGGAGAATCGCTTGAACCCGGGAGGTGGAGGCTGCAGTGAGCCGAGATTGCACCATTGCACTCCAGCCTGGGTAACAAGAGCAAAACTCCATCTCCAAATAAATAAATAAATAAAAATCCAAAACTCACGATCTTAACCACTAGATCACGCTATCGCAAGTACGAAGACCGTTTCTTTCACAATCACAAACATCTATGGGATACTTCTGAAAATTCTGTTCAAACTTCTCTTGCCCAGGTCTCTGTGTTCCTATAACAATGTGTATCTCTTACAGCACTTGCTTGGATCCATTTATGTACCTCTCACAGATCTTATGCTCCTGCAGGCCTGAAACTTAAGCCCACTTTCTATTTTTCATAGCTCCTGGTGCAGTGCTTTTTACTGTGTAGGCGCTCATTAGTATTAAACTGAATGTGCCTTTAACTTGGCTTGGGGTACGTTGAATTGAGGATGAGCGCTCACACAATATTAAGAATTTCTTTCCAAGAAATGTGCTCGGGTCAAACACAAGGCCTTTCTGTCCATGATCCGCCTGAAACCATGGTTTCCTTGTTTTCGCCTTTATCCCTTCTGCCTTGCCAGTCCTCCCCGCCAGCGGGGCCGAGAGCCCGGCGACTCTTGCGTGACCGAGCGGGCTCCGCTGCCTACGGCAGCCCACCCCCAGCCCCTGCTCTGAGGCACCGAGAAACGAGGAGGCCCGTGGCGAGTCTCCACGTGGGTACCGGCGCTCTCGGCGCCCGTAGCCACCCGCCCGCCGGAAGCCGACATCTCGAGTTCTGGCAGAAGCAATTTGCGCGGCGAGGAGCGGAGCGGCAGGAACCCAATAAGCTGCTTCGCCTCGGAGCTGAAGCCCGTACTCAAGATGGCGGCTCCGGGCGGGCGTGGCCAGTGACTAGAAGGCGAGGCGCCGCGGGACCATGGCGGCGGCGGCGGACGAGCGGAGTCCAGAGGACGGAGAAGACGAGGAAGAGGAGGTAGTAAGCGCTACGCCAAAAGCCTGCACCGCAGTGGCGGTGATGCCTGTGCTGGCTGTGTGTGGGGAAGGGAGTTGGGGAGCTGCGGGCCGGAGGGAGGCCCCACTGCTCCTCACCGGCTTCTTGCTCCTGGGCGCGAGGAGCCGGGCAGCTTGGGACCTTAGCCCTAATCGTCACCCCGTACTTGGGATGGGAAGTACCGGGAAGTTACCTTAGGTAGCGTAGTTTCCTCTTGCTGAAAACAGGGTCCGGTTTTCACAAATGTGGGAAATTTGGCTTCTTTTGCTAATTGCTCCCTCTTGGCCGCTCGCGTGCTAGCATGTTAACCCCTCTTTCTTTCACCAGGAGCAGTTGGTTCTGGTGGAATTATCAGGAATTATTGATTCAGACTTCCTCTCAAAATGTGAAAATAAATGCAAGGTTTTGGTGAGTTTTCTAGACTTGGGGGGATTGTTCTAGAGTGTCTTAAATGTAAAACAAGAATCAATGGTGAAATACCTATCCGCAAGTATTGATATATTTATTTCACCTTACAAAGTAGTGAACTCTAAGGATAAGAAGTATACTAAGTATAATTAATTAATATGTAATTAAGTATAATGTAGAAGTACAGCGGGGACTATGGGAGCAGATAGGAGAAAATGGCTAACTTTGCTTGCCTGTTTGAATGTGTGGCTGAAGAGAAAGTTACAGATTTGGAGGAAGTAACATTGTGATATGGAACCGTACATATATTCCTGTATTCTCAGCACTTTGGGAGGCAGAGGTGGGAGGATCACTTGAGCCCAGGAATTGGAGACCATCCTAGGCAACATAACGAGACCCCTTCTCTAAAATAATAATAAAAAAAAATGGCCAGGCGCGGTGGCTCACGCCTGTAATCCCAATACTGGGAGGCCGAGGCGGGTAGATCACGAGCCCAGGAGTTCGAGACCAGCCTGGCCAACATGGTGTAACCCCGTCTCTACTGAAATACAAAAATTAGCCAGGCATGGTGGTGGGCGCCTGTAATCCCAGCTACTCGGGAGGCCGAGACAGGAGAATCGCGTGATCCCTGGAGGCAGAGGTTGCAGTGAGCCGAGATCGCGCCACTGTACTCCAGCCTGGGCAACAAAGGGCAAAACTCCATCTCAATAAAAAAAAAAAATAATAATAATAATAAATTAGCTGGGGATGGTGGCATGCGCCTGTGGTCCCTGCTGCTCAGGAGGCTGAGGTGGGAGGATTGCCTGAACATGATCATGCCACTGCATTCCAGCCTGGGTGACAGAGCTAGACACTGTCTCAAAAAATAAATAGATGACAGATAGACTCTTTGCACTACTGTTGACAAAACTTCCTCTGTTTTTAGCTTACTCTTGAACAGGATGTTGATTGAAATAAACCTTGTTACTTGAGTATGAATTAAGTAGTCTTCAGGTTGTAACTGCTGTGATCAGAGCAGTTGTAGTTTATCCTGTACTTGGTAGGACAAGATGCTCTAGAGGTTCCCCAGTTTTGGAGATTAGTTTCCTTGGTAGCAAGGTTACAATGTTGAAGCCTTTTTCTAATTATGTTTTTTTTTTATGATCCTTTATTCTGTTGTAGGGCATTGACACTGAGAGGCCCATTCTGCAAGTGGACAGCTGTGTCTTTGCTGGGGAGTATGAAGGTAGGAGGATGTCAGATAGATGGAACTCTTTCTGATATGGGCTTTTCAGAGATGGTAGCTCTTCTCAACAATTTGCCTTTGTATTTTTCTGCAGACACTCTAGGGACCTGTGTTATATTTGAAGAAAATGTTGAACATGGTAAGTGATTGCTAGCCCAGCCCTTTTTAATACGAACTATTTCAATCATACTTAAGCATAATAAATATCTCATGTATCCACTGTCTAGCTGTATCATATCCTATCATTTTCCCAAACGTGACTCAGATTATAGTTAAAAAAAAAAAATGCCAGGCTGGGCCAGGTGGCTCAATCCTGTAATCCCAGCACTTTGGGAGGCCAAGGCAGGCAGGTTACTTGAGGCCAGGAGTTCGAGACCAGCCTGGCCAACATGGCAAAACCTCATTTATACTAAAAATACAAAAATTAGCTGGGTATGGTGGCATGTGCCTCCCAGCTACTCGGGAGACTGAGGCACGAGAATTGCTTGAACCTGGGAGGTGGAGGTTGCAGTGAGCCGAGATCGCACCAGTGCACTTCAGCCTGGGCAACAGAGCTAGATAAACTGTGTCTCAAAAACAAACAAAAGAACCCATTCCAGATACATTTGAAGTCCTTCTATCCCCCTTTCCAAACTTACTTCTTTCCCTCTGTCTTCAGAGATGATCACTCTCCTGAATTCTTTTTTTTTTTGAGACAGAGTCTCACTCTGTCACCCAGGCTGGAGTGCAGTGGTGCAATCTTGGCTCACTGCAACCTCCACCTCCCAGGTTCAAGCAGTTCTCCTGCCTCAGCCTCCCGAGTAGCTGGGATTACAGGCGCCTGCCACCACGCCTAGGTAATTTTTCTATTTTTGGTAGAGACAGGGTTTCGCCATGTTGGCCAGGCTGATCTCAAACTCCTGACCTCAAGTGATCTGCCTGCCTCGGCCTCTCAAAGTGCTGGGATTACAGGTGTGAGCCACCACTCCTGGCCAAGGAATAAAAGAAGGGCTACTTCATAGGCAGAGCAGCCTACTTTCTAAAGTATGGTATCAATTTATACTCACAGTAGCAATGTATGGAAGTGTCTGTGCTTCATATCCTTGGCTCAAGGGCCTTATCCTCCGTCCTGCCTAGGCATACAGTTTTCTGAAAGTTTCAACTCCAGGCAGCAGGTTGGCAGCAATTTTTTTCCTCAGGCTTTCATGATTGAGAATGTCCCTACTCCATACTTTGGCTTCAGGTAGTAAGTCTGACTTTGGTCCTTAATTTGATTGGTAGAATTTTAGATCCCAATACGCTGTAGGGTAAAATTCCTGGCCCCAATTTCCATTTCAAGGATGAAGCCTGTTAGACCTATGGGTTTAATCTCACTCATAACTCTGTGTTTCTGTCCCTTGAAGATGTTTGTTACTTTTGAATCCAGTTGTGCTTTCAACTGTTAACGTATTTTTTTTTTTTTCTTGAGACAGTTTTGCTTTTGTTGCCCAGGCTGGAGTGCAGTGGCACAATCTCTGCTCACTGCAACCTCCGCCTCCTGGGTTCAAGCATTTCTCCTGTCTCAGCCTCCCGAGTAGCTGGGATTACAGGCGTGTGCCACCATGCCCAGCGAATTTTTTGTATCTTTAGTAGAGACGGGATTTCATCATGTTGGCCAGGCTGGTCTCAAACTCCCGACCTCAGGTGAACCACTCGCCTCGGCCTCCCAAAGTGCAGGGATTACAGGTGTGAGCCACCGTGCCCAGCCTGTTAATGTATTTTATCTATCATTTTTCTATGCTTGGAGCAGGAGGGATGAGTTATACCTTGAATTTACTACACTATCTTGACAGGAAGTAGTTTAATCTGACTCCCTACACTGGAATTACTAAGGCTTCATCTTTGTTTTATTTGATGGCATAAGAAGTATAATAATGTTGTTCATTTCTGTTCCAGCTGATACAGAAGGCAATAATAAAACAGTGCTAAAATATAAATGCCATACAATGAAGAAGCTCAGCATGACAAGAACTCTCCTGACAGAGAAGAAGGAAGGAGAAGAAAACATAGGTTAGTTCCATTATTCTCTGAAAACAGGTGATCCAGTACTGGCTTTGACAATGATACATTGATGCCAGGATAGTCCTTGTACTTTTTAGTAATAACTATACATGATTTTTGTTTTTTCAGACAGTCTTGCTCTGTCACCCAGGCTGGAATGCACTGGCACAATCTCGGCTCACTGCCACCTCCGCCTCCTGGGCTCAAGCAATTCTCTTTCCCCAGGCTCCTGAGCAACAGGGATTACAGGCACCCACCACCACGCCCAGCCAATTTTCTTTTTTTTTCTTTTTTCTTATCCAGACGAAGTCTCGCACTGTCGCCCGGGCCGGAGTGCAGTGTCGCGATCTCGGCTCACTGCAACCTCCGCCTCCCGGGTTCAAGCGATTCTGCTGCCTCAGCCTCCGGAGTAGCTGGGACTACAGGCACGCACCACCAGGGCCAGCTAATTTTTGTATTTTTAGTATAGACGGGGTTTTACAGTGTTGGCCAGGATGCTCTCAATCTCTTGACGTCATGATCCGCCCGCCTTGGCTTCCCAAAGTGCTGGGATTACAGGCGTGAGCCACCGGTGCCTGGCCACGCCCGGCTAATTTTTTTTAGTAGAGACCGGATTTTACCGTGTTGGCCAGGCTGGTCTTAAACTCCTGACCTCAAGTGATCCACCTACCTTGGCCTACAAAGTGCTGCAATTACAGGTGTGAGCCACTGTGCCTGGCCTCATAATATGTTTAATATATTAAAATTGAGGGTACTCCATCTAAAGTACCAAGCAGAGTTAAAATTCAGTTGAACTCTCATATAGCTTAGGGCACTGGGGACATAGAAATCTTTTATCTGCTTGGCACTGGAAATGACTGAGGAGTTTTTGAAGAAACTTGGTATCTAAGCCCTAGGGAATTCAGTAGTGCTTCTCTGTCTCTCTCTTCTCCTTCTCCCTCTCCCCTCTTTAATTAAAAACTTCCTTGTATCTTTTTGTAGTTCATAAGCATGATGATTATGTTTTTACATTCATGTGTAAGATGTGCCTCCCTCAAACCTTGTTATGATGTCAGCATATTACCTGTCTGATGTGTGGGGGGAAAAAACTTCCTTGTGAGCAAAGTGGATATGATCACAATAGTTCTGAATTCCCAAGGTGAAATCCCCTGGAAACTTCTGGCAGCTGCAGCAGCCTTCAACAGGCTCACATCTGGAAAAAGCTGGCTTTTTTTTTTTTTTTTTGGAGACAGTCTCGCTCTGTCACTCAGGCTGGAGTACAGTGGAGCCATCTTGGCTCACTGCAATCTCCACCTCTTGGGTGCAAGCGATTCTCCTGCCTCAGCCTCCCGAGTAGCTGGGATTACAGGCATGCACCACTAGGCCTGGATGATTTTTGTATTTTTATTAGAGACAGGGCTTCGCCATGTTGGCCAGGCTGGTCTTGAACTCCTGACCTCAGATGATCAACCTGCCTCGGCCTCCCAAAGTGCTGGGATTACAGGTGTGAGCCACCGCCCCTGGCCAAAAGCTGGCTTTAAATGTGGGGGAGACTGTAGGACCACAGTTGTTAGTCCTCAGTCTAGTTTTTGTTATTATTATTAAATTATTTTATTTGAGACAGGGTCTCACCCTGTCACCCAGGCTGGAATGCAGTGGTGTGATGTTGGCTCACTGTGACCTCTGCCCCCCATCCCCCTACCTCAGCCTCCCCAGTAGTTGGGACCACAGGCGTGTTCCACCATGCCTGGCTATTTCTTTTTTTTGTTTTTGTTTTCTTTTTTTTTGAGATGGAGTTTCACTCCGTCGCCCAGGCTGGAGTGCAGTGGCGCGATCTCTGCTTACTGCAACCTCCACCTCCCAGGTTCAAGCGATTCTCCTGCCTCACCCTCCTGAGTAGCTGAGACTACAGGCGCATGCCACCATGCCCAGCTAATTTTTGTATTTTTAGTAGAGACAGGGTTTCACCATGTTGGTCAGGCTGGTCTGGAACTGACTTCATGATCTGCTTGCCTCAGCCTCCCAAAGTGCTGGGATTACAGGCATGAGATGCTGCACCCAGCCTTTGTATTTTTAGTAGAGACGGAGTCTCACCCTGTTGCCTGGGCTTGCCTAGAACTCCTGAAGAGACCACTGTGCCCAGCCTTTCTTTTCCTTTTGACGTTTTTCTTTTTTTCTTTCCTGGAGACAGAGTCTTACTCCATCCCCCAGGCTGGAGTGCAGTGGCGTGATCTCAGCTCACTGCAACCTCTGCCTCCCAGGTTCAAGTGATTCTCATTCCTCAGCCTCCTGAGTAGCTGGGATTACAGGTGCCCACCACCACGCCCGGCTAATTTTTAGTAGAGACGGAGTTTTTTTTCTTTTTTTTTTTTTTGGAGACGAATTTCGCTCTTGTTGCCCAGGCTGGAGTACAGTAGTGCGATCTCGGCTCACTGCAACCTCCGCCTCCTGGGTTGAAGTAATTCTCCTGCCTCAGCCTCCTGAGTAGCTGGGATTACAGGCACGCACCAGCACGCCCAGCTAATTTTGTATTTTTAGTAGAGAGATGGGGTTTCTCCATGTTGGTCAGGCTGGTCTCGAACTCCCGACCTCAAGTGATCCGCCCACCTCAGCCTCCCAAAGTTTTGGGATTACAGGTGTGCACCACCGCACCCAACCTTTTTTTTTTTTTTTTTTTTTTAAATAGAGACAGGATCTTACTATGTTACCCAGCTGGTCTCAAACTCCTGGGCTCAAGTGATCCTCCTGCCTCAGCCTCCCAAAGTGTTGGGATTACAGTGATGAGTTCTTAATTTGCATCCACTTATTCTTCTTCACTTGCTAGTCACCACATACTAGAGACTTTTAGACTAGTGCTTCTTTCACCTGAAGCAGACACGTTTGTGGAGTTGAAAAAATAATAATTTGATGGTTTAAAAGTTCACTGCTCAACAACATATTTGAAACTCTAGTAAATAAGATTCTCATGATGAGTATAGCTTAACAAGGAATAAACATTTGAAGGTACATTGATCTTATAAAATTAATTGTATCATCTATATACAACTATATAATAAACCCTTGTTCCTATTATGTATATCCCTGAACTATCCCCTTTTTTAGGCACCTTGTAATAATTATAAGAAGAAAGAGGTACTAGGTTCTAGAATAAACTTGAAAGGCTGACTTGTATCATAAGCTTAGCTATCATTGGGATATTCTTATTAGAGTGAGTTTCCTCTTCCTAGTCTTTAATAATCTGACAGATCTTTGGGAATATTTGGGTGTTTTGTTTAGTCAAGTAAATGAGCAACCAACAATTCGAGTCTGCATTGGTTACCTACTGCTGCATAACAAATTATCCCTAAACTTGACAGCTTAAAACAACAACAAAAAACCAGTATCTTACAGTTTCCGTGAATCAGGAATTTGGGAGCAGTTTAGGTAGGTGGTTCTGGCTCCAGGTCTCTGATAAGGTTGCAGTCAAAATGTTATCTAGGCTGCAGTCATCTGAAGGCTTGACTAATGCTGGAAGTAAAATGGCTTATTCATATGGCTTGTAAATTTGTTTTGGTTGTTGGCAGGAGGCCTCAGTTCCTTGACATGTTGTCCTCCTCACAAGACTGTTTGAATGTCCTCCTGATATGGCAGCTGGCTTCTCTCAGATAAAGTATTCCAAGAAAACAAGGTAGAAGCCACAGTGTCTTTTATGAACTAGCCTTAGAAGTCACAGTCTTGGCTAGGCGTGGTGGCTCACACCTGTAATCCCAGCACTTTGGGAGGCCAAGGCAGGTGGATCACTTGAGGTCAGGAGTTCAAGACCAGCCTGGCCAATATGGTGAGACCCCCCATTTCCACTAAAGATACAAAAAATTAGCCAGGTATGGTGGCATGCACCTGTAATCCCAGCTACTCGGGAGGCTGAGGTGGGAGAATTGCTTGAACCCAGGAGGCGGAGGTTGCAGTGAGCCGAGATCATGCTACTGCACTCCAGCCTGGGTGACAAAGTGAGACTCCATCTCAAAGAAAAAAAAAGTCACAGTCTTGTCATTTCCACAATATCCTATTCAGTATGGGACAGGACTACACAGGGGCATGAATACCAGGAAGGTGAAGATCATTGGGGACCATCTTGCAGTCTGGCTACCAAACACGGCTACATGCTGGAGGCAAAACAGGACAGAGGAAGTGTGACCGTTACCTTCTAGGAACTTGCATTCTAAAGTAAATTACATTGAAACAGACATGGATGAATAAGAGTGAACATCAAATTCATTCTATTTTAAGTACTGTGCTAAATAACAGAATAAAGGAAAGCTTCAAGATTTTGAGTCTGGCTGACTAGGAGAACGATGTTATTGCGGGAAAAAAATATGAATATCTATAGTTGAAGCTGAATTGGAAGAAAAAGGACTAATAACCAGGCGCAGTGGGTCATGCCTGTGATCCCAGCACTTTGGGAGGTGAGGCGGGTGGATGGCTTGAAGTCAGGAGTTCGAGACCAGCCTGGCCAACATAGTGAAATTCCGTCTCTATTGAAATACAAAAATTAGCCAGGCATGGTGGCACACACCTGTAATCCCAGCTACTCGGGGGGCTGAGGCACAAGAATCGCTTGAACCAGGGAGGCGGAGGTTGCACTGAGCCAAGATCGTACCCACTGCACTCCAGCCTGGGTGACAGAGCGAGACTTTGTCTTAAAAAAAAAAACATTGTAGGGAAGTGATAAGTTTCCTTGAAGGCATGAGATGGCAGAGAGTGCTCAAATTATTTCTTAGAATGAGCTGAGAACTGAACTCTGGAAAAAGGCATGGAATAGTAATCAAAGTTGGTAACGTAGTGATTTTGATGGTACCTACCTAATAGGCATTCCAAGGTCTCCAGAGAAGATGCAAATTATATTTTATCAGTAGTTACAGACACCATATTCCTTGGTTTATGTTAGGCTTTCAGTTTGACATGTATTCATAGGATAGAAATTTAAATTAAAGAAAAATATACTAAAATTCATTTTTTGTTTCTTTTTTTGTTTATTCCTCATCCCCTCCAAATTAGGTGGGGTGGAATGGCTGCAAATAAAGGATAATGATTTCTCCTATCGACCCAACATGATTTGTAACTTTCTACATGAAAATGAAGACGAAGAAGTGGTAGCTTCAGCCCCAGATAAATCTTTGGAATTGGAAGAGGAAGAGATTCAAATGAACGACAGTTCAAACCTGAGTTGTGAACAGGAGAAACCAATGCACTTGGAAATAGAAGATTCTGGTCCTCTTATTGATATACCTTCTGAGACAGAAGGTTCTGTTTTTATGGAAACTCAAATGCTGCCTTAGAAATCACTCCTAGATGAAATGTTTCTCATAATAACTTGTCAAGAACTTTTTAGAGTTGTTACATAAAAATAATTGCTGTGTAGCTTTCAGTCTTTTAATATTTTATTGCATTTTATTGGCTATACACACATATCCAGTCATAACACAACTTATTGTACCAGAATCATTTGGGACCAGACATGAGTTGGATTTTTAAAATACAGTTTAGGCTGGGTGCAGTGGCTCACACCTGTAATCTCAGCACTTTGGGAAGCTGAGGTGGGAGGATCACTTGAGCAGCCTAGGAGTTTGAGACCAGTCTGCGTAACATAGGGAGGCCCTGTCTCTACAAAAAGTTTTTTAGAATTAGCTGGACATAGTGTCGTGTGCCTATGGTACCAGCTACTGGGCAGCTGACGTGGGAGGATGGCCTGGGACTGGGAACTCGAGGGTGCAGTGAGCTGTGTTTGCACCTCTGTACTCTCGCCTGGGTGACACAGTGAGACCGTCTCAAAAAATAAGTAAAATGAGGCCGGGCGCGGTGGCTTACGCCTGTAATACCAGCACTTTGGGAGGCTGAGGTGGGTGGATCATGAAGTCAGGAGATCAAGACTATCCTGGCTAACACGGTGAAAACCCGTCTCTACTAAAAATACACAAAATTAGCCAGGCGTGGTGGGGGCGCCCGTAGTCCCAGCTACTTGGGAGGCTGAGGCAGGAGAATGGCGTGAACCCGGCAGGCGGAGCTTGCAGTGAGCTGCGCCACTGCAATCCAGCCTGGGCGACAGAGCAAGACTCTGTCTCAAAAAAAAAAAAAGTAAAATGAAATATTTTTAAATGACTTTAGGGACCCTTCTGAGTCCTTTAAATTCAAGGTTGTATTAAGGTAAGTATATAAAGTTTTCCTTTGAGGCTGTTACAAATTACTACAAACTCAGTGACTTAACACAAATGTACTCTCTTATAGTTTTGTAGGTGAGAAGTGTGACGCGGGTCTTACCTGGGCTAAATTCAAGGTGCTGGCAGGAATGCATTCCTTTATGGAGGTTTTGGGGTAGGGGGCAAATCCATTTCCTTGTTTATTTAGTTGTTGGCAGAATTCAGTTCTTTGCAGTTAAAGGATCAAAGTCTCCTTTCCTTGTTGTCTGTTAGCTGAGGGTCATTTCTAGCTTCTGAAGGCTGCCTTCATTCCTTGGCTCATGATCCCCTTTTCTTCAGAGCCTGCAATAGTGGGTGAAGTCCCTCTCCCATTTTGAATCATTCCTGTTACTTCTATCATCCCTCTCTCTGACCTACCCTTCTGTCTTCCATTTCCACTGTTAAATGTCTATTTGATTACTCTGGGCCCACTTGGATAATCTCCCTTTTTTTTTTTGAGACAGTCTCACGCTGTTGCCCAGGCTGGAGTGCAGTGGCAAGATCTCTGCTCACTGCAAGCTCCGCCTCCCGAGTTCACGCCATTCTCCTGCCTCAGCCTCCCGAGTGGCTGGGACTACAGGTGACCACCACCATGCCTGGCTAATTTTTTTTTTATTTTTAGTAGAGACGGGGTTTCACCGTGTTAGCCAGGATGGTCTCGACCTCCTGACCTCATGATCCACCCGCTTCTGCCTCTCAAAGTGCTGGGATTACAGGCGTGAGCCACCGCGCCTGGCCTGATAATCTGCCTATTTTAAGGTTGATAACTTTTTTTTTTTTTTTTTGAGACAGAGTCTCGCTCTGTTGCCCAGGCTGGAGTGCAGTGGCTCAATCTTGGCTCACTGCAAGCTCTGCCTCCCGGGTTCACGCCATTCTCCTGCCTCAGCCTCCTGGGTAGCTGGGACTACAGGCGCCTGCCACCACGCCCGGCTAATTTTTTATATTTTTAGTAGAGACAGGGTTTCACTGTGTTAGCCAGGATGGCCTCGATCTCCTGACCTCATGATCCACCCGCCTCAGCCTTCCAAAGTGCTGGGATTACAACCGTGAGCCACTGTGCCCGGCCAACTTTTTTTTTTTTCTTTTGAGACAAGGTCTCGCTCTGTCACCCAGGCTGGAGTGCAGTGGTGTGACCACAGCTTACTGCAGCCTTGAACTCCCAGGCTCAAGCAATCCTCCCACCTCAGCCTCCTGAGTAGGTGAGACTACAGGCACGCACCAACATGCCTGGCTGTGTTTTTTTTAATTTTTTTTGAAGAGATGGGGTCTCATTATGTTGCCCAGGCTGGTCTTGTACTCCTGGGCTCTAGTGATCCTCCTGTCTTAGCCTCTGGATGTGCTGGGATTACAGGCATGAACCACTGCACCCAGCCAAAGGTGTATAACATTAATTCTGGCCAGGTGCAGTGGCTCACACCTGTAATCCCACCACTTTGGGAGGCCGAGGTGGGCAGATCACAAGGTCAGGAGATTGAGACCAGCCTGGCCAACATGGTGAAACCCCATCTCTACTAAAAATACAAAAATTAGCCAGGTGTGGTGGTGCACACCTGTAATCCCAGCTACTCAGGAGGCTGAGGCAGGAGAATTGCTTGAACCTGGGAGGCGGAGGTTGCAGTGAGCTGAGATTGCACCACTGCACTCCAGCCTGGGTGACAGAGTGAGACTCCGTCTCAAAAAAAACCCCAAAAAACCAAAAAACATTAATTCCATCTGCAAAGTCTCTTTTGCTAGGTCATTTAACATACACAGGCATTAATACTAGGGATTAGGGCATGGAAATCTTTGGGGCCTATTTTTAGTCTACAACAAAGTATTTTATCAAGAAAAATAATTCCCACTTGAGAAAGATTATTGGAAGTCAGCTGTATTAGTCATTTTATTATGGCAGTAAAATAAATCTGTGCTAGTTTATATTTTTTAAGTAAATTATTCACTCTTTGATACTTTGATACTTTGTTGAGCTGTGTAAAATTGCTAATATTTGATTGTTTCCAACTACAAAACAACAGCAATTTCCTATAGTTTAACCTAGTACCAGTAAGTTAAAACATACCTCATGTTAATTACATCTCACAATTGATGGAGATATAGCTATTTTAACAGATTAAAGAGCTAATGTTCTAGGATGAAGAATTTTTTTTTTTTTTAAATCAAGTTCTGGCTCTATCACCCAGGCTGTAGTGCAGTGGCACAATCTGGGCTCACTGCAACCTCCACCTCGTGGGCTTAAGCCATCCTCCCACCTCAGCCTCCCTAGTAGCTGGACTACAGGGGTGTGTGACCACACCCAGCTTATTTTTGTATTTTTTGTAGAGATAGGGTTTTGCCATGTTGCCCAGGCTGGTCTCAAACTAGTGAGCTCAAGTGATCCTCCTGCCTTGACAAAGTACTATAATTACAGGTGTGAGCCATCATGCCTGGCCCAAAGAATTTTTTCTTCAAAAAGTTTTGTATTTAATTGGAAAATACCTTAATAAAAAGCATTTTCAAATCATAAGCAGATGATTATAAGCATAATCTTTCCAATGTCTGTATGACTTTTTAATTTTTTTACTTTTGAGATAGTCTGTCACTCTTGTTGCCCAGGCTGGAGTGCAGTGGCACGATCTTGGCTCACCACAACCTCGGAGGTTCAAGCGATTCTCATGCCTCAGCCTCCCAAGTAGCTGGGATTACAGGCACATCCCTCCATGCCCAGCTAATAATTTATGTGACTTTTTTTTTAGTCTCAGCTTTTAGTGAACAGCTTATTGTTCCCCCTATATGTATGTATAGGAGAGAATGCTAATTGCCTGACCCAATTATCTATTCTCCCTTTTTGGCTTTGTATCAGAATCCCAGAATGTATTCAGGTTAGCAACGTGCCTAGCTTTCCTTGCAGATATATGTGGTCATATGACTAAGTTCCGGCATTGACATGGAATAAGAAGTGCTGAGTGATGGAAAAAAAAAAACAAAAACAAAAAACCAAGAAAAAAACAAGTGCTGACTGGTGCTTCTGGGAAGTTTCCTTTAACTTAAAGGCTTAAGAGGAAGCAGCAGGGCTCATCTGTTCCTGCTGGAACATGGATGTGGTAGCTAGAGCTCCATCCAGCAGCATTCTTGGACTTCAAAGTAACTTTGGAAATAGAAGTCATGAATGGCAGAGCAGCAATATAGAAGACTGGGTCCTGATACTGTGAGATTACCCAGTACTGCTATGAGTAAAGGGTTAATAAAATCCTTTCTCTCTCCCTGGTGAAATGACCTCGAATTTGGCTTTCAGCACTGTTTCTCTGGAAACCTACTAGGCAAGGTAATAATGGAATGTCAGCTGTAATATTAGGCAATATTGTTTATGATTAAAAATGAGCCCTTAGCTGGGCACGGTGGCTCACACTTGTAATCCCAGCACTTTGGGAGGCCAAGATGGGTGGATCACTTGAATCCAGGAGTTCGAGACCAGCCTGAGTGGCATGGCAAAACCCTCTCTAAAAAAACACACAAAAAAGTAGCTGGGCATGGTGGTGCATGCCTGTAGTCCTAGTTACTTAGAAGGCTGAGGCAAGAGGATTGCTTGAGCCTAGGAGGTGGAGGTTGCAGTGACCCGAGATCACACCATGCCACTGTACTACAGGGCAGGACTGTGTCTCAAAAAAAAAAAAAAAAAAAAAAAAAAAAAAAAAGACACCTTATTGGTAAACTATCTGGACCAGGAAGACTAACACGTACTACAAATGCCCATTCAAAACATGGGCTTTGGGATTCCTTAAGTGTGGTGTTCCTTATTGCAAATATTTCTGGAAGCAATACTCATGTACTGTTTCAACAGGAATTGGTTTTTCTGGAGCATAAAGCTTCTAAGCCAGGTGGCTTCTGCACCCACCGAAAATGATCTTGTTTCTTTACCCCTCAGCTGACACTTGGGAGGCTGGAGTAAAGACTCCTGCAGAAATAAGTCTCATGCTGCTGTGTTGCTGTGCTGTTCCTTGTTCTGTATCCTGGAATACTAAGTGAGCTGGGTGCCAGATTGGGTTCCACAAGGCTTGTTGGGGTCCTGTGATTGTGAATGTCTTTCCAAACCTGTAGCTATTGCTGCTGTTTAGGCAGAGAAGGCAGAGGCTTTGCCACTTTCTACCTAAGAGAGAAATAAGCTACTCTCTTCGTTAGGTCACTCTCTGTAATAGCCAAACATAATACTAATTGATACATATGTATTTTATTTATTTATTTTTATTTTTTGAGATGGAGTCTTCTCTCTGTCGCCCAGGCTGAAGTGCAATGGCGCAATCTCGGCTCAGTGCAACCTCTGCCTCCTGGATTCAAGCAATTCTCCTGCCTCAGCCTCCCGTGTAGCTGGCATTACAGGCGTGCACAATCATGCCCGGCTAATTTTTTGTATTTTTAGTAGAGACGGGGTTTCACCATGTTGGCCAGGCTGGTCTCCAACTCCTGACCTCAAGTGATCCACCCGCCTTGGCCTTCCAAAGTGCTGGGATTACAAGCGTAAGCCACCACACCCGGCCTGATACATATGTATTTTAGAAAACATGAAAAATATTAAAAAGTAGGCCAGGCGTGGTGGCTTATGCCTGTAATCCCAGACTTTGGGAGGCCAAAGCAGGAGGACTGCCTAAACTAGGAGTTCAAGACCAGCCTGGGCAAGATAGCAAGACCTCATCTCTATTAAAAGTATAAAGAAGTGGAATATTCTTGAGATTTGTAATCTTGCAAAAGAAACTCATCTACACGATAGTGTAGTTCTACCTTAAATTGAAGAGGAAAATAAAATCTTAAATTCTGACGAAAACATACATGTTAAGCTCCTTACCTATTTATAAGTGTTTCAAATTTAGTAAAATAAAGTCTTATTTTTTAACTATGTAATATTTTGTGAGACTAGAATTTCATTTATGAATTTCTTTGCCATTTAATTGCCTTAGTAACTCACTAGGATTACTTAAAAGCTAATGTTAGAACCAGAGTCCCTGTATAGCTATCACACTAAGTACTACTTTTAAAAAAAAATTAAGTAATATTATTTTTAAAAAATAGAGAAGGGGTTTGGCCAGTTGCCCAGCCTGGTCTTGAGCTCCCGGGCTCAAGCCATCTGCCTGCCTCAGCCTCCCACTAAGTACTACTTTTGACACTGAATGCAGTGGATTGCTTTTGTTGACAAATAATACTTTTCAATTTAAAAGGATCATATCGTTGCCTGGGCGCAGTGGCTCACGTCTGTAATCCCAGCACTTTGGGAGGCCGAAGTCAAGGTAGGCAGATTGCTTGAGCCCAGGAGTTCGAGACCAGCCTGGACAACATGGAGAAACCCCATCTCTACAAAAAACATAAAAATTGGCCGGGCGCGGTGGCTCACGCCTGTAATCCCAGCACTTTGGGAGGCTGAGGCGGGTGGATCACGAGGTCAGGAGATCGAGACCATCCCGGCTATAACGGTGAAACCCCGTCTCTACTAAAAAAATACAAAAAATTAGCCGGGCGTAGTGGCGGGCGCCTGTAGTCCCAGCTACTTGGGAGGCTGAGGCAGGAGAATGGCGTGAACCCGGGAGGCGGAGCTTGCAGTGAGCCGAGATCGCGCCCCTGCACTCCAGCCTGGGTGACAGAGCAAGACTCCGTCTCAAAAAAGAAAAAAACATAAAAATTAGCTGGGCGTGGTGTTGCACACCTGCAGTTGCAGCTACTCAGGAGGCTGAGGTAGGAGGATCACCTGAGCCCAGGGAGGTCAAGGCTGCAATGAGCTGTGATCATGCCCCTACATTCCAGCCTGGGCAATAGAGCAAAACCTGTCTCAAAAAAAAAAAAAAAAAAAAAAAAAAAGCCGGGCGCAGTGTCTCACGCCTGTAATCCCAGCATTTTGGGAGGCCGAGGCAGGCAGATCACAAGGTCAGGAGATCGAGACCATCCTGGGTAACACGGTGAAACCCCGTGTAAAAAATACAAAAAAATTAGCCGGGCGTCATGGCAGGTGCCTGTAGTCCCAGCTACTCCGGAGGCTGAGGCAGTAGAATGGCGTGAGCCCGGGAGGCAGAGCTTGCAGTGAACCGAGATTGCGCCACTGCGCTCCAGCCTGGGCGACAGAGTGAGACTCCGTCTCCAAAAAAAAAAAAAAAAAAAAAAGATTGTATTGTTAAGGTGCATCATGGAGAATTATTCCTTAAGCCCATTATAAAAAATGTTTGCAGCTGGGCACGGTGGCTCACGCCTGTAATCCCAGCACTTTGGGAGGTCAAGGCAGGTGGATCATGAGGTCAGGAGATCGAGACCATCCTGGCTAACACAGTGAAACCCTGTCTCTACTAAAAATACAAAAAAATTAGCCGGGCGTGGTGGCATGCGCCTGTAGTCCCAGCTACTCAGGAGGCTGGGGCAGGAGAATCACTTGAACCCAGGAGGCGGAGGTTGCAGTGAGCCAAGA
Source organism: Homo sapiens (assembly GCF_000001405.40). Lineage (NCBI taxonomy): Eukaryota > Metazoa > Chordata > Mammalia > Primates > Hominidae > Homo > Homo sapiens. Next base: position 110,975,103 of record NC_000006.12, read on the forward strand.
TCACGCCACTGCACTCCAACCTGGGCAACAGAGCGAGACTCCATCTCAAAAAAAAATGTTTGCAACTCCACTCATTTATTCATTATGTACTGCACAGCTGATCATAAATTTATGGATAGACAGCCAGCTCAGTGAAACTACTGACGATATATACTTTTCTATTTGTATAGCAGCAGTTTTTAATTTTTTAGAATCTCTTATTTCCTCTTGTTCCAATAGCTTATGTGAAAATATTCAACTTTCCTAATATGTCTAAGGTTTACATGGAATTATCTTCCAGAAATGTTTGTATTGATTTTGGAGATGAATTTGCTATATTTTATGACTTTGACCATTATTTCCCTGTGGAATGAGAAAATGCTGTTTATAAAATTGCCCATAAGTACATTTTACTTTATTAATACAGTACAAAGTAAATATACACCTTTGTTAATGTCAATTTGTAGCTGGTAGTTACTGATAGTTGGTATATGGGTTCAAGGCAGCCATACACATGCATCTTTTTTTTTTTTTTTTTGAAACAGAGTCTCACACTGTCACCAAGGTTGGAGTGCAGTGGCACAATCTCTGCTCACTGCAACCTCTGCCTCCCAGGCTCAAGTGATCCTCCTACCACAGCCTCCCAAGTAGCTGGGACCACAGGCACATGCCATGACGCCCAGCTAATTTTTTGTATTTTTTGGTGGAGATGGGGTTGCACCATGTTGCTCAGGCTGGTTTTGAACTCCTGAGCTTAGGAGATCCACCTCCCTCAGCCTTCCAAAGTGCTGGGATTACAGGTGTGATCCACGGAGCCCGGCCATACTTGTGTATCATTAATAAGAAGGTGAAAATAGTAGAGGTTCTAGTTTTCTCAGATGCAAAATAAGATCTCTTTTACTATCATGTATGAAAAATTTTATTTTGTACTCTTATTTCATGCTCCCATTTGGGAACTGTATTATTTTCCACTATTGCTGTAACAAATCACCACAAACTAGTGGCTTAAAACAACATCAATTTATTATCTTACAGTTCAGGAGGTCAAATTCTTAGTTCAAGGCTGGGCGTGGTGGCTAACGCCTGTAATCCCAGCACTTTGGGAGGCCAAGGTCAGGAGTTTTGAGACAGGCCTGGCCAACATGGTGAAACCCTGTTCTCTACTAAAAATACAAAAAAAATTAGCTGGGCATGGTGGTCTATGCCTGTAATCCTAGCTACTCAGGAGGCTGAGGCAGGAGGATTGCTTGAACCCAGGAGGCAGAGGTTGCAGTGAGCTGAGATCATGCCACTGCACACTCCAGCCTAAGCAACAGAGTGAGACTCCATCTCAAAAAAAAAAAAAAGACAAAAAACAATTGTAAGTTCCAGTGTTATGGGGCTAAAATCAAGATCTCTTTCCTTGCTTTTTCCAGGTTATAGAGGCTGCCTGAATTCCTTGGTTTGTAGCTCCTTCCTCCATATTCAAAGCCAGCTGCATTACATCTTCTCTCTCTCACTCTGACCTCTGCTTCCATTATCACATTTCCTTCTCTGACTCTTAAACTTCTGCCTCCCTCTTATAAAGTCCATTGTCATTAGATTGGTGCTCATCTGGAAAATCCAAGATAATCTCCCTATTTAAAGATTCTTAGCTGGTCCTGCCGCAGCCTCCTGGGTGGCTGGGATTACAGGCTCCTGCCAGCATGCCTGGCTGATTGATTTTTGTGTTTTTGGTGGAGGCTGGGTTTCACCATGTTGACCAGACTGGTCTTGGACTCCTGACCTCAGGAGATCTGCCTGCCTCAGCCTCCCAAAGTGCTAAGGACCATGTACTTTCTTATAGGGGGTGCTGCTCTAGTATTTGTTTGTATTAGCTTCTTTCAAAAGAATTTGTCAAGAATAACTTGACCTATATTTAGATTTATAAAATGTAACAATATTTTCTATACTTTTACTCAACTGTATCATACATTTTTTTAAATGGTGATTAGTAACTTTGTACTGTTAAATACTCATTTGGAATTTTTTCATGAGAGGCCAGTTCAAATTACATGTATATATCAAAACAACTACAATTTAAGGATAAATGAAATACAATTGTATTAACTTACAACAATTACTGAACATGTCAGTACAACATGTTACTGAAAAGTTATTAAGGGGAGAATGATAGGGACCATGCTATTCACAAATTATTTTCACGAAAATAAATACTTGAATTAATCAATTTAAGTGTGTGACACTTCTGAATATTTTGTTCATGTCATTCATTTGCTATGCAAATTCTTCACTGTGCAGTGTACTCCTATTTGTATTCTGATAATAATGAGTGGGTTAATAAAGTTTTACTGAAAAAAAAAATTCTTAGCCAGGTGCGGTGGCTCACGCCTGTTATCCCAGCACTTTGGGAGGCCGAGGCAGGTGGATCACAAGGTCAGGAGTTCAAGACCAGCCTGGCCAATATGATGAAACCCTGTCTCTACTAAAAATACAAAAATTAGCCAGGTGTTGTGGTGGGCGCCTGTAGTCTCAGCTACTAGGGAGGCTGAGGCAGGAGAATCGCTTGAATCTGGGAGGCGGAGGTTGCAGTGAGCTGAGATAGCACCACTGCACTCCAGCCTGGGTGACAGAGTGAGACTCCATCTCAAAAAAAAAAAAAAAATCCTTAATAACCGCTGCAAAATCTCACTAACATCACCACCAGTCCTGCCACTTAACAGCAGACATCACAAACTTTTCCAAAAAACTAAAGAGGAGGGAATACATCCCATCTGAATCTATTAGGCCAGTATTGATCCAATACCAAAGCCAAACAAAGATTCCACTAGAAAACTACAGGCCAATATGATGAATATAGACACAAAAATCCTCAGCAAACTATCAACAAACTGAACCCAGTAACATATAAAAAGGATCATACACCATGACCAAATAGGATTGATTCCAAGAATATAAGGTTGGTTGGACATATGAAAATCAGTGTAATACAAAATGTTAATAGAATAAAGGAAAAAACAACATGATCATCTCAATAGATGCAGAAAAAGCACACACAAAATCCAACACACTTGCATGATAAAAAGCATTCAACAAACTAGGAAAAGAAGTCAGGCCGAGTGCTGTGGCTCACTTCTATAATCTGAACACTGGGAGGCTGAGGCAAGGGGATTGCTTGAGCCTAGCCGTTTGAGATTAGCCTGGGCAACATGAGACCCCATCCCTATAAAAAATTTAAAAATTAGTGAGACGTGGTGGTGCATGCCTGTGATTTCAGCTACTCGGGAGGCTGAGGTGAGAGCACTGTTTGAGCCCAGGTCAAGGCTGCAGTGAGCTGTGTTCACACCACTGCACTCCAGTCTGGGCAACAAAAGGAGACTGTATCTCAAAAAAAAAAATCAATTGATAAAATAACATAAAAAAAAAGAAAAGAAAAATCCAAGCTGCCTTTGTTGCAGAAATTGAGAAATTGACCCTAAAATTCATATGGAAATTCAATCTTGCAAAAGAGAAAAATCATAAAAGTCACATTTCTTAGTTTCAAAACTTACTACAATGCTATATGGTAATCAAAGCTGTGGATCTAGCATAATGAAAACCAGACAGATCAATTAAATAGAATTGTGGGTCCAGAAATAAACCCTTACAATTATGGTCGATTGATATTGCAAAAGGATGCTAAGACAATTCAATGGAGAAAGAATAATCTTTTCAACAAATGATGCTGGGACAACTGGATATCCATATACAAAAGAATAAAGTTGAACCCCTATCTCACACCATATATCAAAATAAAAATGGACCAAAGGCTTAAATATAAGAGCTGCAATTAAAAATGTTTGAAAGAAGACATAGGGTAAATCTTTGTGATGTTGGAATAGGGAATGGCTTCTTAGATATGATACCAAAAGCACAGGCAACAAAAGGAAAAAATATGTAAACTGGGCTTCAACAAAGTTCAAAAGATCTGTGCTGAAAAGCACATTAACAACAAGATAACGCCTACTAAATGGGATAAATATTTGCAAATTATGTATCAGGTAAGGGACTTATATCTGGAATACATGAGAAAATATTAGAACTCAACAATAAAAGGACAACCCAATTTAAAAACCGGGCAAAGGATTTGGATAGGCATTTTTCCAAAGAAGATATAAAAATGGGTAATCAATCAGCACATGAAAACATGCTCACCATCATTTGCCTTGCCATCAAGGAAATGAAAATCACAATGAGATACCACTCATATCTGTTAGGATGGCTTAATAAAACAGATGGACAATGCTAAGTTTTGGTGAGGAGTGGAGAAATTGGAACCTTTGGTAGATAGAACAATGCTTCCTTCAACTCCCAGCCCAAAGATGTTGAGAACCCCCAGGTATCTGTGAATATGTTACTTTATATGCCCAGAAGGAATTTGCTATACGATTAAGGATCTTGAGATTATCATGGATTATCCAGGTGATGCCCATGTAATCACAAGGGTTTTATTAAGAGGGAGTTAGGAGTGTCAGAGCATCAGAGAAAAAGATGTGACAATGGAAGAAGTTCAACTGATGATCTTTGAAGATGGAGAAATGCCAAAGTATGCAGACAGTCTACAGAAGCTGGAAAAAGCCAAGAAACCGATTCTCCCCTGAAGCCTCCAGGTGGAATGTAGTCCTACTGACTTCTTCATTTTATTTATTTATTTATTTAATTTATTTATTTATTTACTTAAGAGACGGAGTCTTACTCTGTTGCCCAGGCTGGAGTGCAGTGGTGCGATCTCAGCTTACCGCAACCTCCACCTCCCAGGTTCCAGTGATTCTCTTGCCCCAGCTTCCCAAGTAGCTGGGACTAGAGGCGTGCCACCACGCCTGGCTGATTTTTTGTATTTTTAGTAGAGATCGGGTTTCATGGTGTTAGCCAGGATGGTCTTGATCTCCTGACCTCATGATCCGCCCACCTCAGCCTTCCAAAGTGCTGGGTACAGGTGTGAGCCACTGCTTCCGGCCTACATTTTAGACCTGCAAAACTGATTTCAGACTTCTGACTTCCTGAAGTATAAAATAATAAATGTGTGATAATTTGTTACAACAGAAATAGGAAACTAATACCAAACTCTCTTACATTGCTCATGGGAATTTAAGTGGTGCAGGTGCTTTGGAAAACAGTTTACCAGTGCCTCAAAATGTTACACTTAAGAGTCAGCATATGACCCAGCAATTTTTCTCCTAGAGAATTGAAAATGTATGTCCACACAAAAATTTGTACACTAATATTCAAAGCAGCTGGGTGTGGTGGCACGCGCTTGTGGTCCCAGCTACTCGAGAGGCTGAAGCACTAGAATCACTTGAACCCAGGAGATGGAGGTTGCAGTAACCTGAGATTGCATCACTGCACTCCAGCCTGTGTGACAGAGTGAGACTCTGTCTCAGAAACAAAACAAAGCAAAGCAAAACAAAACAAAAAAACACAAAGCAGCATAATCCATAATAGCCAAAAAATAGGAACCATTCAAATGTACATAAGCTGCCGGGTACAGTAGCTCACGCCTGTATTCCTAGCACTTTGAGAGGCCAAGGCGGGTGGATTACCTGAGCTCAGAAGTTCAAGACCAGCCTGGCCAACATGGTGAAACCCTGTCTCTACTAAAAAATACAAAAGTTAGCAAGGTGTGGTGGTGCGTGCATGTAATCCCAGCTACTTGGGAGGCTGAGGCAGAACTGCTTGAACCCGGGAGGTGGACGGCGCAGTAAGCCAAGATCGCACCACTGCACTTCAGCCCTGGCGACAGAGCAAGACTATGTCTAAAATAAAAAAAGTACCTAGGTTGATAAATGGATAAACAAAATGTGGTATATCCATACAAAGGAATATTATTCAGTCCTAACAAAATGGAAGTACTGATCCACGCTACATGTATGAACCTCAAAAAGATAGTGAAAGAAGTCAAACACAAAAGGCCATACGTTGCACGAAACCATTTATATATGTTCAGAATAGGCAAATCCATTGAACATAAAGTAGATTATTGGTTGCCAAGGGCTGGCAGGAGGGGGAAGTGGGGCATGGACTGCTACTGGGTGTGTGTGTCAGGGGGGTTCTTTTTGAGGTGATTAAATATTCTGGAATTAGTGGTGATATTTGCACATCTTTGTGAATACACCAAAAATCACTGAATTGTACACTGTAAAGGGGTACATTTTATGGTATGTGAAGTATATGGTAACTTAAAAACTGGGGAAAAATCACGAACAGCAGTACATTTTCTGCGCATCTTTTATGTACTAGGCAACTGTGGTAGTCATAAATTCTGTCACACAGATCGCATAGTTGTCAATAGTGCCCCTTTCACATCAATGTTTTTAGTGCTTATGTGAGTACCTACCGTGCAATCAATCAACCTTTCTAGCATCCTGGGATTCCTTGAAGAATAAAATCTGGTTTCTGAATACCTGACTCCAGGTATGCACACTAGCGCGTACATCAAACTGCGAGGGTCTATGTTATTTTATTTTATTTTTATTTTATTTTTGAGACGAAGTCTCGCTCTGTCACCCAGGCTGGAGTGCAGTGGCGCGATCTCCGCTCACTGCAACCTCCGCCTCCCGGGTTCAAGCAGTTCTCCCTGCCTCAGCCTCCCGAGTAGCTGGGGTTAGAGGCGCCCGCCACCACGCCCGGCTAATTTTTGTATTTTTAGTAGAGACGGGGTTTCGCCATGTTGGCCAGGCTGGTCTCGAACTCCTGTTATCAGGTAATCCGCCCGCCTGGGCCTCCCAAAATCCTGGGATTACAGGCGTGAGCCACCACGCCCGGCCAGTGTTACTTAAAAGTATTACCTCGCACCTGTAACTCCAGGAAAGAGCCGGGGCAAAAATCCGTAACCAAGACAACAGGGCGCGATTCCAATCAAGATGGCCGCCAGCGCCTCTAGACGCCCTCTACGAGGCCGTCCCCGGAAGTGGCGTTACGCGCAGCTTCCGGTTCCGCCTGTTCCGGCGCACGTAATCGCCGAGGGCACGTGCATGCCCCCTGGTTAAGAGTTGCAGGTAGCGGTAGCGATGGACACTCTGGATCGAGTAGTGTAAGTGCGCTGGGTCTCAGCCCCGGGGAGCGTTGGGGTGAAAGGGTCCCGTGATGAGGGTGGTACTGTCTCGGCCTCTCACTCTTCCTGGTTACCCCTCTAATTACCTGGGTGGGGGCCGATCGATCACCAGCCCGGGTCCTCCTCAGCGCGAGCTGCTTGCCAGGAGACAGTGGGGAAGCTCTCAAGTGGGAGCCGTGGGATGGGAGGGATGTGGGATTGAAGCGTTGGCCGCTTTTATCCTAGCCAGTTGAAAAACGTCTGACTTCCGAAGTATGAGACAGATGGTATAGTGGGGTTAGGAGCACAGCCCTCGGAATCCGACAGATCTGAGTGACAGTCTGGCGCGTCCACTTAAAGCTTTGTGACTTTGGGTCATTAAATATCTCTAAATCTTAGCTTATTCTGTAAAATAGCGCTCACCATAGTCATACTTCATAGAGCTGTGAGGGTTAGTTTCGAGAATGTATGTAGAGCCTTTGCTGCAGCACGTAGAAATGTTCATTAGTTTTTTCTTTTCCTTCCAACTTTGTACACTCCTCTGAGTTATCCTTGAATGATACCTGTTTTAAATTTGTTCAAGAATATTTGGGCTAAACAGCCCTGCTGTTACTTGCTGTGATTTTCTTGCTATTTACCTAAGTTAACATGTATCCAAAACGACAGTTTTAGTCATTCAGAGATTTTGCACACCTGCTATGCCTCTAGCTGTTTGGACTACAAAGAGTAGTTTACTAGGTATTGGGACTAGTTCACACGTTAATTGGGAGCAGGCAGCTAATAAAACATGTTAATTGCTATTTGCATTTGTTGCTGTTTAATGAGATACAAAAGATAGAATAATTTGTATCTTTATCAACCAGTAAATGATCAGAAGCTTTATATGTGACATTATATCTGGAGGAGTATTTTAAAAATCTACATGGGAAACTTAAGTGTATGTATGGTCTCTTTTTCTTCCCAAAGTGTCCATGGGACTGGACGAGGGAGGGTCATAATTATTTGGGAGGAAGAATTCTTTCAGTAGATGGCAGAGAACTGTCTGAAAAGCAAGGTGCTCATTGTAGAGGAAGCAGAGGTGAAGCCCCTCTTTTGAACAGAAGTGTGTAAAAACATGCCACTCCTACTGTCACATCATAAAGTCAGAATAATGAATTTATTTTCCCTTCATATTTTACAGGGTAATTGGTCTAGACGAATTTTTAAATCTAGCTTTAAAAAATTTGTTTTTTTTTGAGACAGGGTATCACTCTGTCACCCAGGCTGGAGTGCAGTAGCCCCATCACAGCTCACTGCAGCCTCGACCTCCCTGGGATCAAGCAGTCCTCCTACCTCAGCCTGCTGAGTAGCTGGGACTATAGGCGCACACCACCACAGCTAATTTTTGTATTTTTTGTAGAGACAGGGTTTTGCATTGTTGCCCAGGCTGGTCTCGAACTTCTGGGCTCAGTGATCCATCCACCTTGGCCTCCTAGAGTGTTTTTATTACAGGCTGTGGGCCACCTCCCAGCCCTAGCTCATTTTAAAAATTGGCCTGTTTACTTGCTGTGTGATCTTGGGCACATTACCTGTCTGTTCAATTGCCTCATCTGTAAAGTGAAGATAAGAATTGTAACTCGCGCGTGGAGGCTCACGCCTGTAATCCCAGCACTTTGGGAGGCTGAGGCGGGGGGGTGGGTCACGAGGTCAGGAGATCGAGACCATCCTGGCTAACACGGTGAAACCTCGTCTGTACTAAAAATACAAAAAATTAGCCGGGCGTCGTGGCGGGCGCCTGTAGTCCCAGCTACTCGGGAGGCTGAGGCAGGAGAATGGCGTGAACCTGGGAGACGGAGCTTGCAGTGAGCCGAGATCGCACCACTGCACTCCAGCCTGGGCGACAGAGCGAGACTCTGTCTCAAAAAAATAAATAAATAAATAAATAAGAATTGTAACTCTCAGGATTGTGGTGAAGATTAAGCCTTAATAGAGTGACTCCATGTAAACATCAGCCTTATTATTCCCCATTGTTGGCAATAATACTGGCATTCTCAGCAATGATGTTGGAGTGCAACAGTGTATACTTCCTGGCAGGCATTGTGGTCTTAAACCTAAAAGAAAAATAAGCAGTCGTTAGTCTTATGTTTAGTAAATGTCCACAGGTTGATCAGCAGTTGATGCTCAATTCTTTGTATTAGGGTACAGGATACAGTTTGACTACTTAAAGTTTGAAGAAAAAAGAAGAGTAAGAAAGAGTAAGAGAAAAAAAACAGCAACAGTATTTACTTGAGCCTTTTATTTTTTACTTAAAAAAAAGATTGGAAAGAGCAGTAATAAAAGAATGGTGGGAATACAAAAATGAAAGCTTTTTTTTAAAAGCTATCAAAACACTTATTTAACAATAATAAGGAAATATCTTTTACTAATATCTACCAAAAAAGTGAGATTTTGGCCGGCCCTTGTGGCTCGCACCTGTAATCCCAGCACTTTGGGAGCCGAGGTGAGCGGATCACCTGAGGTCAGTAGTTCGAGAATAGCCTGACCAACATGGCGAAACCCTGTCTCTGCTAAAAATACAAAAATTACCCAGGCGTGGTGGTGTGTGCCTGTAATTCTAGCTACTCGGGAGGCTGAGGCAGGAGAATTGCTTGAACTCAGGAGGTGGATGTTGCAGTGAGCCAAGATTGTGCCATCACTCTCCAGCCTGGGTGACAGAGTGAGACTCCATCTCAAAAACAAACAAAAAAAAACAAACAAAAAAAAGAAAGTGAGATTTTTTTTAAGGGTGGAACCCTAAGTGACAAATATGTTTTTAAGAATTTTCATATTAGTTAAGTCATGGCTTTGCAATGTGAGGAAAATGTTTAAATAGTTATGAATTGTGCTTTTCTGAACAGAAAGCCCAAAACGAAAAGAGCCAAGAGATTCCTTGAGAAGAGAGAACCGAAACTCAATGAAAATATTAAAAATGCCATGCTGATTAAAGGGGGAAATGCAAATGCAACAGTGACAAAAGTACTTAAAGATGTGGTAAGTATATATACTTAATCTTTAAAAGGTATTGAAGTCATTTTAGAATTTTCAGCATGCTAGGATGGGCTGTCGGAGAAATACGTAGATAAGCTTGCCTTACCATAAGAACTACTAGTCTTAGAGAAGAGCTAAAGTTGGGGGTTTATTTACCTTGCGTGGCACCTTTTCTTAAAGCAACTAGTTCTCTTAGTAAATTTTATTATTGTTTTTTAGGAGCACAGGTGGGTCTGGTAGAGTGAAGGTCTCCCTTAGTAAATTTAAACTGTTTTCAATTACTAGAATTTGGCTTACTTACATTTTAGGAAAAAATCTAATTTGTAAAGAGAAGTAACTGCATATTGCTGTATATTTAGTCATTCAACAACACCGGTTACTGTGCCTCTGCTGGGAATTAATAGGTGAGACACAGTTCTTTCAGTGAGCTTAGAGAGATAGACATGTAAAAAGTTCTTACACTGTGCTGTGCTGGAGGCATGGACAGGGTAGGGTGGGAAACAGTTAAAATCACATAGGGGAGGCCAGGCACGGTGGTTCACGCCTGTAATCCCAGCACTTTGGGAGGCCGAGGCAGGAGGATCACGAAGTCAGAAGTTCGAGACCAGCCTGGCCAACATGGTGAAACCCCGTCTCTACTAAAAGTACAAAAATTAGCCGGGTGTGGTGGCGGGCGCCTGTAGTCCCAGTTGCTCGGGAGGCTGAGGCAGGAGAATCGCCTGAACCTGGGAGGTGGAGGTCACAGTCAGTCGAGATTGTGCCACTGCTCCAGCCTGAGTGACAGAGAGAGACTCCATTTCAAAAAAAAAAAAAAAAAATCACATAGGGGGACCCCCACACAGGGTAGGTTCCCCCAGAGATAACACTGCAGCTTCATTTTGAAGGAGAAGTTGGTGCAAGAAGTGGGAGAGAAAGAGAAGATCCTCTGAGGCTGAGAAAGAAGTTTGTGCAAAAGGGAGTATGAAGGAGCATTGATGCATTTGGAGAACTGTAAATAATTGGGCATGGCCAAAGGAGAGTGGGCTAGATGAGGCTAGAAGAGGAGGCATGGGTCACATAGTAACATGAAATTTGAATTCTAATCTGAAAGCTCCGTGTAATCATTGAAAGATATTAAGCAAGAGATACCATCAGTCCTTTTAATTGGCTTGATTAGAGAGGGTTGAGAGCAAATGTAGGAAACTAAGCCATTGCTGCCAGCTAGGTGAAGAGCATCTGGAGTCCAGTGGTGGCAATGAAAATGAGAAATGACCAGAAAGAATAGATGTTGAGGAAAGAAGAGTTGGGAACTAGTGAAAAGTATGACTTCCCAGGTGTTTGGCTTGAGTGCCTGATGGGCAATAATGCCAATTAGAAAATGTATCAAGCGGAGCAGGTTTGGAGGGAAAGGTGAAAGGTTCGGTTTGGGACATGTAATTTAAGTAATGAAAATAAAAGCTTTGTTTTTTCTACCTCTGTAGCCTAGTGTACAGCCCAGTGTCTGGACATAGTAGGTACTCAATATATATGTAATCTATGAAAGAAAGGCATAGTATGGGCCAGGCACAGTGGCTCACACCTGTAATCCCAGCACTTTGGGAGGCCGAGGTGGGCGGATCACGGGGTCAGGAGTTCGAGACCAGCCTGGCTAACACGGTGAAATCCTGTCTCTACTAAAAATGCAAAAATTAGCCAGCCATGGTGGTGGGCGCCTGTAATCCCAGCTACTAGGGAGGCTGAGGCCGGAAAATCTGCTTGGACCTGGGAGATGGAGGTTGGAGTGAGCTGAGACCACGCCATTGCACTTACTCCAGCCTGGGTAACAGAGCAAGACTCCAACTAAAAAAAAAAAAAAGACATAGTATGTGGAGATATCTAGTAGGTTATTTGACTAATTAGGCCTTGAGTACAGCCAATAGATCTTTGAATTAAATCAATTAAGTAATCGAATACATTTTTGTTGTTGTTATTGAGGTGGAGTCTCACGCTGTTGCCCAGGCTGAAGTGCAGTGGTGCCATCTTGGCTTACTGCAACCTCTGACTCCCGGGTTCAGGCGATTCTCCTGCCTCTAGCCTCCCAAGTAGCTGGGAGCCACCACACCCAGCTAATTTCTGTGTTCTTTTAGTAGAGACAGGGTTTCACCATGTTGGCCAGGCTGGTCACAAACTCCTGACCTGACATGATCTGTCCGCCTCGGCCTCCCAAAGTGCTGAGATTACAGGAGTGAGCCACCATGCCTGGCTTTGAATATATTTTAAACTTGACCAAACTCTATGCCTGATAAGCATAGTCAATTCAGATGTCTGAATGCCTTATATAGGCCCATCCCTTTTTTGAAATGTTTGTCTGAATTTCATTGTGCTAACGGGAAACTGCCCCTCTCCTTCTAGTATCCATCAGCACAATGACCCTGCATATTTAAGTAAGCTTTAAAAGCAGCACAATATTACAGATTACTACAATAATTAAAATTCATCATGATGACTCTGAGTCATCAAGAAGAGGTGGCAATGTTTATTACACGGAAACAGGGAAATAGTTGGCCAAGAATCATCAAAAGTTTTAGTACTTAAAAAGGTAGATTTTACTGTTGCATTTTCTTTGTTCACCAACTCTGATAGTTGATGAATGATTATTATACCTTATTTTTCATTGTTTCCCTCATTTACCCATTTCTCTAATGCAAGGTAGTACCTGATGACATCTTTGTTATTCTCTATGGTAGAGCAGTACTGGCCATACAAGTAATAAATGATTATAGGCCAGGTGTGGTGGCTCACACCTGTAATCCCAGCACTTTGGGAGGCTGAGGTGGGAGGATCACTTAAGCCTAGGATGACAGCCTGGACAACAAAGTGAGACCCCATCTCTATAAATTAAATTTAAAAAAATAATAAAATACAGCCTGGACAACATGGTGAAACCCCATCTCCACTCAAAATACAAAAATTAGCTGGGCGTGGTGCATGTGTCTGTACTTGGGAGGCTGAGATGGGAGGATCACCTGAGCCCTGGAGTTTCAGGCTGCAGTAAGCTTTAATCACGCCATTGCACTCCAGCCTGGGCAACAGAGTGAGACCCTGTCTCAAAAATAAATAAATAAAATAAAATGAATGATTATTTGTGGATAGGTAGAACTAGGAAAAAAATGAAGAACATTGAATAATAGGCATTTTTTAAAGAGCTGTGTTTAACCTCTGGCTAGTATTCTAATTGTCATCATTATTACTGTTTCTAAGTTTTCTGATCTCCACGCAACATTATTTCAATCTGTCAGCCTTTCGTGATAGAATTTATTTTTTCTGTTTTTGTCTACTACTTTTTTTTTTTTTTTTTCTGAGACAGGGTCTCACTCTATCACCAGAGCTGGAGTGCAGTGGTGCAATCACGGTTCACCACAGCCTCGAATTCCTGAGCTCGGGTGATCCTCCCGCCTTAGCCTCCCAAGTAGCTGGGACTGCAGGCATGCACCACTATGCCTGGCTAATTTTTGCAGTTTTTTGTAGAGACAGGGTTTTGCCATGTTGCCCAGGCTGGTCTCGAACTCCTGGGCTTGAGTGATCTGCCTTGTCCTCCCAAAGTGTTGGGATTACAGGCGTGAGCCACTGCACCTGGAATTGTTTCCCTAGAGAGAGACTGGACTAAGTCGAGTTTAAAGAAATGAAGGAAATTGTTTAAGTTGGATAGACTATTGACAGGGCATAGAAACTTTTAAATAGGAAAGTCTAGTCCAAGAATATTAAGCTTACATTTCAAGTTACTGTAAGTGATGAAAAGGGAGCCAGGCAGAAGCCCTCAGAATAAGATTGAGGCCCCAGAGCAATCTTGGAGAGTGACTGTTATGATGCTTTATTTTTATTTCTGCTTTTCAGAATGTGTTTTGTTTTGAAAGCTATAAATTTTGTTTTACAGTATGCACTGAAAAAACCATACGGTGTACTATATAAAAAGTAAGTCATGATTTCTTTTACTGTATTTTAAATGATTTTGTTTCATTATAAAAGTAACCACTTTATGGAAGATTTGGAAAACAAAAACTTTTTAAAAAGATATTAAAATTCCTTACAGTTATTAATATTTTAATTTCTTTCTTTTGGTCTGTTTTTTTCATTTGTATTGAATGTCCTTGCATAGTTGTAACCATAGCATATATATTTTATTTTGAAATACAGATTTACAGAAAAGTGCAAAAATAATGCAGAATTCCCATATACCCTTCACCTGGCTTCCCCTAATGTTACATCTTGCATAACCGTAATGCAATGATCAAAACTAATAAATTAACACCGATTCACTCATGTTAATCAAATGACAGACATATTTGATTAGCACCAGTTTTTCTTTTTTCCTTCTTTTGAGACGGAGTCCTGTTGTCGCCCGGCTGGAGTGCAGTGGCATGATCTCTGCTCACTACAACCTCTAACTCTGGGTTCAAGCAATTCTTCTGCCTTGGCCTCCCATGTAGCTAGGATTATAGGCACGTGCCACCACGCCTGGCTAATTTTTGTGTGGTTTTTTTTTTTTTTTTTGAGACGGAGTCTAGCTTTGTTGCCAGGCTGGAGTGCAGTGGCATGATCTCGCCTCGCTGCAACCTCTGACTCCCTGGTTCAAGTGATTCTCCTGCCTCAGCCTCCTGAGTTGGGATTACAGGCATGCACCTCCATGCCCAGCTCATTTTTGTATTTTTAATAGAGACAGGGTTTCACCATGTTGGCCAGGCTGGTCTTAAACTTCTGACTTTAGGTGATCTGCGCGCCTTGGCCTCCCGAAGTGATGGGATTACAGGCGTGAGCCACCCCGCCCGGCCCAGTTTCTTTTTTCTTTCTTTTCTTTTTTTTTTAAGACGGAGTTTCACTCTTGTTGCCCAGGCTGGAGTGCAGTGGCATGATCTAAGGTCACTGCAACACCTGCCTCCTGGGTTCAAGCAATTCTCTTGCCTCAACCTCCCGAGTAACTGGGATTACGGGCATGCGCCACCACGCCCGGCTAATTTTGTATTTTTAGTAGAGACGGGATTTCTCCATGTTGGTCAGGCTGGTCTCGAACTCCCGACCTCAGGTGACCTGCCCACCTCGGCCTCCCAAAGTGCTGGGATTACAGGCGTGAGCCACCGTGCCCGGCCCTAGTTTTCCTTTTAATACTCTTTTTCTCTTCAGGATCCCATGTTGCATTTAGTTTTCATGCCTCCTTAGTCTTCTCCAATTTGTGACAGTTCCTTAGTCTTTCATTGTCTTTGATGACCTTGACATTTTTGACAAGTACTTGTCAGTTATTTTGTAAATTATCCCTCAATTTGGGTTTAAATTTTCTCATGAATTGATTGAGGTTATGCATGTTTGTCAAGAACACTACAAAAATGTTGTGCTTTCCTCATATATTCTTCTGGATTATAATCCAGTGTTCTTAATTTTGTTGCTTAAATTGTTCTGTTTGGCAATTGGGAACCCCCCCCCCCCCCACCTTTTCTTTTGTTTGTTTTTTTAGTATGAGACGGAGTCTCACTCTTTCACCCAGCCTGGAGTGCAGTGGTGCGACCTCAGCTCACCACAACCTCTGGCTCCTGGGTTCAAGCGATTCTCCTGCCTCAGCCTCCTGAGTAGCTGGGATTACAGGTGCCCAGCTAATTTTTGTATTTTTAGTAGAGACAGGGTTTCACCATGTTGGCCAGGCTGGTCTCAGACTCCTGACCTCAGGTGATCCACCAGCTTCAGCCTCTCAAAGTGCTGGGATT
Source organism: Homo sapiens (assembly GCF_000001405.40). Taxonomy (NCBI): domain Eukaryota; kingdom Metazoa; phylum Chordata; class Mammalia; order Primates; family Hominidae; genus Homo; species Homo sapiens. The sequence continues at coordinate 110,990,847 of NC_000006.12, forward strand.
ACAGGCGTGAGCCACTGCTCCCAGCTGGGAACTCTTTTACGTTGGTTCCTATGACCTTTCAACATGCCTCCTGTTTTTGAGCACTTCCTTACTTTCTAACATCACAAAATTATCTGGGTTCATCTTGTCTTTTTCCTTACCACAGCCCTGGAATAAGCTACAGTCATCCCTCAGTATCTGTGGGCGATGGGTTCCAGAAACCTCCCCTTATTAAAATCTGGGTATGCTCGTCTCTTACATAAAATGGCCTAGTATTTGCATATAACCCACACACTTCCTCCTGTATCCTTTTTTTAAAAAATGCTTCCCATAAAAGTAAGTTGCATATACTTTAAATCATCTCTCGATTACTTATAATATCTAATATAATGTAAATGCTATGTAAATAGTTATAATGCTGTATTTTCTGGTTTATCCTGCTTTTTATTGTTCCTTTTTCTTTTTATTTCTTAACTTTTTTTTTAGAGACGGGGTCTCACTGTTACCCAGGCTGGAGTGCAGTGGCACGATCATATTTCACTGTTGTAAGCCACTGTGCTCGGCGCCCCCTGCTTTTTTTTTTTTTTTTAACACACTTTCTTTGTCTATTGAATACTGTCAATCCGTGGTTGGTCAAATCAATCCATGGATGCAGAAGGATGCAGAATCCATATGTACAGAGGACTACTTATTTTCCACGAGCCTATAAACTCCATGAAAGCAAGCATCTTGTTTAATGTAGTAGTATAGTATCACTAGCTCCTAGAATGGTAGCCTGGCATATAACAGGCACTGAATAAATATTTGAATGAATGAATATCCTTTCAATTGTTTTATCATCTGAATATAAAATTACCTTAATATATTAATTGTATATACTTATTTAGATTATTAAAATTGTCACTTTTTTGATATTCTTAGGAAAAATATTACAAGACCTTTTGAGGATCAGACATCACTGGTAAGTATAATAATCTTTATGATTTAAGAAAGCATATAAGTAGTAATTATTCAGACTAATTCATTTGTACTCCAAATTTGTGATTTTTTTAAACATTAGAAGTCATCCTGTGTGAGGGAATTTTGTGTAAAATGGAGAGGAAATACTTTAAAAAATATCTATAGAGCTTTCATTTCACTATGGCTGGGAAATGTGTTTTTCATTGCCTGCAAATATATTGATAAAATTTTTAAAACTTGGCCGGGCGCGGTGGCTCACGCCTGTAATCCTAGCACTTTGGGAGGCCAAGGCAGGTGGATCACCTGAGATTGGGAGTTCAAGACCAGCCTGACCAACATGGAGAAACCCCGTCTCTACTAAAAATACAAAAAAAATTAGCCGGGCGTGATGGCACATGCCTGTAATCCCAGCTACTAAGGCGGCTGAGGCAGGATAGTCACTTGACCCCGGGAGGCAGAGGTTTCAGTGAGCCGAGATCACGCCATTGCACTCCAGCCTGGGCAACAAGGGTGAAACTCCGGCTCAAAAAAAAAAATATTTAAAACTTGAGTTGCATTTAAAGGACATAATGAATTTTCAAAAGGAAGTTTGTTATAGATCTATTTTTATAAAGCAAGTTTGAGTTTTAAAAATATGACTCTTCCTTCAGATGTTTTTACTTTTTTTTTTTTTTTGAAGCTTGGGTCTTGGTATGTTGCCCAGGCTGGTCTCAAACTCCTGAGCTCAAGCAATCCTCCTGCCTCAGTCTCCCAAGTAGATGGGACTACAGGTGTACACCATCACACACAATTGGATACTTTTAAAACAAGGAACACTACCTGAATTATTGCTAACAGATGTCAGTTGCTTTCCTAGAGTTAATCAGATTCTTATTTGAGTGTATAGTCAACCAAAACTAAATGAAAAAACTGGTTAGTGAAATCAAAGATTGTTTATAGTAAATGGAGAATGATGAATGGACTTTCAGTATGTGATGATATTGGTTTCTTCCTTAAGAAAATCATCAGGGGCCAGACACAGTAGCTCACGCCTGTAATCCCAGCACTTTGGGAGGCCAAGGCAGGAGGATCGCTTGAGCCTAGGAGTTCGAGACCAGCTTGGAAAACGTAGCGAGACCCTGTCTCTATTTAAAAAATAAAAATAAAAAAACTTAATATGATTATGTTTTCTTGATAGGAACCCATTGTTTATTTTGAAATAGGGTCTGGCTCTGTTGCCTAGGCTGGAGTGCATTGGAATGATCTCTGCTCACTGCAGTCTCCACCTCCCAGACTCAAGCCATTCTCCCATGTCAGAAGCAGGGACTGCAGGTGCACGACACGATGCCTGGCTAATTTTTGTAGAGATAGGGCTTTGCCATGTTGCCCAATCTGGTTTTAAACTCCTGAGCTCAAATGATCTGCCTGCCTTGGCCTCCTAAAGTACTGGGATTATGGGTGTAAGCCGTCACACCCAACCAGGAACCCATTATTTGTTGTTGTTTTTTTTCTTAAGTTCACTTGACCTTTTTAATGTTTTTTTTTCTTTTAGTTAGTGAATTTAAAAGAAAGAAATTAATCTCAATGATAAATTAGATTAAAATCAAATAATCTTATTGTAACTAACTGCAGTGAAAATTAAGATAGTATTGATAAAATGCATTTTACTCAGTTTTTTTCAAATTACTTTTATTTGTCTCAGGTTTTTTACAGTCATTTGTTGAAGAGATCATGAAAGTAAAAATATAAGATTTATCTCAGAATTCTCTTTCATATAGTACTTAATCAAGGCCTGGTTTTGTTTTTGTGATACCATAATGCTTTTAGTTGCATGACCACTTTGTGGCAGTGTTACATAGTGAAAGCTGTAGCATTTGAGCTTTTTTAGTCTAGTGTTGATAAAAGCTGACAACAGCTTTTCTTACACTTGAGGTTGTGACATTCCCTCTATTTGATCTCCCACCTCCAGTTATAGTATATATTTATTAGCTATCTGAATCCCAGACCTACGGAGCTCAAAATGGCTATGGAAGGAGTGGTTGTGTTGGAAATAGTGGTCAATTTTCTCCTCCTGACCCTCTCCACACATTTTTTTTACTACAATCTTGGATAAATGAGTTTTGCTGCTTTAGAGAGGGGTTGGCAAAAATATACTGCTTGCAGATCAAATCCCTCTTTGTGTGAGGCTCATGAGCTAAGAATGGTTTTTACATTTTTAAAGAGTTGGTTAGGCTGGGCATGGTGGCTCATGCCTGTAATCCCAGCGCTCTGGGAGGCCAAGGCGTGTGGATCACCTAAGGTCAGGAGTTCGAGACCAGCCTGACCAACATGGATAAACCCTGTCTCTATTAAAAATACAAAATTAGCCAGGCGTGGTGGCACATGCCTATAATTCCAGCTACTCGGGAGGTGAGGCAGGAGAATCACTTGAACCCGGGAGGTGGAGGTTGCGGTGAGCCAAGATTGTGGCATTGCACTCCAGCCTGGGCAACAAGAGTGAAACTCCATCTCAATAAAAAAAAAAAAAAGAGTTGGTTAGGCTGGGCACCGTGGTTCATACCTCTAATCCCGTTGTTTTGGTAGGATGAAGTGGGAGGATTGCGTGGGGCCAGGATTTCTAGACCAGCCTAGGCAACATATTGAGATCCCATCTCTTAAAGAAAATTTAAAAATTGGCAGGAAATGGTGGTGGGAGCCCAAGTGCTAACTATCTGGGAGACTGAGGGTGGAGGATCAGCTGAGTGCAGGAGTTTGAGGTTATAGTGAGCCATGATTGCACCACAGCACTTTTAGCCTGGGCAACAGAGTGAGACCTTGTCTCACAAAAAAAAGAAGAGTTGGCTAAAAACAAAACAAAAGAATGAGCCTAAAATACTTATTATATGGCTTTTTGCAGGTAATTTGACTACCCCGTTCTAGAATTTTAAGAAATAAAAAGCAGACTTTGTGGAGAATGGGATGAGTATATATACACACACACACACACACACACACACACACACACACGAGTATGTATGTATATAAAACACTCAAGTATATATGAGGGGTGTTTTATGGAAAGCTTTGAGATGTTAGTCATACCATGAAAATGTTTTTAAAATTTTAAGAAAGTAATTCCATTGATTTAGACATACAAAATAAATATATATATTTTAATTGAGACAGGGTCTCACTCTGTCACCCAGGCTTGAGTGCTATGGCGCCATCTCAGCTCACTGCAACCTCCACCTCCCGGGTTCAAGCGATCCTCCCACCTCAGTCTCCTGAGTAGCTGGGACCACAGGTGTATACCACCATACCCGGATTTTTTTTGTATTTTTACTAGAGACGGGATTTTGCCACGTTGCCTGGGCTGGTCTCCAACTTCTAAGCTCATGCAATGCACCCACCTCAGCCTCCCAAAGTGCTGGGGTGACAGGCAAGAGCCACCACACCTGGCCATAGAAAATATTTTTTGGACACCCACTTTGTTCAGGACATTGTACAACTTTGTACAAGGTGTGTTCACATATGACATCGCATGTGGCCTTTGCAAGTTTTTGCAGGAGGTGGTATTATCCCTATTGATAAAGTTAATTCTCAGAAAAGATTATTTGTCCAGATATTTAGTGGCAGAGCCTGAATTCTTGGACTTTCTGACTCTGCATCCCCCACTCTGGTTGTGGACAGGCCAGGTGGGTAGTTGTTTGCCATTTATGCTTCTGTTTAGAGGCTAGAATGAATGATAACCAAACTAGGGGCCCATACCTTGGAGAGTCTTGTAAGGAGTAAAGAAAAATGGAGGGTTATGACTCTTTCATCTGTTTTTTTCTTTAATATTAAGTTAAGAGGCTTTCCAATTGATTTCTGGACTAAAACATGTTGATTCTAATTTTCGTGCTAAAAGTGGTGATCTCAGTAAACTGAATCAAAGCATGCGGGATGTGGAGACTACAGGCATAATGTAAAAAGAGCTGTCTAGGATTAGAACCCCACACCTAGATTTTTTTAGTACTCTGAAATCTGTAATGGAAGTCTGTACTTCTGAGAACCAAATGGATAAGATCTCTCTCTTTCTTTTTTCCAAGATGGTGTCACTCTGTCACCCAGGCTGGAGTGCAGTGATGCCATCACGGCTCACTGCATGTAGCCTTGATCTCCTGGTCTCAAGCGATCCTTCCTCCCACCTCAGCCTCCCAAGTAGGTGGGACTATAGATGCTCATCACCATACCCAGCTAATTTTTTGTATTTTTCTTAGAGACAGGGTTTCACTATGTTGCTCAGGCTGGTTTCAAACTCCTGATCTTAAGCCATCCACCTACCTCAGCCTTCCAAAGTGTTGGGATTACAGACGTGAGCCACTGCACCCAGCCAGATAAGTTTTTTTTTTTTTTTTTAAGATAGTCTTGCTCTTATTGTCCAAACTGGAGTGCAGTGGTCTTGTTGCCCAGACTGGTATGCAATGCTTTTGTTGCCCAGGCTGGAGTGCAATGGTGTGATCTTGGCTCACTGCAACCTCCGCCTCCCAAGTTCAAGGAATTCTCCTGTCTAAGCCTCCTGAGTAGCTGGGATTACAGGCATGCACTACCATGCCTGGCTAATTTTTTTATTTTTAGTAGAGACAGGGTGTCACCATGTTGGCCAGGCTGGTCTCAAACTCCTGACATCAGGTGACCTCAGGTGATCCGTCTGCCTCAGCCTCCCACAGTGCTGGGATTACTGGCATGAGCCACCTTACTGGGCCTCGTGTGTTTTGAATGTATGCAATGATAGTAGTGATATCCTGCGAGTAAAAGGAATTTGTTCAGCAAATGAAACACTTGGTGTGCTATTCCAAAATGACAGCATAACAAAATAAATGGTTTCATTTTATTTATTAACTGAATAGTTTTCATGTATTCTTAGTCTTGAAATGCACATCTTTTCCCTAAGTACCCCAAATCAGGAAACTTGAAGTAAAAAGCTGGAAATACCTTTCCTCTGTATTTTTCTTTCTGGTTCATTAAGTCTTCATTAACTTCCACTGGAAGAAAAAAACTGTTAGAGTTTTTTGTTTCGTTTTGTTTTGTTTTTTTTAGACAGAGTCTTACTCTGTTCCCCAGGTTGGAGTGCAGTGTCGCATTCTCAGCTCACTGCAACCTCTGCCTTCTGGGTTCAAGCGATTCTCGTGCCTCAGCCACTAAGGTAGCTGGGATTACAGGCGTGTGCCTTCACACCTGGCTGTCTTTTGTATTTTTAGTAGAGATACGGTCTTACCTTGTTGGCCAGGCTGGTCTCAAACTCCTGATCTCAAGTAATCAACTCGCCTCGGCGTCCCAAGTGCTGGGATTACAGGTGTGAGCCACCGTGCCTGGCCTGAAGGTAAGATTTTTAAAGGTAAGATTCTTAAAGTTCTTAAATTTATGCATGGACTAAATGGGATTTATTTGGTTTTATAGGAATTCTTTTCAAAGAAGTCAGATTGTTCTTTATTCATGTTTGGCTCCCATAATAAGAAGCGGCCAAATAATCTAGTAATAGGTAAGTATAATTTACTTTTTAATGTTTTCACTGATAGAGTCAATTTGTTAGCAGCAGCGAATTCATACGGGTCTGCAGCAACTTGGTTCTTGCCTCTTCAGAGGAAATAATTCATCCAAGAGGCATAGGCAGAGTAAGAGACTGAGGGAAGTATTTGAACAGGAGTGAAAGTTTATTAAAAAGTTTTAGAGCAGGGGCCTGGCATGGTGGTTCATGCCTGTAATCCCAGCACTTTGGGTGGCGAGGTGGGTGGATCATTTGAGGCCAGGAGTTCGAGACCAGCCTGGCCAACATGGTGAAACCCCATCTCTACTAAAAATACAAAAATTAGCCAGGTGTAGTGGCGCGTGCCTGTAGTCCAGCTACTCAGGAGGCTGAGGCATGGAGGTAGCAGTGAGCCAAGATGGCGCCACTGTACTCCAGCCTGGGTGACAGAGTGAGACCTTGTCTCAAGGAAAAAAAAAGTTATAGAGCAGGAACAAAGGAAGTAAAAGGAAGTGAAGTACGCTTTGAGCGCCAAGCAGGCAACTTGAGAGATTCATGTGTGCTGTTTGACCTTTGACTTGGGGGCTTTATATGTGTTGGTATGCTTCAGGGGGGTTGGTGTCTCTTCTCCCTTGATTTTTCTTTTCTTCTTTTTTTTTTTTTTTCCTGAGACGGAGTCTTGGTCTGCTCCATCACCCAGACTGGAGTGCAATGGCCCAATCTCGGCTCACTACAACCTCCGCCTCCCGAGTTCAAGCAATTCTCCTGCCTCAGCCTCCCGAGTAGCTGGGACTACAAGTGCCCACCACCACACCCAGCTAATTTTTGTAATTTTAGTAGAGACGGGGTTTCACCATGTTGGCCAGGCTGGTCTTGAACTCCTGACCTCAAGTGATCCACCCGCCTTGGCCTCCTGAAGTGCTGGGATTACAGGCGTGAGCCAGCATGCCTAGCCTCCTACCTTGATTTTTCCTTGGGATGAGCTGTCTGCCTGTGCAGTGGCCTGCCAGCACTGGGAGGGGCCACATGCACGGTGTGTTTATTGGAGTTGTACGTATGCTCATTTGAAGCATAGAGCAAGTTCATATACCAGTTGAAGTCAGCCATTTTGCCTCCTAGTGTGCATGCTTGAGCCCACCCACCCAACTCCTGAGATCTTATTGGGAAGCAGCTGATTACTAGCTGCTGATTACTGCTGATCCACCCACCTTGGCCTCCCAAAGGGCTGGAATTACAGGCGTGAGCCACTGTGCCCGGCCTGATCTAAAAATTTTTTATTCAATGTCACAAGGTGAAAACAAAACCAAAAAACCCCACCAAACTAGTTTACAGCTTATTGATTACTCCTGATTCCTCAATACCATCAGTTAATCTGAGTCACAGAGCTTGTTACAGTAGATAGGCAGACACGCACAGGACAGGAGAGGCTGCCCACTCACCCGACCCCAACCAGGAATGTCAGGCGACCATCAGGTGACAGTCAGGCAGCTGTTTAACTGTCTCTCTAAAATAATAATTGGTTGCAGCCAGTGCCAAGGAGAGGCAGGCTCCCAAGAAATAGATTACACACCTGTAATCCTAGTTACACAGGAGGCTAAGACAGGAGAATTGTTTGAACCAGGGAGGCAGAGGTTGCAGTGAGCCGAGATCATGCTATTGCACTCCAGCCTGGGTAACAGAGCAAGTCTTCATCTCAAAAAAAAAAAAAAAAAAATTTATGTCGGTCAGCAAGTAAAGAATGGGGCATATAAATATGACCCTACCAATACAGTGAAGTGCCACAAGTAAGAAAGAATATGAAAAGATTCCCTGGTAATTCATGTTTCTTAGAATGCCTTTTCCTTCTGTCTCTGTCGGAATCAAATTCTGGTTTAAATGGGAAGCGTGGTCTCTTCGGGCTCTCAGCATCCCTGCCTACTTAGTTGTAGATGCAGCACAATTACTTTATACTTGCATTGAGTGTCTCTGAGCTCCCAAATAGCATGGATCCATTGGAATTGGGGGGGAAAATTATCCTAAGTTGTAGATATTTTTTTCATATGAAATATATATATGTACTAAATCAATATTAGAAAAAAAAATGTATCGACCCACATAAATTAATCCTTCTCTAATATCTATTGAATAAATAGATTTGAAAAAGAACCTTTACCTCAGTGTATTGAGATTGAGCCTGGCATGCTCACTGGCTTAGGCAAGCCCTTTACCTTCTGTAGGCTGTCATTTATTCTTCTATAAAATAAAGGAGTTGGGCTAAGTAATATCTGAGATCCTTTCCATGACTAATATCATAAAAATCAATAAGTAGAGTTGAAAATGTAAGAAAGTGGGATATGTTTGCGGGGGTATAGGGAGAAAAAAGAGGCAGATATTAGGACATTTTGAATACACAGCTCTTGTGGGTATATGTAAGGTGGCTCTTTGGGAAAAATACATGCTTAAAAATACATTTTCCTTCCAGGTCGTATGTATGACTACCATGTGCTGGATATGATTGAATTAGGTATTGAGAATTTTGTCTCTCTAAAAGACATTAAGGTAAGATACTCATAGAAATGAAAAGTATTTTGTAATGCTTCTCTTGACCAGTAGTGACATCTTGTGGTGAAGAGTACTGATAGAGTTTTGTAGATCAAGAACTTTGTGTTTTTATTTTGACATGCTCCAGGATAAAAATACAATTTTATTTTACCTTTCTTTTAAAAAGAGGAATATATTTGTAGTGAATAGCAACATATGTGGACTTTGTGGCTGTTAGACTTCAGACTGTGGTTACTAATTCTTGTCTAGGCCATAGTTTTTTTATTTTTTGTTTTTATTTTTTGCTTTTTTCATAGTTTGAATTTATTTTTTATTATTTTGTTTTATTTTTTTGAGACAGGGTCTCACTCTGTCACCCAGGCTGGAGAGCAGTGGCATGAACATGGCTTACTTCAGCCTTGACCTCCTGGGCTCAAGCAATTCTCCTACCTCAACCCCCAAGTAGCTGGGACTACAGGCACATGCCAGCACGCCCAGCTAATTGTTTTGTATTTTTATTGTAGAGACAGGGTTTTGTCATGTTTCCCATGTTGCCTAGGCTGGTCTCAAATTCCTGACCATGGTGTGAGCCAAAGCACCTGTAGGTCTATAGTTTAAATACTGTCCTCTTCCTCTGAATTATCACAGCACCTATTTTATGGAACCTTAGAAAAACCTGTAGAATTTTCAAATTGAACCCAGGAAGCTCTGGCTGATTCTATAGTATGTTGGTTACTAACCACCAAATGGCAGGTCAGTTCACCCTTGGGGAGTTGCATCTTTGTTTTAATGATATTATGAAATAGAAAGTAGTAAATGGTAGTAAAAATACTCTTAGAAAGGCAGGAAGAGTGTTCTAACTCAGCTCCTGGGTACAAATTGGGCTTCTGTTCCCTCAGAACTCTGCTTCAGGCTTAATCTATCTTATCAAATACATTATTTCACCTAGACCTCATAGCAATCTGGGTAAGGCCTAAGTAATTTTCTTTTTTGTATAGATTGGGAGATTGAAGGCCCATAGGGGTTTCATTGGTGAACTAGAATCACACATATGGTCAGTATAACCAAGATTAGGACTCTAGGGCTTTGAGAGAAGTGATGTTGTTGGTAATAGAAGGTTATATAACTGCTCTCAGTTTATGGGTTTTTGAGGCTCATGGTCTAGTTGGAAGTATTGTAGCAAAAATGTATAATTACTCTTTTCCTGACTTTAAGAGGAGGACATGCTTTCCAGGTTTGGTAGAATTCCTGTACTAAGCAACTTTATCCCGTGAGTTTGGAAAAAAAGGTTCTTACCAGATCCCTATTTAGTCAGTCACCCCAGTTTCCTCAGGTACAGGTGGAACAGTGGTCTGAAATTAGATTTAGAGGCAGAACACTTGGATTTGAGGCCTGTCTTGGCTATTTAGATGACATTTGTGACCTGACAAGTCAATGGCTTCCTTGACCTTCAGTTGCAATCACATGTAAAATAAGTATAACAACATCAAATGAGATAATATATGTGAAAATGCTTATCAGTAAAGATAATATTTTGTAACGTATTTTGTAAAGTACATAAACTGTGATGCTTGATTATGGTGGAAGCCCTCATATTATTTTTCTTTCTGTTTTTTTTTTTCTTTCGAGACAGGGTCTTGCTCTGTCACCCAGGCTGGGGCGCAGTGGCGCGATCTCAGCTCACTGCAGCCTTGACCTCCTGGGCTCAAGCAATCCTCCCACCTCAGCCTCCCAGGTAACTGGGACTATAGGTGTGTGCCACCTCACCTGGCTAATTTTTTTTTTGTAAAGACAAGCTCTCACAGTGTTGCCCAGACTGGTCTCAAACTCCTGGGCTCAGGAGATCCTCCTCCTCAGCCTCCCAAAGTGCTGGGGTACCCAGCTGTCATTATTATAGTGTCTCTTTGGGACCATGCACGAATCTCTGGAGATGACCAGCATAACCCCATTTCACCTTTACCACTGCCACTAGCTTATCACCAGCTTAGTGGGAGGGAGCACTGGCTGATGAGCACCTTCCAGTCCCTCTACTCTTTCCATTTCACTTCCAAAGCAATGAAATACTTCAGTCATTGTGCAGCTTCTAAACTAGACCACAGTCCAGGCTCTCATGCCTGTAAGCCCATCACTTTGGGAGGCCCTGGCGGGAGGATTGCTTGAAGCCAGGAATTTGAGACAAGCCTGGGCAACGTAGTGAGACATTGTCTCATATATGTATAAAGTAAACCGGCTAGGCGTGCTGGCTCACGCCTGTAATCCCAGTAGCTTGGGAGGCCAAGGAAGGCAGATCACCTGAGCTCAGGAGTTTGAGACCAACCTGGCCAACATGGTGAAGCCCCATCTCTACTAAAAATACAAAAATTAGCCAGGCATGGTGGTGCACGCCTGTAATCCCAGCTACCTGGGAGGCTGAAGCATGAGAATCTCTTGAACCCAGGAGGTGGAGGTTGCAGTGAGCTGAGATCATGCCACTGCACTCCAGCCTGGGTGACACAGCAAGACTTTGTCTAAAAAAATAAAAATAAAAAAGTAAACTGGACCACAAAACCATTATTGTTTGTCAGGTCTCATTTCTTTTTTTGTTTTTTAGAGACAAGGTCTCACTCTGTTGCCCAGGTTGGAGTACAGTGGTGGGATCACCGCTCACTGCAGCCTTGAATTCCTGGGCTCAGGCTATCCTGCCTCAGTCTCCTGAGTAGCTAGGACTGCAGGTGTGTGCCACCATGCCCAGCCACATTTTTTTTTAAGAAATGGGGTCTCACTATATTGCCCTGGCTAGTCTCAAACTCCTGAGTTCAAGCGATCCTCCCGCCTTGGCCTCCCCAACCACTGGAATTACAGGCATGAACCACTGCACCCAGCCCAGGTCTCATTCTTAACAAGAACCATTTAAATTGAACACTACATTTTCACTCATGGAGTGCATATATAACTATAAATTTTATTAATTGAGAATGTGCTTACATTGGCAATTCCTACATGTACTCAGACTTATTAGGCAGTCTTTTTTTTTTTTGAGAGGGAGTTTTGCTCTTGTCGCCTAGGCAGGAGTACAGTGGCATGATCTCGGCTCACTACAACCTCTGCCTCCCGGATTCAAGCAATTCTCCTGCCTCAGCCTCCCGAGTAGCCGGGATTACAGGCGCCCACACTCGGCTAATTTTTGTATTTTTAGTAGAGATGGGGTTTCACCATGTTGGCCAGGCTAGTCTTGAACCCCGACCTCAGGTGATCCACCCGCCTCAGCCTCCCAGAGTGCTGGGATTATAGGCATGAGCCACCGTATCCAGCCCTAGTCTTTCATTTTTTACCCCCCCCCCTTTTTTTTTCTTTTTAATTTTCTAACACCAGTGTCACCAATACCCCATTATTTGGTTACAGGTTTATATTTTTAATTTGTTTTGGTACACTTTCCCTTATTTTCCCTTTACTTCTCCCTTGTCTTTAAGACGTTGTGCTAGATATTTCTTACCTCACCTACCTACTTTTGTTGCCAACCCTCATTCCTCCGTTAACTTGTCCTTCTCCTCCACCCTCACCAGACAGAGTCTTGCTCCGTCACCCAGGCTGGAGTGCAGTGGCGTGATTTCGTCTCACTGCAACATGCGCCTACCTGGTTCAAGCAATTCTCCTGCCTCAGCCTCCCAAGTGGTTGGGATTACAGGTGCCTACCACCATGCCCAGCTAATTTTTTTGTATTTTTAGTAGAGACAATGAGAATATTTAACTCTTTAAACAAGCTCATTGAGAATATTTAATATTAGACTCTACCAGGAAATTGAGTGAGTATTCTAGGAGCCTGTTTCCTCAAGATGGCCATACGTCAAAGGATGATTATATTCAATGAAGTAAGACTAGCCTGGACAACATAGTGAGACCCCGTCTCTACAAAATTTTTTTTTAAATTAGCCTTGCTTGGTGGCATGTGCCTGTAGTCCCATCTACTTGAGAGGCTGAGGTGAGAGGATTGCTTGAGCCCAGGAGTTTAAGTTGCTGTAAGCTATGATTGCTACACTGCAATCTAGCCTGGGTAACAGAGTGAGGCCTCATGTCTCCCCCACCGACGGAGTTTTGTTCTTGTTGCCCAGACTGGAGTGCAATGGCGTGATCTCGGCTCACTGCAACCTCTGCCTCCCGGGTTCAGGAGATTCTCCTGCCTCAGCCTTCCGAGTAGCTGGGATTACAGGTGTGCGCCACCACACCCAGCTAATTTTTGTATTTTTAGTAGAGACGGAGTTTCATCATGTTAGTCAGGCTAGTCTCAAACTCCTGACCTCAGGTGATCCACCCACCTTGGCCTCCCAAAGTGCTGGGATTATAGATGTGAGCCACCATGCCCAGCCAGCTCATCTATTGTAGACTCCTGCCTAGTTCAGGGTCTTCATCATGTGCATGTGACTAGCATTTTATTTTTATTTTTATTTTTATTTTTAGATGGAGTCTCACACTGTCGCCCAGGCTGGAGTGCAGTGGCGTGATCTCGGCTCACTGCAACCTCCGCCTCCTGGGTTCACGCGATTCTCCTGCCTTAGCCTCCCAAGTAGCTGGGATTACAGGCACACACCACCATATGCAGCTAATTTTTTGTATTTTTAGTAGAGACAGAGTTTCACTATGTTGGCCAGGCTAGTCTCAAACTCCTGACCTTGTGATCCACCCACCTCGGCCTCCCAGAGTGCTAGGATTAGAGGCGTGAGCCACTGTGCCCGGCCGTGACTAGTATTTTTAAAAAATGGAATAGAGTAAAAAATATCAGTGCTGTATGTATTAAGTATTGGGGTTTTTTTTTTTTTGGAGACAGGGTCTTGCTTTGTTGCCCAGACTGGAGTGCAGTGGTGCTATCTCAGCTCACTGCAACCTCCACCCCAAGGTTCAAGCAATTCTACTGCAACCTCCACCCCAAAGTTCAAGCAATTCTCTTGCCTCAGCCTCCCAAGTAGCTGGTTGAGCCACCACGCCTGGCTAATTTCTGTAGTTTTAGTAGAGACAGGGTTTCACCACGTTGGCCAGGTTGGTCTCGGACTCCTCACCTCAAGTGATCTACCCACCTCAGCCTCCCAAAGTGCTGGGATTACAGGTGTGAGCCACCACGCCCGGCCAAATATTGTTTCACATAACTTTTATTTGTCTTTGTATGATGTGTATACTGGGTGACAACTTCAAATTTTTTTTTTTTTATTACTATGCATTGTGGTCAGGATGGTTTGAAAACCAAAAGTTGTTGTTGATGATGCTGTGCTTTTTGTTCCCTTCTGTACACCTAAATAGACCCTATAGTCCTAGGGTCAGACTGGCGTGGTTGAAGCATGGAAGACTTGTTAGATCTGGAACGTCCTTTCAGCTTCTGTATCAGACAGACAGATGTTAGGCACATCTCCATCTCCTAAGTATAGACCGTTAAGGTTCCGGGTTTGGAAGTAGAGAATGTCAACAAGAGTGGTCATGGTGAGCAGCAAAGCAACAGGTGACCTCTGGTCCTAGGGCAGAGGGTGTTTGGTTTTTGTACTGTTTTTTTTGTTTTCTTTTGTTGCTGGATTTTGGATAGTTCTTGATTTTTGGTCAGAACAGAGAATTTATAGGAAGCTCAGACCAACAGTCATTCACCTTCCTCCATAAATTACTCATCCAGTTAAAGAATTTTTACTATTTCATTTTTTCCTCTTTGGTGGCTTCTAAATCCTCTTTTTAATCACATCACATTCTATTTGGTGTAGAAAATCTACAACTGGTGAAAATACTTTTTATAGTAAGAGTTTCAACATTGCTGATGAGAATTGGTCTATACTTTCTATAGCTTATGTAAAATTATATTACTTCTCATGTGAATGTCCAGCTGGTAGTTTAATTTAGCCTTCATTTTATTTTTATTTATTTATTGTTTTGAGGGTCTTACTCTGTATCCCAGGCTGGAGTGTAGTGGCAAGAGCACGGCTCATGGCAGCCTGGACTTCCCTGGGCTCAAGTGATCCTTCCACCCCAGCCTCCCAAGTAGCTGGGACCATAGATGTGCACCACCACACCTGGCTAATTGTTTTGTATTTGGTTTGTTTGTTATTGTTTTCTTGAGACGGAGTCTCTGTCGCCCAGGCTGGAGTGCTGTGGCGCTATCTCAGCTCACTGCAACCTCCACCTCCTGGGTTCAAGCAATTTTCCTGTCTCAGCCCCGACTAGCTGGGACTACAGGCACACTGCACCTGGCTAATTTTTGTGTTTTTTAGTAGAGACAGGGTTTTACCATGTTGTCCAGGCTGGTCTCAAACTCCTGACCTCAAGTGATGCGCCTGCCTCAGCCTCCGAAAGTGCTGGGATTATAAGGGTGAGTCACCGTGCCCAGCCTGTTTTGTATTTTTTTGTAGAGACCGTGTCTCCCAGGCTGGTCTCAAACTCCTGGGCTCAAGCGATCTGCCCTTCTTGGCCTCCTAAAGTGCTGGGATTACAAGTGTAAGCCACCACACCTAGCCTATAGCCTTCATTTTTTTTTTATTGAGATGGCATCTCGCTCTCACCCAAGCTAGAGTGCAGTGGTGCAATCTCGGCTCACTACAACCTCTGTCTCTTGGGTTCAAACGATTATCCTACCTTAGCCTCTGGAGTAGCTGGGACTACAGGCGTGTACCACCACGCCCAGCTAATTTTTTCTATTTTTAGTAGAAACAGGGTTTCACCATGTTGGCCAGGCTGGTCTTGAACTCCTGACCTCAAGTGATCAGCCCCGTCTCTGCCTCTGAAAGTGGTGGGATTATAGGCGTGAACCACTGTGCCCAGCCCATAGCCTTCATTTTAAAATACTTTTTATAGGGTATAGTGGGAAAGGCACAGTGGTACAAATAAATTATAATTAAACTTATTTATTCATGAGACAAGGTCTTACTCTGTCACCCAGGCTGGAGTACAGTGGCACGATCATGGCTCACTGCAGCCTCCACCTTCTAGGCTCAAGCGATCCTCCTACCTCACGTTCCGAGTGGCTGGGACCATAGGCACTCACCAGCATGCCCAGCTAATTTTTAAAAGTTTTTTTTGGCCAGTTGCAGTGGCTCATGCCTGTAATCCCACCACTTTGGGAGGCCAAGGCGGGCAGATCACCTGAGGTCGGGAGTTCGAGACCGGCCTGACCAACATGGAGAAACCCCATCTCTACTAAAAATACAAAATTAGCCAGGCGTGGTGGCACATGCCTGTAGTCCCAGCTACTTGAGAGGTGGAGGTTGCGGTGAGCCGAGATAGCGCCATTGCACTCCAGCCTGGGCAGCAAGAGTGAAAGTCCGTCTCAAAAAAAAAAGGTTTTTTGTAGAGATGAGGTCTCACTGTGTTGCCCAGGCTGGTCTTGAACTCACTCCTGGCCTCAAGCTGTCTTCCTGCTTTGGCCTCCCAAAGTGCTGGGATTATAGGCATGAGCCGTCACACCTGGCCTTAAATTTATTTTGATTCAGGGTTGCTGGCCATCAGAAGTCTATTTTGGTTGCTTGGTTGGTTGTGTTGTGTTATGTTTTGTTTTGTTTTGTTTTCCTTTTGCAAGAGTAACTTTTAATTTTATTCTTTGCGTAGACTAATGTTAAAAAAGCCCTTTACATCATTCTTTTGCCATCTTTTATTTGGTAATGTAAATGAATGGAACAAATAATTTTTTTTTTAGTATAGAAGTCTAGAAGCTTAAAAATGTCATCTTAGCCAGGCCTGCACCTGTAGTCCCAGCTACTTGCAGGATGCCTTGAGCCCAAGAGTTTGAGTCCAGCCTAGGCAACACAGCGAGACCCTGTCTCTTTAAAAAGAAAAAAAAACCCACCTCTGTTTTTGCCTCTAATATCAGTATTCACAGACATCATTTTGGAACAGTTAATAAAATGTGAAAATAAATTAGTGTAAAGTATTGACTACTTTAAAATCAGTATAGGCCAGGCACAGTGGCTCTCACCTGTAATCCCAGCACTTTGGGAGGCTGAGGCAGGCGGATCATTTGAGGTCAGGAGTTTGAGACCAGCCTAACCAGCATGATGAAACCCAGTCTGTAAGAAAAATACAAAAAAACTAGCCAGGCATGGTGGTGTGCACCTGTAGTCCCAGCTACTTAGGAGGTTGAGGCAGGAGAATTGCTTGAACCCGGGAGGTGGAGGTTGCAGTGAGCTGAGATTGTGCCACTGCACTCCAGCCTGGATGACAGAGTGAGACTCCATCTCAAAAAAAATAAATAAAAATAAAAAACAAAATCAATATATAAACAGTTTAGACTTTGGTAATTATATAATTGCTTTTTTTTTTTTTTTTTAGAACAGTAAATGTCCTGAGGGAACAAAACCCATGCTGATATTTGCTGGCGATGATTTCGATGTAACAGAAGATTATAGAAGACTAAAAAGTCTTCTTATTGGTAAGTATTTTAGTATTTATTATCTTCAGGGTAGCTCAGGAAGACAGTCTCAGACTCTCACTGGTGGCACTTTGCTACTTTAGGTTTGTAACTTCTTTTTTCTCTTATTTTAAAAATAATATTTATATACTTAAAATAATGGAGTGCTTCACAAATTTGCATGCCATCCTTGCGCAGGGACCATGCTAATCTTCTCTGTATGGTTCCAGTTTTAGTATATGCGCTGCCGAAGCGAGCACAACTTCTTTTTCCTCCTTTTTTTGGACCTTTCTCTTTTTTTTTTCCCTTACCAGCAGCAGGAAAGCACCTAAGTATCTCGGGAGAGTTAAAGCAGCTGTTGTACTGTGTAGATGATTATTTCTGGATGTGTTAGTAACTTAGGTATTACTTGTATAGTGTTTTATAAAATTCCTGCACCCATCTCCTGTCATTCCTAGCATCATTTAAAATTAAATTTAGAAAGTTGAGGGATTAAAATTTCAAGATTGTTTGTATCACCGACTTCCAACTCAAAAACCTTAATTAGTTTTTCTGAGTTGAATATACAAGGCCTTTCACAATATATAACCAATGTAGCTTGGCCTTCTTGATCTCCTATTGCCTTCTTTTTTTCCATTAGAAAGGGTTTATTGCCAATATATTATTCACATTTCTATTGTGTATTCTGATATTGCTCTTATTTATCCAGTTTCTACTATTCATTTAAGTGTCAGATCATCAAGTTTCTTTTCCGGGAAGCCCTCAGTGACCTTCCTGGCTCCTTTTTTTTTTTTTTTTTTAAAGATAGAGTCTTGCTCTGTTGCCCAGGCTGGAGCACAATGGTGTGATCTCGGCCCACTGCAACCTCCACCTCCCGGGTTCAAGCGATTCTCCTGCCTAAGCCTCCCGAGTAGCTGGGATTACAGGTGCCCGTCACCATGCTGACTAATTTCTTTTGAGACGGAGTCTCGCTCTGTCGCCCAAGCTAGAGTGCAGTGGCGCGATCTCGGCTCACTGCAAGCTCCACCTCCCGGGTTCACACCGTTCTCCTTCCTCAGCCTCCCGAGTAGCTGGGACTACAGGCACCTGCCACCATGCCCAGCTTATTTTTGTATTTTTAGTAGAGATGGAGTTTCACTGTGTTAGCCAGGATGGTCTCAATCTCCTGACCTCGTGATCCACCCGCCTCGCCCTCCCAAAGTGCTGGGATTGCAGGTGTGAGCCACTGCGCCAGGCCTAATTTTTTTTTTATTTTTAGTAGAGACAGGGTTTTGCTATGTTGGCCAGGCTGGTCTTGAACTCCTGACTTCAGGCGATCCACCCTCCTTGGCCTCCCAAAATGCTGGGATTACAGGCATGAGCCACTGCGACAGGCCCTGGCTCATTTTTACTTTATTACCATCATCATCCTAAGTGCCAGGCATATAGTAGGCACTTCATATACACTGCTTCATTCTAACAAGAACCTTGTGAGGTTGTTCTACAGATAACCCACACCTAGCAAACTATGCTAGTTCTAAATGATTTGTGTAATGAATATAAGGACTACATCCTTTTCTATTTTTTTCTCCTTTATGAGGCAAGTCGTGTTCTGATGCCCAGGCTGGAGTGCAGTAGCTCAATCATGGCTCATTGCAGCCTCAACCTCCCAGGCTCAAGTGATCCTCCCACCTCAGCCTCCTAAGTAGCTGGGACCATAGGCACATGCCACTATGCCTGGCTAATTTTTAAAATTTTTTGTAAGATGGGGTCTCACTGTGTTGCCCAGGCTGGTCTTGAACTTCAGGGCTTAAGCAATCCTCCCACTTCAGCCCTCAGAGTGCTGGGATTACAGGTGTGAGCCCCCACACCCAGCCTCCATGATTTTTAAAAGGTTATTAGTACTTAGCATTCTGCAATTATATTTGCCAGCTCTTTTATAACTCTGGAAAGTAATTTAATTTTCCAAGAGATTGGTACTAATTTAAAGGGTCTTGGGTCTGTCTCTCTGTCCCTCAATTTTTTTTTTTTTCTTTTTTTTTTTTCTTTTTAGACAGCATCTTGCTCTGTCACCCAGGCTGGAGTGTACTGGTGTGATCACGTCTTACTGCAGCCTTGACCTCTTGGGCTCAAGCAGTCCTCTACCTCCTGAGCAGCTGGGACTACAGGTTCACACCACCATGCCCAGCTAATTTTTATTTTAATTTTTTGTAGAGATATGGGTCTCCCTGTATTGCCCAGGCTGGTCTCAAACTCCTGAGCTCAAGCAATCCACCTGCCTCAGCTTTCCAAAGTGGTGAGATTACAGGCATGAGCCACCACACCTAGCTCTCTCCAATTTAAGAAAATCTTCTTACTGAATTTTTTGCTTCTTTTCCCTCATGGGGATTGAGAGATTCAGCTTTTCCTGCACAGTACACTGATACTCTCAAAGCAGCAGTCCTTTATGGTCCTATTTCACCTTAGTGTTGACAGCCGCGAGGCCTCCATCTGATGCTCAGTGGCCTTGTCTACTTTATTCCATTTGAGCTTTTCTTGCACCATGCTTACAAGCTTATGCTACACTTCTTGTTACCCTTGTTTTAAATTTTTATATACTTTGCTGTAGATCACTTTTGAAAAATTGATGGGGTATAAAATTACGTTGTATGCACATGCTTTACAAATCTGAGCCCACCAAAAAAACTGTGACAAATACATTGCTTTCATTTTCCCTTTTTGGGATTATTTATGGTCTTTATTGTCAGGATTATAATTTTTAGGGGAAAAAAAAACACGTCACCCATTCTTGGGATTATAATTTTTAGAATTTATTTCCCGTATTAGTAATAGCTACTTTTTAAAAAAGAAACTAAGAACCACTATTATCTGTTTAATCTTTACAAAAGTTCTTGAGTTTGATGACATTCCCATTTCACAGATGGGAAAACAAACAGGGGCTCTGAGAAGTTAAATGAGAGCTATTAAGTAGGTAAGGCCAAGTTGAAACCCAACGCTTCCAAAGCCTGAGCTTTTCTTCCCCTACTGTCCATCTTGCCTGTGGTAAACATATTCCCATGATCCCTTCTAGAATCTTTATAGGTTCTTATCCATATTTTCCATGAATTAAATTCATACATGAAAGACAATGACTAATATTTCCTTCTCTCAATATTATATATCCCAAATTATCAAGGGTATTTTTCTTTCTTTCTTTCTTTCTTTCTTTCTTTCTTTTTTTTTTTGAGACATAGTCTCACTCTGTTGCCCTGGCATGATCTCAGCTCACTGCAACCTCCACCTCCCAGGGTCAAGCAATTCTCTTCCTTAGCCTCCTTAGTACCTGGGACCACAGGTGCATGCCACCACACCCGGCTAATTTTTTATATTTTTAGTAAAGACTGGGTTTCACCATGTTAGCCAGGCTGGTCTTGAACTCCTGACCTCAAGTGATCTGCCTGCCCTGGCCTCCCAAAAGTGCTGAGATTATAGGTGTGATCCACCGTGCCTGGTCAAGGGTATTTTTCCAGCCAAAATGTCAGCCAGATTTTCAGCTAAGATTTCCATTACTTGTACTCCATTGACCTAGATTTTCTGCCTTTTTCTCTTTCCCCTAGGTCTCCCATATAATTGTTTATTGTCAGTGAGGCAGATACTTACAATTTGTTATAACAGAGAGAGCTTTTGTTTGCATTTGTTTAAATGTTTTTTGTATTTTAATAAGCCCCACCTTCTCATTATTTTGTGCTTCCACTAGATGGCAGGAATGATCACATAATGCAGTGGTGAGGGGAAGGGAGTGAAAACCAAAAAGGAATCTGGACAGAAGCAGAAAGGTAGAAGAGGAACAGATTCAGACTGTAGGGCACCAAGGGAAGTTGAGTTTTCAGTATAAATATGAAGTAAAACAACTGCTCTTTGGTTTATGTTGTGTGTTCAAATGAAATATCAGTAGGGAGCAAGAAATGTATGAAGGGCTTTCATTTAGGAAGTTCCTTTTTTTTTTTTTTCTTAATTGACCAGAAAGAAAAGTTAACTTTTTTTCATGCAAGATACCCATTTTGTTCATTCTTAATTTGTTTACATCATTTTTTTTTTTTTTTCTTTTTTTGAGACAGGGTCTCACTCTGTTGCCCAGGCTGGAGTGCAGTGGCATGATCATGGCTCACTGCTGTAGCCTTAACTTTCTGGTCTCAAGCAATCCTCCTACCTCATTCCCCTCAGTAGCTGGGACCACAGGTACACGTCACCACGCCCAGCTAATTTTTTTTATTTCTTGTAGACATGAGGTCTTGCTGCATTGCTTGGGCTGGTCTCAGAGTCCTAGGCTCAAGCAGCCCTCCAGCCTCAGCCTCCCAAAGTTGGAGGTGTGAGCCAACATGCGTGGCCTATTCTTCCCTTCTTAAATGGTAGCATATTATATATATGGTTGTTTAAAAAAATTTGGAGTAGAGGAATTTTTAATTCTGATTTTCATTATACAATTGAGAAAACTGAGGCCTGGACAGGTGAGTAGCTTTTCTAAGGTCATGCATTTACCAAGTGGCATATTAAAGTTTTGAACTTAGGTCTCTCCAAAGTACATGCTTTTATTTCTTATTTGTTTATTTTTTGAAATGGAGTCTCACTCTGTCACCCAGGCTGGAGTGCAATGGAGCAATCTTGGCTCACTGCAACCTCCGCATCAGCTGTTCAAGCGATTCTTCTGCCCCAGCCTCCTGAGTAGCTGGGATTACAGGCATTCACCACCATGCCTGGATAATTTTTGTATTTTTTGTAGAGACAGAGTTTCGCCATGTTCGCTAAGCTGGTCTCAAGCTCCTGGCCTCAGGTGATCCACTCATCTTGGCCTCCCAAAGTGCTGGGATTACAGGCATGAGCCACCGTGCCCAGCCATGCTTTTATTTATACAGTATTATTATACTTTAGGTTATCAAGTTCATAAAGTTATTTATCATACTTCTTGGTCAAAATCCTAACAGTGTATATACCACTTGCATGACGTCTTTCCCAACTAGAAATGATCTTTCTCTCCTCAGAACTTCCAGAATGGTTTATACTGTTCTCCTTTTAATGTGCTACTTTAAATTGCAGTTGTTTGTATGTATTCATATCTACCTAGAATGCAGGGCCCCTGATAGAAAAATGCTATATGTCATTTATCACTTTGCATAATAGGTGCTCTGGTACAATTTATTAAGTGAATGGATTCTTGCCAATGGTATTCATGTGTAAACAATACTCTGTTGTGTTCTAGCCAGAAAATATCATGCTGTTAGACATATTTGCTTTCCGGTTACTAAGTACTACCATTTATGCCCTCCCGTTTTCATTCATTACTTGTTTGTGTTACCTTGATGATTTGCAAACTTTAGTGAAATTTCAGTTTGGCAGTTAAGAGAAAATGTTGTAATAAAAGGATGGCTGGTTAGAACTATTGGATACAGACTGAAAATCCTTTTATATTCATAGTCTTAGAAATTTTGACTTAATAAAGAGTACTTTTCCATGTGCTTATTGTGTTCCTAAAGTTTTCTCCCAAAGCACAGATGTCCTGAAAATTTTGCATTATGAAAGTTGTTTCAGAGCAGACTGGAATGTACATATTTCGTTTCCCAGAAGTACTCTGACTTCAGTAATGCCACACCAATGAGTGAGCTTTATTAACTTGGCCACTGAAGGAGAGTCAGGCTTTGGCAAAATCATGGGAAAGCTCTTTATTATGATATTTAGATTAAAATATCTTGAAAAGTACAAACTTGTTTTATAAAAATGTCCCAGGCCAGGCGTGGTGGCTCAAACCTGTAATCCCAGCACTTTGAGAGACCAAGGCAGGAGGAGTGCTTGAGTCTAGGAGTTCGAAACCAGCCTGGGCAACATAGTGAGACCCCATCCGTACATAATATATGTATAAATATATGTAGTATATGTACTTTTTTTAAATTAAAAATGTTCATTAGTTTTTTTTTTTTCTTGTTTGGGGGAGTAGAGGAGGGTGGTGTATAAATGTGCCTGCCCACTTGTGTTTGTTTTATACAAGTTAATGCTGTGTTTTTTGTTTTTTGGGTTTTTTTTTTTTTGAGACTGAGTCTCACACTGTCGCCCAGGCTGGAGTACAGTGGCGCAATCTCGGCTCACTGCAATCTCCGCCTCCCAGGTTCAAGTGATTCTCCTGCCTCAGCCTCCCAAGTAGCTAGGGAGGCACTTGCCACCACACCTGGCTAATTTTTTGTGGTTTTAGTAGAGATAGGGTTTCACTGTGTTAGCCCCTATGGTCTTGATCTCCTGACCTCATGATCTGCTCGCCTCGGCCTCCCAAAGTGCTGGGATTACAGGCATGAGCCACTGCACCTGGCCTGTGATTTTCTTTTGGTTAAGCACAAGAAAGGAAAAGCAGACAACAAAAGATGCGTTCATCTGTGCACATGGAGATAATCTGCATCTTATGGGCTAATGGGAAGCAGGAAGGAAAATGCTAGGTGGCTACAGAATGGGACTAGAACAGAATTTCCCACTTACTACATCACCTGCCTTGGGCAGCTCTTCCTAAGCAAACTTGGATAAACTTTTATATAGACCTTTTATCTTAGCCAAATGTTATTCATGAATTTCCATTTAGCCTCCTTGAGGTTCGATTTTCTCAGCTGTAAAATTAAGATATCACACTTGTTTTCCAAACTTCTTTCATAGCCAAGTCTGTGTAGTATCCTTAGCGTGCAGTTCACTGGAGATTTTCTTTTAATTGACTCCTCTTTTTAAGTTATTGTTTGAGACAGGGTTTTGCTCTGTCGTTCTCACTGAGTCCAGTGGTGGGATCAGCAATCCTCCCACCTTAGCCTCTCCAGTAGCTGGGACTACAACCTGGCTAATTTTTTATACTTTTAGTGGAGATGAGGTTTCACCATGTTGCCCAGCCTGGCCTCAAACTCCTGAGCTTAAGCAATTCGCCCGCCTCAGTCTCCCAAAGTGCTGGGATGACAGGCATGAGCCACTGTGCATGGCTGACTACTCTTTTTAAAAGGAAATTTTATGTCCCTATTGTAAATGGAGAATGGTACAGGATAAAATAAATACGTAGTAAATTATATCTGGCTTTGTATCATTAAAATGCTCTCATGTGCCACCGGTGGTATGATTACCACTTTGTGAGAAAAAAGACTATCACTGATATGCAAGGTTCTTTTCTGGCATTAACAGTTTATAAAGTTTCTTATCCTTTGTTCATATAATCAAGATTTCTTATTAGAGTTTTTTTCTTGTTGGCCTCCCTCATAGAAAAAAAAATTAAGGCTAATTTGATTTTAATAGTCAATTTGAACAGCCATTTTTATAGAAATTTGCTATCTTCATCTACCAGTAGATTAAAATTTTATGCTTTGATTTACATTTTTTAAAAGTTAGTATTTTTAATGGATATGATTTTTTGATGCTGAGCTGACTCAGAGGAAGAACTTCAAAACAGAAACATTAAATGTCTCAGTGAACTGAACACCAAAATACCAAAATAAAGTCATGAGATTAAATGCTTAAGGGGTGGGACCTTCAGACATTTTTCAGGAATCATTTTTTGTGCTTTTTTAGATAAGTATTGGAGCAAAACTGTTTAGAGTGCAGTTCTTTGTAACTGAATTTTGCAAGTATTTGTTTTGTTTTGTTAATAATTTAATATGTGCTTTTAGATTTCTTCAGAGGCCCCACAGTATCAAATATCCGCCTGGCTGGATTAGAGTATGTTCTGCACTTCACTGCACTGAATGGGAAGATTTACTTTCGAAGCTATAAGTAAGTGCATTTCTTCACATATTTTCTTAATCCTCAGGGTTAGTGTTTAAAACTGTGTGACTGTTTTTTAGAGCCCAAACTTAGAATTGGTATCTGGCCAAAAGGTTTCTTGGAGAGTTGGCAGGATAGCAGTGACAGCAGCTCTGTGCTGATCCTCAGTCCTTTGCCTCTGAAACCCTACTTTTCCAGTGCCCCAGAGCATCTGATGCTGCACTGTCGCTGAGCCAGGTGCACCAACCCTTCCTAGCTTTATGCAGCATCTCTTTATTGTTCTTGGTTGGATTTACAGCACTAAGCCACAAATCCTTGGCTAGGCAAAGCAAATCTCAAAACCCTAAGTCTTAACAATTGAGTCTAAAAGGAATAAGAAGATTCAGTGGCTAGATTCATTTCACTCTGTCTCTCTAGCCTAGGCCTTCTACCCCTACCACAATATAAATATAAATCTTAAGCAGGCCGAGCATGGTGGCTCACACCTGTAATCTCAGCACTTTGGGAGGCTGAGGCAGGCAGATCACTTGAGGCCAGGAGTTCAAAACCAGCCTGGCCAACATGACGAAACCCCATCTCTACTAAAAAAAACCAGAAAAATTAGCCCAGCGTGGTGGCACATGCCTGTAGTTCCAGCTGCTCAGAAGGCTGAGGCACAAAAATCGCTTGAACCTGGGAGGTGGAAGTTGCAGTGAGCCATGATTGTGCCACTGCACTCCAGCCTGGGCAACAGAGTGAGGGCGCTGAAAAAACAAAAAACAAAAAACTCTTAAGCAGATTCTATGTTTATTAAAGAGTTAATGACATGCTGTAATTGTGGTTCTTTTTTTTTTTTCTTTCTTTTTTTTTTTTTTAATTGATCATTCTTGGGTGTTTCTCGCAGAGGGGGATTTGGCAGGGTCATAGGGCAATAGTGGAGGGAAGGTCAGCAGATAAACAAGTGAACAAAGGTCTCTGGTTTTCCTAGGCAGAGGACCCTGCGGCCTTCCGCAGTGTTTGTGTCCCTGGGTACTTGAGATTAGGGAGTGGTGATGACTCTTAACAAGCATGCTGCCTTCAAGCATCTGTTTAACAAAGCACATCTTGCACCGCCCTTAATCCATTTAACCCTGAGTGGACACAGCACATGTTTCAGAGAGCACCGGCTTGGGGGTAAGGTCATAGATCAACAGCATCCCAAGGCAGAAGAATTTTTCTTAGTATAGAACAAAATGGAGTCTCCTATGTCTACTTCTTTCTACACAGACACAGCAACAATCTGATTTCTCTATCTTTTCCCCACATTTCCCCCCTTTCCACTCGACAAAACCGCCATCGTCATCATGGCCCGTTCTCAATGAGCTGTTGGGTACACCTCCCAGACGGGGTGGCGGCCGGGTAGAGGGGCTCCTCACTTCCCAGAAGGGGTGGCCGGGCAGAGGTGCCCCCAACCTCCCGGACGGGGCGGCGGCTGGGCGGAGGCGCCCCCACCTCCCTCCCGGATGGGGCGGCTGGCCGGGCGGGGGCTGCCCCCCGCCTCCCTCCTGGACGGGGCGGCTGCCAGGCGGAGACGCTCCTCACTTCCCAGACGGGGCGGCTGCCGGATGGGGGGGCTCCTCACTTCTCAGACGGGGCGGCTGCCGGGCGGAGGGGCTCCTCACTTCTCAGATGGGGCGGCTGCCGGGCGGAGGGGCTCCTCACTTCTTAGACGGGGCGGCCGGGCAGAGACGCTCCTCACCTCCCAGATGGGGTCGCGGCCGGGCAGAGGCGCTCCTCACATCCCAGACGGGGCGGCAGGGCAGAGGCGCTCCCCACATCTCAGACGATGGGCGGCCGGGCAGAGACACTCCTCACTTCCTAGACGGGATGGCGGCCGGGAAGAGGCGCTCCTCACTTCCCAGACTGGGCAGCCGGGCAGAGGGGCTCCTCACATCCCAGACGATGGGCAGCCAGGCAGAGACGCTCCTCACTTCCCAGACGGGGTGGCGGCCAGGCAGAGGCTGCAATCTTGGCACTTTGGGAGGCCAAGGCAGGCGGCTGGGAGGTGGAGGTTGTAGCTAGCCGAGATCACGCCACTGCACTCCAGCCTGGGCAACATTGAGCACTGAGTGAACGAGACTCCGTCTGCAATCCCGGCACCTCTGGAGGCCGAGGCTGGCAGATCACTCGCGGTTAGGAGCTGGAGACCAGCCTGGCCAACACAGTGAAACCCCGTCCCCACCAAAAAAATACGAAAACCAGTCAGGCGTGGCGGCGCGCGCCTGCAGTCGCAGGCACTCGGCAGGCTGAGGCAGGAGAATCAGGCAGGGAGGTTGCAGTGAGCGGAGATGGCAGCAGTACAGTCCAGCTTCGGCTCGGCATCAGGGGGAGACCGGGGAGGGGGAGGGGGAGGGAGAGGGAGAGGGAGAGGGAGAGGGCAATTGTGGTTCTTGAGATAAGTGTGTGACTTCTCTTTTTTAAGGCGTTGGTACTGGCTGACAGAGCCCACAGTTTCCTAAAGAATACACTGACTCCCACAAATTGCCTTTCTCTGTACATTGAGTTTAGACTTTGCTGTACATTTTGAGCTATGGTGTGGCTGGTGTTGCAGCCTGAGAGCTGACAGCTTGGTGTTGACAGTGTCTTCTGTACAGTAGTGTTGTTTGTCCAACCATTTGTATCTAGCATTTTGTACATCGTTTTTATTTTGTTTTCTTCACAATGAAAATACATGACTGACCAGCTTTATGTCCTATGAATGTCCAAATGAAACTTAAATATTCACCTCTTAGCTGATAATTTCCATCTTGGGCTCAACTGTATTAAATCAGAGACATTTAGTTCTTTTTCTCCATATAATTAATACCACCGCTTCTGTTTTTCTGTTTTCCTCTCACTAAAAATAAATGAGGCAAAATGCAGTAAAATACCCAATGATCATAAGATGTAATTAGAGACTTTATAGTAATTTTTAGCTGGTTAAGATCGAAAGCCCCTTAAGTCTCCTGTTTGAGTTTCCATATGTGATTTGGGAGCTTCTAAGTATGTATTATACTATACAGTAGATGACTGTTATTTAGAGAACAAGAAATAAAAGATGAAAAATCACTAATATAAAAAAGTACTCAGGACGGACATGGTGGCTCATGCCTGTAATCCCAGAACTTTGGGAGGCCGAGGTGGGTGGATTGCTCGAGGCCAGGAGTTCAAGACCAGCCTGGCCAACACAGCGAAACCTGTCTCTACTAAAAATACAAAAATTAGCTGGACATGGTGGCACTGGCCTCCATGCTACTTAGGAGGCTGAGGCAGGACAATTGAGCCCAGGACGCAGAGGTTACAGAGAGTGGGCGGATCACTTGAGGAGTTCAAGACCAGCCTGGCCAACATGGAGAAACCCTGTCTCTATTAAAAAATACAAAAATTAGCTGGGTATGGTGGCGCACGCCTGTAATCCCAGCTACTTGGGAGGCTGTGGCATGAGAATTGCTTGAGCCTGGGCCACACGCCTATAATCCCGGCTACTCAGGCGGCTATGGCACAAGAATTGCTTCAGCTTGGGAGGCAGAGGTTGCAATGAGCTGAGATTGTGCCACTGCACTCCAGCCTAGGTGGCAGAGTGAGACTGTCTGAAAAAAACAAAACAAAATTAAACTTATGTTGGCTGGACACCTGTAATCCTAGCACATGGGAGGCTGAGGCGGGTGGATCACCTGAGGTCAGTAGTTCCAGACCAGCCTGGCCAACATGGCATAACACCGTCGCTACTAAAAATACAAAAATTGGTCAGGCATGGTGGTAGGCGCCTGTAATCCTAGCTACTCGGGAGGCTGAGGCTGGAGAATTGCTTGAACCCGGGAGACAGAGGTTGCAGTGAGCCGAGCACTCCAGCCTGGGCAACAAGAGTGAAACTCCATCTCAGACATAAAGTAATAAAATAAAATAAAAATTGTATAAAATTACCTTCAGGCTATGTATATAAACTGTATATGAAACATAAATGGATTTTGTGTTTAGACTTGGATCTCATCCCCAAGATATCTCATTATACGTATGCAAGTATTTCAAACTCTGAAAAAAACCAGAAATCTGGAACACCTTTCTTTTCTTTCTTTTGTTTTTTTTTTGAGACGGAGTCTCGCTATGTTGCCCAGGCTGGAGTGCAGTGACGCAATCTCAGCTCACTTCAGCCTCTGCCTCCCGGGTTCATGCCATTCTCCTGCCTCAGCCTCCCAAGTAGCTGGAACTACTGGCACCCGCCACCACGCCCGGCTAATTTTATTTTTGTATTTTTAGTAGAGACAGGGTTTCACCATGTTAGTCAGGATGGTCTCAATCTCCTGACCTCGTGATCTACCTGCCTTGGCCTCTCAAAGTGCTGAGATTACAGGCATGAGCCACCGCGCCTGACCTGGAACACTTCTTTTTTTGAGGCAGGATCTTGCTGTTGCCCAGGCTGGAGTACAGTGGCATCATCTCAGCTCACTGCAACCTCTGCCTCCCGCATTCAAGCGATTCTCCTGCCTCGGGTGGGTATGTATGCCCTCTGTGTTAAACATAGAGGGGATACAAGGGAGATAAAAATATAACGGTAAAAAATCATTGACAGTAAGAAATGAGTGGTAACAGTAGCCTAAAACTCTTCTGTGTTGAACGGTTTCGCAGAAAGTATTCACTTGTATTTAGTGAAAAGGGTTTATTTGTAAAGAAAGATACAGAGAAAATAAAACAAAATAGAGAATTATCAAGTCAGACTTTAGAGCAAGAATAAACTGGCCCAGCGTGGTGGCTCATGCCTGTAATCCAGTACTTTGGGAGGCCAAGATGGGTGGATCACCTGAGGTCAGGAGTTTGAGACCAGCCTGGCCAACATGGTGAAACCCCGTCTCTACTAAAAATATAAAAATTAGCCGGGCAACATGGTGTGCACCTGTAATCCCAGCTACTCAGGAGGCTGATGCAGGAGAACCCGGGAGGCAGAGGTTGCAGTGAGCCAAGATCGCACCACTGCACTCCAGCCTGGGTGACAGCGAGACTCCATTTCAAAAAAAGAGAAAAAAAAGAATAAACTAGCAGTAAGGCCGGGCACGGTGGCTCATCCCTGTAATCCCAGCAGCCCTTTGGGAGACTGAGGTGGGCAGATCACGAGGTCAGGAGATCGAGACCATCCTGGCTAACACGGTGAAACATCATCTATACTAAAAATACAAAAAATTAGCTGGACATGGTGGCGCATGCCTGTAATCCCAGCTATTCAGGGGGCCAAGGCAGGAGAATTGCTTGAACCACGGAGTCGGAGATTGCAGCGAGCCTAGATTGTGCCACAGCACTCCGGCCTGGTGACAGAGCAAGACTCTGTCTCAAAAAAATAAAAATAAAAACAAAAATAAAAAACTAGCAGTGTAACTATAATACATAGATCCACCAAAAATCTGATTGCTAGAATCACCTTTACACTAGCACGACATCTTTCATAATGAAAAAAAGTTTGAAATTTTAAAATCAGAGACCCTAGTATGTAATTTTGATCACTAGATGTTCCATATGTGCCTTGTAATACTTGTTAGCTATTAATTTGAAATAAAAAATGGACACTGTGATTGAGAGTGAGCTGCTACTTGAAAGAATCACTAAACATGTGGATCAGCTTAGCTTCCAGAGGCTGTGCCACACTTGGGGAGCATTGAGGATGGGAGGAAGGGGTGGTCCAGGGATTCAGCATCACCTCTGAGCCTACTGACCTGGCTCTGAGCTGGGCTCAGCCACGTGACATGGGCAGGTCACCACTTCTCAGGGTCTTTGTTTCTTCCTCTGTAAACTATAGCAATACCATTTAGATAATTCTGAGGTCCCCCTAAGATTGACAGTACTGCTTTATAAGAGTAAAGGGGTACTCATAGATGGGCATATACCAGAAAGTATGTCTGACTTAACTTGGCTCCCCAGGCATTCTTTGGGCTAGCTATACTGTGGAACCCTTTCCCTCGCTCTTACTGCAAATTAGCCCTTATGCAATTTGAAAATGGTAATATTTAATATTCACACACTTTATTTGTGAAGATAAATGAGGTTTATAAAATGGTTTTGAGCTTTTTGGATGAAAGGAACTCTAAACAGGAAATTATATTAATATAACCTTTAACATGATCTTTTGGGTGAATAAATCATAGTGTTATTGACCACTGTTCCTATACATCCTATAGTAATTATTCCTTGTATGTGAGTGACTATTTATATCCGTTGGGAAATTTTATTCACTATGGAGTCAGAGCCATTAATATGAAACAAAATCGTTAGTAATGCCACATGTGCCTTTGCACAATGGTTAGGCCTTATGGGGGGAAATATGCAAAACAAAGTGGTAGCATACTTTGAAAAGCAAACATAACATTCTAATTGAGGAGTTTACTTAATGAAAACAGACTTTCAGCCAGAGAAGTGTATGAGAGGGAGAAAAATGAGGAAATTACAATTTGAACAGTAGTGGTAATGTCACTCTTCCTCAAGAAATAGACAAATAATATTTAAAAATATGTAGAAATTACCAGTTAGCATATCTACCAGCTTGAGCCCATCTGAGAGAGAAAGAACTGGGTTCTGTTTGCAGATAACTAAAAGCTAGAGAATATTTCCTTAAATCAGTTTGATCTTCCAGTAAACATACTCACTGAAATGATTAAGATCAGATCATCTACACAGAAAAGTATGACATTGTACTTAATTCTTTAATGAAATAACAACATAGGTAATTATACATAGTTATTTGGAAATCTTAATTTTATGTACCACTCAAAAAATTCATTAGGACGCTTGTGAATAAAAAGGCACAATATTAAATTATTATATGCACCCTGAAACTATGTACATCTATTATGCATCAATTTTAAAAATTATTTTTAGTTAATTAAAAGGTGCTTCAGTTAATTAAAAGGTGCTTTTGGCAGTGTATAGTAGTACTTGGGTGATTTGAATCTATCGGATATGCCATGAGCTGTTTTGAATTGACAAGTTTTCTAACTAGCTGAAAATTAGCAGTTTTAAGTGGAAGAAAAAATTTTAGTTGAAAATTAAAATACATGTCCCTGATTTCTTTTTTTGTTTGTTTGTTTTTGAGACGGAGTCTCGCCCTGTCGCCCAGACTGGAGTGCAGTGGCGCGATCTCGGCTCACTGCAACCTCCGCCTCCTGGGTTTAAGCGATTCTCCTGCCTCAGCCTCCCGAGTAGCTGGGACTACAGGCATGTGCCACCACGCCTGGCTAATTTTTTGTGTCTTTAGTAGAGATGAGGTTTCACCATGTTGGCCAGCTGGTCTGGAGCTCCTGACCTCAGGTGATCTGCCTGCCTTAGCCTCCCAAAGTGCTGGGACTACAGGCGTGAGCCACCACGCCTGGCTGCTCCACCATCACTTTATCCTGCCTGTATTCCCCAGTTCTCCTCCACCAGTGTTTCCAGATCCAGAGCTGTTTAGACATAGGGTATTCAGAAAGTTGTGGTTTTGTTATTTTAAGATTTTAAAGTTCACTTCAATGTAAGGAAGTTAGTAAATGTCTGTGCTATGAGGAAAAGTTGATTCTGAATGGGTTGGTTTAACTCCTACAGTCTTAGATAAGAACTTGTTAATCGTATAAACATACTGTTTCAAAGAAAAAGCCAATTATAATTACTTTTATACATACATAAATCTATGAGTAAGATGAAGAAGTCAAATCAAAGGATTTTATTTCATTTCTGAGAATAATTTTGTATCTCACTTGCTGTTTCTCAATAATATTGTATAATTTTATTTCTGATTTTTAAAAATAAGCAAACTGCCCTTGACCTCAAAGAGAAAAAAAAAATTTTTAATTTGATATTTGTGTGACCCTTTAGCTCAAAAAGGGATAAAAGACTTATAAAGAAAAGCCGGGCATGGTGGCTCATGCCTGTAATCCCAGTACTTTGGGAGGCCGAGGCAGGAGGATCATGAGGTCAGGAGAGCGAGACCATCCTGGCTAACACGGTGAAACCCCATCTCTACTAAAAATACAAAAAAATTAGCCAGGTGTGGTGGCGGGTGCCTGTAGTCCCAGCTACTCGGGAGGCTGAGGCAGGAGAATGGCGTGAACCTGGGAGGTGGAGCTTACAGTGAGCCAAGATCGCGCCACTGCACTCCAGCCTGGGGACAGAGCGAGACTCCGTCTCAAAAAAAAAAAAATTTATAAAAGAAGATGTGAACCAAAGGATATACTTGGCTTGAATAGTATTAAGTATTTAAGTAAGTCTTTCTAAACATTTTATATCATTTAATGGAATTGTAAATCCCCTGAACAAAAAATATTTGGTGGAGAGGACTTTTATGAAAGTCAAAGCAACATTTCTTTTTACCTATTTCCTAAAGGTTGCTGTTGAAGAAATCTGGTTGCAGAACACCACGGATTGAATTGGAAGAGATGGGACCCTCATTGGATCTGGTTCTGAGGAGGACACACCTGGCATCGGATGACCTTTATAAATTATCTATGAAAATGCCAAAAGCTCTCAAGGTATATAACTTAGAGCTTGGTACCACATTTATTTGTATTTTCTACTTTAATCCTTTTTCTTTCCAAAAAGAATTTGTGGCATATTATATTAAAAGACAAGGACAGGCCAGGCGCGGTGGCTCACGCCTGTAATCCCAGCACTTTGGGAGGCCGAAGTGGGTGGATCACAAGGTCAGGAGATCGAGACCATCCTGGCTAATACAGTGAAACCCCGTCTCTATGAAAAATACAAAAAATTAGCTGGGCGTGGTAGCGGGCGCCTGTAGTCCCAGCTACTTGGGAGGCTGAGGCAGGAGAATGGCGTGAACCGGGGAGGTGGAGCTTGCAGTGAGCAGAGATCACGCCATTGCACTCCAGCGTGGGTGACAGAGTGAGCCAAAAAAAAAAAAAAAAGACAAGGACATATATAAAGAGATCAATACAATAGATTAAACTAGGACTCACAGAGCCAGGAAAAGGAGAGAGAACCAAATAAGCCAACAATAAGGGATAATAAAAAAAGAGTTGCAAAACCCAGACATGAGGTTTGGCTAAGTGCCTTCTGATAGTCAAGACTGTTGTTTTCAGCAAAAGAAAGAGAGTTGTTTGGTACACTGTAAAGGCTAAGGATTTAGAGTACAGGGTATATAAACCATATGTGCATAAAATGTGTTTTGACTTTTTAAGTAGTTTTAAAAGACAAGAAGAAATGTAATCTCTAAAATGCCAATAGAAATTGAAACAATAGTCACAACTTCTTAAGCTAAACACAGGCTATTTTCTTGATGTGTGACAGTGGTTAGTGTAGTTTATAGTTTTGTTTTTCAAAGTGTGGCCTGACAGTTTACCTGGGAATTGTGCAGAATATCAGGCCCTACCCTAGACATACTGAATTAGGATCTGTATTTTAGCAAGATCCCAAGTGATTTGTATGCACACTTAAGTTTGAGAAGAAAAGTGTATAGGGCTATATACTGTGTCACTGAAGGGGCAGGCACTAATGGAAATTGCTACTAAGATAGTTGTTACAGACTAGATTTTTACTGGCTCATTATAGTAGAAGGCCATTAAATATATACATATTCTTTTATCGTAGCCAAAGAAGAAGAAAAATATTTCCCATGATACTTTTGGTACAACTTATGGAAGGATTCATATGCAGAAGCAAGACCTAAGCAAACTACAAACCAGGAAAATGAAGGGGTTGAAGAAGCGACCTGCAGAAAGGATAACAGAAGACCACGAGAAAAAGTCAAAAAGAATTAAAAAAAATTGATGGAACTTAGCCAGCCACTACTGTTTCATTGTGTTCTACTTAAGAGAATTATCAAGCGTCAATCCATTCAGAGTTTCTTATAAGATCTTATTATATATTTTTATAACATGATAATTTTACGATATATTATTATGAACAGTAATATACTAGTATTAAGTGTAAAGTAAGCCTTTTATTTGAGACATTACACCCTGGTGTGCCATTTTCTCTTGTGATATCCCCTGCCCTCCACAAATTCTTCTTTCTCATTGGGTGGATGGATGGGTGAGGAGGGATCTCCATAACCATTGGGATTTTTTTGAATTTCTGGCCTTAGCTAAAGAAAGCCACAGAAAGCCGGACCCGCAGGAGCTGTGTAAACAATCTCAGTATGAATTACCTGGAAAGTTAACCTCCTCTCCCAACATGGATCTACATTCTGATTTTTATTTTCTACTTTTATTTTGCCTGAAATCCTACTCGTTGACATTTGAGATTTTAAGCTTTGTGGCTGAAAATATATAGATCTCTGAGAGGGATGTCTGCTATCTGATTATTGATAAATTACACTACTGTTGATTGTTTTAAGAGACTCTACTACTAAGTAGAGCCCACCCCGCTTCTCTGAGACGAAACCTGTGTTTTTTGGTTGGTTTGTTTTTAAGAGATGGGGTCTTGTTCTGTCACCTAGGGTGGAGTGCAGTGGCACAATCACAGCTCACTGCAGCCCTGAACTCCTGGGCTCAAGTAATCCTCCTGCCTGAGCCTCTTACGTAGCTGGGATTACAGGCATGAGCCACTGAGCCCTACTTTTTTTTTTTAAAGCAATGAGGTCTTGCTGTGTTGCCCAGGCTGGACTCAAATTCCTGGGCTCAAGTGATCCTCCCACTTCACCTTCCTGAGCAGCCGGAACTACAGATGTTGGTCCACTGCACCTGGCAGAAAAGAAGTTTTGATAGGGGCAGAAATGAAAAAGGAGAAAACAGGTGAGTTTTAAGGTGCAGGGCACTTTAGGGTACTGGGTAGCCCTAGGTAGCTAAAGGTTGCATGAAGGCCCTGGGCGTTTGCAGATGGTGTAGAAGCCAGCCAAAGCCTAACTACTTGTTTTGAAAGTTTCTTGAAGACAGGCCTTGTGCCTAGGAAAACAGAAGCTTTCTTCTTCCTTCTACTAGTATTGCATACTTGTTTTTCTGGAATAGGGTGTTAAGTTCCTTGATTCAGTCCTTGACAAGGAATCTCCTTTATACAAGTGCCAGTAATGTTGTAAAGGTACAGACATACGCAAATCATAATTTGTTACATGAAGTACCAGTGCTTTCTTTTTTGTTGTTTTTTGAGACAGAGTCTCGCTCTGTCGCTCAGGCTGGAGTGCAGTGGCGCGATTTCAGTTCACTGCAACCTCCACCTCCCAGGTTCAAGCATTCTTCTGCCTCAGCCTCCCGAGTAGCTGGGATTACAGGCACCCACCACCACGCCTGGCTGATTTTTTGTAGAGACAGGGTTTCACTTCAATTCCATGTTAGAGAGCTCCGTGCCTGTGTATACATGCCTTTATGTAAGCTTGCTCAGCTACAGATCAACAATGCTGGCACTAAGCAAAAGTTCGAGCCTCAGCTTTACCTTCTACCCTTTCCCTTCTCTTTTGAATCCATTCCTTAGCTTTCCCTAGTCCTCTCCGGATAGCTGTTACTCTCCTCTTGCCAGAAAAATGAAGGAGCTGGTATCATTTATACTTTTTGTTTGATTATACGTTTAACCAAAGACCATACAGTCTCGTACCTGAATCAGACATTTGCACTTTATATCTAAATGAGAAGAAGGGGCTCAGATAAGTCGTTTGCTGCCATCTGGAGGTAGATGGACAATAGCTGAGAAGGGGAGCCATGAAAAGAACATCAGGAGTGATGGACGCATAGTCCTTCCCCAAAGCCTCGCTCATCACTGGTAGGAGGCAAAGCAGTGGGTCCTCCTCACCAGCCGCTTACGGGACCCTGCCATGCCTGGACCCCTCTATCAGGAAGACCTACCCCAGCACTACTGGAAAATCAGCCAATCTTAACCCAAAGATGGCCATGATTTCTGTATGTGAGACGTCTTAAGGGTGTTTTTGTTTGTTTTAATCAGCCCTCTTGTTTGAGATTTGGCAATACATTTCTGTTTTCTAGGTAATTTCTGTGTCTGATGGTAGAGGATCTAATAAGTATTGGAATGCTTCCTATTTGCTGATAGAAGTACCAAATAGTATTATTGAAGTCTAACAAAGACTTTTTGTTGAGAACACCTTGTAGTGTTGTACTATCTGGAACTCTTGAGCTGCCATTTATATCACTTTTTGTGGAGAGCACATCTTGATTTTCAGTTGTCCTTACTTTAGAATACAACACACATAAATTGGAGACTATGTATTCATTTCAATGGAGGTGGTAAATTGCCTGTTTTAAGTTTTACTTAATGTTGGGTTTTGGTAGATGAGGAAAGCATTTTGGTTATTTGTTTTGTTTTAAATACCAAATTTCTTATATTTTTTCTGGAATATTAATACTATTACCAAGCTATTATTTCATGGAATTTGGGTTTCTTTTTTTTTGTTTTTTTAAAATTAAGTGCTGTTTGTTTTCTTGGTTATTGAACATAATCCAAAGTAGAGATGTTATTACTCAATTCAAGAAAAGAAAGGGCTAATAAAACTTAACTTCAAGTCAGTTTTCATTTATCTGATTAGCTACTTACATGATCTCTCCTTCCTTTCCTTTTTATGTCTAGCTACTTAAGGCTAAAAATGGAAGGCTTCAAAATGGAAGAAGTTAAAACTACTAAACCCATTGCTAAGATCCGAACAACAAAGGAAGGTTTGCTTTTATTGAATTTCAGAAATTGGTGCTTTGTCCACCATAAAATTAAGAGACAGTGCAAAAAATACGAGCTTCATTATGTTTTTAATGCACTTTTACTTAGAAATAGTCAAAACATAACTGCATTTAAGACAAATGCATCCTAGCGTATATACATTATGAAATTGTAGAGAATACTGTTTGATATTCATTGAAAGAAGCTATTCTGAAAAAGAAGATGAAATGGGCTTGCTTACTTGAGGTATATGCTAGCTGTGAAAAGAAAGTCAGCTTGCATTTAGATGTTGTTTGTCTCTCATATCAACAACTCGAGTTGCTCAAGTTTAAAAACAGCAAGGATGTCATTGTGTTTCTCGTATCATTCAGAGTGTGCCAGTTAGACCATGTTAGGAATTTTAACTTTGCCATCATTGAATTGAAGCTATTCTGCACTCTTTTTCCATTTCAGAGCTCTCTGGAAAAAAGTTTTTATTATTATTTTTTTGGAGACAGAGTCTTGCTCTGTCGCCCAGGCTGGAATGCAGTGATGCGATCTCAGTTCACTGCAAGTGCCGCCTCCTGAGTTTAAGCGATTCTCGTGCCTCAGCCTCCCGAGTAGCTGGGATTACAGGCATGCGCACTGCGCCCAGCTAATTTTTAGTAGAGACAGGGTCTCGCCATGTTGGCCAGGCTGGTATTGAAGTCCTGATCTCAAGTGATCTGCCTGCCTCGGCCTCCCAAAGTGCTGGGATTACAGGCGTGTGCCACCGCACCCAGCTGAGAAAGTTTTTAAATATAGCATAAATACATTTTATGTATTAGAAATCAGGTGTCACTCTGTTGCACAGGCTGGGGTGCAGTGGTGCAGTCATAGCTCACTCCAGCATCAGACTCTGGGCTCAAGGCATCCTCTCGCTTCAGCCTCCCAAGTAGTTGGGACCACAGGCAGGTGCCACGACAGCTGGGCTAGTTTTTTTTTTTTTGTAGAGACGATGTTTCACTATGTTGCCCAGGCTGGTCTTGAACTCCTGGCCTCATGCAATATTCCCGCCTCAGCTTTCCAGAGCACTGAAATCACACGCGTGAGCCACAGTGCCCAGCCCATAAATGCGTTTTAATTCTGTTCCTGTTTTTCCATTAAACTTCTGTCCTTTCTCGGCCGGGCGCGGTGGCTCACGCCTGTAATCCCAGCACTTTGGGAGGCTGAGGCGGGCGGATCATGAGGTCAGGAGATCGAGACCATCCTGGCTAACACGGTGAAACCCCGTCTCTACTAAAAAATAGAAAAAATTAGCCGGGCATGGTGGCGGGCGCCTGTAGTCCCAGCTACTCGGGAGGCTGAGACTGGAGAATGGCGTGAACCCGGGAGGCAGAGATCGCGCCACTGCACTCCACCCTGGGCGACAGAGCGAGACTCCGTCTCAAAAATAAAATAAAATAATAAAATAAACTTCTGTCCTTCCTTCCCCAACCCATCTCACCCCTACCCCCATTCCTCTCACACATGTTCAAGGAATCAGAAAGTGGGTTCCAAACAGGGAGAAAACTCTGGCTCTAGTTTCATACAAGCTGGGGCTTGTATGAAAGAAGGCAGATAAGGGAGAAATGGCAAAGTATGTAGAACTCAGCAGTTAGGGCATTTGCCAAGCAAAGATCAAAGCCCCAGAGCTGTAAGTGCTTTACTGGATTGGGATTGATTCCTCAAACTGAAAACCAGGCTTCTGAGGGCTCAGACAGACACAGAGTGGCAGATGTTGGCTCCGTGAGGCGTTGCCCTCTCACCCAGCTGGAACCCAGGGCTGCACAGGCACCATCTGTGGACACTAGATCACCGAGTAGGAGGGGGAACCTGCAACCAGAGTTAGAGCCAAGCTAAAGTTGAACTTGTGTTCTGGTAACTCCCTCTGTCCCTCTCACACACTGTGGATGAGTTACGAAAGAGGTTCCTGAAAGGCAAGCTTATTTAATTTCTGCATTTGAAATAGATTTTGAAGATTCACATTTATCAGCTTGAGCAATTTATTTTCCCACTCTCCTACCTGATTTCCCCAGAGTCACTTATCTGACAAAGCAAATAGCATAGTGACTTGACTGATTAGAGACATCAGTTTAGATGACACCACCTGCAACAGCACCTCCGGCTCAGCCTTTCGGAGGCCGCTCGGTTTATGGCACTGGGAGAGCGTGAGAATTCTTTACTGTCCCCATGAGGCCCCATTTCATCCATCTGGCTCCCCAGTCAAAGCTAGTGAATGCCACAAATATGTTTTGAATTTTACCCCCAGCACCTTCCTCCATTAAGGGTGACCTTGGGGAAAGGTTAGACAGAATCTTGAAAAATCAATCAAAGCTCAAGTGGCATGAGAGCTCAAAAGCAGCATCACCATACGGGCAGGAGAGTATGTGGGAGTGGCAGACAGGGCAGTGTTGTGGGAAGGAGTGTGGCATTAAATGAAACCGACACAACCCTCGCCTGCTACTCTGAGAGCTCAGCTGAGATTTAAAAGGACAATTAAAAGATACAGTGCATAAAACCATGGGCAACACCAATTAGTAATATGGTTCTCTAAGAAAAGTGAAAATGTTTGCAGACTCAAGAAATGCAAAGGGCAATCAATGTGGCTTTGTTTTGTGGTAGTAGTAGTAGCAGTATGACAAAGAATTTTAAAAGGGGACTTGATAAGGCAACTGGTATAATACTGGCTGATGAAATTCCCATGTTATCTCCATTCTTAGAAAATGAGAGGAGTAGCCATCATGATTGAGAAATAGGGCTCCCGAAAGTAATTCTATCCTAACCTCAAGGTGGGTGAAATATGGCATGCAAAGCACCTGGCCGCTTGAAATAACTGAGTCTCCATTCCAAACATGCACATTCAGTTAATCTTGAAGGAACTATGGGGACGTAGAATGAGGCAGAGAACTGGTGACAGATACCTTCTAGTTTTGACTCTGGCAAAATTATAAGAAGAATCATGTAGGTGCCTCATGAGCTCTTACTTAGAATTGGAAATAGTCATCACTAGGAGCCAGCCTGGGTTCCCTGAGAGTTAAGAGTGTTAACCCATTTCCTTTTTTGAAACAGATACTTTCCCGGTAGAGCGTTGAAGTCAAAATTGTAGAGACGAATCTCTAAATTTGTTTTACTTGGGAGAAAGAATTGTAACCATAATAAATTTGTTGCCTGAGGCACACAGCAAGTCAATACACTGAGACACCAGGTTGCAGCAGAGAAAGAAGAAGAATCATAAAAATTTGAACCAGGAGGTCGGGCATGGTCGCTCACACCTATAATCCCAGCACTTTGGGAGGCCAAGGCGCACAGATCGCTTAAGCTCAGGAGTTCGAGAACAGCCTGACCAACATGGCAAAATCCCATCTCTACTAAAAATACAAAAATAAACCGGGCACAGTAGTACACGCTATTTATTGCAGCTACTCAGGAGGCTGAGGCAGGAGAACCGCTCGAACTCAGGAGGTGAAAGTTGCAGTGAGCTGAGATCACGCCACTGCACTCCAGCCTGGGCGACAGAGTGAGACCCTGTCTCAAGAGAAAAAGAAAAGAAAAGAAAAATTTGAATGAGGAGATGGGAAGAAACCTCAGATACAATTCTAAGGAATTTGAGGTTAGGATTTTTTAGGGTTTTAGAGATTGTTAATTGATGAAAGAGTGCAAAGTGAAGTCATAGGACAGGGAGATGAAGAAACTATTCTCATACTGATCCCCTTCCTCTGGTGGGATCTTCAAGCTGGTTGGCATCAGCTGTTTTGTTGGAATTCGGGGTCTGAAAAACATCTGTTTGTTTTTGTTTTTTTGAGATAGGGACTTGCTCTGTCACCCAGTGTGATTATAGCTCACTGCAGCCTCGAACTCTTTGGGCTCCAGCAGTCCTCCAAACTCAGCCTCCCAAATAGGTAGAACTACAGGCGCGCACTACCAGGGCCAGCTAATTTTTTAATATTTTTGTAGGAAGATACGGGGTCTTGCTATGTTCCCCAAGCTGGTTGAACTCTGCCTCAAGCAGTCCTCCCATCTCGGCCTCCCAAAGTGCTGGGATTTCAGGCTCTCGCCACCATACCTGGCCCTGAAAAACATTTTAAGTGATCCTTAAACAAAAGTGTTATGATCTAATGTTCAGAGACCCTGTAGGAACAATGGGGATGCAAGTCAATTCTTAGTCTTATGACCCTGATGTCAGAAATCCTGTCCATCATACAGTGGGGATGCAGATGGTCAGTATCTAGTGCTATGTGATTTAGCAACAAGGAAGTGGGCCAAAGGGCAGCTTGATTAATGATAAATTATAACTACATTTCTGGCCAGAACCTAACATGCAATTCTTGTCGACCCTGTGAGGGTGGTTTCAGAATTTATAAGTTCAGACATACATGCAGACTGGGTGGTCTTCGGAATGTCTGAAGAACAAAGAAAAGGCCAGAGGTTTTATTAAAAAGGAGAAATGTTATGTATTGCTCTTTGAGAAAGTTCGTTGGCACTGTGGGTTTGGGGAGCTGGGAGCTCTGATCGGTGAGCAACAGCAGAGGGCAAAATTAGTCCTAGAATTGTAGCAAGTTATCTCAGAAGCTATAGATAAAACTGGTTTCAGCTTACAACAAGCAGCTTCAGCAGCCAGGCTTGCAAAGAAAGTCTATTCTTGGAGCAATGCTTTGGTACCCTGAATGTTTTTCCTCCTAGCTTCTTGACTCTGTTTTAGTTGGATCTGACAAGAATGACCCAATTCTTATGGTTCAACTTTCACAGGACAATAACCAATCACTCCACATTTATCAAGCATTATTATGTTTCAGGCATTGGGAATAACACCTGACACTGTATATGTTTACAATTTAGAAAGCATTTTCTTTCTTTCCTTTTTGTTTTTCTTTTTCTTTTTTCTTTTTTTTTTTTTTGAGACAAGTCTTGCTCTGTCACCCCAGGCTGGAGTGCAGTGGCACGGATCTTGGCTCACTGCAACCTCCGCCTCCCAGGTTCAAGTGATTCTCCTGCCTCAGCCTTCTGAGTGGCTGGGATTACAGGCGCCCACCACCATGCCTGGCTAATTTTTGTATTTTTAGTAGAGATGGGTTTTTGCTATGTTGGCCAGGCTGGTCTGGAACTCCTGACCTCAGTTGATCTGCCCGACTCGGTCTCACAAAGTGCTGGGATTACAGGGGTGAGCCACCACACCAGGCCAAGCATTTTCTTTCAAATACAAGGAATATTTTTCTGATTTAAAAAAAAAAAACGAACTTTTTTTCTGATAATCAAAGGGAAAGTTGCAAAGATGAAAATAAAAGTCATCTGTAATCTCAGGTAATACCAGGTAATTAACATTTTGCTGTATTTCTTACCACTGAAAAAAATGCATAGTTTTAAGCTGGGTGTGGTGGTGAGCATGTAGTCCCAGTTAAGTGCCCAAAGGGTTCACTTTACCGGCTGCCTAGACAGAGTCGATTTACCAAGACAGGGGAATTGCAATGGACAAAGAGTAATTCACGCAGAGCCGGCTATGTGGGAAACCAGAGTTTTATTATTACCCAAATCAGTCTCCCTGAGCATTTGGGGATCAGAGTTTTCAAAGATAATTTTGCGGGTAGGGGCTTGGGAAGTGGGGAGTGCTGATTGGTCAGGTTGGAGATGGACTCACAGGGGGCGGAAGTGAATTTTTCTTGCTCTCTTCTGTTCCTGGGTGGGATGGCAGAACTGGTTGAGCCAGATTGCCGTCTGGGTGGTGTCAGCTGATCCATCGAGTGCAGGGTCTGCACAATAGCTCTGATCGTAGGTTTCACAATGGTGATATTATCCCCAGGAGCAATTTGGGAAGGTTCAGACTCTTGGAGCCAGAGGCTGCATGACCCCTAAACTGTAATTTCTAGCCTT
Organism: Homo sapiens; assembly: GCF_000001405.40. Lineage (NCBI taxonomy): Eukaryota > Metazoa > Chordata > Mammalia > Primates > Hominidae > Homo > Homo sapiens. Next base: position 111,034,274 of record NC_000006.12, read on the forward strand.
GTAGCTAATTTGTTAGTCCTGCGAAGGCAGACTGGTCCCCAGGCAAGAAGGGGGTCGTTTCAGGAAAGAGCTATTACCAATTTTGTTTCTAGAGTCAAACCATGAACTGAATTCCTTCCCAAAGTTGGTTCAGCCTATGCCCAGGGATGAACAAGGACAGCTTAAAGGTTAGAAGCAAGATGGAGTTGTTTAGGTCTGATTTCTTTCACTGTCATAATTTCCTCAGTTATAATTTTTGCAAAGGGGATTTCGCCAGCTACTCAGGAGACTGAAGCAGGAGAGTTCCTTAAGCCCAGGTGGCCTTAGTATGCTATAATCATGCCTGTGAATAGCCACTGTACTCCAGCCTGAGTAACATAGCAAGACCTTGTCTCTAAAAAAATAAAAATAGGACCAGGCACGGTGGCTCACACGTATAATTTCAGGAGTATTGCTTGTGGCCAGAAGTTCAAGACTAGCCTGGGCAACATATCAAGATCCTGTCTCTACAAACAATTTAAAAACTTAGCCAGGCATAGTGGTGCATGCCTATAGTCCTGGCTACTCTGGAGACTGAGGCAGGAGGATCATTTCAGCCCATGAGTCTGAGACTGCAGTGAGCTGTGGTTTTGCCACTGCACTCCAGCCTCGGTGATTGATAGAGTAAGACACTGTCTCTAAAAAATATTTAAAATATATATCTTTTAAAAAACCCCAAATTTAAAAATAAAACTATGGGGTTGGGCACGGTGCCTCACGCCTATAATCCCAGCGCTTTGGGAGGCCGAGGCGGGCGGATCACTTGAGGTCAGGAGTTTGAGACCAGCCTGGCCAACATGGCAAAACCCCATCTCTACTAAAAATACAAAAATTAGCCAGGAATGGTGACACGCACCTGTAGTCCCAGCTACTCAGGAGGCTGAGCCAGGAGAATAGCCTGAACCCTGGAGGCAAAAGTTGCAGTGAGTCTAGATCATGCCACTGCATTCTATCCTGGGCAACAGAGAATGAGACTCTGTCACAATCAGTCAATAAATCAATCAACAAAATACATAAAATAAAACTGTGGTCTTATTTTGAGTTCTGCTTTTTTATTTTTAAATACATATATAGCTAAAACCTACATGTATGGAAGTGTTCATAAGAGCAAAACATGACGAATTTTTACCAAGTGAACACACTTGCATAATTATCCAGATCAAGAAATAGAAATAATATCCTAAGTGAATTAACGTAAAGGAACAGAAAACCAAATACCACACTTGTAAGTAGGAGCTAAACAATTGGTACTCATGGACATAAAGATGGCAACAGTAGATACTGGGGACCGACTACTAGCGGGGAGGGAGAAAGGAGGCCAAGGGTTCAGAAACTATTGGGTACTGTGCTCAATACCTAGGTAATGGGATCACTCATACCCCAAACTTCAGCATCATGCAACATACCCAGGTAACAAAACTGTACATGTACCCCCTTTATCTAAGTGGGAAAAGAAAAAGAAATAGAAATATTGTAAAGACCGACAGAAGTCCCCTTGTACCTGCTCCCATCATTGGCCCTTGCCCAAGGGTTTACTAGGTGCTCTGCCCTTTATTTTTTTTAAGACAGATTCTCACTCTCCCTGGCTGGAGTACAGTGGCATGATCACAGCACACTGCAGCCTCAACCTCCCAGGCTTAGGTGATCCTCCCACCTCAGCATTCCTAGTAGCTCGGACTGCAGGCATGTGCCACCGCCCAGCTAATTTTTTACAACAGAGGTCTTGCCATGTTGCCCAGGCTGATCTTGAACTCCTGGGCTCAAGCAATCCTCCCGCCTCAGCTTCCCAAAGTGCTGGGATTACAGGTGTGAGCCATTGTGCCTGGCCTGCCCTGCTCTTTGAAATCAATGTTATATGTAAGCAGTTTCTTGTGTCATTAGTTATTTTTTAAACACTATTTTTGATGGCTCTGTAATATTTGATTACGTGGATATGTTATTTATTTTAGTCATTCTATTGTTGGGCATTAATGGCATTTCCTGTTGATATTATTATAAATAATATGATAAGCACAATCTTTTTTTCTTTTTTCTTTTTTTTTTTTTGAGATGGAGTCTTGCTGTGTCACCCAGGCTAGAGTGCAGTGGCATGATCTCGGCTCACTGCAACCTCCGCCTCCCAGGTTCAAGCAATTCTCCTGCCTCAGCCTCCCAAGTAGCTGGGATTACAGGCGCCCGCCACCACACTGGGGTAATTTTTGTATTTTTAGTAGAGGCAGGGTTTCGCCATGTTGGCCAGGCTGATCTCGAACTCCTGACCTCATGATCCGCCCACCTTGGCCTCCCTAAGTGCTGGGATTATAGGCGTGAGCCACCATACCCGGCTGATAAGCGCAGTCTTTTTTTGAAAGTGCTTTCACATGGTATTTTCAGTTGATATTTAAAATATTCCATAAACTGAATAGTGCAGGTGGTATTTTATACAATTTCCAGTCGAGAAAGCAGAGGCTTGGATTAAGTAAACTTGTCCAACGTTACACAACTTAAAGAGGTAAATCTGGGCCTAGAACTCAAGTCTTCTAATTCCTAATCTAGTGGATTCTCAGCAAGATGTCTTAAGTGTCTCACAGTATTCATGTGAATCACATGGAGAAATGATGTAACTAATCAGCACCCAGGCCAATTCATAGCAATTTAAACAACTACACCCAAAGGATATTGATGAATGATGAATACATCCATGGCATCCAGAAAGCAGATCTTTACTGACAAGCCTCAGGGCTGCTATTGACCTTTGTCTCTTTAAACGGTGTTCTTCCACTTTCATGAAGACAAAAAAAAGACACAAAGAAAAGTTCAGAACCTGGGGGAGAAATATACACATAGTTAGGATAAAGGAGACTGTTCTACAGTTGGGAAATGCCCCTGGAGGCAAACCCAGTGTCAGACATCCATGTAAGCCTGCTGCTGAAAGGTCCCCCTAAATTTAAGCTGCACTGTCACAGAAGTAGAACATTCAGGCTGATTAAAATCATTTGTATGAGATTTTTTGAAGTCTAAAAACAAGAAATCCTGATTCAAATGTACAGTAATAAAAAAGTGGAAGTAACAGGGACCCAATATACTCTAACCTGTTCATATCATAATATTGCTTTCATTTCTGGGCACCACCCTTGGAGAAATTGAGCTACTTGGTAATGGCGAAGGTAATGAAAAATCTTGAAACCTTGTCAGATTAGGCAGGGATCATTTACCTGGAGAAAAAAAGTATTTACTGAACAAAATTTGATTCCATCAACTTAATTGGAGTATAATTTACATAAATTTATTAAAATTGTTTATTTTTAAAATAGAGAAAACGTCTTACTATGTTGCCCATGCTGGTCTCGAACTGCTGGGCTCAAGTAATCCTCCTACCTCAGCCTCCCAAAGTGCTGAGATTACAGATGTGAGCCACTGTGCCTGGCCTAATTTATGTACAATTAAATGCACCTGTTTAAAGTATATGATTTGGTGAGTTTTGACGTTTGTGAACACCTACGAAAACACTGCCACAATCAAGAGGCAGAATATTTTCATCTGACCCAAAAAATTCATACCTGTTTATTTCCCTCTACCCCATGTCCCGGGCAACCACTGATCTGCTTTTTGTCTCTAGAAATTAATTTATGTTTAATGGAATTTTGTATAAATGGAATGAAAGAGAAGAACTCTTGTGACTCGCTTCTTTCACTCAGCATGAATATTTTGAAGTTCATGCGTGTTGCTACATGTATCTGTAGTTGGTTGCTATAGGTAGTAGTCCATAATATGGATTTCTTATAGATTTTTAATATATTCATCTGTTTATGGACACTTGGGTTGCTTTTACTTTTTGGCTGTTACAAAAAAAGATGCTATGAATATTTGTGCTGCAAGTCTTTGTATGGTGAAGTGATTTCATTGCTTTGGGGTAGTACCTAGGAATAGAATGCCTGGGTCACATTAGGAACTGAATGAACAAGAGACAGGTTCCCAGTCCCCAGAAGGCTCGCTTTCTAGTGGAGGGAAAGAGGTGGTAAAACATATAAACAAATAGAATACATTCAGAAAGCGATAAGTGATATAAGAACAATATAAGAGGCCGGGCACAGTGGCTCACGCCTGTAATCCCAGCACATTGGGAGGCCAAAGTGGGTGGATCACCTGAGGTCAGGAGTACGAGACCAGCCTGGCCAACATGGCAAAACCCCATCTCTACTAAAAGTACAAAAATTAGCTGGGCATGGTGGCGGGCGCCTGTAATCCCAGCTACTCAGGAGGCTGAGGCAGGAGGAACACTTGAACCCGTGAGGCAGAGGTTGCAGTGAGCTGAGGCCGTGCCACTGCACTCCAGCCTGGGCGACAAGAGTGACACTCCATCTCAAAAACAACAACAAAAAAAGAACAATAAAAGAGTAGACAGAGAGCGACTCAGGAGGGGCTACTTTAACATGAATGGCAAGGGAAGAGCTCTTTGAAAGGCAATATATGGGCTGAACTGAGTCCTGAATATCAAGAAGTTGTTAGTATGTGAAAATTTGGGAGAGCACACTTCAGAACTGCCAATGTCAAGTCCTTGAGGAAGGAAAGCATTTGACTTAAGGATGTAATAGTTGTCACCAGACATTTGAAGGAAAACCAAGTGGAAAAGGAATTACACTTATTCTAAGAAATTTAGAGGCATATTTATGACTTATGAGTGAAAGTGAGATGGAGAAAGTTTTCAGTTCAGTCTAACCTTTTTGTGGGTAGAGCTACTCATGACTGAAATGAGTTGCCTGGGGAGGCAGTGAGGCTTCTGCGATTGGACATAGACAAGAGAGATACTAGAGAGAGGAATATGGCTGAAGGCAGGAGACGAGACCAGATGCACTCCCCAGCTGAGATTCTGTGATTTGGGGACTTCTGGGGATAGGAAAATGACCAGGTTTTAAGTTATTTTTTGTTGTTGAGGTTTCATTTTCTTTTTTCCTTTTTATAAAAAAAAAAGATGTTTTCTACCAATATAAATAAGAACTACAACTAGATGGACCTGGAACCAGACTTGTGATTTTGAGTTCTCAAAATGAATTATTGAGCAAATATAAATCTAGCCTAGAAACCAACTGTTGTAATTTTGAATGAATTTATAAGGCAACTGATTAAAAAACAAAATATATTTTTTCTACTTTCTATTTTTAACAATAAGCACTTGGAACATGTTCAAGATTTTTGGCCAGGCACGGTGGCTCACGCCTGTAAACCCAGCACTTTGGGAGCTGAGGTGGGCGGATCACCTAGGTCGGGAGTTCAAGACCAGCCTGACCAACATGGTGAAACCCTGTCTCTACTAAAAATGCAAAAATTAACTGGGTATGGTGGCGCACACCTGTAATCCCAGCTACTCGGAAGGCTGAGGCAGGAGAACCACTTGAACCCAAGAGGCAGAGGTTGCAGTGAGCCGAGATCACGCCACTGTACTCCAGCCTGGGCGACAGGGCGAGATTCCGTCTCGAGAGGGAGAAAAAGAAAAAAAAAAGAAAACATTCAAGTGTTTATTAAAAGGCTGAGAAAAGAAGAATGTTAGGCCAGATGCGGTGGCTCACGCCTGTAATCCCAGCACTTTGGGAGGCTGAGGCGGGCAGATCACAAGGTCAGGAGTTCAAGACCAGCCTGGCCAACATGGTGAAACCCCGTCTCTACTAAAAATACAAAAATTAGCCGGTTGTGGTGGCGCATGCCCGTAATCCCAGCTACTCAGGAGGCTGAGGCAGGAGAATCGCTTAAACCCGGGAGGCGGGGGTTGCAGTGAACTGAGATTACGCCACTGCACCACTCCAGCCTGGGCGATAGAGTGAGACTCCATCTCAAAAAAAAGAAGAAAAAGAAAAGAAGAATGTACTATTCTCTTTCAGTCAAATGACATAGTCTATAGTTAGTGTATAAGAAAGTGTGAGAAAATTTGTTTTGTTTATTTTGAGATGGGATCTTACTCTGTTGTCCAGGCTGGAGTGCAGTGGCATGATTACCGCAGACTTGACCTCCTGGGCTCAGTCAATTCTCCCATCTCAGTCTCTCAAATACCTGGGACTACAGGCACGCACCACCACACCCAGCTATGTTGCTCAAGCTGGTCTCAAATTCGTGGGCTCAAGTGCTCTGCCCACCTCGACATTGTAAAGTGCTAGGATTACAGGCATGAGGCACCATGCCTGGCTGAGGAAATGTTAATAATAAAAATGGGGGAAGCTGAGCACAGTGGTGCGAGCCTGGTAGTCTCATCTACTTGAGAAACTGAGACAGAAGGATCACTTGAGCCCAGGAGTTTGAGCCCAGCCTGGGCAACATAGCAGAACCCCATCTCTAAAAAAAAAGAAGGGGTGATAATCCATCATTTACCTAAATCAGCCCATTTACAAATAATAACACCAGCCTGGACAACACAGTGAGACCCTATTTCTACCAATAAATCAGAAAATAAAAAGAAAGAGAGAAAATGAAAAAAGAAGGAGGAAGGAAGGGAAGGAAGGGAGGAAAGAAGGAAGAAAGGCATGCAGACAAGCCGGGCATGGTGGCTCATGCCTATAATCCTAGCTACTTGAGTGGTGGGAGGATTGCATGAGCCCAGGAGTTCAAGACTAGCCTTGGCAACCTAGCAAGACCCCTTCTGTAATAAATAAATAAAGTAATTAAAATAATAATTAACTTTTATTAATAAAATTAAAGGATATGTACCAAGGTATTAATCTGGATAAAAGATGTGACAACACAATTGGAATATGTATTAGAAGACTAAATTATACCTGATTTTATAAATGCTTATTTATCCTAATTATTGTGCAAACTTAAGAACAACAATGGAAGAAAAGAAAGGGGAAAAGGCGGGGCACGGTGGCTCATGCCTGTAATCCCAGCACTCTGGGAGGCCAAGGCAGGCAGATCACCTGAGGTCAGGAGTTCAAGACCGGCCTGTCCAACATGGTGAAACCCCATCTCTACTAAAAACACAAAAATTAGCCAGGCCTGGTGGCAGGTGCCTGTAAGGTGAATGGTGGGAGGCTGAGCAAAGAGAATCATTTGAACCCGGGAGGCGGAGGTTGCAGTGAGCCAAGATCGTGCCATTACACTCCAGCCTGGGGTACAAGAGCGAGATTTATCTCAAAAAAAAAAAAAAAAAAAAAAGGCGGGGGGGAAGAAGAGGAGGAGAAGAAAGAAGAGTTGCAAAAGACAAAATTATAACAAATTTAGCTTAAAAACTTAATTGGCTTTTTGTAATTCTAGAACTGAGAAACACCTCATACTATAAAATACAATAAGGCTGGGTGTGGTGGCTCATGCCTGTAATCCCAGCACTTTGGGAGGCCAAGGCGGGCGGATCACCTGAGGTCAGGAGTTCGTGACCAGCCTGGCCAATATGGTGAAACCCCATCTCTACTAAAAATACAAAAATTAGCCAGGCGTGGTGGCACGCACGTGTAATCCCAGCTACTCGGGAGGATGAGGCACGAGAATTGCTTGAGCCCAGGAGGCGGAGGTTGCAGTGAGCCGAGATCGCACCACTGCACTACATACAGCCTGGGTGACAGAGCGAGATTCAGTCTCAAAAAAAAAAAAAGTACAATGAGTGTTCTAATCAGAGGAGGTTGGTTTTATAGACAGAAAAAGGCTGAGAAAAGCCAAAACAGAAAACAAAAAGTCGATTGATTGTTTCAAAGTTATACTTTCCTTGTAAAGGCTAAAGGAGAGGGGATTTCTTTATCATACTGGCTGAAATTGCTTGTTTGGGGATTTAGCTATTATCTCTCGCCTGATTTCTCAGAATGTTAGATAAACAACTTAGTTTCAGTTTGGTGATGTGAAACTTTAGCATGACTGACTCCATTTTGGTTTGATCTGTTGGATCTAAAGCAGGAGCTCAGTCCAAACCAATGGCCTCCTATACTTTTTTTTTTTTTAAACAATTTCACCATTTGGGTCAGGCTGTCACCCAGGTGAGAGTGCGACCAAAACCTAGGCCATTCACACTGCTCTCAGTTACCATCATTCTGGGTTTCTGGTCTCGATGTACCATTCTTAGATTGTGGTGTCCTCAGGATCACATATTTCTTTTGCTTTTTTTTTTTTTTTTTTTAGACAGAATCTCGCTCTGTTGCCCAGGCTGGAGTGCAGTGGCGCGATCTGGGCTCACTGCAAGCTCCACCTCCCAGGTTCACGCCACTCTCCTGCCTCAGCCTCCCGAGTAGCTGGGACTACTGGTGCCCGCTACAATGCCCGGCTAATTTTTTTTTGTATTTTAGTAGAGACAAATTTTCATCATGTTAACCAGTATGGTCTTGATCTCCTGACCTCGTGATCTGCTGGCCTTGGCCTCCCAAAGTGCTGGGATTATAGGCGTGAGCCATCAAGTCTGGTCTGATCACATATTTCTTTGAGTTTTTGTTATTCTAGCTGAAGAGAGATCATTCAATGTTCGATGGATGGCTACATGTAAGTATTTAAAACCTTTGAGAGAATATAGCACACCAGCAAGACTACTATTATGACTATCAGGAGGATAATACCAGCAGTTTGGCATAAGCTCCTTAGCCAGGGTCCCCATGAACCAAACCAACTAAAATTGAATAGATCAAAGAATGAGCCAGATGAGGAGTCCACTTGTTTTAACCAAGCAGACTGTTCATTTTTTGCAACCAAGTCTCTGTAATACCCAACGTATCTACCCATGTACAACAAGAAGTGTTATCAATGGCACAGACTCCTCCTATACTATACAGCTAGCAGGAAATCTGGTATCCTATGACTGGGTTATATTAAAGCAGAGAGTGAGAACAAGTGGATCTAGAAGTGTAACCCTATTAAAGGGACCACTAGTACAATTTGAACAACAGTTACGTTAGGGATGTTGCTAAACTTACCCACTAGATGGACTAAAGAAGCTCTTAGGTTATGTAAAGATTTGGGTTTCACACGACAGATCCAACAGTTCATCAGATTGCCCCCGCAGGAGCTGCTGACTGTGCCAAGCGAAAAAGATGGGCAAAAAAAAAAAAAAAAAAAAAAAAAGTTCAGAGGGGCAAGAGTCTTATTATGATAGGCAGTCTTGTGCTGACACCTTGGGAAAAGCTGTTTACAACATGAAGTTGTCAACCTCTTTCCCTGGTTTGCAGTTTGAATGTCTCTGGTTATGGCATCAGGCGTTTTGGTGAACTCTGTGTGGCCAACACATCAGGAATGGCACTTGTCCCTTGAAATTTACAACGAGTTGTCTGGTTTCAGCTTAGAGGGCTTTGGGTACAGAGCAGTTCTTGTTCTTAGTTGGAGAATTGTAGCCAGATATTGGAGGAAAAGAGAATTCTAGAATCTAGTCCAGTCTACAAGAAGATAAGAAAAACTTGAAAACGATGAGCAAAGCCACAACCTAATAGCAGGTGTACTATAGCTTTTCTTCAGAAACAGTTTTTCTCTCTGCAGTTACTCCCATTTCTACCAAAAATAATCAGAATAACACAAATGTGTTTACAAAATAAGGTTAGTCTCATCAAACTTAGCCTGATTATTTACGTAAGAGCAGCAGGAATAGTGAATGACCACACAGACTGTTTTTAAGTTTCCTTTGCTGGAACTTTTTTTTTTCTTTTGAGACAGAATTTCGCTCTTGTTGCCCAGGCTGGAGTGCAATGGTGCAATCTCAGCTCACTGCAACCTCCGCCTCCCAGGTTCAAGCAATTCTTCTGCCTCAGTCTCCCGAGTAGCTGGGATTACAGGCATGCGCCACCACACCCAGCTGATTTTGTATTTTTTGTAGAAACGGGGTTTGTTCATGTTGGTCAGACTGGTCTTGAACCCCTGACCTCAGGTGATCCTCCTGCCTTGGCCTCCCAAAGTGCTGGGATTACAGGCGTGAGCCACTGCACCCAGACTGCTGGAACTTTTTTTCTCTTTTTCTATAACATTAACTGCTGCAAAGCTTTGCTGGAACTTTTGATAAGAACTCTAAGAATGGACATTTTAAAACTTCTTTAGGCTAGGAAGCCAAATCAAGGCATACTTTAGACTTAGCCTGCAGTACCTATAGATTCATTCTATATATCTTCTCATATATGACATCCCAGTCACAGCTTCAGTGATACAACCAAAATCTGCCTAAAGATGGATCTTCCAAAAGAACTCAATTGTCATCAATCCTCTCATTAGGAAGTTGCAACCAGGGGAATTTTATTTAACAAGAAGGAGAAGGAAAATTGAAGAAGAAAATCATATTCACTGCCATGAGAAACCTATTGCTTTCATCCTTCCATGATCTCCCTCAGTTCTGGAGTCGCCAGGTAAGAAGAGTACAGGCATATTTTTAGGACTATATAACTTTGTGGCATACCAACTCAACAAAGCACATCTTTAATTACAAATTTCTTTTCTTTTTATTTTTTATTTATTTATTTATTTATTTATTTTTTTTTTTGAGATGGAGTCTTGTTCTGTCGCCCAGGCTGGAGTACAGTGGCATGATCTTGGTTCACCGCAACCTCCGCCTCCCGGGTTCTAGCAATTCTCAGGCCTTGGCCTCCCAAAGTGCTGGGATTATAGGCATGAGCCACCATGCCTGGCCGAGTGTTCTAATTTCTCCACATCATCACCAATGCTTGCTATTTTCCATTTTTTCCCCATATAACACAAGTCCACTTATGTATATTTTCCATTTTTATTACAGTTATCTTAATGGATGTAAAGTGGTATCTCATTGTGGTTTTGATTTGCATGTATCAGATGATTAATGGTGTTGAGCATTGGAATTTTTTCACTCTCTTGATGATGTACTTTGAAGGACTAAAGTTTTGTTTTAATAAAGTCTAATTTACACATTTTTTTCTTTTTTTTGCTTGTGCTTTTGGTGTCATATCTAAGAAACTATTGCCTAGTCCAAGGTCATAAAGACTTACTCCTGTCTTTTCTTTGAAGAGTTTTAGAGTTTTAGCTCTTAGATTTAAGTATCTGATCCATTTTGAATTCATTTTTGTATCTGGTGTGAGTTAGAGGGTCCATCTTCATCCCTTGCATATGGATATCCAATGTCTTGGCACCATTTTTTGAAAAGACTATTCTTTCCTCATTGAATGGTTGTGTGCTCTTGTCAAAAATCGATTGACAGTAAATGTGAGGCTTTATTTCTGGACTTTCAATTCTGTTCTGTTGATTGATATGTCTGTCCTTATGCCAGTACCACTCTGTCTTGATTACTATAGGTTTGTAGTGAGTTTTAGAATTGGGAAATGTAAATTCTACAGCTTTGTTCTTTTTAAAAACTGTTTTGACCATTCTGAGTTTCTTAAATTTCCATGAGTTTTAGGATTAGCTTGCCAATTTTTGCCAAGAAATCAGCCAAGATTTTTGTTAGGGATTGTGTAGAATCTTAGTTCAATTTGAAGAGTTTTTCCATCTTAACAATGTTACGTGTTCTGATCTGTGAACATAGGATATCTTTCCGTTTATTAAAATCTTCAATTTCTTTCAATGATGTTTTGTAGGTTTCAGCATACAAGCTTTGTACCTCTTTTGTTAAAGTTATTCCTGTGCATTTTTTCTTTTTGATGCTATTGTAAACAGAATTTTCTTTATTTCATTTTCTGTTTGCTTATTGCTGCTATAAAGAAATACAGTTTCTCTTTGTATATTGATCTTGTATTCTGAAACCTTGCTGAACTTGTTTATTAGTTCAAATAGTTTCTTAGTGGATTCATTAGAATTTTCTATATGCAAAATCACATCATCAACTAATAGGATACTTTTATTTCTTCCTTTCCAAGCTGGGTGCCTTTTATTTCTTCCTTTCCAAGCTGGGTGCCTTTTATTTCTTATTCTTGCCTAATTGCCTTGGCTAGAACCTCCTTCACAATGTTGAATAGAAACCGGGAGAGCGGACATCTTTGTCCTGTTCTTCATTTTGTCTTGATGCTTCATCTGAAAAAGAATCAGTTATTTTACCATTAAATATGCTGTTACCTGTGGGTTTTTTGTAGAAGCCCTATATTAGGTTGAAGAAATTCTCATCTATTCCTACTTTGTTGAGTGTTTTTTTTTCATCATGAAAGGGTGTTAAATTTTGTCAAATGCTTTTTCTGCATCTATTGAAATGATCCTGTGGATTTTGACGTTTATTCTGTGTGTGTGTGTGTGTGTGTGTGTGTGTGTGTGTGTTTTAGGCTTTACTTGGATCAGGTAGGCTTAAGGCAGGGGCCATGCTGCAGGAGAAGGGCCTGTAAACCAGTCAGTACTGCTCTTTCATGCAGCCCTGGGACCTCAGGGCTGAGCTCCACAGGCAAGGGGCCCGTTAGGCCCCTCAAAGCAGACACAACCACTAACAGGAAGGAAGGTCAGGCTGGCTTTAGTGCAGGGAAGGGTAATGTTGGGAGGGAGACGTTCATGAAGGAAAATGGGTAGCTGAGGCTTTAAAGGGCTTGGATGGGACACGGGTTTAGGGGAAGTGAAGAAGGCCAATAAAGTCTTGGGGGTAAAGAAGGGAATAAACAGGAGAAAGGAACAAGAAGGCAGGTGCTGGGGTGTAGAGTCCAGCTGCTCTCCACAGCCTGGGCAACAGGCTGAGTATGGGCAACTCAATCCCACCTCCTGGCCTTCAAGGCACTACTTGTTGCCCCAGACAGCCATCTTTGTGAACACAGGTCTCAGGAGGAAGCAGCTGGATTTCATGTAGGCAGAGATCTCCAAGCCCTCAAATCGGGAGATGAAGTCCTTCAGGTTTGGGAAGGCGTCCAACCACTTGGGCTCAAATACTTGGTTTCTCTCAAGGATGCCATACGCGATGAAATCCACAAGTGTGATCTTGTCCCCAAGAAACAATAGCTGCTTCCCCAGAAACTGTGAGTAGAGCTTCAGCATTGCAGGGAGTGCCTCCAGGTATTCTGGCTTCAGTTTCTTAAAATCTGGGTTGTAGCAGAGTCTGGCCAGCTGCACGTGGTTGTCCACAAGCTGGTTCTCCAAAATGTCTTCCCAAATCTTCTCCCCTTCTGTCTCCCCACACAGGTTGTGCTTGTAGGCAATGCAGCCCAGGATGGCCTTGCTCTGGGTGATCTTGTGAGCCCCATCAATCAAGTAGGGCAGATTGGGAAAGTCCAGGCCCAGCTTGAATTTTTCATTCAGCCACTGGCTTCTGTCATAGTCAGGAGCGTCCCCCATCATGTACTTCTTTTCCTCATAGCTTAAGTCTGTGTATTGCAGGAGCAGGCAGACGGCGTGGGCCAGCCCTCAGATGTCCCAGTACCCCAGTGTCACGGGCATGGTGCTGGTCGGTGTGGATTCTGCAGAAAGGCCCATTTACTCTATCGATGTGGTGTGTTACGTCAATTTACTCTTGGATGTTAAAACAATCTTGCATTCCTGGGATAAATTCCACTTGATCGTGGTGTATAATCCATTTTACATGTTGCCAAATTCTACTTCCTAATATTTTTTTGAGGATTTTGCATCTTATTTGTAAGAGATATTAGTCTGTAGCTTTCTTGTGGTGTCTTTGGTTTGGGTATCAGGGTAATACCAGCCTCATAGAATGAGTTGGGAAATGTTCCCTTTTCTTCTATATTTTGAAAGAGTTTGTGAAGAATTTGTATCATTTATCTTTTAAAAATTGTGGTAAAATACACTAATATAAAAATTTCTATCTTAACCATTTTTAAGTTTACAATTTAGTAGTGATAAGTATATTCACATTGATGTGCAACCAGCTTCCAGAACTTTTTTTTTTTTTGAGGCGGAGTCTCACTGTTGTCACCCAGGCTGGAATGCAATGGCACGATCTCAGCTCACTGCAACCTCCGCCTCCCGGGTTCCAGCAGTTCTCCTGCCTCAGCCTCCCAAGTAGCTGGGATTACAGGCATGCTCTACCATGCCCAGCTAATGTTGTATTTTTAGTAGAGATGGGGTTTCACCATGTTAGCCAGGCTGGTCTTGAACTCCTGACCTCAGGTGATCCACCTGCCTCAGTCTTCCAAAGTGCTGGGATTACAAGCACGAGCACCGCACCTGGCCCAGAACTTTTTTATCTTGCAAAATGGAAACTCTATACCTATTAAACAACCTCCCATTTCCCCTTCTCCCTGCTCCTAGTAACCACTGTTCTATTTTCTGTTTCTATAATTAAAAAAATTGTTTTGAGACAAGATCTCACTATGTCGCCCAATCTAGAGTGCAGTGGTTATTCTCAGGCACAATCATAGTGCACCATAGCCTCGAACTCATGCTCAAGCAGTCCTTCTGCCTTAGCCTCCCAAGTACCTCAGACTTTAGATGCATACCTGGCTTTGTTCCTATGATTCTGACTGCTCTTACGTACCTCGTATAAGTGGAATCGTACAGTATTTATCTTTGTGTGATTGGTTTATCTCACATTAGCATAATGTCCTCAAGGATCATTCATGTTATACCATGCATCAGAATTTTCCTCCTTTTTAAGGCTGAGTAATATTCCATTGTAGGTATACATCACGTTTTGTTTATCCATTCATCTTTCGACGGACACTTTGGCTGCTTCCATCTTTTGACTATTGTGAATATTGCTGCTATGAACAAGAAATATATCTTTGAGAACATGCTTTCCATTCTTTTGGATATATATCCAGAAGTAGATTTTCCAGATTATATGGTAATCCTATTTCTAATTTTGAGGAATCGCCATGCCATAATACTATCATAGAATAGCACCATAGTGGTATTATTTCTTTTTTAAATGCTTGGTATAATTCACCAGTGAAGCTCAGACTTTTCTTTTATTTTACTATTAATTCAGCCTGTTTAGTTGTTATAGGTATACTCAGATTTTCCATTCTTTCTTGAATCAGGTTTGGTAGTTTGTGTCTTTTGAGGAATGTGTTCATTTCATCTAAATTATATTATGTAATATGTTGGCATACAGTTGTTCATAGTATTCCCTTATAATTTATTATTATTATTATTATTATTATTTTGAGACAGGATCTCTCTCTGTTGCCCAGGCCGGAGTGCAGTGGTGCAATCTTGGCTAACTGCAACCTCTGCCTCCCGGGTTCAAGTGATTCTCCTGCCAACAGCCTCCAGAACAGCTGGGATTACAGGTGTGCACCACCACGCCTGGCTGATTTTGTATTTTTAGTAGAGACGGGGTTTCACCATGTTGGTCAGGCTGGTTTTGAACTACTGACCTCAGGTGATCCACCCACCTCGGCCTCCCAAAGTGCTGGGATTACAGGCATGAGCCACCTTGCCTGGCTGCCTTACAATTTTTATTTCTGTGAGATTAGTAGTAATGAGCCCTCTTTCAATTCTGGATTTGGTAATTGAGTCTTTTTTTCTTGGTCAGCCTTGCTAAGGTTTTGTCCATTTTGTTGGTATTTTTAAAGAATCAGCTTTTGCTTTCATTGATTTTCTCTACTGTTTTTCTATTCTCTATTCGTTAATATCTGCACTAATCCTTATTATTTCCTTCCTGCTGCTTGCTTTGGGTTTAGATTGTTCTTCTTTGTCTCTTTGTCCTTTTGGCTGTGTGCCTTCTTTTCTTTACTCTTGTTAGAGTGGACTAGAGAGAGAGCAGAGATAAATGCATGTAAAACAGAAGTCCTCTAGAGAATCCATTCACTAATGAACTGTTCCTTTCAGTCAAAACATTGTTGCCTCTGGGTGACCTTTAAAAAAATGATATGGAGGCCGGGCACCGTGGCTCACGCCTGTGATCCCAGCACTTTGGGAGGCTGAGGTGGGTGGATCACCTGAAGTCAGGAGTTCAAGACCAGCCTAGCCAACATGGTGAAACCCTGTCTCTAGTAAAAATACAAGAATTAGCCAGGCATGGTAGCACGCGCCAGTAATCCCAGCTACTTGGGAGGCTGAGGCAGGAGAATCGCTTGAACCCGGGAGGCGGAGGTTGCAGTGAGCCGAGATTGCACCATTGTACTCCAGCCTGGGCAACAAGAGTGAAACTCCATCTCAAAGAGAAAAAAAAAAAACAGACGTGGAAAATTGCCACCAGTGTTTTCTACATTAGTGTGAGTTAATTCCTCAGATACTTTGTTAAAGCCCAGTGTGATAGGTAAAAGCTGCCTAGTAGAAATAGAAGTTTTAAAAACAGGGCAAAGGGAAGAGTAACTTTCCTGTTTTCTGACTGCTGAATGGTCAGGAAAAGTTGCCAAACAGGAGACTGATTTGTTCAAAATTTGGGAACTTGCTGAAGTAGGGGACTGGGAGAGGGAAGGACAACATAACAGGGGAGATGAGGAAGCTAAAAAAGGAAAAGAACAGTTCTTCTCACATACTACTTCTTAATCAGCACAAAGTTAAGACATTTCCACCCACTGATTTAATTCCTTTCTGTGCTTTATATCATGCCATTTGTATTTTGTCAGCTATTTACTATTTTAATAGTGATAAACTTTCAGAATCTATGAGACACATAAATCTGAGCCTTTAAAATCTGAATTTTCAAAGATAGAAAAACTAGAAAGTGAATATTTGCATTACAAATATATTTCTTACTATTGCAAACAAAATTCAGTATAAGGATCTCTAAAATAGTTGATATCTTTAGATATTAGATGATTCACTTTCCAAAAATAGTTTGCAGACAGCCTTCAAGGAACACAACGGACTTTTAAAATAAGGCACACATTTCCCTAGCAAGCAGACGCAGAAAAAAAGAAATAAATAAAATCAGGCCCATTTATGATAATAAAGTGAGAAAAATAGGAAAACTAATATTTGGATTTATTTTAGAGGCAAAAGTCCTGATCTAATTCTTGAGACAGTTAGTCAATTCTGTCTATATTTTATTCATTTATTTGAAACATGCAAACATAGTATTTTTGCTCCCCTTAGATATGTTCAGAGGCCTAGAAACTTTGGGGGAAGAAACCACAAAAAACTTTTAATGTAGATTTTAGGCCGGGCGCAGTGGCTTACGCCTGTAATCCCAGTGCTTTGGGAGGCCAAGGCAGGCAGATCACTGAGGTCAGGAGTTCAAGACCAGCCTGGCCAACATGGTGAAACCCAGTCTCTACTAAAAATACAAAAATTAGCCATGTGTGGCGGCATGCACCTATAATCCCAGCTACTCAGGAGGCTGAGGCAGGAGAGTGGCTTGAACCCAGGAGGCGGAGGTTGCAGTGAGCCAAGATGGTGCCACTGCACTCCAGCCTGGGTGACAGCGAGATTCTGTTTCAATAAATAAATAAATAAAAATAAAATAAATTTAAGTGGCCAGGTGTGGTTTGGCCAGGCTCATGCCTGTAGTCCCAGCACTTTGAGAGGCTGAGGCAAGCAGATCCCTTGAGTCCAGGAGTTCGAGATCAGCCTGGGCAACATGGTAAAACTCCATCACTACAGAAAAATAAAAAAATTGGCTGGGTGCAGCGGCTCACGCCTGTAATCCCAGCACTTTGGGAGGCCGAGGTGGGCAGATCACTAGGTCAGGAGTTCAAGACCAGCCTGGCCAACATGGTGAAACCCCATCTCTACTAAAAATACAAAAATTAGATGAGTGTGGTGGCGTGCACCTGTAATCCCAGCTACTTGGGAGGCTGAGACAGGAGAATTGCTTGAACCCAGGAGGCAGAGGCTGCAGTGAGCTGAGATTGTGCCACTGCACTCCAGCCTGAGCGACAGAGTGAGACTCAGTCTCAAAAAAAAAAAAAAAAAATTAGCCAGCCATGGTGGTGTGCACCTGTAGTCCCACCTACTCAGGGGGCTGAGGTGGAAGGATCACTTGAGCCCATGTGGTCGAGGCTGCAGTGAGTCATGAGTGCACCACCACACTCAGCCTGGGCAACAGAGTGAGACCCTGTCTCAATACATAAATAAATAATAAATTTAAGCAACAGAAAATACCAGATGACACACATTGCATTCACTCAGAAATTATTTATTGAAGGTCTAGAATGTGCTAGGCCACTGGGATATAACAATGAGTAAGACAGGCATGTTTCTGCCTACATGGGAGTTTAAGGTCTACTATTGGAAAGACAAACAAAAGACTTGACAAAAGTAAACAAACAAAATTATCACAAAACATGATAAAAATCTGTAAAGAAACAAACCATGGCCAGGGATAGAGAATATCAGGGAGAGGGAGACACTTCTCTTCCACGGGGTGGTCAGGAAGGCACTTCTGAGGAAATGATATGTCAGCTGAGACCTGTGAGACAAGAAGGAGCCAGTCACTTAAAAAGCATGGGGCACAGTTAGAAGGAACAGTGCATTCAAAGCTCCAGAGCCTGGAACGGGGCTGACCTTCTAGAAACTAGAAAAGACCAGTGTGGCTGGAGGGCCATGAGCAAAGGAGAATGGCGAAAGAGTGAACCCCAGGTTAGCAGGGATCCAGATCACACCCAGCTCTCTTAAGCAACTGTGTTAGTCGGCTGGGGCTACCATAACAAAATACCACGGGCTGGGTGGTTAAACAATAGAAATTTATTTTATTTATTTTCTCATGACTGGAGGCTGGAGGTCCAAGATCAAGGTATTGGCAGGTTTGGTTTCTTCTAAGGTCTCTCTCCTTGGCTTACAGATGGCCACCTTCTCTCAGTGTCTCCATGTTACCGTCGGAGAGTGTCCAGGTTCTTGGCATTCTGAACAAAGAATTGGACAAAATGGACAAACAAAGCCAAGAAAGAATCAGCAATAAAAAGAGAGATTTATTGCAAACAAAAGTACACTCCACAGGGTTGGAGCAGGCCAAGCACAGGGACTCAAGAGCCCAGCTACAGAATTTTCTGGGGTTTAAATATCCTCTAGAGGTTTTCCATTGGTCACTTGGTGTACAACCCATGCAAATGAAGTAGTGGCCCGCAATCAGTGAAGTGAAGTTACAAAGGTTACACCATTTGCAAACGTCTGATTGGTTGTGGAAAGCAACCATTCAGAGACTAAAATGAAGTTACAAAGTTACGCTTTTATGCAAAGGAAGACAAGGCCTGCAATCAGTCTGAATGGTTGTGGTAAGCAACCAATCAGAAGCTGAAGTGAAGTTACAAGTTACACTCCTATGCAAACATCTGATTGGTTTCAGAAAGCAACCAATCAGAGGTACTTTCAATATTCCATCTGCCACGCATAAAAAGTGGGGGGCAGTTTGCAAAGGGAGTAGCTTCCAGTCCTTTTGTTACTTAGGTGTGGAAAGTTGAGGTCTTCCTTTTGATTTAGTTCTAGAAAGTCAGCGTGAATTGGCCTTAGCTTCCCTGCCTCCAGACCCTATTCTCCTGCCTCATCCACATGGTCTTTTCCCTGTGCCTGCACATCCCTAGTATCTCTCTGTATGTCCTAATCTCCTCTTTTTATAGGGGTCCAGTCAGGTTGGATTAGGGCCCACCATAAAGACTCCCATTTAGCTTAATTACTTCATTGAAGGCCCTATATGCAATGACAGTCACATTCTGAGGTACCGAGAGTTAAGGTTTCAACGTGTGAATTTTTTTTTTGTGGGGTTGGGGGACACAATTCAGTCCATAGAGTAACTTTAAGGGATCCATTTTTATTTATTATTATTATTATAAAGACAGAGTCTCACTATGTTGCCCAGGCTGGTCTCGAACTCCTGGCCTCAAGTGATCCTCCCATCTCAGCTTCCCAAAGTACTGGGATTACAGGCATGAGCGACTACACCTGGCCTATTTTTTTTTTTTTTTAATTTTTATTTTTACTTAAAAAATGTTTTTCTGTGTCATTTCACTTAGGATAACTTTAAAGATTTCAGATTTACTCTTAAAAGCAGTGGAAAACCATTGAAGGGTTTGAAGCAGAGACTGTATTGAAGGGGATGTGGCAGACACTTCCAGATATCAATTGTTTTTTTAAATTTTATTTTAATTTTTAATTTTTTGAGACTGAGTCTCGCTCTGTCGCCCAGGCTGGAGTCAGTGGTACGATCTCAGCTTAATGCAACCTCCGCCTCCTGAATTCAAGTGATTCTCCTGCCTCAGCTTCCTGAACAGCTGGGACTACAGGGCTGCGCCACCACACGTAGCTAATTTTTGTATTTTTAGCAGAGATGGAGTTTCAGCATGTTGGCCAGGCTGGTCTTGAACTCCTGACCTCAGGTAATCCATCTGCCTTGGCCTCCCAAAGTGCTGGGATTACAGGTGTGAGCCACCATGCCCTGCCCAGATATCAATTCTTTACTAACAAAACTCTGATTTTGTTGAAGGCAGCAATGTGTTCAGCCAAAAATGCAAATTGACTTATTTCCTTGCCACAGGGGTGGCCAAGTGATAGTATAAGTGGCTAATGAGATATAATTGGAAGTCTACTGAGAGGACTTTCGTAGTCTCAGTGATGGCTATTGTTTCACTGATAAAAGGTGTGTGCCTTTGTCCTATACCCTTTCTCATTTTTCCTGCCTGGGAAAAGGATACAATGCCTAGAGGTGAAGCAGCCATCTTGCAACCATGAGGGTGAAAGTTTCATGCCAATATACATATACACACACACACACACACACACACACACACACACACACACACAGCAGGCAGATATAGGAGCTTGGTTTTCAAATGACACTCTTGAGCAGCCATATAAGCTCTAGTCTGTCCACATCCAGACTTTTTGTTACATAAGAAAAATAAATCTACTTGTTTCAACCACTGACGTAGGGATTCCTGTTACAGCTGAACAGACTCCTGGCTGATACGGAGGGCTGGAGTGGAAGAGGGACTACCAGTTTGGAGGCCTTTTCATTGGTCCATAGCAGAGATCAGAAAGACCTAGACAAGTGCTGGCAGTTAACTCAGAGGAAAGTAGAGGAATTCCGGATATAAAATACATTGCCTGAGCAGCCCCCACATAGATACCAAGAATTTCCCCTCACTTATTCAGGGCCATTGAGTCCACCTTGCTTTAATAGGCCTTATAATAAAGTCCTGTAGCATGTGCAGCCTCAATAACCATTTTTTTTTAAAGATAGTCTTGCTCTGTCAGCCAGGCTGGAGTGCAGTGGTATGATCTTGGCTCACTGCAGCCTCACCTCCCAGGTTCAAGCGTTTCTCATGCCTCAGCCTCCTGAGTAGCTGGGATTACAGGTGTGCACCACCACGCCCAGCTGATTTCTGTATTTTTAGTAGAGACAGGGTTTCGCTACCTTGGCCAGGCTGATTTCAAACTCCTGACCTCAAGTGATTCGCCTGCCTCAGCCTCCCAAAGTACTGGGATTACAGGTGAGCCACCGTGCCCAGCCTCAATAAACATTTTTGGAGCACCTACTCTGTGCTACATCCTGTGCTTTTGAGGGATTTATTTCCAGGTTTCTAAAATTTACATTGGTGACTCCTTCCTGTGATATCAGTTGTTTTCAAACTTTGTGTCTGTAAACCACAATAAAAAATATATTTCATATCATGACTGGAACATATGTGACTTGACAAAAAACTGAAAACAAAGGTTTTACAAAACAATATCCAAAGTATGTGCTGTATGCCTTAATATTTTCCGTTCTATTCTACTCCATTAAAAAAAACTTCTGGTCATATCCACTGTCCACCAAACTCGCTTTTATTATCTATGAGTCAAGACCCACCGTTTAAAAGTCAATCTCTGTTATTCTTTTGGCAATCTTTCTTTATCACCCAGTGATATCTCTTGTATAGTTGACTTAAAAACATTTTTTGTGGGTACGTAGTAGGTGTATATATTTATGGGGTACATGAGATGTTTTGATACAGGCATGCAATGTGAAATAATCACATCATGGAGAATGGGCTATCCATCCCCTCAAGCAGTTATCTTTGTATCACAAACAATCCAATTACACTCTTAGTTATTTTAAAATGTACAATTGGCTGGGAGCAGTGGCTCACGCCTGTAATCCCAGCACTTTGGGAGGCCAAGGCAGGCAGATCACCTGAGGTCAGGAGTTCGAGACTAGCCTGGCCACCATGGCAAAACCCCATCTCTACTAAAAAATACAAAAATTAGGTAGGTGTGGTGGTGGACGCCCTGTAATCCCAGCTACTCGGGAGGCTGAGGCAGGAGAATCACTTGAACCTGGGAGGCAGAGGTTGCAGTGACCTGGGATTGCACCACTGCACTCCAGCCTGGGTGACAAAGTGAGACTCCATCTCAAAAATACGTAAAAAATAAAATTTACAATTAAGTTATTGTTGACTATAGTCCTCTGTTGTGCTATCAAATAGTAGGTCTTATTCATTCTATTTTTTTTTTGTACTCATTAACCCTCCCCGTCTAGTTGATTTTTCATGCCAACGTCTCATCTTACCTCCTGGTTCATGAGCCCCTGCCTTGCTCCTCTCTGTGTCCATAGTGCCTGGCCCTGTGCCTGGCAAATAGGGGATTATATGTTCCTTGAAACCCAGAGCCATACAATGTGGCTTTTAGGATCTCCTCAACACATTAAACATGATAAATGCACCCTTTCCATTTGTCTGGGGTCAAGGTGGGAGCGGAGATGGTTCTTAGTAGTTTAGGCAAATAGGAAAACTTTGTCCCCAACAAATACTTCAGGCTGCCATCCACATTTCTCTTCAACAATCCACCTCTTTATAGGACTGTTAGTATTATCATTATTATGTCAAATCTTAGATTTTTAGTGCCTTTCTGAGTATTCAAAACATGGGCTAGTTGATCTGATTTAAGGCAACACACACCTTAAAACGCTAGAGGATTGAGCGAGGGCAGGAGACTGTCTCGCTAACTAGGAAATTTCTAGAAGCCCAGGAGGAAAATGCCATGGCAAGGTGATGGTAGGGCGATGGGGGACGGGGATGTTTATTGGCCCTGGTCACAACATCCTTGGATCAGCCCATCTGCATTTGAGGCACTTGAGAGATGGAAGGCTGGGGAATTGGGGGGCAGTTTTCTAGAGCACCTGGATTTGCACAAGCCAGCGGGCAGAAGACAGAAAGCAACCTTATTTCGGGTTCATTCTTCAGTCTTGTTTTCTCTGGACATGCTGCCTCCATTTATTAACGAGATATTCTGCCTCCTGAGCGTCCCCACGCTGTGGGCAAGAGACAGGAATCTCAGAGTTTGTATTTCTGGTTTCCATGGGCAGACGTGGTAGGTGGGCCACTTGCTTCCTGTCATTTTGGCTCAAGGGAGGATCTGGATGCCCCTGGGAGAGCCACCATTTGTTGTGTGCAAAGAAATTGCTATTCTAATAAAAAGCTATTCCAATTGCCTGCTTTAATTAGGCAATCTGGAACAGGCTCCAGGATACACTGCTAGGTGAAAAAACTAAGGTGCAGAGAGTGTGCATAGTCTGCTGCCACTAGGGGGAGAAGAAGGAAGAATATGTAGTTGTAAATTCGTTTTGCGCATACACAAAATATCTCTGGAAGTACACACGGCAGACTAGAACTGTTTGATGAGAGCTGGGTGGTTGGAAGACAGGGATGGGAACGCGAGGAGACATCTTTCTTCTTGGCCCTCCGTATATGCTGAATGTACTACACCATTTTATATAAGGGACTTGAGCATCTACAGGTTTTTGGTATCCTCAGGGGATCCTGGAACCAATCCCCTGTAAATGGGGAGGGACAACTGTACTTTTTTTGCATTTTGAACTTTTTTACCATATATATTATAATCTATTCAAATAAATTATTTCATAACAAATAAAATAATTAGCTCCTAAAAGTAATATTCATGAGACATATATAATAACATAGTTTATAATATCTTTTTTTTTTCTTTTTTGAGACAGAATTTCGCTCTTGTTGCCCAGGTTGGAGTGCAATGGCGCAATCTCGGCTCACCGTAGCCTCTGCCTCCTGGGTTCAAGCAATTCTCCTGCCTCAGCCTCCCTAGTAGCTGGGATTACAGGCATATGCCACCATGCCTGGCTAATTTTGTATTTTTAGTAGAGATGGAGTTTCTCCATGTTGGTCAGGCTGGTCTCGAACTCCCAACCTCAGGTGATCCCCCCGCCTCAGCCTTCCAAAGTGTTGGGATACAGGCATGAGCCACTGCGCCCAGACTTCTGTCAGTCTTAAGATCTCTATTTTAATGTTAATGGTGATCAGCTGTGTGTGAACTTTAAAAGGGAGAGTGTATAATGAGGCATGTCCAGCAACCCCATCCTATCATGGCCTGGACTAGCTATTTGGGTTTCTTTGGAAGGCCCTTGGCTGAGACGGGGTGTCCATTCAGTCTGTT
The DNA here is from genome assembly GCF_000001405.40 of Homo sapiens. Lineage (NCBI taxonomy): Eukaryota > Metazoa > Chordata > Mammalia > Primates > Hominidae > Homo > Homo sapiens. The sequence goes on from NC_000006.12 coordinate 111,058,367, forward strand.
GGGGGACTTGGAATTTTAATTTTGGTTTACAGTATCCTCATTGTTAAGTGACATATGACTATATTTTTTTCTTCCCAGGTTGCAGCAACTGAGCTGCCCAGAGGTGGACTAACCTACTCACATGTTCTTGACTCCCCTTGTGGGGGAGAGGGCTAGATTTGAACTAGAAGCTGGGTATGGTGGAGCAATCCCACCTACAATCCTAGGTATTCAGAAGGCTGAGGCAGGAGGATTGCTTGAGCCTAGGACTTCCAGATCAGCCTAGGCAACATAGCCAGACCCCATCTGTAAAGAAATAAGATAAAACAGATCTGGACTAGAGATGAAGCTGTAAGGCAGTGGGCAGAGTCAAACAAAGGAGGAAGGATTTCAGTTGCTTCCATCTGAGGCACTTTCTCCACCTTCACCACGGCTGTTTGTGTGCTGCAGGAGAGCCAAGTGAGCCTGTCTGCATACACCTCCTCCTTGAAGCTTTCCCATCTACTGTGCTCTCACAGCTTGGATCACCTCCCATTCTAAGTTCTCTCTAGTTGGTAGCTCATAAGTTCACACTTAGCTCCTTGTCCTTTTTTTTTTTTTTTTTTGAGACTGAGTCTCACTCTATTACCCAGGCTATAGTGCAGCAGTGCCATCTTGGCTCACTGCAACCTCCATCTCCTGGGTTCAAGCAATTCTCCTGCCTCAGCCTGCTGAGTAGATGGGATTACAGGTACACACCACCACATCTGGCTAATTTTTGTATTTTTAGTGGAGACAGGGCTTCGCCATGTTGGCCAGGCTGGTCTCGAACTCCTGACCCCAGATGATCCACCTGCCTCAGCCTCCCAAGGTGATGGGATTACAGGCGTGAGCCACCTCACCTGGCCGATAGGGTCCATTTTGATTCTCCATCTATAGGTGTGTCCCCACCTGTGCTAAATGTCCCTAGCCTCTACCTCTTATTTTAAAGTCCCCTACCTCCTGGGTGTCTTCTGGAGAACACCCAGCTACATTAAACAGGTTTGAAGTAAGCATGTGTTTCCCCTGCCAAACCTGCTGCCTACTTTGTATTCCCTGTCTCTGTTAATAGCACTACCACCCACCCAGTCGTCCGGCAGGATCTTAGCGTTCACCTTGACTCTCTCCTCTGCCTCGACCCCTCTCTCCCTCCCACTGTTCTGCCAGTTCTCCCCTTCTCTCCATACCTTCTGCCTATCATCCTTTACCTTTCAGTCTCCCAGCCTTTACTAGAATCTGTCATTTATAAATAAAAGTCTGATCCAGCAGCTCTCCTACTTAAGGACTCTCAGCTCTCCTCCTTAACAATTCCATTCATGTGATAAAATCCAAATTTCTTGTGCGGTAGAAGAGAGTCTTTATAATATATTCCCAACCTGCCTCTCTGGCTGCATTCTCTAACACAGCCTAAATTATACCAGCCTTCAGCTTCTTAATGTCCTCCAAACAAAATCTGTTCTTTACAACTTGGTACTTTGTACAACTCTGTACTTTTGAACACTGCTGTTTTTCATACTTAGTGATCTCCTACTCACCTTTTCAAGGTTGCCTCAATGGCTTGAGGGGCAATCTCTTTCCCCTTGTCTCTCAATCAGCAGACCTGGGCTATGTGGATGATGGAATGCATGATAAAACAGCTAAACCTTTGATTTGATTATGTTCTTAATTTTCATCCCACTCAACTCCACTCTTTGTAAAGGTTTAATAAATAAGCATGAATTCTTTCTTGACATTAGGCTGCAATTGGAGCCAGAGGATTATACTACAGCTAAGAAGTGTCTGAACAAACAAGGGATGGGGGTCAAAATTGTGCCGGAAGGAAAAATGCCTTTCAGGCTCTTGGAGGTTTGTTGCCCCTGATCCTCTGGCTTTGATCTCCAGGACTCCATTACAATAAGATATTAGCGTTAACCAGCTCATTGCTTCTGTGCCAGGAATGTAGGCCAAGGGGTTGTACTTAGAAAAGAAGTGGGACCTTGTCTCTACAAAAAATTAAAAAATTAGCCAAGGATAATGGTGCGTGACTGTAGTCCTAGCTACTCAGGAGGCTGAGGTGGGAGGATCGCTTAAGCCCAGGAGTTGGAGGCTGCAGTGAGCTATGATTGCGCTTCTGCACTCCAGCCTGGGGGAAAGAGGAAGACCCTGTTTCCTAAAAAACAACAAAAACAAAAAACCAGCAACAATGATCTGTGATCGGACTCAGACACAGCACAACACTGGAAGACAGGTCTTCTCCAGTAAGGACAAGAAGTAGAAGCATCAGGGGATGGATATTCGATTTTCCATGTTGTGATTGTTACGCATTGCATGCCTGTACCAAAATATCTCATGTACCCCATAAATATATACACCTACTGTGTACCCACAAACATTAGAAATAAAAAAATTAAGAAAGAAGTAGGAGCAGCCATGGCTGTGATCTAGAAGCAGGAGAGGAGGTACCCCCTGACCCTGACTGTGGTTAACCAACTTCTCTGGAGCCACAGCCCCTGCTGACTAGAGGAGACCCAGGCCCAGGACTTCCTGTGGGCAACTGCTATTGTCACACCTCCATAGGATGATCATCACGTGGGCTGAGTGGGGACAGGTGAAGGATGGGAGCCATCACTTGAGAAATTGACAACACAAGTGTGGCAAAGGGCATTGTTGGGATGAGGTGCACAGTTTCTAAGCACTCCCCGCCCCCTCCCCTCCCCACATGCACATGCACGCACACACATGCACAATCACACACACAAAGACATGGTCACAGACATGCACCCCTTCCTTTTAGCCTTCTTCCAATCCTGTTTCATTGTCTGTTTCAGATTCAGGTAGACGATTATAATATCCAGGATTATGATGCAGAGACGTGGTTCAATTTGCTATAGCAGAGATGGGAGCAGGAAATAAAAAGAGTAGTATTTGCCTTTTTGAGGACAAGATAGCCCTTTGGCAGCCAAAATACAGTGACATTCAAAGAACATGCCTCCTTCTGGCCTAGCAAACATTAACCTCCTCTCTTTCATTCCTAAACTTGCAAAGTCACTGGATTAGTCTGTTTTCGTGCTGCTGACAAAGACATACCCAAGATTGGGAAGAAAAAGAGGTTGAATTGGACTTACAGTTCCACATGGCTGGGGAGGCCTCAGAATCATGGCGGGAGGCAAGAGGCATCTCTTACATGGTGGTGGCAAGAGAAAATGAAGAAGAAGCAAAAGCGGAAACCCCGATAAACCCATCAGATCTCTTGAGACTTACTCACTATCACGAGAATAGCAAGGGAAAGACTGCTCCCCATGATTCAGTTACCTCCTCCTGGGCCCCTCCCACAACACGTGGGAATTCTGGGAGATGCAATTCAAGTTGATATTTGAGTGGGGACACAGCCAAACCATATCAGTCATCATCTCTCACCACCTCCATTTCCTCACCACAAACTCACTCATCACTCTGCAGGATGGCTCCCTCCTCCAGTCCTTCTCCAGGAAGACACCAAGACTCCTGAATCTTCTCAGACGACATCATCTCCCCTGGGGGAATAGCACTGCCATTCCCAGAACCAGGAAAAAGGTGGTCTCTCAGGCAGCAGCTATGAAGCCTTGGAGTCATCTTTACCTCTTTTGGGCACGTCCCCTCCCCCACCAGCTCAGCATCTGATGAGTTGCCAAGTCCCACCAAGTCCACCCCGTAGGATCTCTCTAGCATCTGCTGACATCTTCACCCTCACAGCAATCACAAAGCACCAAAGCCAGACTGTAAAAACTGCCCGCCATCAACCCCAACTCTCCAACCACCATCTTCTTCATGTCTGTATGAGCTTCCCAAGGTTGCTATAACAAAATACCACAGGGTGGCCTTAAACTGCAGAAACTGGCCGGGCACCATGACTCACACCTGTAATCCCAGCACTTTGGGAGGCTGAGGCTGGTGGATCGCCTGAGGTCAGGAGTTTGAGACCAGCCTGGCCAACATGGTGAAACCCCATCTCTACTTAAAAAAATACAAAATTAACCAGGCATGGTGGCCGCACCTGTAATCTCAGCTACTTGGGAGGCTGAGGCTTGAACCCTGGAGGTGGAGGTTGCAGTGAGCCAAAATCACACCACTGCACTCCAGCCTGGGCAACAAGAGCGAAACTCTGTCTCAAAACAACAACAACAAAAATTAACCAGGCATGATGACATGCACCTGTAGTCCCAGCTACTTGCGAGGCTGAGGTGGGAGGATGGCTTGAGTCCAGGAGGTAGAGGTTTCAGTGAGCTGAGATTGTGCCACTGCACTCTAGCCTGGACAGCAGAGCCAAACCACATCTCAATAAATAAATAAATATTTTTTAAAATGCAGAAATTTATTCTTTCCCAGTTCTGGAGTCTAGGACTTCTTCTTTTTTATTTTTTACTATTACACTTTAAGTTCTGGGGTACATGTGCACAGTGTGCAGGTTTGTTACATAGGTATACATGTGCCATGGCAGTTTGCTGCACCTATCAACTCGTCACTTCCATTAGGTATTTCTCCTAATGTTGTCCCTCCCCCAGCCTCCCACCCCCCGACAGGCCCCGGTGTCTGACGTTCCCCTCCCCGTGTCCATGTGTTCTCATTGTTCAGCTCCCACTTATGAGTGAGAATGTGTGGTGTTTGGTTTTCTCTTCTTGTGTTACTTTGCTCAGAATGATGGTTTCCAGTTTCATCCATGTCCCTGCAAAGGACATGAACTCAACCTTTTTTATGGCTGCATAGTATTCCATGGTGTATATGTGCCACATTTTCTTTACCCAGTCTATCATTGATGGACATTTGGGTTGGTTCCAAGACTTCGCTATTGTGAACAGTGCTGCAATAAACATATGTGTGCATGTGTCTTTATAGTAGAATGATTTATAATCCTTTGGGTATATACCCAGTAATGGGATTGCTGGGTCAAATGGTATTTCTAGTTCTAGATCCTTGAGGAATTGCCACACTGTCTTCCACAATGGTTGAACTAATTTATACTCCCACCAACAGTGTAAAAGCATTCCTATTTCTGCACATCCTCTCCAGCATCTGTTGTTTCCTGACTTTTTAATAATGGCCATTCTAACTGGCGTGAGATGGTATCTCATTGTGGTTTTGATTTGCATTTCTCTGATGACCAGTGATGATGAACATTTTTTCATAAGTTTGTTGGCTGCATAAATGTCTTCTTTTGAGAAGTGTTTGTTCATATCCTTCACCTATTTTTTGATGGGGTTGTTTGGTTGTTTGTTTGTTTGTTTGTAAATTTAAGTTCTTTGTAGATTATGGATATTAGCCCTTGGTCAGATGAATAGATTGCAAAAATTTTCTCCCAATCTGTAGGTTGCCTGTTCACTCTGATGAGAGTTTCTTTTGCTGTTCAGAAGCTCTTTAATTAGATCCCATTTGTCTATTTTGGCTTTTGTTGCCATTGCTTTTGTTGTTTTAGTCATGAAGTTTTTGCCCATGCCTATGTCCTGAATGGTATTGCCTAGGTTTTTTTCTAGGGTTTTTATGGTGTTAGGTCTTACATTTAAGTCTTTAATCCATCTTGAGTTAATTTTTGTATAAGGTGTAAGGAAGGGATCCAGTTTCAGCTTTCTGCATACAGCTAGCCAGTTTTCCCAGCACTGTGTATTAAATAGGAAATCCTTTCCCCATTGCTTGTTTTTGTCAGGTTTGTCAAAGATCAGATGGCTGTAGATATGGTTTTTATTTCTGAGGCCTCTGTTCTGTTCCATTGGTCTACATATCTGTTTTGGTACCGGTACCATGCTGTTTTGGTTACTGTAGCTTTGTAGTATAGTTTGAAGTCATGTAGTGTGATGCCTCCAGCTTTGTTCTTTTTGCTTAGGATTGTCTTTGCAATGCGGGCTCTTTTTTGGTTCCATATGAAATTTAAAGTAGTTTTTTTTTTTTCCAATTCTGTAAAGAAAGTCAGTGCTAGCTTGATGGGGACAGCATTGAATCTATAAATTACCTTGGGCAGTATGGCCATTTTCATGACATTGTTTCTTCCTATCCATGAGCATGGAATGTTCTTCCATTTGTTTATGTCCTCTTTTATTTCGTTGAGCAGTGGTTTATAGTTCTCCTTGAAGAGGTCCTTCACATCCCTTGTAAGTTGTATTCCTAGGTATTTTTTTCTCTTTGTAGCAATTGTGAATGGGAGTTCACTCATGATTTGGCTCTCTGTTTGTCTATTATTGGTATATAGGAATGTTTGTGATTTTTGCATATTGATTTTGTATCCTGAGACTTTGCTGAAGTTGCTTATCAGCTTAAGGAGATTTTGGGATGAGACGATGGGGTTTTCTAAATGTACAATCATGTCATCTGCAAACGGGGACAATTTGATTTCCTCTTTTCCTAACTGAATACCCTTTATTTCTTTCTCCTGCCTGATTTCCCTGGCCAGAACTTCCAATACTATGTTGAATAGGAGTGGTGAGAGAGGGCATCCTTGTCTTGTGTCGGTTTTCAAAGGGAATGCTTCCACCTTTTGCCCATTCAATATGATATTGGTTGTGGGTTTGTCATAAATAGCACTTATTATTTTGAGATATGTTCCATCAATACCTACTTCATTGAGAGTTTTTAGCATGAAGGGCTGTTGAATTTTGTCGAAGGCCTTTTCTGCATCTATTGAGATAATCATGTGGTTTTTGTCATTGGTTCTCTTTATATGATGGATTATGTTTATTGATTTGCGTAAGTTGAACCAGCCTTGTATCCCAGGGATGAAGCTGACTTGATCGTGGTGGATAAGCTTTTGGGAGTCTAGGAGTTCTAAATGAAGGTGTTGGCAGGGATGGTTCCTTCCGGAGGCCCTGAGGAAGAACCTGTTCCCTGCCTCTCTCCCAGCTGCTGGTGGTTCCTGGCAACACTTGGTATTCCTTGGTTCGCAGACACATCAGCCTCGACTCTGGCTCCATCTTTACATGGCACCCTCCTCTGTGTGTGCATATCTCTGTGTTTCTGATTTCCTCTAAGGATACCAGTCAATGGATTTAGGGCCCATCCTAGACTAGACTGACCTCATCTTACCTAATTACATCTTCAAAGATCCTATTTCCAAATAAGGTCACATTCTGAGGTTCTGGGTGGACATGAGCTTTTGGGGACACTCTTCAATCTAGTACAGTGTCTTTCCAGTTGTCACCTTCTCACTTCTCTCACATGTTCTCCTTCCCTCTTGGGGACCTGAAGTCTGACTGCCTCCCTACTTTGTTGGTCCTCTGTTGACCTCAGACATTCCCTTTTTTTTTTTTCTTTCCTTGAGATAGGGTCTCACCCTGTCACCCAGGTTGGAGTGTGGTGGCACGATCTTGGCTCACTGCAACCTCCACCTCCCACGCTCACACAATCCTCCCACCCCAGCCTCCCAAAGACCTGGGACCACAGGTGTGCACCCACTGATCACAGCTAATATTTTTGTATTTTTTTTTGTAGAGACAGGGTTTTGCCATGTTGCCCAGGCTGATCTTGAACTCCTGAACTTAAGCAATACCCCCCCTCCCTTGGCCTCCCAGAGTGCTGGGATTACAGGCATGAGCCACCACACCTGGCCAGATATTCCTATCTAACCTTGATTCACACACCTGATGACCTGAACCTTATCATCTCTTCCTCCGACTTCCTATCCTGTGTCTGCAGCCTGTCTCCCTCCATAAGGATGCATAGGCTTCTGTTTAAAAGAAACCACACTCCTGTGTGGACTAGGACCACAACAAAACCTCTGTCCTCTCCAGTCGCACCTGAGCCCCCCCATGGCCAAAACTAGTCTTCAGTGAGGCTTGCAAAGTTTCCCTGCTCTCCCCAAGCCCCACCCGACAGAACCTCCTGACTCTCAGGAATTGACTCCTTACTTCATGGAAAAAATTGAACAACCTGCTCCTGCTTCCTTTTTATGTCAACTTAGAACTAAACACACTCCTCTCTCCCACATCGCAGGACGAGCTGTCCCTCTGCACAGGCCAGCTCAGCACCACAGCCCCTTGGGGAGCTGCCCCCCTGGGCCTTCAGCTCTCTCTTCTTTCTAGCTAATGCCATCTCGCTCTCTCTTTCTTTTCAAGCTAAGCTGCTTGGAAAATAGCTCTGCGGTTTTTATGCCCTCCCTTCCCATTTACTCAGAAGCCACCTGCTTCCTGGAGCCTCCCCAGGCCCCTCAATGGGATGCAGTCACTCTTCCCTCTCTCCCCCACCTAAGTCCCAGTGCTCTGTTTGTCCTCCCCAGGTATCTGTACTGTTTGGTGCCATCATATCTACTGTGCCAGATCTGTAGCAGGGCAAGAGCAGGGCCTCTGACGTTGCACATCATCACAGACATTCTATAAATATAGTTTAAAGACTCCAAAGTTGGTTGCTCCTGGGCCACACTGTGTTCCACCAGGCCCAGTTTAGGTGTCTGTTTTCCCCATGGAGCTGAATGAATGAAGTGGGCCATAAGAGCTGAGAGGGACAGCACCTTCATAGAACAAGTCAAGAGATCCCAGGCTCCCAGGATCTCCTACCAGTTGATGCTGTGGGTGCTTTCAGTGAGTTGCAGCTGGTGACAATTTAGGCAGGGAAAGGGGGAAGGGGTCTGAGAGAACAGCTCTCCCAGTAGTGCCCACAGTCTTGTTACCTCCCCTCTGACCTGAGGCTTGCATATGTACAAGACAGTGCATGAGTCTGTGAACTTTGCTTCATGTGTGGCTTTATGGAACCAATCTTTGCCAGACCATACGTATCTTCTCCTGTACCTCCAAGGCATGGTGGTGGGTCAGCTCCTCTCCTCCACTTCTAAGTCTCCTTTGTTATTCTCTGGGGCACACTTTCAACCTGCCAGCCTCTGAGCTAGTTGCTTTGCATACCACTTCATCCAGTCCTTATAGCTGCCCAATCACTTAGGTACTATTCCTCCCCCGACCTTTTTTTTTTTTTTTTTTTTTGAGACAGAATCTCGCTTTGTTGGCCAGGATGGAGTGCAGTGGTGCAATCTTGGCTCAAACCTCTGTATCCTGGGCTCAAGCGTTCTCCCCCCTCAGCCTCCTAACTGAGATCACAGGCACACAACACCAAGCCTGGCTAATTTTATTTTTTGTTTGTTTGTTTGTTTGTTCATTTTTTTAGTAGAAACAGGGTTTCACCATGTTGGCCAGGCTGGTCTCGAACTCCTGACCTCAGGTGATCCGCCCACCTTGGCCTCCCAAAGTGCTGGGATTACAGGCGCGAGACACCATGCCCGGCCAAGCCTGCCTTTCTTTCTTTTTTCTTTTTTTTGAGACGAAGTCTTGCTCTGTCACCAGGCTGGAGTGCAGTGGCAGGATCTTGGCTCACTGCAACCTCCACCTCCTGGGTTCAAGCGATTCTCCTGCCTCAGCCTCCCGAGTAGCTGGGATTACAGGTGCCCACCACCACACCCAGCTAATTTTTGTATTTTTAATAGAGACAAGGTTTCAACATGTTGGCCAGGATGGTCTTGATCTCTTGACCTCGTGATCCACCCGCTTAGGCCTCCCAAAGTGCTGGGATTACAGGCGTGAGCCACCATGCCCAGCCAAGCCTGTCTTTCTTTCTCCAGCAAGATCAACTTTGATCTCAATTTTCACCTGATCTCATGCATAGTGGTTCCGGAGTGTGTTCACCAGCTGTGTTGTGTCCATGACACAATTCTCCCTCTCCCTGTGTGGCTCACCCACTAGCTATCCCAAAATATGTGAGGGTGTCAGTGGAGAAGGAGTGATTAAAAAGGGGGCACCATAAAGCAGCAACTCAAAATACTAAAAGAAAATTTTTAAAAAGGGGTAACAGGTATGAGCTCTTACTAGATTCCATCTGACGTAACTAAGGACAAGGACTGGGGCTGTGCTCCATCTGTTTTCATATCTCTAGTGTACATAATTATGTGCTGAGTGAAGGAGTTTACTTTTATTCCTGATCAAAATCTGCAAGCTCCTTTATCTGCCTTGGCAGTGAAAGATGTTGCAGCAGCAGTGGGTGCAGATCCTCATCTTGACTCTCCTCCCACTGCCTTATCGGAATGTCATCTCAAATAGGAACAACCTGTAGGTGCACCGGAATAGGGATGTCTTTGAATTCTCTTGTCAAAAGACCTGAAGATGGTTTTGGTAACCTTGATAAAGAAAGGTTTTTGTGAAGATTTAATGTGATCATGTAGGTAAAACCTGGCACAACTTTATCAAAAAAGAAGTGTTTAGTAAAATAACAAACATATTGACCTAGCTAATCCTCTAAAGCATCCAAATAAACAAGGCTAAAGGGGTGGCCAATAACTTTTGTGCCGCTTAGGAGGCCATTGGACCTTGATGTTGTTCATGTCACTGTAGGTGGCACTGAGAAAAACACATCAGAACCTGAAAATCTAGTTTTCCTGTGGCTCTCCTCGTGCTCAGAATCATACCTAGCTGCCTTCTCTGACTTTAGGATCTCTTCCGTCTGGCTCCTGCCTCCGTTTCGGATCTCATCTTAAAACCCCTCCCTCTGCAATCTCTTGGCTGGGGGAGCAGCCCAGCCCCTTTCACCTCAGGATCTCTGCATGTGCTGTTCCTGCTCATCCTTCAGTCTCAGCTGAAGTGTCATCTCCTTCCCTGAGCATGTAGCAGAATCCCTATCTGTCATTTACAAACAAAACAACCCACTGCATGCCCAAGAATGCCCAACAAGCATGCTCAACAGATAGCTGTTGGATGCGTGCACAAAGAAACTGGACCACAGCCAGCTTAGGCAGGAAAGGAGGGCCTTGTTTTTTTTGAAGTCTTATCTGTGCTTGGGGCTGTTTTAAAAATTTGTGGTGATCTGGAAGGTATTGTTTATTTATTTGTTTATTATTATTTATTTAAGACAGAGTCTCGCTCTTTTGTCCAGGCTAGAGTGCAATGGCTTGATCTCTGCTCACCTCAACCTCCGCCACCGGGGTTCAAACGATTCTCATGCCTCAGCCATCTGAGTAGCCAAGATTACAGGCGGGAGCCACAACACCCAACTAATTTTTGTATTTTTAGCAGGGGTGAGGTTTCGCCATGTTGCCCAGGCTGGTCTTGAACTCCTGGCCTCAAGTGATCTACCCCCACTTGACCTCCCAAAGTGCTAGGATTATAGGCATGAGCCACCGTGCCTGGCCTGATTATCTTTTTAATAAAAGAGAAGAGAGGAAAAGAGCATTCTGTTTGCAAAGCTAGTAGAATACTGCTTGAAATATTTTTAGCAATCTCTGGATGCCATCCATTCTCTGATTCTGCCTGTTGATCTCATCCTGAGTACTAAATGCGCATCAGCTTGGCTTATGGTTTCCACCACTGTTTTCTGGATTTCTTGGCTTGTTGCTTTCTTGATTTCTAAGTTAACAAGGGAAGTCTTGTTACACAGATTTTTAAAATCCCAATTAAAATTATTCTGCAACAGTAGTAATAGGAGTGATACAATTTGTATCATGATCCATAAAGTGTTGGTCGGTTTCAAAAAGAGGCCAGAATGGGACTGGGGCTGACACAGTGTGACTCCTCACCCAGAGATCATTAGCCTCTGGAACAGCCTCAGCAAAGAAGCAGAGGCAAGCAGCAGGTCTAGGGACTTGTGCAGAGCTCAGGTACTGTCCCTAGGCATCATTAGGAGGTGTTGCTCTACAGGGGAGAAATAAATGAGTAGGAAGCACAAAGTGTTTCCAGGGTAAAAAAGAGTTACAGAGAAAAGTAAATGTTTGACCATCCTATGAAAACTAATAGCATAGACCAGGGATATGAGGCTTTCTGTATTCACTCATTCATTCATTCTCTCCTCCATTTATTCATTCATTCAACAAATGAACATTAAGCAGGCACCAAACTAAGTCCCAGATGATGCGAGGATGAATGGATCTCGATTCTTGGCTTTGAATAGCTCACATTACACTGCCAAACGCTATGGTGTTTGTAAAAGTGGCTTGTAAATGGCACAACACTACAACGTGTTGTTTATTCTTCCAACATTTAATATGATGGCTGGCATGGAACAGGTGCTCAAAAATGGCTGTTGAATGAATGAATAAGGAGCAGGAAGTGATAGGCACTGAAACAACATAGGCACTAAACAAGCTATAATACGTGAGAACTGGAGACAGTCTGGGTTGAAAACTAAAAAGGGATCTGTGTGATTCAATACAGCACTAAACAGGGCTCCTTGATTATTTCAGAGACTGGGAACTTCATGTTCTAAACCTTGCTTTTTTCATAACCGTGTGACTGTGGTGTCTTAATCTCTCTATGGTTGAGCAAGGGACTACAACCGTATCATCAGACCCCCTCCTTTGATATACTTTGTGAATTGGGCTCCATCCTAAAGTTTAAGAAAGGAGCTAGAGTTAGAAAAATGCACAATTGCCTCTCAACTGTAAATCCCTTCAAATCCACAGTAAGAAATGAAACAGATGAAACTGTTGAACAAACATTTCCTTTTCTGTGTAGGAATGTGGTCATCACAAAAGAGAACTACTAGTTAAATTACAACCTTACGCTGGTGCTTACGTGAGCTTCTGTCTTTCTCCTGTTGACCTTCAGGAAGCTACAATGATGATTAGTATCTAATTTGGAAATTAATTACCTTATCTAGTTTTGAGACGTACTAGTTTCAAGAGACTGACGAGAATTGTGCCAAATTTGCTCCCTCAAATTCTTATATCATAGAAAGTGGCCATTATTGGAGATATATATATATATATTTTAACCTTTTAAAAGGTTGTTTGACTATAAAAGCCCATATCACTCTTAATTTGTGATTTGTGCCAGGTCAGGGAAGAAAGCCCAGACTTAAATGTGGCCAGAAACCACAGTGCAGAAAGATTTAACAGTCCTCCCCACATTTTAGAATGAGTTGGAAAGGAGTCAAAATTTAATCTTAAAATCTCACAAATGCTTTATGACTACAATTAGTGCTCAAAGCTATCAGGTGGTGTAGACATGCACTACTATTATAGAAACTGAGTAGTACATCTAGGTTTCCCAACAGAAAGATTTCTTTGAGGCTAAACTCATCATAAATGGTAAGGACCTTTCCTTCCTTCCTCCCTCCTTCCCTCCTTTCCTTCCTTCTTTCTTCTGTCTTTCTTTCTCTTTTTTTTTTTTTTTTTTTTTTGACAGAGTCTCGCTCTATGGCCCAGGCTGGAATGCAGTGGCATGATCTTGGCTCACTACGACCTCTGTCTCCCGGGTTCAAGCAATTCTCCTGCCTCAGCTTCCTGAGTAGCTGAGATTACAGGTGCACACCACCACGCCCAGCGAATTTTTGTATTTTTAGTAGAGACAGAGTTTCACCATGTTGGCCAGGCTGGTCTGGAATTCCTGGCCTCAAATGATCCACCACCCACCGTGGGCTCCCAAGGTTCTGGGATTACAGTCACGAGCCACTGTGCTGGCCAGGATCTATTTTTTATTAAAATAATTAAATATATTTCATTATATGATAAATAGAAATTGGAAGAGACAAGGAACAGATTCTCCCTTGGAGCCTCCAGCCCTGCTAACATCTTAATTTTAGCCCGGTAAGACTGACTTCAGACTGCTGACCTTCAAATCTGTAAGAGAATCAATTTGTGCTATTTTAAGCCAGTACATTGTGGGGATTTGTTATAGCAGTAATAGGAAACCAATACAATCCTCATTTCAAAATAGTTCCCAATATGGCCGCTGCAGTGGCACACCTGTAATCCCAGTACTTTGGGAGGCCTTGGCAGGAGGATTGCTTGAGCACAGGAGTTCGAGCAGCCAGCCTGGGTAACATAGTGAGACCTTGTCTGTTAAAAAAAAAAAAAAAAAAAGATCTTTTAAAAAATTTCTAATATATTATTTTTTATTAGACTATTGGACGTCTGGAGGGTATGTGGGCAGTAGGAGATGAAATCCTTTTGTCTCTGTGGGTGGCGGTGTTCAAATATTTTCCACTTTGGTATTTCAAAAGCTTTGTAATGTGTTGTGTTTATTTTATTCATCTGTTTTTGTCTCCCTTTATCAAGCTCTCTGGCTACATAGCCCATCATATTTTTTCTACTCTTATTTAAGAAACTGTCTCATGAAGAGCTGTCTGAGTCAGGGAAGAGTCAAAATCGAAGCTTCTATTTGTGCCTTTTGTCACAAACCTCCCACACTTGTTCCATTCTTCCTTCACACTCCAAGTCTTTTAGTCTTTCTCTTTCTCAAGATGTCCCCCTCCTCTTATATCTCCTTTTCTGTCCCTCTGCTCCACTTACTTCCACTTAATTGATCACTGTTTTCTTCTCCTCTTTTGCTCTGGAGCTCTCTCTCACCTGTCATATTCTTGAGTTTCCACCTGATCTTGTTCAAGAGTCCAGACCCTTTGCCTACTTCACCCTCCAGAATTTCTCAGCCAGTGGTTGAATCTCAACCAGAGGCGTCAGAAGTTCTCAGAGTTTGAAAGGGTTTCAAAGATTATTCTAACCATTCACGTTTGAAGTCTCCCCTCCTGCCTGACATATTTGATAAATAAATAATTTCCTTCTTTCCAAAAGTTGTTTTTTATTTCTTTTTACTTTATTTTTTTGAAACAGGGTTTTGGTCTGTTGCCCAGGCTGGAGTGCAGTGGCACAATCATAGCTCTCTGCAGCCTCTAACTCCTGGGCTCAATGATCCTCCTGCCCCAGCCTCCCAAAGCACTGGGATTACAGGCGTGAACCACTGCACCCTGTCTGTGTCTGTTTTGTCCTACCTGTTTGTCAGGCCTATGCTCAGCCTTTGCCTGAGATCCCCAGGATGGCGGGTCACTCCTTTATGAGGCAGTCTACCCTGACTTTGGACAGCTCTGATGGAGAAGGAGTTCTTCTTTCTGCTGAGATAGCAATCTTTTTCCTTCTAAGTCTGATCCATGAGTTTAATTCTATCCCTTATGTCACTTGTAACAATATCATTTCCTTATCCACATGCTAGTCCTCCAATATTTGAAGATAATCTTCACATCCCCTACTGAGTTTTCCTCTGCTCCAGGCTTAATATCTCTAGTCTTTTGAACTATTTCACAAATGATGAATTTTAGCTTTGTGGTTACCCTCTTCTGATTTTTTTGGTCCCTGCTTCACTTAGAGTGATGTGCAGGGCTGACTGAATACACCAGAGCAGAGGGTCACTGTTACTGCTCATTACGCCAGTGCTGTCTAATAGAACTTTCGGTGATTAGGAAAATGTTCTGTATCTGTGCTGTCCAATCATAACCACCTGTGGTTATTGGGCATTTGACATACGGCTGATGAGAATGAAGAACTGAACTTCTAATTTTACTTTAATTATTTTAAATTTAAATAGCTGCGTATGGCCAGCGGTGATCACATTGGGCAGCACAATTCTAGATGTTATATTTGTAATAATGTAGTTTAATTTTGCATGGTTTTGGAGTAGCCATAGGTTCATCTTGAGTTTACTTCTCTGAAAACTCTTAATTCTTTACTGATGCTAAACCAGTTTGTTGTCACTTGTCATATAAGTACAATTGTCATATAATAGGAGAAACCTATTTTGTGTTTCTCCCTGGCTAGCATGTTAAAATGGCATGTTTTCCACCATTCTTAATTCTGACTTGTGGCCATCTATGTATTCTGAGTCTAGCTCAGTACTCTCTTCTCATTGTACTTCTTGGTTTCCTGATTCTGACCCTGAAGTCTGGAATCCAGATTTTGAGTTGGTATTCTTTAGGTCTTCTGCTTGTTCTTACATTATATATGCCATTTATTTATTCTATATGTTTATATGGAGCACCTTTCAAGTTCCAGGCAGGAACTGTGCTGGAGTCAGAGCCAAGAGAGATAAGACACAGCATCTCCACCAGCACTAACTGATATCCTGCTCTAATCTGCCAGTGTAGGGGTTTTGGCTCCTGTCCTAGACTTCATATCTCAAGTTCAATATCTTGGCCTTAAGTCTTATTGTTTGAGGGTAGGTGGGGAAGAGGTAGGAAGACAGGTGGGAAGGAGAAAGGGGAATTGAGAGAAATGTTGTGGAATTCTAAGGAAAAACAGATCAAACTCCCTAGAGCAACAATATATATTTTTCTTACTGGGAGAGAAAAAAAAATCCTCCCAATCTTACATTTTTTTATGGCTAGCAGTCAACTTGCCTGTCTACTCTAACCATTTTCTTCTCTTTTATGTATCTACAGCCTTCTACCTCATGTTCAAAAATATGGCCTGTGGAAACACAGCCAACAAAAAGATATTCTTGATTTTGTTTTTGTATTTGTTTTCCTGATTCCTTTAAATAACCAGGACCAGGCAATGACAGTTTCTGTATATTCTGTATGTAACATACTGCCAATCTCATAAGGAGTTTATCATTTGAAGAATACACACCCTTTACCCATCATCTAAGCCAGGAAGAAGGGAGAGAGGAAGGAGGTAGGATGGTCTTAGGATGAGAAGGTAGAGGAAGCCATTTGCCTGAGGGCAAAGAGATGCTGCTTTGCTTCTCTGAAATCCATCACAACTAGTTCCGGGATAGGGGTTATCACACTTCCAGATAGCTGCCCAATTGGCCCAAATGGCTCTTGATCAACCAGGGTTAGTCATGGACCAGTTATCTGCAGGATTCTCCCCACATCCCATTTCTCCCCATGGAAAGGAACTATCTTTTATCTTAATTTTCAGAGGCCAAGCTTCAGGTGATCCTTCTCAGGGGTTGCCTAACTAATTGGAAGAACAAAATCCCCACAAACGTAAGATTTGAGGAGAAAAAGACCCCTACATTCCCCATTCCCCATAGGGTGCTCTTTTCTGTGGTCACTAGTATGTTAAGCCATAGCAATGGGGGCAGGTCAGGGTAGGTGAGAAGGAGGGAAGGCTCATCCGACCTCCTCTCTTTTAAAATAGAAATAGGAAATATTATGTCTCTACACGTGGACAGGAGAAGGTATAGGAGGTACTGAAGCAAGGCCATGCTGAGGCTCTGGAAGCCTGGGGTCTTGTTGCTGTCATGCTGTAGACGTCCGTGTAGTCAGGGAATAGTCAAATGTCCATCATTTCATTTTTCCCAGCCTCAGTTTCTTCATCTGCAAAATGGGAAGGTTAGACTGAATCAGTGTTCTTCAAACCTCAAAGCACAATCTATTAGTAGGTGGTGGAATCAATTTACAGTTTTTATCAACAGTTTTCAAAAAACGAAATAAAACATCAGAATGTGCTGTCTTGTACTTAGTAATGTAAACATTGTTTTGTTAGACTGTTGTTCCAATTGTGTGTGTTTGCGTGTATGTACTGGGTAATGACATCCAGCGTGTTTCTAACTATGAGTTATGGTAAAAAATGTTTTAAAAACACAGGAATCTGTGATTCTTGAGGTTCCTTCCACCTGGTGTTTTAGGTTTCCCTGTCTCTGCAGAAGGCTCTCTTTGGGGATTCACCTCCACTGTGATTTGGAAGAACAAGTTTCCATGATGCCATCCCACACTCTCCTCCCAAGCAGGCAGTCTTTGTTTGTATTGAGCCTGTGACATGCAGAGCCCCTCAGAAGGTGAGCAGAGGAGGGGGTGAGGTGTAACTGAGAGCCATGTTGTTAATGTGGACTCCCTGACATTTACATACACTGACATAGTTTCTTGGCATGGCGTAGGCCCTTCAGTTTTACAATGATGCTTTAGAAGAGTTTTTTGCCTTAAACAGGAGGTCAGACAAAATAATAAACTCCCTCCTCTAGAGGTAATATTGTATAAGTCCATGAATACAACATTTCAAGAGCTATTTATAACTAAGGACATCATTTTCAGCAATTGCCACAACAGCAGCACGTTCACAGTGAGGCATGGGTCACAGAGAACTTCTGGCCATTTTTCTGCTTCATTTCCTCAATAGTCCTGAGGCCTGAGGTCAGCTGCTTGTGAGGGGTTGAGTCACAACTTGCTCAAATCTTCTTCCTCCAAAATCCTTTTAACTTCTGCTATACTACAAGGAAACCGATTATTTTCACCAAATGTAAATTATTAAACATGCTTTTTTGGTCAGGCACGGTGCTTACCCCTGTAATCCCAGCAATGTGGGAGGCCAAGGCAGGAAGTCTCCTTGAGGACAGGAGTTTCAGACCAGCCTGGGCAACATAGCAAGACCATGTCTCTACAAAATAAGTTTTAAATGTTAGCTAGTGCATGCCTGTAGTCATAGCTACTTGGGAGACTGAGGTGGGAGAATCGCTTGAGCCCAGGAGAGGGAGGTTACAGTGAGCTATGATTGCACCACTGCACTCCAGCTTGGGCGATGGAGTAAGACACTGCCTCTAATTAAGAAATTTTTTAAACCTGTTTTTTCTTCTTCTGACAGTAAATTTAATTCTATTCAGTACACTTCAACAAACATCATAGGAAGGATCTGTGCTGAAGGGAGATCTTTGTTGAGCAGCCATGCTTTGGGGACACAGCATGGGGAGCCACAGGCCACAAATAGGACATATTCCCAAAGCTTGAGACCTGGTTAGGCAATGTTGCTGTATGCAAATGAAGCTGTTTAAATATCTAAACCACAGTTGTCATTCCAGAATATTTTCAAAGACTATGTGGCTCATGCCTGTAATCCCAGCACTTTGAGAGGCCAAGGCGAAACCCCATCTCTACTAAAAATACAAAAGTTAGCCAGGTGTAGTGGCGGGTGCCAGTAGTCCCAGCTATTTGGGAGGCTAAGGCAGGAGAATTGCTTGAACCCGGGAGATGGAGGTTGCAGTGAGCTGAGATCATGCCATTGCACCCCAGCCTGGGCAACAGAGTGAGACTCCTTCTCAAAAAAAAAAAAAGAAAAAAAAAAAATATATATATATGGGTTTCTTCAAACCTCATGAATAGCACTAAAGTATATCTAAGGTAAACTACAGCATGACTGAGGTAATGCTATCATAATAGAATGATGGCATATGGGGTGGACCAATTGGGGTTAGATGCCCAGGAATTGTTGTGGGTCCCTAAGCACAACAACAGACCTAGCCTCTTGAAAGCTAGCGACTGGACCACGGCCACACAGATGTGAAGTGACAGAAGCTCATCTGATTCCCAATGCTGGCTGGGCACGGTGGCTCACCCTGTAATCCCAGCACTTTGGGAAGCCAAGGCAGGTGGATTGCTTGAGGCCAGGAGTTTGAGACCAGCCTGGCCAACATGGCGAAACTTTGTCTCCACCAAAAATTACAAAAATTAGCCAGGTGTGATGGTGGGCACCTGTAATCCCAGCTACTCAGGAGGCTGAGGTGGGAGAATCGTTTGAACCTTGGAGACAGAGGTTGCAGTTGCAGTGAGCTGAGATTGTGCCATTGCACTCCAGCCTGGGCAACAAAGTGAGGCTCTGTCTCAAAAAAAAAAAAGCCAGGTGCAGTGGCTCATGCCTGTAATCCTAGCATTTTGGGAGGCCGAGGCAGGTGGATCACCTGAGGTCAGGAGTTCAACACCAGCCTCATCAATATGGTGAAACCCCGTCTCTACTAAAAACAAAACAAAACAAAACATTAGCCGGGTGTGGTGGTGTGCACCTATAGTTCCAGCTACTCGGGAGGCTGAGGCAGGAGAATCACTTGAACCCAGGAGGCAGAGGTTGCAGTGAGCTGAGATCGTGCCATTGCCCTCCAGCCTGGGAGAAAGAGTGAGACTCTATCTCAAAACATCACCCCACCCCCCCACCCCCCAAAAAAGAAAAAACCCAAGTGCTTTTGCCATTATAGCCAATGTTTTCTATAGTGGACTTGGGGAGACATCAGGGTAGCATAGCTTGATGACATTTTCTCTAAATATTATTAAATCTTTTTAACCTGGTTCTGAATCCCCTAAGAGCCTTTTTATAGTAATAGGTTTTGTCACACAGAGCTTTCCCCCTTAGAAAATAAGGCACTGTGCAACCCGTAAGAATACTCAAGTTGGCCTGACAGCACATGAAATTACATTTAAAAATGATATTGCAGGTTCTCAATTCATTTTACTGTAAATTTGCTTTCACTAAATCATTCTCTAGAGGCTAAATGGCTCTGGTGAGGGGAGATAATTCAATTCTGGAACACAAAGAGCTGAAGACCAGACTCTGGGCCCACATCACACCCCCAAGGGTGGAGTGTCCTGGGGGCCTGAGGGGTGTCCTGGGGGCCTGAGGGGTGTCCTGGGAGCCTTGGGCTGCTCTCTGCCCTGTCCTATAGACATACCCCAGCACAAGGCTGGAGAAATCTGATGGAACAATTAACAGCATAAAAACCGATGCCCAATGTTTTGCTTTTGAATACACCTAAGATAGGAACCAAAATGTTTGAGGACAGAAGTCGTTGCATTAAAAAAATGAAATGGTGCTGGGCATGGTGGCTCACACCTGTAATCCCAGCACTTTGGGAGGCCAAGGGGGCAGATCACCTGAGGTCAGGAGTTCCAGACCAGCCTGACCAACATGGAGAAACCCTGTCTCTACTAAAAATACAAAATTAGCCGGGCGCGATGGCACATGCCTGTAATCCCAACTACTCAGGAGACTGAGGCAGGAGAATTGCTTGAACTCGGGAAGTGGAGGTTGCGGTGAGCCAAGATCGTGCCATTGAGCTTCAGCCTGGGCAACAAGAGCGAAACTCGATCTCAAAAAAAATAAAAATAAAAATAAAAAAGAAAAGAAATGGTGAAGTTATTTTCCATTAGAAATATAAAATAGGTTGGGCATTTGTAGCTGCATCAAAATAAAAATTTAAAAAGTGTATTCATTTAAGATGTAGGATTTAGATGTAACATAAACTGTAAAATGAGAAAAAAATTTAAAGTTTTAAAAAATGCCAGTAGTTTTTGGAGAACATGTGGTTTTTGGTTACATGGATAAGTTCTTTAGTTTGATTTCTGAGATTTTGGTGCAGTGTACCCAAGCAGTGTACACTGTACTCAATGGGTAGTCTTTTATCTCTCACTCTCCTCCCACCCTTCCCTGGAGTCCCCCAAGTCCATCATATCATTCTTATGCCTTTGAGTCCTCACAGCTTAGCTGCCAGAGAAAAATTTTTTTAAGGCTGTGTTATTTTAACCTAGGAGACCTGGCTTTACTGTCAAATGCCAGACTAAAAGAAAAATTATCATTTAATGATAATTGAAGCACTATATTTAAATTTCCCCAGATTTCTCAAAAATATAATATACTACAGTGGTGGGATCAGATAACTATATAAAAACTTAATTGCTTTTTACTGCATTAGCAGTAACCAGTTAGAAGTTCTTACGGAAAAAAATTCATTCCCAAAAGCAGTGACAACAGCATTGGCAGCAAGAAAATGAAATGCCTGACATAATCCTAACAAGAAATGCATGGGATCTACATGGAGAAATATTAATAAATATCACTAAGTAAAAGCCAATTTCTCTGTTAGAAAATGTGAAGAACAACCACCAAGAAACAATTTATAAAAAAGAAAATACAGATGGTCAATAAATATGATCTTTCTCACTGATAACCAAAGATTTGAAAAAGAAACTAACAATGAAATTTCATCTTTATCCTAAATTGGCAAAGATTTAAAAATAATTATATTATTCAAGATTTCCTGCTAGGTGCAGTGGCTCATGCCTGTAATCCCAGCACTTTGGGAGGCTGAGGTGCACAGATTGCTTGAGCTCAGGAGTTCAAGACCAGCCTGGGCAACATGGTGAGACCTCATCTCTACTAAAAATAAATTAACAACAACA
The DNA here is from genome assembly GCF_000001405.40 of Homo sapiens. Classification (NCBI taxonomy): domain Eukaryota; kingdom Metazoa; phylum Chordata; class Mammalia; order Primates; family Hominidae; genus Homo; species Homo sapiens. Next base: position 111,079,985 of record NC_000006.12, read on the forward strand.
AAAAAAGAAGCCAGGCATGGTGGTGTGCACCTGTGGCCCCAGTTACTTGGGAGGCTGAGGTGGGAGGATAGCTTGAGCCCAGGGGGAAGAGGTTGCAGTGAGTTGAGATCATGCCACTGCATGCCAGACTGAGCAACACAGTGAGACCCTGTCTCAAAAAAAAAAAAAAAAATTCCTGGAGTACACTAACATGGGCATTTTGATACAGTACTTGTGGTAGTATGAATTGATAAAGTTCTTTAAAATTTAGCAATGTATTAGGAGCCTTAAAATACTGCTTTTCACCAGTAATCTCACATCTAGAACTCTATTCTAAGAACTTGTTAGAGATACAAAGATTTGTGTGTAAAGACGTTTATTGCAGTATTATTTATTATAGTGGAAAACCTGAAATAACTTACATGTACAATGATAGGGATGTGACTAAATAAATTATGGTCCATCTCCACAGTAGAATGCTTTATAGCCATTTGCATCCTGCTTTTGAAGAATATTTGATAACATGGGGAAATTATTTATGATGTGATAAGTAAAAAAATGCAGGATACAAAATTGTGCTTTATTATGTGTACTGTGTTAGTTTTTGTTTTTAAGAGACAGGGTCTCACTCTGTCACCCAGGCTGGAGTGCAGCGGTATGATCATGGCTCACTGCAGCCTCGACCTCCTAGGCTCAAGTGATTCTCTTGCCTCAGGTTTCCAAGTAGCTGGGTCTACAGGCATGCACCACCATGCCCAGCTAATTTTTTTTATGTTGCATTGGTTTCATAGGGCTGCCAAAATGAAATACCACAGACCTAGTGACTCAAACAATAGAAGTTGTTTGTTTTTTTAGAGATGGGGGGGGTCTCGAAATGTTGCCCAGACTGGAGTGCAGTGTCTATTCACAGGTGTGGTCATAGCACACTGCAGCCTCAGACTCCTGGGCTCAAGTGATCATCCTGCCTCCCGAGTAGCTGGGACTACAGGCACGTGGCACTGTGCCAGGCTCAAACAACAGAAATATATTTTCTCACACTTCTGGAGTCTGGAAGTCCAAGATCAAGGTATCAGCAGCAGGTGTGATTTCTCCTGAGGCCATTCTCCTTGGCTTGCAGACGTCTTCCTTCCCGTGTCCTCACATGGCCTTTTCCTGGTCACTCTCTAGGTTCCAATCCCCTCTTCTGATGTGGACTCCAGTCATATTGGATTAGGGTCCACCATAATGACCCCATTTTAATTTAATTAGCTCTTTGAAGGTGCTACCTCCAAGTACAGTCACATTCTGAGGCACTGGGGGCTAGGGCTTCAACATATGAATTTTGGGGATGGGGACACAATTAAGTCCATTAAACTATGATTCTCATTTTGTTTAAAAATGCATAGAAACAAAGACTAGAAGAAAATACAGTAGACCTATGGCTTTTGAGCAATCCTGAAGGTTCATAATATATAATAATCGGTAGGTATGTTTGCTGATGTATAGATTTGAGACATAAGAACCTCTGGAGAAGGCCTGTGGCAGAACCCCTATGTATAAATGACTCTAGTTGTCCTCTGGGCATCCTAATCTTATCAGGCTTCTTCATGTTTCACTTATCATCTTGAATGCAACAATTTTAATTAAGGATCAAAAGAGTTGCTTAATTTTTTTTGGTGATACTATACCATTTTTACAGGAAAAATACAAAACAAATATGGTATCTCTCATACATGCATAATTAATAAATATTAAGGTTAAAATGGGTTATTTGAGTGGTTCTATAATAAATATATATATATATTTTTTTGAGACAGAGTCTCGCTGTGTTGCCCAGGCTGGAGTGCAGTGGCACCATCTGGGCTCACTGCAACCTCTGCCTCCTGGTTTCAAGTGATTCTCATGCCTCAGCGTCCCAAGTAGCTGGGATTACAGGTGTGTGCCCCCACACCCAGATAATTTTTGTAATTTTTGTAGAGATAGGGTTTCAACATGTTGGCCAGACTGGTCTCAAACTCCTGGCCTCAAGTTATCCACCTGCCTTGGCCTCCCAAAGTGCTGGGATTACAGGGTTGAGCCACCATGCCTGGGCTATAATAAATGATTTAAACTTTATTGTTTTTATGGTATTTGCTATAACAAGCATGTATTACTTTTTTTTTTTTTTTTTTGTCTGTAGAGATAGGGTCTCACCATGTTGTCTAGGTTGGTCTAGAACTCCTGGGCTCAAGTAATCCTCCCACCTTGGCCTCCCAAACCAAAGTGCTAGGATTACAGGTGTGAACCACTATACCAGGCCTGTATTCTTTTTTTTTTTTTTTTTTTTTTTTGAGACAGAGTTTTGTTCTTGTTGCCCAGGCTGGAGTGCAACGGCACGACCTCGGCTCACTGAAACCTCCACCTCCCAGATTCAGGTGATTCTCCTGCCTCAGCCTCCTGAGTAGCTGGGACTACAGGCGTGCGCCACCACCCCTGGCTAATTTTTGCATTTTTAGTAGAGACGGGGTTTCTCCATGTTGGCCAGGCTGGTCTCGAACTCCTGACCTCAGGTGATCCACCCACCTCGGCCTCCCAAAGTGTTGGGATTACATGCGTGAGCCACTGCACCCGACCTTTTTTTTTTTTTTAGACTGAGTTTCACTCTTATAGCCCAGGCTGGAGTGCAATGGCGTGATCTTGGCTCACTGCAACCTCCACCTCACGGGTTCAAGGACTCTCCTGCCTCAGCCTCCCAAGTAGCTGGGATTACAAGCATATGCCACCATGCCTGCTAATTTTTTGTATTTTTAGTAGAGATGGGGTTTCACCATGTTAGCCAGGCTGGTCTCAAACTCCTGACCTCAAATAATCTGCCCACCTCAGCCTCCCAAAGTGCTGGGATTACAGATGTGAGCCACCTTGCCAGGCTCTGTATTACTTCTACAACTAAAAAAAGAAACACATGATTTAAACATATTTAAAAGTTTTCACCTGAAAATACGGAATCTTCTCAATTACACACTTTGTGGTTCTTTAAATTATTTTTGAATTCTATTCAATTTGGTTCAATAAATATTTGTTGTGCACTAACACTACTTGGTGCTGTGGTTCAAAGATTTGTGAAAGACTATCTGACCTGTCTGAAAATTCCTACACTAGCCAAGGAGATTGAAAACCATTCTACTGACCATAAAAACTGCTATAAATAAAATATGGAAGCCTAGCGGAAGGATCAGTAAAGGCTTCAGAGAAGTGAATTCCATTTTAGAGTGGAGCCTTGAAGATTGAGTGAGATTTCACCATTAGGAAAAGGGGAGAGGTGGTCATTTCAGAAGCAGGGTCTGCAGGGAGGAATAGAGGTGTTCATACTTGTTCCTGAAATGAGGAGCAGGCCTTAAGACTGCAGAACAGAGTTTCAGCAGGTATAGGTTAGAGGATGAATTGGTGCAGGCAGAATTTGTTGGCAGCAAGACTAATTAGTAGGTCATTATGATGGTCCTTGAGAAATGATAAGGAATCATTAAGGAATCAGCAGCAAGGATGGAGAGTAGGGAACCAGGCAAAAGACCTTCTGGAGCTAGAGTTGACAGGATTGCGTTTGAGAGAACCAGGGGAGAAGTATATTAGGAAGCAGACCCAGGTTTCAGCTTGGATTTGGGAGGATTAGGAGTAATACCAAAGGAGAATCAGGTTGAGGGGACTTCTGAAAGAGAGGTAAAAAAGTGGAGATGAGAGAATTAGTTCAGTCTCATTTTTAAAGTGCATTTTTTGGCCCTGCGTGGTGGCTCACGCCTGTAATCTCAGCACTGTGGGAAGCTGAGGTGGGCAAATCACTTGAGATGAGGAGTTCGAGACCAGCTTGGCCCAACATGGTGAAACCTTGTCTCTACTGAAAATACAAAAAATAGCTGGGCGTGGTGGCACGTGCTTGTAATCCCAGCTACTTGGGAGGCTGAGGCAGGAGAATCACTTGAACTCAGGAGGCAGAGGTTGCAGTGAGCTGAGATTGTGCCACTGCCCTCCAGCCTCGGGGACAGAGAGAGACTCTGTCTCAAAAAAAAAAAAAAAAAAAAGGGCCAGGCACAGTGGCTTACACCTGTAATCCCAGCACTTTGGGAGGCAGAGGCAGGCGGATCATGAGGTCAGGAGATCAAGACCATCCTGGGAGGCTGAGGCAGGAGAATCACTTGAACCTAGGAGGTGGAGTTGCAGTGAACCGAGATCTTACCACTGCACTTCAGCCTGGGTGACAGAGCGAGACTCTGTCTCAAAAATAAAATAAAACAAAATAAAAATAAATAAATAAGACTGTCCTAAATAGGAAAGGTTGGTCTTTTGAAATAGAATAAGGAATCAAGTGGATTGTTTTGTTTAATAAATAAGTTTAACATAAACTGCTGATGAAAAGGCCTACATAAAGCACTGTTGGCATTTAGATTTAATGAACTATTACACCTTTTAAAATTTTATAAATCTTTTTATCTGATCTCAAAGCACTTAATAAATAGGAACTCATTAAAAACATACCATCACTGCGCTGAGCATGGTGGCTCATGCCTGTAATCCCAGCACTTTGGGAGGCCAAGGCAGGCAGATTACGAAGTCAAGAGATCGAGACCACCCTGGCCAACATGGTAAAACCCCATCTCTACTAAAAATACAAAAATTAGCTGGGTGTGGTGGTGCACGCCTGTAGTCCCAGCTACTCAGGAGGCTGAGGCAGGAGAATCGCTTGAACCCGGGAGGTGGAAGTTGAAGTGAGCCGAGATTGGGCCACTGTACTCCAGCCTGGTGACAGAGTGAGACTCCATCTCAGGAAAAAAAAAAAATACCATCACTATGTCACTATGCTGTAGTTATAAGTAAACAGGTTCATATTTTCAGGTGGAGAAGATGAGGTCAATCCAATAACACAATGTGAGTTGTTGATTAGTGTGGACATAGAAATAGAAGGTAGTTTTCCTGGACACCTAAAACTCTGCTCCATTCAATAGCCTATTGGTAGTTAGAAGTAAACACTCTTTTTTTAAAGAGATGGATTATTACTTATGTTGCTTGAGGCCAGGAGTTCGAGACCAGCCTGGTTGCTGGTCTCAGCAATGTTGCTCAGGCTGATCTCGAATTCCTGGCCTCAAGCCATCCTCCCACCTGAGCCTCCCAAAGTGCTGGGATTACAGGCTTGAGCCACCACACCTTGCCTCATTTGTTACAATTAATGACCCAATGTTGATACATTATTATTAACTAAAGCCGACATTTTGTTCATATTTCTTTACTTTTAATCTAATGTCCTTTTTCTGTTCCAGTATCCATCCAGGATATCACATTACATTTAGTTATCATGTCTCTTAGGCTTTTTTTTTTTTTTTTGAGTTGGAATCTCACTGTCACCCAGGCTGGGGTACAGTGGCGCGATCTCAGCTCACTGCAACCTCTGCCTTCTGGGTTCAAGCGATTCTCCTGCCTCAGCCACCTGAGTATCTGGGATTACAGGCCCACGCCACTATGCCTGGCTAATTTTTGTATTTTTGGTAGAGATGGGGTTTCGCCATATTGGCCAGGCTGGTCTCGAACTCCTGACCTCAAGTGATCCGCCCGCCTCGGCCTCCCAAAGTGCTGGGATTACCAGCATGAGCCACGACACCCAGCCCTCTTAGACTCTTTTTTACTGTGACAGTTTCTCAGACTTTCCTTGTTTTTGATGACTTTTACAGTAATGAAAGTACTTAATGGGTATTTTGTAGACTGTCCTTGATTGGGATTTGTCTAATGTTTTTCTGATGGTTAGCCAGGGATTATGGGTTTTGGCAGGAAGACCACAGAGGTAAAGTACCATTTTCATCACATCATATCGGGGATACATTATCATCTAGTTGAGGTACTGTGTGCCATTTTTTGCACCCTAAAGTTATTTCTTCCCCCCACTCCCCCTTTCCATCCTATACTCTTTGGAAGAAAGTTACTACGCATACCCACACTTAAAGAGTAAACCATTGTACTTCACCTCCATGAGGGAGGGAGTATGTTCATAAAGTATTTACATTTCCTGCAGGAGAGATTTGTCTATTCTCTCCTCATTATTTATTTAATCATTTACTTACATCAGTACTGACTCGTGGATAATTCTTACATATGTGTTTGTTTGTGTGCATGCAAATATATAATCGATGTGCTTTCTTTGCCCAATAATATGTTGTGGACAACTTTCAAAGTCAATAAATACAGATGACCTTCAGAACTTTTAGAGGTTTTAAAGTAAGTATCTAATCAGTCTTCTACCAATGTACATTATACTTCCAAATTTTCCTTATTTCCAACAATACTGGGGTATCATCTTCATACATACATTTTTGTGCACTTATGTGCCTATTCCTTTGTTTACTATTTTACCCTCATTTCTAAGGCAGATTACACTTGAGCTATGTTCCCCATTCCACAACCAAGCACGGCTTGCTTTCCTTAGTTTATGCTATTTTCTCTACCTGGAATGCTCTTTTCCTGTCTTGACCCACTGAAGTCGTATGTATGAATCAGGGCTTCGGCCAAAGGCTGTTTGCTGTAGAGGCTCTTCTACAGTGTTTGGAGAGAATTTAAGGGACTATCTCATCTCTCTCTTTTGTACATGTATTATAACACATCATCTGAGCCTCCTAGTCTCTCCCAGGACTCTTTTTTCCTACCAGTTTATCAACTGATAAGAGGCAGAAACGAGATCAATCGCACTCATCTGTGTACTCTATCACAGTGGTGGGCACATCAAGTAACTAGCATATTTTGACTTTGATTGAAGTGAAGAATACGAATAACAGAAATTAAGAAGCATCCTCAATATTGCATAGCAGGTTACTCTTCTTTTCTTTTACATAGGATGGCACTCCATGCTTCAGGGAGACAGAGGAGTTGAATACAGGTTTTAGTTTTTGTTTAAAGTGAAAACGACTCTGATGTAGTTGAAAAGTAATGCTTTCTAGCTGTCTGTTAAAAATGTTTGTTGGTTGAAGACTTCGGAATTGCAGTCCAGTGAGGACTGAAAATAAGCATCTTTGGTGTGCCAAATATTCATAAGGAAATTGTATACGAATGCAAGAGAATGGAACTGAAGTAATAAAATAAGGGCTCTGATCCTTCAGATGACTTATTTAAGAAGCCAGGTGGCATAACGAATCTTACATATTATAATTAGTACTGAGAGGTGAATGCCAAAACATAAAACAAACACAATCGAGACAATGTTAGTGTGACTGTGACGCTGTGTCGGTGAGTTGAGGCTAACGATCCAGTGTGGCTCTCCTGAAGGCCCACCGCGCCCGCACCTAGGAGACGCGCCCCTTCTGCTCATGCTTTGAGGCGGGGTGACCCACACATCTGTGCCCCTCTCTGAGCAGGAGGAGGCCCCGTCGCAGACGCGCGCGCAGACAGCGTCTGCCGCGGGCACCTGGGGCCGCGCGCCGCGGGGCGCCCCGCCTCCGCTCTCCGAGGCCCAATCATCTGGAGGCTGTGGGGGCACGTCCCGCTCCCGGCCACGCCCCCAGCCGGCGGGGCGGGGGGTGCTTTTAAGAACCGGCGGCTGGCAGTGGGCTCAGTCGGGGGTGCGGGGCTGTGACCTAGAGGCTTCAGTGTCGATCCCCGAGGTGTTCGCGCGCGCCAGCTGTCCTCGCGGCCGCCTGCGCGCTGGCCGCCTGCGCGCTGCCAGCCCGCCCGCCCGCCAGGGGCTCCGCCGCCCTCGCCTCGGCCTCGTTAGCCCGCCAGGAGCCCCGCAGCTCCTCCGGGAGCCCGCTGGTAACTCGCGTCCCTCGCGCTTCTCCGGCGCCTGAGGGGCCCGCCTCGGGCCATGGTGCTCTCCCAGGAGGAGCCGGACTCCGCGCGGGGCACGAGCGAGGCGCAGCCGCTCGGCCCCGCGCCCACGGGGGCCGCTCCGCCGCCCGGCCCGGGACCCTCGGACAGCCCCGAGGCGGCTGTCGAGAAGGTGGAGGTGGAGCTGGCGGGGCCGGCGACCGCGGAGCCCCATGAGCCCCCCGAACCCCCCGAGGGCGGCTGGGGCTGGCTGGTGATGCTGGCGGCCATGTGGTGCAACGGGTCGGTGTTCGGCATCCAGAACGCTTGCGGGGTGCTCTTCGTGTCCATGCTGGAAACCTTCGGCTCCAAAGACGATGACAAGATGGTCTTTAAGACAGGTGAGGCGCGGCGCCCGCCGAGGCCAGCCTGGGCGACCCGCGTGGGGCCCCCGAGCGCATCCCGCGTGTGGGCTGTGTCTGCCTCCGAGTGTGCATGTCGGTGGGTCCCTGTGCCAGAGGGTGCGAGCAGGGGGGTCTTTCGAGTTGCAGACAGAGCCTGCCGCTTCTGGGGCCTCGGGGTGCCCGTCTTTATATGGAATCCAGCTGCAGAGCTGTGTGTTTGCAAGCAGGTCGCAGAACTTACTTGCCGAGATCGTCCTCCTTTCCCCTCAGCAGAGCAGACGCTAACAGTCCACAGGAGCCCTTCCTTTTATTGTTTGAAAACAAACAGAACCCCAGAACCTTCAACCCCAGTCATCGCCCTGTCATTTTTGTGGTCTCTTTCGTGACTATGCCAGTTATGTAGTTCTTCACCTGCCTCCCTGGGCCGCAGAGGGGTGTGCGTATGTTGGCGGGGCGGGGGGTGGAGTTTGGAGGAATGAAAGAGATTTGTACGAAGGTCACTGGAGTTCCAAAGGGGGCCCTGCAAGAGTCACGGTTCCGTGCGTTCCCGTCCCCCCGCCTTTTTTTGCCCTCTGGGTTAAATGTAGAAAACACGGGAGGCAGCCGGATTAGGGACTAGGATGAGGAAGGTGAAGGGTTGCTTCTTCCCTCTTCCTGTTGTGTTTTTTGACATTTTTTTTTAACCATATAGTAAATTAGATACAAAAGGTGCAGATTCAGCGTTTTCTCCCTGTAGAGCATTATTATGACTTTTTGGCTGGTTAGGCAAAAAACAAATCTAAGACCTTCTGCATGACACTTTAACATAAATTCTTTCACTTTATCCTGCAAGGTGAGCGCGGTCAACCCCATTTGGGTGAGAAAACTGTAGCTCAGTGAAAGTGTCTTGGTGGGTAGTAGAATGGCAATAAAACACATATCAACTGACTTCAAGGGCTAAGTGATTTCCATTACTAAATCAACCTCCCTCCCCATCATTTGGGGTAACTTTATATGATTAATAGTCTTTTTTTTTAACCTTGATTTTCTATTATTTTTAGAGTGAATATTTCTTAGGTCTTTAGTATGCATATGAGGAATGGGCAAGACTGTAATAAATTCTGAGACAAAGGTAATGCTGGGTTATGCTGAGAGTTTTAAAACCTGACATAAATACTATTAAACTATTTGTATCATTCTGCAACTTACTTTTCTTCCATTCCGCATCATGTTTGTGACTTATCCACATAATACCTCAGTGTGAACTGATAACTCAAATTCTTTCCATTTTAACTTAGGTGGTTTGCATTGTTTGACTATATTATACTCTATGCATTCTCCCTCTGATGGGCATTTAGATTGCTTCCAAACTCATTCTAAACAATGCTGCAATGAATATTCTTGTACACTCTCGTTATGCATGTGAATACGGTACCATTTTAACCTGGAATTTCTGTTCTTTAAATAGCTATTGAAACTGCTGTGGTATGCGGGTCAATGGGCTAGGTACAAAAAGTGTTAAAAATGTAGTAACATATCCTTACCATTTAAGGGAAGTAATCATTGTAAAGTTTAGCAGGGGAGATATGCATATATAATAGCAAACAAAAATAGTTTGTTGTCTTTTCTATATGAGTATTGGGTGTCAGAGAGAAAAGCCCCAAAAGAAGGCAGAATTGACAGAGTTAACATTTAAAGACTAGTTCCAACATTTACCATATTCCTGCCTGGGATTACAGATTTTTTAATGCAGTCAAGATAACAGCAGTCTTTTGTTTATCATTGTTTTTGCAAATTCAGTTAAGTAGATCCTTTGGTGTCTGTGGGTGGGTTTTTTTTTTTTTTTTTTTTTTTTTTTTTTTTTTTTTTGAGAGAGAGAGAGAGCAATTGCCAGAGAGACCATAGCTTTGCCAGGGATGAGAATTTTGCAGTGTCAAAGTCTCTACCTACTACTTGTCCCCAAAGTTCTAATTGGCTACACAATATCCCAATACTGGGTAGCTGAGAGTGAGGGAAGGAACCTGGTTTTTCTTTTGCACTCTGTGGAACTTTGTGTTTTCCATTTTGATGAATATCTTTTTTCTTTTTACTCAGTTCAGTCTTTGACAACTTTTTCAGTCATGTTTGTGTATGTGTGGGTATATATCATATAAACAGTTGCACAGGTGTGCTAGTTAAATGTGTGAAGATCTTTGTGTTTCTCTGCCTGACTGCTGTATATCTATTTATGGTTGTGCCATTGCACAAGGGTGCCCAACTCAGGGGTAAGTGGGGACTGAAAACCAGCCTGGGCTCTGGGTGCCCTTTGTCTGATTCCTACAGAAGGGCCCTATGCACTTGTAATGGCCCTGTATAACACAGCATCTAGATTGAACAATGGCCATTACTTGGGTGCTAGGTAATACATATATGACTGATAGATGTTAAGGGCTGAGGAAGAAAACAGATTTAAACTTAGTGCTGAAAAAATGGTTACAAGATAGTCTTTAAGCCAGTTATTGTTGAGATCTCTCTCTCTTCCCCTGTCCCCTACCCCTTTCTCTTTCCTTCAGTGCACACACACACACACAAAGGTGTTTCATGAAGTCCCTCATCTACCACAGTCACTGTTATTTGAGAATATCTGCTTTGAAGTTTGATTGGTCACACTTTTTCACTTTGATATTCGAATGCTGAGTCGTCTGTGATCAAGCATATGCAAGCTTCAAATACATGCCAAAAAATATCTGGAATTTGTTTAAGCCTTTTATTTTTCAAAGTTTTGGTCTATTTTCTATTACCGTACTCATGATGGATAATCCTGGTGTTAGAGTACAGCTAGTTCTGTCTCCTTGTTTCCATTACTTCTTTATAGCAAGTGACTAGCCTAAGGATATACAGGGAGGTGGTGGTGGAATGGAATCTAGGTCTCCAAATGATGGTGCGCATTTCTTGAGTACTTTCCTGTGGCTAAGCACTTTAGATGCGTTCCTATTTAAACCTTACCACGATTCTCTGATAGACTTTGTTAATATCTTTCTTTTCAGATATGGGAACTCAGGCTTACAGAGTTTAAGTAAGAAGTGGAGCCAGAATTCAACCCCAGGCTTATCTGACTCTAAGAGCTGGGATTTTTATTTTAATTATTTATTTATTTAAAATATGGAATGCTTCATGAATTTGCATGTCATCCTTGTTCAGGGGTCACGCTAATCTTCTCTGTGTCATTCCAATTTTAGTAGATTGTTGTTCAAAGTGCTGCTGAAGCAAGCACCAGGAGCTGGGTTTTAATCATTCATCATATTGCATTGACTAGATAACATTCTGCAAATACGATGTTTTTTATGTTGTTGATTAATTTAAGTGTTAGTGATTGGTTGAGTGCTCTACCATGCATTCTGGGATTAGAAAGAAGGGTCCCTGTTTCTTGGTCCTACTTTGTGGTGAATAAACAATTGCAAATTATTAATGTCTCAAACTATATTTCTGAAGTGTAGAGAGACTTCCATAGAAGAACAAGATACTTCCATATGCCGTTCAAGCAAAAGTCTGGGGTTTCCTTTGAAGAACTTTTAGATTGATCCACAGCAGGACAATGTTTCTAGGCAGAACTGAGGAGGAGCCTTTCTTAGGCTCACTTCTCTTCAGGGCTCTGTTAACTCTTCCCACGCAATGGATAATCTACCCAAAATTTCTCAGGAAAGGGCCTGAAGAAGTTCATTCACACTAAGGTGTAAGTGAGTTTACACATCTTACTGTTAATTCTCTTTATACAAATGTTTACCAAGTTATCTAACACGCTTTGTTTTGGGCTCTGTCCTGGGGACTGGAGATAATGACTGAGAGAGAAAATGTCAGCTGTTTCAAAGTAGCTTAGGATCTGTTGTGGGATACAAATTAATAACAGACCAGAAGTAATAGAATATTTCCCTGAAGGATTTTCAATATAACAGGACTCAGTTTTACTATAAAAGGCTGAAATTCTAAGGTCATTTCAACAGGTGGTGGGGTTGGGGGTGGGGAAGGCATTTGACGCCTCTTTCTCTATGGTTATAAATCTCACTTGGTGAAATTAAGACTTTGGAAAGGGGAAGTAAGCCAACTCCAAGTTGGGCAGTAGAACCAATGAAAAATGCTGACGGCATCACAGTCCCATTATGGTGCCCAGCTGCCAATGACATGGCACTCAGAGGAGTGTCTCACACATACTGCTCTGTCTGAGGGAGCAAGCTAAGCTTGAGTTGTCTCTTTTTTTGTTGTTTTTTTTTTTTTTTTTTTTTTGAGACAGATTCTCACTCTGTCGCCCAGGCTGGAGTGCAGTGGCACCATCTCGGCTCACTGCAACCACTGCCTCCCGGATGCAAGCAATTCTGCCTCAGCCTTCCGAGTAGCTGGACTACCTGCGCTTGCCACCACACCTGGCTAATTTTTGTATTTTTAGTAGAGACAGGGTTTCACCATATTGGCCAGGCTGGTCTCAAACTCCTGACCTCGTGATCCACCTGCCTCGGCTTCCCAAAGTGCTGGGATTACAGGCATAAGCCACCGCGCCTGGCCAAGTTGTCTCTTTTTAGTTGAATTTTTACCTGTTCACATGTGTATTCTTCTTGCCTAGGTAGAGAGGAATCAGACACTCTGGGGAAGAATACAAAGAAATACAATTAAGTGGAACATTGTTTTTCTTTAGAAAGTGCAATTTTGGGCTGGGCGCAGTGGCTCATGCCTGTAATCCCAGCCCTTTGGGAGGCCAAGGCAGGTGGATCACCTGAGGTCAGGAGATTGAGACCAGCCTGGCCAAGATGGTGAAACCCCGTTTCTACTAAAAATACAAAAAATTAGCTGGGCATGGTGGCGGATGCGTGTAATCCCAGCTATTCGGGAGGCTGAGGCAGGAGAATTGCTTGAACCTGGGAGGCAGAGGTTGTAGTGAGCCAAGATGGCGCCACTGTACTCCAGCATGGGCAACAAGAGTGAAACTCCGTCTCAAAAAAAAAAAAAAGAAAAGAAAAAAAGAAAAAAGAAAGAGCAACTTTGTTTTAACTCTGCTAGATACTGGAAAACCCATGGAACTAATGAAGAGCCTAGGGCTTTTTATTTGTTTTGAGATTGTGCCATTTCACTCCAGCCTGGGCAACAAGAGAGAAACTTTGTCTCACACACAAAAAAAGTGTAAATCAAAACATTAAAAATTAAGTAGTTTGGAAGTAGATTATCAAAAAGGTCCTGAAAGGGAGGTTCTTTGGCTATAATCTTTAACGCAACTCTACACTCCCTGTATGGAGACAGATTTCTTTTTAGATGGTTACAGTCACAAAGTAGGGTTTTCAGTAGCATTTAGGGATGAATGAATCTTGCAGCACCTCTCCATGTATCTTGCTAGCCCCTCTGAAACTTCAGGTCAGTTAGTGCTTCCTCAGAAATTGTTCCCCCCACACCAAGTTTTCACATTTACAGTTATACTGATATCCACATTGTACTGTTGTATGTGACACCTAGATTATAGGAAATTTTGGCTATAGTTCAGAAATTAACTGCTATGTTTTGCCTTTACGCTAAAGAGATTTTGTTTTGTTTAGTAGGAAAAGCGGCCTGCATAACTAGCCATTTCTGTATCTTAGAAAAATTTTTAGTAACAGTCCTTTGTTGAGCTAGTTACAGTGAACAAATAATCTGGTTCATGGTCCTATACATCTTTCACTATAAGAAAAATACCTGATTGTTATTTACACTGGAAGAGAGGTAGAAAAGCTAAGAGAACTCACTTATGGCAATAAACCAATCTAAACTACCTGCTAAAATAAGTGAGAAGATTATAAAAATGGTTCTAGGATTTTGGAATAATAGTGAGTATGGTATGGGCGTTTCATACTTCATTTCCAGAATGTTTCTGGATTAAGTGCGAGACTGAATAGCATATATAGTGAATTCTAATTAAATACAACAATGTGAGATTCCTGTGGTGTTTTTTCATGGAATTAAAAATTAATAATTTCAATAAAATTAACTGCTGAAAGAACCCAATTAGCCAAAATGAAAAGCATAACACATTTTTTCAGGAGCGATTTTGAGGTGTCTTTTAGAATAAATTGTACTCTGCTTTTGATGTGATTTGCTACATCTTTTTGTTGCAGTTCCTTGAGGCTCAGCCCCTGGCCATATACTTGCTTCACTTTTCCTGCTTTCTTCCATCCACTGTCTTGGGGCTGTTATTTCCAAATCTCATCACTGTGTTCAAGACTTATTTACTATTTCTGGACAGTTCCATTTGGGTACACAGGTACATCATACTAAACTAACATGAACTCATTTTTCAGCTACACCATACAACCTTCCCTTACTACCAAAAATGACAGCCCATTTGTCGGCATTCTTCTGAATCCATATTCCTCCTTCTTAATTCTCTGTGCATGATACCTCTGGTTGTTTAAGTCAGAAACCTGGAATGTATCTTAGCTTCTTATTTCTCTTCCTTCCTTACCTGTTTTGTTAAATCAGAGTTCTTTTGTGTTTACCTTCTTAATGCCTCATAAATCAGTCCCACTTTTCTTTCACTACTGTGTCTTAATTCATGCCTTCATTTACTTTTTATTTTATTTTTTGGGATAGGGCCTCACTGTGTTCCCCAGGCTGGAGTGCAGTGGCATGATCATAGCTCACTGCAGCCTCAAACTTCTAAGCTCAAGCAATCCTCCTATCTCAGCTTTTTGAGTAGCTGCAACACCAGGCACATGCCACCATGGCCGGCTAATTAAAAAAAATTTTTATGTGGAGATGGCATCTTGCTATTTTGCTCAGCCTTGTCTTGAACTCCTGGCCTCAAGCGACCCTCCTGCCTCAACTTCCCAAAGTGTTGGGACTACAGGCGGGACCTACTGTGCCTGGCCACCTTCATTACTATTGGCAACAATTAGTCATAACCCCTTAACAGGATTGCTTGTCCTCAGTTGTACATCTGAGTGATTTTTCTAAAAGATTGGACCATATGATTTTTCTGTTTAAATGCCCAGTGACACTCATTACTTTTAGGAAAATGTCAAACTCCCTACTCCGAAGGCCTGCAAGCTCTGGCCCTTGCCTGGCCCTCTAGCCTTGCCCCTGCTTCTCTCCCTTACTGGTCTTTGTGTTCTAGCCAACCTGTAGGTGTTACACTGGCCCAAATTTGTCTTGCTGCTTTTTGCCTCTGTACCTTTGTGTGTGCCACTCCTGTCTTCAGTGCGATGGTTGGTCCTTGTGAGATTCTGATGAAATGGTTGGCCATTTTATTCTTATGTCACAATCCTGGGACACAAACAGTGATTTTATGCAATTGTTATGTATTTGATGCACTTGGAATATTGGGGGTAGCTACATTTTGGAGTTTTGAGAACGAATTCAAATAAGTTACAAATTATGTTTAAAGTGGTAGACAGAGAACCTGATTTCAACCTATTCTAATAAAGCATTCCGTGAAAGCCATTTTAAAGATGATCCATATTTGTTAAAGTGGTAATTTTTATATTCTCTGATATGGTTTGGCTGTGTTCCCACCCAAATCTCATCTTGAATTGTAGCTCCCATAATCCACACTTGTCATGGGAGGGAGGTAATTACCTGGTGGGAGGTAATTGAATCATGGGGGCAGGTTTTCCTGTGCTGTTCTTGTGATAGTTAATAAGTCTCATGAGATCTGATGGTTTATAAAGGGCAGTTCCCCTGCACACTTTCTGTTGCCTGTTGCCATGTAAGACATGCCTTTGCTCCTCTTTCACCTTCCACCATGATTGTGAGGCCTCCCTAGCCATGTGGAACTGTGAGTCCATTAAACCTCTTTTTCTTTATAAATTACCCAGCCTCAGATATTTCTTCATAACACTATGAAAATGGAGTAATACATTCCATTACCATAAAGAAAAGGCTTTCATGTACATTATTTTTTAGAGTAGCCTTGTGGTATGTCATTACCTCCATGGATAGATAAGAAAGTTGCAACTTGCACAGTATTAGGATTGATATCAGTATTTACTTTTATTAAGTTGAACTTAAGAGCAGCTTTTTGGCTGGAAAAAAGTTGTACTTATGTCAAAGTTGTCCTGAAAGTAGAATCCTACTCCTGTCCCCAGCCTGAAACTATTTACTACATATTTACTTGCATGTTCTTTAGAATATTCTCTCAATAGTGTCTCCTACTCAAGTCATCAGAAATGCTGTGATGTCATTTTTGGAAAAGAATTCCAGAGTTATCACCGCCTAGCTAGAAATCTGGTCTTATATTCAAATTAAACAAGCAAACCTTAACAAAAACAAGCTAAACCCTAAACATAACATGAACAGTCAGCTCACCACAGTTCTGAGCACCTGCCTTGGCCTGGTGCCACCCACGCAGGGACTGTGGATGTTTTTATTGGCAGAGATTCAGAACAGGAAACTCCAGCACACCTGGGAACTGCGCAGACCCACCACATAAGACAGATAGCCTATCAGTGGCTGGAGGAATGGAGGAAAGCAGTGCTTTCAAATGTACATGCCAAATGTGTATGATCATACCTCTTTGTTAAAGTGCCTTCTTTAACAGCAAAAGTAATTCCTCACCTTGCATATAGGAACTAAAAAAAAGTCGATGAAGAAATGGCTTGCCTTATTTTCAAGTAAGAAGTCTTTTTTCATTTCACTAATTTTTAATTATGGGCATAAGTATGAAATACAGATTAGAAATACTGAATGTGGACCAAAGCAATGTTTCCTTTGTGGACCAAAGCAGTGAATCTTTTTTCTTTCTTTCTTTCTTTTCTTTTTTTTGTTAAGAGACAGGGTCTTGCTCTCTTGCTCAGACTGGAGTGCAGTCAGTGATGTGATGGCTCACCATAACCTCAACCTCTTGGGCTCAAGGGATCCTCCTGCCCCAACCTCCTGAACAGCTGGGATTACAGGCACATACCACCACACCTGGCTAATTTTTAAAAATTTTTTTGTGGGGGAGGGTCTCTCTATATTGCCCAAGCTGGTTTCAAATGCCTGAGCTCAAGTGATCCTCCAACCTCAGGCTCCCAGAGTGTTGGGATTACAGGTTTGAGCCACTGTGCCTGGCCCCAAAACAGTGTTTGTAACTCCCTTTGTCCCCTCTTGATAAACATAAAAGTCTCATGGTACTTCAGAATTTTGTTGCACACATCCAAGTGTAGTTTGCCTTTCCTTGTGAGTGGCAGAAGACAATGTCATACTCTGTATTTATCCATCAGCCAAAATTTTGTCAAGCTTTACTTTTATTTTTTAAATTTTTATTTGTATTTTTTTTTGGAGACAGAGTCTTGCTCTGTCGCCCAGGCTGGAGTGCAGTGGCGTGATCTCGGCTCACTGCAACCTCCGATGCCTGGGTTCAAGCGATTTTCGTGTCCCAGCCTCCAGAGCAGCTGGGACTACAGGCACGCACCACCATGCCTGGCTAATTTTTTTGTATTTTTAGTAGAGGTAGGGTTTCGCCATGTTGGTCAGGCTGGTCTCGAACTCCTAATCTCAGGTGACCCACCCGCCTCAGTCTCCCAAAGTGCTGGGATTACAGGCATGAGCCACCATGCCCGGCCAAGCTTTACTTTTAGTTATGTTGTGGATATAATTAGAATTATTTTCTTGTTCTTTAAATACAGAATTATAATATTGAATGTGTGCTTTAAAAAAATTAGTAAATGTACCCCTCTAGAACTTCTGATCTATGCCTCTTAGTGAGTGAGGGGAGCTGTGCCGCTTTCCTCCTCCAGTGCCTCCACTTAAGAATCACTCACTAAGGAGTTTTAAATTCAATTAAAGGTATCCTTTAGATAGTTAAGTCTAAATGAAAGGTCAATGATTAAATTAATGGATAAAAGTCCATTGCACCTACGGAAAGGTGCATTGGTCTACAGTTCAGCTAGTACCTATTTTTTGCTAAAGATTAAATTGCAGCTGGGCGGGGTGGCTCATACCTGTAATCCCAGCACTTTGAAAACCTGATGGAGGCCGGGTGCCGTGGCTCATGCCTGTAAATCTTAGCACTTTGGGAGGCCGAGGTGGGCGGATCACTTGAGGTCCGGAGTTAGAGACCAGCCTGACCAACATGGAGAAACCCTGTCTCTACTAAAAATACTAAATTAGCCGGGCATGGTGGCGCATGCCTGTAATCTCAGCTACTGGGGAAGCTGAGGTAGGAGAATCGCTTGAACCCGCGAGTTGGAGGTTGCAATGAGCCAAGATCATGCCATTGTACTCCAGCCTGGGCAACAAGAGTGAAACTCAGTCTCAAAAAAAAAGAAAACCCTAGGTGGAAGGATCGCTTGAGTCCAGGAGTTCAAGAACAGCCTGGGCAACATAGTGAGACCCCATCTCTACTTTTAATTAAAATAAAATTAACATTAAAAAGTGTAGTAAAATTTTTAAAAAGAGTAAATTGTATCAGCAGTGTTCTGCCTGTGTTCAGAAAGCCAAAATTTATATTTGTGTTTCATTTAGATTGGATCCAAGACCAATTTTGAGATGTGTTTTAATATTACAAAAATAGAAAACTACCTGTTCATTAAATGGTGATATTTATTGACTTTTCTGTGTAGATAAGTATTAATGCCAAGTCAAGTAGGTTAGTCTGGAGACTGTTTTTATTAATAAAAACCTTTTCATCTTAATTATCCTTTTTATTAGTTTTGACTTTATGTTGCAACTTCAAAGCAGCATCTCAAAGGGTTCACATTTGTCAGTGGTTGTTTAAACAACGACATTCCACAAAGTTAATTGATGTTTTAGTGTGAATGGGGCAGGAAGTTGTCATTGTTGTCCTGTAGTAACGTAGCACTCAAACTTTGACAGGAGGACCCCAGCCATGTAGTTATTGACTGTAAGTACACTTCCCTTAAGAGTAAGTTGTTTTTTAGGAATAAATGATAAATGTATGGAGTTTTAGTTGTAGGTGTTATGTTTTGTCTCCTTCTTCTCAGAGAAAAATGTTACTGTGGAATAGGCTTAAACTGAAAAAAGGATCTGATTTTTAATAAGATCAGATTCTTTGGCCATATTTTGATATTGGTTCAAAACAAATGTTTAATATCAGATGCACAATGTTAAGAGCTCTATAATGTAGTGGTAACACCTGAGCCTCAGCCAGTGACTACACATTAAGTTCTTGTTCATTTTTTGCAGGGGCAGGGGAGCTGGTGAGGCATAAAGAAGGGTCAGAGGAGATAATAGACTTATATTTGTATTTTTATGCATAATTATATAGGAAACATTAAATCCAGAGTTGATAAATAATTTGTATGTATGTATTTATTTATTTTTGAGACTGGGTCCTGCTCTGCTGCCCAGGCTGAAGCGTAGGGGTATGAACACAGCTCACTGCAGCCTTGACCTGGGCTCAAGCGATTTTCTTGCCTCAGCCTCCCGAGTAGCTGGGACCACAGGCATGTGCCACTACACCTGGCTAATTTTTAAAGTTTTTTTGTAGAGATGGGGTCTCACCACGTTGCCCAGGTTGGTCTTGAACTCCTGGGCTCAAGCAATCCTCCTGCCTTGGCCTCCCAGAGTGTTGGGATTATAGATGTGAGCCACCATGTTCAGCTGATAAATAATTTCTAATCTAAAAATCCTATTTTGTATGGAGAGGGGAGGGCAAATAGGCTATTTTTTCCACATTTTGTTGCTGGCCAGAATCTCAGAGGGTTTTTACCTGCATTAAAAATGATTAAGGCTGGGCAGAATGGCTCATGCCTGTAATCCCATCACTTTGGGAGGCTGAGGCAGATGAATTGCTTGAGCCCAGAAGTTCTAGAGCAGCCTGGGCAACATGGTGAAACCCCATCTCTACGAAAAATGCAAAAATTAGCTGGACGTGGTGGCAGGCACCTGTAGTCCCAGCTACTCAAAAGGCTGAGGTGGGAGGATCACCTAGCTCTAGAGGTCAAGGGTGCAATGAGCCAAGATTGCTCCACTGCCCGCCAGCCTGGGCAGCAGAGCAAGACCCTGTCTCAAAAAAAAAAAAAAAAAAGGTTATTTTTTTTCAGCATAGACAAAGCAGGGGAAGGAAAAGATTATGTTTCAAATGTTCATTTAAACTACTACATTTAAAGTAATACTTCCTAATGATTTAAACTTTAGATTAGTCTATTTATGGGTCACCTGGAAGATTCTTTATAAAACATGAGAGTTTATTACTTCTTTCAATACACGGGTGTCTGTAAATGATGCTCAATAGATCTGAAGCCTGAACTTTCTGAAGAAATGTTGTGAAATTATCTATGGATGTCTACTTGAATTTAAATAAAAATAAATTGTAATACATTTGGTTTTATTGGTTTTGAATTTGTAATTATTTGGGGATTTGGATTTGGTTTATCTACAGTTGTCTTTTTTTTTGAGGTGGAGTCTCGCTTTGTCACCAGGCTGGAGTGCAGTGGTGCGATCTCGGCTCACTGCAATCTCTGCCTCCCGTGTACAAGCGATTCTCCTGCTTCAGCTTCCTGAGTAGCTAGGATTACAGGCATGCACCTCCATCCCCAGCTAATTTTTGTATTTTTAGTAGAGATGGGGTTTCACCATGTTAGCCAGGATGATCTCGATATCTTGACTTCGTGATCCGCCTCGGCCTACCAAAGTGCTGTGATTACAGGTGTGAGCCACCGTGCCCGGCCTACAGTTGTCTTTTTTTACTCACTCCCACAGATGAATCATTATAAGGAGGTTAGCTTTCCTTAAAGAATACACTCTCCTTAAGCGGTTTTATCAACAAAGCCAGGGAATGCCAAACTTTAACACTTTTACCTAAATTTATAACTGATGCATGTATGCATATATACATACATACATACATGTATATGTTGTTATATATGTATGGGTATCATCAGTATAGTCTATCAGTATAGTAATTGTTTATCTGAAACTTGGGGTTCTCTCTCGCTCTTTCTCTCCCTCTCTCTCTCTCTCTCTCTCTCTCTCTCTCTCTATATATATATATATATATATATATAAATATATGTATATATATTTTTTCTTTTTTTGAGACAGGATCTCATTCTGTCACCCAGGCTGGAGTGCAGTGGTGGGATCATGGCTCACTGCAGCCTCGACCTCCTGGGCTCAAGTGATCCTCCCACCTCAACCTCCCAAGTAGTTAGGACTACAGGGGCATGCCGCTACACGTAACTAATTTTTGTATTTTTTTGTAGAGACAGGGTTTTGCCTTGTTGCCCAGGCTGGTCCTGAAATCCTTGGCTCAAGCAATCTGTCCACCTCAGCCTCTGAAAGTGCTGGCATTACAGGTCTGAGCCACTGCGCCCAGCCTAGATTTTTTTGAATTGTAAAAAAGTAACCTGCTCCCTACTGAAGTAAATAGAGTTAAAAAAAGTAATCTGGTACAGACACCTGTATTTTCTGACACCCCTAGAAGAGTCCCAGGTACCCTATAATCAAATACATTAACATTTCTGCAGCAAAATGTATGGATAAGTGAGTTAAATAGAGACCATGAGTAGCTTCAGGTCAGTTCAGATCAAGTTTTGCTTCTAATTAAATGTTGATATTCTCTTACAAAAACTTTGGGTTTGGGTTTTCAGATTTGCAAATAAATAATTATAAATTATTATTTTTTTTGAGACAGAGTCTTGCTGTGTTGCTCAGGCTGGAGTGCCATGGCACGATCACGGCTCACTGCAACCTCAACCTCAGGCTGAAGCCATCCTCCCACTTCAGCCTCCCAAGTAGCTGGGACTACAGGAGTGTGCCAACATGTCCAGCTCATTTTTGTATTCTTAG
Organism: Homo sapiens; assembly: GCF_000001405.40. Lineage (NCBI taxonomy): Eukaryota > Metazoa > Chordata > Mammalia > Primates > Hominidae > Homo > Homo sapiens. The sequence goes on from NC_000006.12 coordinate 111,101,803, forward strand.
TAGAGACAGGGTTTCGCCGTGTTGGCCAGGCTGGTCTCAAACTCCTGGTCTCAAGTGATCCGCCTGCCTTGGCCTTCCAAAGTGTTGAGATTATAGGTGTCAGCCACTGGGCCTGGCAGAATTATACATTTATATGTCAATATTTGCTTTTGTTTTCTGTTTTTCAGTAAACGTTTTTTAAGGTACATTTTTCTGTATCTCATAAGGCACCTGCTTAATTGTTTCAGTAAGTGTGATGTTCTACCATATTGGTCTACCCTAGGTTACTCAACCAGGCCTCCTTTGTTTAGTGAGTAGCAGGCAGTGTTGTACAACATATGTAGCATATCTGTATATGTCGTCGAACAAATTGTTTTTTTCCCCTCTCTTGGATTGCTTCCTTGGGTGTACGTCCAGAAGTGAGATTACTGGTTCAAAGGGTATGAACAACTTTATAACACCTGTTACACATTGCCAGATTATTCTTTAGAAAACTTGAATCAGTTTATTGTGCCACCAGTGATGTGCTGGCTTCCTGAAAACCCTACCAATGTTTGGTTTTATTTTTATTAGTATTTGCTAATTTGATAAGTACTAATGATATTTTTTAAAAGTAGTTTAAAATCATATTTCAGTGCTTATAAGTCTGTGTTCCCAGTTTTTGAGCCCTTTAGAAGCTGCAAATGACCTGGCAATTATATATAATATTTGAAAATACAAGAGGACATATGCCAGTGAATATATTAGAGTAAAACTTCATTCCCATAGGTAATGAAGGAATGCTTGAGATTATCTTAGGCCTTAGATTCTCACCTGACACATCTTGGCAGGTAGACCATGTCCTTGTTTCCTCTGCTGTCTTAGCCCAGGTGTTGATCAAGGTCTGTCTTAGGGCGGGGGATAGGAATGGAAATAAACCATGTAGAGACTTGGGCATGAGGACTTTGTGATTCTTCCAGGTGACATCTCATCCTTCAGAGGATCAAGTCTGCAAGAGTAGCCATATCTTAATCTCTTTCAGTGCTATCACCTTGCATCAACCTCTGGACTCGAGCTAATTCCGTTGAAAATATTTTATTAATTAATTTTGGGGTATGTTAAAAATTTTGTTTGCATGTATTTATTTAGTTATTTTTATGAGACAGGGTCTCGCTCTGTCACCCATGCTGGAGTACATACGGTTGCACGCTCATGGCTCACTGCAGCCTTGACTTCCCAGGCTCAAGTGATCCTCCCACCTCAGCCTCCTGAGTAGCTGGGACTACAAGTGCATGTCACCACATTTGGCTAATTTTCATATTTTTTGTAGAGACGGGGTTTCGCCACATTGCCCAGGCTGGTCTCAAACTCCTGGACTCAAGGGATCTGCCTGCCTCAGCCTCCCGAAGTGCTGAGATTATAGGTGTGAACCACCGGGCCCGGCTCCCCATTTAATTTTGTTGTTGTTGTTTTTTAGATGGAGTTTCACTCTTGTCGCCCAAGCTGGAATGCAATGGCACGATCTTGGCTTACGGCCACTTCCACCTCCTGGGTTCAAGCGATTCTCCTGTCTCAGCCTCCCGAGTAGCTGGGATTACAGACACACGCCACTATACCTGGCTAATTTTTGTATTTTTAGTAGAAATGGGGTTTCACCATGTTGGTCAGGTGGGTCTCAAACTATTGACCTCAGGTGATCCACCTGCCTCGGCCTCCCAAAGTGCTGGGATTATAGATGTGAGCCACCATGTCCAGCCACCCATTTAATTTTTTGAGCACAAAATATGTACTGAGAGCCACGCAAGAAACAAATTCGACTTATTCCATGCTCTTGAGAGGTCATGAGGGGAAACAAAATGATACATAAGTAACTCTGAGAGAATATGCTGCACATGCTAAATCCTGTGCAAGTAAGATATAGGATTTTAGAGGAAGGGAGAATGACTTCTGATTGAGCTGACTAGAGAAGGCTTCAGTTTTTGAGTTAGGTGTTACGAGATTGGGAGACTTTTCTCAGCATATCTAACAGAAGAGGGTATCCGAGGTGAGAGTGTAAGGCCTGGGCAAGGGTTGGGAGGCAGTTCTAATACTGAATGTTCTGACTGTGGTTTACTATGTATTTCAGGTTATTTTGTTTAATCTATCCAGTAATCCTTTCATGTAACAATTATGATGTGTGTGTTTTAGGTGGGGCTACTAAGGCTAGTAAGTAGTGAGGCTGGATTTAAACTTAAGTCTCCAGCTTCGTGGCCCAGGTTCTTTATACTTGACTCCACACTGGGCTTATTAAGTGAATGACAAGGAGTTTGATTTGTCGAGGGCCGAGGATATGTAGTGAAAGGTCATAGACTATAAGGCTGGCAAAGAATGGTGGAGCTGGGGAACGGAAGATCTAAATGCCAAGGTAAGCTTGGACATTATTTAATAGAGGCAATGGGGAGATACTGAGGATTTCTGAAGAGGGTTTCTAAGTAGTGCTTTAAAAAGATCTCTGGGTTGCAGAGGCAAGAAATAGGAGGAACACCAATTACAAAGCCCCGACCGAAAGCCGAGTGAGATTTGAGGGTCAGCCATGGAAATGGGAATGAAGGGACAGATGTGAGACATTTCAAAGGATAGACTGCAGGAATTCTGGCAAAGAATGGGTTGGACAGTGATGAAGAACACAGAAACAGCATTGATGCCTACATCTGGAGCCTGTGTCTTAATAATTTTTGATCAGGGAGACCTACAATACATTTTGTATTGTGCCCCACAAAATCATGTCGACAGCCCTAGATGATGTCATGGACAGGTATGGGGCATGAGGAGAAAGAGTTGCCAGGGAAAGGCTGGCTCACATTTTAGACATGTGGAGCGTTAAGGGTCAGCAAGACATCAAGGGCGATGTCAGGCAGGTAACTGGAAATGCAAACTGGTAGTCTCAGAGTGACGCTGAGTCCAGTGGTGGGGCTTTGGAAAGAACATGTATCTCTAAGAGGAACATGACATAATGGAAACCCAGAAATCCTGTCTTGAGCGGACTCAGGGGCTGCTTCTAGGTAATTTAGTTCATTTCTACTGAAATCATTATATTTAAAAGTATGGCCGCACTGAGATGGCCACTGTAGCTGCTGCCACCTCTTAGCTTTGGTCTTAAAAAAAAAAAAAAGTAATAGAACTTCCTTAAAATGTCTTTCTAGCCTTTGGATTTCTCTAATTCAGATTTGCGTCTTCCCAAGGGTCAAAATTATATTTTTACTATCCCTGTCTTAGGTATTTCCAAAACTTCGTCTTAAGACTTAGTCATTTTTTTCCTTCAATTTGACATGACTGCTAAAGACTTTTGGCATGTTCCTCCTCCTTTCATTTGTGATGTAATTAAGTTGGTCTGTAAGTCTTATTTTTAAGATGTTCTAGACCAAGAGACTGTGAGAATAGCTTACAGTCATTTCAACTAATTTATGTATTTTAAATTTAAAGTATTGACAGTGGTGAAAACCTGTTCAACAAGCAGATGATGTTATCTTATATATTCACAGAGTTTAGTAACTGAGCCAACTACTTCATTCACAGTTCAAAATGAAAACAGCTAATTCTTTTAAGTAAGTATAGATTCTACTCTTTAAAAGAGTTATCTAGGAGAGCTACTATAATACTATTATAGAATAAGTGAAATTAAGTTATCTGACTGGGACTGGGGTGGAATATTGCACAGTTTATTGAGAAATATGGACTGTTTTTGCACATTCATAATGGACATTTGAGGTTTGTTAGGGGAGGAGGTGTCATCTTTATGGCACTTTCTGGCTGGGAAGGGAGTCAGTCCTAATTGAGATAATAACTAGCCACCTGGCCACACACAAGTGTGTTTTGCCTTAGTTACCTGTCACACACTGAGCAGTGAGACTCAAGAGAGTGTCAAAGTACTTTTCAATGCATAAAGCACTACAGATCTGTCCACACTGTTGTGAGTGAGCAGGTTGGCACGGTGCCTGTGTGCGGGCGTGTGTGTTGACTCACGTGCTGTCCTGTGATCTCTCAGGACTCAGGTCCTGAATTGCTCTGTTGTGACTGAAGCCCAGCTGAAGGTGCTGGAAGTGCAGTGACCCTGGAGGAAGAACCAGTAACAGCAGAGGGTGGATGAAAGGGAATTGATAGTTGTGTAAGAATAGATATCTGCCGTTTTTTGTAAGCCAAGACACCTTTACCCTTCCAGTAATTGTTTCATCTTTTAATATCATTTGGCTTCATTTACAGAATCTGTATTAAAGCAAAAGTCAGCATGTAAGGTGGTATTTTGACCACATTTGTCTGCTGTTGTGCCTTCTGGGTGAACTGAAGTACTGGCTTACTGACTAGTAAATATGTTTTCTGACAATTATAGGGAAGGGAAGAAAAGGAAAGTCCAATTAAAGCATTTTTCTCCTCAGAGTTTGAAAAATAGAATTCATGCAATCTTTTAAATTCCATGCCAACACATCAGACAAGAAGAGACTTGATAGTAGTAAAGGTTGGGAATCAAAAGAACAATGTAAGTTTTTGATATTGACTTCAAAACATGGTGTTCTATAATTTAGTGTTCATTTGTTACGTGTATGGTATTATAATTAATTTTGTATATGTGGTAGTTATTTTTTGTACTTTGATTAGGAAACAAATATTGAGCCACTTCAAGAGGCAGACTATTTTGGAAAAAAAAGTCTGGTAAAAGTAATGCTTAATCTAATTAATCTGTCTTCATCCTCTTAATTCATCAAGATGACTTTGGGTGTCTGGTGGCAACTGAGAATGGGTTATGGAAGAACGTCAAGGCAATGTAATCCCTATTATTTACGGTTACTTGAGAGGATAAATTAATCAGCGGTCACTAATCTTTGGATAATCACTCTATTGAGCTGGAACTATCCTTAGTATTTTGGAAAGCAAGTCAGTGAGTTAGAACTGTCAAAACTGATCAGCTTTTCTAAGCTTAATGATAAGTGAATAGAAACTAGTTGCCTTCAACCCTTTCCTCCCTGCATTGCAGCATGATCATTCTGTAACTCTGGAAATGGTTTATGGAACAACAGTGAAAATACATTGATACACTGTCTTGTGGTAGATTTTCAGATAGGCTTTAGACAAAGTTCAGAGCCTTTCCTCTAGCTGGGGATTAACAAAGCTGCCTTCATAGTTAAATGTTTGCACCCTGTGTATGCATTTTCAGTTACTAGAATTAGGTAAGTTAGTGTTATAAAATTGGTTTGAGTGTGGATTGTTTAGGAAGTGAGTCTTTTGGTGGCAGCAATTCTGTTATGCATTAAATAGATACATATTTTGAACTAGTCGACATTGTTTCAGTCTGTATTTATTAGATGCTGGGGTGGGTATGGGAATAAAGAAACGTATGAGGGGTCTTGGAAAAGTTCATGGAAAAAATGTACACTATGAAAAAAAACTGTGCATGGATTTCAAAATATTTTTGAACCAAAATCAACTTGTACTAACTTGTTACAACATGTCTGAACTTGTTACAACATGTCTGAACAGTTCGAGACATTAAGAAATGATATCGCACCAGTTTTTAAAAAGCGCCTATCAGGGTAACATGAATTCTGCTAAAATTGAAGCAAGAACAAACATCAAATTTATGGTGGTGCTTGGGTAGAAGGATGGTGAAATCATTGATGCTTTACAAAAAGTTTATGGGGACAATACTCTAAAGGAACCAGCAGTTTACAAATGGCTAACATCCTTTAAGAAGGGACGAGATGATGTTGAAGAGGAAGCCCACAGCAGTAGACCATCCGTGTCAATTTTCAAGGAAAAAATTAATCTTGTTCATGCTGTAATTGAAGAGGGAACTTTACATGAAATTTTAAACAAGTGGGATTGAGATCCTGTGGCATATGTCTGAAGGATTGTAATAGGAGAGGAAACATGGCTTTACCAGTATGATGCTGAAGACAAAGCACAACCAAAGCAATGGCTACCAAGAGGTGGAAGTGATCTAGTTAAAGCAAAAGCAGACTAGTCAAGAGCAAAGGTCATGATAAGAGACTTTTGGGATGCTCAAGGTATTTTGCTTGTTGACTTTCTGGGGAGCCAAAGAATGATAATATTTGCTTATTGTGTGTGTTTTGAGAAAATTAGCCAAAGTTTTAGCAAAACAAACAAATACCCAGGGAAGCTTTACCAGAGAGTCCTTCTCCACCAGGACAATGTTCCCGGTCATCCTCTCATCAAAAAAGGGCAATTTTGCAAGAGTTTTGATGGGAAATTATTAGGCATTCACTTACAGTCTTTTTTTTTTTTTTAGTTGGAGTCTTACTTTGTCTCCCAGGCTGGAGTGCAGTGGTGCAATCTTGGCTCACTGCAACCTCCACCTGCCAGGTTCAAGCAATTCTCCTGCCTCAGCCTCCCAAGTAGCTGGGATTACAGGCGTGATCCACCATGTCCAGCTATTTTTTGTATTTTTAGTAGAGATGGGGTTTCACCATGTTGACCAGGCTGGTCTTGAATTCCTGACCTCAGGTGATTCACCTGTCTCGGCCTTCCAAAGTGCTGGGATTACAGGCATGAGCCACTGTGCCTGGCCTATCTTACAGTCTTGATTTGGCTTTATCTGACTTCTTTTTCTTTCCTAATCTTAAAAAATATTTAAAGGGCACCTATTTTTCTTCAGTTAATAATGTAAAAAGGACTGCATTGACATGATTAAATTCCTGGGACCCTCAATTCTTTAGAGATGGACTAATGGCTGGTATCAACTCACAAAAGTATCTTGAACTTGATGGAGCTTATGTTGAGAAATGAAGTGTATATTTTCATTATCTTTTAATTTCATTCTTTAGTGAATTTTTTGAGGTCCCCTTGTATACATTTTAATCCTAAGGGAATAAAGAAAGGAGGAAGTCCTAGCCCTGTGCTGTCTGCCTAGGTACAGTGTCTGAAACACAGACCAGTATTCACCCTTTGAAATTTGAGGTTTCCATTCAGGAGGTTCTCAAAGAGAATAAATGAGATTGCTATGCAGGTGGAATCAAAGAGCACACGGCTTATTTATCATAATCAAAATAATGCCATTTTCATAACAAACTTCACCTGCTTATGTACATTGTAAATTGTTGCCTTGATAAGCTTCCCGGAGATAAAGTAATTCAGCTAAGTATTATTTCCAATCATAATTTTGTGTCATTATGAGCAACACAATACTATATATGGGATTGATTCACTGCAGAACTGGAATAAATATAAATTAGATCTTTAGAAAAGAAACGTAGATTTAAAAATCTTATGTTAGAAGGCTCAATTAATTAAATGTAATTAATTTTTTAAAATCAGCTTTATTGAGGGATGACTTAGATATTATATAATTCACAAATTTTAAGTGTACAGTTTGATAGTTCTGACAATCAAACTGTATACAATCATGTAACCACCATCACAATCATAATATAGTGTGTCCATCACCCCAGGGTGTACCCTCGTGATCCTTTTTGCAGTTAGTCTTTTTCCCTTACATTCTGGCTCCTGAAAACTTGATCTGCTTTCTGTCACTATAGCTGTGCCTTTTCTAAAATTTTATATGAATGGAATCATACAGTGTGTTTTCTTTTGTATCTGTTTTTCACTCAGCATGATGCTTTTGAGATTTCTCCTTGTTGTGGTATGTATTAGTAGTTCTTTCTTTTTTATTACTAAGTAGTATTCCATTGTATGCCTATGCCACATTTTTTTTTTTTTTTTTCGAGACAGAGTTTTGCTCTGACATCCAGGCTGGAGTGCAGTGGTGTGATCATGGCTCACTGCAGCCTTGACTTCCCAGACTGAGGTGATCCACCTGCCTCAGCCACCTGAGTAACTGGGACCACAGGTGTGTGCTAGTCTGTCTAATTTTTAAATTGTTTGTAGAGATGGGGGTCTCTGTATATTGCCCAGGCTGGTCTCAAACTCCTGGCCTCAAGCAATCCTTCTGCCTTGGCCCCTCAAAGTGTTGGGGTTACAAGTGTGAGCCATCACACCTGGCCTACCACAATTTTTTATCGATTCACATATTGATGGATATTGGGTTGTTTTCAGTTGTTGCCTATTATGAATAGAACTGCTATGAACATTTGTATGCAAACCTTTGTTGGGATGTATGTTTTTATTTCTCTTTTGTACATTAAATTTAAATTTAAATTTTGTTCTGTATTATTTGTATTTTTAAATTTCTCAAGTGGGTAATACTGTGTACTTTTTTTTTGAAATTAAAAAAATTGTGGCTGAACAAGGAGATAAAAAAGTAGGAGTGAGAGGACTCTGGAGAGTTACAGGGCTTTGGTTTAGAGGATTGGATGAATAGTGGTGCTGCCAATAAAGAAATTTAAATATGGCTGATATTTCCTATATTTAAGAAAGACCAAAGAGGGTCCATTGAAATGAGTCAGTGGGAAATCTCTGATGACTTCAGCCAGCACGCTTTCATCGGCCTGGATATATGGGAAGTGAAGTCTGATTATAGTCTGTGGAGCAGTGAATGGGAGGAAGAGATAGGGGTACAGGCTAAGAAGGGAGGAAGTCAAGTCAAAGGGAGAAGTAGGGTGGTAGCTAGAGGAAGATTAGAGTCAAGCGAGGGTAACAATTTTTTTTTTTTTTGAAGATAGGAGTAGCTTGAGAACTAACTTAAAGAAGGAGCCTGTAGAGAGGGAGGAGGTGAAGTTACTAAAGGTCTAATTGATGGGGTAAGGTTCATGAGCAGATCAGATCTTTACAAGGAAGGTTCTTGCTGGGGGGCAAGATTCAAAACCCCTATTCAGAACCAGGAGAGAAGAAAGTAAGAATGGGAGCAAATGTAGGTAGGTTTGGTGAGGATCAGGAAATGGAGGGGAAGAGGTCATTAAATGTGGTCCTGGGGTTGAGCAGCAGATTGGAAGAGAATGGCAAAAGTTTGGGAGCTGATTAGTGATAAGGAAAAGGTTTGAGAATCCGATGAAGATTAGAAACCATGCATTTGTAGTGAAACTTGTTTCTAAGATTGTGCCCTTACCCACCTCCAGCTGTGCTCTGATAGGTGAACTATACAATTGATGTAAGGCTGGCAGATAATCAAAGCCAAGAAATTTCATGTTTTCTATCTATTTTCACTTCCGTGCCATATAGCTTCTCTCATATAGTACTCATATGTTTTGAGTTTTTGGTGAAGCTGATTAAACATTTAACAACTTTTTTTTTTACATTTTTTATTGTGACAAAACATATATAGCATAAAATTACCATTCTGGTAAATTTACCAAAACCCATTTATAGCATAAAATTTACCATTTTGGTCAACTTACTGTAAATTACTGCCAGTTCTGTACAGCCATTTGTTTAATGCAGTCTGCTCTAATACCCTCCAAGGCAAAATTGCAAATAAAAACCTGTTTTGATTTCTACTTAATTTTGGTAAATTTACCAAAAGGGCAAATTTTATGCTATAAATTTTTTTTGTTTTGACATTTAAAATATGTTTTGTAAAAAAAATTGACAGATAAAATTGTATATTTAACATGCATAATGTGATGTTTTGTATTATGTATAACATGATGTATATGTCATACATAACATATATACATTGTAGAATTGTTAAGTCTAGGTAATTAACAAATGCATTACCTCACACAGTTATCATTTTTGTGGTGAGAACATTTTAACATCCACTCTCTTTAAATTTTTCAAGAATAAAATTTTATCATCTGGTCATGGTGGCTCACGCCTGTAATCACAACACTTTGGGAGGGCAAGGCGGGAGGATTGATTGAGACTAGAAGTTCTAGACCAGTCTAGACAACATACTGATACCCCGTCTCTACAAAAAATAATAAAAAAGAATGCAATATTGTCTAAATTTCTTGAATTTATTTTTCCTACCTAATTGTCGTTATATATCCTTTAACCAACGTCTGCCCATTTCCCTCTCCTCTCTAACCAGTCCAGCCTCTGAGACCATTGTACTTTCTATTTCTATGAGATCAGCCTTTTAAGATTCTACATGTCAGTGAGGTCGTGTAAGTATTTGTCTTTCTGTACCTGGCTTGTTTTACCATTGTCACCATTTATAAAGTGTACAATTTAGTGGCATTAAGTACATACAGAATGCTGTTCACCCATTACTACTGTCCTACAATTTTAATTTGAGGCATGACTTTGTCATCTCTCTTCTATCCTTTGTACCATTCTTGATCTATAAACTCAACAAAGTCCTTAACTGAGTAGAATATTTTTGTATGTGTGTATAGATGTGTGTGTGTGTATATAGGTATGTATAGATATAGATATAGATATAGATATAAAATTTTTTTTTGAGACAGAGTCTTGCTCTGTTGCCCGGGCTGGACTGAGTGGCATGATCATGGCTCACTATAGCCTCTACCATACAGGCTCAAGCAATCCTCTCACCTCAGCCTCCCAAGTAGCTAGGACTACATGCATGCACCACCATGCCTGGCTAATTAAAAAAAAATTTTTTTTTTCTAGAGATGGGGTCTCTGTGTTGCCTAGGCTGGCCTCAAACCTCTAGGCTCAAGCAGTCCTCCTGCCTTGGCCTCCCAAGGTGCTGGGATTATAGGAATGAGCCACCGTGCCTGGCCAGTATTTGTATTTTTGATACTGAGCTTAATTTTGGCAAGTGCTGTGCAAGGCACAAATTGTGGTGTTAGCTTTCTAACTATTTGGTTGTAATTATTTGTTAATATCTGTCTTTCCTAGTCATGGAAAGTCCATGAGTGCAGGGGCTGTGTCTGTCTTGTTTACAACTATATTTGCGCTGGCCAGCACAGTGCTTTACACATAGTAGACATTCAGTGATGTTTCTGAACAAATGAAAGTCCTTCGCTGCAAGAAGAATTTATTTCAGTTTAATAAGTTCTTTCTGAATGCTTCATATGAAGTAGGCAAAATTTGTATTCACATATTAATACAGATTATAGGTATGGCACATTCCAATGTCTATTTAATTAGTAGAAATCAAAAAGAGTTTTTATTTGCAATTTTGCCTTGGAGGGTATTAGAGCAGACTGTGCACTAAACAAATAGCTGTACAGAATTGGCAGCAATAATCCCAAAGTTTGAAGGCTGTAGGTTAATTAGGATAACTTGACAGGAAGTGAGTTAATCAAATTTGAGAGTTTAATCTTCCAATAATTTATGTTCAGACATACTTCAAGTATATCAGCAGGTAACAGGAACTTTAGTTGCAGAATGCCCCAAAACACAAGAACTCCAGTGGATTTTCTGGCTTCCAGGAATGTTTTGGAGGAAGAAAAACCAATAAAATGATTTGGGGGTCATTTTGTTCCATTACTCTATATTAAATATACTAGAATTTAAAATATTAAATTTTAAAAGATAAAAAGATGCAGTTTACCTATTAACAAATTAAATAATTTAGGAATTCTACTTAGTTCTGTAATACTTTAATATGAGTAAATATGGGCATTTCTGTGTTAGCTAGAATTAGATAGAGTATTGCCATTTTTTTCAACTGGCTTATGGTTAAATGGAAGTAAAGGGGCAAACTACACATATAAGAATTAGTAGTACAATATTTAATACACCCCTGTAAGAGTTATCACAGTGTGTCCTCTGTGAAAAGTAAGGGCTCCATGTGTGCTTGTGAAAAAGGCCACTGGAGGCCCTTTTCAAAAATTAAATCTGCCTCCAGCAAGGTGTTTTTCGATCACATGGAAAGGGGAAGAAGAAGCTATCAGGAGCTCTGGGGTTTTTTTTGTTGTTGTTTGTTTGTTTTGCCACTTTTAACTCTCAAGCTAAAACTGGGGTTTCATTTGAGGAACCAGTAATAGAAAATTTCTTATGTACATTCAGCAAAATCTAGTACTGAGTGGTTACTTTGGCTTTTCATTGTGGGGATTGTGTGTGTGTGAGTACATGCACGCACTTGTGTGTTTAAGCGTGTAAGGCAGACAGACAGTGGGTACAGGTCTTTGAAATGGACTTCTTGGCTAAAGTAATAGAGAAAAAGAGGAATACAAATAAGGGAGGAGGGACAGGGAAGAGCAGAGTCACAGGAAACAGTGAATGAGGCTGCAGTCTCAGTCGCCCTTTCTTTGTCCCTCCAGTGTTGTTGCCTGTCTTATGATGATGCTGGTTTTCAGCCAACCTTGAGTGAGTAAAAGCCGGGTCTGAGGTCTCAGTGCCTGCGTGGCTGATATGAGCAGCTTGCATTTCTGACTGGGCCCTGGAGCAGCAACAGCACAGATTTCCAGGAACAGTTCCTCTTGTCATTTTTATTCCTGAGTCATCAAATTTAGTTATTCAGACGTCTGCTGTTCCCAGCTACATACAGATCAAACAAGCAGGGAATTTTTTTCTTTCTCTTCTCTCCCTCTTTTTTTTGTATTTCCATCTTGTTTTGTATACCTTTTCTTTGTTTAAGTCAAGCATTTGAACATCACTAGTTACCATTTCCTTTAGCAAGCATAGGACTTCTGTCTTACTTAAATGTCTTCTAATGCTGTGATGTGTCACAGTTAGTTGAGACGTTAAAGATGTTCCATACATGTGACTACATTGGTAAATCTCAAAAACATCATATCGAATGAAAAGACAAAGTTGTGAAATGTCTGATGTGATGCCATTTCCTTAAAAAGTCATGTAAAGCAATCCTACCACATCTCATAGAATCTAAAAGGCTATACTGATGCTAAGATGCACTATTATTTTCTGTACACTGAGAAAGGGGGAAAATTGCCACTTAAATTGTGATGTAATGTCTCATTATGGATTGTAAGATACATCTACATTTTAGAAATGGTATAATGTTAAAAATATGCATTTTAAATTGAAGGTAAATTTAATTAAATTATTTCAAAGGAAATAAGGTAAATGTATTTTATTGAAGCATAGTTATGTAATAAAAATAGAAAAGCATGCATAGGAATGCTATTTAGCCAATACAGGATGTGGTAATCTCTATAAAGGGAGGGAGGGAAATGGAGGGGGGAGGCCAGAGGAGGGGCCTCATCTCTGTAGTTTATTTTTTAAAATTATAAAGCAAATATTACCAGAGTTAAGATTTTACAAAATTCATTGGTAAGCACCTATAATTTTCTGAGTGCTTTCAGTATTTCATAATGAAAAGTATGTATTTTAAAGGTACGTTATCTATTTATTTTTATTTATTTTTTTTGAGACAGTGTCTCATTCCATCGCCCAGGCTGGAGTGCAGTGGTGTGATCTTGGCTCACTGCAACCTCCTTAAAGCTACATTATTTAAAAGTCACATACAAAGCAAGTTGCAGAAGCCTGTATGTAGTGGATTCTATTTTTTTTAAATAGTATTTAATTGTATGTTCTTCTACACTTTTTCCTATGTCCATCTTACCATAGCTGTGCCTTTTTTGGTGGAAGTGAGGACAGATTGCTTTCCACATCTCCATTTTTGTGTCTGAATTAAAAGATGGACAAGTATCATGTATTATCTTAGTAGTCATCAAACAAGGAAAAAGGTTTCTTTGTTTGCTTGTTTTTTTTAGATGAAGTCTCCGCCCAGGCTGGAGCGCAGTGGCACGGTCTTGGCTCACTGCAACCTCTGCCTCCTGTGTTCAAGCAGTTCTCTGCCTCAGCCTCCTGAGTAGCTGGGATTATAGGCGCCTGCCATCACGCCGGCTAATTTTTGTATTTTGAGTAGAGACAAGGTTTTGCCAAGTTGGCCAGGCTGGTCTTGAACTCCTGACCTCAGGTGATCCACCTGCCTTGGCCTCCCAAATTGTTGGGATTACAGGCGTGAGCCACTGTGCCCGGCCTGGAAAAAGTTTTTAATGGTAAAGATGTCATGGAATGAATAGGATTGGCTGGCATTATTTCTTGCTGTTAATAAGCAGTGAGAAATGTTTCCATTATATGTTTCTTTGAAGCCAGCTTTCTGGTTGCTCCCTTATTCTTTCTTTCTCAGGCATGTGGTATCTAGAAAGGGTCAGGAGTACCTTGATAAAAATTATTGTACAAGTTGAGCAAAACTCAGTAGTATCATGCCTAGAGATCTGATAAAGAGGCACTTTTAAAATAGAGCCTTGAAGCTAACAAACTTTTTTTTTTTAACCCCTTTACTGAAACCTAAAAAGAGGTCTGCAGTTTTTCCCTCCTGTCACCAGATGAAAGGGCTGTAGTAGTGTTTGCTTATTCCTCAGGCAGTGAGGAATCAAAGGACTGAAGGGGTGTTTGTTTTATCATACTACTTGTAGGGACCCCTTACCTCCTATACCCATGAAAAAGGAATATTTCTTATATCCCATAATATTCTTTTAGTATCACACTTAGGTTTTAATGTCCTTACTGTTAGAGTAAAATAATTTGGGCAAGACCAATTTTTTAAATGGCAAATATAGTCACATCACTTGATTCAGAATCTCACTCCCTAGCATCTCGCGTAATGACTCATAAGAAAGAAAAAGCTAAATGCATGAAGAGGTTCACTATACCATTACTATAAAAAAGTAAAAATTTGTTTTTGTTATTTTTTTTTTGTTTTTTGAGATGTAGTCTCTCTCTGTTGCCCAGGCTGGAGTGCAGTGGCGCAATCTCGGCTCACTGAAACCTCCGCCACCTGGGTTCAAGCAATTCTCATGCCTCAGCCTCCGGAGTAGCTGGGATTACAGGCATGCACCACCATGCCTGGCTAATTTTTGTATTATTAGTAGAGACGGGGTTTCACCATGTTGGCCAGGCTGGTCTCGAACTCCTGACCTCAGGTGATCCACCCACCTCAGCCTCCCAAAGTGCTGGGATTACAGGCATGAGACACTGCACCTGGGCAAAAAAAGTAAAAATTTGAAGTCAACTTAAATGCCCCCAAATACAGGAATGGTTAAATGCTGATGACCTACTTTATGTACTATGATGCAAATGCAAATGATAATGGTTACTGTGCAGCAACATGGAAGAACTTGGTGAAAGCAGGATGTACCACATGACTGTAACTCCAAAATGTGCTTGCATGTGAGGAGAGATCAAGGGAATATAGAAAAATGAAGACATAGTTGTGTTAGGGTGGTAGAATTTTGAGTGGATTTCTCCCCCCACTATTGGTAAAAATTTTTGTACTTAATTCGTTGTGGGCAGCCAGATCTTTTAAAGGTAAATTTGAATTTCTCTTTAAGAAAATGGCAGACAGAAGGATGGGGGATACTAGAAAACTAAAAGTAGTGCCCCCTTTGAAGATAAAACTAAAACATTTTAAGCCTGGAATTGCTTTAGCAGTACATGTATTGATTATTTAATTTTGTCCTTTAGAAGAAAGTTGGCCCAACACAATTACATGGAAGTTGGGTTATTGAAGAGGATTGATAAAAGAAGTGGGAAGGTCAGGCCAGGTGTGGTGGGTCATGCCTGTAATCCCAGCGCTTTGGGAGGCCGAGGTGGGTGGATAACGAGGTCAGGAGATCGAGACCATCCTGGCTAACACGTTGAAACCCCGTCTCTACTAGAAATACAAAAAAAATTAGCCCAGCATGGTGTTGGGTGCCTGTAGTCCCAGCTACTTGGGAGGCTGAGGCAGGAGAATGGCGTGAACCCGGGAGGCGGAGGTTGCAGTGAGCCCAGATCAAGCCACTGCACTCCATCCTGGGCGACAGAGCGAGACTCCGTCTCAAAAAAAAAAAAAAAAAAAAAAAAAGTGGGAGGGTCAAAGCCAATGTGCACGTTTATTCTTTTGTACCACCAAATAAACCGAATTTTTGGACCAACTTTACTTTAGTCAATATTTGGTTATTTGCTTTGAAGCTATTTGTTTGCAATAATGCAATTAACATCCTCAACAGAGCCAAAGTCTGACCCTGAAATGGCAGCATCTTAACTAATTTTATCATTTGAATAGAAATTGAACCCTTTGAGGGCATGAAGTACTATTTCTTTTCTCTATACTTCTTGTTTTTGGTTTTTGCTTCACCACCGATTTATGACTACCAAAACCCCACAGATCCTGTAATTAACTCACAGCTGCCATCTTGCCACCGTAGATAGAATTCAGGAGCTGGTGATGAATGGGGAGAGAATAGAAAAACTAATAGACTGTAAGAATTTTAGACCTCTGTGGCCTTGCTGAACAATTAATCCAGCCCCTTCACTTTACAGGTAAGTAAACAAGTCCCAGGGACCCAGCAGTGAACCTGTGTCTTAGGACTTCAAATCTAGTGCACTTTCTGTTATACTTCAAGGAGAGAACTGGAGGGAGAGCGAAGCCAAAATACTGACATTTTAGAGGCTGCTTTTTAAGAAAGGATAGGACATTGGACTTGGTGTCATTATCATGTTAAGTTATAGAATTTTTAAAAACACTACCACTCCAAAACAAAAATAGGTAAAAGATACGAACAGGCAGTTCACCAAAGAAGAAATACAGTAGGCATGAAAGAATGCACAACATAATTTAAGAAATGTAAATAACAAATATCTATTGCTATCTCAAGAGAAAACATTTACTATGAGCTTTATTATTCAAACCATTGGCCTCATAGGGCTTCTTGTTGACAATCTACCCTAATTTTAGGAAATGTAATTATAACATAAAAAAATGAATGCAAATGATAAAAGACGAAGTATAACCCGCTCAATAAATTTTCTGAAAGTTATAGTAGTTTTAAACCTCTTTTTATTCATTCCCTCCAGTTCTGTCTAGCACCTGTAAAGATGAATTATTGGCTGGGTGTGGTGGCTCACGCCTGTAATCCCAGAACTTTGGGAGGCCGAGGCGGGCGGATCACGAGGTGAAGAGATCAAGACCATCCTGGCCAACATGGTGAAACCCTGTCTCTACTAAAAAATCCAAAAATTAGCTGGGCGTGCTGGTGCATGCCTGTAGTCCCAGCTACTTGGGAGGCTGAGGCAGGAGAATTCCTTGAAACTGGGAGGTGGAGGTTGCAGTGAGCCAAGATCGCACCACTGCACCCCAGCCTGGCAACAGAGTGAGCCTCCGTCTCAAAAAAAAAAAAAAAAAAAAAGGTGAATTATCTCAGGTTTTATATGGCATTGATGGACCACTATTGAAGGAAGCTGTGAAGGACTCAAAGCAGTTGAGAATAGGTATCGCCACCTAATTTTACTTGCCTTTCCTGCCACACACAACCAGAGAAGCTGGTTCATCTCTTACTGAGGAAATATTTTCATGCTTATTCAGAAGATTTTGCAGGATCCTCAGGAAGACAAAGCCAAAGAACAAGAACAGTCAAAGTAGGAACAGGACCAAAAGTCTGCACAGTCACTGGAAGGTGTCATGCTGAAGAAGGCAGGGATGGGACTTTGAAATGAGGCCAAGTGCATTTCAGTAACTGAGTGGGTTATCTGTTGTTGGCAAGCAATGTGCCATACCTTTGAAGGGCTAAGCTAGCCCAGGAGTTCTGATAAGAGCTTTGAACTTAATATCGCTGACACAAAAATAGGTCTCCTCAGATCCTATTTGGAGGTAAACCGGGTAAAAGTGATAAATAGTATTGCTTTTTAAAGTTCATTACATATTTTAGAGGTGAGTCAGTCAGACCATATAGAGATGCTTCATTTTAATCCTCTGTAGCAAGAATTGGCAAAAATATTCTCTGTAAAGAGCCATTTAGTAAATATTTTAGAGTAGGCTGCATAGTCTCTTTTGCAGCTACTCAGCTTCATACAACAAGTAAACAAATGAGTGTGACTGTATTTTAGTAAAACTTTGTTAGACGCTAACATTGGAATCTTACACAGTTTTTATATGTTTTGACATATTCTTTTGATTTTTTCCAACCATTTAAAAATGTAAAAAGCATTTGTAGCTTGTGAGGTGTACAAAAATGAGCAGTGGACCATGTTTTGCCTGCAGGGCACATTGTGCTGATCTTTACTCTATAGCATCACTGCCAGTAGAAATATAATGCTAGCCATATGTTATGGACTGAATGTTTGTAACCCCCAAAATCCATATTTTGAAGCTCAAACCCCTGGTGTGGCAATATTTGGAGATGGGACCTTGACAGATGTACTTAAGGTTAAATGAGGTCACAAGGGTGGGGTCCTGGTCAGATAGGATTAGTGTCCTTACAAGAAGAAACACCAGATACACTCATTGAGAAAATGCAGAACATTGTAACCTTACTGGTTTAGAAACCATAATACTGGCAGGCTTGCTGGTCTTCATTTTTATTATTTTGAATGTCTTCTTTCAAGTATTTTATGTATCCAGACCCAATTTGTATGATAAGGGAATTTCTTTCAAACTATTAGGTGAAGTCTTTAATTATGAAGTTGGCTTAAGCCATTAAGTAGTATTAATGGGGACATCCATCTTAGAAATTAACTGGAAATGTAGACTAGAAATATAAAAAAGTGTGGTCATGACTAATGTCTGTATCCATTTCCCAAAAAAGAGATTTGCGTATGTCCTCACATTGCAGAACCACACTGACACTCAGGGAAACATGCTGACGTCATTCTTCCAACATCCTTAGTTTGGATTTCATGAAACATTTTTTTCCATTTCTCCTTTTTCTGTGTTTAGTAATCCTTTCTTGGATTCTTGAAATCAGAGGCACTTATTGGAGTTGATAAATGGCAGTTCTTCATGTCACTGTTTAGAAATTTAACTTAGCTTATGGACTAGTTCAGGCTTAGATAACTCTGGAAGTCTTTGCACTTTCAAATATACTTTTTTATAGTTGAGTTTCTACACAATATAACATTTTATAACTTAAATGGAAGTAAAGTGAAATGCCAAAATGCCAGTTGATTCTGTTAATGTGTGCATCCCTCCATTCCAGAATTCCAAAAATATCAGACATAATGACTTTTATTTGTATTTTATATTATTAGATTTATCAGATATAAAATTGTTCTTTTAAACTGCTATTTCTAAACACTCTTTGTTTCTTTAGTTATCTTGTGAACTGGTAATAGTTTTCAGACTGGTGCCTGTCCATGAACCACTTTCAGCATTGGTCCAGATGACTTTCACTTATACCATGAGCCAGCAGATACTGTAGATTATTTGGCTGTTTTTAAAGAGAACATCATATCATAGTGTTGGTTATTAATATTTGAGCAAGATATTAGGGTTGTCTCGATGTCCCAATCATTGTGGAGTGCTTAGTGTGTGTTTGTTTTTTAAGAATTGACTTGGAAACATTTATCTTAAGGTGTTAGGGTTATTTTTATTCTTTAGTACTAACGGTATAAACTGAATTCCACTGAAATAGAGCTTATTTTGATGTATAATTTTTGAAGTTATTTTTTATAAGTCTGTGGGTAGATAGCAGCCAAGTAGGCACTTTATTTCCCTAATAGAAAAAAATATATATTTTTGTCAAATATTTCTGTTTTATTCATTCATTCAAAGTATATTTGGAATGTTTATTTCCAGGAAATTTTGGAATATACAATACAACCAGCTTCTTATAACTCCACTTTAAGTGAGCCATAGGTCAAATAATGACCAGCAAAATGTAATGACACGTGTGCCTCTTACTCCCTGTTGGAGGAATTGAGGCACTCTGGTAACCCTGTAGGCCTGGATTAGTCCAGTTCATTGGCAGCAGCATTATCCAGATTTTATTGTGGCCGGCAACGGTGGCTCACACCGGTAATCCCGGCACTTTGGGGGGCTGAGTTGGGCCTGTTGCTTGAGCCCAGGAGTTCAAGACCAGCCTGGGCAACATAGGAAACCCTGTCTCTACAAAATATATAAAAATTAGCTGGGCGTGGTGGCGTGTGCCTGTAGTACCAGCTACTTCGGAGGCTGAGGCAGGAGGATCACCTGAGCCCAGAAAGTTGAGGCTGTGGTCAGCTCTGATTATGCCACTGCACCCCAGCTTGGGTGATACAGTGAGACCCTGTCTTAAACAAACAAAAGAGATTGTATTGTGTTTTGAAAAACATAGTTTTTAGAGAAATTCTGTGTTATTCTTCTATTTCCATTACAGCTTGGTTTAAAGAAACTATGGAAAGCTACAGACTAACCTCCTTTTCCTTTGGTTTTTTTTCCATGTTATAGCAGAGAACCAGCCAGGGCCAGATTCCTGGGCTTGTGTCCTCTGCAGTTGCACAGGGCTCTGCTCAGAAGGGTCCCATACTTGGCTTAATGCTCTGCTGTCAGCATCTTGAAAATTTTTAATAATTTTATATTTCATCTTGTTTTGTAAGTTATAAGCCCAGTGGGCCAGTGGAGGCTGTTCTAGGGGTCTGGGTTTGGCTCATGAGAGGTACATCCTTCCCACCTCCCCAGGATGGGCTCTCAGCAGCTGGCTTTCTGTACCCTGGCACCCCAGGCCCTTCTTGGCCCCTACCCCGTGTTCACTGTTGCCCTCACCTTGGGTGATGACTGGGTCACATGGGAGAGGAGGAAACCCATGTTCTGCTGTCACCCTCCACCTCTTGCTGGGTCCTGGGTACAAGCTCAGGGAGGGTTGGGATCAGGCGTCTGTGACTCACAGTGTTGTGGGGAGTGATGGTGGTCATTTTATCCCAGGCTGGCAGCGTGCTGGCATATTGATGAGCAGCTGCTGGCATGATGATTTGTCCTGACCCTGGACCGGACTCTGTATCTTGGCTTTAGTCTAGTCCACTTCTCAGCATTCCTTGGAAGCCCACCTAAACTGCAGAGACAAAGAAGAATATGCTTTGGGATTTTAAAGATGGAACCCCATATGCTATCAATTGGAAAGGAGTTCAGATTCTGGCTGGGCTGAATCACTGATTTTCCAGGCAAGTGGAACTTTAATGACCCACTAGTGCCCTTTGTTCACTGTGGGCTGGCTGGGGAGGAACCCTTGCCTTTAAAGAACCCTGTGCTCTTTAAAGTTTCCAGGGCACAATTGAGATCCTTGAGGTACAGTTCATCCATGCAGACCTAGCACCTGCTTTAGGTAAGGGCTCTTGTTACTTCTTGTTCTTATCGGGTTCTTATGTTCAGCTCAGCTTCCTGCTTCCTCAGAGAGAAGTGGTAGGTTCTGTTTTAGGCTTTTCTTTTTTGGTGGTGGTGGGAGGTGTCAAACCGCATTATTGAGGGGAGTGGGGGTGGTAAAGCAGTGGTGAGGACGATGAGAAGCGACCTCCTTAGCCAGGCCAGGAGCTCACCTCCCAGACCCTGCCCTTCAGGCACTGAAAACTGTTTTAGGCTTTTCTGCATGGTTGGAGTTTACTCTTAGTTGCTGACAGTCACTCATCCCCTGGAGAGGGGTACTGAGCATAATCACTGTTGGTATTTTATTTACTACCAGTTCTTCATCATTACCGAGACTCATTCCATTTGGAAAATAAACATTGCCTCATCTGTTCATGGTATATTTTTACACTTGCCTTTCACTCACATGTTGCATATTAACTGAAAAGATCAGCATGATCTTGGAGCCTAATGTGATCTGGATCTTATTACCATGTATGTTTTTATCGTCAGGTGCTGCTTTGGACTCTGGCCCATTCCTCCCACCTGTCTTCATCCTGTCGGGGTTGATCTCTGCCTGGTTCCATAGTCACTTGGCTTTTGGAGTTTTATTTCTTCTCTAACCCACTCTTCCCTTCCCTGTCAAATATAATTCTCTCATGAGCAACTGTGCCTGATAATCCCAGTGTATAGGCCATAGCTCAGGTTGTTTTAATGCTTGCAAGGAAGTCTCTTCAGATTACTACAGGGTAAAAGAATCCATTCCCTTTCAACCTCTCATTACTTACTGAATCAATTATTTATTTACTTGTGTAATTCACATCCATGCTCAGGTATGTGTTTAGTTTACCTCTGAGACTGTGGCTCCCTCTAGACAAGGGTCTTTGTCTGGTATTAGTCCACTTCCTCAGTGTCTAATTTCATGAGGACAGAATCAGGGCAAGACCTACTGGCTAAGACTTGCTGCTGCCTCAGTTATTTGGTTTACTGTTTAAGCCCTTGAGCCAGGAGGTGACAGTATCTTTTGTGTTCCAAGTCAGATAACCAGTAACAGTAATATTCTGATGTAGGTCTAAGGGGCAATAGGAGCCTGAATCTGAGCCCCTTGGCAGGGATGGTTTCCCTGGGTTACTGGATTTGAGTCTTTGTCTTCCGTAATAGTAACTTCTGTGACCCTTGGCTCAAGGAGTCCTTTCTAACCTAAATGCCCTCCTGAAGAAAGTGCTGATATTCATCAGAAAAAAAAGTAGGGTTTGTGTTATGTTACCATCTGGGAGACATTGGCTTTAATCCTCTCCCCTCTTCTTTTCCTTTTAAAATTTTCAAGAATCCCCAGAATTGAGGGTCAATCCTGGATCAGAAGGGGCAGAAAAGTCAGCCAGTCAGAGGTGAGAAAGGGGTCTTGTGTTCCAGTTGCTCTACTTTAGAGGGCTTGAGGGCCGCATTAGGAGCAAACCAAATACTCTGAGGTCCTAGGAGAAGATTGCTCTAAATCCAGGATGATTTCATCATATGACTTGAGATGGAGGGGTTCTTGATTAGTAATGGGCTTTTTGATTGGCAGGAAGTAGGTAAACTGCAGGCAATAGGATTGGCCATAGAAATATAGGGAACTCTATGCTTTCAACTCTTGTGAAGTTAGGACCAAACCAAATTATTTGGGGTTCATTGGTGGCTAAGAAATTAACTTTTATACTTATAGTTAAAAAAAAAAAACTTAAAGAACTTTTATTAATTCTTCCCCAATAGAGTGATTTTTTTTTTTTTTTAAGAGACGGAGTCTGGCTCTGTTGCTCAGGCTGGAGTGCAGTGGTGCAATCATGGCCACGGCTCACTGCAGCCTTGACCTCCCAGGCTCAAGTGACCCTCCCACCTCAGCCTCCTGAAGTAGCTAGGACTACAGGCGTGCACCACCACACCCAGCTAATTTTTGTATTTTTTGCAGAGATGAGATTTTGTCATGTTGCCCAGGATAGTCTCCAACTCCTGGGCTCGGGCCATCTGCCCGCCTTGGCCTTCCAAAGTGCTGGGATTACAGGCATGAGACACCATGCCCAGCCAGAATGATTTTCCTTTGTTGAATTCTCAAAATTTTATTCTGGCTTAGGTAATTGAGTAGGAATGGCAGAGAGTAATAATTTTCAGTGTAATCTTTAGCATTACATAAACCTCTACAAACATGAAGTAAAAAGTTCTTTACAGACTTTCTATAGGAAAAATAAATGTTTATAGATCTGCTTATCAACTGTTTGTTCTTCCTACCTCTGCATTTTCATCTATTGATAACTGTCAGAGTTCAAGGTCAGTTAATTGTACATTTTCTGGGAGTTTTTCTCACTGTTAATTAGTAAGACTTTGAATCATTAAGTGCTGATGACTACATGGCACAATTCATTAAAGACAGTCATACTTTAACCTTAGTACAGCTATAATGGGACGGTGAAATACAACTAGGAAAGTATCTTATTAAAGTATTTTACATTTTACTAATAAAATTTATTTAAACCCTGAATTAGTGTTTATTTTTGTTTCCGAATTCTCAGTAACATCTCAGTAGATCCGTGAATCCTGCCAAAAGACGTATTTTAATCCAAAGATCTTTCTGCATCTATAATTTACCACACTAAAGCTCACATTATCATTAAAAGCAGCATTATCATTAAATTGTAGACATTTATTAGTTCATCTCCAGGCCTCATGGGAGTGGTTTGGAGTAAACCTTTGTAGAAACAATAATATGTTTTGATAAATGCATATGGGCGTGGAGTGGTTATCACTTACCTCCTCATGAAATTTCTGGAAAGGTGATCCGGAAAACCAGGACACATTTATGGTAAGATATAACACCTTACCATAACGATTAAGGCTCATTGAAAAACTCTGACTTAATGAGTTTACCAAAAAACTGTTCTATCCACATCTCATCAAACCGCCCCTGAAATTCCCTTGCCTCTGTTAAATTTTTCTAGACAGTCTGAATAGAGGCATGTAATTTTTTTGGATTTTTCTGTGGTTAAATAAATATCCTTTACAACTCTCTTTATTCTTGAATATCCATAAGAGTTTATATTTATACTGTATGTTTGTTATTAGGATTCCTTTCAATTGCTATATAAAAAATGTAAAGTCTGTTTACTGCCTTAAACCTTCTGGTGTATTTTTATATAAAGTAACACCCTTAATTCTAACTTGGCCAACAGGTAGGATGGTATTATTATTATCTTCATTGTACAGATAAGGAAACTGAGGCTCAGATTGACTAGATCAAACAGGAGTTTTCTGGAAAACCTAGGACACAAGCCTAAATCTTTGAACTCAAATACTGCTCTACACTGAATTACAGTTATATACTGATTTCTGTTGTAAATTCTTAGAGAAGACAGACATAGAAATTAGTAACTTGAGTCAGTAGCGGCTTTGTTCAAACACAGGCACATGCATATTTTATGGTATATGTTTATATCTGTGTAATACTCATCATAAATGTCAGATTTATAATCGATAGTGCCCATTTCTAAATTTATAGTTGAAACCTCTGATAGGAATTAGGAATTATCTTAAAGTCCTAGAATAATAAATATTAAGATTTTGAAGACTGCTTAAAACAGTGTTCCAGGCTGGATTTTTTCCTTAGTTTTTTTTTCCTTAGTTTTTTACCTTAGTTTTTTCCATGTAATGAATGAGGAGCCATTGGGGTTGGTGTTTGGTTGTAAAGGGCAGGTTGACTTCACCAGGAGGTGTTTCTTGGTATTTATGGATCCTCTTTTTCACACTAATCCTTTGATTAGCTTCTTCTTATAGTTCATGCTTGTACAGTTGCAGCTGAATGGTAAGTAGGTAGAAATATGCATTGACTAATGTTGAACTATATCTAGGAGCGTCATATTCATGCTACTACTGAGCACTGTGACCTAGGTGAAGTGTGAGATTAAAGAGCTTTATTGCTTACCACGTTTCTTTTTGATCTAGTTAGAGTCATGTGAGGCAGTCCATGACTTTTAGGATGTTATAATATAATCCACATAGTACTTTATACTTTTCAATTTGTTTTTATATATTTTTCCTTACTATAAGCCTGTCAAGTCTAGTGAGATGACATGGTTATTAATATATTACAAATGAAGAACTCTGACTTGGAGGTAGTATAGCACTGTGGTTAATAATAGAAGTTCTTATATTTTTATATGAATTATATATTATGAACCAGACCAGAATACTAGCTCTACCAATTACCTAGCTGAGTGATGGTGCAGCAACTTAATCTCTCAAAGCCCTGGTTTTCTCATTGTAAAATGGAGGACCTTATAGGATTGTTGGGTAGCTTAAATGAGATAATAGGTAGAATTAAAAGTAACGGCAAAAACCGCAATTACTTTTGCACCAACCTGATATTTAGAACAGTGGAGGCATATAGTAGGCATTCAATAAATATTGGTAGTATTATTTTCAGAGGTTATTACTCATTTAACTCAACAAAAATTGAGAGCCCCTTTCTATACGCTAGTCATTGTGCTAGGCATCAGGAGCACAGGGCAAACCTGGTAGGGTGCTTACTCTGATGGAATTTACATTTTAGTGGTAGAAATGGTAAATGAGTCAACAAGAATTTTATGGAGTGACAAGGACTTTGAGGAAAGTAAAACGGGACAATGCTTGAGAAGGGTGCTAGTTGGGAAGTCCTATCACACGAAGTGGTATTTGATCTGAGACCTGAGTGACCATAGCCACATGAATACCTGGGGGAATCACTTCCCAGGAGGAAACAGAAGCACAGAAGCCGAAAGGCAGGATCACAGGCGGCACATTTTATTGGTGCAGTGTGGAGGTAGAGGGACTGGATTGTGTAGGGTTTGTAGGCCAGGGTAAAGAGCTTGGATTTCTTCTGAGTGTAGGATTTTGAGCAGGGGAGTGATGTGTCTTATTTTGGGCGGGCGCTAGGCCAGGTACTGTGAAGGAAATAATGGTATAGAAGAAATATGTCTTTCTTGCTAGAATCTTATGTGACATACAACTAGTGGTGGCTGATCAGCAATTAGAACTGCAGTGTTCTTGCTGGTGTACTCCTAATCTGATCATTGGATGATATTTATCACGTATTTTTGCAGCAGTCATCTCTAAAGTGGCATTATGGTTCTAGTTATCTATCATTGGATCTGTTTGCTCTAACAGTCCGAAGGGGCATGAAGGGTGGAAACAGAGTAGAGGGAAATGGGTGAAAAGGCTATTTCTAAACACTAGACACAAAATAGGGATTAGGAAGTAGTGGGGGTTAGGAGAAAAAGCAAAATCCTGTTGTGCATGGAGAGGGACATTGTTGAAACTGTGGCTTCTTGAGATTACATGAGTGAACCTGCGTGGACTGGGTCGTCTTCCCTATTCACCAAGCTGAATCCAGGCCCAATCCAAGATTACTGCTGCCTTTGCTCTGAGGCTTTAGACTGTTAGTAGCTTTTCTCGTCTCTACTGAGGCCAAAAGGGGCAGTGATACCCTTGAATTTTCTTCTTAAAACAGGGTTTCATTTCCTTGGAAGTTTGTTTCTTTGAATCTTTCTGTCAGTTTAACTGTTATCATCAATTGGTTAGCATTCTAATAATAATTATAATTATAGTAAACATTTATTGAGTGCTTACGAAGAGCCAGTTCCAAGCTTTTTTATCTCCATTATTCTGCTACTTTCCTTCTCATTTTACAGATGAGGAAAATGAGGCACAGAGTGGTTAATTAATCTGTTTGAGGTCCCGTAGCAGGTCAGTGATGCCAGGGTTCAAACCTACACTTAACTCTACACTAGAGACTGTTTTCTTAATTATTTCTTCACAATCATATGTTTAATGATTACTTATTGATTATTTAGTGGTCTGATAAGAAGAGGGAGCGGTGCTCTTCTGTTGGAGAAGAAAGGCTGGCTGATCAAGACACACTGGTTGGTTTGAAGAAAAAATATAGATGTTAATTCCATAACACCACACTCTAAACATTTCTACTGGACGAGTTCCACCTGTGTGCCACTCGAAGTCGGATGCAGTAAGGAAGGCTTTTTATTGAGGAGAGAACGAATACCTCTGTATTCAAAAGAGAGTGTGTTGTTCCTTATAGAAGATGGAAGGGGGCTTGCCAGTGACAGATTATGATGATTACCTCCTTAGTGGTTTTTTTTTATTGCACAGACTATAATAATAATTATAAAAATTTGTAAATCAAGAAAAATCTTTACCCCAACAAATTGTTTTTATATTTTTCATATTCATATTTTTTCATATTCATTTTATTTTTTCATATTCAAAAATAAAACAATTTTCATATTCATTTCAATTGTTTATTTTTTCATATTCAAAAATAAAACAATTTTCATATTCATTTCAATTGTTTTATTTTTTCATATTTTTCATATTTCATATTTTTTCATTTTTATACACAGTTATAGAGTATCTACTTATTTTTCATTTAACATTATGCTATAACAGGTTTTAAAGTTAGGCAGTAAGTCTTTCCAGTGAAAAGGAAAAGACTGAAACATGAAAAGGTTACGAGGCATTACTAATTGATTGGAATGATGCCTACCAGGCAGCCCATGTCAGTTTTGGAGCTGGCCTTGGAAGGAACAGCTGTGTATTTGGACCTTGGAGCAGTCTGTCAGGCTTCCAAGAAAGTGGGCAAAGAAGGAAGGGGGGTTGGGGGCACAAGTGGAAAAGTACAGTGGTTTGGAACTGATGTGAAACTATCAAGCTGGTTGAGTTCAGTGTTAGAAAATAGGAAAAACAAAACAATTTCTACCTGATATGGTACTTTAATTGAGGTTAGCACTTCAGTGAATAGGCAATGCATTATAATTTGTCAGAATTATCAATATTTTGTTCTTGTCAGTGGCTTTATATTTAATAGTTACATGTTATAAAGCCAGTTTTATCAGTGAAAGAACAAAGTTCTTGACAAATGCTATTTTAGTGATAAAGCTGTTATTCTGTATTTAAATTCAGTTTAACTCAAAGTGGTTTTTAAGTTTTACATTTGTATAACTGTAGACTAGCCATATGGCATTCAAAGGCCTCCAAGATATAACTTGAGACACTCTTAGGATGGAATCCCATATTCAGAATCTTTACTGACAGCTCCCCATATCCAAATTGCCTTTTCTCTCTTGGGCCTCTGGGTGTGACAAGGGACAACTTGAGTGAAAGGCCACAGGACAAAGTAGAGATGCTGTTAAATCTCAATGCAGAAGGCCTGAGACAACTGATAGAGACAATTGTTTCTCTTTTCTCCCTCATAAAATAAGTAAAATTCAAAGTGATTTTTTTTTAATTTTTTGCTTTGACACATTGTGTTTAGTCTGATTGAGGTCATCTTACACAACAGAATCCAAAATCCTGAGAAAATAATTTATACAACTAGAATTCCAAAATTAGGTTTTGCATTAAGTTCAAGCTATCATTTCTTTAAGAAAACCTACACTGGAGTTACCAACTGGAATATTTGGTTATGAGACACAGTCATCATGTCAGAGTATGTAGTTTGCTTCTAACACTTATTTGTGTGCTTTTAAGACCTGCTCCCTGCCACACTTTATCATAACAAAAAACAAGAGACACATGTTAGTACTGTAGCATGTATAGTCATGGGGAATGTGTTCTAAACGAAATCCCATCACAGTGGAGTCAACACAATATTTCTAGGGGAGAAGGTCTTCCTGTTAAACTCATGTGAAGGCATTCTTCTCTACTATGGGAACTTGTTTATGTGCCCTCTAGAAGACAGCTGAGATGGTCTTCAGTGAATCTGTTCACTGACATGTTGCTAGTTTCTTTATGTTTACATGTAAACAGTGCTTAGAAGCATCTTTCCCCAAGCTGTTCTTTTTTTGATGGACTCCCCCTTTTTGGGGGAGTATCAGTTGAATGAGCACTGTTGTACTCTCAGCACTAGACATTCTGTTATGTGTGTGTGGAGCTTCCTTGTGGCTTGGTAGCATTACCTCTGCATTACATGCTGCAGCCTCACCAGGCAGAAGGGCCATTCACTTCTGCTGCTACTTACCAGCACCTCTGTTTCCTCGAGTGTGTTACCCTCCCACCACCTGGGCCTTGGACCTGGGTCCGTTGGGCTATTATCCATGCTCCCACCTGCCCATCTCTGCTCTGATATAATCTACTAGGATAATAAAGTAGCTTTTCCCTACCATAATGTTTTTTAAATAGACATACAGCAATGTATAATGGTTAAGAGCATGATCCAAACTGTGTCTGATTTTGAATCCTGGCTGAGTTACTAGCTATGTAATCTTGAGAAAACTACTCAATCTCTCTGTGCCTTAATTTTCTTAGGTATAAAGCAGATACTAATTATGCCATCATAGGGTAGGTATGAGGATTAAATGAGTGAGTATTTGTAAAACACTTAAAACAGTGACTGACTTGGGCTACCCCTTTTGGGTCCCCTCCCTTTGTATGGGAGCTCTGTTTTCACTCTATTAAATCTTGCAACTTCACACTCTTCCAGTCTGTGTTTGTTATGGCTCAAGCTGAGCTTTCGCTCGCTGTCCACCACTGCTGTTTGCTGCCATCGCAGACCCGCCGCTGACTTCCACCCCTCTGGATCCGGCAGGGTGTCCACTGCACCTCTGGTCCAGCGAGGTGGTGCCCATTGCCGCTCCCAATCGGGCTAGGGGCTTGCCATTGTTCCTGCACGGGCTAAGTGCCCTGGGTTCATGCTAATTGAGCTGAATAGAGCTGTAACACTCACTGTATGGCCCAAGGTTCCATTCCTTGGAATCTGTGAGGCCAAGAACCCCAGGTCAGAGAAGAAGAGGCTTGCCGCCATCTTGGAAGCAGCCCGCCACCATCTTGGGAGCTCTAAGAACAAGGACCCCCCGGTAACATTTTGGCCACCATGAAGGGACTTCCAAAGCGGTGAGTAATATGGGACCACTTTTGCTTGCTGTTCTGCCCTATTCTTCATTGGAATTGGAGGAAAATACCGGGCACCTGTCAGCTGGTTAAAAACAATTAGCATGGCCACCAGACTTAAGACTCAGGTGTGAGGCTGTCTGGGGAAGGGCTGTCTAACAGCCCCCAACCCTTCTGGGTTGGGAGCGTTGGGCTGTCTGGAACCAGCTTCCACTTTCAGTTTTCCTGGGGAAGCTGAGGGCCGACTAGAGGCAGAAAGCTGTTGTCCTGAACTCCTGGTGTTAGCTGGTTGAGATCATGGCGCAGCCAGAAGTCTCTACTCAACAGTCAGCCATGCGTGCACCCCTACCTTTCCTTCTGACCTATACCTCTTGGTCCTGACCACAACTTGCTTGAAAGTGTAGCCCCAAAATTCTCCTTACCTCTGAATCTACTTCCTCCAATCCCTGCCTCCTAGGTACTAATGGTTCAGACCTTCATTTCCTCTAGCAAGCTGTATCTCCAAAGGGATCTAAGGAAGCTCTATGCTGTGTCCTTAAGCCCCTAGGCTCTGAACCCAGATAGTCTTGTCCCTGGTGTCCCTCCCAATTTAGGCATACAGCTCTCAACATGGGCAGTTATGTAGGACCTGTTCCCCACCATCCTTGCCAGGGTCCCAGGTTTGTAAAGGGCTAGGAGAAGAGAGAGAGAGAGAGAGACAGAGACAGAGGGGAGAGAAAGAGAGAGAGACGAAGAGGGAGTCAAAGAGAAAAAGAAAGAGAAAGATAGAAGTAGTAAAGAAAAAATAGTGTGCCCTATTCCTTTAAAAGCCAGAGTAAATTTAAAACCTATAATTGATAATTGAAGGTCTTCTCCTGACCCTGTAACACTCCAATACCACTTTATTGTCAGTGTAAACAAGGGGGTAGCCCAAAAACACTGAGACCACTGACAACCTATCAAAATCCTATCAAAAATCCGTAACCCAGTAACACGTGGATGGGCCAAAGGCATTCAGTCGGTAGCGGCAACTGCTTTGCTAAAAGTAGAAAAATAACTTTAGAGGAAACCTCATTGTGAGTACACCTCACCAGTTCAAAACTATCCTAAGTCAAAAAAGCAAAAAGGTAACTTACTAACTCGAAAATCTTAAAATATGGGGCTCTTCTGTTAGAATAAAGGTAACTTATTAACCACTGAAAATTCCCTTAACCCAGCAGATTTCCTAACAGGGGATTTAAATCTTAATTACCATACAAAGGTCCGACAGATCTAGGAGGAACTCCCTTCAGGACAGGATGATAGATGGTTCCTCCCAGGTAATTGAGGGAAAAAACCACAATGGGTATTTAGTAATTGATAGGGAAACTCTTGTAGAAGCAGAGTTAGGAAAATTGCCTAATAATTGGTCTGCTCAAACATGCGAGCTATTTGCACTCAGCCAAGCCTTAAAGTGTTTACAGAATCAAAAAAACTCAATCTCAATCCTGACTCAAAAGGTTACCTACACCCTCTCTGAAATGAATTTGCATAAGAACTGTTGTTTATGGGAATGCATCTTGATGGGGCAACTGGGTTGTTATGAAATACTCAGGAACCCAGCCCAGCTCCAGGACTCACCCCTGAGCAAAAAAGCAATGTTGGGCACTCTGGTAAAGGACCACTAGAATCCAGCAGCCTGGACCCCTTTCTTTGTGGTCAAGAAAGGCAGGAAAAGGGGTGCAGGACTGCTACATCAGTGAGTGCAACTAATCTGATAAGCAGAGGTCCATGGGTGGTTACACACCCTGGAAAGGAATAAACATTAGGACCATAGAGAACGCTCTAGGACTAATGCTCATTGGAAAATGACTAGGGGTGCTGGCATCCCTATGTCCTTTTTTCAGATAGGAAATGTTCCCCCCAAGGCAAAAATGCCCGTAAGATATATTCTGGAGAATTGGGACCAATTTGACTCTCAGATGCTAAGAAAGAAATGACTTACATTCCTCTGCAGTACCACCTGGCCATGATGTCCTCTTCAAGGGGGAGAAACCTGGCCTCCTGAGGGAAGTATAAATTATAACACCATCTTACAACTAGACCTCTTTTGTAGAAAAGAAGGCAAATGGAGTGAAGTGCCATATGTACAAACTTTCTTTTCATTAAGAGACAACTTGCAATTATGTAAAAAGTATGATTTATGCCCTACAGGAAGCCCTCAGAGTCTACCTCCCTAACCTGATGTCCCCCTGACTCCTTCCCCAACTAATAAGGACCCCCCTTTCAACCCAAACAGTCCAAAAGGACATAGACAAAGGAGTAAACAATGAACCAAAGAGTGCCAATATTCCCTGGTTATGCACCCTCCAAGCGGTGGGAGAAGAATTCGGCCCAGCCAGAGTGCATGTACCTTTTTCTCTCTCACACTTGAAGCAAATTAAAATAGACCTAGGTAAATTCTCAGATAACCCTGATGGCTATATTGATGTTTTACAAGGATTAGGACAATCCTTTGATCTGACATGGAGAGATATAATATTACTGCTAAATCAGACGCTAACCTCAAATGAGAGAAGTGCTGCCATAACTGGAGCCCGAGAGTTTGGCAATCTCTGGTATCTCAGTCAGGTCAATGATAGGATGACAACGGAGGAAAGAGAACGATTCCCCACAGGGCAGCAGGCAGTTCCCAGTGTAGCTCCTCATTGGGACACAGAATCAGAAGATGGAGATTGGTGCCGCAGACATTTGCTAACTTGCGTGCTAGAAGGACTAAGGAAAACTAGGAAGAAGCCTATGAATTATTCAATGATGTCCACTATAACACAGGGAAAGAAAGAAAATCCTACCACCTTTCTGGAGAGACTAAGGGAGGCATTGACAAAGCATATCTCTCTGTCACCTGACTCTATTGAAGGCCAACTAATCTTAAAGGAAAAGTTTATCACTCAGTCAGCTGCAGATATTAGAAAAAAACTTCCAAAGTCCGCCTTAGGCCCGGAGCAAAAGTTAGAAACCCTACTGAACTTGGCAACCTCGGTTTTTTATAATAGAGATCAGGAGGAGCAGGCAGAATGGGACAAATGGGATAAAAAAAAAAAGGCCACTGCTTTAGTCATGGCCCTCAGGCAAGCGGACTTTGGAGGCTCTGGAAAAGGGAAAAGCTGGGCAAATAGAATGCCTAATAGGGCTTGCTTCCAGTGCGGTCTCAAGGACACTTTAAAAAAGATTATCCAAATAGAAATAAGCCACTCCCTTGTCCATGCCCCTTATATCAAGGGAATCACTGTAAGGCCCACTGCCCCAGGGGACGTAGGTCCTCTGAGTCAGAAGCCACTAACCAGATGATCCAGCAGCAGGACTGAGGGTGCCTGGGGCAAGCACCAGCCCATGCCATCACCCTCACAGAGCCCTGGGTATGCTTGACCATTGAGGGCCAGGAGGCTAACTGTCTCCTGGACACTGGTGTGGCCTTCTCAGTCTTACTCTCCTGTCCCGGACAACTGGCCTCCATATCTGTCACTATCCCAGGACAGCCAGTCACTAGATACTTCTCCCAGCCACTAAGTTGTGACTGGGGAACTTTACTGTTTTCACATGCTTTTCTAATTGTACCTGAAAGCCCCACTCCCTTGTTAGGGAGAGACATTCTAGCAAAAGCAGGGGCCATTATACACCTGAACATAGGAGAAGGAACACCCATTTGTTGTCCCCTGCTGGAGGAAGGAATTAATCCTGAAGTCTGGGCAACAGAAGGACAATACGGATGAGCAAAGAATGCCCATCTTGTTCAAGTTAAACTAAAGGATTCTGCCTCCTTTCCCTACCAAAGGCAGTACCCCCTTAGACTGGAGGCCCACCAAGGACTCCAAAAGATTGTTAAGGACCTAAAAGCCCAAGGCCTAGTAAAAGCATGCAGTAGCCCCTGCAGTACTCCAACTTTACGAGTACAGAAACCCAACAGACAGTGGAGGTTAGTGCAAGATCTCAGGATTATCAATGAGGCCATTGTCCCTCTATACCCAGCTGTACCTAATCCTTATATTCCGCTTTCCCAAATACTAGAGGAAGCAAAGTGGTTTACAGTCCTGGACCTTAAGGATGCCTTTTTCTGCACTCCTATACATGCTGACTCTCAATTCTTGTTTGCCTTTGAAGATCCTTCGAACCCAACATCTCAACTCACCTGGACTGTTTTACCCCAAGGATTCAGGGATAGCCCCCATCTATTTGGCCAGGCATTAGCCCAAGACTTGAGCCAGTTCTCATACCTGGATATTCTTGTCCTTTGGTATGCGGATGATTTACTTTTAGCCGCCCGTTCAGAAACCTTGTGCCATCAAGCCACCCAAGTGCTCTTAAATTTCCTCGCCACCTGTGGCTACAAGGTTTCCAAACCAAAGGCTCAGCTCTGCTCACAGCAGAGGGCTATTTATCCCTAAATACTTAGGGCTAAAATTATCCAAAGGCACCAGGGCCCTCAGTGAGGAATGTATCCAGCCTATACTGGCTTATCCTTATCCCAAAACCCTAAAACAACTAAGAAGGTTCCTTGGCATAATAGGCATAACAGGCATAACAGGTTTCTGCTGAATATGGATTCCCAAGTACGGCAAAATAGCCAGACCATTATATACACTAATTAAGGAAACTCAGAAAGCCAATACCCATTTAGTAAGATGGACACCTGAAGCAGAGGCAGCTTTCCAGGCCGTAAAGAACACCCTAACCCAAGCCCCAGTGTTAAGCTTGCCAGCGGGGCAAGACTTTTCTTTCTATGTCACAGAAAAAATAGGAATAGCTCTAGGAGTCCTTACACAGGTCCGAGGGACCAGCTTGCAACCCATGGCATACCTGAGTAAGGAAATTGATGTAGTGGCAAAGGGTTGGCCTCATTGTTTACGGGTAGTGGCGGCAGTAGCAGTCTTAGTATCTGAAGCAGTTAAAATAATACAAGGAAGAGATCTTACTGTGTGAACCTCTCATGATGTGAACCGCATACTCACTGCTAAAGAAGACTGGTGGCTGTCAGACAACTGTTTGCTTAAATATCAGGCTCTATTACTTGAAGGGCCAGTGCTGTGACTGCGCACTTGTGCAACTCTTAACCCAGCGACATTTCTTCCAGACAATGAAGAAAAGATAGAACAGAACTGTCAACAAGTAATTGCTCAAACCTACGCCGCTTGAGGGGACCTTCTAGTGGTTCCCTTGACTGATCCCAACCTCAACTTGTATACTGATGAAAGTTCCTTTGTAGAAAAAGGACTTCGAAAAGCAGAGTGTGTAGTGGTCAGTGATAATGGAATACTTGAAAGTAATCCTCTGACTCCAGGAACTAGTGCTCAGCTGGCAGAACTAATAGCCCTCACTCAGGCACTAGAATTAGGAGAAGGAAAAAGGGCAAATATATATACAGACTCTAAGTATGCTTACCTAGTCCTCCATGCTCACGCAGCAATATGGAGAGAAAGGGAATTCCTAACTTCTGAGGGAACCCCTATCAAACATCAGGAAGCCATTAAGAAACTATTATTGGCTGCACAGAAATCTAAAGAAGTGGCAGTCTTACACTGCTGTAAGAAAGGACAGAGAAATAAAAGGGAACCGCCGAGTGGATATTGAAGCCGAAAGAGCCACAAGGCGGGACCCTCCATTAGAAATGCTTATAGAAGAACCGCTAGTATGGGGTAATCCCCTCCAAGAAACCAAGCCCCAGTACTCAGAAGAAGAAATAGAATGGGAAACCTCATGAGGACGTAGTTTCCTCCTCAGGATGGCTAGCCACCAAAGAAGGAAAAATACTTTTGCCTGCAGCTAACCAATGGAAATTACTTAAAACCCTTCACTTAGGCATTGATAGCACCCATCAGATGGCCAAATCATTATTTACTGGACCAGGCCTTTTCAAAACTATGAAGCAGATAGTCAGAGCCTGTGAAGTGTGCCAAAAAATAATCCCCTGCACTTCAGGCCATGCATTTCAATCCCTGAATCTTTAACCTCCTTGTTAAGTTTGTCTCTTACAGAATTGAAGCTGTAAAGCTACAAATGGTTCTTCAAATGGATCCCCAGATGCAGTCTATGACTCAAATCTACCGCGGACCCTTGGACCGGCCTGCTAGTCCATGCTTCGATGTTGATGATATCAAAGGCACCCCTCCCGAGGAAATCTCAAGTGCATGACCCTTAGTTGCACCAGTTCAGCAGGAAGCAGTTAGAGCGGCCGTTGGCCAACCTCCCCAATAGTACTTGGGTTTTCCTGTTGAGAGGGGTTGCTGAGAGACAGGACTAGCTGGATTTCCTAGGCCGACTAAGAATCCCTAAGCCTAGCTGGGAAGGTGACTGCATCCACCTTTAAACACGGGGCTTGCAACGTAGCTCACACCCGACCAATGAGGTAGTAAAGAGAGCTCACTAAAATGCTAATTAGGCAAAAACAGGAAGTAAAGAAATAGCCAATCATCTATCACCTGAGAGCACAGGGGGAGGGACAATGATCAGGATATAAACCCAGGCGTTCTAGCCGGCAACGGCTACCCTCTTTGGGTACCCTCCCTTTGTATGGGAGCTCTGTTTTCACTCTATTAAATCTTGCAACTGCACAAAAACCAAACCAAACCAAACCAAACAAACAAAAAAACAGTGACTGACTTATGGTAAACATTATATAAGCATAAAGTAAACCAAATACTTTTTTTCTAATTATAAAAGTCCTACACTAACATTGCAGAAAACTTGAGGAATTCAGAAAAGTTATTACTTAGTAAGAGTTGGAATGAATAAATAAGTGGGTAGTTAGGATGGCAGGCATGTGTTTTAGGCAGAGAGATACAAGATAAAGAACTAAAACTAGAATCTGGTCTTTGAACCCCTGGCCTGATTGTCTTATTCATCATGATGATTTGCCTATTTTTCCAATTTCTAAATCATTCCTCTGCTGTTGACAAAGCAATAAATTGTTATATTTGATAAGTGAATCTTCAGAGAACTGGCCTTGAGCCAGCTCTACAACTAACCAGCTCTGTGGCCCTTTGGAGAATTTCTTAATATTTGTAAACCTCAGCTTTCCTACCAGTGAAATGAAGTTAGTCCTCCCTGTCCTGCAGGGTTGCTGCAAGGATTTAACAACATGTATATGTACAAACCACTTAGTCCTGTGCTTGGCCTATTTGGTGCTTTTTTTTTTTCTTTTTTTTAAGACAGGGTCTTGCTTGAATCTTGCTGAGGCTGGATTCAAACTCCGGGGCTCAAGTGATCCTCCTGCCTCAGCCTTCCAAGTAGCTGGGACTACAGGCCTGCACCACTGTGCCTGGTGGCAGTGCTCGTTGAATGTTCTTTTTCCTTAGTTCCTTCCTAGCTCTTCTGACAGTTTTGGGGCTTATGTATATAAGAAGGACTTGGTTGCCTCAGGGAGAGAGGATGCAGTAGAGTTACATAGCTCACCTCACATCCTCCAAAAGCTGAATTCATAAGTAAACAAAGTGAGCATTTCACCCATACTTTACACAAAGTCTAGAATATTTATGGTGTCCATCAGGCTCACATACTGTGACCTTCTGAGATACTTTTCCCTCTCCATTCCCTTTCCTTCTCCCTGCTGGCTTTTTTTTTTCTTCTTCTTCTTTTTTTTTTTTTTTTACTGTGAAAAACAACCTATATACAGAATAGTACAAAAACATACCTGTATAGTTTGAAGAGTAATTATTAACAGTCTTATTAAGAAACAATGCTCCATCCATGTTACTGCAAAAGACATGACCTTATTCTTTTTCTTCTTAATTTTTTTCTTTTTCTTTCTTTATTTTGGCCCTTTTTCAGATCTAGACCTGCAGAGATCTTGTTCTTTTTTTGAGACAGCATCTCGCTCTGTCACCAGGCTGGAGTTCAGTGGCGTGATCTCGGCTCACTGCACCCTCTGCCTCCTGGGTTCAAGTGATTCCCCTGCCTCAGCCTCCTGAGTAGCTGGGACTACAGGCGCGTGCCACCACATCCAGCTAATTTTTTTATTTTTAGTAGAGACTGGGTTTCATCATGTTGGCCAGGATGGTCTCAATCTCTTGACCTGGTGATCTGCCTGCCTCGGCCCCCAAAAGTGCTGGAATTACAGGCATGAGCCACCACGCCCAGCCGATCTTGTTCTTTCTTATGACTGTGTAGTATTCCATGGTATATATGTACCACATTTTCTTTATGCATTCTATCATTGATGGGCATCTAGGTTGATTCCATGTCTGCTATTGTGAACAGTGCTGCAGTGAACATTCACGTGCATGTGTCTTTGTGGTAGACTGCTTTATATTCCTCTGGGTATATGCTCAGTAATAGGATTGCTGGATTGAATGGTAGTTCTTCTTTTAGCTCTTTGAGGATACTGCTTTCCACAATGGTTGAACTAACTTACACTCATACAGTATATAAGCATTCCTTTTTCTCTACAACCTCGCCAGCATCTGTTACTTTTTGACTTATAGGTGGGAGCTAAATGATAAGAACTTATGAATGTAAAGAAGGAAACAGACACTGGGATCTACTTGAGTGGGAAGAGTGGGAAGAGGGAGAGGAGCAAAAAAGATAACTCTTGGTTACTAAGCTTAATACTTGGACAATGTAATAATATGTACAACAAACCCCTGTGACACATGTTTATCTATGTAACAAACCTTCACATGTACCCCTAAACCTAATTTTTTTTAAAAGAAACAGAATGCCAGCCAGGCATAGAGGCTAATTGCCTCTAATCCCAGCACTTTGGGAGGGTGAGATGGGCAGATCACTTGAGCCCAGGAGTTTAAGGCCAGCCCAGGCAACATAGCAGAACCCCATCTCTTCAAAAAGTACAAAAATTAGCTGGGCATGGTGGTGTGCACCTGTAGTCCCAGCCCCTTGGGAGACTGAGCTGGGAGGATGGCTTGAGCCCAGGAGGTCAAGGCTGCAGTGAGCTGTGATCATGCCACTGCACTCCAGCCTGGGCGACACAGCAAGACCCTGTCTCCAAAAAAAAAAAGAAAAGGAACAGAATGTTACCAGCCCAACTGCACTTCTTCACTCCCCCACCACTCTAATGAAGTCATCACTAACCCACTTCTAAAGTACTCACATACCCTATGTCTATGGAGGTATGTCAGTGGAGGCTAAGGTATGCCAGTGGAGGCTTATGTACCTTATGTCTAAATATTTAAAGTTATTAAATTAAAAAACCATTAAAATATGCTTTCTACCTTGACAAACCTTTATAACAAAATTAGAAAATGTTTAATGTTATGGCATTAAATAATTGAAAGCAAAATATCAAAGATGATAGAATTTAATTAATTATTTTATTTTATTTTATTTGAGAGAGGGTCTTTCTGTGTCACCAAGGCTGGAGTGCAGTGATGCAATCATGGTTCACTGCAACCTCAACTTCCCGGGCTCCAGTGATCCTCCCGCCTCAGCCTCCCAAGTGGTTGGGACTACAGACATGTGCCACCAAATCCAGCTAATTTTTAAATTGTTTTTAATAGAGGTAAGGGTCTCACTATGTTGCCTAGGCCAGTCTCGAATTCCAGGGGCTCAAGGGATCCTTTTGCCTTGTCCTCCCAGAGTGCTCGGATTTAAGGTGGGAGCCACTATACCCACCCAACATAATTCAATTATTTAATATTTCACATGTTTTAGTATTCCTTTGATAGGGATGTGATGTTTGGGTGAATAATAAAGTAAATCAAAGACATATATTTGAAAATTATGTAGTTATTCTAAAAAATTAATTATTTACCTTTATTTTAGCAAAATCAGTGTGTTAGCATAATCAAGATATTTTGGTATTCTAGTAACAAGATCTAGTCACAGTAATGATGTAAAGATTAAAAAATAAAATATAATAGGAACCAGTATAAACAAGTGGAATTTAAATTTAAAATGCAATACCAGCTGGGTGCGATGCCTCACGCCTGTAATCCCAGCACTTTGGGAGGCCAAGGCAGGCGGATCACCTGGGGTCAGGAGTTCAAGACCAGCCTGACCAACATGGAAAAACCCCATCTCTCCCAAAAATACAAAATAAGTTGGGTGTGGTGGTGCATGCCTGTAATCCCAGCTACTTGGGAGGCGGAGGCAGGAGAATCACTTGAACCAGGGAGGCAGAGGTTGTGATGAGCCGAGATCACACCATTGCACTCCAGTTTGGGCAACAAGGGCAAAACTCTGTCTCAAAAACAAAAAGAAACAAAAAACACAGTACCATTTACATTAGCACCCCTCAAAATGAAATACTTAGGTATAAATCCAGCAAAATAGGTATAAGAGATATATAAGTAAAACTATAAAGCTCTGATGAAAGAAATAAAAGAACCAAATAAATGGACAGATATTCCATGTTCATGGATAGGAAGACTCAGTAATGTCAAGATGTCAGTCCTTTTCATCTTTATCTATAGATTCAGTACACTTCCAATCAAAATCCCCGCTAGTTATTTTGTGGATATTGACAAACTGATTCTAAAGTTTATGTGGACAGGCAAAAGACCCAAAATAGGTGACATGCTATTGAAGCAGAATAAAGTTAAAGTCTCTACTTCTTCTTCAATATCATTTTCTTCAATATCAAATCAACTCATTTTCTTCAATATCAAGTCAACTGTAGACTGACAGTGTCCTACTTCAAGACTTACTGTAAAGCTACAGTAATCAGAACAGTATGGTATTGGTGAAAGAATAGACAAACAGATCGATGGAACAGAATAGAGAGCCCAGAAATAGACCCAGACAAATACAGTTAATCTTTGACAAAGGAGCAAAGGCAATAGAATGGAGGAAAGATACCCTTTTCAACAAATGCTGTTGGAATAACTGGATGTCCACATGTAAAAAAATGAATCTAGACACAGACCTTACACCCTTCACAAAAATGAACACAAAATGGATCATCAACCTAGACATGAAACACAAAACTATACAAATTTCTGCTCTGTGAAAGACAATGTCAAGAGAATGAGAAGACTTGGAAAATATTTGCAAAAGACACATCTGATAAATGATTCTTATCTAAAATATATAGGAACTCTTAAAACTGAACAATAAAAAAGAAACCTGATTTTAAAATGTGCCAAACACTCTAATAGATATCTCATCAAAGAAGATATATAGATGGCAAATAAGCATATGCAAAGATGCTCCACATCATAGGTCATCAGAAAAATGCAAATTAAAATGATGAGATTCTACTACACACTTATTAGAATGGCCAAAATCCAAAACACTGACAACACCAAGTGCTGGTGAGGATGTGGGACAACAGGAACTTTCATTTATTGCTGGTGGGAATGCAAAATGGTATAGCCACTTTGGAAGACAGTTTGCAGTTTCTTACAAAATTAAACACACTCATCATATGATCCAACAATTGCAGTCCTTGATATTTACCCAAAGGAGTTGAAAACTTATATTCACACAGAAACCTGCACATAGTTGCTTACAGCAGCTTTATTCATAATTGCCAAAACTTTGAAGCAACCAAGATGTCCTTCAATAGGTAAATGAATAAATAAACTGTAGCATATCCAGAAATGGAGTACTCAGTGCTAAAAAGGAATGAGGTATCAAGCTATGAAAAGACATGGAGGAACCTTTATATTTTTATTTTTTTAGAGACAGGGTCTTGCTCTGTCATCCAGGCTGGAATGCAGTGGCACAATTATGGCTCACTGTTGCCTTGACCTCCTGGGCTTGAGCTCTCTTCCTGCCTCAGCCTCCCAAGTAGCTGGGACTACAGGTGCATGTCACCACACCTGGCTAATTTTTTTTTTTGAGAGATTGGGTCTTGCTGTGTTGCCCAGGCTGGTTTTGAACTCCTGGGCTCAAGTGATCTTCCTGCCTCAGCCTCCCGAAGTGCTGGGATTATAAGTGTGAGCCACTATGCCTGACTTTTTTTTAAATTTATTTTTCTTCTAGAGACAAGGCCTTGCTTTTTATTGCCCAGGCTGGAGTGTAGTGATGCAGTCATAGCTCACTGTGGCCTCAAGATCCTGGGCTCAAGTAGGAGCCCAGCTAATTTTTTTTAAAATTTTTGTAGAGATGGAGCCTTGCAATGTGGCCCATGCTATGGAGGAAACTTAAATGCATATTTCTAAGTGAAGAAGCCAGTCTGAAAATGTTATATACCATGGGATTTCAACTATAAGACATTCTGGAAATGGCAAAACGAAGGCAACAATAAAAAGATGAATTGTCAGGGAGTTGGTCAGGGGAGAATGAATAGGTGGAGTACAGAAGATTTTTAGGGCAGTGAAATGTCTCTGATACAGTAATGGTGGA
This sequence comes from Homo sapiens, assembly GCF_000001405.40. NCBI lineage: Eukaryota > Metazoa > Chordata > Mammalia > Primates > Hominidae > Homo > Homo sapiens. Next base: position 111,143,765 of record NC_000006.12, read on the forward strand.
CACACGTTGTATATTTGTCCAAATCCATAGATTCTATAATACCAACAGTGAACCTTAATATAAACTATGGACTTTGGGGCTGGGCATGGTGACTCATGTCTGTAATCCCAACACTTTGGGAGGTCAAGATGGGAGGATCACTTGAGGCCAGGAGTTTGAAACCAGCCTGGTCAGCATCGTGAGGCCCTATCTCTACAAAAATAAGGAAACCATGGACTTTGGATTATAATGATGTTTCAGTGTAGGTTCCTCAGTTATAACAAATGTACTACTCTGGTGGGGGATGTTTATAATAAAGGAGGCAATGCATGTGTTGGGGCAGGAGGTATACGAGAAATCTGTTTACCTTCCTCTAAATTTTACTGTGAATCCAAAACTGCTCTTAAAAAAAAAGGTCTTAAAAAATAAAATTATATTTGAGGGAAAATATTTGAATTATTATTATTATTTTCTTTTTGAGACGGAGTCTCTCTCTGTCCCCCAGGCTGGAGTGCAGTGGCACGATTTCGGCTCACTGCAAGCTCTGCCTCCCGGGTTCACGCCATTCTCCTGCCTCAGCCTCCCTAGTAGCTGGGACTACAGGCACACGCTGCTATGCCCGGCTAATTTTTTGTATTTTTAGTAGAGATGGGGTTTCACCGTGTTAGCCAGGATGGTCTCGATCTCCTGACCTCGTGATCTGCCCGCCTCAGCCTCCCAAAGTGCTGGGATTACAGGCATGAGCCACCGCGCCTGGCCTATTTGAATGATTTTTATCAAAGATGTAAATTAAAACAAATGTAAAAATAAAAAACAAATCACTGTCTGATTCTATTTGTATAAATGTCTAGAAAATGCAAACTAACTTATAATGGCAAACTACTCTATAGATCAGCAGTTGCCTGGAGGCAAGAGGGAAGAATTGCAGTGAGGTATGATAAAACTTTTGGGGTAATAAATATATTCATTATCTTGATTGCAGTGATGTTGGCACAGGTACATCCATATGTCAAGATTTCTTGTTGAATACTTTATGTAGTTTATTGCATAACAATTCTATAAAATTAAAAATCATAAAATTTTGTTTGTTTTAAAAACATTCTTTCTTTCTTTTTTCCTGAGACGGAGTCTCCCTGTATCACCTAGACTGGAGTGCTGATTGCAGCCTTGACCTCCTAGGCTCAAGTGATCCTCCAGCCTCAGCTTCCTAAGTAGCTGGTACCACACAGGCGCATGCCACCACACCCATATAATTTTTAAATTAGTTTTTGTAGAAATAGGGTCTTGCCATGTTGCCCAGGCTGGTCTTGAACTCCTGGGCTCAAGCAATCCTCCATCTTGGCCTCCCAAAGTGCTGAAATTACAGGTGTGAGCCACTGCACCTGGCCATCTTAATTTTTAATATTTAAAAGAAAAGTAAGGGCCAGACACTGTGGCTCTCACCTGTAATCCCAGCATAAGACCAGCCTGGGTAACATGGCAAGACCCCATCTCTATCAAAAATTGAAAAATTAACTGGGCATGGTGGTGGCCTGTGGTCCCAGCTACTCAGGAGGCTGTAGCTGGAGGATCACTTGAGCCTAGCACGTTGAGGCTGCAATAAGCCATGTTTGCATCACTGCACTCCAGCTTAGATGAGAGAGTGAGACCCTGTCTCAAAATAAATAGATAGATAATATATGTCGTAGTTTTAAAAATATATTATTAAGATAAAAAGCAAGCCAAGACAATTAAGTGGGGGAAGAATAGTTTTTCCAACAAATGGTGCTGGAACAACTGCATAGCCACAGGAAAAAGAATGAAGTTAGATCCCCTACCTCACACCATATAAAAAAATAACTCAAAATGGATTAAAGACCTAAGTATAAGCTGAGACAAGAAGATTACTTGAGGCTTGGAGTTCAAGACCAGCCTGGGCAACATATTGAGACCTCGTCTCTTAAAAAAGAAAAAAAATCAGCCGGGCATGGCAGTGTGTACCTGTATTCCTAGCTACTCAGAAGGCTGAGGCCAGAGGATTGCTTGAGCCCAGGATTTAGAGGCTGCAGTGAGCTATGATTGCACCACTGTACTCCAGCCTGGGTGACAGAGTGAGACCTTGTCTGCTCCACCCCTCCTCCACAAAGTGTAAAGGTATAAATGTTTGTGGCCTTGGATTAGGCAATGGTTTATTAAATATGACATTAAAAGCACAAACAACAACAAAATAGATTAATTGGACTTCATCAAAATTAAAACCTCTGTGCTTCAAAGGGCACACCAAGAAAGTGAAAAGAGAATCCACACAATGGGAGATAATTTTTTGCAAATCATGTATTTTACAAGACTGGTGTCCAGAATATATAAAGAACACTTGCAACTCAGCAATAAAAAGACAAGTAACACAATTTAAAAATGTTGAAAGGATTTGAATAGACATTTCTTCAAAGAAGACATATAAATCACCAATGAGCATATGAAAATGTACTCAACCTCATTGGTCATTAGAGAAATGCAAATAGAAGTCACACCCATTAGGATGGCTAAAATAAAAAAAGATGAACAATAACAAATGTTGGCAAGTATGTGGAAAAATTAGAACCCTCATACACTGTGGATGGGAATGTAAAATGGTGCAGACACTTTGGAAAGTTGGCTATTCCTCAGAGATTTACCACATGGCACAGCAATTCTACTTTTAGGTGTATACCCAAGACAATTAAAAAGATATATACAGGCCGGGCGCGGTGGCTCAAGCCTGTAATCCCAGCACTTTGGCCAAGGTGGGTGGATCACGAGGTCAGGAGATCGAGACCATCCTGGCTAATACAGTGAAACCCCATCTCTACTAAAAATACAAAAAATTAGCTGGGCGTGGTGGGGGGGCGCCTGTAGTCCCAGCTACTCGGGAGGCTGAGGCAGGAGAATGTCGTGAACCCGGCAGGCGGGGCTTGCAGTGAGCCGAGATTGCGCCACTGCACTCCAGCCTGGGCAACAGAGCGAGACTCCGTCTCAAAAAAAAAAAAGATATATACACAGAAAAACTTGTACATAGATGTTCATAGTAGTATTCCAATAAACATGCCCATCAGTAGATGAATGGATAAGCAAAACGTGGTGTATTAATAAATGAAATATTATCCAGCCACAAAAAGCAATGAAGTACTGATACATGATCCAATATGGATGGACCTTGAAAACTATACTAAATGAAAGAAACCAGCCACAAAAGGCCACATAGTACATGATTACATTTGTATAAAATGTCCAGAATTAGCAATTCCATAAAGACAGAAAGTAGATTAGTAGTTGCCAAGGGCTGAGGGAAGGAGGAATGGGAGTGACTGCTAATGGGTACAGGGTTTCTTTTTGGGGTGAGAAAAGTGTTCTGGAATTACATAATGATGATAGTTGTACAACTTTGTGAATATACTAAGACACACTGAATTGTATCTTTTAAAAAGTTAAATTTTATGGTATGTGAATGATACCTCATTAAAATAGTTACATGAGAAAAAAATCAAAGGCAAAATACAGAGTATAATTCAAGTATTTTAATTTTTAAATATAAAGTATTTATAGCCAAATTTGATTTACTTCTAAAATGTCTTATTAAATAGTTTAATAAAAGCAAAACTGTTCTAGCATTCAGTGTTTATTAATTTGCAATACACAAACAATATCATGTTTTACTCATGTTGGGTCCACCACATATGTATATATTTAAGAATAATGTGATTGGTCAGTACTGCAAAATGTTTTCGTGTACGGTGGCTGTGAGTACCATACTAATTAGTACACTAAGAACTATGAATTGGAACAGGAAGAAAAGCAAGAAAATGAACATTCAGCACTATTTGGAAATGAAACCTCACTATGCAAGAATTCATTGCATTCATGCCTTCTCAGGGGGAGTGTTTGATAAATTAATATTTCACTAACCTAAGAGCTTCTGCTGCTCAAATCCTCTACACACACTAATGCAGTGTCAGTCTCTGAGTTTGGCAGTGGCACAGCCATAACTTTATGGCAGTTAGGTGAAATCCCTTTTTGTTTTGTGGACATAGAACAACAGATGTGGAGTTGTACTTCTCTGGGGCCAGCACAAACGCCATTAAGTCTGTGAGTCTCATTCTGTCAGTGCTGAGCATCCATGTGTTCTTTGATTTGCGAGTGTGTGTTTGTGATTGGCAGGTTTCTCTTACGTGACTCTGAAGGAGTGTTGCTGATCACATCACACCCATCCTTAGGCCTTATTGATCATCAGTGTACCTTCCCACTACTATACTTTAAATAGATGCCTGTTATTTAAATTTGATTTTGAGATTAAACAGAATGGCAGAGACAATTTTGAGACACATCTTTCTTTCATGCTCTGGTAGGAAGATCAAGATTTCTAGGACAGTAGAACAGAGTAAAAGATGAGTGCTGTTGGGATCCTATCTTTCTCCTAAGCTATTTTTTCTCTCTCAGTTATTCATCATCTATCTCAATTTTTCCTAATGAACTCTTCTATATAAAAGAGGATCCAGGTCCCACATCCACTGTCAAGGAGGAATGTAAGATTGACTTGCAACTCAGCCTGTGTACGCAGTTTATGGTTTTTCTTGGCAGGTTTAATGTTCTTTCTTATCTCTTAACTTCTTGCTATTCAATAGTAAGTAACTCCCTGGCAGAATTACCTGTGGCTAGAGAATGCTGTTATCAGAGCATCTTTGTTTAATTGGTACTTAGAACAGAAGGTGTCACCTATTTGACAGGCCAACAATTATGAGCAAGGAGGCATTTGATTCATCAAGATAGAAATCTGCCTGTTAGGTGGAAACATGTCTATGTGGGTTGATATGTTTTTAGAATATTAAGGCTTGTTTGTGCATGACAACTTTAGGAAGGTGTACTCCAAATGTCTCCAAAGGTTTGCTGTAGTTCTTTACAGAAGTTGGGCTGCTCCTGGTGGACAGTGTGTAACAGTGAACAATGTATGCTCTAGACTGGGTTCCCTTCCTCCACCCTGTGTCTGTGTGGCCTTGGGCAAGTTGTTTAACCAACCACTTTTTGCCTCAGTTTCTTTATCGGAACAAGGAGAATAAGAATACTTCAATCAGGCCAGGCGTGGTGACTCACGCCTGTAATCCCAGCCTTTGGGAGGCCGAGGTGGGTGGATCACCTGAGGTCAGGAGTTCCAGACCAGCCTGGCCAACATGGTGAAACCCCATCTCTCCTTTACTTATGCTGGCCTGATATTGATCGTCCATGGTAGAATTGATACTGCTTGACAAAGCAGCCTATTTCAGTCAGGACCCTTCTTCTCTAGTTTCCTCTGTAGCTATTACCTTAGCCTTCCATTTCATTCTTCACACTACAGATACTCTCATTGATAAAGGAATGATGTCTTTATGCTTTCAAGCATTCTGGCAAGTTAGTAATTCAACTATGATTCTAGGTCAGACAAAACCAGTTATGAACATAAGACTGTTTTTAATCTCCTCCCTGGTCCCCCAACCACCCACCCCAATCAGGAGAAACTATGTTCTGCATTGGTTTAAGGAACCCGCTTCTTTCTTTGATACCTGACCTACAGATCCAATCTATTCCCAGGAATTTTGATAAGAATTCTCAAATCCTCAGCAAGGCTATGCCACTGTCATGACTCTCCTATTCCTGGTAGTGTCATTCTCAGTGTAGGCTGTTTGATAGGTAGTTTTGTGAAGTCTTGTTCATCATAATGGATCATATGATTTTTAAAAGCAGGACCTGGGTCATATGCCCAGATTAATTTCAACAAAGTTGGTATGTTTTCTTCCTAAAATTAATTTTTTATGATTATCAAAGTTTTATATGCATACAGTATAAAATATCAGATTTCTATAAGGCTTATAATAAAGAGTAGCATTCCTCTGCCCTATTCCCCTCTCATACTGGGCACCTTACTCCAAAATCAACTGCTTTCAGCTCTTTTAGCCATTTCTTATGGTTATCTTCATATTTCAAAACAGCATGCTTATATGGTTGTATTTTGAATTTTCAAACTTAGATTTTTATCTACAGACTTCCTTATGGAAGATAAATATTTAACTCTTTTTGTGCTACTCCTTTTCTCATCTCTTAATGTAGGCTATGTTAAAATTTTTGGTTAAATCAATTAAAAGCCAGTATAGTATAGTGGCTTAAGAGTGAGGGTGCTCACCTCAAATTCCAGCCTCACCACCCATTACTTTGTGTGACTTTGAGCAAGCTTTAAAACGTCAGTGTCTCAGTTTTGTCAACTGAGTAGATACCTCATAGAATTGCTGTTGATATTAAGTGACTTAATCCTATGGGCTGAATTTGTCTCCCAAAGTTCATTTGTTGGAAACTTAATCCCCAGTGCATGTGTTAAGAAGTGGGACCTTTCAGAGTTGAATAGGCTATGAGGGCTCTGCCTTCATGAATGGATTAATGCCGTTGTTGCAGTAGTGGGTTCCTTATAAAAGGAAGTGTTTGACCCCCTTTCCTTGCCACCTCATGCATGTGATGGCCTTAGCCATGTTATAATGCAGTAGTAACGCCCTTACCAGACACTGGCTCCTTGATCTTGGACTTCTCAGCCTCCAGAACTGTAAGAAATAAAAGTTTTTTCTTTATAAATTACCCAGTCTCTGGTATTCTGTTATGGCAGCAAAAAACAGACTGAGACACTTAATATATATGAAGCATCTAGACTGTCTGGCACATTGTACATTTTAAATCCCAGATATCGATATCATCAATATCATCATCATCATCATCTGTGGCTGTATAATACCTCCCTCTGCATTTAAAGGATGAGGGCTGGTGTAGCAGTTATTAATATAAGTGAGCTAGTTGGCTATAAACCTCTCCTATAGGCTTTGCCATAAACTTGTGTCATGGATAATCAGAGAATTTGGACCTCCTAATGACAGGCCACTGACAAGAAAAGCCCAGAGGGAGCTGATTGAGCATGCTCAGTTCTTTCTACCAAAGGCCTCAATCAGACAGATTCTCTTTCCCAGGAGTAGACACTGAGGGGGTGGAAACAGGCTCTGAGTTGACTCCACTGAGAAGTCCCTGAATGGATAGCAGCCAGGGAATTAAGGAGTTTCCCTGTGGCAAGTCTCTACTCGTACAATATTAGGACAGCTGTTTTTTTAATTTGTTCTGTGGGTGCATATTTTTGATCTCCACAACATAACTACTTACTCACTGTGTTGCTTTTTGAAATTTATAACATCTAAATTTGCAAATGTGAGGTATGCTCTCAGGAAAATTATATATCTGTTAAAATTCTTTGCTCCTTTTAGGACACTTCCATCCATCAGGTGACCTCTAGTAGCGTACATACTCAGCAACAATTAAAGGTAGTTTCTGGCTTGTTTTTCCCAAACAATAATTTGTTCAAAATACAGAAATTTGGAAAGTACCCCATGATGAGAAACTTTTGAAAGAGAATTTAATGTACAGTAACTATTTTTTTCCTCTGAGGAATAATTTTGGGAAAAGAAATTTGCTTTATATTCAGGCATATTGAGTAAGTTGCCTTCATTTTCAAACAAATTCATCACCTCTCCTTTCCCCATTCCCCAAACTTGTTCATTTTCTTCATTCTTAAACTCTGCATCTGTCTTCCCCTCACTTTACCACGTAGCTAAATCTCTTAAGAGCCAACCTATTGCCACTCCCTTCATCTTTTTTAATCTAATGGATCATAAGTCCTGTTGATTTCATCACTCACATCTCTCAAATCGGTCTCCTTGGATATCTTGCTACTTCTGATTTCAGACAATTGTCATTTGTCACTTGCAGCAGCCTTCCAGCTGCCTTCCTCCCAATCTCCCCTATGAGCATTCTGTTCTTCAAACTGTTGCCAAAGAGGAATTTCTAAAATACCGTTTGATCATGTAATTCCAGGTTTTAAAAACCTAATGTTGACTCTCTGACATTTAAAGAATAAAGTCCGTATTTCTTGGGATGACTGACATGGCTTTGCTGTGATTCTGGCTACATCCTTAGAGAATCACTTGCAGATATTAATTTTGCATATGCTATTCCCTTTACATGGAATGTTCCTGCCTCCTCTTTCCCCCATCCTTTGCCTGATGAACGCCTATTCATCCTCCATGTCACTTTGGGTGTTACCCTGAGGAAACAGTGGTTATTTTTTCCCTGCCCATCTGGGCTGGATACCCCTCCTAAGTTGTCCCACAACACACAGTACACACCTTGGTCGATTATCACACTGTTTGTTGTTCTGCCGTTGTTTGTGTCTCTTGAATATGAGTTTCTTGAGATTAGGGACCTGAGATCCCCAGTGCCCAGCAGAGCAGGACCTGTTTCCACCCCCTCAGTAACTACTCCTGGGGAAGAGAACCTACAAATAAATGTGTATTGCATGAATAAAGCTATATATCCCCTTCCTGTTCATACTTATCCATTTAATTTCTGAACTCTAAATGCTGTATTTTTCTCCATTAAATTTGGTTTTATTGGTTTCAGTTTCCTCTTTATATGGATTTTGAGTCCTAATTTTGTCAACCAGCATATCAACAGTTCTTTCTAGCTTTTGTCCCCCGGTAGAATGGCAGCTCCATGAAGACAGGGATTAGTGTCTGTTTTGTTCACTGCTGTTTTCTCAGCATCTAGAATAGTGCTGGCACATATAGATACTCACAAAGTATTTGTTGAATGAATGAAGGTGTTGCATACAAATTTGATAAATAAAACTTAGGTTTTCTTTCAAATATTAATCCTTAGCTCCATTCTGTTCAATATTTTTATTAGAGATAACCTTTAAAAATCTTCCTTGTCACATAAGAGTTAATTCCATGAATCTTACAGAACAAGGCTATACTGAGAAATTCAAGGAACACCTTAATGAATCAGGGTTATTTCATTGTGAGAGAGTATAGAAATGGTTGATAGTATGCTGTAAGTAATTTTACTTTACGTGTAAGTACTTTTCTCTGGCTTTCCAGAACATGCTGTTGGAGTAAGAGAGGAATGCCTTATTGTGGACCGAGGGGATAGATTTGGATACAGCCTTCTTTGAGGAAGGTAGAGAGGTCAACTATTACATATCCAGCAGTAACTTCCCTTTCAAAGACTAAGTGTTCTCATTCAATCATTTGATACTTTTTGTGCATCTACTACAATTTGAAGAATAGAAGAGGGAAATGCATGTGTAAGGCATGGTGGCAACATTTAAGAAACCCAGATTTGGGGATACAAGGTGTGTGTGTGCACATGCATGTGTGTGCAATTTAAATGCACAGGGTAAAGAACTTTGAGTCAGTGACAATGAGTGGCAATGGTGGTAATTAAGTGCTGGGGAAGATCAAGGGAGAGAGAGGGTGCTGAGAGCCAATAGGGTGGAACATGTTTGAAAGAGCTGGGTTCTGAAGTATTCCTCCATAGAAGGGCATTTTAAATAGCTTTTTTGCGTCCTTATTCTGTTAAGCATTATTAAATTGTTCTCCCATCTTTAAAAGGTTCCCTAGCTTAGGTGCACTGGCAAGAAATTATAAAAGCAGCATGACCAGGCGTGGTGGCTCATGCCTGTAATCGCAGCACTTTGGGAGGCCAAGGCGGGAGGATTTCTTGAGTTCAGGAGTTTGAGACCAGCCTGGGCAACATGGTGAAACCCTGCCTCTACAAAAAATACAAAAATTAGCTGGGAGCAGTGGCACGTGCCTCTAGCCCCAGCTACTCAGGAGGCTAAGGTGGGAGGTTGGCTTGAGCCTGGGAGGTGAAGGTTGCAGTAAACTGAGATTGTGCCACTACACACAGCCTGGGCAACAGAGCGAGACCCTGTCTCAAAAAAAAAAAATTAAATTAAAACAATAAAAGCAGTGTGGTTGCTTATAAGGAGTGATGGAGTGGACAGAGGAGGTTTTTGGGCTAGTCAGGTAAGGCTGGGGTATGAATCTAGAAGTTTCCATTTAAATAGCAGGGAGCCCTTAGGCAAATCACTTAACTTCTGAGCTTTGCCTGTTTCACCTGAGGTTGCTTCAAAGATTGAATGAAACCGTATATATAAAGTGCTCCTAAACATCATCTGCCATGTGGCAGGTTCTCAAGAAATGTTAGTTTCCCTTTCTCCTTACAAAGATAAGATGCTTGCTTTGAGTATATTTTTAGGCTTCCTGATCATTATTGGTTATGATTTTAAATCTTGGTCCAGCCACCACCCATATGGTTTCTGCAGTTAACAAAAGAGGCAAAGGTTCACTACTGGGGGAAAAGAGGTGTACAGAAATGGGTGTAGAGAAAGTAGATGTTTGAAGGGGATCTAATTAGGAAAGTATTTTTCCTGGTGGTCCAGAATTTAAAATTATAGAGTCTTATGAGAAAATGATAATATTCAGGTTAAGAACAGTTTATTATTTCCTCTCTATATTGGAGAATATTTTCATTATCTTATATAAGAACCTTGTAAAAATTTTTCTTCTTAACTAGCTTCCCACTATAGGCCATTAATCCTGTTATTATTTCAAAGATTAAACAACTATAGTAATAACAGGATTATATGTGCATTAATTTATATTACTTCATTCCGCAAAGGATTTGAGGTAGTTTTTAGAAGCATAAAACACTGCACAAATAAAATAGTAGGATAGGAGTAGAAAATAAAATTTCAGCAACCATGAAAAATATGACATAGTATATGTTGTTAAGACTGGGGGAATGTAAACACATCACCAGTCAGGGCCTATATAGTTGTTACAGTCCCATAGCAAATTTGACTCTAAGCTTCTGGCAAACAACATGAAAAGGGAAGCATGATGGATGTGGTTAAATAAGACACAATTTACTTGTTACTTTACTCAAGGAAGCAAGTATTTTTTGCCCCTTTGTTTCTTATAGGAGATGCTGGGTAATGAAGTAATGTTGGCATTGGCCTTATAGTGGAGGTAATAATGGATTTTATCAGGCAGTTTCTTTAAGCATCTCTTGATGAAAGATGAGGCTATGACATCAAGAGACAATTCTGAGGCCGGGAGCAGTGGCTCACACCTATAATCCCAGCACTTTGGGAAGCTGAGGCGGGCAGATCACTTGAGGTCAGGAGTTCGAGACCAGCCTGGCCAACATGGAAACCTCGTCTCTACTGAAAATACAAAAATCAGAAACCCTGTCTTTACTAAAAATACAAAAATTAGCTGGGCGTGGTGGCAGTGCCTGCAATCTCAGCTACTTGGGAGGCTGAGGCAGGAGAATTGCTTGAACCCAGTAGGTGGAGGTTGCAGTGAACTGAAATCACACCACTGCACTCCAGCTTGGGTGACAGAACAAGACTCCATCTCAAAAAAAAAAAAAAAAAAAAAAGACAATTCTGAAAGTGGTGAGTCGTTCTACCAGGGGCCAGGATGATCTCATCTGGGTTATGGATTCTAGGTCTGGCCTCATCTAAGGTGACACACAGAGGGTACACCGCACAATCTTCCTATCTTCTTTAAATATCACTGCTTTCAACAGGACTTTTTTTTTTTTTTTTTGAAACAGGATCTTGCCCTGCCCTGTCACCCAGGTTGGAGGGCAGTGGCATGATCATGGCTCACTGCAGCCTTGACCTCCCAGCTCAGCCTTCTGAGTAGCTGGGACAACAGGTGCATGCCACCGTGACTGGCTAATTTTAAAAAGTTGTTTCGTTTTTTTTTTTCTGTAGAGACAGGGTCTCCCTAGATTGTCCAGGCTGGTCTCAAACTCCTGGCCTCAAGCAGCTCTCCAGTCTTTGCCTCTCAAAGTGTTGGGATTACAGACGTAAGCCACCACGCCTGGCCCAAAAAACATAATAATGTGGTTATTCGAAGAAGTGATTTCCTCTCAAAACATAAATTCATTTCTTCTTTTACTCTTGTAACTTTCTGAGGTGAAAAGTAGGAAGTTCCCAGATTTTTCATTGCTGTAAAGAAAGATTATAGACAAGCAAGGAAGGAGTTAGAATAACCTGTGTGATAATGAATTAGAAGAGTTGGAGGTGTATGTAAGTATGCTCAGCATGAATTTATGTTTAGCTTAATGTAGATACAGATGGTTACATGTGGAAAGTATTTATAGCTATGCATAGATAGGTTGGTATATGTACATGTATTTTCTACCTCCTTTGGCTAAGAGGGCGCAGAAGCCATGACATCCCTGTTGCAACAAAAACACCTAGCACCATTTATCTTGGTTTGTAATACTATTCTCCAGTAAAAACAACCAGGGCTCCTTGCAGAAAGGGCTGATGATAATATATAAGATTAGCCTGGAGCATCTTATATATCAGAAAGCAAGGGAGTACTCAAAAACTAAAAACAATAAACTGCTCCCCAATAATGGGAGTATGTCAAAGGGTCACAGGAGCCATGTGAAAGAGTTTGCAATAGCCAACAAAATGAAGAAGTATTTGAATTTAAATCAGAGTATAAAATAAATATCTACGAGTCCATAATGATATAAACAAGTGATTGAATAAATAAATAAATGTGGGAGACTAGACAAATCCCCCATGCAGAAGAATTCCAAGTAATTTATGTAGGTAAATACTTCACTGTCAAAGAGGCAGAGCATAATTAATTCCCCACTCCTGTAAGTGTGGGCTGCTTAGTGACTTCCTTCCAGGAGTGCAGTATAAATAGGGAAAAGAAGACAACTTCACAGTGGAGGAATCTGGCAAACTCTGTCCCACCCAGATGATCAAGGTTTACATCAAAAGCACTAAGCCATGTTGATACTGCACTGTGTTTCCTTGATATAATGGGATGAAATGGCACTTTGTGTAGTCGTGCTTCCAAAAAACCTCATAGCCCTAGACTAATCATGGGAAGAACACCAGACAAATCCTAATTGAGGGACATGCTACTTAATTCCTGAAAAGTACTCCTCAATGCTGTCAAGGTCATCTGAAACAAGAAAAGTCTGGCAAACTGTCACAGTCAAGAGGAGACTAAGGAGATATGACGACTAAATATAATGTGGTATCTTGTATGGGATCTTGGAATAGAAAAAGGATATTAGTTAAAACTGAGGAAATCTGAGTAAAATATAGATGTTTGTTACTAATAATGTATCAATAGTAGTTCATTAATTGTGACAAATGTAACATACTATCGTAAGATGTTAATAATAGAGGAAACTGGATGTGAGGTATATGGGCACTCCCTGTACTGTTCACAATTGTTATGTAAATCTGAAACTATTCTAAAATGAAAGTGTATTTTATTTTATTTTATTTTGAGACGGAGTCTTGTTCTGTTGCCCAGGCTGTAGTGCAGTGGTGAAATCTCGGCTCACTGCAACCTCCACCTCCTGGTCTCAAGCGATTCTCCTGCCTCAGCCTCCTAAGTAGCTGGGATTACAGGCACGCGCCACCACACCCAGCTAATTTTTATATTTTTAGTAGAGATGGGGTTTCACCATGTTGGCCAAGCTGGTCTTGAACTCCTGACCTCAGGTGATCCACCTGCCTCGGCCTCCCAAAGTGCTGAGATTACAGGCGTGAGCCACCGCGCCCAGACAAAAGTTTATTTTTTAAAAGGTAGGAAAGTTTCACATTTTGATCGTACTATTGAGATAAAACTTGGTTGTTGTTGTTGTTTTTGAGATGGAGTCTTGTACTGTCACCTGGACTGGAGTGCAATGGCATGATCTTGGCTCACTGCTACCTCCACTTCCCGGGTTCAAGCGATTCTCCTGCCTCAGCCTCCTGAGTAGCTGGGACTACAGGCACCTGCCACTACGCCCAGCTAATTTTTTGTATTTTTAGTAGAGATGGGTTTCATTATGTTGGCCAGACTGGTCTCTAACTCCTGACCTCGTGATCCGCCTACCTTGGCCTCCCGAAGTGCTGGGATTACAGGCATGAGCCACCGTGCCTGGCCAAACTTGGTGTTTTCATCTGAGAATGAGGTTTCCAAGAATTGAAGATACAAGTTAGCTAAATAGTATCAGTGAAACCACAGAGTATAACTTCAGACCACTTGTGGTTTTAAGGCAGATCTATGCCACAGAGAAGTATTTGAATTTAAATCAAAGTATAAAATAAATATCTATGAGTCCATAATGATATAAACAAGTGATTGAATAAATACATAAATGTGGGAGACTAGACAAATCTCCCATGCAGAAGAATTCCAAATAGTTTATGTAGGTAAATATTTCAGAGTATCAGTACTATGATCCTTCTTACAATGCTATATCCGACTAAAAAAAAAAAAAAGAAAAAAAGAAAAAGAACTGTGATCCTAGTTGCGAATGTTGACTTATAGCCAGAAAAGATGACTTTCTTATTTGAAAGCATCATGAAATGCTATCAGCATGCAGAAATGAGAGGGCATAACAGAGAGCTATTCTATCGTATTTTTATTTAATGTTTTAAAAGAGCTATTAATAATATAATGTGAAGAGAAGTTTTAATTTCAGAGGAATGGGATGTTTGGTTTTAAGATTATTTTTGCAAAATGTAGTCTGTCATTTTTAAAGTGAACTTTATAATGAAAAGAGTTTGAAATTATTTCCCTATTATTAATATTTATTTATTTTTATTACTTTTCTGCCATGACAATTACAGTGCACATTTTCCCTATTTTTAGCTTTTTTCTGGTAAAGTGATTTTACCTCCTGTAGATCGTCAGTCCCCAGACTTTCTGGCACTAGGGACTGGTTTCATGGAGGACAATTTTTTGACAAATTGGAGGGGGAATGATTTCAGGATAAAACTGTTCTATCTCAGATCATCAGGCATTAGATTCTTACAAGGAATGTGCAACCTAGATCCCCTGCATGCACAGTTCACAATAGGGTTTGTGCTCCTATGAGAATCTAATGCTGTGCTGATCCGACAGGAGGTGGAGCTCAGGTGGTAATGCTCGCTCACCTACCACTCACCTCCTGCTGTGTGGCCTGGTTCCTAACAGGCTCGGGGGCTGGGGACCCCTGCTGTAAATAACCTTTCGAAGATCTGAAAATTAACTTTAGTATTTTTTTGTATTTACTCGATATTTTAAACAAACAAAAATCTAGAGAATGACATAACAAATGTATTTTCTGCGTATCCACTACTCTTTACTCAGATCCTAACATTCTCAGTTTTGAAAAGATGTAGGCTGGTCACAGTGGCTCATGCCTGTAATGTCAACACTTTAGGAGGCCAAGGAGGACAGATCACGTGAATCCAGGAGTTAGAGACCAGCCTGAGCTATAAGGCAAAACCCTGTCTCTACAAAAATTAGCCAGGTGTGGTGGCCTGCACCTGTAGTTCTAGCTACTCGGGAGCCTGAGGTGGGAGGGTCAATTGACCAGAGGCTATAGTGAGCTGTGATCCTGCCACTACACTCCAGTCTAGGTGGCAAAGCAAGACCCTGACTCAAAAAAAAAAAAAAAAAAAAAAAAAAAAAGATGTAAACATTACAGGCCCAGCTGTGGTCCCGTGTACACTTCTCCATTCCTAATCCCCTTCATGCACACTTTCCCACAGGTAATCACTATCCCACATTTGCTTTAATTATTCCCATCATGTTTTATGCTATGACTACAAATGTGTGAATCTATATTCCACTGTATGTTAATACCAACATTTTTTCATTTATTTTACCGCTGATGGGCAATTTAGGTTATTTCCAGATTTTTACTATTACAGATGCTTCTGTGAACATCCTTACTCATTTCTCCTTGTGCACATGTGCAAAATTTCTCTGGAGTACATACCTGGGAGTGGAATTACTAGAATGTGGTGCATGTACATGTTGTTGTATTTATCAGTAGTTCACTCTTATTTATTGCTGTGTATTCCATTACATAGATATACCATAATTTGTTTATCTAATCACTTATTTATAGACATTTGGGTTCTTTCTGTTTTTTTGACTATTAGAAATAAAGCAGCTATAAACATTTGTATATAAGTTTTTGTATAGGCATATGCTTTGGTTTCTCTTAGGCTCAGGGGCTGGGAACCCCCTAGGAATGGAGGAATAGCTGGGTCATATGGTAGGTTTATGTTTAACTTTTTAAGAAATTCCTGAACTGCTTTCCAAAGTGTTTGTACTATTTTATATTCCCAGTAGCAGTATGTGAAAGTTCTTGTTGCTCTACATCCTCACCAACACTTGGTATGATTAGTCATTTTTAGATATCCTGTGATGTGTGTGGTTTTTCATTGTTTTAATTGACAGTTCCCTGATGACTAATGATATTGGGTGTCATAGGCATATTTTCCATTTATATATCTTTTTTGTAAAGTTCAAATTTTTTGCCCATTTTTAAAATTGAGTTGCTTGGTTTTTATTGAGTTCTGAGAATTTTGTATGTAATTTATATACAAGTTCTTACTAGATATGTAATTTGCAAATCTTCTCTCTCAGTTTGTGGCTTGTCTTTTTATTCTCTTAGCAGTGTCTTTCAAAGAGAAGTTCTTAGTTTTGATGAAGTTTAGTTTATCAACATTTTCTTGTACTGATTTCTTGTATGGGCATTTAGGTTTTTCATGTTATATCTAAGAAATCTTTGCCTAAACCAAGATCACAAAGATTTTCTCCGGTATTTTCTTCTTTTGTTTGAGACAGAGTCTCACTCTGTTGCCCAGGCTGGAGTGCAGTAGTGCAGTCTCAGCTCACTGCAACCTCCACCTCCTGGGTTCAAGCGATTCTTGTGCTTCAGCCTCCTGAATAGCTGGTATTACAGGCATGTGCCACCATGCTCAGCTAATTTTTGTATTTTTTTAAGTAGAGACAGGGTTTCACCATGTTGGGAAGGCTGGTCTTCAATTCCTAACCTCAGGTGATCTGCCCAACTCAGCCTCCCAAAGTGCTGGTGACACAGGATTTTGCTCAGCTACTTTGCCAACCAGGGACTCACTCGGCCATGGGCCAAGGCACCCCGCTCACTTGGTCCACCTGTGCTATAGCTTCTACTGACGTTCAGCGGTTCCCGAGCTCTTGTCATGCATCTAAAAAGAAGGAGGATATGCTGACAATTTGAAGTGTAAGGATGGGTGGAGAAGAATTTTACTGAGTTATGGAACAACTCTCAGCATTAAGGGGACACGGGGTGCTCCCTCACCCCCACAGTCAGGTGGTTTTTCTCTCTCTCTCTCTGTGTCTGGGTCTGGGGCTTTTTATGGACTCAGAATGGGGAGTGTGTACAGATTGGTTTGTGAGTATGCAATAAAAGTTAAAGTGAAGACAATATTCAAAGGTGGGCGCGATAGTGTAGAAAACCAATTAGGAAAGGGTAGGTATGTAGCCTGGCATGGTGGCTCGTGCCTGTAATCCCAGCACTTTGGGATGCCAAGGCAGGTGGATCACCTGAGATCAGGAGTTTGAAACAAGCCTGACCAACATGGTGAAACCCCGTCTCTACTAAAAATACAAAAATTAGCAGGGTGTGGTGGCACACACCTGTAGTCCCAACTACTTGGTAGACTGAGGCAGAAGAATTGCTGGAACCTGGGAGGCAGAGGTTGCAGTGAGCCAAGATTGCACCATGGCACTTCTGCCTGGCTGACATAGCGAGACAGTGTCTCAAAAAAAAAAAAAAAAAAAAAAAAGAAAGGGTAGGTATGTGTAAAATAGGTGGAGGGTGGGGATCAATCAGAGGAAAGCATGCCAAATGGGAAGACAGGTTCTCAATCCAGTCCATGGATTTGCCTGGGACTTGTAGCTAGGCTTTAAAGTGTCTTCAGCTTGAAGGTCAGGTTTCACCAGGGACCCGTTCCTACACCCCTATCTGCCTAGGCATTTGTCTGCCTCTTGCTGCTATCAGTTCTCCCCTCTGAAGAGGTACATCTAACTGCCATTAGAATAGGGATGATGACTGATACTAACTGCTTCCTGCTGACAGGGGTGCGGGGTGCTGTTTTGGGAAAATGGCAGTCAGATCTCCCTCAGAGGCCTATCTAAGGGTCCCCAGTAAAAGGGAGCCATCGTCTGAGGCTCCAGTTTCATGACTGGAGTTTAATGGCCTGAAAATGAGAAGACAACCAGATTATTAGAAGGCATGTATCAAAACAAAATAAGGGGGTAAGGACAGCTCAAAAATCCTGAGGCTGCCAACATGCCCAGATAACAGGTGGCTATAGTTATGCCTGCTAAGATTTGGGTGAATGAGGCTCGGCTTTGGTCAGCTTCTTTGGTCTTATTTTCCCAAACAAAGAAACCTCTGGGTTACGGGCACCCTGTTTACTCCTATCACCTGGCAGGATTTGCAGGATAATTGCCCAGAACTAGAATATTGATCCAGATTTTTACATCACCCATCCCTTTTGTTTCTTCTGAGCTGCAGCTGATGATCACTGGTTGGTTCACAGAAATAAGCAGGGTTAGTCTAAAATGCAGACAAAAACTTAAAAACAACTAATGAGACTAGAATTTAATGAAAAGTGTATGATAAATTTTGAAACATAATTTTTCTCTCTCCAGTCCTCATTTTTGTTAAAAACAAATCATGATAGGACTGAGTCATTTGCAGAATAAACTTTAGTCTTATATTTGGCCTGGTTATTTGCATAAAGCACAGCAAGAATAATTATTTTTCACACAGGCTTTTAAAATTGGCTTTGATGGAACTCTGTTCCACAAGGAATTTCAGATAAGACCTTTTAAAGCTGAGCCCAGCCATGGGTTTGTATCCTCAAATACCTATGAGTTGGGTAAATTCCTCTCTTCTTGAGGTCCCAAGATAACATGGGGTTCCTGGGCCTATTAGAAAGTGACATTCTTTATTCACCACAGATTAGGAACTCTGTACAGGGACTGTGTAGAAGACAAAGTATGAGGCCAGTTTTCCCAAGGGGCTTTTATTGGTTCTGCAAGTCAAACTTGATTTCTTAAAGGTAAGCACACCCTTCCAGTCAAAGCCTTGGTAAAACAACCAGTTTCTCCAGTTGTGTCCTGTTGCAAAAGAAAATGGATTCTTACTGCACTGATGCAAATAACTGTATTGCTGCAAATTAAGAATACTCACAAATAGTTTCCAAGTTCTGAGGAAACCAGGCAAAAAGAAATAAATGTGCTCCAAATTTTGTTCACTGGAGTATACCTTACTCAATTGTTAAAAGCTATAGATAGCTCAACATGAAAGTTTCCTTGACTCTGAAAAACAAAACAAGGATCAGCAATGTTTTAAGCAAAAAAAGATTACTTCAGCTTTCTATTAGTTCAGTACATTCTATTAACTCTTCTTCTGCTTGATATTCATGAACATTTCAGCTCTTCATGAGTCCTGTACATTTTCCCTCTATTCCAATGTCACAATCTCCAAAGTTATCAGAAACCTGCATTTGAGAGCACCTGTCAAAGTCCCATAGCTGATTATAAACCATCTTTTGAAAAGGATCAAAATAAGACAATTGTCTGTGAATGACAAAATGTCTTTGGGTAATAACAGTCAAAGCCATGATTGACAAAGAAATTTGGTTATTTCTGAGCTTTACAATAACAACATAATAATTTTTTTTTTTTTTTTTTTTTTTTGAGACGGAGTCTCGCTCTGTCGCCCAGGCTGGAGTGCAGTGGCGGGATCTCGGCTCACTGCAAGCTCCGCCTCCCGGGTTCACACCATTCTCCTGCCTCAGCCTCCCAAGTAGCTGGGACTACAGGCGCCCGCCACTACGCCCGGCTAATTTTTTGTATTTTTAGTAGAGACGGGGTTTCACCGTTTTAGCCGGGATGGTCTCGATCTCCTGACCTCGTGATCCGCCCGCCTCGGCCTCCCAAAGTGCTGGGATTACAGGCGTGAGCCACCGCACCCGGCAACATAATAATTTTAATTACGATTGATAGCATATACTCAGACATTAGAATTTTAGAAACCTCATAGAATTTTGGAACATATGTATTTTTCATTAAAATATAACCTGAAGAAGATTAAACATTATTTTTATTTTGGCAATCCCACATAACTAAACATGTCAGTTAATCCTGTTTACCTCTCTTTTGGATGCTCCAGGAGCCCTCTGTAGTATTCAAAAGTAAGGGGTCAGAAAAGACAACCTTGAAACTGAAGTTTGATTTTGGGAAGCCTGTTAAGTACATTAGAGGTTTAAAACACTTTATATTATGAAATACAATTCCAGATTACCATAAGTCATTTATTTAGCCAAAATGATGACTCAAAAATTTTTAAAAAGGTAAAAACCTTTACTCATTAAGAGTGAAGACAGCTTTCCAAACAAACAATCCATCTCTGGTCTCTCCCACACCCTTTATTTTTTGATGAAATCTTTAGATAATTCTGTCCAATCTTAACCAGTTTGACCATGAGGTGAGATTCTTATAAACCTTTACAAATTTTTGTTAAAGAGTAGATCAGTGCCTTAAGAAAACCTTGTTCTTTTATTCTAATGTTCAATTTACAGAAAAACCATGTAATACCCTTTTGAATTTAGTCAATATGTTCACACACAGAATTTCTTTTGCAAGATTAATTTTTACAAACCTTCCACAACCTTCAACTTTATCTTATCCAACTTAAAACAATTATTTAATCCTCTAAACTAGGCAAAAATTTAAATTCCCATGCCTTCTTATAATCCTTTACTAAAAACACATTTACTTTCCTTACACACCTTGATGTAAATCTGTTTTCAGTAGTCTCAATTACATGGTATAATGGTAAACCTTAGCAATTTTTAATTTTAATGTAAAGCCTGGTAAGTTATTTTAATTATGTGCTACCAATTATACCTTAAGTTGTAGCGACTCTGGTGTGCTATTGGTAATATGGCCTTACAAAACTGAAAAGCAAGCAAGGTGAACAATTTTCAAAAGCCCAAGAAGCAGGCTGGGTGTGGTGGCTCACACCTGTAATCCCAGCACTTTGGGAGACCCAGCCAGGTGGATCACCTGAGGTCAGGAGTTCAAGACCAGCCTGGCTAACATGGTGAAAATCCGTCTCTACTAAAAAAAAAATAAAAAAATTAGTTGGTCATTATGGTGTATGCCTGTAGTCCCAGCTACTCAGGAGGGTGAGGCAGGAGAATCACTTGAACCTGGGAGGCAGAGGCAACCAAGATCATGCCACTGCACTCCATCCTGGACAACAGAGTGATACTGTTGAAAAAACAAAAAAGAGAAAAAAGCCAAAGAAGCAGTTTATAACTTTAAAGCATTTAGTAAACCTAGTATCTGACCTGCATAATTTAGACCACATGTTTACATTTTGAAGACATTTGTATTTTACCAATAATCTCTAAAACTTTTTATTTTTCAAATATTAAAATCATTTGAACTAAAAGGTATTATAGCTTTTATTTTTCCTTCAGAAAATATTTGATCTAAGTGCTTATTTTTCTCTAAGCCAATTAATTAGAGCTCTTTTTTATACAAACATCACACATATTGCACATATATAACTACACAGACAGAGGATCCAGTAGTTGTAAGATTTTTCATTGTCCAATCTCCTAATTAGATTACTGACCTCAGGATGGAGCCCTTCAAGAGCAGGGCTAGGAAAGCATGCAGTTTCTAGGGCCTAATAAATAGTTATAGCTGGAAGACAAAAACAGATTTTGAGAGGGATTTATCTGCTTTTAATTCTTTGGGTTTCATGAGGAAAACAGAGGTTTTTTTCTAAAATGGGGTCAGTGGTGCCTCTTCCATTTTTTCCAGGGAGTCCCAGGCCATCAGAAGTTATCTTAGGGCCTCTCATGCGTGCATTAAGAGAGGCAAGACAAAATGGAGAAAAGTAATTCAGTTGACTGAAAAAGAAAATCTTTTTCCAGTGAAACAAGATGCAAGAAGAGGAAAACATAGAGGCCTTTTAAATATGCCTATAGCTTGGATATCCACTTTTAATTAAGCTGACTTTTTACCATAGTGCTCTTATTTTAAAAAATCCTTTTAAATCCCTTGTTACCCAACTTTAGCCTCACCAAGTGGCCAATATTTCTGGCTTTTGAACTTTACCAAAAGTAACCTCACAGGTGAAACCAACAAGCCTTAAGTAAGGTTGTGACTTCACTGCCTGTGTACAAGGTATTTTCAAAGAGATGGTAAGCAGTTTTTACAAAATCTAGAATCTTTAAAGATAGCTCAGAGAAAGGAAGATTTAAGAAAGGAAGCTAGAAGTTGTTCATGGAGGGGAAGAGAATCAGCAAATGATAAAAGTCACACAGATATTAGCCAGAAAGTACTCATTCCCTAAGCCAGGATTGAACCTGGGCTTCCATTGTAAAATGGCAGAGACCAAAAGAAAGTCCTTCCACGTGGTTACAAGGTCAAGCTCCCAAGGACATAAAACAAGATGGAGACCTTATTCAGTTTTTTTTCCTTCAGAGACCTGTAGCAAAGTCTGTAACTGACCAGTTTGCATGGCTGGCTTGAACAGTGGGCTTATGGGGTCCTAGGTCTGTGTTCTATCCTGTCTTACTCCTTATGACAGAACTGTACAGAAAGACACACAAAGCATAGCAGATTGGCTACAGCTTAAGATTAGCCTCACAAATCCTTTTTTCCATTAATCAAAACTACAGAAGAATAAACAGTGATTTTTATCCTTCCTTTTACTGGTTTGCACAGGGAGAAAGAGGCCAGAAGTCTGACTGGTAAGAACTTTTACTCTTTTACTGGCATGTCAGGCTTCTGGGTTCCCTTCCCAGTTCAATTTTAAGCCAAGCAGTTTAAGGTTTGGGGATACTAAACTTTTCACAGATATTTTCCAGTATGTTTAAATAGTTTTGTTTAGCCCAGATTTAATAATAGTTATCTGTAGTAGGGTTTGCATGACCACTTTATTCCAATGCCACAAACAGAAGTTGATTAGCAAATTATATATATATTTGCATACATTTATTTTACATAATTTAAGGCTATTAGACCAATATTGGTTATTACAGAGCATAGATACCTTGAAAGAGGCCAAGATGGAGTGGAAATGCAGGTTGGAGCTACCAAAGGGCAAAAAACTATTCATCAACCTTTAACTACAATAAATCTTCCCTTTGGGTATTTTCATTTGTAAACACTTTGCCCTTGCAGTCATTTACATCGGCATAATTACAACACCTTTGCTTTATTTGGCATGCAGGAGAATCTTCTTAAATATTAAACCTAACCACTTTGAGTGATTTGCATCCTGCTTTTGTCATACATTTAGAGCCTTGGGATTTTTTCTCAGAATGGAGTAGGAAACAAATAGGGTCTGGATAGGGAAATTGAAAAGCTTCCTGGTATTTTTCTGTTGAAAGATTTCTTAACATGGCTTCTTGGATGTGTCTCTCTGATGTCAAACATACACACATATTCAAATAAGAGTTATACAAGCACATCTTGCACATTTTTGGCATCTATGTCTCAAGACACAGGACATTCTATCTGGTGTTCTGATCGAACCACTTTTGCATGTTACTAGACTGAAAATTATTGGAAGGTAGAGAAATCTCTTATTTGTTTTTATATTCCCAACAGCCTAGGATAGAGCCTAGAACATTAAAGAACACTAAAATTTTAATAGTGTAACTGAAAAGCAGGTTAGTTGGTCACTGCATGTAGAGTCCAATTAACAAGAGCAAGTTCTGATACAAAGAAGTGTATTTATTTCAAAACTAGCTTAGGGGAAGAGGCACAAAGCATCCTGCCTTTAAATGTGCCACTTCACCTTTGGAGCAAAAAGTGGGCATTTTTATAAGGTAGGGGAGGAAATGAGCAAGGGCAAGTGTCCCTCTGCTACTGGGCAAGTATCTGAGCTGGCACCTTCTTGGGCAGAAGTAAGTTGTAAAAGTGGCCAAGTGGGTATGCTTTCAACATGCCCTCCTAGTGGGCATGAGTTCTGAGATGACCCTGTGGAGAGTTCTGTGGGGGCATGCTTTGGTCTGCAAATAGACTGTTAACTTTCGAGGAGAGATCCTTGGGGGGAAAATATATATTAGGAAGTCCTCTGTGGGTGTTTTGTAGAAGGACCTAGAGGGACTAGGGCTCGATTGTTATTTATTTATTTATTTATTTATTGTGTGTGTGTGTATGTGAGAGAGAGAGAGAGAAAGAGAGAGAGACGAGGTCTTGCTCCGTTGCCCAGGCGGGAGTGCAGTGGCATGATCATAGCTTACTGCAGCCTCAAACTCCTGGGCTCCAGGGAGCCTCCTGCCTCAGCCTGCCAAGAAGCTGGGGGTACTGTTGTGTGCTACCATGCCCAGCTAGTTTTTAAAGTATTTTTTTTTGTACAGATGGGGTCTTGCTTTGTTGCCCAGGCTGGGCTTGAACTACTGGCTTCAAGTAATCCTCCTACCTCAGCCTCCCAAAGTGCTGGGATTATACATATGAGCCACTGTTCCTGGTCTAGTTTGCACTTTTTTTTTTTTTGAAACAGAGTCTTACTCTCTTGCCCAGGCTGGAATGCAGTGGCACAGTCTCAGCTCACTGGAAACTCCACCTCCCAGATTCAAGCGATTCTCATTACTCAGCCTCCCGAATAGCTGGGATTACAGGCACCCGCCACCACACCCAGCTAATTTTTGTATTTTTAGTAGAGATGGGGTTTCGCCCTGTTGGCCAGGCTGGTCTCGAACTCCTGACCTCAGGTGATCCACCCACCTCGGGCTCCCAAGGTGCTGGGATTACAGGTGTGAGCCAACACGCCTGGCCGTTTGCATTTTTAAGATAAAAATTTTACCATGCTGGATATATTGTAGTAGCTATGTACTTCAGTTTCTCAATTGTTAAACGAACTTAATAGAAGTACTACCTTATAGAATTTTGGGGATTAAATGAAATAGTCTTCTGAGCACAACAAATATATTATCAGCACAACAGCTAGCTCTATTGAGTCTTTATTATTATAATAGCAGTAATAGTCAGACTTGGAAGGGGTGAAAGAGAACAACAGTCCATTTTATTTTTGTGGCATATATATCATAGGTCGTAAGACCTTGGATTGTTTAGATGCCATGTTAAAACTTGACAAAACTAGAAATGTTGTGAGTGTGCAATAGCAGGTGATAACTAATCCAATCATTAATTTATTCTTGAATTTGATCAGAAGACAGACCTAACTTCATCTATTGCCAATTACTATTGTAACAAAATCTATTGGAATTTCAGTTTAGGCACTGCAGTACAACAGTGTGAATTTCAAAAGTGAGATATTTTATGTGGCTTTTTAAAGTAGGTTTTCAAACCAGTTAAAGGCTCTAAAACCCATTAAGAAGGATACTATGGGTCAGGAATAGCATTTTATGAGGACTCTTGAGAAAACGGTGCTGTGTCCCCTCCACCATGGTACAAGTGGAGGTTACTCTCACTTGTTCTCTTACTTGGTATCTCTCCTTGTTCTCTCACTTGGTATCGAGTGAGAGGGGCTTGAGAGGGACGACTTAAGAGATTTAAAGGATTCCCCCCAGTTGTGGGGAACAGAGGACCAGGGTCTGACTCTCCGAGACACCCAACAAGGAGAGAACTGTGGCTGGCTTACTGTTCCCACAGAAAGAGCTATACTGTAATGGTGTCTGTGTTGAATTTGCCTACACTCCAGCCTTTGTCAGGGCAAAGGAAATGTATTTCCTGCAGATTAGAGGTGGGCCTAGCGGAGGAGAAGGGTAGCCTGGAGTTTGACTCCTGTCCAAATAGATGCCTGAAAGGGCAGTGAGGTTCCAACGGTGAGTCTTTTGAATGACAGCCAAAAAGCCAGGAGAAGAATGAATTATCCAAGTCAATGGTGCTATGGCCAGAAGGAACTCTGAGGTGAGACTCTGAATAACCCATGAAAGTGCATCTGAGAAAAAAGAATTAGCTTCAAACATCAGCAGACAGGTGTTTTGGCAGGAGGGCTCATGTTGGAATCTCCTTGCCTTCCTTCCCCAGCCTCCATCTCCCATGCCTACCTTGGAAAGATCCGACAGCTAGGGTTGGTGTAAAGTCGTGGAAGAGAAGAAAAGCAGCTGATTTCAATCCCTTCCCAGGTTCCCTGGGGCTGGGGAAAAGATTTGATTACCTAGTGAATATTGGTTTGTTACCTAAAGTGACCATAAGCCTTTCTTTAACATTGACCAAAAGAATCAAATGGGCCTGTTGAAGTGTTCATCTAGTGTCAAGGGAAAATTTTTCCCCACTGAATAAATTTTAAGAAGGCAGTCAAGACAAGAAGCTATATTTGATTATATCCTGTTAGTGCTTATTCAATAGACACATAAATCTGTAATTTTTAATATTTGGTATAGAAGTAGGTTGAAATCCACAGTAATTCACAGAAACTTGTGCAAGGGTTTTGTTTTCTTTTCTTTTCTTTCTTTTTTTTTTTTTTTGAGACAGAATCTCACTCTGTCCCCCAGGTTGGAGTACAGTAGGATGACCTCGGCTCACTGCAGCCTCCACCTGCCAAGGTTCAAGCAATTCTTGTGCCTCAGCCTCCTGAGTAGCTGGGATTACAGGCATGAGCCAACACGGGCGGCTAATTTTTGTATTTTTAGTAGAGACGAGGTGTCTCCATGTTGGCCAGGCTGGTCTTGATCCTGACCTCAGGTGATCTGCCTGCCTTGATCTCCCAAAGTGCTGGGATTACAGGTGTGAGCCACCATGCCCGGCCAAGGTCTTTTTTCTTGAAAATATCTTCACTCATATAAGCAGTATATGCAATATAAGGATATGCTCTTGGGTTTCTTGATGTGGTCTAATATTTAGTGTTGGCCCCTTAATTATAAAAGTTGCTTTTATCTAAAAGTAGATGTTAGTTGTCAGGCAATGTTTGCTGTAAAAAATAAATAAAAAATAAAAGTAGATGTTAGGATATTTTCTTCTAGCCTGCCTAGTATTTATATTAGATTCTTTCTTTTTTTGAGAAAGCGTCTCGCTCAGCTGCCCAGGCTGGAGTGCGCAGTGGCGCGATCTCGGCTCACTGCAACCACCATCTCCCGGGTTCAAGTGATTCTCCCATCTCAGCCTCCTGAGTAGCTGGGATTACAGGCACCCACCACCACGCCTGGCTAATTTTTGTATTTTAGTAGAGGCGGAGTTTCACCATGTTGGCCAGGCTGGTCTGGAACTCCTGACCTCAGGTGATCAGCCCACCTCGGCCTCCCAAAGTGCTAGGATTACAGATGTGAGCCACCGCACCCAGCCTAGATTGTTTCTTAAACCATAGATGTCTGAACTTTTTTGAATGAAATTAAATGATTAGAGATTAGTAAAATTTTTGTATAAGATAGTAGACTAACAAATTCTTACTAGTCTGGGTGTGGTGACTCATGCCTGTAATGCCAGCAATTTGGGAGGCCAGGGTGGGCCGATCACTTAAGCCCAGGAGTTTGAGACCAGCCTGGGCAACATGGCGAAACCTTGTCTCTACAAAAGATACAAAAATTAGCTGGTGTGGTGGCACACACCTGTAGTCCCAGCTACTCAGGAGGCTTAGGTGGGAGGATGGCTTGAGCCTAGAAGGCAGAGGTTGCAGTGAGCAAACATTGCGTCACCGCACTCCAGCCTGGGTGACACAGCGAGACCCTGTCTCATTAAAAAAAGAAAATTTAACCTGTCTCAAGCTCTCCATACTGTAAGGCTCTGCATGTCTTGATTGGATTGTGCTAATATATTTGGCCAATCAGCTCCTTCCTACTGTCTACTTTTGAATCCCTGTCACCACCATCTAAGTCAAGATGACAGTGTTTACACAGTCTCTTCATTGTGTTTTAAGATTATAGTCTTCTTTCTGGTGAGGGAAGAAAGAAAATAGAAATATGGCTTACTGATTGGGCCATGGCTTACGCCTGCAATCCCAGCATTTTAGAGGCCAAGGTGGGAGGATTGCTGGAAGCCAGGAGTTCAAGACCAGCTTGAGTAGCAAAGTGAGACCCTGTCTGTACAAAAGAAACACACACAAAAGAAATATGACTGACTAAAATACATATAATTTTCATAATACTTTAAAATGTAAGAAGGCAAAAAATTTCTGGGCTCAAGGTGGGTGATCGCTTGAACCTAGGAGTTCAAGACCAGCCTGGGCAACCTGGCAAAACCTTGTTTCTACAAAAAGTACAAAAATTAGCCAGGCATGGTGGTGCACACCTGTGGTTCTAGCTACTTGGAAGATTGAGGTGGGAAATTTGCTTGAGCCTGGGCTGTCGAGATCACAGTGAGCTGAGATTGCACCACTGCACTCCAGCCTGGGCAGCGGAGTGAGACCTTTTCTCAAAAAAAAAAAAAAAAAAAGGCAAAAAATTAAATTATTAGTATGGTAAAGTTTCGTTTGGACTTAATATGAAACTCATTTCTAGAAATGATGATCATTTGCATAGGGCTTAACTTCCTTTGCTAAGAAAATAGAGTAGTATACTAGGAGACTTCCAGAGCTGCATAGAGCTTCAGGGTCATCTACCAAGACAGACAATTTGTTGTCATCATCAGTGTTAAACTCTAAATTATTAAGTGCTTATGTGCCAGATACTGAAGTTTATATACACTTTCTCTAATCTTTAATAATTCTAGAAAGGTATGTGTTTGATCCATTTTCAAGATAAGAAAACTCATTCAGAGGGGAAGTAACCTGACCAAGAATACGTTGTAGTTGTAGAGCTGGGAATATGACTCATGTCTGTTTTTTCCATAGCCCATTTTCACTTAGGTTCCATTAGTTTATTATATATTTTAGAAGGACTTACAGACTTGATTTCCTCAGCGAAGTCAGATTACTCATTTCTTTGGCACAGAATTATGATTATTTGTATTTAATATTTCTTTCCTGTTGGTTTTCATTTTTGAGTTTTTATGGAATCTGACTTCTGATTCTCAATTTTTTTATTGTGAAATATAACATACCTTCAGAAAAAAAGATTAAACATATCTATGGTTTTATAAATGATTATAAAATAAATACCCAGTAACTATTATCCAGGTCAGCAAATATTCTACTAGTGTATGAGTCAATTTCCATGGCAAAAGAACTAAGCTTAGGCACTATACTCAAAAAAACTAAAAATAAAATTTTTCTAAATGTGTATTATATCAATGGAATAAATACAAATATAACTTACCATGTCATAATTCCCCCCACGCTTTCCCTTCTTTTACAGCATGGGTAGGTTCTCTCTCCATGGGGATGATTTTCTTTTGCTGCCCAATAGTCAGCGTCTTCACAGACCTATTTGGTTGTCGGAAAACAGCTGTCGTGGGTGCTGCTGTTGGATTTGTTGGGCTCATGTCCAGTTCTTTTGTAAGGTAAGGACTTGGTTTTTTCATGTTGCTTTTTAAAAACTGTTAGATACCTTAAAGTTTTACTTTCAGAAACTATGCTATTTACAAGCAAAGATCCTCCTTTTCATTTTTTAAAACTTTAAGCAATATGACTTATAAAACAAACTGTTATCCATAGCAGCAAATCAGAGCTTGAGAATTTGAATGCTTTTTTTTCTTGTAATGCCTAAGACTTAGACATCAATCAGGATATATGTGTTTCTTGGTGCATGGAAAAATGTTTCTCCTTATCTTTTTCTTCTATTCACATAAAAATCCTAATGGCACTCAAGTTATAACAATGATTTATCTAAAACAGCAGCCTTAGTTTAGGGTCAGTTCAGTCTGAGGCCCACGGGTTACAATAAGTGGTGTTTTAAAGTAGCTGTTCATAGGCTTGATATGAAATATTTTTGTTAATGAGACCAAAACTTTGCCATTTATTCCAACCCAGGTAGAGAATTCCTGTCTGTTCTTTAAAAAAAGAACATGCTAAAATTTTAAAATATCATGGCAAAATGAAGTGGTCCAATGTACCTTAAAATAAAACTTAATGTCAATGTACTTCTCCTGTATCTATTAGAATAAGGATCCCCAACCCCTGTGCCACAGACTGGTACGGGTCCATGGCCTGTTAGGAATTGGGCTGCACAGCAGGAGGTGAGCTGTGGGTGAGTAAGCAAAGCTTCCTCTATATTTATAGCTGCTCCCCATTACTTGCATTACCACCTGAGCTCCACCTCCTGTCAGATCAGTGGCAGCATTAGATTCTTCTAGGAGTGCAAACCCTATTGTGAACTGTACATATGAGGGATCTAGGTTGCACTCCCCTTATGAGAATCTAAATGCCTGATGATCTGTCACTTTCTCCCGTCACACCCAGATGTGACTGTCTAGTTTCAGGAAAACAAGCCCAGGATTCCCACTGATTCTACATTATGATGAGTTGTATAATTATTTCATTATATATTACAATGTAATAATAATAGAAATAAAGTGCACAATAAATGTAATGCACTTGAATCATCCCTAACCGCCCTCCCCCGGCACCATCCATGGAAAAATTCTTCCTGAAACTGGTCTCTGGTGCCAAAAAGATTGGGGATTCCTGTATTAGAAGAAAAGACACAGTGCACTGAAGAGGGACTCACTGTAAGGAACGGATGGGCACATAACTGCATGGAACATCTCTCCCTGCAGCTCTAGTTCTCCTTGTAAGTCCCTTGCGTTGGTAGAATAATCCTCAGTTAGACAAACACTGATTTAATATGTAGCTCTGGCTAACAGGAGGTGATTAAGAAGAAAACCTCTTAAGATGATTTCCATCCTTTGTCTCTACTTTAGTGGTTTATCTTCATTTCCTGCCTCTTTCCTGTCCCTAGCTGTCTTTATGCTGCTTTAGTTGAAAAGCGTTAATGTGGTCATTAAGGAAAAATAAGTCAAATTTACATTTGACTTTTTATTTTTAAATATTTAATCAACAGAATCCTTGGTTTTACTCATTGCCGCCCCCCACCCCCCAACACACATCCCTTCCTCAACTCTAAAGTGAGCCTCATTCTTTCATATTTTCTTCCATCTAATTTAGAAATTCTATTTGGATTTTTAAAAATTATATTTATTTCTTTGTAGAAAATAGATATTTTCATCTTTAAAGTACCTTTATGGGTTTTTTCTTCTAAAATTGTTTTTTAAAGAAAAAAGTTTTATTTGGAATAAGATTCTTGTAGGTAATTCCATGAGATGATTTATTTTAGCAGCAACATAATATTTACATTATTATTAATGTAATTAATGTTATTAATACCTCATCAGATAGCTTCTTTGATCTGGAAGCTTCCAGGTACCTATTGTCAGTACTTGTGGCTCTACCACTTGCCGAATGTATTACAACTCTAGTTGTGGTAGAGAGGGGACTGAGAGGTAGACAACTTATGTAATCTACTACCTAGTTTGTTAACAAAACACACATACAAAGCAATGTTTTTCAAATTTTTCTGACCACTGAGCAATAAAAATTATGACATATATTTTGATGTGACCCAGTTCTGTCTCTCTTTCTCTACCCTCTAAGTGAAACAAAATTTATTGAAACCAAAATTCCCTTACTACATGTAATATTCTCATATATTCTATTAAATTTCGTTATTTAGCTTGCTGATCAAAGGCTACTGAAACTTGAGAGCAAGATACAGGAGCAAGGGGAAATGTGGTATAGATTCTGAGTGTCAAGTGGCAGGTCCATTTTTTCCTCTAGCTCCAGTTCTGCCTTCTGAGGAAAACCTTCTCCAACAACTTAGGTCAATCACACCCATGTCCCTTCTCTGAATCCTTTTTGCACATATGATTGGTATCCGACAGCCTTACTCATTTACATTGCACTTATTTGGCTGCCAAACGTCACAAACTGGAACCATGTGTTACTGAAGGGAAAACCTGGAAGTGAAAAGGGTTCAGCAGTAGTGCAAATACCATCATAAAGCTCATATACTTCACTCTGCAGGAGGGAGAAGCTCTGTGGTTTTCCAACTGAGAGCATTACAGTACAGTGATACCACTGTACAGGAACTGATGTTCCTGATGATTCTGCTGTGAACAGTATTTTTAATATACACTTTGAAGAAGGCAGAGAGAAATGTATAATAGACTTAAATTTTTTTCTTTAAAATTGTTAAATAAAAACAAATAAGCACTTTAAGTAAGTTACAATTATCTGGAAAACTACTTAGGTGGAAAAACTGATACAGAATGAATGAAGTATTAATTTCTGTTTTGTTCTGTGTTATTATTATTTGGGATAGATGTCTTGTTTCTTTAAGCAGACTATGAATATCTTGAAGGCAGAACCACATTTTTTTTTTTTTTGAGACAGGGTCTCACTATTACTCAGGCCAGAATGCAGTGGTGTTATCATAGCTGACTGCAGCCTGGATTCCTGGGTTCAAGCCGTCCTCCTGCCCCAGCTTCCTGAGTAGCTAGGACTACAGGCATGTGCCATCACACCCAGCTAATTTCAGCTATTTTTTTTTTTTTTAAATAGAGATGGGGTTTTGCTATGTTGCCAGACTGGTCTCAAGCCATCCTCCTGCCTTGGCCACCCAAAGTGTTGGGATTACAGGTGTGAGCCACCACGTCTGGCCAAGGACCAGATTTTTAATATTCTTTTCCACAATGTATCTGGTACACAGTAGTTGCTTAATATGTTGGCTAAACAAAGAGTGGAGATTCAGTAAAGGGTGATCAGAGTGAGGTGAGATTAATTTGGGAAAGCCTAGAAGTGATTCTTGAGCCTGATTTGAAGGTGGTGCTAGCTGTGGATTAGTAGAGGGAGAAGGGCATCTCAGAGAGAGGATTGCCAACATGCCTTAATTTTATCAGATTCTAGAGTTCCTTATGATTACCTCAGCATGTTGCTAGACTAGCATTATTATCCAAAATTTTAATTATTAACCAACTTTAATCTTACTTTCTAACAAATTGTTTGCTTTTACTACTGATAGCCTTTTCAAAAAACTTTAACTAGTTTTATTCCTTACCATAATTGTTTCAAAGAACATAATGATATGATCCTTTATCTTCCTAAGAAATGTGCAATTATTTGGTTAAACTGTAAGATTATTTAATCCATTATTCTTTTGACACATGCATGGCCTTACAGCTTACAAACTGGGATCACTAAAGGAATACACTTAATTTAAGTCTTTCTGTAGTCAGAATATGATTTCTTGTTGTCTTGCACAATACTGAGAACAGTGCAGTACAGGGCGAAGGTTGGTCTACAGCCCTTAGGCCAGCAAAAACAGGCACAACTGCACCTCTGTGCAAATGTTCCTGACATAACCTTGGGGAAAAAATATAAAATGCGGCCTTTTCTTTTACTACCTTGTTTGGTAAGTACCTGGAAAAACTCCATGAAATAATTAGATTTCATAGTTAATTCTAACTTTTTTAAAAAATGTTTCATTGAGACTAGGTTTTTGGTTTGTTAATTGAATCACTGTTGATTTTACCCTTCCTGGCACCAACCTTTATTTCTGAGCTGTGGAGAGCACAGTTCTCACTCAGTGCTGTGTGCGTCACCTGAAATCCACAGAAAGAGGTGGCTGAACAAAATCACTGATGACCTTAATGGTTATTTTTCACATATTCAGATTAAATTAAAATACGTTTAGTGCTACATGCTTGACTTACTGAGTTTTTCCCTCTATTTTGGTTAATTTTTTTTTTTTTTGGTTAACTTTTACTTGTAGAAAATATGTTGATGAACAAAAACCCACTTATACTATAAGATTTTATTCTACCAAGCACACAGTAACAATATTGAAAGCTGCTTTCCATCTTTTTCATCTTTATACAGTTCCATCGAGCCTCTGTACCTTACCTATGGAATCATATTTGCCTGCGGCTGCTCCTTTGCATACCAGCCTTCATTGGTCATTTTGGGACACTATTTCAAGAAGCGCCTTGGACTGGTGAATGGCATTGTCACTGCTGGCAGCAGTGTCTTCACAATCCTGCTGCCTTTGCTCTTAAGGGTTCTGATTGACAGCGTGGGCCTCTTTTACACATTGAGGGTGCTCTGCATCTTCATGTTTGTTCTCTTTCTGGCTGGCTTTACTTACCGACCTCTTGCTACCAGTACCAAAGATAAAGAGAGTGGAGGTAGCGGATCCTCCCTCTTTTCCAGGAAAAAGTTCAGTCCTCCAAAAAAAATTTTCAATTTTGCCATCTTCAAGGTGACAGCTTATGCAGTGTGGGCAGTTGGAATACCACTTGCACTTTTTGGATACTTTGTGCCTTATGTTCACTTGGTGAGTATGCTCCTTCACTGATCATGAATATTACTATTTAATAAAGAAAAACTTCTTTGAAGAGAAAGTTAGGTCGAGTTAAAGTTGGCCTCAAACATTATCCTGGTTGTAATTTTGGTATTCTTGAAATGAAAGGTCTCTCAAGACAATGTCAGCACATCCATTAGACCACTAAACAGAGAGAGTATGTTTCATAGTGTGCTTTGGTATTTTAAAAACCCTGCAAACCCAGCCAGACACCATGGTGCCTGTCTATGGTCCCAGCTACTAAGCTGAGGCAGGAGGATCACTTGAGCCCAGGAGTTCGAATCCAGCCTAGACAACATAGAGAGACTCTACCTCTAAAAATAAAATAAATGTCCCCAAACAAACACAATGTTTTTTAACAGGAAGGCTAAAATAGTGGAACAAATTACAATCAGTATAAAACATTTGATAGGTCTCTTTTTCTTCATATGGCTTTTATCAGGGACAAAGCTAGCGCTATGATTTTGCTACCATAAGTAAATTGTTTTTCAACCGAAGGGTGTAGGTAATTAGCAAAAAAGCCATGATGTTGATACAAAGAAACATTACATCTACTTGTGGTACACTTCTGGGAAAATGGGAATTCTATTCAGAGGAATATCTGAGAAAAGTTACTCAAGATCTAAATGAGGAAAGAGAACTATGGTTTTATAGGAAATTAGGATTTCAAGTGCTCAAGAAGTTTATATTGTTTATTTCTATTTCAAAGGCAAAATTCAGCTTTGTTATACTGAAATACGAATAATTAATGTCTAGACTGGGGTTGGTGCCTCACGCCTGTAATCCCACCACTTTGGGGGGCTGATGCAGGAGTTCAAGACCAGCGTGGGCAACATAAGGAGACTTCATCCCTACCTGGGGAAGGAAAAAAAAAAAAGAAGGAAGAAGCAGTGTCTAAAGTATCTGCCCCTGGCAACGTTTGTTCAAAAGTGTTCATTATGTTTCTTCCTTTTTTCTTTTGTGGCTGAAAATGTATTTACAATTCACCGTAAATGATAAAAATGGCATTGGCACACATATTTGTATGTTTGTGAACTTGGATTTTTTTCTAGCTTACAGTCTACTTTTGGAGATTTGTGCAATTTTTCTTTAGTTAAGAAATAAGTATAAATATAACCGATTTACGGACTATCAGGCTACATCCTGATCTGATAGTCCATTTTCATACTATTAGGAAAGTATAGCCGAACCAACTTAAGGTAAGTTTCCTGGAATATAGATCTGTTGTGACAGGATTAACTTTACCATCCAACCTCTTTCATAGCTTCTGTAGTCAAGAGAACATTTATTGTGTCCTTTCTTAAAAAGATGAGTAGAAATTCTTTTTCTTTTTTTTCTTTTTTCCAGACAGGGTCTTGTTAAGTTGCTCAGGCTGGCTTCAAGCAACCCTCCTGCCTCAGCTAGGATTACAGGTGCAAGCCACCACACCCAGCTTTAAAAAAAAATTCTCTTTGGTACTACCACATGAACACACCTAGAGAAATCATAACTCAGCTTTGCTAATACTAGACATTTACCAAAGGAAAAGTGGTAGATGACTGTCTAGTTATTTTTGGTTATATATTTATAATTTGTAAATTAATTTCACATATATTACTTCATTTGACTTTCACAATAAACCAGTAAAGCAGATAAAATAAATATTAGCTCCAATTTTACAGACTGAAAAACAGATCTATTGTTAATAGAGACGTTAAGTGATTTTCCAAGAATTACATGTCAGTAAACAGCAGAGCAGGAGTTAGTTCTCTTCCACTGTGCTTACCTGGTAGCAAAATCAGTCTACAGTCTTAATAGCATATTGGGCCACTTCCCTGGATATATTACCAAATGTGTCCATCTTATTAGGGGAAAAATGAGTATGCCTAAGGAAATTTAATAAGCATGTTATTTCTTCAGGTAAATAAAATTTCATAGTGGAAGGTGAGTTAGACAATGTTATAGATACTTTTGTGATCAGGAGATGGCAAATCAGATGGTGCACAGAACAATAAAGTCTCTGTTAATTCTGTTAATAAACCATGCCTTTTTTCTGCTTTCCCTTCTTCCAGGCATGTTTTCTTACAAAATATGTTGACATTGTTCATTTGAGATTTTCTCTTTCTCATAACGGTGCCCGTTATCGCACCGAATGCAGCACGGTAGAGGAAAGATCAGATAGCTAAATGCCATACAGGTGTTTAAATCTCCTCTTTGGTTATGTACTGAGTTTGTCACTTTGTTGTAATTTAAGGTTTGAATTATGGATACTTAACCAGGAATGGGACACTAGTTTCCTCCTTATACAGGGAAAAGGTGTCTCATATCCTTCAAAAGACTAGTAAAGTAGATGATGTTCAATTCCTACTAAACCCTTTATTGACTGTTGAGGGGACACATATATGAGACGTAAAAATTTGCTCTGAAGGAGCATAAACCTAGTACATGTAATTAAAAATGGCTACAGTTTATAAAGCACTTTTACATACATTCTCTTATTTAATATTCACAACAATGCAGTACCTGTGGTGTATCCTCTTTATTTCATGGAAGGGAAGACTAAGGCCCGGAAAGATTAAATAACTTGCTCAGCCAGGCACAGTGGCTCACGCCTATAATCTCACCACTTTGGGAGAATGAAGTGGAAGGATCACTTGAGCCCAGCAGTTCAAGACCAGCTTGAGCAACATAGTGAGATTCCATCTCTACAAAAAGTAATTTAAAAAAATTATCTGGGCATGGTGGTGCATGCCTGTGGTCCCAGCTACTTGGGAGGCTGGGGTGGAAGGATCGCATGAGCCCAGGAGGTCAAGGCTGCAGTGAGCCATGATGGTGCGACTGCACTCCAGCCTGGGTGACTGAGTAAGACCCTATCTCTAAAAAAAATTATAAAGTATTCTAAAGGAAGAACAGATTGAACAATTTTTAATTTATTTGTCTCCTCCTCCTAGTGGCAGCCTTTTAAATATGGAAGGTGAAGAAATAAAGAGCCAGATGTGGTGGTACACATCTGTAGTCCTAACTACTCAGGAGGCTGAGGCAGGAGGATTGCTGGAGCCCAGGAGTTCAAGGCTGTGGTGTGCTATGATTGTGCCACTGCACGCCAGCCTGGGTAACAGAGCAAGACTCTGTCTCTAAAAAACAGATAATAAATAAAGAAGTAACTTGCTTGAGGTCACAGAGATAGTGACTGATAATTATTACTGTAGTACTTTTATGTAAGAGGCAGTATTGTATAGTGGTTTAAAAGTGAAGGTTCTGGGCCTGGTGCGGTGGCTCACCCCTGTAATCCCAGCACTTTGGGAGGCCAAGGCAGGTGTATCACCAGAGGTCAGGAATTTGTGACCAGCCTGGCCAACATGGTGAAACCCTGTCTCTACTAAAAGTACAAAAATTAGCTGGACGTGATTGCTTGCACCTGTAATCTCAGCTACTCAGGAGGCTGAGGCAGGAGAATCGCTTGAACTTGGGAGGCAGAGGTTGCAGTGAGCTGAGACCGCGCCATTGCACTCCAGCCTGGGTGACAAGAGCGAAACTCCATCTCAAAAAAAAAAAAAAAAAAAGTTCTGAAGTAAGACAGATCTGGATTTAAATTCAGGTTTTGTTTCTTACTAGTTGCATAACCTTGGGCATCCTCTGTAAGCATCAGTTTCCTCATCTATGGAGATAAACCCAATTTTGCAGAGTTGTGAGGATTAGATAAAATGTATGTGAAACATCTACCTCAGTTCTGGCATAAAAATGGGAGTTATTTTAATGTAAGGCAATGTGATTGCCAACTTGAGATAGAAGTAAATTTTGAAAGGAGAAAGATAATACCCATTTGGAAAAGTGGTTTTAAAAAGTTTCATAGCATTGGAGTTGGGCCTTGAGCATGAGATTTTGTGTACAAATCTGATCTTTGATCAACTAGGGAACTAACTTACCAGTTTAGGTCTTTGAAGATTCAGAAATACAATGGAGTGCTCTCATTGCTATGTTAAAAATTCTAAGATCTTATTAGATTGTACATGATGATTTGAGAGAGAATATGCATGCTTGCTTTCAAAGTGAGGTTGGAGGTTTGATCTTCTCGTAGTTGACGTTTCAAAAAGAAGAATTAGATTGCCTCCTCGAAGCTAAATTTACCTTTCTTTTAGGCCTTCCCACTTAAAATCTTTTTTAGAAGGATACAAATCTTATAGATCAATTTAGATGAGGCCTAACTTTCTAAAAACGATTCCTAGTAGCAGCTGCATCAGTTTTTATGAATTGCCCCTTTTGCCTGAGAGTTGTTTTGTTTTGTTTTCTGGAATCTTTTTTTGTTTTGTTTTGTTTTGTTTTGTTTTTGTTTTCGTTTTTTTTTGAGACGGAGTCTTGCTCTGTCTCCCAGGCTGGAGTGCAGTGGTGCAATCCCGGCTCACTGCAACCTCCACTTCCCGGATTCAAGTGATTCTCCTGCCTCAACCTCCCTAGTAGCTGGGATTACAGGCGCCTGCCACCACACCTGACTTAATTTTTTGTATTTTTAGTAGAGACAGGGTTTTGCCACATTGGCCAGGCTGGTCCCGAACTCCTGACCTCAGGTGATCCACCCATCTTGGCCTCCCAAAATGCTGGGATTACGGGTGTGAGCCACCACGCCTGGCCTCTGGGTTTCTTTTTTTTTTTTTTTTTTTTTTCCTTTTTAACGGCTCCTCTGACTCCTCTCATTTAGCTTTCAGGAGCATAAACTCTCTTGGTTTTCTGCCTACCTCCACATCACTCCTCCTTAGTTTCTTTGCTCACTTCTTCTTTTTCCCACTGACCCCTGAATATCAGCATGTCCTAGGGCTTGTCCCCTGATCTTTTTCTCCATGTATTCTACGGTGGTTTCATCCAGTCTCCTAAGTTCATACATCACGTATATGTCAATGACTTCAAATTTATAATTCTGGTCCAGACCTTTTCCCTGAATCCTCCACCAGAGCTGTATATCCAGCTGCTTACTTAACATCTCCACTTGGGTAACTGCTAGGTGTTTCAGACTTACCCTGTCTAACCCTGAGGTCTTGATCTTACCCCTTAAAACTTACTCTGCCCCCAGCCATCCTCATCTCAGGAGCTGGCAATTCCGCCCTTTCAGTTGATCAGACTCAAAACTTTGGAGTCATCCTTGGCTCTTCTTTCTTGCACACCATAGTCCTGATCCAGTGAAGAAATCCTGGTGGCTTTTCTTTCAAAATATATCCAGGATCTGACCACCTCTCACCATCCTCACTACTCATACCTTAGCCCAGGCTACCACGTACCCCTAGCCTGGATCACTGCCAGAGCCTCCTAACTGGTCTCTCTGTTCCTTCTCTGCCCCGCGGAGTTTGTTCTCTATGAAGAAGCCACAGGCATTCTTTCTAAACATAAGTCACTCTGCTCAGAATCCTTCAATGGCTTCCCATTTCCCTAAGAGTAAAAACCAATATCCTTACAGTGACCTACAAGGTCCTTCACAATCTGGCCCCCACTACCTCTCCGAGCTTCCATCGCTGTCCCTTGCCCACTCTGCTTCTGCCATTCGCCTTTTAATGGGGCTCACTCTGACTACCTGCTTGAAACTTCCTGCGTCCCTTTTCCCCTGAGTATTCACAAACCGCTCCTATTACTCCTTTTCTTTTTTTGTAGCACTTAATACTTTCTAACATTATCTATTTTACTTCTTTATTGTAGTCATTGCTTACTATCCGTATATTTACACGTCTGCTAGAATGTAAACACCACAAGGGTAAGGATCTATTTCATTCAGTGGTAGATCCCAAGCATCTAGCGCAGTGCCTAGCACACACTGGGTGCTCAAATATTTGTTGAATGACTAAATATATTCTGGGTGAGTCTGAAGTGACACTGTATAAGTAATGTTCATTTTTTCATCATTTGGATCTTTAAAATTCTCTACTTTGATGCTATAATGATTTTTCACATTCTGTACTTGCAGGACATGGTGTTATTAATATTTATTCAATACTTATTCAACAAATAAGCTCAAACTAAGGAAACCTCGGAATAATTGAGTAACCAGTAATGCTGTCCGTTGATGGAGGAGAGAGTTGGTGTGTTTTGCTCTGATTCACTTATGCCTTTGCTGAAATTTTAAGATAAATAGAAGAAATTTCTGGTCCCTCAAGTAACTGTGTCTTCAGTACCCACTGAAAAATCTCAAAGAGTCTGGAGTGGTGTGTTTAAGAATAGGATGCAGGATGCAGAACCATAACCAGGCCTCAGGTCTGCATAGCTTTGGTCGAGCATTGAGCATAGGGCCTCGTGAGATAACTGATAAATGCCAAATATGACAATGATAAATGCCAAATATGACAATGATAAATGCCGAAGAATGACAGTGACAATGATAATGAAGTTACCAAAAATGATGGTAACTTTTCTCATCGGCATGAAATGCTCTATCTCCAATCTGAAGCTGATGATGTAGTTTCAGTTACTCTCATCTCTCTCCCCTGCTACTCAGATTGAAAATCAGCTACTTAGTACCTGTGTTCTTTGACTCTAGACCATATCATTGGGTCAAATTTCAGTTTTTAAATTTTAGATCCACATGGTTCTCTGTCAAGAAGATGACTGACTCATATTGAAATCTGTAAAATATGTATTCATTA
This sequence comes from Homo sapiens, assembly GCF_000001405.40. NCBI lineage: Eukaryota > Metazoa > Chordata > Mammalia > Primates > Hominidae > Homo > Homo sapiens. The sequence goes on from NC_000006.12 coordinate 111,184,295, forward strand.
GCCTGTTTTTTAAAAACTCCCTTATAAGTGGGTTGACTTTGTGGCAGATAGTAATTGACTGTTCTCAAAAGAAACTTTGACCTGGTAGGAAGATCCCATTTACCTGATGCTATGGTTCAAGACAGACAGATCATTTGCTTGCTAGCAGGGCAATTAGGTGAACTTCAAGTCCACTAGTAATTGGAAATGATTTTTTTTTTTTTTTGAGACTGAGTCTCATTCTGTCGCCCAGGCTGGAGTGCAGCGGCATGCTCTCGGCTCACTGCAACCTTCACCTCCTGGGTTCAAGCGATTCTTCTGCCTCAGCCTCCCGAGTAGCTGGGATTACAGGTACCTGCCACCACGCCTGACTAATTTTTGTATTTTTGGTAGAGATGGGTTTCACCATGTTGGCCAGGTTGGTCTCAAACTCCTGACCTCAGGTGATCTGTCTGCCTCGGCCTCCCAAAGTGCTGGGTTATAGGCATTAACCACCGCCCCTGGCCATGAATTGTATTTTTAAACCAGAAATGAAAATTTGAGACTAATAAGTCAGTACAGGGAGCATGTAAACCTCGAAAGGTATTTTTTAGCTTTGAGTAGTGCCAGATGCTGCCAAGGGTCAATCAACACTGGAATGTAGCTATTAGACCTTGCTAGGCAGAGCACCTCCATTTACACTGTGGTCAGAGCAGCAGTACTGCTCCAAGCCAGAGCTAAGGGCGCTGAGCCACGCAAATAGGAACAGCATACAAGCCTTCATCTCTCTGTGGCTTCCTCAGAGGGAGATTCATGTAACATTTGCCAAGAATTGATTATGTGTCAAGCACTTCCCCAAAATCTCACAGAACCACCACAAGGATGAGTGTAATAAATAACACATACTTAGAGCCAAGGAAACAATTCTGCAAAGCTGTGCTTGTTCAAAGCCATTCGCATTATGCTTAAAGCTGGGATTTGAACACAGGTTTCAGACAAATATGTCTGAAATATACTCTTTTTATGAAGGAGTCTGCATTCCTTCATTGCTAATCCAGAGATAGGAGTGCTGCTATTTTCAGCCATACTGGGCCTACACCAAAGATTGCTTTGCACGTTTCCCTTCTGTTCTCTCAGAACGAAGAACAGAGGCCATGTTGAGCTGTTCCAGCACTCAGAGCATGCTTCACAGCCAGGGAGAAAACTCTGGAGGAAACCAGCTTTTGTTTTGATATAATTAATGGGAATGAGAAAATATCTATACCCTTATTTTCAGCCCCAACTTCTCTTTTGATCTCAAGTACATTGTGAATATGAGAAAACTGAGGCCATGCAGTTACTTTTCACAACCTGTGACAAGCAGAACATGGACCATACATAGCTTTGTGTTCAATTTTGCTTTCTACAGTAAACATTAAGCATAACAGAAGAACAAAAATGGACATGTACAAATTTATAGCAAGATCTATCCTTTATTTGATTAACATAAATACTATTGCAGGAAAATGGAAAAAGGTAAACTGCTTGAAATTTAGTCACATATAAACGCTCCGAGGCCACTGGTGGATCATTAGTCTCCTGAGAGAGCTCTAAAGAATTAGTGTGTTGGAAAACTGTTCCCTCCTGTTAATGTGTAAATTTCACCAGTGGGTTTTTTTTTTTTTTAAGACAGGGTCTCACTCTCTTGTCCAGGCTGGTATGCAGGGGTGCAATCACACCTCACTGTAGCTTCGACCTCCCGGACTCAAGCAATCCTCCCACCTCAGCCTCCCAAGTAGCTAGGACCACAGGTGCACACCACCACACATGGCTAATTTTTAATTTTTTGTAGAGATGGGGTTCTCACCACATTGCCCAGGCTGGTCTCAAACTTCTGTGCTCAAACAATCCTCCTGCCTTGGCTCCCTGCCAAAGCACTGGGATTACAGGTGCAAGCCACTGCATCTGGCCTTCACTAGGTTTTTCATTTTGTTTTGCATGTGTCTCAGGTTTTATTTGATAAAATGCAGTATACTTTGAATCATCTCAAATTTCATTTCTAATATGGACATTGGCATGTCTCAAATCCTTGGACTAATAATCAAATTAAAGTTTGTTCAAGTTTGAGGAACCTAAATTAGCCAATTAGATAAGGGTCCTTTCATGTTTTTATATCAACTAGAAAATAAATTGTTTTGATATGGGATGAATAGAAATAGAAATCTTAATTTGAAGAATCTTCCCCTTGTGAGGCTATACTAAATGGCTTTTGCCTGATATTTACAAGGTGGCTTTGGGTTGTGGAGAGAGTTGTCTGATCCATTGAGAGTACATTTCTTACCTTCAACATCTAGGGCATCCTTTGGGAGAAGCCCTTGTAGTCACTAACTCTAAGGATCATAGAGCATAAGGGTAAGCAGGCCTTCTTATGTATTCATGCTATCAGGAAGGGTCTTTAGCACCCAAACAAAGTTCTAGGGGCTGTACATTGCTGATGTGTTAACCCTCAGCTGCCCATGTAGCATCTATTTACCCCTATGCTTTCCCCACTTTCTATCCCTATCATTATATCTCTGGCTCTTTTGCCCCTCTCTCCTTGGGCAGCTTACTTGTAATTAGAAAGTTTATATTCCCTCATAACATATTGTAAAAGTGCTCATTTAAAGGGCAATGCGCACCAAATTGGAGGTGTATAATTGCAAACATGGAATCCCTATATCTCTGTTATGCAATCCCTGTATCTCTGTATCCATGTTAAATTGAACTGATGCTTTTTTGAAGTAAAATGGTAAGAACAGTGGCAACATCTAGTCTTCAGAGCATAGTTTAAGATTTTTGCCCAATCCTCCAACCCATGCAATGGTGTGCTTTGAAAACCACAGGTTTCTTTTAGACAAATACAACATTTATTTCCCGCATTTCTTTTTGATTTAACATTTTAGTTAACATTTTTATTAACATTTTAGTCTACAAGATGCTTCCACATTATCTCTCATTGGAGTCTCAGGACCACTGTGTGAAATGGGCAATATCAGGGCTTCTATCTAGCAAGAAAAGAACCAGATTTGGGGTGGCGAAACAACTTGCTCAGGGTTGCAAGGATGGTACATGGTGCAGCCAGGGCTTGAGCTTGGGTCTTCTTAAAAGTGTGGCTTTTAAATAAAATACTTAAGTGCCTGCCAAAAAAGTATAACATTAACTTAGGACCTGAAAGGCATTGTACAGATCAGGTAGTTGCACTCCTCCCCCTGCCCTACAAAAAAAGAAAGGTAAAGGAACGAAGGCATGGAATAGTTAAGTTGCTTGCCAAAAGCCACAGTTATAAAAGTAGCAGAACTGGGTGTAATACCCAAGAACATCCATGGAAAATAAATGGAAGCTTATTACAGCCCAGCCTGTAAATATGTACATAGAAACAGAATGTGTATGTAGAAACAAAATTATTAGAGGAGTGAAATTAGTTTCTGTCCTAACCCTGGTCAACTCATAGGGTTCATTTCCCAATCAGGAGGTTGCTTTGCCATTTTGACATGATCCATTTTCTCAGAGTTGCCAAGAGCAATTGCAACTGGCTTTGTTGTCTTTCTTTCATGGATCTATTTGGAGCTCAGGGACAAGGTTGTTATGCGGCAGATTGTCCCTGACAATGCAAGGCTCACAGTAGTATCCTTATAAACCAAAGTTCACTGTACACTGGGCCAGGAATGGGCTGCTGAAGGTGACCTCTCCTTCATGTTGGTTGGTTTATCTTTGTTGGTTGGTTGTGTTTATCTCTGTTCACTATAAGGTTCTGACAGAAGCAAAGTCTTGGTCCCCGTTACATGTCCCCAGCCTGGTGGATGATGGTTACAGAGTGCTGGAAACTTTTTTATTTATTTAAAATGGAGTTATGTAACTGAAGAGTTGCCCTATCTCAGTCAGCACTGCAACCAATTAAAATAGAAAGGCTTAAAATATTAATTTTGTTTTTAGCCTAGAGTCTTAAATACTAGGGTTTAAAAGTTTCATTTACTTTCTCTCTCCCTCTCTCCCTCTCTCCCTCTCTCCCTCCCTTCCTTCTTTCTTCCCTCCCTCCCTTCTTTCCTTTTTCCTTTTTCTTAACTATGCAGAATGCTTTGCTACTTTGCACAATGCTTTGCTACTTTGCAAAATAAAGAGTAATCACTTTGCTTTTTCTTCAAGACTTTCAAATTTAAGTAATTTTGTTTTTCTATTTTTCATTCAAAAATAGGGTTATAACATTTCCTTGACACAAGGATATATATATATATTTAGAGACAGGGTCTTGCTATGTTGCTTAGGCTGGCCTTGAACTCCTGGTGTCAAGTGATCCTCCTGTCTCAGCCTTCCCAAGTGCTGGGATCACAGGCATGAGCCACTGTACTCAGCCTTTATTAATCTAAATATGATAATTTACCCACTGAGATTCATTTGTGCTGATTAAATTTACTCTCAATCCCTATATGTATTTCTTGTATTTTTGTTGTTGTTATGTGGCCTGGAAATGTTTCCTTTATTCATTCATTCATTCCCTTCGCAATTAACTTCCAAAAAGGCTATGAAGATATTTATGCACATATACATTTTATGATTCAACTCTCATGGTAACCTTTTATAAGGAAAGCAGTGCTAATAGTGGTTCTTCTACTAATAGATAAGAACATTGAGGCTCAGAGAGGTTTAAAAGGTTTGCCTAAGGTTGCACAGTTAAGTAACAGAGTTGCCATTAGAATAGATTTCCAGTTTATTCTAATGGCAACCTTAATTATTGTTGTTTGACTTGCTCTAATTATAAATCAGTTAAACAGATTCAGGCATTCATTTGAGTATCTATTGTGTGCCATAGACATTCTAGATGTGGGGATACAATGCTAAGAACAGATACTTTCTCATACACAGCTCAATAAACAAGTAAATTCATAAAGAAACAAAGTAGTTTTCAAATAGTGATATTTTCTTCAAAGGAAACAAATTGAGATGGAAGGTGATGGTAAGAGATGGTAAGAGACAACTTTGGCCAGTCAGGGACAACCTCATTGAAAAGCTGATAGTAAGTACATCCTTTGGGTAAAGGGTAGTATAAGGTACTTTGAAGGTACAAAAATAAGACAGCTTTCTATTGCCCTTGGGAGGCCTATAACAGAATTTCTCAAGTCTCTAAGGCCAATCAAGAGTTGGATTTTTTTATCCAACTTATTTTTAATTGATGTATTATTAAAAATCTGCATATCAAAAATGAAAATGTCTTGCATACTTTGCTGTAGGACCCAATCATTGTTTTTTCTTCGTATACTGCATTAATCTGTTTTCACACTGCTAATAAAGACTTACCCGAGACCAGGTAATTTAGGAAGAAAAAGAGGTTTAATGGACTTAAAGTTCCACATGGCTGGGTAGGCTTCACAGTCATGGTGGAAGATGGAGGAGGATCAAAGGCATGTCTTACATGGTGGCAGGCAGGGGAGTATGTGCAGGGGAACTGCCCTTTATAAAACCATCAGATCACATGAGACTTATTCACTGTCACGAGAATAGCACAAGAAAAACCTGTCCCCATGATTTAATTACCTCCCACCAGCTTGCTCCCATGATATGTGGGGATTATGGGAGCTACAATTCAAGATGAAATTTGGGTAGGGAACACAGCCAAACCATATCATTCTGCCCCTGGCTCCTCCCAAATTTCATGTCCTCACATTTCAAAACTAATTATGCCTTCCTAATAGTCCCTCAAAGTCTTAACTCATTTCAGCATTAACTCAAAAGTCCACAGTCCAAAGTCTCATCTGAGACAAGGCAAGTCCCCTCTGCCTATGAATCTGTGAAATCGAAAGCAAGTTAGTTACTTCCTAGATACAATAGGGGTACATGCATTGGGTAAATACACCCATTCCAAATGGGAGACATTGGCCAAAATAAAGGGGCTACAGGCCCCATGCAAGTCTGAAATCCAATAGGGCAGTCATTAAACCTTAAAGTTCCAAAACGATCTTCTTTGATTCCATGTCTCACATTCAGGGCACATTGATATAAGAGGTGTTCTCCCATGGCCTTGGGAAGCTCTGCCCCTGTGGCTTTGCAGGGTACAACCCCCCTTCTGGCTGCTTTCATGGGCTGGCATTGAGTGTCTGCAGGTTTTCCAGATGCACAGTGTAGGCTGTCAGTGGATCTACCATTCTGGGGTCTGGAGGACGGTAGCCCTCTTCTCATAGCTCCACTAGGCAGTGCCCCACTGGGGACTCTGTGTAGGGGCTCCAGTCCCACATTTCCCTTCCACACTGCCTTAGCAGAGGTTCTTCATGAGGTTCCTGCCCCTGCAGCAAACTTCTGCCTGGACATCCAGGCATTTCCATACATCCTCTGAAATCTAGGTGGAGGTTCCCAACCTCAATTCTTGATTTCTGTGCACCCGCAGACTCAACACCATGTGGAAGCTGCCAAGGCTTGGGGCTTGCACCCTCTGAAGCCATGGCCTGAGCTGTACCTTAGCCCCTTTTAGCCATGGCTGGTGCAGCTAGGATACAGTACACTAAGTCCCTAAGCTGCACACAGCAGGGGGGCCACACAGCAGGGGGACTCTGGGCCTGGCCCATGAAATCATTTTTTCCTTCTGGGCCTCCAGGCCTATGATGGGAAGGGCTACGTTGAAGGTCTCTGACATGCCTTGGGGACGTTTTCACCATTGTCTTGGCAATTAACATTGAGCTTCTTGTCACTTATGCAAATTCTGCAAATGTCTGCAGCTGGCTTGAACTTCTCCCCAGAAAATGGGTTTTTCTTTTTCTTCTTCCTTTTTTATTATTATACTTTAAGTTATGGAATACATGTGCAGAACGTGCAGGTTTGTTACATAGGCATACATATGCCATGGTAGTTTGCTGTATCCATCAACCTGTCATCTACATTAGGTATTTCTCCTAATGCTATCCCTCCTGTAGCCCCCCACTCCCCTGACCAGCCCTGGAATGTGATGTTCCCCTCCCTGTGTCCATGTGTTCTGATTGTTCAATTCCCACTTATGAGTGAGAGCATGTGGTGTTTGGTTTTCTAATCCTGTTTTAGTTTCCTGAGAATGATGGTTTCCAGCTTCATCCATGTCCCTGCAAAGGACATGAACTCATCCTTTTTTATGGCTGCATAGTATTCCATGGTGTATATGTGCCACTTTTTCTTTATCCAGTCTATCACTGATGGGCATTTGGGTTGGTTCCAAGTCTTTGCTATTGTGAATAGTGCTGCAATAAACATATGTGTGCATGTGTCTTTATAATAGAATGATTTATAATCCTTTGGGTATATAACCAGTAATGGGATTGCTGGGTCAAATGGTATTTCTGGTTCAAGTTCCTTGAGGAATTGCCACACTATCTTCCACAATGGTTGAACTAATTTACACTCCCACCAACAGTGTAAAAGCGTTTTTATTTCTCCACATCCTCTCCAGCATCTGTTGTTTCCTGACATTTTAATGATTGCCATTCTAACTGGCGTGAGATAGTATCTCATTGTGGTTTTGATTTGCATTTCTCTAATGACCAGTGATGATCTTTTTTTTTATATATATTTGTTGGCTGCAAAAATGTCTTCTTTTGAAAAGTGTTCATATCCTTCACCTACTTTTTGATGGGGTTGTTTGTTTTTTTCTTGTAAATTTGTTAAAGTTCCTTGTAGATTCTGGATATTAACCCTTTGTCAGATGGATAGATTGCAAAAATTTTCTCCCATTCTGTAGGTTGCCTGTTCACTCTGATGGTAGTTCCTTTTGCTGTGCAGAAGCGCTTTAGTTTAATTAGATCCAATTTGTCAATTTTGGCTTTTGTTGCCATTGCTTTTGGTGTTGTAGTCATGAAGTCTTTGCCCATGCCTATGTCCTGAATGGTATTGCCTAGGTTTTCTTCTAAGGTTTTTATGGTTCTGTTGCATCGTCAGGCTGCAAATTTTCCAAACTTTTATGCTCTGCTTCCTCTTGAACACTTTGCTGCTTAGAAATTTTTTCCACCGGATACCCCAAATCATCCTCTCAAGTTCAAAGTTCCACAGATCTCTAGGGCAGGGACAAAATGCCACCAGTCTCTTTGTATAGCAAGTGTGACCTTTACTCCAGTTCCCAACAAATTCCTCATCTCCATCTGAGACCACCTCAGAAGCCATTCAACAGGTCTCTAGGAAGTTCCAAACTTTCCTACATCTTCCTTTCTTCTGAGCCCTCCAAGTCTCTAGGAAGTTTCAAACTTTCCCACATTTTCCTATCTTCTTCTGAGCCCTCCAGACTGTTCCAACCTCTGCCTGTTACCCAGTTCCAAAGTTGCTTCCACATTTTTGGGTACCTTTACAGCAGCACCCCACTACCCAGTACCAATTTACTGTATTAATCTGTTCTCATGCTGCTAATAAAGACATACCCGAAACTGGGCAATTTATAAAGAAAAGAGGTTTAATGGACTCACAGTTCCATATGGCTGGGGAGGCCTCACAATCATGGTGGAAGGTGGAGGAGGAGCAAAACCATGTCTTACACGGCAGGAGGCAAGAGTGTGCATGCAGAGGAACTGCCCTTTATGAAACCATCAGATCTCATGAGACTTATTCACTATCATGAGAACAGCACAGGAAAAACCCACCCCCATGATTCAATTAAGTCCCACCAGGTCCCTCCTAGGACACATGGGGATTATGGGAGTTACAATTCAAGATGAGATTTGGATGGGAACACAGCCAAGCCATATTATATACTTTATTAACTACTTATCTCTTCTAATAATACACTTGTTCTCATGTGGTTATTCTTCTTATTACCTTTTTTTTGAGATGAAGTCTCACTATGTTGCCTAGGCTAGTCTCAAACTCCTGGGCATGAGCCATCCTCCCACATGGCCTCCCAAAGTGCTGGGATTACAGATGTGAGCCATCACTCCTGGTCTCATGTGGTTATTACAGTGAATGATTAAGACACCTTCTCTCCTTCACTTTGTCCCTACTTTTTCTCAGATTTTTTTCAATGATGTCTATGCTTTTCTTGTTTTTTTCTAGCTTTTCTAACCTTGCATTTATTTTCCTTCAGATCTCAACATCTGCTGCAATTTGACTGTTCAGGTTAGTGACAATTTGCCCATTTATCAGTTTTGTGCCTTAGGCAGTATTCACCAGCATTCTCCTACTTGAGATGAATAAGGATCTTTATTTATCTGACCACTTGTTTACTCATTCATGGGGACATTTAATATTTACAGAACACTTTCATCAAAACAAGCTTGTTTTTTCTTTTCAAAATATAATATACTAGCATAGGAACTTGACAGAAGAGGTAATAATACAGAAGAAATCTAGAGAACTGATCATGGAGAAATAATTAAACTAAAACAAAGCTGCTGCTTATAGTAAGGTAGACCAAGTTTGTCCTGTGTTCCAAATTATACTTAGCCAAAAATAAATATTTATAGATAATTGAATAGTAGTTTTTAGAAATGATTCATGGATTACTCAGGGGTGGAAATTATCCCTGTAATGTAGGCCCCAAACTTCTAAAATATTTATAATTTGTGAGGGAGAAATAAATCCACAAACATTTGAAAATATCTAATTTTAACTTAAATTGAAAAACAGCAGTAGTGTATTTTTGTTAGGCCCTTATATTGGGTAATATAGTCTATGTAAGTATGGGAAAGGCTGGTGAAAACTGTGGATTTATCTACAAAATACATTGGTACATTGGGGAGTTTTGTGTGGGAAGTGTCCTAACACCTCAGGAAATGCTAAGGAAGAAATGGGTAGGATAGACTGAACACTCCACAAGGGTAGGGAGAGCGTCTTCTCTTCATTGCTCTAGCCCCAGCACCTAGAATGTGCCTGGCACTCAATCTTTTCTTTCCTTTTTTAACTGATTTCAGGTTGAGTTTATAGGCTAGCTGAGTTTATAGGCTGGTAGAGTACAAGGTCTACTAATTTCTCTACTCATGACTACTTTACTTTCTAATAGCACTTTATGTTCTTCAAGTGCTTTTTTTCTTTGTTCTTCAATGTATAATAAGGTGAGAACAGTTTTATCTCCATCTTGCAGGGAGAAGAGTTAGTTAAGAGACTTTCTCAGGTCACACACATATAGTTAATGACAAGGTGAGGTTTAAACCTTAAATAATAGAAATAAAAGTGATTTTATAATTATCTAGAGTAGTTTCAATGTGAAATAACTTAAAGGTATGGAAATGGATGCCAAGAAGTATAGTCAGTCTTGCTGGAGTAAAATAATGCCCAGTGCTTTGTGCCTTCTCCCAGCTGCTGCTTCCAGAAGAACGGGGTGTCTGAGTGTGAACATCACCCAACAAGTAGGTTAACAGATATCCACGCCCCTCTTGACCCACATACATATCAGTGGGATTTAGAATGCTGCCACATATTGATGATTGAATTTATGAAGCATTATAATATCCTCAATAATAAACCAAGTGTCCCTGTCCCAACTTGTTATCTCTGCTTCTGTGAACACATGTTTTCTTTTATATGCTCCTTACTCCTCAGGTGCTCTCTCAGGGACTTTTCAGTTCCTGACCTTGTCCTTTTCAGCATTTTCTCAGAGGACAATTCTTAGCTTCCTGTTGATTCCTCAAGCATTAATTGCTTTTTTCTGCCAGATATTTCCTTGCTAGGCTCTTGAGCCCTCAGAGCTGTTCTGAATTATGCAGTGGGAATTGCCCAGGATTAGGAATCACCTAATGTCCCCACCACCCCCGCTTCCTTGTGAGGCACTTCTCAACTCTGCATCCCTTATACCTTCACAGCAACCCTGTGTACCCAAAGCAGTGTCATACTCGGTGCCTCCTTTTCTCTCCTGAAATAAAATTCCTAGATAAGAAGACCTCTATATTCCAGGCCTTGTCTTTGATTTTAGGGAAAAAAAAGAAAACTACCTATATACATAATGTTTTTAAAAATCAGTAATGTCCCACTCGTTACAGAAAGGAGAAATAAAAGAAGTAAGTTAATGCCTGGGATACGTGCTACAACATGGATGAACCATGAGGACATTACACCAAATGAAATACTCCAGGCACAAAAGCACGAATACTGTATGGTTCCGCTTAGATGAGGTACCCAGAGAAGTCACATTCATAAATACTGAAAGTTGTATGGTGGTTTCCAAGGGGAGGGGGAAATGAGGAGTTATTTAATGGGCACAGAGTTTCAGCTTGAGAGGAGGTGGTGACAGTTGTACAACAATGTAAATGTACTTAATATAGTACACTTAAAATGGTTAAAATGGCAAATTTTATGAAATAGGAATTTATCACGATAAAAAATTAAAAAGTAAGAAAAGTTACTGCTTGGGCGAAAGTATATCAAAAAAATAAAAATAGTCCCCACAAATTTCCAAAACAACCCTAATGAGGTGTTGCTGCCTAAATGGTGAACCAAATTGTGAACCAATGTGTAGTGTTTGAGACTGGGAAACTGATGCCCAAGATTTTAGCCTCAATAAGGAGTAGAGTTCATAATTTGACTCCAAAGACATTTCTTTCCCTACCATGCCAAGGCCATCTGATTCCCAGTCCAAAGAAGTTTTCTCTCTGCTCTGTAGGCTGCCTTAATCCAGAGTACACAAGCCTTCCATTTTCTTATCTGTCCTCCTACCAGGGTGTGGTCCTTTTCCTCCTGAACACTGACTGTATAATTACCAGACAAAACTAAACATATTTAAAATATAGGCAGTCCTCTACATCCAAGGTTCCACATCCTTGGATTCAACCAACCATGGATTGAAAATATTTGGGGGAAAAAAAAACAATAAAAAAACACTGGCCTGGGCAGCATAGTGAGATGCCATCTCTACAAAAAACATTAAAATATTAGCTGAGCATTCCAGCACTTTGGGAGGCTGAGGCAGGCAGATCACCTGAGGTCAGGAGTTCGAGACCAGACTGGCCAACATGGCGAAACCCTGTCTGTACTAAAAATACAAAAATTAGCCAGGCATGATGGCAGCTGCCTATAGTCCCAGCTACTCAGGAGGCTGAGGCAGGGAAAATTTCTTGAACCCGTGAAGCAGAGGTTGCAGTTAGCCAAGATCCCACCACTGCACTGCAGCCTGGGTGACAGAGTGAAACTCTGTCTCAAAAAAATAAAAATAAAAATAAATAAAAATTAGCTGAGCATAGTGGCATGTGCCCATGGTCCCAGCTACTTAGGGGGTTGAGGTGGCAGTGAGCTGTGATCGTGCCACTGCACTCCAGCCTAGGCAACAGCGAGACCCCATCTCAAAACAAAAACAATAAAACAGAACACAGATTAAAAACAAAATACAGGCTGGGCTCACTGGCTTATGCCTGTAATCCCAGAACTTTGAGAGGCCAAGGTGGGAGGATTGCTTGTGCTCAGGAGTTTTAGATCAGCCTGGGTAACATGGCAAGACCACATCTCTACAAACAACAACAACAGGAGACTATACTTTCAGGGACCATTTCTGGGGATCATAGTTTGTTACTAGAGAAGTTTCTCTGTGTAGAGCATTGAAATATAAAAATGCAGAATAATCATTTACATAGCATTTACATTGTATTGGTTATTATAAGTAATCTAGAGATTAATTAAAGTATACAGGAGGATATACATAGGTTACATGCAAATACTACACCATTTTGTATAGGGGACTTGATCATCCATAGATACGGGTATCTGAGGAGGTGTTGGGTTCAGTTCTCCACGGATACCAAGAGACTAATGTTAATTTCATTTCCCCAACCTCCACACCAGAACTCTGAAATAAGAATAAGAAAAGGAGCAGTTGGGATAGACAATATCAGAAGTATGTGGAAATGATAACAGTGGAAGGAAAGCTGATCTAGGCCTACTCAACAAATTTTAATCTTCATTCCGGTAAAAACAAATTAGATTTATGGGTGCAAATTTGAGCCAGCAATTAGATGGCTCTTAGGATTAATAAAAAAAGACTGAACATCATGCCTTCCAAAGACTGAGGGAAAGAGATAGATAGGAGACTTTGGCAAAGTAGCACTTTAGCCAACATCATTAGCCTAAATCTTAGTGAAGAGAGGTTAGAAGAAAGGTAGAATTTTCATGGAAGGATCCATTTTTCTTCACTTCAGAATTAAGGGAAAAATTAGGAAGCTGAATAAGAACTAATGGCCTAATTTCTTTGTTTCTTTCAAAAATCAAATCTTTAAGTTAAAATTTCAATAACCAACAGAAGAAGGTAGAACCAATTTTGTGAATTTACAAAATACTTGCTTATTGACACTATTGCCAAGGTCATTAAATAAGTTATCAAGTTACCTCAGATCCCAGTGATTTAAATAATGCTTTCTGAATGTATCCTTTTCTGTTTTAAGAAGAAGCTGTATTAGGTTCTTGTGTTCCTATAAAGAAATACCTGAGGCCGGATGATTTATAAAGAAAAGAGGTTTAATTGGCTCACGATTCTGCAGGCTGTATAGGAAGCATGGCCCCAGCATCTGCTCAGTTTTCTGGTGAGGTCTCGGGGAGCTTTTACTCATGGCGAAAGCAGAGTGGAAGCAGCAGGTCACTTGATGAAATTGAGAGCAAGAGTATGGGTGGGGAGCTGCCACACTCTTAACCCAATCTCTAGTGAACACAAGCAATAACTCACTTATCACCAAGGGAATGGTGCTAAGCCACTTGTGATGGATCCACCTCCAAAATCCAGTCACCTCCCACCAGGTCCCACCTCCAACATTGGGAATCACATTTCAACATGAGATATGGAAGGGACAAACATTCAAACCATATCAGAAGCCTATCTTAGGCTGGGCACGGTGGCTCACGCCTGTAATCGCAGCACTTTGAGAGGCCGAGGCAGGCAGATCATTTGAGGTCAGGAGTTTGAGACCAGCACGGGCAACATGGTGAAACCCCATCTCTACTAAAAATACAAAAACTAGCTGGGCATGGTGGCACACACCTGTAATCTCAGCTACTCGGGAGGCTGAGGCAGGAAGCTCTCTTGAACCCGTGGGCAGAGGTTGCAGTGAACTGAGATTCTGCCACTGCACTCCAGTCTGGGCAACCGAGTGAGGCTCTGTCTAAAAAAAAGAGAAGCCTATATTAAACTTATAAAATTTAATATCATTTCAACTAGCCTTTTGTTGGGTGCATTTGTTCACTTTGGACTATTTTTCCAAATTCATGTACAGTCGTGCATCTCTTAACAATGAGGATATGTTCTGAGAAATGCATCCTTAGGCAATGTCATTGTTGTGCAAACATCATAGAGTGTACTTAGACAACCCTACATGGTGTAGTCACTACATACCTAGGCTATATGGCATAGGTAGAGCCTATTGCTCCTAGGCTACAAACCTGTACAGCATGTTACTGCACTGAATGCTGTAGGCAGTTGTAACACATGGTATTTGTGTATCTAAACATGGAAAAGGTACAGTGAAAGTACAGGATTATAATCTTATGGAATCGCTGTTATATATGTGGCTCATCTTTGACCAGAAATGTTATTATGTAGCACATGACTGTAATTCCACTATTGATTAGAGACTCCATAACCCACACCTACCTGTTCATTTGCATGCACATTTAGCCGATAGGTGACTTTATCACTAGATCAGTCCAAGAATAAGTTTAAAGAGCATGTCCCCTTTTCTTGTTTTTTAATAAATGTAAAACATGGAAGTACATGATACCTCAAAGGAGCATGAATCACAAACAGGAGTCCACATTTACAGAGCCTTTGCAACCACTTTTATATCTTCAAAGTGCTCTACCAAAGTATCGGAGTCAGTCAGTCATGCAGGTAGGCTGCCAACCATGGCTGAGCCCTCAGGAGCTGTCTTGATGACCAGCATAGACACGGTCTGTTGTGTTCATTCAAACTTGCCAGGAACCAAGGATCTGAGAATGGTAAGTCTGGTGTGCCAAGAATGAAACTCCAAGAAAGAAACTTCAGAATCAAATTTAAATTTAGGCTGGGTGTGGGGGCTCATGCCAGTAGTCCCAGCGCTTTGGGAGGCTGAGGTGGGCAGATCACCTGAGGTCAGGAGTTTGAGACCAGCCTGGGCAACATGGTGAAACTCTGTCTCTGCTAAAAACACAAAATTAGCTGGGCATGGTGGTGGACACCTGTAATCCCAGCTACTTGGGAGGCTGACGCAGGAGAATTGCTTGAATCCGGGAGGTGGAGGTGGCAGTGAGCCGAGATCACACCATTGCATTCCAGCCTGGGTGACAAGACCAAAATGCCATCTCAAAAAAAAAAAAAAATCGAATGTAGGTGGAATTAATAAAAATTTAAATAAACTAACAGATTAAACCTTTCATTGTTCAGGAAGGAACAGAACAATTTTTGATAACTTGTGAAATATCTGGCACAGAAATTATTTAGAGCCACTAAATAATTTCAAATTACCTAAAAATCCTAGTGATTTATTTTCTATTTTAAGATGAAGTCTACTTTAAACTTCTAAAATGCAGGGTTATTTAAACTGGCATCTAAATCCAAGCTGGTTTTGGTTGGTAATTCCTCTAGGACATTTTACTAAATCTTGATCTTATCTAAATGATGCTATGTCATAGATGGACTGTTTATTTGTTTTGTTTGTAATCCAGGGAAATTTAAAAAAAAAAAACAAGTAGAAATAAAGGCTTTTAAAGAATTTTTAGAGTTAGAAATGTTTTCAAAATTAGGTTCTTTAAACCATTAGCCATCTCTTCCTTCTGAACTCTTCTTTTTTCTGCCCTTTGGTAGCTATGAAATAATCTGCATTCCAGAAACTTCTTTTTTCCCAGTCCTTTTTCATGTCTTAACAGTGCCATGCATGATTATCTACACCATGGAAACCCATCTTAATGAAATGGAAAGATCTGCTGTTTAAAAAAACAAACAACCAATCACCCATGCCTCCTACAGTCCTGTTAGGCCAAAGGTCTGCTCTCCACCTGGTCAGCTGCTGAGGAGGGGGCAGGTACCTGTACCACAGTTTAGCCACAACAGAAATATCGTTGGGCTACCAAAAGATGTCAGTCCTTAAAAATGTTGGCAAGCAAAGAAATTTTTCTCTAAGCACATCTTAGAGATACTTTAGTCTAAAGGCACAGTTGATCAGATTAAAGAAGCTAAGATTACATTTTGGGGCTGGTCTAATCGATAAATATCTATCAGTGGCCATAAAGTTTTATTTCAGTGTTTTCTGGTGTAAAGGGATTAATTTTATGTACTCAAGTCTATGGAGTTTGTTTTCTTCCACCTTTAATCACCTCACTCGGCTTGCTGGTGTGCAGTGCTCATGCAAAACTTCCTAAGGGAGTGCCCCACTTGTTTTAATTTACTTCCTCTAGCAAAAACACAGCTAGAGGAAACACAAATCGTTTAAAAAAGAAAGAAAAAAACAAAATAAACTGTCTCATTTCATTCAGAAGATTTCTGTTCATCCTACTTTTAAGTCAAAGGGTAGTGTTAAGTTTTGATTTGCAACAAACTCAGATTATCCATTAACCCACGCTTGCAGGCTTTCTACTCCCTTTCAGATGTACGTCTATTTTTTTAAAGGGCCCAGGCTTTTTGAGTTTACCTTTCAAAAAAGTATGTTTAGGCAGAATGGTCTTCTAGAGTTATGGAATAGCTTTTCAAATGTTGGATGGATATTTTCTTAGAATTACTCCAAAATGCAGTAAATGAGAAGCAACAAGCTGAAGCTGCCAGTCTCTGGTATGAATAGCAGTGAGTAAAAGTGCTTTGAACTTAGTGTCCGTATTGGAAAGCAGGAAGTTGAAAGAATCAGTTTGAATTCCATAATTGCTGTAAATATTATGTAGCATTTATTATCCCATTTTTTGATGTACCATGTAAATGTAAAACATACAGGTCCCCTCCCTCCCCTGAAGAGTTTATTCTCCTAGACATAAAATGAGTGTACATGCCTAGCCATTGTCCACCCCTTTCCAGTTCGATGATGTGTATCTGATGAGGAAGGACAGAGATGAGAGAATCAAAATCATTATAAACGAATACAGATGATGACTGGGTGACTGAAATCTTATCTCCCAAAGAGCATAGTTAACTGCAGCAGCAGTGGATGATAACTACTGGGTGGGGGTAGAGGGGTTGTTTTGCTCAGTTCTGCCTAGAAGACAGTTGTAGTTATTTTAGTCCCACAGTCTCTACTCCTCCCTGGGCCTGTTTTTGCCCTGCTTTCCTGGCCTCTGTATACGGCCTTTGTTAGCACTTTGTAGTTGTCAGTCAGCTGTTACTCCAAGTCCTCTGTCAGAAATAAAGTTACTTTTGTTTGAAGAGTCTCCAGTAATCCCCCTTCTTTTTAAACTATGACTCCCCAAAGATATATAGTCTAACTTGTGTGCACCAGTATTTTATCATATTTATTTAATAAATTCCATACACCTTACATAAAAGATATTAAACAAAAAGTACTCACCCCCTTAAAAGGAGGAAGATAATGACCATCAAGGCATGGCCAAATTACACAGTCTTAGGAAACAGTACAGTAGGTAATTATTGGACCTTTTTGATTAATGGCATCCTTGCTTTGCAGGTGTGTACCACCACTGCACTTCACAGGTTTCTGTAAATAAAGTGATTTGGGGTTCCCTTCTGTTGAGCATTCTTCTATCGTGAAACCATTTGGTGATGAGAAGCTTGAGTTTCTAATGCATGTTCGTTGGCTTTATTGGAGCTGCTTTTGTACTGTGGCCACCCATTTAACTTCCTCTGTGGTTGATATATGAGAGCTAGAGGACTCTGCCTTAGCTTCTTCATCAGAACACCATGTGATGTCTCCAAATGTCTTACACTGTGGCTCCCCTGTAAGAGAGGTGGAGAGGAGAGAGGCCAAGGCTGAGGCCATTCCAGTGAGATGATCACTTTCTTAGGCTACTGCCTGAGACCTCTCAAACAGGATCTGTCTGTGGGCTCTAGTGAGGGGAAAGTAACCGGCCTTCAGTTGGCTGGTCAGAAACAGTTACCCACGGCCGGGTGTGGTGGCTCATGCCTGTAATTCCAGCACTTTGGGAGGTCAAGGGTGGAGGATTGCTTAAGCCCAGCAGTTTGAGACCAGCCTGGGCAACATAACAGGACCATGTCACTACAAAAATGATTTAAAAATTAGCTGGATGTGGTGGCATGTACCTGTGGTCCCAGGTACTCGGGAGGCTGAGGTAGGAGGATTGTTTAAGCCCAGGAGGTCGAGGCTGCAGTGAGCTGTGATTGCGCCAGTGCACTCAAGCCTGGGCAACAGAGTGAAACTCTGTCTCAAGAAGAAAAAATGTTTCAGGCACAGTCAGTGTTGAAGATGTCAATTAGCAAGGTTTTTTTAATCCCCTGGAAGTGTGCAACCCAGGATTAAACAGATGTTTAAGAACATAAATAAAAGATGAATTCCTGGCCGAGCGCGGTGGCTCACACCTGTAATCCCAGCACCTTGGGAGGCTGAGGCAAGTGGATCATGAGGTCAGGAGTTCGAGACCAGCCTGACCAACATGGTGAAACCCCGTCTCTACTAAAGATACAAAAATAAGCCGGGCGTGGTGGCGGGCACCTGTAATCCCAGCTACTCAGGAGGCTGAGGCAGGGGAATTGCTTGAATCCGGGAGGCGGAGGTTGCAGTGAGCTGAGATCATGCCACTGCACTCCAGCCTGGGTGACAGAGTGAGACTCCATCAAAAAAAAAAAAAAAAAAAAAAAAAAAAAAAAAAAAAGATGAATTCCTGACACTTAATACATTTAGATAAAGTCTAACTTATCTTTAAAGTTAACTTTAAACAACTGCTCTACAGCATAATATTATCCCCTGTGTAGACAGTGACCTCTAGTATAAGCTTTAAATTGGTTTAAAAAATAGATTAAGTATGAAAACATCTCTTCAACATTTTCATATCTCTACAACTCTTTATTAGAAATATCCATTTTGTCCTATATTCACTTTCTGCTGAACTAAAGTGCATGCCAGTCTCCAGAGGATGACAGATGGGCAGAAATTTATAAAACAGCAGCAGTCATGGACAGCCTAGGCCACAAGTAGAACATACCAGACCTCCTGGGTACTACTGTCTCAGTGAGAAAGGATCCAGAGATCCAGCATCACCAGATTCCCTCACATACTGACCAAAGAAACTTTTTTAGTTTGCAGATTTTGGTGGGAATAGGGAGGAGTATTAGAAGCTGAAGTTCTTGCTTTATTTAAATAATCATGGCAGTAACAAAATTCGGTTAAATAATGCCCCTTCTAGGCCAGGCGTGGTGGCTCATGCACTTTAGGAAGCCGAAGCAGGCAGATCACTTGAGGTCAGGAGTTTTGAGACCAGTCTGGCCAACTTGGTGAAACTTCATCTCTACTAAAAATACAAAAATTAGCTGGGCGTGGTGGTGCACACCTGTAATCCCAGCCACTCTGGAGGCTGAGGGAGGAGAATCGCTTGAACCAGGTAGGTGGAGGTTGCAGTGAGCTGAGATCACACCACTGCACTCCAGCCTGGGCGACAGCGAAACCCCATCTCAAATAAATAAATAAATAAATAAATAAATAAATAAAATAATGCCCCTTCTAGTTGAAAAACTAAGTTCCTACCTAAGCATAATTTGGATTTACCCAATTTATCTTCTTTCAAAATACCTCAAACATTTCACCTTATTATTCTTTTTAAGGATTACAAAGTAGAGCAGGGGGGAAATAATAAACCACTAATAAAGAATAATAGCCATTTGACAGACAGGTGTTCTTAGTTTCATAAAAAAAAAGATGCCTGGTAGATTCAGTCTTTTATGAATACTAAAGAATGCCTCTTATTTTTGTTTGTTGGAGACAGGTTCATTTTGAACCTAACCTGGTGTTCTCAGGGAACATAGGTTAGAGGGGAGAGATTTAGGAGTGAGGGCTCAAGCAAGAAGCATGTTAGAAGACTGCTGTAGTGGTCCCGGTGAGGAGTGAAAGGAATGGAACTAAAATACCATGAGGAATGTGGGCCAAAGGAAACAAGTCTGAGAGATTTAGAAAGTAAATCATCAGGATTCAGTGGTGACTCTTGGATTTGAAGAGGGAAAGGGAATAATCTAGGGTAGCTGTCAGTTTCTGCCATGGGTAGTTGGGCTAACAGTAGTGTATTAACTGAATTGGGGGGCAGGCAATTTGTGAGGGTGAGTTGAGTTCAGCACAGGGCCTGTTGACTTTGAGGTGCCTTTGAAACAGGAGTGGATATGTCTAATTTTACATGAAGTGTCTACTTAAGAGAATGTGTAGAGACATTAACAGGGCTGGGTAGGAACACGGAATACCTCAGGTGCCAAATGAAAACTTTTGGCAATAACAAGAAGTTAGGAAGTTGAAGAGGGTAGAAGAGGCAGCAGAAATGTAGATGGATAAGAACATGTTGGCATGTTTAAGTGACATTGTGAATAAACCTGTCCTACTGGGCCAGATGGGATTAGGGCTGAGATCAAAGCAGGCCTAATGCAGTTTGCAGACGTGTTTTGTTAGACTTTTGTAGAGCTGGATCACACAGTGTCCTAAATTTAAATTAGGTGCCAACATTTCCACACAAAATCCGGATTTCTGACTTTTCTTTTAAACTAAAGGGCTCCTAGAGGTAGATTTGGCAACATTGGTAGACCTATATGATAATAATCGACTGAAGTATATGTCCTTTCTCTCCAATGAACCTGTTTTACTTATGTTATTTCGCTGAGCCCTTAGACATTTAAATTTTGTACTTTTTTTTTTTAATCCAGGCTTATAAGTCAGATGAATTTTCTACTTCTGAGTCAAAGATCAGTAGGTAATAAAGGTACAAAGATAGATTAGCAACAGATTACGGAGAGCTTTGAATACCAATCTAAGGAGTGTAAATGTAGGCAGTGGGCCACCTTTGAATAAGGAATTGATGAGATTAAAGCCATATTTAGGAGGATTATTCTGGACCAGTATGAAAACACAGAAGTTAGGGAAAACAGTTAATAGTTTTGAAAGAGAAGAGAAAAAGGAGATGGTGTTGGGATACATAAATGGGCTTTTAAAATGCAAAATGAGAAGTGTTTTAAAGAGATATCACCCAGAAAGTCTATGCACTGCCACATGGGCACTATATGGGTGGTTGTATTTGGTGGGAAATTTGCTTGCAGACTTCCAGAACTCAGACCAATGTGTGGTGTGGGGGACGGTGATTGTCAGGCATTATGGAAAGGTCAAACAAAATATGCTCACTGGCTATCTATGGCCCACAGGTCACTGTAGTCTCTGTTATAAGTACACTAAGTGGAGGAGAAAGGTCCTTTAAAAAAAAGAAAGCTAAAATTAATACCTGATTGTTATTAACTGTGTGCCAAACACTGTTCTAAGCTCTTTACACAGACATTTTATTTAATCCTCGCAACCAATTTCTGAAGTAGGTACTTTTCCAATTTCCATTTTACAGACAAAGAAACTGAAACCCTAGAGGTTAAGAAGTTATCCAAAGCCACAAGGCTGATAAGAACAGAACCAGGACTTGAACGCAAGCAGTCTGCCTCTCCAGAGGTTTATCTTTTAACTGCTATGTTAAACTGCCCCTGCATTTTAATCTGTTCTAATGCTACACAGATAGGCAACTTTACAGGTAGAGGACCTTATGCTTTATTCTGGATGCTCTGTTATAACTCGTTTCAGGGGTGTCAATTTGGTCCAGGTCCTCCTGGAAGAAATAAAACTCCAGAATTGACCCTTGAACTGTCTCTTAGGGAGCAGATAATGTAACGGGTCCTTGGGTGACCTTGAGAGAACAGGTATGTTCAAATGTCTGTTCTCTTCCTTTAGCTAATGGATCAGTGTAGCTTATAATTGCATGCTTCTAACCCTTTGTTGAAAAATAAAAACTCTTATAAACATGCTTTTTTTTTTTTTTGGAGACGGAGTCTTGCTCTGTCGCCCAGGCTGGAGTGCAGTTGTGCAATCAGCTCACTGCAACCTCTGCCTCCCGGGTTCAAGCTATTCTCCTGCCTCAGCCTCCCGAGTAGCTGGGATTACAGGCATGCGTCACCACGCCTGGCTAATTTTTATATTTTTAGTAGAGATGAGGTTTCACCACGTTGGCCAGGCTGGTCTCGAACTCCTGGCCTCAGGTGATCCACCCACCTCGACCTCCCAAAATGCTGGGATTACAGGCGTGAGCCACCATGCCCGGCCTTAAAAATGCTTTTAAAAATGAAAACTAAAACATGTTAATTTTTTTCAAATGTTTTCATGAAAATTATCACAGGACAAGTTTCATAAATATTGAAATTTGGAAAAAGTTGCAAGCCCATAACATTGCAGAGAAGCAAATGCATTTGATGCAAAGCCTCAAATTTGTCAAGTTTTTCTACCATATTCAGTGTGGTTTCTTTCTCTTTGGCCTATAGATGAAACATGTAAATGAAAGATTTCAAGATGAAAAAAATAAAGAGGTTGTTCTCATGTGCATTGGCGTCACTTCAGGAGTTGGACGACTGCTCTTTGGCCGGATTGCAGATTATGTGCCTGGTGTGAAGAAGGTTTATCTACAGGTACTTTTTTACACCTTTTTTCCCCTATCAAAAATTACTCTCATCACCCGATGTCTCATTAAATGTACTTACATGCTTAAATTCTTTTTTTTTCTTTCCTTTTTCTTTTTGAGATGGAGTTTCGCTCTTATTGCCCAGGCTGGAGTGCAATGGCACGATCTCAGCTCTCTGCAACCTCCACCTCCCGGGTTCAAGGGATTCTCCTGCCTTAGCCTCCCAGGTAGCTGGGATTACAGGCGTGTGCCACCACACCAGGCTAATTTTTGTATTTTTTTAGTAGAGATGGGGTTTCTCCATGTTGGTCAGGCTGGTCTTGAACTCCTGACCTCAGGTGATCTGCCCGCCTCGGCCTCCCAAAGTGGCTTAAATTCTTCTATAAAAATGAGAAATATTTTCTACAACATAACTTCTATAGGCAGTTTTTCAAGGACAAAATTAGTTATTAGTTTGGGTTTTAAACATGAGAAATTGGCAATGAAACAACAATTTCTTTGTTTTGTCGTGGAACTCCACCAAACCAGAATGGTTTTCATCCATTGCTTTTTCTATGAAGAATGTTTTTTGGTGTAGTTCTCATAGTCATGTGCAGATCCTGTGCCCTTTGCATGTCTTATGAAATTTGGTTGTGTGTGTGACTTTTCAGCTTCTTTACTGCAAATTGCCTCCTCGTGTTTTGGGGTGAGCATAAACAAATGCTAATTCCAAGATCATTGCTGACAATCAACAGAACAGGTATTGAAGTGACTCCTTCATGCCACACACTCTGCTAAATGCTGAAGACTTAAGTGAAACATGGTCTGTGCCCTCACCTAGTAGCTAATGGTCTCATGGGAGAAGATAAAGCAGTGTTGCAGCACAGTGGAATAACGGGTTTGCTAGATGAGTGCCATAGCAACACAGGCACCATGCATCTGAGTCACTAGTGAAGGGCTGAGCAGAGTTAAGAGGTGAGGACCAAGTGTGTAGATAAGGGAGACAGAGAAGCATGCTCCGAGCAGAGACAAACACATGGGAAACACCTCCCACACTGTGGAGGTGTGACATGGGATGTTATATCTGGGAAACAAATGTTTGAATGGAATAAAGGGAGAATAGTGGATGGATTGGTTGGGGGGATGGACAGGAAGCAGCTTGGGAAGGGCGGTTATGTACATGAGCTCTATCCTGCAATCTACTAGGAGCTATTAAAGGATTTTAAGCCAGAGAGTGACATAAATTGGGGTGGCGGGGGTTGGTGTTTTTTGGTTTTTTGAGGCAAGGTGTCACTCCGTTTCCCAGGCTGGAGTACAGTGGTGCCATCACAGCTCACTGCAGCCTCAACATCCCGGGCTCAAGCAATCCTCCCACCTCAAACTCCTGAGTAGATGGGACTACAGGTGCGTGCCACCATGCCTGGCTAATTTTTGTTTTTTTGTTTTTTTTCTGTAGTAACAGGGTTTCGCTGTGTTGCCCAGGCTGGTCTCGAACTCCTGGACTCCAACGATCCACCCATTTCAGCCTCCCAAAGTGCTGGGATTACAGGTGTGAGCCATGCCCAGCCTGAGTTGTGTTTTATAAAGATCAATTTCGGCTGTGCGTGGTGGCTCATGCCTGTAATCCCAGCACTTTGGGAGGCTGAGGCAGGTAGATCACCTGAGGCCAAGAGTTTGAGATTAGACATGGTGAAACCCCGTCTCTACTAAAAATACAAAAATTATCCAGGCATGGTGGCACATTCCTGTAATCCCAGCTACTCAGCAGGCTGAAGCAGGAGAATCACTTGAACCTGAGAGGCAGAGGTTACAGTGAGCTGAGATTGTGCCACTGCACTCCAGCCTGGGTGACAGAGCAAGACTCCATCTCAGAGAAAAAAAAAAAATCAATCTGGTAACTGTGAAGAGTGGAATGGAGTGGAGGAGGGGACAAGAGTTGAGATAGTCACAAAAGGCCACATACTGAATGATTCCATTTATATGAAGTGTCCAGAATAGGAATCTCTGTCTCTTTCCATAGAGAAAGAAGGTAGATTTGTGGTTGTAGGGGCTAGGGAAAGGAGGGAATGGGGAGTAACTGCTACTGTGTTTCTTTGTGGGGTAATGAAAATGTTATAAAATTAGATAGTGATGAAACTCACTGAATTGTGCACTTTAAGTGGGTGAATTTCATAGAATATGAATTATATCTCAATAAAGCTATTTTTAAAAAGGCCAGGCATGGCAGCTCATGCCCATAATATCAACACTTTAGGAGGCTGAAGCAGGAGGATCACTTGAGGCCAGTTCGAGACAATCCTGGAACCATAGTGAGACCTCATCTCTACCAAAAAAAAAAAATTGTTTTAAGTTAGCCAGGCACGGTGGCACATGCCTATAGTCTTAGCTATGCAGGAGGCTGAGGTGGGAGGACTTTGAGCCTAGGACTTTGAGATTACAGGGGAGTATGGTCATGCCACTGTACTCCAGCCTAGGTGACAGAGTGACACCATGTCTCTAAAATTTAGAGAAAAAGAGTAGAGGTCCAGGGACTAGTTGGAAACTATATTAAAGTAGTCTAGGCATCTAGGCAGGAAGAACCAAGGCAGAGATACTGAGATCAAATGGAATAAGCTAGGGACATAGAGAATGAGAATTTGATGAAGCCACTTAGGCTGGATCTGAGATTTGTGGCTCAGGTAATGGAGTAGATGATTTTGCCATCTTATCAAGATCAATATGCAGTAGATCTAAGTATGATGATGAATTGGGGTTTTTTAAATTAAAAAAAAATTTTCACCCAACCTACCTGCCCTTGCCCCAGTGATGAGTTTGTTTTTGCCATGTTGTTTGTGATGCCTGTAGGAAAGCCAAGTAGTGTTTAGAGCTCATGGAAGAGTCTGGATAAGAGGCCTGTGGGTTAAGAGGCCTGTGGGTTAGGAAGCCTGTGGGTTTGGCATTCATGGGCTGCATGAAGTAAGTGGAGGACTAAGGAGATGGAAAGGGAGTGGCCAGATAGGCAGGGGGAAAACAGGGATGAGAGTGTTTCTAGGGGCAGGAGTGGTCAGCAGTGTCAGTAGCTAGTGACAAAGAGGCTGAAAGGTTTTCATTGAATTTAGAATAGGGAGGCTATGAGTGAGCTTACAGAGAATGGTTTCTACAGGTGCAGAAAATTGATCATGATCATTTGAACAAATGGAAATATAGACAACTTTGTCCAAATGCTTGGCTGTGGAAGGAAGGTAAAGGCAAGCCACAAGGGGGGGTCTTAGGTTTTGAGGATTAAGCCTGTCTAATTATATTATACATGAGAGGCAGTATTTGAGCAGGGCCTTGAAAAAGAGGTGAAATTTGGACACAGGAAAATGATTGGAAAAGGCATTACAGATAAAGTTAACTTCCATTAATTGACTTGAAGTAATAACAGTCAACCATTTATTGAGGACTTTCATGTGCCAGACAATGAACTAAGGGCTCTACATGCATTATCTCATTGATCCTTGCCCCAGCCCTTTAAGAGAGGAGGTACCATTGTTATTTCCACTTAGAGATGTGAACACTGAGGAACTGAGAGGCTACCTCACTGTGGGTGTCTGTGTGTATAGAGGTCCAGGCAGTCACAGGACAGTCTGGTCACACAGCTAGAAGGAAGTGAAGAGAGTTGGTAATGTGCTGCTTTTAAAAATGTATTTATTGTATCATGATCACTTTGTCAGTACTTCACTGTGGACATCCTCATCTAACATTTAGTTTTGTTCTCTAGTGTCAAGGGAGCCCTCTAATGGACATTTATTGCACTACAGACTTTCAGCTTTCATACATTCAAAAATTGAGTGCCTCCTGTGCCCCAAGCACCAGCTCAGATGCTGTTAGGGTGATGCAAACAAGACAGACATGGTCCCTGAGTTCCTAAAGCAAGCCTGAGGCAGGAAGAAGCCGAATGTGTGTGGAAACCCAAGAAGATGGGGAAAGTGGCATGGGAAGGGACTGGAAAGTTAGAGTGGGTCAGATTAGACAGAGCCTTGAAAGCCAGGATGAAGAGACTTTGCTTTAAGAGTAGTGGATTTTGGCCGGGCGCAGTGGTTCACGCCTGTAACCCCAGCACTTTGAGAGGCCAAGGCTGGCGGATCACGAGGTCAGGAGATCGAAACACAGTGAAACCCCATCTCTACTATAATTACAAAAAATTAGCCAGGCTTGGTGGCACGCGTCTGTAGTCCCAGCTACTGGGGAGGCTGAGGCAGGAGAGTCGCTTGAATCTGGGAGGCAGAGGTTGCAGTGAGCCGAGATCGCACTACTGCACTCCAGCCTGGGTGACAGAGTGAGACTCCGTCTCAAAAAAAAAAAAAAAAAGTAGTGGACCTTTGTTGGAGGACGTAGGTCTGATTTTGTTTTTAAAGTCACTGTGGTTGTTCTGTGTTTGGAGGATGGATTACAGGGAGGGAAACAAGAGTGCAAGAGGGGAGGAAGACCTGTTAGGAGATCAATTCAGGGTCCAGGTGAGAGATGATGGACTATGGTGCTGTAATAGATAAAGTCATGATATATTTTATATATCAGCATTTTATTCCAAAACAATGTTTGAACGTCCTCCTACCCTAGATAGGGCAGACAGATTATCTGCAACATTTTTGGAGCACATTTTAATACCTGACTGTTTCCAGTAATTTACAAAAGAAAATATAGCCTTTCCTAACTTGTCCCATGTTGGTCTGCAGTTACACAGCAGTAAGTTAAAAGTTAGTATTGGGGGTCAAATATTTCACTTTAGATGAAAGTTTAGCCACAATCTGGCTTCTGTTAGGCCTTATCTAATTTTTGCATCCAAATGTAGAGCATCGTTTGTGGCACCCAGTAGCACATGCTGAGTCACAGGTGTGACAGCTGCATTTCAAACAAGCCTGAGAAGGAGAAAGAAAGCCCTTCAGTGTGTCCTGTGGTTGCGAGGAGCCACTCACGGACTCCACCTTGTGAACACAGCGGCACAGGACGCAACACAGGCCTAACCCATGCAGGATGCTGGACTCGTTCCCTTATTCACTACCTCCTCTCTCTCCTTTTTCATGGCTTCCTTGCCCCAACATCCCAAACACACAGTGTGGTTTTTGATTCTTGGCTCTTCTCTGCTGCAGTTGACTCCAGCTCTGCCTGTTTGTTCCTTCCTTTTTCTCCATCCCTGGCTCTCTGCCTTTTGGCCCATCCTTTAAGGCTTGGAATGCTCCTGGGCTTACCTTCTTTCCATTCATTGGTGGTGTGTTTTCTCAGACATACCTGCTCCCTGCTTTCATCTTTCAACTTCTTGGGGCTGTGACAACTCTTCCCTCTTTGTCCCCTGGAAGCCAGTTCTGAGTAGCAGCCAGGCCTAGAACACTGGTGACACAGACACACTTCATAGCCCTCCCGCATGGTCTAGTTTCAGATCATGGTAATCCCTAGTCTAGGAGGCTGCCGAGCCCAAGAGCACAGGCTCTGGAGTGAGAAGCCAGTTCACCCCAGTTCTACCACCAACTTGAGAATCAGCAGAGGGCTGTGGTGAGGATTCTTGGTGGCAGGTTATGTAAAGTGCCTAGCCCAGACTGGATGATTAATAAATCCTTGCATCTGTTATGTTTTAATATCTTATTAAATACTGAAAGCAGATCCTGATTTGGAATAGGTCTCAAGAAAGGAGACTAGGGTCTAATCCTGAATTAGAGTCTTTGCTTATAGGTAACAAAGAATTTATGAATTTATCTCACATTTTTGCTTAAGAGTTCTGAATTTAAACTTCCATCAAGGTCCTGGGTCCCAGGTGTTTTCAACCTAATAATTCTAAATATTGAGTGGTTGGTTGCAGTAGCTTATGCCTATAATCCCAGCGCTTTGGGAGGCCAAGGCAGAAGGATCCCTTGACCCCAGGAATGCAAGACCAGCCTGGGCAACATAGTGAGACCTCATCTCTACAAAAAATTAAAAAGTTAGCTGGACATGGTGGCCTACACCTGTAGTCCCAGCTACTTGGGAGATTGAGATGGGAAGATTGCTTGAGCTGGGGAGGTTGAGGCTGCAGTGAGCTGTGATCATGCCACTGCATACCAGTCTGGGTGGCAGAGTAAGACTTTGTCTCAAAAAAATAAAAAAATAAAAAAAAATGCTGAGTCAAGTCTACTGCTCCTGCCAGAAGAGATGACTGAAGTGCATTACGTAGAATAATAATGGTTAAAGAAAAGCTTTGCAAAAGTTCCCAGAATATATACTTTATTGGGACAGGAGAAGCTACGTGTGTCGTGGTATCTTTTTACTATTTTCTTAATCTTATAGGCCTGTGTTTCTAGTCACCATTAAATTACTACAGATTTGTGTTTTTAATGTAATATATAAGTGTTTTGGAAGGGTGAGAATATTTCAAAGGTTTGAAAGTTAAAACTGTGTATGAAAGAATTGAAAACTTGGAATTTAGATCACTTTTCCATTGTGTCATATTTCTCTGTGACATGGACATATTGAAGCATGGACATCATGTCCATGCACATAAAGCAGACAACCCAGACAACACACACATGTGCACAGGAACGCTCTGGAAGGATGCAAACCGAACTGTTAAGTGTTGATTCCTGAGGAGGTGAATGGGCATGGGTTGAGAGTGAGAAGAGGTTGTAGGAAGACTTTCATATATTACTGTGTACATTTCTCTAAGGTTTGAATTTTAAAAAATATATTCATGAGTTACTTTTGTAATGTAGAAATATTAATGACTTTCCTATCCATCAGTCTGCCTAAGCTTCCTCTTCCGGTTCAGGTAGAATGAATTGGATCAGTGTTGCTCCATTTTCCATTTTAGCATTTTACATTTGCCTAAAGATATCTTGGGATGAGGGTATATACTTTATCAAATGTAAGCTATTTCCAAAGTAGTAAATCCAAATACTTAACAACTTCCCAGCCTAAGTAAATGATCAGAGGCTCCGTACTCAGTCTCATCTAGACTGTGGCACTGGGTGTGAACGTATCAAATGCATGTTTCTCCATCAGGCAGAAGTGAGAGTAACCATGTGCCATGGAGAAGGTTGACAGACTCCCTGTGAAGCACTTCGAAGTGACACTGGCCTCTGTGTGCTTCAGAAGAATCCAGCCACCTGCTGTGTGGCCTGACATTTTCCTTTAGTTTGTGATGGGCCAGCAGAACTCTGTTGCCAACTGTTTTCTGTCCTGGGTGCCTAGCCAGAGGTTCTGAAAGTCTGGAGACTTTATATGGGCTAAACTTTAGGAACGTCAATTACATGTCTATCTCCAAGATGCCTTCTTTTATTCAGGTGCAGCTCATTGTTTCCTCTTGAGCTACACTTAAGATTCTTGAGCAAAACCTAAACTGACATTTCTCCAGCAATGCTCTCCTTGAGATAGAAATGGGAAAAGTAAGAGCAAAAGGAATCTTTTGTTCTCATGTGCATACACTAACTCATAGAAGGTTAATACTTCTATAGCCTGTACTATTATAACAAGTATTATATATTTATGATATATTTCCTTAAAGAAAACAAAAGCAATATAGACATCTAAACTGTCACTGGCTTATTAAGTGTCAGTGCCAGAGCCTAGGAGAAAATAAGGAGCCTGTGAATTCCTTACTCGAATCTAACCAGAGCTGCTGTGTTTGAGAGCAAGTTTTAAAAGATTGTATGTAATACTAAGTTTATTCATCTTTCACACTGAGTCCCAGCATCACCAGATCAGTATTTGATGCCTGGATCAATCTTTATTCTGGGGAGTGATGAAGCATTGAACCTGCTATATGTATAGTTTGCCGAGCGTCGGCATGTGCTCCTTGTGGCCCAGGCATCCCTGCATATAAGGAATAGGTACGTTCTCACGAGCCTCACCTACTTACCTCCACATTTAGCCAGATTCTGGGTATTAACATCTGCTGGGAAAGAGCATCACTACAGTAGCTACAAATAAGGTGGAAGAAGCAAAGTATTTTTCTGAGAAGTACTTAAAGAATAGATGTGTAAATTTCTATAAACACAAGTCTTAAAGGAAAATGAAAAAATTTTACATTTAAATAACTACATAAATCATTGCCTAATTTTAATAAGAATATAACTTAATATAGCTTGAATGGAGAAAAGGACAACTTGCAGTCAGGGAAAGTATTAAGAAATAATATGCTCAGTCTGGGCGCGGTGGCTCATGCCTGTAATCCCAGCACTTTGGGAGGCCGAGGCAGGCAGATCACGAGGTCAAGAGATCAAGACCATCCTGGCTAACACAGTGAAGCCCCATCTCTACTAAAAATACAAAAAAGTAGCCAGGCGTGGTAGTGGGCGCCTATAGTCCCAGCTACTCGGGAGGCTGAGGCAGGAAAATGTTGTGAACCTGGGAGGCAGATCTTGCAGTGAGTCGAGATCGCGCCACTGCACTCCAGCCTGGGTGACAGAGCAAGACTCCATCTCAAAAAAATAAAAAAAATAAAAAAAAGAAATATTATGCTCAAAATATATAGCAATAAGTTGGAAACTTTTACTTGAATAATTTTTACAAAACTGACCAAAGAACAAAAACGTGAAGAGGCCAAGTTCCAAGACTCATGTTATGTAAATTGTTCTAAAACAACATTAGCACTTAACAAAGTTGAAAAGTTAACAAAGCCAAGTACTGTACTAGGCTTCCAACACTAACTAAGTATAAAATTCCACAGAGCTGGTTTTCTTATCTTTAAAGAAATTTGTTGGCAAGTGGTACTGGTGTTAAAAAAAAAAAAAAAAAAGGAAATATGTACTGACCAAAATAGAAAAAAAATATGAAGCACATTAAAAGAAAAAAATATATATTCCTGAAAACCTTGTATAATTACAGTGGCATGGTTGGGAATGTTTGGTCTATAGTTTTAACAATTAAATCCATTGAATCTGGCCCCGTACCATCCTAAAGTTTTATTCTAGATTCTCTGGAGTTTGTGATTATAGATATGTTTCTAAGATTTAAGTAACTTTCCATGTTTATCTCCTTTTATGTTTGTACATAGAATAAAAATGTTTCTATTGTTAAGAATATTAGAGTTGGACGCAGTGGCTCACGCCTATAATCCCAGCACTTTGGGAGGCCAAAGCAAGTAGTTTGTTTGAGCCCGGGAGTTCAAGAATGGCCTGGGCAACATAGTAAGACCCCATCTCTACAAAAAATAAAAAATTAGCCGGGCATAGTGGCATGTCCCAGCTACTTGGGAGACTAAAGTGGGAGGATCACTTTGAGCCCAGGAGGTTGAGGCTGCAGTGAGCTATGATCGCACCACTGCATTCCAGCCTGGGCAACAAAGTGAGACCTGTTTCAAAAATAAAAAATTGGGGTTTATCTACTTAGATTTTCAATAAAAATTACTACTTAAATCTTTACCTGCTTGTTAATTTCAAACCCTTTTCTACATTTTGATTTATCTTTAAATCTCTTTTTGTCTCAATAAATGGGAAGTATCAGGAAGTCTTTTTACTTGCTCAAGGTCATAGAGAGCTTAGAACCTGGTAGTGTCCCTCTGAGCCCCAGTTCTTTCCAACCTGCCAGGCTGTAGGCCCAACAATTACTCACCACTAAGAAATTATGCTTGTGCTGTCATGGAAGTTGCATTGGAGAAAAGGATATTTAACTGGCAAACAAAAGTCAGGAGAATGGGGAGATTTTGTTCTTTTGAAATGCTAGTGTGAAGTGCTAGGCTTATTTTTCAAATGCCCAACTCGTATTCTTTTCTTTTCTTTTTTTTTTGAGAGGGAGTCTCACACTGTCGCCCAGGCTGGAGTGCAGTGGGGCGATCTCGGCTCACTGCAAGCTCCGCCTGCTGGGTTGACGCCATTCTCCTGCCTCAGCCTCCGAGTAACTGGGACTACAGGCGCCCACCACCACGCCCGGCTAACTTTTTTTTTTTTTTTTTTGTATTTTTAGTAGAGACGGGGTTTCACCGTGTTAGCCAGGATGATCTTGATCTCCTGACCTCGTGATCCGCCCTCCTCAGCCTCCCAAACTGCTGGGATTACAGGCGTGAGCCACCGCGCCCAGCCGGCCAACTCGTATTCCTAAACGAATCATAATTTTACCATAAGACCATAGTTTAGTGATTGAAGAAAAAATGTACCGAACTGTATGATATGATGGTGTCAAAAAGAACTAACCCAATATGAAACAGTTTTCAGGAGCATGTTTCCTATTTTGGTGTCAGTGGACCACTTGTGTTAAAGTTGTGAAAACCAACACTCCTGAATTCCACCCAGAACTCACACTCTGCACCTTCAGAGGCCCTCAGATTGTGAGTGGCTGCCCCGAGGTGTACTACCAACCTCCAGCTTCCGTAGGTCCGTAGGTGTGCTAGTAGGGCCTAGGAAAAACAGAACAGATGAGGACAGTGATGCATACAGCTGCTTTATCTGGTCTCTCCTTCCTCCCTAGCCTGACTGCTATTGGAGGGCACCCTCCAGGCACAGTTCTGTTCACAGCCTGCTGCTGCCCCCGTGGGCCATGGTTCCAGGACGGCTCCATCTTCTGTGCTTTGGGCACATTAACCTCTCCCAGCGTCACTATCTTCATCAGCAAAATGGAGATAACATTAGTACCACCTCATAAAGTTGTTATGAGGATCACCAGTGAGATAATCAATCTAAAGTGCTTACAACAATGCTTGGCACTTGGTAAACACTAAATAAATGATAGTTGCTATTATATGCATACTTTTAAAAAACTTGATGCTTTTAAAAATTTTTTCTGCTGACTAGTGAATTGTTCAGTTTTTGTTGTTGTTGTTGTTGTTGTTGTTGTTTGAGACGGAGTCTCGCTCTGTCGCCCAGGCTGGAGTGCAGTGGCATGATCTCGGCTCACTGCAAGCTCCACCCCCCGGATTCACGCCATTCTCCTGCCTTAGCCTCCCGAGTAGCTGGGATTACAGGCGCCGGCCACCACGCCCGGCTAATTTTTTTGTATTTTTAGTAAAGACGGGGTTTCACCTTGTTAGCCAGGATGGTCTCGATCTCCCGACCTCATGATCTGCCCACCTCGGCCTCCCAAAGTGCTGGGGTTACAGGCATGAGCCACCGTGCCCGGCCATGAATGGTTCAGTTTTAACAGGTTCTGTGCCTTAAAAAAGTTATTAAATTGACTGTTTCCTCCTTTTTTGTACCCATCATACTTTGAATATATAACTACGGCAGCATATAAACACTTCACTTGCACTTATTTATTTAAATGTCCATCTTTCCATAACCCAAGGGTAGGAACGAAATCTTATTCATTGTTGAAACCTCTAGCACATAGCACAGTGCCTACCAAATAGTAGGCAAAATCAGGTGTTCAATTCTATTAACTACTCTAACACTGAACTGAAAGTGTTCAATGGCTCAAAATAATATAATAAGCCTTAACTCTGGGGTGCTTAAATTTATCTATAATCTCTGCCAGTGAAGTATACATAGTTTTAAAGGTTAAAAAAAAATCAAGTGTTTAATGAATTTGAGCTGATTGAGCACTGACCAGATACAGGATCCTTAAACTTCATAATATCTAGTCCAAAGATGAATTTTTTTTTTGGTACAGATTCTGACTTCAAGGGATTTGCAGGCTGGGAGGGAAATTAAATATATAAAAAGTCATTTTCGGCCAGGCGCTGTGGCTCATGCCTGTAATCCCAGCACTTTGGGAGGCCGGGCAGGTGGATCACTTGAGGTCAGGAGTTCAAGACCAGCCTGCCCAACATGGGGAAGCCCCATCTCTACTAAAAATACAAAAATTAGCTGGACTTTGTGGTGCTTGCCTGTAGTCCCAGCTACTCAGGAGGCTTAGGCAGAAGAATTGCTTGAACCTGGGAAGCGGAGGTTGTAATGAGCTGAGATCACACCACTGCACTCCAGCCTGGGCAACAGAGACAGACTCCAGCTCAAAAACAATACGTTTTTTTAATCTTGTCCCTTAATGGAAATATTGAGAAAATGTCTAGGGGAACTCGAAGGAGATGATTATAGGAGTTGATTATGTATGTAAAATCAAAGTGAATGAGGCAGTGGCAGGGGGGAAAGGGGGAACCAGTAATGACTTAGAAGTCCTAAGCATGTTGCATGGTAATTGTGACATTTGCTTCCTGCGAGCGGAGCTGACCTTGTGGTGTCCGTCCTAGGTACTCTCCTTTTTCTTCATTGGTCTGATGTCCATGATGATTCCTCTGTGTAGCATCTTTGGGGCCCTCATTGCTGTGTGCCTCATCATGGGTCTCTTCGATGGATGCTTCATTTCCATTATGGCTCCCATAGCCTTTGAGTTAGTTGGTGCCCAGGATGTCTCCCAAGCAATTGGATTTCTGCTCGGATTCATGTCTATACCCATGACTGTTGGCCCACCCATTGCAGGTAAATATAATGATTCTCCAGTAGTTATATTAATTCATAGTATTTTCTACTTCAGGTCTTAATTAAGTCTCATTTATATGTAAAACATATTACAGGTTATTGATTACTGGTCTTTTGCTTTTATGTGTGCCTTACTGGTAACATTTTTAATAAGACTAGCTATTAAACAGTATGTTGAATTTGCTGAAGAGTCCCTCTTATCCTTACTGGCAGCTAAAACACTATATAAAACACTTTGGGAGGCTGAGGCGGGAAGATCACCTGAGCTCAGGAGCTTGAGACCAGCCTGGACAACATAGTGAGACACTATCTCTACAAAAAATAAAAAATAAAAAAATTAGCCAGGCGTGGTGGCATGCATCTGCAGTCCCAGATGCACAGGAGGCTGAGGTGGGGGGATTGCTTGAGCCCAGAGGTCAAGGCTGCAGTGAGCTGTGATCATACCACTGTACCCCAGCCTAGGCGAAACCCTATCTTTAAAAAAAAAAAAAGTTGAAGATTCTGAAAGATTTCTAAATATGTCGGCTTTTGGTAAGAGATCATACATCCCCCTGAGGAGTAGTTGATGAAAAATAACATGATAGAAAAAACCCAAATGCCTGTAAATACCTAACTGGGTAAGCAAAATGTGGAATATCTACAGTGCAATATTATTCAGCCATAAAAAGGAGTAAGGTACAGAACTGATGCTACCAGGTGAATGGACCTCAAGAACATTATGCTAAGTGAAAGAAGCCAAACATAAAAGGTGACGTGGCTGGGCATGGTGGCTCACACCTGTAATCCCAGCACTTTGAGAGGCCAAGGCAGGAGAATCATTTGAGCTCAGGAGTTCCAGACTAGCTTGGGTAACATAGCAAGACCTTGTCTCTACTAAAAATAAAAAAAATTAGCCTGGCATGGTGACACATACTAATATTAGTGTAGTCCCACCTACTCCAGAGGCGGAGGCGAGAGGATCTATTGCGCCTGGGAGATCAAGGCTGCAGAGCCGTGATAGCACCACTGCACTCCAGCCTGGGTGACAGAGTGAGACCCTGTCTCAAAATAAAAGGTCATATATCGTATGATTTATTTCATGTGAAATATCCAAAATAGGTAAATTCATACAGATAGAAAACTGGTGACTGCCAGGGGCTGGAGAGAAAGGGATTGGGAAGTAACTACTTAATTGGAATGAAGTGTCCTTTTGGCATGATGAAAATATTTTGGAACTAAATAGAAGCAGTGGGTGCAAAACATTGTGTATGTGCTAAATGCCACTGAATTGTTCACTTTCAAATGGTTAATTCTATTTCATGTGAATTCCACCTCTAGAAATTCTCTGAATGATATTATAAAGATGTCCTATGTTCAGTATTACTTGGGTGCCTGTGTCAATTAGTATTAGAAGATTCAGTATAAATATGATAAAATTTAAATGTGTGTACTGTCATCTGTGTTTGGCACATGAGGTGCTCAGTGAAGGTTTAGCTCAATTCATTCTCATACCCTGAACTGTATTCCTAGTCATGAATCAAGCAAGCAGAGTTACTACTGAGCAGACCAAATCCAGTTTAAGTTCAAAAGGTCATGGTCTCCTTATAGGAGAACCCTCCATTCCTTCTTCTCTCCCGCAGGTAATATAGTATTCACTCTTCTTTCTATAGCCTACAAGCTTAGTTTTATAGTTTCTAAGTCCACAGCAGATTTTATATAAGCAGCACTCTAGTAGTAAATAGTTTTGCTACCAGAAGTGACAGTTAACAGAGCAAGAATAAGGGAGGTAACAGGAAACTTCTAAAGCAGGCAGAACACCACCACACAGCAACTGGCAGCAGAAAGCTGCTGGCTCACCAGGAGGCTCTGAGGGCATCATAGTATTACAGCAGAACATAATCATGAGTGTTCATAAGGAGGAAGAGTTCAGGAATGGTCTGATTCCAAAGATAGAAAACTTGTGCATTTACAGATATTGTCTATTTTATATATGCAGAATGGATGTACACATTTTTATGTGTTGGTACTTAATTGGACAAATGGTCAGCTATTTATTTAACAATGTCAGATAGATATTTAGTACAGTATATTCCCTGGACATTTTAGATAACTTAGGTTTTAT
The DNA here is from genome assembly GCF_000001405.40 of Homo sapiens. Lineage (NCBI taxonomy): Eukaryota > Metazoa > Chordata > Mammalia > Primates > Hominidae > Homo > Homo sapiens. The sequence goes on from NC_000006.12 coordinate 111,221,144, forward strand.
AGTATAAGTTATAAGAGTTTAAAAACACTAAGATAACTTTTAAAACCATGAGTCCTGGAATTTGTTAGAGAAATTAGAAATGTTGAGTACCGTAAAAGTTTTCAGAAGCAGAACCCGAATATAGAATGCCATTAATAATTCTTATATACTTACATTTTCTTCCAGGTACTTATAAACCTTAGTCTATTTCCAAAATGTATTTAACAACCTAACTTTCATCCAAATTATTAAATTTAAAATTTTTCTTAATTTTGAATTATGATGTTAAATAGTTTTCATGTTATTTCATAAAAAACAAATACACCAAAGAGTAGTTTGAAAGCTGGGCATGGTGGCTCATGCCTGTAATCTCAGCATTTTGGGAGGCTGAGGTGGGAGGATTGCTTTAGCCTAGGAGCTTGAGACCAGCCTGGGTAATGTGACAAAACCCCATCTCTACAAAAAATATAAAAATTAGCCAGGCATGGTAGCATGCACCTGTAGTCCCAGCTACTCAAGAGGCTGAGCTGGGAGGATCAATTGAGCTTGGGAAGTCAAGGCCTGCATGAGCCATGATTATGCTACCGCACTCCAGCCTGGGTGACACAGTGAGACCCTGTCTCAAAAAAAAAAAAACGTCTACCTTTCTATCTTTTCAAGTAATGTCTTGGTATGAAAATCCAGAGGACTGTACTTTATGACAACGTTAAAGATATGAGATCTTTTTCTTCCTATCAAAAAGGGTTTATATTTCAGATCTGTTTCCTAAAAAAAAAAAAAAGTCTGATGTCTGAGATGTCTGAATCAGTCCTGTGGCTGATCTAGACCCCCTACAGAGCCACACTTGTTCTCCCTTGGTGACAGCTTTTTCCCTTCTCAGGGTTACTTCGTGACAAACTGGGCTCCTATGATGTGGCATTCTACCTCGCTGGAGTCCCTCCCCTTATTGGAGGTGCTGTGCTTTGTTTTATCCCGTGGATCCATAGTAAGAAGCAAAGAGAGATCAGTAAAACCACTGGAAAAGAAAAGATGGAGAAAATGTTGGAAAACCAGAACTCTCTGCTGTCAAGTTCATCTGGAATGTTCAAGAAAGAATCTGACTCTATTATTTAATATCTTACATACCTCCACCAGACTGGACTTGCTTTTTGAATTTTAAGCAAGTTTCCTTTCCTTTTATACAAATTGCAAATTTCATATTTTTTTAATCACATCCTAGGAATAGCACAATAATTGGGAAATAGAACCCTTATCACTAGAAGAACCATTTTCTGCCACTAAATATCTCTGATGTTTCCATGAGTCTGAGGGCAGAGACTCTGGTATATGAAAACGTCTGAAAGTCACATATTGTGAAAATTTGAAGCTATCTCAGTAAAAAGCAGCTTTGGAAACTGTGAATGATCTTTAGCTTGTACAAATGTTTAAAAATACCTCAGGCTATACTGAAAGGGTTGCAGTTTGGTTAGGAGTGGAAATATTTTGTTTGTTAATGATGTCTTCAGTTCTGGTACCTCTGTTTTACTTTCTTATGCTCTTTGGAAACTTTTTGCAAAATTTAAGCCTGGGTTCTAGATAATACCAGATCTACCTAAACCTCAAGTCTATGTTAAAGTTGCTTTCCTGCTGTTAAATAAGCTATGATATTAAGATATTCTGACTTGCTCCAGTGTCAAGGGACCTTCTGGGAGCAGGTGCTAACATAGTGTTCAGAATCAATATGTGAGATGAAAAGGATCCCCTCCAGGAGGATCCTGAGCTGTTCAGAAATCATTTAAGTTTACAGCGTTGTTCCCTTTGCGTTTGCAGTGCGTTTTACTCAAGTAGCCAGAAACACCCCACGTTTCTGAATTTGTTTAAACTGTAACAATAAAGTAAAATAGAATGCATGAAAGATATTCTGGCGATTGTAACTTAGAATTTTTCTGACTTCTGGATTTGTTGGCACTAGAACCTGATATTTAAAGTCTTACTGAGCAGCTATCAAGTGGCAGTTACAGGCACAAATTGGTGGAGGCTGGAGGATGGGGAGGGGAGCAAAACCCTTTATATTTGTGAAGAAAATATCTGTAGCTGATAGAAATAATTGCTTAAATTGGTTTATGAAATTAATGAGTCTGAAAAGGTTAAAAGCACTTATAAAAAGAACCAAGTCCTACATTTCCAGAACTTTCTGGCAAAAATTTGCACTCATATTATTTATCCTATGAACATTCCCATTGTTTTTTTTTGCTATTTATATACAGATTATCATAAGAAAGCTCTCAGTTTGAGGACCCAAAATAAAACCAAAGTCATGCCATGACCCATACTCATTTACAAAAACAAGAACACTTTCCTCTATCCCTAAAATTATGCTTTAGTACTTGAGGCCTTTAAAAGTTAGTGCTTTTGATTGTGAAGACATTCAGCAACTTACTTTGTCATACATGCAGTTGCACCTTACCACTTCTAATAGTGTCATATTTCATATTCAGGGGACTTAGATAATTTGCCTGTGGATGGTTCTTTTGCAGGAAAAAAAATCTACATTTTGACCATACTACCCTTTCATGTCCTTATTATAAGCTTTTAGAAAATGATTTCATTCAGTCATGTCCAGTTATATAAAACGTTACTTTCTCATTTTTGAGAAGTTCAACAAAACATACTACTAAGACCAATCATCAAACCCACTATTATAAATGTTAATTTTGGCTGGGTAAGGTGGCTTGCGCCTATAATCCCAGCACTTTGGGAGGCTGAGGAGGGAAGATTGCTTGAGCCCAGGAGTTTGAGACCAGCCTGGGCAACATAGCAAGATCCTGTCTCTACTAAAAATAAAAAAAAAAATTAGGCCAAGCATAGTGGCTCATGCCTGTAATCCTAGCACTTTGGTAGTCCAAGGCAGGGGGATCACTTGAGCCCAGAAGTTCAAGACCAGCTTGGGTAACATAATGAGACCCTGTGTCTACAAAAAATTTAAAAATTAGCCAGGCATGATGGTGCCCACCTGTAGCCCCAGCTACTCAGAGGCTGAGGTAGTGGAAGGATTGCTTGAGCCTTGAGATGGAGGCTGCAGTGAGCTATGCCACTGTACTCTAGCCTGTTCAACTGAGCAGAACCCTGTCTGTAAAAGAAAATCAAAAACAAAAAATAAATGTTAAATTTTGTTTTAAGTTTTAGCACAGACTCCCCTCAAAACACCTTCTCCCCAATTTTACAGAAAGTAATTTAAAAATGAAAACTTTACTCTGTAAAGACCTCTACAGTGTTTTTCTTTTCAAAATTTGGCTGATTTTAGGAAAAAAGTGATCATCTGAAACTAAAAGAAATTGCTTGGTTAGTTTCCATATTAAAACAGCAGTGACAAGTATATATAACTTAGATCTCAGCATATGTGTTTGTATATTAAACTTCACATATGTAGTTTTCAGTTTAATGGAATGAATCAAACTGGATCTATAACACTGAAAAAGTTCTATTGTAATAGACTCATACGGAGAATACTCTGCTATAATAATATAAAATTAAGAAGAAAAAGTATAAACGTAAGATGCTAAATTCCATAAATGCATATTTAGTACTATGTTTTTTGTGGGAAAAGTTCTAAAAGTTTAAAATGCACAAAGAAAATGAAAAATACTAATATAAAAATTTGTGCTTTAATCTAGTCAAACTAAATCCTTTCTAATTTCTGAATGAAGTGTTACTGCTGCAATAAAGTGACCTGATAAGCCTAAATTTTTTGTGTTCAATCCAGACACTTTTCTGAGAGTCTGAAAAGAATACAGAGTCAGAACTCTGTTTTTATCTCCTCATCCTGTTTTTGATAAGACTCAGAAAATTCTCAAATTCGAAAGGTTCTGGCATTTGAGGCCAAAAAAAGCATGAAAGGGAGTAACATTCCTTTTTATAGATACTCTAGATTGGATACTATTGTAACAGATGGCCAAGAAACTTCCAGAAACATTTTGGTTAAATTTTATTGCAATGGATATTGCTGGGATCCATCCATTTAAGCAGTAATATACCACCCAGATTATTGATACTTTATGCAAGATGTGTTCATCTCTTTGATCATATTTACAATGCTTACTCCATAGCCCTGCTACAAGACTTAAAATTTCCACTGAAAATTGCATAGTTCTTGTATTAAGATTCAAATTCTGGCTGGGCGCAGTGGCTCACGCTTGTAATCCCAGCACTTTGGGAGGCTGAGGCAGGCGGATTGCCTGAGCTCAGGAGTTCGCAACCAGCCTGGGAAACACGGTGAAGCTCCATCTCTACTAAAATACAAAAAAATTAGCCAGGCGTGTCGGCATGCACCTGTAGTCCCAGCTACTCGGGAAGCTGAGGCAGGAGAAGAATCCAGGAGGCAGAGGTTGCAGTGAGGCGAGATTGCGCCACTGCACTCCAGCCTGGGCGACAGAGCGAGACTCCATCTCAAAAAAAAAAAAAAAAAGTAAAAGTACACACAGTTTAAAAGTAAACATGTTTACTTCGGATAATTCTAATCCTTTTAGCTGCATTTAAGAATATTTTAATTTATACGAATGTTACTTGAAATTGGCCTATGTCCAGATGACTTTTGATGTTAAATCAATGGAAAACTGAATAGAAAATATGACACGAGATCGGGGAGGGGGAAGGCAACCTATAGCATGGGTGGCTCTGAGGAGTTCCTGCTGGTGCACTTTCATGCCCTTTCTTATGTACCTTTTGTCTTACTCTTCTTACATTATTCTTATCCTCATCATTTTTTCATTTCCCTTTACTTCCTCCTATCCTTCAAAAACCTCCTGAAGAGTCCATTAACATCCATGCTTAGTTCCACTGGTTGCATGGCTGTATTTCCTACTGATCCCTGTAGTTTCACTGAATGGATCCCCACCCAATTTCGTGTATCCTGGTGAATGGCTTTCTCTCAGCCTTCGACTTAGTTCTAATGATCTACATTGAATTTAAATTACATGACTGAAATATTTAAGGGAAGAAATAAATTTCATACAAATTAGTATCTTTTATGCTAACATTTAAAACTGTATTTAAATTTTTAAGGTAAATGCTTTGGGGAAAAAAAAAACCATTGCCAAGTCTTTAGCATATTTTCAGAGAGCGTAATTTTTTACTTTGATTTCCAGTTTCACTAAGGTTTCATTAAATCTTAGTTCCGAGAGCCCAGCATGAAGGGTGACTGGGAATGTAGTGTGCCTCTCTGATGCAGTTCCTAATGATTGTTCTTCAGGGACCTTCCTTAGGTTAGGTTACATTTTCTGGTGAATGGTGTTAGAGTAAATTCCCAGAGTTTAGAGATACAAGTAGAAATGCATAAGCTAATTAGCTCCAATTTTATAATATGTAAACAATTTAAACAAGTATTTAAAACTTTTTAGGAAGTCTCTAACACTGAAAAAAAGGTCATTGTTGCTGGTATAAACATTAAGGAGCAACTTTTACATTAGGTCAAAGATTGTTGCTTTTCCAGTGTGTTGTCTTAAAAATAGAAGGAAATAAAACTATTACCTTCTTTTTACATCTATATGTTTTTATAATTTGAAAGGCAAGTAGTATCTTGGTGAATAAGAAATGCATCATCCATAACAATTTAATTAACTCTTAAAAAGACCAGCTTTTTGTCTTGTTATGAAAACAAAACGCAATTTGTCATTCATAATGGTAATGTGGAATAAGAATACATCGTAGAAGGAAGACTTGCTACTTTACTGACTTAATCATTAGTTCTAAGGCCATGTGTGGCGGCTCACGCCTGTAATCCCAGCACTTTGGGAGTCCAAGGCGGTAGGATCACCAGAGCCCAGGGTTCAAGACTCAGCCTGGGCAACATAGTGAGATTTCGTCTCTACAAAAAAAATTTAGCCAGCTTGGTGGCACATGCCTGTAGTCCCAGCTACTCAGGAGGCTGAGGCAAGAGGATTGCTTGAGCATAGCAGGTCAAGTCTGCAGTGAGCTGTGGTTGCACCACTGCACTCCAGCCTGGGTGACAAAATGAGACCTTGTCTACAAAAAGGAAAAAAAAATTTGTTCTGCTCTACTATACATGCTGACTTTTGTTGATAGCTTGGTCTAAAAAGACTGTCTAGAGCTGAATTTAAGAATGGTTCTGGAGCAAATAATAACAAGGTAGACAAGCAGGCCCTGGGCTCACTATAATTTCATAGCCACGACCTGTTTATTATTAGTTGGCAGAGATTAATGCTTTGTGTTATAAATATACTATAGAACAATAGGTCACGATTCTCAAGAACAAAGCCGAATGCTCGCAGTTAAGTGTGAAGCTTGCATAAGTGTCGGAACCACAATTATGGACCCACCATCAATGTGCATTTTATCAGATGACTCCTCCTGAGACAGTAAAGACTCCTGGAAAATTCATGACATCTTTGAATCACTCAGAAAAATCTTGAAACTCAGGACGTAGTTTACTTAGCTTGCCTTTTTTAAAATTATCAAATTTTAAATCGTAAACTTTGTCTTCACTTCCACACGTTCAAGGACACCTCTTTTAAAGTTCAGTGTTCCATACTAAAGGGGTGTAATCTTGCTTTCTGGGGAAATAAAATTCCCCATGGTACTATATTCCTGACAGATATAAAATAACATGAGGCTACCTCATTTTTGAAATAGATTTCAATATTTTTATTAGTAAGTTGGAAAGACAGTAGGAACAAAATGAAACCTTTCTAAGTACTTGATGACACCCACTTGATCATGACAATTCATCTACCTCCGCTTTCCGTGTCCAGCTGAAAGCCCAGCTGAGTCAACTCCTGCTTCATCAGAAGGGAGCTAATGGTGATTCTGGGATTAAAAAGCAAGGGGGGTGCAAATTGTTAGTGGGGTCAAAATATCAGTAAAATTTCTTAAGTGCTTTGTTCTGATAAACGGATGTAAAAGTAACAAAAAAGGAATAACAACTAATATGGCCTGTGGATCTGACAAAGAAAAACCTGAAGAAATTCAGAATCTAGATACACTTAGATTCTAAATTAGACACACTCAGATTCTAATGAACACTTAGAATGCTTCGCCAGTGGCTTTTCAAGTTACACTGGAAGCTTGATTATGAAAAAGTTTTGTTTTCATTGGCAAGAGGGTAGATGATCAGTGATGACAGATTGTACAGCTGTGCCCAAACCTGACAACTTACACATTAAACTCCTGTAAGAGACACTCCTTCCTAGTAGAACAAGGACTGGGACAATGAATTTTTGACTCACTGGAGTTTTTTAAAATGCTGTTCTTGAGTGTGGCAATAGTGTAGGAGTTAACCCAGTCTACCCAAAGAAGTTGCTTTGCCTTTCAATATGAGTGCTATAAAAAGAGTATTTTGGAGTTCAATGTCCCTAAACATGTATGCGATAGGAACTACCAATATAAAATAACACTTAGAACTCAAATTAGATTGGTAATACTATTTTGGAGCCTGTGATGTATGACTTTTATTCTTTACTAGATATTTTTCAGTATCCGTCATTAGAAGAGTCAGTTTGTTAAATATTTTAAATGTGTAAACACAAAACCTTTCTACTGTGATCTTCCCTAATGAGTCAAAGTATCTTTCATAATTCAGTCTATATTGAAATGTTATTTCAGGAATGGAGGGTTTGTTATTAATAGTGCTGGGCCGGGCACGGTGACTCATGCCTGTAATCCCAGCACTTTGGGAGGCCGAGACAGGCGAATCACCTGAGGTCAGATGTTGGAGACCAGCCTGACCAACATGGAGAAACCCCATCTCTACCAAAAATACAAAATTAGCCGGGCGTGGTGGCTCCATGCTGTAATCCCAGCTACTCGGGAGGCTGAGGCAGGAGAATTGCTTGAACCCAGGAGGTGGAGGTTGCAGTGAGCCAAGATTGCACCATAGCACTCCAGCCTGGGCAACAAGAGCAAAACTCTGTCTCAAAAAAAAAAAAAAAAAAAATAGTGCTGCATTTTGACCCTGGACTATGAACAGACTGTATAGTTGGTGCCTCTTTTTTTTCTACCAAAGATTATTAGATCAAGATTGGTGCTATACTTCATGTTCCTTTCAAAATTATTTTTCTTTTAAAAATATTAATATACAACACAATAGAAAATGTATACAGCCAGCAACGTTATGCATGTTGCATGTTATATACATGACTGAGGAAAAAAGCTCACCTATACAGTGATTATTGAGTTCCAGTATCTAGTTAGAGGTATGCAATTTTTGTTAACATATAAGACTTTAAATTACGAAACTCACAAGAAAATGATCACCAAATGAGAATGTTCTAATGAACACAACCTCCCAAGGTAATAATTTTAAAGAAAAAGTCCCTTGTCAATGTTTCTAGCACAAAGTGAGGGATTTAAATATATTCTGTAACTTTGAGGCAATGTGAAAAAGTTATATATAATAGCTTCCTATTGAGCTGGCTTATGTAGACATTTGGACATTTGAAACTATTTCGCAACTTTCAGGCTAAAATCAGAGTTTTGAGAGTCATCAATCTTAAAACATGGATAATGAGTTATTTGCACAGTTATATTTTTATAATTATTTGAAATTTATCACTGAAAGTATCATTGTTTGTCTTTCAGATTTAACATAAACAATAAGTACTGCGGCTGGGTCACTGTCAGCAAATCTCAGGTCTATGATTTATCAAGGGCTCTCAGCACCATCGTTGGTCTGATTGTGTAACACCTAAGTAAAATAACATATGGGTCTCCTTGGCCAGGCGCCGTGGCTCACACCTGTAATCCCAGCACTTTGGGAGGCCAAGGCAGGCGGATTGCTTGAGGCCAGGAGTTCGAGACATACGGGTCTCTTTAATGTTCTGTAGGTAGGATTCAGATGAATTGAGAATGACAGGTTTCTTTTTCTTTCTTTGTTTCTTTTTTTTTTTTTTTTTTGAGATGGAGTCTTGCTCTATTGCCAGGCTCCATATAGTGGCGCGATCTCAGCTCACTGCAACCTCCGCCTCCCGGGCTCAAGTGATTCTCGTGCCTCAGTCTTCTGAGTAGCTGGGACTACAGGTGCCCACTACCACACCGGCTAATTTTTGTATTTTTGGTAGAGATGGAGTTTCACCATGTTGGCCAGACTGGCCTTAAGTGATCCACCTGCCTCAGCCTCCCCAAGTGCTGGAATTACAGGCATGAGCCACCATGCCCGGCTAGAGAATGACAGGTTTCAGTTGAATTCTTCTCTTTTAAAAGACCCTGACTTAACTGTATTTTATGAGGATTTTATAAATGTAAATTAAGAAGACAATACACACTCTCATTTTCCTAATTAGAAAGACTATGCATTCACAATCCAGTACACTGGATTTGCTCTGGTAACTAATGATAACACTTTTCTACGTTAACATGAGTTATATTTGGCAGAGAGAATGGAAGCTTGCTAATCAGAAGTTACATTAGGGTGAGATTAAACATCACTCTAATAATAACTTCTGATGTAACTTAATGTGGTTTGAGATGTGTAAGATTGTAGAGGCATTGCACAATGCTTGATAAAAGTTGCATTTTGCTTTTGTTCTTCCACCAGTTTATTTTAGCCTTAAAGTTATAGCTACAACAAATTGAACCCTGTAGTTATTACTGAAAGAGAGTGTGGATATTTTAAGTATCTCCTAGTATAATATGACATTGTTCATGTGGACTTATTTTAATGTTTATTTGAAAATTAATTTTTTAATTATTTTGTATATTTTGAGTTAGAAAAACACACTTTATCTTAGACACCAAAGCCAAATTATTCCAAGTGTATGCTATACACCGCAGTGCAGCTCTGCTTCTCTCCCAACCTACCCTGGGGCCATTTTTGGCACAATAGTTGTTCAAATGTAGATCACTATGCTGAATGCTCATGCTGGATTTGACCAGTATGCAGTATTTTAGTACTTTTTAAAAAATGTATGCTTCTTTTTGAAGACTATAATTTACAATTTTTTTAATAATGTGCAATTTAATATAGATAACCAAAATCTTTTTAATGAAAAGATCTTTACAATTGCTTGGAGGATAAGATTATTTTACTGTGGAAAAATGTGATACTCTTAGTAAATGCAATAAAAACTTTTTAGCAAATTCCTATAAGGCTTTGTGGTTATGTTTGTGGAATTCTCTGGAGGGTGGGGGAGGGGAAATTATTGAAACGAAAGGAATAGTTTATGTTGAATAAAAGAAATAAGCTGTGTGCTTTTTACATTGCATATCTGTATTCTACATGCGTTTGGGTACTGTTATTTCCCCGGAGCAGGGAACAGGGATAGAAATGATCCAAAAGCTTTAGATAGTCTAAAAACCACTTCTATTTGACGCTTACTTTTTTTGTACTTGACTTACATTGCCATTTTTCTTACATTGATTACACTTACTAAATTCAGATGATACTCAGTGAGCTTCTACTGACTGACAATTTTAGGGGATAGTCAAGAACCAGGCTGTAAAAAAAAAAAGCAGTCCCATTACTGTGGATTGCTTGCTTGGATAAAAACTGACTCTGCCATCAGAAGATGTTTATGATTTGATGAGCCTTAACTACAAAGCAAATCATTATTTATGTTTAATAGTACTAATGAGATTTAATACATTAAACTCAAGAACTTGGCATTTGTGATATGTCATTTAATCCAAAAAGTATTTACATGTCAGAATGTGTAGGCCATTAGAAGACCTTTGAGGGAACTGAGGAGAGAATAGATATGACCAATTGTTACTGATCTTAAGCAGGATAAAATTCATTCTCCTGAGGAAAATTTTGGGTTTTTTTTGTTTTTTCTGAGATGGAGTTTCACTTTTATCACCCAGGCTGGAGTGCAATGGCGCGATCTTGGCTCACTGCAACCTCTGCCTCTCGGGTTGAAGTGATACTCCTGCCTCAGCTTCCCGAGAAGCTGAGATTACAGGCACCCACCAACACACCCGGCTAATTTCTGTATTTTTAGTAGAGAGGGGGGGTTTCACCATGTTGGCCAGGCTGGTCTCGATCTCCTGACCTCAGGTGATCTGCCAACGTTGGCCTCCCAAAGTGTGGGATTATAGGCATGAGCCACCACGCCTGGCCAGAAAATAATTTTTATAGAAAAAAATAGAAGAATTCTAATTCATACCGAAAACCTAATTTAAGAGACATACCAATTACCATAGTATCAGGCTTTTAGGACTGAAAGTTCTGAGTCTCCTATAGGTGAATCTAATACTTTTTAAATTCAGGAGTTCTTTTTATAAATCCTTAAATCAGAGTCACCAGTGTTTTCTTCCAGAGATAGGAAGCTTACCACCCTGCATGGTGGTCCCCTCCACAGCTGGGCCCTCTGCTTCTCTTTCTTACCCCATACAGCTCTACCACCTTCTATTGTCTGTGTCACAGTCATCTGTGGACCCCCCAGTCATTCTCATATATCCATCTGTATGCCAGCAAATGGCTTTTGGTCCAAGGCTCAGTATTCATGTGGAGCAACTTTATTTCCACTAATTTAACAGAGACACTTGGAGCCTTGTCATCTCTGGAAATGGCTTCATCTTTGAAATCTTAATACCAACACCCCTGCCTCTTATCAAAACTTCCCAGGTCTTTGCAGTTTTTACTTTGTTTCCTCCCTAATCCTTAACCCTAGGATCTACAAAACTGCAACCCCGCCCCCACCGCCCCAGTATTCCACTTACTATTGCCCCTACACCTTTCCTTTTCCAAATTAAATACCTCCAGCTTCTCCAACCATTTCTTCTCTCTCATATTATCAATTTCCCCCTCTATTGGATCATTTCCACCAGCATTCCCATATATACATGCTATTATTTCATCTTGACAAAAAAAGACTTTTTAATTTTTTTATTGTTATCTTTTTTTTGTTTTTGAGACAGAGTCTCGCTCTGTCGCCCAGGCTGGAGTGCAGTGGCACAATCTCGGCTCACTGCAACCTCCGCCTCCCGGATTCAAGCGATTCTCCCGCCTCAGCCTCTCGAGTAGCTGGGACCACAGGCACCTGCCAACACACAGCCAGCTAATTTTTGTATTTTTAGTAGAGACAGGGTTTCACTATGTTGGCCAGGCTGGTCTCATACTCCTGGCCTCGTGATCCGCCTGCCTCGGCCTCCCAAAGTGCTGGGATTACAGGTGTGAGCCACCGCGCCCAGCCTTGTTATCATTTTTTATAGAGACAGTGTTTCGCCATGTTGCTCAGGCTGGTCTTGAACTCCCAGACTCAAGCAATCTTCCTGTCTCAGCCTCCCAAAGTGCTGGGGTTACAGGCGTGAGCCACCGTGCCCAGTCTTGCATCACTTTTTTCTATCCATTCACAAAAGACTAAATAACCAACTTTTTTTTCTTGAAAAAATACGTATTTACTCTCTCCCATTTTATCTCGTATTCTCTTTTGAATCCACTCTATCAGGATTTTGCCTCTACCACTCCACTGAAACTGCCCTTCTCATCACTAGGTTACCACTGACCTCCACAATTACTAAATCCAATAGTCATTTTTCAGTCCTCATTTTATTTGAATTATCTACACTATTTGGTACAATATATCAATTCCTATCTCTGAATCAGGCTTCCAGGACACCACACTTACCTGGTTTTTCTCCTATCTTTCTAGCCACTCCTTTACTGGGTCCTGCTCATCTTCTAACCTCTAAATATTGGGAGTACATCAGAGCCTAGTTCTTGAACCCCTTCTGTATTTTATCCATATTCACTACCTAGATGATCTTGTCCTATCTCATGGCTTGAATTACTACCTAAATGCTGATGAAGCCCGAACCTCCCCCTTGAACTCCAGAGCCTTATATCTGCCAACCAAATGTCTCCTGTTCTGCAAGCAAATCCTATAGGCTCTGCTTCCAAAATATACCCAGAATTTCTCCATTTCTCACTATCACCACCGGCACTACCTTGATCCAAGCCATCATGTTCTCTTTTGTTCTTTGTTCTTTTACTTCCCCTCGGTCTTTTCTCCACACAGCAGCCAGCATGATCCTGTCAAAACAAGTCAGACGAAATCAGCCCCTTTGCTTCCTGTGGCTCCTTTTATCCCTCACAGAAAACCAAAGTCCTTACCATGACCAGCACAGCTCCACATGTTCTGGTCCCTGATACATCTCTGACCTTATCTCCTGCTCTCTGCTGATTCACTCTGGCCTCTCTCCACTTCCATCCTTGTATCACTGCCCCTGCCTGGGGTGCTCTTCCCCCAGCTATCCTCTTGGATTGCTCCCTTACCTCCTTCAGGTCTACTAGAAAGTCTCCTCTGTGAGGTGAAAGACCTCTACAAGGAAAACTACAAAACACTGCTGAAAGAAATATAGACAACACAAACAAATGAAAACACATCCCATGCTCATGGATGGGTAGAATCAATGTTGTGAAAATGACCATTCTGCCAAAAGCAATCTACAAATTCAATGCAATTCCTATCAAAATACCACCATCATTCTTCACAGAACTAGAAAAAACAATCCTAAAATTCATATGGAACCAAAAAAGAGCCCGCATAGCCAAAGGAAGACTAAGCAGAAAAAAAAAAAAAAAAATCTAGAGGCATTACAGGCATTACATTACCTGACTTCAAACTATACTAAAAGGCCAGTGTCACCAAAACAGCATGGTACCTGTATAAAAACAGGCATATAGACCAATGGAACAGAATACAGAACCCAGAAATAAAGTCAAATACTTAACAGTCAACTGATCTTCGACAAAGCAAACAAAAACAAAGTGAGGAAAGACACCCTATTCAACACATGGTGCTGGGATACTTGGAAAGCCACATGTGGAAGAATGAAACTGGATTCAGATCTCTCACCTTATACAAAAATCAACTCAAAATGGATCAAAGACTTAAATCTAAGACCTGAAGCCATAAAAATTCTAGAAGATAACATAGGAAAAACCATTGCCTTGGCTTAGGCAAAGACTTCATGACCAAGAACCCAAAAGCAAACCCAATAAAAACAAAGATAAATAGATGGGACTTAAACTAAGAAGCTTCTGTACAGCAAAAGAAACAATCAGCAAAGTAAACAGACAACTTACAGAGTGGGAGAAAATCTTCACAATCTATGCATCTGACAAAGGACTAATAGCCAGAATCTACAAGGAACTCAAACAAATCAGCAAGAAAAAAACAAATAATCCCATCAAAAAGTGGGCTAAGGACATGAATAGACAATATGAAAAGAAGATATACAAATGACCAACAAACATATGAAAAAATGCTCAACATCACTAATGATCAGAGAAATGCAAATCAAAACCATGATGTGAAACCACCTTACTCCTGCAAGAATGGCCATAATAATAATAAAAAAATAATGGAGCTGGCATGGTTGTGATGAAAAGGGAACACTTTTACACTGTTGGTGGAAATGTAAACTAGTACAACCCCTGTGGAAAACAGCACGGAGATTTCTTAAAGAACTAAAAGAAGGGCCGGGTGCGGTGGCTCACGCCTGTAATCCCAACACTTTGGGAGGCCAAGGTGGGCAGATCACGAGGTCAGGAGATCGAGACCATCCTGGCTAACATGGTGAAACCCCGTCTCTACTAAAATTACAAAAAAATTAGCCGGGCGTGGTGGTGGGTGCCTGTAGTCCCAGCTGCTTGGGAGGCTGAGACAGGAGAATGGTGTGAACCCAGGAGGCGGAGCTTGCAGTGAGCCGAGATTGCGCCACTGCACTCCAGCCTGGGCGACAGAGCGAGACTCTGTCTCAAAAAAAAAAAAAAAAAAAGAACTAAAAGAAGATTTACCATTTGATCCAGTAATCCCTCACCTGGGTATCTACCCAGAGGAAAAGAAGTCATTACACAAAAAAGATACTTGTGCACGCATGTTTATAGCAGCACAATGCACAACTACAAAATATGGAACCAGCCTAAATGGCCATCAAGCAACAAGTTGATAAAGAAAATGTGGTATATATATACATACACCATGGAATACTAAGCCATAAAAAGGAACAAAATAATAGCATTTGCAGCAACCTGGATGGAATTGGAGACCATTATTCTAAGTGAAGTAACTCAGGAATGGAAAACCAAACATCATATGTTCTCACTCATAAGTGGGAGCTAAGCTATGAGGACACAAAGACATAAGAATGAGACAATGGACTTTGGGGACTCAGGGGAAAGGATAAGAGTGGGGTGAGGGATAAAGGACTACACATTGGGAACAGTCTATACTGCTTGGGTGACGGGTGCACCAAAATCTCAGAAATCACCACTAAAGAGCTTACTCATGTAACCAAACACGACTTGTTCCCCAAAACTCCATTGAAAATTTTTTTTTTTTGAGATGAAGTCTCACTCCGTCGCCAGGCTGGAGTGCAGTGGCACGATCTCAACTCACTGCAACCTCCGCCTCCCGGATTCAAGCGATTCTCCTGCCTCAGCCTCCTGAGTAGCTGGGACTACAGGTGCACACCACCATGCCCAGCTAATTTTTGTATTTTTAGTAGAGACGGAGTTTCACCATGTTGGTCAGGCTGGTCTCAAACTCCCAACCTCAGGTGATCTGCCTGCCTTGGCCTCCCAAAGTGCTGGATTACAGGCATGAGCCACCACGCCCAGCCAAAAAAAAAAATTTTTTTTTAAGTCTCCTCTGTGAAGCCTCCCCTGGTCATCTAAAATTTAATCCCTTTCCCCAGGCAATTCATATCCCCCTTCCCAACTTAATTTTTTCTTCTTAGCAGTTATCACTAGCATACCATTTATTTTATTTCTCTTTTTTTTTTTGTGAGACAGGGTCTCACTCTGTTGCCCAGGCTGGAGTGCAGTGGTGCAATCGTGGCTCACTGCAACCTCCATCTCCTGGGATCCAGCGATCCTCCCACCTCAGCCTCCTGAAAAGCAGGGACTGCAGGTATGTGCCATGCCTGGCTAATTTTTTTAATTTTTAATTTTTTATAGAGATGAGGTCTTACTATGTTGCCCAGGCTGGTCTTGACCTCCTGGCCTCAAGTGATCCTCCCACCTTGGCTTCCCAAAGTACTGGGATTACACACATGAGCCACCATGCCTGGTCTTATTTATTTATTTTGTTTGTTTGTTTTTGGGTTTTCCTTGAGACAGGGTCACACTCAGTCACCCAGACAAAAATGCAGTGGCTTGATCACAGCTCACTGCAGCCTCAAACCCCTGGCTTCAAGGGATCCTCCCACCTCAGCCTCCGGAGTAGCTGGGACCACAGGCATGTACCACAAAGCCTGGCTAATTTTTTGATTTTTTGTAGAGACAGAATTTCACTCTATTGCCCAGGCTGAACTTGACCTCCTGGGCTCAAGTGATCCTCCCACCTGGGCCTCCCAAAGTGCTGGGATCCCAGGTATGAACCACCATGCACAGTTTATTTATCTTTATTGTCTCCCCAATTAGACTGCAAGTTCCACAAAGGTAGAGCTTTTTGTCTGTTTTATCTTTTCATCTCCAACATTCAGAAAAGTGCCTGGCACAGAATAAGTGCTCAATGATGATTTTTTGAATAAATGAATGGTGTCCAAACTTGTCAGGACGAACATGTTGACTTTATTTTAGTGCTTTTAAGGATTTCCTTTGAAAACTTAGCCAGTGCAACTCAGCCAGTGCAGCTGGAGTGAGTCCGTGGTATCAGTGTTGAAACCAGGGGGAGCTTGGCTGGCATGGCTGCTCCAGGGCCAAGGAGAAGGCCACACAATTGGGAGATTGAGTCTATTTACAGGGGCTTGAACAAATAAATACATATATTAAGGAAATGGGAGCTAGGTTTCTCACTACTGGAGTAGGGAGGTACATATGTGGAAGGTGTAAAGTGAATAAACACTATGGTGATGGATTGGAATTGGGAAATGTGGTGTGAGTGTGTGTGTGTGTGTAGTCATGCATGTGTTTCCTAACTCTGTCCACAGAGAGGGTCTAGAAGCAATGACACTACAGTAACAACTCTGAGTATACCTCCATATTAAACAGCAGAGACTCAGATGACAGATACTTCACTAAAGAGAAGCTCCTGTATAAATTTTAAACCTAAAATAGAATGCTAGCGTAACGGAACTGAAGGGACTCTCATGGAAAACCTACAGTGCCTTCTAATCTTACAGGAATGAAAAGCTCATCTTGAGACATTAAACAAGAAGAAAAATTACTCATACTTTATCATTACAGACTATATCCCTTTAGACTATATTTACGGATATTTATGGAAATGATTTGTAGAAGTGCTACACATACTATTCTGCAATATGCTTTTTTCACTTAAGACTTGTAACATCTTTCTATGTCATATCCTTTATGACTTTTTTTTTTTGGTTAGTGACAAAAACCAAAATCAAATCAAACTGGTTTAAGAAAAAGAGTGAAAAGTCCAGGTGCTTTCTTTTTGGTAGGCATTGTTCAAGGGACCTCTTTCCCACAACTCCAAGCTATCCTTTGTATCAACTCTAGCAGATGAAAAAGAACTTCCCTCTCCCAATCTTTTGCACAAAAAGTCCTGGGATCAAAACGCACTGGTCTAACATAGGTCAGGTGCCCATCTTGGAACCCATCACTGAGCCAGGAGTCAGGAGATGCTGACTCAACAGACATGAATCATGCCGCCCTGAAGTGGGGTAATGGCTAACTCACTTCCTGAAATGAGATGAGGAAGGGTGGTGGTCCCCTCAAAGAAAACTAGGGTCCTGTTGCCTGGAAAAGTGAATGGATTCTGTGCAGAAAAATAACAGAAGTTTACCACATGTGTCATTCAGTATAATTCTACATCATTATTTTGATGGTTTCCACAGTTATCCCATGAAATGGATGAATCTTTAATTTGTTGTAACTCTATCATTGGACATGTAGATTTGTTTCCTGTTTCACAGTGATAAACACCATTGCTATGAACACTCTAATAGCGAAATCTTTATACTCATCTTTATTTCCTTTAGGCAAAATTCCTAGTGGTAGAATTTCTGAGTAGAAGGGTTAGTATTTTTGCCTTTGCTGTGTTTTGTCAAGTTGCGTTACTATATGCTTTCTCTGAACCTTCATAATATTATATACTGTTATTTTTTTAATTACAGAGACTGAACAGTTTACAGATTTTAAAAAGCCTTCATTTAAAAATTGCATTTGGGTTTTTTTTTTTGAATTGTGGTAAATATACATAAGATTTACCATTTTATATAACCTTTTTTTTGGGAGGGGGATGGGGTCTTACTATGCAGCCAGGCTGGTCTCAAATTCGTGGGCTCTAGCAATCTTCCCACTTCATCCTCCAGAGTAGCTGGAACTATAGCTATATGCCACTACACCAGCCTCACTTTAATCATTTTTAAGTGTACTATAGCATTATGTACGTTGCCATTGTTGTAACTATCACTACCATCTCCAGAACTTTTCATCTTCCCAAACTGAAACTCCATACCCATTAAACACTAACTCCCCATTTCCCCCCGCCACTGCTCAGTTCTTGTCAATCACCATTCTACTTTCTGTCTCTACGAATCTGACTGCTCTAGAACCTTATATCATGAAATCATACAGCATTTGTCTAAATTTGCATTTTTATTACTAATAAGTGTAATTTTTCTCATAAATCACTCAGCTATTTGCACTTCCTCTTTGGGGGTTTGTTCTTCTCCTTTGTTTATTTTTCTGTTCGGGAACTTTGTGAACTTTCTTCGTATGCTGTATTAGCTGTGACTCTCATATGTATTGCTAAAAGTTTTCCCTATTTGTTATTTGTCTTTTTACACTGATTATGGTGTTTTTAATTTTTTTTTAATTTAAATTTTTATTTTATTGGGCAGCCTCCTGAGCCAGAGTAGGCCCAGAGAGACTCCTGCAGTTATTTTTTTTTTTTTTAGTTAAAATTTTCATTTTATGGATTCTGTCTTAGTCCTTTTGGGCTATTATAACAAAATACCTTAGACTGGGTTACTTATTTATTTATTGAGACAGGATCTCACTCTGTCACCCAAGCTATAGTGCAGTGGCATGATCATGGCTCACTGGAGCCTTGACCTTCCAGGCTCAATCCATCCTCCCGCCTCAGCCTCCCAGGTAGCTGGGACCACAGGCATGTGCCACCACACTTACCTAATTTTTGTATTTTCTTTAGAGATGGGGTCTCACTATGTTGCCCAGGCTGGTCTCAAACTCCTGAGCTCAAGCAATCCATTTGCCTCGGCCTCCCATCAAGTGCTGAGATTACAGGCGTAAGCCACCATGCCCAGCTAAACTGGGTAATTTATTACTTTATTATTAGTGGTATTATTATTATTGAGACAGAGTCTCGCTCTGTCACCCAGGTTGTAGTGCACTGGCACAATCTCGGCTCACTGCAGCTTCCGCCTCCCGGGCTCAAGCAATTCTCCTGCCTCAGCCTCCTGAGTGGCTGGGATTATAGGTGCCCACCACCATACCCGGCTAATTTTTTTTTTTATTTTAGTAGATATGGGGTTTCAGCATGTTGGCCAGGATGATCTCGAACTCCTGATCTCAGGTGATTCACCTGCCTTGGCCTTCCAAAGTGCTGGGATTACAGGCGTGAGCCACCACGCCCAGCCTAGACTGGGTAGTTTATAAACAATGGAAATGTATTGCACACAGTTCTGGAGGCTGAGCAGCCCAAGGTCAAGTTACCGACAGACTGAGCATCTGGTAAGAGCTTGCCTTCCCTGCTTCAAAGATGACACCTTGTTGAGTTCTCACATAGTGGAAGGGCAAGCTAGCTCCTTTCAGTCTGTTTTATAAGGGTGCTGATCTCCTTCCTGAACACTCTGCCCTCATAACTTAATCATCTCCTAAAGGTCCCACCTCCTTTTTTTTTTTTTTTTTTTTTGAGACAGAGTCTCGCTCTGTCACCCAGGCTGGAGTGCAGTGGCATGATCTCAGCTCTCACTGCAACCTCGACCTCCTGGGTTCAAGCGATTTTTGTGCCTCAGACTCCTGAGTAACTGGGATTATAGGCTTGTGCCACCATGTCCAGCTAATTTTTGTATATTTTAGTAGAGACAGGTTTCACCATGTTAACCAGGCTGGTCTTGAACTACTGACCTCAGGTGATCTGCCTGCCTCGGCCTCCCAAATTGCTGGGATTACAGGCATGAGCCACCGTACCTGGTCAACACCTCTTGATACTATCACATTGGTGATCAAGTATCAACATATGAATTTGGTGGGGGACACATTCAGACCACAGCACTGTCATTGTTGACGTGTTTAGAAAGGCCTTCCCCACTCTTCTATATAAATACATTCTTAAAACTCCTTCTGATATATTTATGGCTTCATTTTTACATTAAATCTCTAAGTTATTATTGATTTTGATATATGGTATAAAGTTGAATTCTAACCATTTTTTAAAAAGTACAATTGGGCGGCCGGGCGCGGTGGCTCATGCCTGTAATCCCAACACTTTGGGAGGCCAAGGCGGGAGGATCACGAGGTCAGGAGATCGAGACCACCCTGGCTAACACGGTGAAACCCCGTCTCTACTAAAAATACAAAAAATTAGCCAGGCGTGGTGGCGGGCGCCTGAAGTCCCAGCTACTTGGGAGGCTGAGGCAGGAGAATGGCCTGAACCCAGGAGGCGGAGCTTGCAGTGAGCCGAGATTGCACCATTGCACTCCAGCTGGGTAACAGAGCGAGACTCCGTCTCAAAAAAAAAAAAAAAAAAGGTACAATTGAGCTGGGTGTGGTGGCTCACACCTATAATCCCAGCACTTTGGGAGACCGGGGCAGGCAGATAGCTTGGGCCTAGGAGTTCAAGACCAGCCTGGGCAACACAGTAAAATCCTGTCTGTACAAAAGATACAAAAATTAGCCAGGTGTGGTGGTGTGCACCTGTTGTCCCAGCTACTAGGGAGGCTAAGGTGGGAGGATTGATTGAGCCTGGGAGGCAGAGGCTGCAGTGAGCCAAGGTCATGCAACTGCACTCCAGCCTGGGTGGCAGAGTGAAAACCTGTCTTAAAAAAAAAAATGGCCATTGAACAATGCAGGGGTTGGGGTCCCTACACTCCATGCAGTCGAAAATCCATGCATAATGTTTGACTCCCCCAAAACTTAACTCCTAATAGCCTGTTATTGACCAGAGCCTTACTGATAACATAAACAGTCAACTAACACATATTTTGTATATGTATCATATACTGTATTCTTAAGATAGAAAAAAGAAAATGTCATTAAGAAAACCTTTTTATGTTTTTGTTTTTAAGACGGTCTTGCTCTGTCACCCAGGATGCAGTGCAGTGGCTCAGTCATGGCTCACTGCAGCCTTGACCTCCTGGGCTCAAGCAATCCTCCCACCTCAGCCTCCAGAGAAGCTGAAACCACGGGCACGTGCCACCATGCCTGGCTATTTTTTTTTTTTTTTGGTAGAGATGGGAGATCTCACTATGTTACCTAGGCTAGTCTCGAACTCCTGGGCTCAAGCAATCCTCTTGCCTCGGCCTTCCAAAGTGCTGGGATTACAGATGTGAGCCACTGTGCCCAGCTATGAAAATCTTAAGAGAAAATGCATGTACAGTATTTTACTGTATTCATCAAACCAAGTTCACATTGTCTGTTTACAAGATGAATCATCTGTCTGAAATGGTCAGCGCCTGTGGCTGCAGACCTCAATCGAAGGTTCATATCAAGGAGTTCAGCTTTTTCTTGTGATATCATGACTTTTATCTGCTTCTTGAGTGCACTTCAGGCATCACTAATGGCACTTTGTATGGGTCCCATGGTGTTATTCAAGGTTTACAGTATTGCACTTGTCAACTGAAGAACGATGGAGGTTCATACATTTGGAAAGGAGAGCTTTCTTATAAAGGGTTGCAGCTTGCAGGGTGGCCATTCTGACAGGCTGGAAAGAACAGCCTCCAGCCAGAAGCCAAAAACAGACACTTTGACAGGGGGAAGAGTATGACAGAGATTTGCTGAAGCAGGTGGCCAAATATACATACTTAATAAGCTATAGGAGGAGTTATGATTATTTATGAAAGGAGAAACACACACATGCACAATAGAGCTTCATGCTTCTCCATGGGACCCATGTTCAAAAAGTGGCAGTGTTAGCACCCTCCATCCAAGGGTGGAGTTTTTGGCCCTCTGATTTCAAGTGGTGAAGCAGACAACACGAAAACCTCTCTGCTCATCCTTGGTAGACTGGCCAGAGCCACTCTGTGGACCCTGGTCTCTTATGAGGAAGGAAAGCTTTGTCCAAACTGCCAAATGGAAGGGCAGCGACAGGTGGTTGGTGGCTATCAGCAGTGGAGCAAGTCTCTCAGAAGGGCTGGCTTCTCTGTAACCCTTAAGGAAGAAAACCTAAGAGCAGTTAGAGCAGGAGCAGGTGTAATGAGGCCCCCATCTCGTCACAGCTGGAACTGAGTTTTGGCCGAGAAAGGAGTCTGTTTAGTTGGTTGGGGGGCTTAGGATTTCATTTTTCTCACACTAAACACACACAAAAAATGCAAGAACTGAGAGAAATTAGTTTTTACTTCAATGGAATTTACTGGAGAGATGAACTGGGCAAGTGGAGATGACCGACGAGCGTCACACAACGTTTTGGGTGGATACTCACAACACTGGAGCCCACCACGACAACAACGAGAGGCAGCTGCAAAATTATTCCAGCAGTACAGTGTGTACTACAGTGAGTTGTATGCAGTTATGATTTAATACTGCATCTTCACATTTGTTTCCATTTCTCTGGACTGCAAATGGCGCCATGTGTAGTCTGATGTTTGTGTGTGTAAATTTTGATACATTTTAACATTTTAATAATAGATTTGTGTATATTTTATGGTAGTAAATG
This sequence comes from Homo sapiens, assembly GCF_000001405.40. NCBI lineage: Eukaryota > Metazoa > Chordata > Mammalia > Primates > Hominidae > Homo > Homo sapiens. The sequence continues at coordinate 111,243,865 of NC_000006.12, forward strand.
ATAAAAATAGACAAGTGTCTACATATTTTTATGCGTTGATGACATACCTAACATTTTCTTTTTTCCATATTTCTAGGCTATGTGATTTGTCTGCAAGTTTTTTATAATTGTTGCAAATATCCCCCCAAAATTTCCATATATTTATTGAAAAAAATTCACATATAAGTGGACTCATGCAGTTCAAATTTGTGCTGTTGAAGGGTCAACTGGATTTTTCCAGTTTTCTTGATACTAGTTACTACTCACTGAATAATTCATCTTCTCCTCCTTCCCCCACTCCAACAGTATATAATAGTTTTCTTCTATTTACAATGACAGAATTAACATATTTTTTCCTCCATCTCCCCCTCTCTATCACCTGATTTTAGTAATATTATCTTTCTTCATGTTTACCTCTAATTATTTTACCTCTGTATTATTCCATTTTATACTTATAACTCTACTATTCATTTAATTAGCTTTAAGTAATAACTTTTCACCTCTAGTTATTAAAGATGAGGAATCAGTATACTTTATTTCATATATATAATTTTTAATTGTTTAGAGATGGGGTCTTACTATTTTGCTCAGGCTAGTCTCAAATTCCTGAGCTCAAACAATCCTCCTGCCTCAGCCCCCCAAGTAGCTAGGATTACAGACACACACCATAGTATCCAGCAAACAAACAAAAAAATCAGTATATTTTCATCCTTTTCCATCCATTGCTTTCCACTTTTTATTGCTCTATCATTTCTACATCATCAGGGCTAATAACATTTAAATTCCATCTTTCCACCGTAATCCTCATATTTGTCTTTGTCCTGTGATTTGCATCAAAGCTCACTGCCAATCCCGTCTGCAGTTGTTTCTCCACTCATCTCTTGTTCTACTGAACCTTCTAACATTTCTCAAATGGATTTATGAAAATAATATTCCAAGAGTTCTTTCATCTTCAAACTATTTATCTTTTGTCTTTACACCTGAAAATATTTGGCTCATGTTTTCTTTCCTATGGGATTTTGTAGCCATTTCTCAAAAATCTTCCAGCATTGAAGTTTGCTATGGAAAAAGACAGAGGCTAGCCTTTGGATTACTTCCTTCACATCATGCCAAGGAAGCTCCAGCATTTCAACCTCATTAACTGTAGACCACCAGTGAGTCGAAATTTTTAGTCAACCAACCAAGTAAGCTTTTACAGCCATCTCCAGCTGCATGGACTGACACTTTGAACCTGCAGTCCCTAGTAAAGTGTATCCATAGCAGTGAATTCAGCTGGATCTAGTGTTCTATTCTGTTTTCCTTGGTTTAATACCTTTAGCATCCACTTCCACACATTCACCAGGTTTCCATTCATATATATTAACAAAATATTGCAGTTATTTTGGTGTTATTTCCTCCTGGATCATAGTGTGTACCTGCCCACCTGGAGATGTCAAGATTTGATCCTAGTTATGGGGCTAGTGGCAATAAAGGATGGTTATCATGGGTCTTGAAGAGAATGGGCATCCTCTTCCAAGGTGTCTGCCCCAAGTGACATTATCACAAGGTTTTCAAACAAAGACTAGTCTCTTCAGATACTGGAGAGCAAACAACTTTCATTGGTGAGGCTCTACTGCCTAGCAATTGCCATTCTTCATCCTATGCGTACAAATCCAAAAGAGCTTTGGTGCTTAAGAAGAAAAAAAAGTACCTCTGAATGTCTTATGATATATGAACTTTTATCAAGAAGTAACTTGGAAAAGAAGACTTTTATCTAGAATCCTCGTAGCATTTAGAGAGAATACCACTCTCTTCTGTTGCCCTGGCCATTTGAGCATTCTCAGCAAATAGTATTTTCTGAAAAGATGCTAAATGTATTAAACCTTTGAGTTTAATGATTTGAGTCTCAAATGATGCTAAAGGTATTAAACCTTTGATGCTAAAGGTATTAAACCTTTGAGGCAGATGCTTTTTATCTTGTGATTCTCAATTGAAGGAGCAGTTAAAAAAAAAAAAAAGATGAAGCCGGATGTGGTGGCTCATACCTGTAATCCCAGCACTTTGGGAGGCCAAGGCCAGTGGATCACGAGGTCAGCAGATCGAGACCATCCTAGCCAACATGGTGAAACCCCTTCTCTACAAAAAATAAAAAAATTAGCTGGGCGTGGTGGCGCGCACCTGCAGTCCCTGCTACTTGGAAGGCTGAGGCAGGAGAATCGCTTGAACCTAGGAGGTGGAGGTTTCAGGGAGCCAAGGTCGCACCACTGCACTCCAGCCTGTTGACAGAGCGAGACTCTGTCTTCAATAAATAAATAAAAAACATGAAGTCCTGCAGGCTGCAGGGGGTGCTTTGAAAATGTGTGAGGGTGTCATAGTAACTCTGCTATTAGCATTTAGTGGGCAGAGGCTCAACATGCTAGAGCTCCACATGTGTGGGATAGTCCCACATACTGTCCAATTTTTGAATGTCCTGCCAAATATTCATATGAAGGAAAAATATTTCTTTTTGATTATCTGAGCCCAGACTCTCTCTTGTACATATAGGCACCAAGTATTTTTAGCATAGTTTCAATAAATGAGTTTTCCAAGAAAGTAAAATATCATGTAACACAAGGGAAGGTTGCGTTTTGTTTTAGGTTCTCCATTTTGGAAAATCATCAAGGGCAATAACGTCACTCGTGGTATTTGAGTAGTTGATACTCACCTACTACAACTCAGTCTGTATGTATAACGTTGCACTTACAGTGATTGTTCTCTACCTATATTAATATATTTATTCAGTCCTTATTTCACTAATTATGAAGAAAAGTATCAATATTCAGTTGGATATTTCAAATTAGGTCTTATATCTTTGTCCACAAATGAACAGTTACCAATATTTCCATTTTGTTAACATGTTTTTCTCTCAGGAAGCAATGAAACCATGAAGATTAAGTGACCACTTTACAAAGAAACAGAGCAATAAGTTGGCAGAGATACAGCATCCTGAGAACTTTGAAAGCTGTCTTACTATCATTGGAATGTTTAACAAATTTTTCCTAATCAGAAAGATGGTTTTATTGTTTCTTTCAGAATAGCACAATGATTGAAAAATGTGGTAAGCCACACAATGTTAAGGCAAAATTGATTTTGCCGGCTGTGTAAGAGGTTATTAGTATGAAGATAAAAAGAAATCAAATTGAAATGATTTATCCTATGTCATTGAGCAATGTTACTGTTTCAATAATTGAGATGGCGAAAAAGATTTTGGAAAATTAGGCATGTTATGACTTGCAGGCAAGTCAGTTTCATTACAAATGGATGAAAGCATTCTGCATGATAATTAAATTAATATTTATTACATGCATATGTAATATTCATAAGGATTTTTTTTTTTTTTTTCTGAGATGGAGTCTTGCTCTGTCACTCAGGCTGGAGTGCAGTGGTGCGATCTTGGCTCACTGCAACCTCCACCTCCCAGGTTCAAGTGATTCTCCTGCCTCAGCCTCCTGAGTAGCGGGGATTACAAGTGCCTGCTAATCAAAAATTGCCTGGCTAATTTTTGTATTTTTAGTGGAGATGGGGTTTCATCATGTTGGCCAAGCTGGTCTCGAAATCCTGACCTCATGATCCTCCTACCTCGGCCTCCCAAAGTGCTGGGATTAGAGGCGTGAGCCACCGTGCCCAGCAGGAATTTAAAAATCATAAAGGCCATAATCCCAGCACTTTGGGAGGCCGAGGCAGGCAGATCACCTGAGGTCGGGAGTTTGGGACCAGCCTGGCCAACATGGTGAAACCCCGTCTCTACTAAAAATACCAAAATTAGCCTGGCGTGGTAGTAGGTGCCTGTAAACCCAGCTACTCGGGAGGCTGAGGCAAGAGAATCGCTTGAACCTGGGAGGCAGAGGTTGCAGTGACCTGAGATTGCGCTACCGCACCCCAGCCTGGGTGACAGAGTAAGACCCTGTCTCAAAAAAAAAATCATAAAAGAAAATTTATTTTCAAACATAGTAACAATGGGTATAATAACAAACTCAAAAAAATTATGAAAAAATTATCTTTTAATGTCATTGTTTTGTAACATATGAAACAATAGCCATGCTTGGTGGCAACATGGGTTTATAACCAACTTAAAGTAGCATCAAGTGTTTTCGCAATTCACTGCATTATTCATCAACAATACTTAGTCTTTAAGAATCTTAAAACACTTCAAAATCACTGAGTATTGTCAGTGGCTAATAAACAAGGAATAAAATTGAGTGATTGCTGAAACATAAATTATTTCATAAACTGCAATGAGAATAAAGAAGTTTCAATGCCTTATCCTATACACATAAGTAAAATGGCTCTCCAGAGCATAATGTTTAAAACTATTTTGTTCACTATGAACACCACTGATGTTTTTCTTCCATCACGAAAATTTAAACATAAAAATTAAAATATTTTGAAGTAATCTGACATATATTCCAGATGCATGGGAAAAGTTAATGAGGTTCCTTCTTATACTGCACTCTCATTCAAATGAAAAAATTGTCAATAAACTTACATTATTTAAAATACTTGATTTCCTGAGAATTTTAATAATTTCCATCTTTGTAGCAGTTAGGCAAGGACAGGCTTAATGAGGTCAATTTTGGCCAGGCACGGTGGCTCATGCCTGTAATCCCAGCACTTTGGGAGGCCAAGACAGATGGATCACTTGAGCCCAGGAGTTCAAGACCAGCCTGGACAACATGGTGAGACCCTTTCTCTACAAAAAATACAAAATTAGCTGAGCATGGTGGTGTGTGCCTGTGGTCCCAGCTACTCAGGAGGATGAGGTGGGAGGATCACTTGAGCCCAGGAGGTTGAGGCTGTAGTGAGCTATGATCCCACCACTGCACTCCAGCCTGGGTGACAGAGTGAGACACTGTCTCAACAACAAGAAAAAAATGAAGATGTCAATTTTGAAATATATTGTTCTTATTTGAGTGCTATTTTAAAAGATGTGATGATTAGATTTAAAGATTTAGAGGAACTTTACCAGATTGGGTGACTAATCCATTTGAAACTAAAGTTAAGGATGTTAGCCAAAGAACATGAAGAGTTACTGAACTTCAAAAAATGACCTTGAGAGCTGGGCAGTTGGCCTCAGCTTGTTGTCCCAGATATTCAGTAACTTATTATTTGTAGAGATGAGGTCTTGCCATGTTGCCCAGGCTGGGCTCAAGCAATCCTCCTGCTTCAGCCTCCCAAAGTGCTGAGATTGCAGGTGTGAGCCACTGTGCCTGGCCCATTTTAACCATTTTTAACTGTACAGTTCAGTGGCATTAAGTACATTTGCAATGTTATAGAACCATTACTATCCTTTTTTAAAATTTTATCATTGTTACATTAAAAAAATTGTTTTTTTTAGTGTTTTTAAAATACAGACAGGGTCTGGCCATGTTGCCCAGGCTGGTCTCACACTCCTGGCCTCATGAGATCCTCCTGCCTCACTTCCCAAAGCTCTGGGATTACACGCATGAGCCACCACACCTGACCCATTTTTACATTTTAGACATTTGCACTGCTTTAGATGTTTCTATCAAAAAGAATGCTGCTACGATCATTTTAGTAAACATTTTCTTGTACATTTGTGATAATCTCCTTAAGCTGGATTTCCTAGAATGGAATTACTAAAGTAAGACAAATGAATACTTTTATGTTTTTTTAGTGCACATATGGTTTCTAAGATTTTCAATCTAAGAAATGGATACAAAGATGTGATGCAAATGTGTGCATTTTTATCAAATTATAAATAAATGTCAATGACTTAGATATTTTTCATAATTACAATTCCATCTTTGCTGATAAACTCGAGGGTAGGTATGTGTAGAGTCAGAGTATCAGGGTCTGCTTTCTGGCAGGGTGCTGTGGCCAGGGGTGTGTGAGTGTGTGTCAGAAGGGCTATGGAAAACAACCTTTGGAGCAGAGGTGTGTTGAGGCTGGTGGGCAGGTGTGCAGATGGAATTAGGGAACTACTGCCAGCAAGAAGCCTTCAGGCTGAATTGAGCACAGATGTGGCAGAGCACCACGGGATGCATCCCTCCCTCCCCACCAGCCCCTTATACTTTTGGCTGTTGGACTGTGCAGCAGGAGTAAGAAAATGAAAAATGCAGCACATGAGAACCAAGACAAGAAGCCCCTTCCTCCTATAATGTCCCTCTAGCATCCTATAGTGAGAAGTGTAACATTGTGCTCTCTGGAAGGGAGTCCACTCCATTATGGCAGAGCAGGTACTTAAGGCTGAATTTGGAGCTGAGAGGCAATAAATTGATAGCTAGCTGACATGAAGCCTAAAAGTTACTAACAATAGCTCATTTGAACCTCTTTGACCTACAGTAAAATTTACCTCTTTATATGATTGAATATTGAGAAATTGGGATGGTCATTGCATGTTATGGGACACTCTTGATCTGATAACCACAGACACAGTACACTCAAGAATTTGTAGACAAAGTCAGAAAACATCACTCCTGAAATGCGGGGCAAATGTCACATTTTTAAACTAACAAAAACCAACTTTAAATGCATAGAATTAACTACCTATGGAAATCTGAGAAAATAACACAGAAAGAAATGATTTGTAAGAATATTGGTCATAAAACTAGGGTGCTATCTAAATCTTAGCACAGACCTAAATTAGCTCCCTGGAAGGAAAGACAGTGACTTAAAATCACAATAATGGAAGATAAACTAATGGGAAGACTTGCAATACAAAAGTCAAGGATATACGTTTTTTCTTTTTATTTATTTTTTGTTCTTTCTTTGTGTTGGGGATATATGTTTTTTAAAGAGTATTAGATGGTAAGAATTCATCAGTATATTCCCCAAAACTTCTAAGATTCTGATTTTTTTTAACATAGCTAAAAAATTAGCTTGACAGTGGAAAAGAACAATTTATCTGGTTTCAAAACTTCTAAGGACATACATAATCCCTTCTTCTTGAATTTTGCTTTCATAGAGGATCTTTTAATACAGTTGTTGGCAAACTATTTCTGGAAAGGGACAGATGGTAAATAGCTTAGGCTTTTTGGGCCGTGAGGTCTCTGTCACTGTTACCCAACTCTGTCTTTATAGTGTAAACTCAGCCATAGATAATGTGTACATAAGCAGGCATGGCTATGTTCCAATAAAACTTTATTTACAAGATCAGGATGTGGCTAGATATCGCCTGTAGGTGATAGTTTGCTGACCCTTGTCTAACTTATCATTTGGCTTCCAGACTGGTCAGACTCACCAGGAAGGGGTGCCTTGGGAATATTAGACATGGGGCATGTCACTCTGTTTAATTCCTATCTTGTAGGCCTGGTCATAACAGTCAGTTCTCTGGGAGCTAATCAGTTCTGGATGAGCTAAAAAGAACTAGTAACTGAGTTCCTGACCTTGGAAAGCTGAGCTCTAAAGGGATCTAGCCTCGGCGTCTAGCCTGAGTAGCTAGCTGATATGTCTCATTCATTCATCATTCTTTTCCCCTTAATCTCTCTTCCTCTTTTTGTCATCTCTAAATGACAGCACCAATATACAGACTTCTACTTTTATTAATAGAATTTAATATGTACTACTCATCACAAACAGAGCTTGTTTAGGTTTAATAACTATGGTCTCTGTTTAAAATATTTGAATATAAGAATGAGAGAAAATATTCAGTTATAACAAGTAACTATCATGAAAACTTGTTACCTGCATTAAAAACACAAAACAATATTGTGAAAGATTATTTTGCTTCCTAATGAAATTATCATCAAAGAAGCCAGGAAACAGTTGGGAACGTTAAAAGGGAGATGCAATAAAATTATTCAGTAATTTTTTAGATTATATAATTAATGTTCTCTAATTGTCAAGAAACATAGTAATATTATAAACTATCTAGTGACAACTGACATAATACAAACCATATATAAGTTTGAATTTATGAACATGCTATTTTGCATGCGAGGTCCATGTCCCTGCCTTAACTTTAACCACCGTGCCTCATTCTTTTTTTTTCTGGAGATAGTGTCACTCTGTCGCCCAAGCTGGAGTGCAGTGGTGCGTTCTCGGCTCACTGTAACCTCCCCTTCCTGGGTTCAAGTGATTTTCATTTTGTATTTTTAGTAGAGATGGGGTCTTCTCATGTTGGCCAGGCTGGTCTCGAACTCCTGGCCTCAAGTGATCCACTCGCCTTGGCCTCCCAAAGTGCTGGGATTACAGGCGTGAGCCACATTGCCTGGCCACTACTCATTCTTGTTTCTCAAGCCCCTTGTTTTGGTTTCTCATTTCTGCTTCTATTCTTCATCAGGCCCCTTTAACAACTCAGTTTGACTCATTCTTATCTACTGACTGCTTCAGCTCCCTCTCACTGGGCTCCCAGTAGGTCTACCCACTGAGACAATAGATAAAAAGCATTTGTATCTCAAGTCAAGAACAAGGGAGCTGACTTCTGCTCAGCTTCCCAAGAGCTGGATTGGGTAAACACTTTCTGCTGCACATAATTTCTCTGAAGAGGCCTGAAAGCTAGATCTAAGTTCTTAGGGCTATAGTTTTCACTTTATTTTGGGCCCTTGCAATATCAAGGATAGTACCAAGGGGCGGCTTGGACTGCGGATGGTGGGGTAGTTTAGCTCATCCTAAATCTCCATTCAGGCTGGGCACAGTGGCTCACACCTATAATCCCAGCACTTTTCAAGGCCAAGGCAGGTGGATCGTTCAAGCCCAGGGGTTGGGGACAAGCCTGGGAAACACAGTGAAACCTCGTCTACACACACACACACAATCAGCCAGGCATGGTGGTGCGCGCCTGTAATCCTAGCTACTCAGGAAGCTGAGCTGGAAGGATCAATTAGGCCTGGGAGGTCAAGGCTGCAGTGAGCCATGATCACGCCACTGCACTCTAGCCTGGGTGACAGAATGAGACCCTGTCCCCCCACCAAAGAAAAACCTCACAAAATCTCCACTAGTCCCCTCCCCTCAGCCATTCTAAATAAATTATTCTTAGATGTCTACAACGGAATTTGCAGTAAATCTTTTTATGTCCTATTTGGATATGACAGTTTTGTTAAGGAATTAATAAAACAAAAGCTGGGCACAGTGGCTCACACCTGTAATCCTAGCTACTCAGGAAGCTGACGTGGGAGGACTGCTTGAGCCCAGGAGTTTGAGGTTGCAGTGAGCTATGACTGCACACTGCTTTCCAGCCTGGGAGACAGAGTGAGACCCTGTCTCAAAAAGAAAAAAAAGAAAGAGGATTATTAAGACATCTTATTTACCTATAACCTTTCAAATAATTATGTAAAATGTAACTTTGAACGATAACCCCAATCTGGGGAAAAGGGAAAAATTGTACTACAACACCAGTTTTGAGTTGCTTTTTTACCTTCAGGACAAAAATGAGAGTAAGGGACAGCTTTTGTTTGTTTGTTTGTTTTAAGAGATAGTTTTAAATTATTAAGTTATTTGCTGCTCTTATCAAACTTAGAATTATAAGCAACCTCAAAGATCATGTAGTTCAACCCATGCATTTGGAAAGTCCTGGCTAAATGACATAATTATTCAAGAATATGTGCTTGATTCTATATATCCAATGTCTTCTCCATAGGAAGTTATAGTTGGTCACCCCTGCCTTCTTGAATTTTTGTTTACACCATACACACTCTCCTGATTTTCCTCTTATCTTAGTCTTCTTTGCAGGATACTCCTCATCTTTCGCATCTGTATATATGAGATGCGTTCAGGGCTTAGTCCTTGATCCTCTTCTATTAATATCTATACTTACACTTTAGGTGATCTTAACTGGTCTCATGGTACTAAATATCATCTACATGCTGATAGCTCCCAGTTTGTATCTATTGCTCTGATCCTTCTACTGAACTGGATATCCAGCTGTTCACTCGATACCTTTATTTATCTAATAAATACCTGAATCTTAACATGTTCAACCTGAATTCCTGATTTTCTTCCATGTCCAGGACAATTCATGCTCATTCCATAATCTTTTCCATCTGATCCACTGCTCACCAGTTGCTCGGGACAAAATCCTTGCAGTCATCCTTGATATCTTCTGTCATGCACCCAGCCCATTAGCAAATGCTGGTTTTTTTTAATCTTCAATCGATTTCCCAAATCTGACCACTCTGACCACCTACACAAATCTAGCCTAATCAATTAACTTCCTGATTAGATCTCTGTTCTCTCTGCTCTTCATCTTGCCCTTCTCCCCTGGAGTACTCTTCCACATGCATCCAGAAAGTCTTTAACATAAGGCCTTGCACGATCAGGACCTTACTTGCTCTCCTGTGTCATTTTCTACCAACTCTCTTCATGCTGCTCCAGCCGCTCTCGTCTTTTCGATTTTTCCCACGCACCAAGTTCATTCTTGTGATGGGACCCCCGCACCTGCTGTTCTCTCCAGAATGCTTTTCTTGCATGGCTGGTTCCCTCACTTGTTAGGCTTCTGTTCACATGTCACTCACCCTCACAGGAGCCTTCCCCCAGCACTACCTTGATCTAAAATAAACCCCTGTCATCACTTTCTATCCCGTTTATCCTGCTTTATTTTTCTTTAGAGAATTTACTACTATCTGACATCGTATTACAAATGTATGTCTTCATTGTCTATCCACAAGGGCAGGAATTTTGTCTGTTTTTTCACTGTTAGAGCAATGCCTTGCACATCTTAAGTATTCAATAACTAGTGACTAAATACATGACCAAGTATTCAGCCCTTTGAGTAAGTGGCCTCCTCTACATACAGACAGAGGAAGATCATTCTGCTTAGAGGGCACTGAAAACCCTAAAGTGGTTTCCTTTTTTATGCAGATGATCCTAATTGCTTCTGAAGCACTCTTAAAAGAAACATGAGTCCGTTTTTGTTCTCATAGCACCTACACTTGCCATGTTCTCACTTTTGGTTGCATTGTTTTTATTTTCTTAATCTCTGATCTTGGTTATTAATAGGACAGTCAGCAAAGATTTTATCTGATCAATACAGCATAGGATACCCGTATGTTGGTAGAGTCAAAGAATGCTGTAGACCTAAATGTTACAGTGAATCCAGTTAAAATTCTACCAGTCTGGGCAACATGGCAAAACCCCATCTCTACAAAAAATACAAAAATTAGCCAGGCATGAGGCACATGCCTGTAGTCCCAGCTACTGGGAGGCTGAGGCCGGAGGATTGATTGAGCCCCGGAGGTCGAGGCTGCAGTAAGCTATGATCATGTCACTGCACTCCAGCCTGGGTGACTGATCAAGACTGTCAAAAAAAAAAAAAAAAAAAAGAGAGAGGGAGAGAAATGTAGGGGTGGGTTGCCCCTCCACACCTGTGGGTGTTTCTCGTAAGGTGGAACGAGAGACTTAAGAAAGAAAAAGACACAGAGACAATGTATAGAGAAAGAAATAAGGGGACCCGGGGAACCAGCGTTCAGCATTATGGAGGATCCCGCCAGCCTCTGAGTTCCCTTAGTATTTATTGATCATTCGTGGGTGTTTCTCCGAGAGGGGGATGTGTCAGGGTCACAAGACAATTGTCGGGAGAGGGTCAGCAGACAAACACGTGAACAAAGGTCTTTGCATCGTAGACAATGTAAAGGATTAAGTGCTGTGCTTTTAGATATGCATACACATAAACATCTCAATGCTTTACAAAGCAGTATTGCTGCCCGCAGTTCCCACCTCCAGCCCTAAGGCGGTTTTTCCCTATCTCAGTAGACGGAACATACAATCGGGTTTTATACCGAGACATTCCATTGCCCAGGGACAGGCAGGAGACAGATGCCTTCCTCTTGTCTCAACTGCAAGAGGCATGCCTTCCTCTTATACTAATCCTCCTCAGCACAGACCCTTTACGGGTGTCGGGCTGGGGTCTTTCCCTTCCCACGAGGCCATATTTCAGACTATCACATGGGGAGAAACCTTGGACAATACCTGGCTTTCCTAGGCAGAGGTCCCTGCGGCCTTCCGCAGTTTTTGTGTCCCTGGGTACTTGAGATTAGGGAGTGGTGATGACTCTCAAGGAGCGTGCTGCCTTCAAGCATCTGTTTAACAAAGCACATCTTGCACCGACCTTAATCCATTTAACTCTGAGTTGACACAGCACATGTTTCAGAGAGCACGGGGTTGGGGGTAAGGTTATAGATTAACAGAATCTCAAGGCAGAAGAATTTTTCTTAGTACAGAACAAAATGGAGTCTCCTATGTCTACTTCTTTCTACACAGACACAGTAACAATCTGATCTCTCTTGCTTTTCCCCACAGAGAAAGAAGAAAGGAAGAAAGAATAAAGAAAGAAAGAAGAAAATTTTAAGTTTATACCTTTTAAAAAAGGAAACTTAAAAATCAGTAAGTTTTAATTTTTAATAAGATAAATAATTTATTCTATCAAACATCACCAATGTCAGATCATTTCAACATTATTTCTAACTTTTCAAAGTACATAGCATAAACCATAAAAGTTGTCTAACTGAAATTAAATCTTCGTGAGAGATAGTTTTAATAGACTGGGTTTTTAGCAGTGAAGTTAAAGAATGATAGTTTAGTATACAGAAAGAAACAGTTATGGTGACACTTAGTTCTTCATGATGCACTGTAAGCACAAATTGGACATCACATGATAAGTAAAAAGGATGGTCCTTCTGGCAAATAAAAATTAAATAGGTCCTCACAGTGATATGCAGTCTCCAAACATGATCTGTCTAATTTCTCTCTCTCACCCAAAGTAAAAAGTTAAGTTGAAAGATTAAAACCTGCCTTCTTGTTACTATTTCACAAATACACCCAGATAGTACCAGATTAGTGACTAAAATCCAGATATTTTCCTTTTAGATAAATTAAGCCATATACATTGTAAAATACTTATTTTTTAAGAGAATCAATAAAGCTATATTTATTTTCAGTAGAAAATGTGGCTCATAGACACTTTATTTCTCTGAAATTGCCTCTCAAGAAAAAACTTGATCCTCACTATTGATCTAAGAGAAATCTGCATGAAGCAATGCTGTAGTTTATGCTTTTTTTTTTTTTTTTTTTTTTCTCAAAGGTGGTGGGTGACCTCTGGAGGCAACTGGAAAAAATATACTGCTGCTTTCAAGAGTGAAGTGGGGAATGAAGAATCAGAAAGTAGATCTTTCCATTTAGAGAAGGCTTTTTCTTTTTTTTTTTTTTACATTTAATCAGGGTGAATTAAAATATTTAATTTAAAAATGGCTTTACTGAACCTCAATTCAGTTAGGTAATTAATCAATTCAGTTAGGTAATAGCTACTAAGTATGTAATACAATGTTAGGGGAGAGACATATAACATCCATAGTTTCAATCTCATTGAGTTTATAATCTACTAAGGAACTGAAGATAAGTGCTAAAAGAACTGTAACACGAGGTAAAACCTGTGACAAGATTTAGGAGCAGCACAACTATATAGTTGTGAAACTAAACCAGCCTCAAGGCTGAAAGGCAGGTGAGAAAAGACTACCTACCAAAGTAGGTTTTGTTTGTTTGTTTGTTTGTTTGTTTGTTTTAACATGGATTCTCCAAAGATAGGTAGAAAAGTCCTGGTTTGGCGTCATTAGTCTACTTCAGCCCCTCTCTCACTGATTACGACTGAAAGACTCATGACAAAATACAAATGGCAACTACCTGCCGCCTCTGAAAAGTAAATAAAGAATTGAGGTAGGGAGTCAAAACTTAGAAACCTGCAAGGGGATGAATTTCCTGGCTTTTTTCTTCTTTTCTTGTGGTTTGTCCTGAGGAGAGACCCCAGCTGGGAACTGTTGGGTGGCATGGGTAGCTAAAACTCGAATAGAAATCTCATCTTTCTGTGCTGAAAGGAAATAACGGTTAGCCCAGAACTCTATTTTCAGTGAAAATATTTTCAGGAATCAAAGTGAAATAAAGACATTCTCATATGAAGGAATGCCAGCTGACCTGCTCTAAAATAAATGCTTGGCGGGCCGGGCGCGGTGGCCCACGCCTGTAATCCCAGCACTTTGGGAGGCCGAGGCGGTCGGATCATGAGGTCAGGAGTTCGAGACCAGCCTGACCAACATGGTGAAACCCCGTCTCTACTAAATAAAAAAATTAGCCGTGCGTGGTGGCACGCGCCTGTAATCCCGGCTACTCAGGAGGCTGACGCAGGAGAATCGCTTGAACCTAGGAGGCAGAGGTTGCAGTGAGCCGAGATCGCACCATTGCACTCCAGCCTGGGCGACAGAGCGAGATTCCGTCTCAAATAAATAAATAAATAAATAAATAAATAAATAAATAAATAAATAAAAAAGAAATGCTTGGCGGGGCATGGTGGCTCATACCTGTAATCTCAGCACTTTGGAAGGCCAAAGGCAGGCGAATCACTTGAGGTCAGGAGTTCGAGACCAGCCTGGCCGACATGGTGAAAACTCGTCTCTACCAAAAAGCGCCACAACACTCCAGCCCGGGCGACATAGGCTCTGTCTCAAAAAAGAAAACAAACAAACAAAAAAAAAAGTGGGGGTGCGGGTGGGGGGAAGACTTAATGACTAAACGAATAAGTCTGGAGAGACGGGTTGCAAGGGATGATGAGACTAAGGTTTGTAGTCTGGGAGCCTAAGTGGATGAAAGTTGGAAGAATCAGGTGGAAAAGAACATTTCAAATAGACCACAAAGAAAAGTATATAACATTTTGAGGCTGTGGTACGCTTTGTTAAAGAGCAAAAGGAAAACAATTCCTCAAATCAGGGGGGAGGGATAGCATTAGGAGATATACCTAATGTTAAATGACGAGTTAATGGGTGCAGCACACCAACATGGCACATGTATACATATGTAACTAACCTGCACGTTGTGCACATGTACCCTAAAACTTAAAGTATATAAAAAAAATTCCTCAAATCGATGCCACGCTCCACTTCTTTACAACGATGGAATTATTTCAGGAATTGGAATTATTTCAGGAATTGTGTTTGAAACCACAGCTTTGGATCCCGATTTCTTTCTTGAGCTACTGTTACACTGTTTATATACGGCCACTAATTCGATGACTGAGCTTGGGCAGATTGTTAATTATTTTCTATGACTTAATCTTTCTATCTGTACAACGGGGATAACGTGGAATTTGGAGTGTTGTGAGGGTTGAGATAATATACGTGATAACTTACACAATGACGTTCAACAAATACTTGTGGAGTGAAAGATGCGCGATTCATTGACAGATCTCAGGGATTTCAGAAAGCTGTATAAGGACCAGCTCTTCAGGCTCCCTTCGCTCCCCAGGAGACCGGGGAGCCGGCGCGAGGCGCTACAGTGTAATTCTTGGCCCCTTTTCCTCATAATGGTTTGGCCGCATTTTTACCTCTTGATTTCCCTGGTCCCAGGCTGCAACTTCAGCTCGCTCCGCCATGGGGCGCACGTCCGCCAGCCTCTGTGAGCTCAGCTAAGTATGATGCCTAGGCTAGAGAGCTACGTCCGGTCTCCTAGGCAACCATATCAACTTCCGGCTTGAGGCACGATAGCGGTTGGCGAGAGGCCACATTTCCGCCACGTGACCCGCGCATGCGCCTGCTTGCTGGAGAGCGAGCGTCTTTTGCCACGAACACCTGCGGCGTGCCGAAGTTCCTCTTCTCTGCCCCGGTTCCGGGCGGTCCGCTGGGAGGTGGCGCCCGGAGGGACACCCGTGCCTGGGGTCGGGGCCAGTGCTCTTCTCGGAGCTCCAGAAGTTCTGCTGAGAAGCGCGGCGGCAGCAAGACGACTTCTCCGGAGCCGCCGAGCTGGAGTTAGAGGTGGAGCTCCGTGGGGCCGGGCCCCCGGCTGCGGGGCAGCGGCTCCTGCAGGCGGAGGCCCCGGCGGAGAATGAGCCGGAGCCGGAGGTGGTGGTGGTCTCCTGGCAGAGCGGTGGGACCGGGAGCAAGCTGCGGTGGTTCACCACCTTGATGCTGTGTGCCTCCTTCCTGGGGCTGGTGAGAGCCGGGGCTGCAACACTCCCAGGCCGGGGCGTTCGAGTCTTGCCTTCGCCACTTGCAAACTGACCTTGGGCGCGTTACCTAATCTGACTGGGCCTCAGTTTCATCATCTAGAAAATGGGCACAATTCTAATCTTGGAGGAAATAGATTTTCTGAATACGTCTTTCAGCTCCAGCAAGCTTTTTTTTTTTTTTTTTTTGACGGAGTCTCGCTCTGTTGCCCAGGCTGGAGTGCAGTGGTGCGATCTCGGCTCACTGCAACCTCTGCCCCCAGGGTTCAAGCGATTCTCCTGCGTCAGCCTCCCGAGTAGCTGGGATTACAGGCGCCTGCCACTAAGCCCGGCTAATTTTTGTATTTTTAGTAGAGACGGGGCTTCGCCATGTTGGCCAGGCTGGTTTCAAACTCCTGACCTCAGGTGATCCGCCCACCTCGGCCTCCCAAAGTATTGGGATTACCGGCGTGAGCCACGGCGCCCGGCCCGGCAAGCCTTCCTACGTCTCCTTCGTCGGATGGGAAGGTTGCAAGAGGGGTTCACCAGGTCTTTGGCCGCTGCTCTCCGCACCCACCCACTCAACCCCCAAATTATTACACAGAAAAACTACTTTTCTGGAATTTCTTCCTGGTGATCTGACCAAATTCAGCCAACCGCTTAATTTTGCAGATAAGGAAATAGGCCCGGAGGGGAAAGTGACTTTCTGGATCACACAGCTGGTTAAGTGATAGAGCCAGAAATATGTCTTTTACTCTGCCCACCATCCTATTTATTAATAAAACCAACCTTTAGATTCTTAAATGTTTTTCTTGGAGCAAAGGGCAAGCCTAGAGGCGCCTTTTGCCAAACCCCTGGGTCGCCACTCAATTCACTTTTCGGAAACCTCCTCCTTATCACTTGATAATTATGATCCTGGGGGAGTTGAGAGGATGAGTCCTCCCAAGAGTCATGTGTGGTCACTTACCATCTCAGGGACTCTGAGCCACAGTTGTTTCTTAGAGTATTTTGATTGGGGGCGGTGGGGAGGGGTGAAGAAAGAAATCACTTCAGACTTTTGGTGAGTCGTCACTGACTTGTCCGGTCCTGTTGTAAATCCTTTGAAGACATGAACTAATTTGATTAGATTCTGTGCTCAGGCTTCTCTCGAAGTACGAGGTGCTTGCTGTGCACCTGGGCCCATAGTGGTCCGTGGTCTTGGACTGTTACGAGTTGGGCAGGGGGCGCACCCCATGCATTTAGAGCAGAGCAGGGCAATTAGAATCAGTTATTCTGGAAATGTAGACTGATTGGAAACATTTTTTTCTTTAAATGTCCAATGAATTTCCTCTGAAAGTCAATTGTAATCCTTACCTCTTGCTGACACTGCATTGAGTAAAGTTTTATTGTTAAAGTCATTCTGTACTTGGGCGTGTAATATTTTTTAAGCAACCTTTACTGACTAATTCTGATGGCGTGGAAGAAAAGTGTAGATTTAGAAACATTTAAATTGTTTATCTCCTGTATGTTTTATATGTATAGTTCAGGGGAAGGACTCCATGTGCATCCAGAAATATTGCTGTTTAACAACATAAAAAACAGGAATCATATTTTGATGTTTTGATCAAGGTTTTGACGTTTTCCAGTGGCTCAGTCAGAACTCACTACAGTCTCGACCTCAGGGCTTAAGCGATCCTTCCATCTCAGCCTCCCTAGTAACTGGGACTACAGGCATGCGCCACCACGCCTGGCTGATTTTTTTCATTTTTATTTTTGTAGAGATGGGGTTGCCTAGGTTGATCTCAAAACCCTGAGCTCAAGCAGTCCTACCATCTCTCCCTTCCAGATTGCTGGGATTACAGGTGTAAGCAACCACACCTGACTTAATTTAATTAATTAATTTATTCTTTCTGAGACAGAGTCTCGCTCTGTCGCCCAGGCTGGAGTGCAATGGTGCAGTCTCGGCTCACTGCAACCTCCGCATCCCGTGTTCAAGCGATTCTCCTGCCTCAGCCTCCCGAGTAGCTGGGACTACAGGCGCCCACCACCATGCCCAGCTAATTTTTGTATTTTTAGTAGAGATGGGGTTTCACTGTGTTGGCCACGCTGGTCTCAAACTCCTGACCTCGTGATCCGCCTGCTTCGGCCTCCCAAAGTGCTGAGATTACAGGCGTGAGCTACTGTGCCCGGCCAATTTAAATTTTTAATACCCAAATTCTTATTTGTGCATGTAATATATTTCAAAATGTACGAAACCATTTCAAAAATAGTTTTAATATTACATTTTATTAATACAGAATAGTCTTTTAAAGGTATTGTTCAGAAAGGAAACAGGATTGCAACAAAAAAATAATTTTTTAAAAACTGAGAGGTGTCAAAACAAAAAAAAAATAAGAGTTTTAGTCAAAACTAAAAAAACAGTAGTCTAATTCCCTACATTACATTGTAAATCCCAGACCCTCCGCCCCCCTTTTTTTTTATAGTGGAAGAAACTACCACATAGTTAGACATTATTTTAATGATTATAAGTAAAAACTTTTGTCTTTTTAAATTTTAGGGATTGAGTGTTGCTATAGTGGGACCCACGTTTCAAGATTTGGCAACAAACGTGAACCGAAATATCAGTAGTCTGTCTTTCATTTTTGTGGGTCGTGCCTTGGGATATTTGAGTGGCTCTGTGATTGGTGGATTTCTTGTCGATGTCATGAATTATTTTTTACTTTTGGGTAAGTAAATGCTAATTTTAGCTTCTTTATGACTGTCAAGTGAATTTACA
This sequence comes from Homo sapiens, assembly GCF_000001405.40. Taxonomy (NCBI): domain Eukaryota; kingdom Metazoa; phylum Chordata; class Mammalia; order Primates; family Hominidae; genus Homo; species Homo sapiens. The sequence continues at coordinate 111,262,476 of NC_000006.12, forward strand.
AGTTGTCTTTGAAAATATGAAAATACTAGCATGCAGAATGGTTGGCCACTGAAATGGGTAGTGTTTAGGTGTCCTCAATGGCAGTTGAGTTTCCCTGGTACCTGCTTTCATCTTGACAGTTAGAGGGTATCTGTGCTGGGTCCCTCTGGAAATTTAGATTAGCTCTAGAGTGTCTTAGCAATCCTTAGCCTTTCCAACCACTATAATTTAGCTACCACTCCTGGATCACACACTGGTTGTCCAAAAAACTCTGCTTAGAGGGTTTAGGGCAGATTTCCTGGGGTCACCACAGATCAGAATGAGCTCTTTGAACCTGCCCAGGCTACACCCTGGATTGGGAATGAAGAGGGGAAGCGAGGTTGGGTGGACTGATGTAGGCTATGTTTTTGTTCCTGCTGCCCCATGTTGTCGTTGGACAACCCCAGAGTGCTCTGTCTCACCCTGGAAATAGATGGCAAAGCTGCTTTTTTTTTTTGAGACAGGGTCTCCTCTCCCTCTATTGCCCAGGCTGGAGTGCAGTGATGCGATCTCTGCTCACTGCAACCTCCCCCTCCTGGGCTCAAGCGATCCTCCCATCTCAGCCTTCCAATTAACTGGGACCACAGGTGTGAGCCACCATGCCTGATTAATTTTTGTGTTTTTAGTAGAGCCGGGGTTTCACCATGTTGCCCAGGTTGGTCTGGAACTCCTGAGCTCAAAGGATCAGCCTCCCAGAGTATTGGGATTACAGGTGTGAGCCACCACGCCTGGGCTGGCAAAGCTTTTAGCATATACTTTTTTTGAATAAATTGAAATATTTAGAGAAAATTTAGATTAATATGATAAAATTGTTTTGGAAGCAAGAATAATTTGTTATTGTTAAGGAATTAATAAATAATCCCTCTTATTTCCAAAGTGGGTTGAAATAACATATTTCTTGTATTTTCCTCCCTATTTCCCAAACTAATTTATTTAGTAAATTTTATTACAAACTACTCTAGTAATTGCATTTTATTTTTGTCTATTTAATTTTTTGCCTCATGTCTAAAAATTCCTGTTAGGTTCTTAAATGTGAATCATTTAAATTAGTTTTGGCTTGTCTCTTTTGGTATAAAACTTTGCCTTATGGTATAATTTACAGTTTGATTACTAGCAGTGCTTTAAATGTATTTGTGTTATAATTATTTATATTTCATAATCCATAAAGATTATAAAAGATTCAAATGAAATAATCACTTTTAGAAGCAAAAACTCTCATCTACTCATTATCTAATTTAAATTTGACCTGATTTTGCATGTTTGGACATTTATGATATTGACTTGATCCATGACTGCATGGATATTATTTTTTATAGCTGAGTTTCTACCTTCCCAGGAATCTCAATGTCGGCTACCACCGTTGGTCTTTATCTTGTTCCTTTTTGCAAGACAGCAATATTACTCACTGTCATGATGTCTATCTTCGGTGTTTCAATTGGCATTCTGGATACAGGTTAGTGAGCTCTTCAACGTCATCTCTGGGAGTAGGGACTTGCTAGAAGAAGTACAGCAGATGATACTAAACTGTCACTTGCAATGCCCCCTAAAATGACACAGACCTACTGAGTTGGTTGTGAGTCACTCAGAATGAATCACCCTTCTAGCAGCTATTCTTGCCAATTAGGGGGCCTGTTTCTGAGCAGCCAACTCTGAAATGAACTTAAAGAATTTTGTTCTATGAGAGATAATTGATTTACATTGTCCAAACAGGGAAGGGCCCCTGTGTGGGTAATTACAGTGCAGGTGAATAGGCCTTCATCTTGGGGTAGAACTTTATTGCTCTAGTATGGGAGGAATTGGTGGTTTAATAGGTTAAACCAAGTTTGGAACTGTTATTTGGCTGAGAAAGCATAGAAGCAGCAATCCAACTTGACATTTACCCTGACTTCCAAGCCAAGAGAGATCCATAGTGTGGACTAGGCTCTTTCTTTTTCTTTCTGTCCTCAAAGTTCCTGGCCTCCTGCAGTAGATTCTTTCCCGTATCATCATCATGTCTTTTAAAACTTACTAAATAGGCCGGGTGCGGTGGCTCACACCTGTAATCCAGCACTTTGGGAGGCCGAGATGGGTGGATCACGAGGTCAGGAGATCGAGACCATCCTGGCTAACACAATGAAACCTCATCTCTACTAAAAATACAAAAAATTAGCCGGGTGTGGTGGTGGGCGCCTGTAGTCCCAATTACTCGGGAGGCTGAGGCAGGAGAATGGCATGAACCCAGGAGGCGGAGCTTGCAGTGAGCAGAGATCACACCACTGCACTTCAGCCTGGGTGACAGAGTGAGACTCCATCTCAAAAAAAAAAAAAAAACCTACTAAATAACGGCGGGGTGGCTTACGCCTATAATCCTAGCACTTTGGGAGGCTGTGTCGGGCAGATCACCTGAGGTCAGGAGTTCAAGACCAGCCTGACCAATATGGAGAAACCGCGTCTCTACTAAAAATATAAAATGAGCCAGGCATGGTGGCGCGTGCCTGTAATCCCAGCTACTCAGGAGGCTGAGGCTGGAGAATTGCTTGAACCCAGGAGGTGGAGGTTGCAGAGAGCCACGATTGTGCCATTGCACTCCAGCCAGGGTCTCAAAAACAAACAAACAGAAAACCTACTAAATAACATAGATGACATCTGTTTACTCCTAAAACCAGCTTTCTACCCCTCCCTTCCCTGCTTTGCTGTTACGTGATCTGTTGAGGAAATATTTTATTTTACTTTAGGGTTAATTTTGTTATGAAATTATAGGGTAGAATTATATATTTATCTGAAAATATCTGTTGAAAAAAAAGAAGATAGCTCAAGATGTGCTGCTTCTTGCCTTTCTCCTCCTAGACGTTTAGACAGTATAAATTCAGATGCTAAACGGTGTCCTTGTTTCCTCTAATGGGCATACCAGAATCCTGGCTATTCAGGTTCCTGGACGTGTGTTTTGCATCTGTTACATACATAAGTAAGTAATTTTCCTCAAGTGGCTACCAACAGCAAGTACAGAAAGCTTTGGTAATTTGGCTACTATCTGATGATAAAATTTTGCCTTTTAAATATATATTTAAAATATTAATATATAAATATTTCTTCTGCAGTCTGATGTTAGAACTGTATTATAAAAAGCGTCTTGCTAATGTGCTTGGTTCTAGGAGGTAGTAGTCTACTAGACTGTAGAATTCGATTTGTGAGTATGTGATGTTATAATGCTTAGAGTTGTCTGGTGGTAGTGGGTTAGAATTCCTTTCTCAGAATTGATTTAGTTGCAATGTTTGATAATTAGAATATTATAATGCTTGTGCTATGTAAAATAGACTCACCCCCTTTCTGATAAGTGAACTTTTTTTTTTAATAAGTAAGTAACTGTTTAACTTAAATAATTTTTCCCATCTTTCATCGACAGGTGGTAACGTCCTTATCTTGGCTATTTGGGGGGACAAAGGAGCCCCACATATGCAGGCCTTACACTTCTCTTTTGCCTTGGGTGCCTTTTTGGCTCCACTGCTAGCTAAACTGGCTTTGGGTCCGACAGCGTCTGCTGAAAACCACACAGAGTCTGACTTCCATCCTGCACTCAACCAATCATCTGATGCTGACTCAGAAGCTCTGTTTGGAGTACCTAATGATAAGAATTTACTGTGGGCTTATGCTGTTATCGGTACTTACATGTTCTTAGTTTCTGTCATTTTTTTTTGTCTGTTTTTAAAGAATAGCTCAAAGCAAGAAAAAGCAAGAGCATCTGCTGAGACATTTCGAAGAGCAAAATATCACAACGCCCTTCTTTGTCTCCTTTTTCTGTTCTTCTTTTTTTATGTTGGAGCTGAGGTAACATATGGCTCTTATGTTTTCTCATTTGCAACCACCCATGCTGGCATGAAAGAAAGTGAAGCTGCTGGGTTGAACTCCATCTTCTGGGGGACATTTGCAGCCTGCAGGGGCCTGGCAATCTTTTTTGCTACCTGTTTACAGCCTGGAACCATGATTGTGTTGAGCAACATTGGCAGCCTGACTTCATCTTTATTTCTGGTGCTTTTTGACAAGAACCCAATTTGTCTCTGGATAGCAACTTCAGTGTATGGGGCTTCAATGGCAACCACATTTCCGAGTGGTGTTTCTTGGATTGAGCAGTACACGACCATCCATGGGAAATCTGCAGCATTTTTTGTAATTGGTGCTTCCCTGGGAGAAATGGCTATTCCTGCAGTCATTGGAATTCTTCAAGGAAAATACCCTGATTTGCCTGTAGTTCTGTATACCTCTTTGGGAGCATCAATAGCTACTGGTATTTTATTTCCTGTGCTATATAAATTAGCCACTTCACCTCTTGATCGCCAGCGAAAAGAAGACAGAAAGAGTGAGGACCAGAAAGCTCTGCTCTCTAGCTCCGGGCTAAATGAATATGAGGAAGAGAATGAAGAGGAGGATGCAGAAAAATGGAATGAAATGGATTTTGAAATGATTGAAACGAATGATACAATGAGGCATTCTATAATAGAGACATCTAGAAGTAGTCTGACGGAGCCCACAGCTGAAGTCTATAATCAATACCCATCAAATGCACTGGTGTTTGAGTCTTCTCCTTTTAATACTGGCAGTGCCCATGTGAAGCACTTGCCAGAAACCAGGACAAAAGGGACTAACGTTTAGAGAAGATGGATTACTCACTGACATCTTTGAATAACTGCCACTTCTAAGGACGCCATTCAGAGCAGAGCATTAGCAGAATTTCACCATGCTTTGGGGATTAAAATTTTTAGGTCCATATTATAGCAAATGCTAAAAATTTTTGAAATGTTCTGTAATTCCCAGAGTCTTCCATAAATAACCAAATGGTCTCATACACGTACAATAGGATCTTGTTATAACGCTATCATTTGACATGTGACTGATTAGGAAATATTTTATGGTCTCCACCCCTCAGAGCACCCAAAGAAGGCATTGTTTTTGAGAAGGGGGGTATTCTCAGAATGAGACCATGTAGGAGTTGAATTGATTGGTTGAACAAATTATCAGGTATCAATATTTTTCCAGGAAAGTTGAGGAGAATAGTTTCATAAAAGAGAAATGGGCCGGGTGCAGTGGCTAAAGCCTGTAATCCCAGCACTTTGGGAGGCCGAGACGGGCAGATCACGAGGTCAGGAGATCGAGACCATCCTGGCTAACACAGTGAAACCCTGTCTCTACTAAAAATACAAAAAATTAGCCAGGCGTGGTGGCAGGCACCTGTAGTCCCAGCTACTTGGGAGGCTGAGGCAGGAGAATGGCGTGAACCCGGGAGGTGGAGCTTGCAGTGAGCCGAGATCATGCCACACCGTACTCCAGCCTGGGCGACATCTAGACTCCGTCTCAAAAAAGAAATGGAGAGGTATTTTTATTAATTGCTTTACCTTATCTGTAGGGTTGGATCAAAGAATGTAATGACTCATTTGATTTCTAATTTCAATGAAGAGAACACAGAACAGGGCCCAAGGGGTCGGGCTTCAAGCCTTGACTTCTTCTAGCCCTGCACTCTGTCACTTAACGTAGGCCTTGTTTATCTCGCCTCCTGATCTGTGATTCTAGAAATGAAAATGAGATGATTTCCAAATTGGGAATCTGTAAGTTTTAAAGTTTGTGCAAAATGTCTGCTAGAAATTAGTACAAGTGACAGCATGTTCTTCATTTCAAATGAGAAGTGAAACCAAAATGATAAATAGCTTTAAGAATGTGCTAATGATAAATGATTACATGTCAATTTAATGTACTTAATGTTTAATACCTTATTTGAATAATTACCTGAAGAATATATTTTTTAGTACTGCATTTCATTGATTCTAAGTTGCACTTTTTACCCCCATACTGTTAACATATCTGAAATCAGAATGTGTCTTACAATCAGTGATCGTTTAACATTGTGACAAAGTTTAATGGACAGTTTTTTCCCATATGTATATATAAAATAATGTGTTTTACAATCAGTGGCTTAGATTCAGTGAAATACAGTAATTCATTCAATTATGATAGTATCTTTACAGACATTTTAAAAATAAGTTATTTTTATATGCTAATATTCTATGTTCAAGTGGAATTTGGAGACACTATGTTCTAATTTTAAGAACTGTTTCAGTGTTATTAGATTAGTAGTAGGGCTGTAGATGGGGTCTTTCGAGGTCCTTTGCCTACCTCAGTAACAGAGGCTGGGTCTGAGCCTTGCTCGAGATTAGCTCTTCACCAGGTCTGTGTGGTAATCATATCGTAGTTACCGTAGGTCACGCTGCAAGTGTAATTTACAGTGAGGCATAGTCTTTTCCAGTGATTGGAATACTTGTGTCACCGATCCAGGGTTTCTCTTTCCTGAGTCTGAAATACCTGGGAAACCAGTTAGAAGGTGACTGGGTAGCCTAGGAGTCAAGGATCAGAAAGGGTACTTCATATATATGTGGCAGAATTGGTGCAGGTGATCCTTTGAAAAATGACAAGAATTGATGAAATTTTGTTTACTTCCTCCAATTTTTTGCTGAATAACATCTCCTTTCTACCTGATTGGAGTAGGCTTGCTTTCTCTTACTTAATTTCTATAAATTTGCCATTGTTTTGTCTCAAGTAAAATACAGTGTCTTTCTTGACCACTGCCCGCCCATTCACCTTATATGCCTGCCACAGTCTTGGTTCATGTAATAACCTAACAGCTTTGGAGATGGCGGTGGAGAAGTTAATGGTAAAAACCTTCTTGCTCTTTTTATTTTTATTTATTTATTAGGGGTGGGGGATGGTGTCTCACTCTGTCACTCAGGCTGGAGTGCAATGACGTGATCTCAGCTCACTGCAACCTCTGCCTCCCTGGTTCAAGCGATTCTTCTGCCTCGGCCTCCTGAGTAGCTGGGATTACAGGCATGCGCCACCATGCCCAGCTAATTTTTGTGTTTTTAGTAGAGAGGGGGTTTCATCATGTTACCTAGGCTGATCTCAAACTCCTGATCTCAAGTGATCTGCCCACCTCAGCCTCCCAAAGTGTTGAGATTACAGGCATGAGCCACTGTGCCCAGCCCTTTTGCTCTTTTTATAGTGTAAATTTCCCTCAGTTAGAACTTGGAAATTACTTCTGCTTCACTTACTGCCTTTTCTCAGGTTGTTGGAATCTAGGCAGTAGCAGTTACTTGGCAGCTAGGAGGCTTGCTAGAATAGGAATTCCACCTTCAGCATTTACTGTTACAGGGTAGAAGATGCAGCTCAGGGAGAGAAGGATGATGATAAGAACATGGCAGAAAATCTCAAAATCTACTCTGGAAAATTCACTATGTTTCCACACACCAACATGTGAATCGTCATGAGATCATAGGGCATTGTTAAAGTTCCATATTGGAAGGAAAAGACTTAGTACAATTCTAAGAATTAGCATTTATCCTGCTGATCAGTTCTTAGCTAAGTGTCTGCTGATACCTAAGTAACCAATATACCCAAGTGTTCTATTGCTGGGTAACACAGTACCACACATTGAACACCTTAAAACAATAGACATTTGGTAATGTCTGTACAGGCTGTACTGAAGCGGCCTGTACAGGGCCGCTTCAGTACAGGACCTTACCTATGTAGACTGAGGTACGTGTTTCTTGCTGACTGTCAGCTGGGCACCACTCAGCTTCGAGAGGCCTCCCACAGTTCTTGCCATGTGGCCTTCTCACAGATGCCTCTCACAACATGGCAGTTTCTTCAAAGCAAGCAGGAGAATCTCTAAATGAGTCTTGTATGACATTACGTCATTATGGGAATAACATCCCATCACCTTTGCCATATTCTAGCGTCTAGAAGCAAGGTATGAGTTCCAACAAAACTCAAGGGTAGAGGCTAGAACAGGGATGTGACTCATTGCGGATCACCTTAGAGCATGCCTGCCACACTCGGGTACCTGCAGAATAGAGATTCTCAAAAGTTCTAAAAACTGAGCTAAGAGCAGGACATGATGGCTCACACCTGTAATCCCAGCTACTCAGGAAGCTGGGGTGGAAGTATCTCCTGAGGTCAGGAGTTTGAGACCAGCCTGGGCAATATAGTGAGACCTCTGTCTCTAAAAAATTTTTAAAAGAGACCCCTTCTCTAAAAAACAGGAAGGCTGGGCGCGGTGGCTCACACCTGTAATCCCAGCACTTTGGGAGGCCGAGGTGGGCGGATCACAAGGTCAGGAGATCAAGACCATCCTGGCTAACACGGTGAAACCCCATCTCTACTAAAAATACAAAAAATTAGCCGGGCGGGCGTGGTGGCGGGTGCCTGTAGTCCCAGCTACTCGGGAGGCTGAGGCAGGAGAATGGCGTGAACCCAGGAGGCGGAGCTTGCAGTGAGCCGAGATGGTGCCACTGCACTCCAGCCTGGGTGACAGAGCGAGACTGTCTCAAAAAAAAAAAACAAAAATATTCAACTATGAGCTGGGGAAAAAAGCTTCAGCGGTCACTGAAAGTGCTTACAGGTACAGCTAGTATGGGGATGGAATATGCCCCATTAGCCAGGCCAACAGATCTCATATAGGAGAATCTGTTTTATGTTTGTTGGACAGTGGGTGAGTTATCGCAGAGTTATGCCTTTTTTTTCTGTCACTATTTTATGTCCCTTATCACTGTGCCTTTAACCTACTGAAATGCAGTTGAGGCCGGGTGCGGTGGCTCACGCCAAGATGGCGCCACTACACTCCAGCCTGGGCAACAGAGGGAGACTCCATCTCAAAAAAAAAAAAAAAAAAAAAAAAAAGGAAATACAGTTGAATATGAGGGAAATAAGTAAATTTCAGCTTGAGTTTATTTGTATTTTATAATAGAATCCAGGGACATTTTGAGAGTATTTTTCAATTACTCTGTTATTTTTAAAAGAAAAATCTTTTGAAAAATTACTTTTTATTATAAAAACAATAAAGACATAAAATTTTGGCACAAAAATATAAGGAACAAGTATAATCCATAATCCTAAGCACCTAGAAAAGTTCTTACATTTCTCAAATTTCCTAAGTAAAGGGTAAAAGGAAAGAAAAATTCTCCATCAGATAAAGTATCAGAAATAACTTGAATTTTGTGTCTAAAGTATATTGACATTACAGTTGGTGAACTGGTTATTAGTTTGAAGAATTATAGTTTATTTTTTTAAAAAAACCTAATTGGGAGATGATCAGTAGATTCCTTGAGTAATCAGGATAGCTTTCTCATGTCCAGAACTTTTGGCTGGGCATGGTGGCTCACACCTGTAATCACAGCACTTTGGGAGGCTGAGGTGGGTGGATCACTTGAGGTCAGGAGTTTGAGACCAGTCTGGCCAACATGGCAAAACCCCATCTCTACTAAAAAAAAAAAAAAAAAAAAAAAAAAAAAAAGTACAAATAGTTAGCCAGGTGTGGTGGTGGCAGGCATTTGTAATCCCACTTCTGGGGAGGCTGAGGCACGAGAATCACTTGAACTTGGGAGGCAGAGTTTACAGTAAGCTGAGATCACGCTACTGCACTTCAGCCTGGGTTACAAAGTGAGACTGTCTAAAAAATTTAAAATAACCAGAACTTCTGATTTATCATGGCAATGTGTCACTCAGTCCCCAATCCTGCTACTTAAAAGTTATTTTTATTTTTTAAGTGGCCTGATCGCAGCTCACTGCAGCCCTGACCTCCCAGGCTCAAGCAGTCCTCCTACCTCAGCCTCCCAAGTAGCTGGGACTACAGGCTTGTGCAACCATGCCTGGCTAATTTTTGTATTTTTTGTAGAGACAGGGTTTTGCCATGTTGGCCAGGCTGGTCTCAAACTCCTGACCTCAAGTGATCCACCTGTCTAGGCCTCCCAAAGTGCTGGGATTACATGCGTGAGCCACCATGCCCAGCCCACCTGTGATATTTTGATACATGCATACAATGTGTAGTGATCAAAGCAGGGTAATTAGGATATTAATTATCTCAAGTGTTATAATTTCTTTGTGTTAGGAAAATTCCACATCTTGTGCTATAGCTGTTTTCAGTTATATACTGGATTATTGAACTATAGTGACCCTACTGTGCTGTTGAACACTAGAACTTCTTCCTTCTAACTGTATTTTTTTTTTTTTTTTTTTGAGATGAAGTTTCACTCTTGTTGCCCAGGCTGCAGTGTAATGGCACGATCTCTGCTCACTGCAACCTCTGTCTCCCAGGTTCAAGCCATTCTCATTCCTCAGCCACCCAAGTAGCTGGGATTACAGGCATGTGTCACCATTCCTGGCTAATTTTTGTATTTTTAGTAGAGATGGGGTTTTACCATGTTGGTCAGGCTGGTCTCGAACTCCTGACCTCAAGTGATCCACCCACCTTGACCTCTCAAAGTTCTGGGATTACAGGTGTGAGCCACCGCACCCGATCTCTATCTAACTGTATATATATATGTGTATATTTTTTAAGACAGAGTCTTGCTCTTGTCACCCAGGCTGGAGTGCAGTGGCACAATTCCGGCTCACTGCAACCTCTGTCTCCTGGGTTCAAGCGATTCTCCTGCCTCAGCCTCCCAAGTAGCTGGGATTACAGGCATCCACCACCATGCCCAGCCAATTTTTGTGTTTTTAGTAGAGACGGGGTTTCACCATGTCAGCCAGGCTGGTCTCGAACTCCCGACCTCAGGTGATCCACTTGCCTCGGGTCAGAGAAGATATTTTGATCAGAAATGATTATATTTTGGTCAGAAAAGATTATATTGTGGTCAGAAAAGATTATATGTTTTTTGAGTTAGGGTCTTGCTCTGTTGCTCAGGCTGGAGTGCAGTCGCCTAATCATGGCTCACTGCAGTCTCAAGCTTTTAGGCTCAAGCAGTCCCCTGCCTCAGCCTTCTGAGCAACTAGGATTACAGGTGTCACTATGCTTATTATTATTATTTTCTATTGTAGAGATGGGGTCTCACTGTGTTGACTAGGCTGGTTTTGAATTCCTGGCCTCAGGCGATCCTCCCGTCTCAGCCTCCCAAACTGCTGGGATTACAGGTATGAGGTACTGTGTCCAGCCAGAAAAGATTCTTGATATGATTTTAATTCTTGTAAATTAGTTGAGATTTGTGTTTTTTTTTTTTTTTTTGTTTAACATGTGGTCTATCCTGGAGAATGTGCTGATGAGAAGAATGTTTATTCTGTAGCTGTTGGGTGAAATGTCCTGTAAATGTCTGTTAGGCCCAGTTGGTCTAAATCTAATGTTTCTTTGTTGATTTTCTGTCTAGATGATCTGTCCAGTGCTGAGACTGGATGACTGAAGTCCCCAACTACTATTGTAGTTGGAGTCTATGTGCCCATTTATTTTTTTAGTTTTTTGAGACAGAGTCTCACTCTGTTACCCAGGCTGGAGTGCAGTGGCACAATTACGGCTCACTGTAGTTTTGACCTCCTGAGCTCAAGTGATTCTCTTGCTTCAGCCTTTTGAGTAGTTGGAACTACAGGTGTGTGTCACCATGGCTAATTTGTTATTTCTTTAATAGAGGTGGGGCCTCAGTATGTTTCCCAGGCAGGTCTTGAACTGCACTCAAGTGATCTTCCCACCTTGACCTCCCAAAGTGCTGAAATTACAGGCATGAGCCACTGTACCTAGCCTAATTTTTAAATTATTTCTAGAGACAAGGTCTCACTATGTTGCGCAGGCTGGTCTCAAACTCCTGGGCTCAAGCATTCCTCCCACTTTGGCCTCCCAAAGTACTGGGATTACAGGTGTGAGAGCCCCTTGAAATATAAGAATATTGGCTTTATTTATTTTGGTGCTCTGGTGTTCGGTGCATATATATTTACAGTTGTTTTAGCCTTTTGAATTGATCTCTTTATCATTATATAATGATTTTCTTTGTCTCTTTTTACAGTTTTGGATATAGTCTATTTTATCTAAGCATAGCTATTCTTGCCTGGTTTTGGTTTTGCTTTGTGTGGAGTATCTTTTTCCATACCTACACTTTCAGTCCATATGTGTGTTTACGGGTGAAGTGAGTTTTTTGCAGGCAGCATACAGTTGGGTAATGGGGTTTTTTGTTTTTTTGTTTATTTTAATCCATTCAGTCTTTCTATAACTTTTAGGTGGGGAATTTAATCCGTTTACATTCAAGGCTGTTATTGACAGGTGAAGACTTGCTCTTGTCATTTTGTGAGTTGTTTTCTGATTGCTTTGTATATCCTTTGTTTTTTCCTCTCAATGTTTATCACTGTGATTTTGTGATTTTCTGTGGAGATAAGTTTTCTTTATCTTCCTCCTTTGTGTATCTATAACACTAGTACATTTTATGCTTTTGTATGTTTTCATGATGGTGATTATCATCTTTTTGCCTTCAGATGTATTAAGCATTTCTTGTAAGGCTGGTCTAGTTGTGATGAATTCCATCAGTTTTTGTCTGGGATCTGTGTTTATTTTAATTATGTCTTGTCTTATTCTCTGTTTTTTGTGTTATTTTTTAAAATTATTTCAGAGAAGATTGGTTCTTACACTGTGACTATCCTTTTCTGTTTATTTATTTCATTTTAATTTTTTTAGAGACAGGATCTCCCTCTATTGCCCATCATGGAGTGCAGTGGTGTGATCATAGCTCATTGCAGCTTCGGACTCCTGGGCTCAAGCAATCCACTCACCTCAGTCTCTTGAGTAGCTGGGACTACAGTTGCATGCCACCTTACCTGGCTTTTTTTTTTTTTTCAGAGACAGGGTCTCATTTCGTTGCCCAGGCTAGTCTTAAATTCCTGGCTTCAAGCAATCCTTCCACCTCAGCTAGGATTACAGGTGTAAGCCACGATACCCCACTCTGTGACTATTCTTATATATTGCTTTTATGTCTTCGTTTGCTTTGATTTTTAATTGCAGAATGTGTTTAATAGATTCTGTAAATTTATTGCAGCTTGGTTTTGATACATTTGGTTATGAGTTAGTTAACCAGTGTCCTGGAGGAATGTTTTGAAGTTAGATGACATGAGTAGCATAAGGGGCTGGCTTTTAGCTCAGAACAACTTTTTTTTTTTTTTTTTTAATATGGAGTCTTGCTCTGTCACCCAGGCTGGAGTGCAATGGCATGATCTTGGCTCACTGCAACCTCCAGCTCCTGGGTTTAAGTGATTCTCCTGCCCCAGCCTCCCGAGTAGCTGGGATTACAGGTGTGCACCACCACGCCCAGCTAATTTTTGTATTTTTAGTAAAAACAGGGTTTCACAATGTTGGTCAGGCTGGTCTTGAACTGCTGACCTTGTGATCCACCCACCTCGGCCTCCCAAAGTGCTGCGATTACAGGTGTGAGCCACTGTGCCCGGTCAGCTCAGAACAACTTGTTGAGATTATACGATGCTTTTCCAATAAAAATTATTTAATTTTGATAAAATATACTTAATGGAAAAATGTATCTTTTAACATTTTAAATTGTACAGTTCAGTGGCATTAAGTATATTCACATTGTCTTACAACCATCACTTCCACTCATCCACAGAACGTTTTTTACCTTGCAAAACTGAAACTCTGTGCTGTTAAACAGTAACTGCCATTCTACGCCCCCATCCCAGCCCTTGTCAACCACCATTCTACTTTGTCTATGAATTTGACTGCTCAGAGTACTTCATATAAGTGGGATCATACAGTTTTTGTCCTTTCATTACTAGCTTCTTTCCCTTAACATAATGTCTTCAAGGATCATCCTTGTTGTAGCATGTGTTAGAATTTCTTTCCTTTTTAAGTCTATGATACACCATTGTATATACATACTATATTTTGTTTATTCATCTGTCAGTGGACATTTGTGTTGCTTCTACATTTTGGCTGTTGTTAATACGCTGCTGTGAATGTGGGTGTACAACTGTGTCTTTGAGATCTTGTTTTCAGTTCTTTTGAGATATATACCCATAAGTGGAATTGCTGGATCTTATGGTAATTCTATTTTTAATATTTTGTTGTGTTTGTGTTTTTTGTCTTAGATTTTTTTCTTAATCAAGTTTTTCCAGAAGAGAGTAGCTTTAGGAAGAGAATAAACACATACTTTTAAGGTATTATCTCAGACTTTAGGCGCATTATGATCATATCAGTAGCACCCATGTACTGAATAAGTGAACTCAAAGAAAAGTTATGTTGGGCAACTACCTCAAAGTTTTGTTATCTCTGCTTGCAATTTTTGTTCAGTCATTGCACAAGTGCTTGAGGGCTTACTGCATGTGAGGCTCTGTAGACTAAGTATTAATGAACTTTCTTTTTTGTCCTTGCAGTAGCAGGTACAGCTTTGATCTCAGTTTTCTGCCAAATGAATGGTTCTGTGTTTTGTGCTCATTCGTTTACAGAGATCCCTCTGAACCACCTTGGAACCAGAAGGTGTGTGGTCTGAGAACGATAAATGGGCTGCTCTCTGCCTCTCTCACAGCAGTTCTGCCCCTCCTTGGGACCACTCGTTTTCTGCATTCCTGGCCCATCTTCTATATATCTCTGGTCCAGATTCCAGAGGAAACCTGTTTGACTTGAATAGATGCCATTGCCCTTATTGGGCCTTGCCTCAGGAGTTCCTCTGTGTATCTCTGGTCCAGATTCCGGAGGAAACCTGTTTGACTTGAGTAGATGCCATTGCCCTTATTGGGCCTTGCCTCAGGAGTTGCTGGTTAGCCTATGAAGGGGTTCCCTTTGGGTTGATGACATTGCTCCCATCCAGAAAGTGGCTACTTCTACCCTCCTACTCCCACCACTCTGCATGCAGGAGCTGTTATCATCAAAAGGGAATGTCCACTGTCTGCTCTGTACCAGAGAAGTGCTAGGCTTCATAAATATTGGTAATCGATACCTGAATGGGATGAAAATTGGCAGGTCCTGGGATGGATGGCCTGGTTCATCTGCATCAGAACTGGAAAAACAAAATCACACCAAATTGCAGACTTTTTTGGAAGAGCGTGTTAGACAAGGTTTGTGGATTGTTTGATTTTTACCAAGAAAGAAAGCTTTCTCCTAAGAGGGTAAGATTTCTACTTGAGTGAGCTCTAAGAGGAGTCCCAGTTTGCAAGAGATATTATTACAGTTCTCATCTGTGCGGACCAGAAAGTTTTCCAAATTCATGCATTTCAGTTATCTAACAGATATTTACTGAGCATTTACCATGTTCAGTAACCAGGGCCCTGGGAATATAATAGGAGAAGGCAGATGAGATCCTTGCCTTCACCAAGCTTATGTTTTTCTATTTTAAGTAAAATTTGCCATGACAAAATTTCTATCAGCGGAAGAGCCAGTAACTCTTATTGTAATAGGTTTTACCCAGTTTTAGAAAAGGAAAGTAGCTAAACTCTTGGTTCCTTGGTGTGTGTTTTTGTTTGTTCATTTCTAGTACTTGTCTATGTCTTTGGGGTAATTTTTGATTTAGAATTTTGTAGAAATTACTCGGCACAGTGTAGTTGAGGTGAATATAGGCAAGAAGGCTTAGGAAGCCTACAACAAAGGAATCTGACACCAACTTTTGAGATTTATTCAGTCCAGCCAAGAGAATATATTTATGGTCAAACTAGATCTTGGATTACAGCTCCAAAGACCCTTGGGCTGACAGAGCAGGTTCTCATTTCTCAGCTCTTTCCCTTATCACTTGCAGTGAACTCTGCCCCCAGGAGCAGAGTATCCAGTTCTGTGTCCAAGCACTCTATGAATCTTTACCCTTGTTGAAGAAATACTCAGAGACAGAAGCATTTAGAAAAGGAAAAGTTTACCTGCAAAGAGAGCAAGAGAATGACTGGCTTGCCTAATAAAAAACGTAAGTATTTGAAGGAAAAAATTAAAAACTGCCAAGGTTTCTGAGTTTGCATTAGACTGTTCACGGTGAAAAACAGTAACTGCCTCATGTAATTATTGTATTCATAAAGGTTATGGCAAATCTTCAGATGTAGTACAGGAAAAACCAAGGATAAAATTTCTTAGGGAGTCCAGGTTTATGGGAAACATTCAAGGTTTTATTGTTTTTTAGATCATCAACAGTTAGATGACCCTATCATTTTTGTTTTGTCTCAGGGTGCAACGTCTTTCTTTTCTGATGGTGATTGATATAGTTTGGCTGTGTCCCCACCCAAATCTCATCTTGAATTCCCATGTGTTGTTGGAGGGACCTGGTGGGAGGTAACTAAATCATGGGGGCAAGTCTTTCCCGTGCTGTTCTTGTGATAGTGAGGAAGTCTCACGAGATCTTTTGGTTATTATAAGAGGGAGTTTTCCTGCACAAGCCCTCATTTTGCCTGCTGCCATCTATATAAGATGTGATTTGCTGCTCCTTGCCTTCCGCCATGATTGTGAAGCCTCCCCAGCCATGTGGAACTGTAAGTCCAATAAACCTCTTTTGTAAATTACCTAATCTCAGGTCTGTCTTTATCAACAGCATGAAAACAGACTAATAGAATGATATAGGAAGTTCTTAGTCTTACTGAAGCAAGGGAAAGTGACATTTTGCTTCTACACCCTCCAGAATTCATAAGCTCCAGAAGGAAAGAGGACCCAAGGGAAAAACGTGATTGCAAAATGTGTTCTTGTCCTCTGCCCAAGTGATTAACCTTTGCTCCAGTGGTTTTCAAACCTGGCTGCTGTTAGAATCACCTGGCAGTGTTTAAAAATGACTGATGCCCAGCATTTTAACTTAAATACCAATTTGGTCTGGAGTGGAGCCTGAGTATGGATATTTAAAAAAGTAACTCCTCCTCCCCAATCCCCCGTAATTGTAATGTGCAGCCAAGATTGAGAACCACTGCTTTGATCAGTGCACAAAACTGGATCCTCTACTAATGACCGTGGTTTTTTCTTAGGCTTACTTACAGATTGATTAAGTTATGCCACTTTTGTAGATCCTTGAAATTCTGTGCACTTTCTTTCTTTCTTTTTTTTTTTTTTGAGACAGAGTCTCGCTCTATTGCCCAGGCTGGAGTGCAGTGGCGCTATCTCAGCTCACTGCAAACTTCACCTCCCGGGTTCACGCCATTCTCCTGAGTAGCTGGGACTACAGGCGCCCACCACTGTGCCCAGCTAATTTTTTGTATTTCTAGTAGAGACGGGGTTTCACCACGTTAGCCAGGATGGTCTTGATCTCTTGACCTCGTGATCCGCCCACCTCGGCCTCCCAAAGTGCTGAGATTACAGGCATGAGCCACCGCGCCTAGCCTGTGCACTTTCTTAAAGGAAAACTGGAGAGGAAGAGATCTCATGTTTTCTATTCACTCCACTGCTGCTTGGTCCAGTGCAGGAAATATTGCTGTTATTTGAAGTCCTTCCTAAAACAAAAGCTCAGATCTTTTGGAGGTTGCCCTTCTAGGCAGGTTTTCACCAGTCAATTTTGATTTGGGGGGCTTAACAGAGTAGGAATGATCTTGCAGGTTTATTACATCTGAATTTAAGACTACTCACCTAGGCTGGGCGT
The DNA here is from genome assembly GCF_000001405.40 of Homo sapiens. Classification (NCBI taxonomy): domain Eukaryota; kingdom Metazoa; phylum Chordata; class Mammalia; order Primates; family Hominidae; genus Homo; species Homo sapiens. The sequence continues at coordinate 111,279,803 of NC_000006.12, forward strand.
GGTGGCTCACACCTGTAATCTCAGTGCTTTGGGAGGCCAAGGCGGGAGGATACCTTGAGCCGAGGAGTTCAACACTGCAGTGAGCCATGATCACACCACTGCATGAGTGAGACTCCATCTCAAACAAAAAAAATAGACTACTCACTGTTTACATAGCTTTGTACCATATAAAAACTTGTTTGAATAAAATATTGATAACAATAGTGATGTTGGTTTAAGATTCATGTTTCAGTTGTTTCACTGATTTTTGAATTGATACATAATAGCTATGCATAATTATGGGTTCCCTGTGATAATTCGATACATGCATACAGTGTGTAATGAGCAAATCAGGGTAGTTGGGATATCCATCACCTCAAATGTTTATCATTTCTTTGTGTTGGGAACATTTCACATCTTCTCCTGTAGCTATTTTGAAATATACAATAAACTAGTGTTAACTGTAGTCACTCTACTGTGCTATCAAACACTAGAACTTATTCCTTCTGTCTAACTGTATTTTTGTATTTGCTAACCAACCTGCTGCCCTCTGCTCTGTCCCCTACCCTTCCCAGCCTCTGGTAATTATTATTCTACTCACTACCTCCATGAGATTAATTTTTTAGCTCCCACATCTAAGTGAGAACATGGAATATTTGTCTTTCTGTTAAGTGAAATAACTCCCTTAACATAGTGTCCTTCAGTTTCATCCGTGTTGCTGCAGATGATAGGATTTCATTTTATTATGGCTGAATAATATTTCATAGTGTATATACCACACTTTCTTTATCCATTCATCCGTTGAAGAACACTTAGGTTGATTCCATATGTGGTCATTGTGAATTGCTGCAATAAACATGGGAGTGCAGCTGTCTCTCTGATACACCAATCTCCTTTCCTTTGGATATACACCCAGCAGTGGAATTGCTGTATCATATGGTAGTTCTATTTTTAGTTTTTTGAGGAATCTCCATACTGTTTTATGTGGTGGCTGTACTAATTTACATTTCTCCAACAGTGTAGGAGCATTCCACTTTCTCCACATCCTGGCCAGCATCTCTTTATTTTCTGTTCTTTTGATTATAGCCATTCTAATGGGGGTGAGGTGATATCTCGTGGTTTTGATTGCATTTTACCGATGATGAGTGATGTCAGGCATTTTCTTTTTTCTTTTTTTTTTTTTGTTTTTTGTTTTATAATCAGTTTCTGTTTATCCAGAACATTTTTCATTTACATGTTGGCCACTAGTATGTCTTCTTTTGACAAATGTTTATTCAGCCGGCCGTGGTGGCTCGCGCCTGTAATCCAGGCATTTTGGGAGGCTGAGGCGGGTGTATCGCCTAAGGTCAGAGATTTGAGACCAGCCTGGCCAACGTAGTGAAACCCCATCTCTACTAAAAATAAAAAAAATCAGCTGGGTGTGGTGGTGGTCGCCTGTAATCCCAGCTACTAGGGAGGCTGAGGCAGGAGAAGTGCTTGAACCCGGGAGGCAGAGGTTGCAGTGAGCCTAGATCACGCCATTGCACTCCAGCCTGGGTAACAAGAGTGAAACTCCATCTCAAAAAAAAAAAAGATCTATTCAGATCTTTTGCTTACGTAAAAATCAGATTACTTGGTTTGTTGTTGTGTGTTTTTGCTATTGAATTGTTGAATTCCAAATGTATTCTGATTGTTAATCCCTTGTGAGATGGGTATGTTTTTTTTGTTTGCTTTTGTTTGCTTTTGAGACGGGGTCTCAGTGTCACCCAGGTTGGTGTGCAGTGGCACGATTTCAGCTCACTGCAACCTCTGCCTCCCAGGTTCAAGCGATTCTCCTGCCTCAGCTTCCCTAGTGGCTGGGACTATAGACATGTGCCACCACGCCCGGCTAATTTTTGTATTTTTAGTAGAGACGGGGTTTTACCATGTTGGCCAGCCTGGTCTCAAACTCCTGACCTCAAGTGATCTGCCCACCTCGGCCTCCCAAAGTGTTGGGATTACAGGCGTGAGCCATCGTGCCTGGCCAGATGGGTAGTTTGCAAGTATTTTCTCCCATTCTGTGGGTTGTTTCTTTGTTGATTGCTTCCTTTGCTGTGCAGAAGCTTTTTAGCTTGATGTAATTCCATTTATCAATTTTTGCTTTTGTCACCTGTGTTTTTGAGGACTTACCCTCAAAAAGTCTTTGCCCAGACCAATGTCTTGAAGTGTTTACCCATGTTTTCTTCTAGTAGTTTCATAGTTTTAGGTCTTATATTTTAGTATTACATCCATTTTGCCTTGATTTTTGTATAGAGTGAGAGGTGGGGGTCTAGTTTCACTATTCTGCATATAGATCCCCAGTTTTCCCAGCACTGTTTTTTTCGGAGATTGTCCTTTCACCATTGAATATTCCTGGCACCTTTGTTGAAAATGAGTTGGCTGTAAATGTCTAGATTTATTTCTAGGTTCTCTATCCTGTTCCATTGGTCTATGTATCTGTTTTTATGCCAGTTTCAGTCATGTTTAAAAATGAGTTTGGCATCTCTACTTCAGAAATTAGTCAAGAATCTGTCCAGAGTTTAGAATATGAGTGCTCCAAAATTTATGTGATGGTTGTATTGGGTTCCTAAAATAGGAATAGTATTTGTACTTCACATAGACATTTTGAAAATGATATATAAGTTCTCTAGTGATATCTAACATCTTTGGTAAAATCCAGTCTACCAAAGAGCTGTTACTCACTGCATGTCTTAGTAAATGTTTTACTTGAATAATAATTTCCTAATTGAGATGATTATAGATGTTTCTGTTTTAGAGTGGAAAATTGCATGTCAGGCAGAAATTGAGATCCTTCTCCTGACTTCCCTTCCCTGCAGGTCCCAGCAGCTGAAAGCCTGCACTTAGTGGCCACAGCCTTATTTTTATCTTGTTTAAAACAACTGTAGTGATAATCTGGTTAAACAGTTCTAACTTGGAGCATGATTCAGTTGTTTCCCCATGTTCCCATAAAACCTCCCTACCCACCTTTATACTTTCTGAGTCTTGGTGTATGAGAGCCAAGTGAAAGGGGAAACCCCTTATTTACTACCATGAGAACATCACGAGAAAGATCCAACCCCATAATTTCAATTACCTCCCACTGGGTCCCTCCCATGATGTGGGAATTGTGGGAGCTACAATTCAAGATGAAATTTGGGTGGGGACACAGCCAAACCATGTCATTCCACCCCTGAACCCTCCCAAATCTCATGTCCTCACATTTTGAAACCAATCATGGCTTCCCAACAGCCCCCCAAAGTCTTAACTCATTTCAGCATTAACTCAGAAGTCCACAGTCCAAAGTCTCATCTGAGACAAGGCAAGTCTCTTCTGCCTATGAACCTGTAAAATAAAAAGCAAGTTAGTTACTTCCTAGATACCATGGGGGTTCAGGCATTGGGTAAATACAGCCATTCCAATTGGGAGAAATTGGCCAAAACAAAGGGGCAAAAGACCCCATGCAAGTCTGAAATCCAGCAGGGCAGTCAAATCTTAAAGCTCCAAAGTGATCTCCTTTGACTCCATGTCTCACATCCAGGTCACTCTGCTGCAAGAGGTGGGCTCCCATGACCTGGGGCAGCTCCACCTCTGTGACTTTGCAAGGTATAGCCTCCCTCGTGGCTGCTTTCACAGGCTGGCGTTGAGTGTGGCTTTTCCAGGTGCGTGGTGCAAGCTGTCGGTGGATCTACCGTTCTGGGGCTGGAGGATGGTGGCCCTCTTCTCACAGCTCCACTAGGCAGTGCCCCAGTAGGGACTCTGTGTGGGGGCTCCCACCCCACATTTCCCTTCCACACTGCCCTAGCAGAGGTTCTTCATGAGGGCCCCGCCCCCGCAGCAAACTTCCACCTGGGCATCCAGGCATTTCCACATACCCTCTGAAATCTAGGCAGAGGTTCCTAAAGCTCAATTCTGACTTCTGTTTACCCGCAGACTCAATACCATGTGGAAGTTGTCAAGGCTTGGGGTTTTCACCCTCTGAAGCCATGGCTGGAGCTGTACCTTGACCCCTTTTAGCCATGGCTAGAGTGGCTGAGAAGCAGGGCACCAAGTCCCTAGACTGCACACAGCAGGAGGGCCCTGGGCCTGGCCCATGAAACCATTTTTTCTTCCTAGACTTCCAGGCCTGTGTTGAGAGGGGTTGTCGCAAAGGTCTGACATGCCCTGGAGACATTTTCCCCATTGTGTTGGGGATTAACATTTGGCTCCTCGTTACTTATGCAAATGTCTGCAGCCAGCTTGAATTTCTCCTCAGAAAATGTTTTTTTTCTTTTCTCTTGCACCATCAGTCTGCAAATTTTCCAAACTTTTGTGCTGTGTTTCCCATTTAAAACTGAATGCTTTTAACAGCACCCAAGTCATCTCTTGAATGCATTGCTGCTTAGAAATTTCTTCTGTAGCAGGACAAGCTGCAGACAAAACCTCTGAGACACCAAGTTGTAGAAGGAAGGGCTTTATTCAGCTGGGAGCATCGGCAAGCTACTGCCTTAAAATCCGAGCTCCTCGAGTGCACAATTTCTGTCCCTTTTAAGGGCTCATGGCACTGAAGATTTCACATGAAAGGGTCGTGATTGATTTGAGCAAGCAAGGGGTATGTGACAGGGGCTGCATGCACCGGTGGTCAGAGAGAAACAGAACAGGGCAGGGAGTTTCACAATGTTCTTCTATACAATGTCTGGAATCTATGAATAACGTCGGTTTCTAAGTCATGAGTTGATTTTTAACTACTAGGTTTAGGCCAGGCAGGCCCAGGTCCGGTTTTGGGCCTGGCGCTGGGCTGCCTGTCTTTGATTTTATTTCCTTTTTTTTCTTTAAAAACAGGAACTGAGTATAAAACAATATAAAACAATATGAGAGGGCCTCTCTCTTTCCTCATTCCCCCCTTTTGAGACTCTCACTTTTTATTAGTGGGAGTTCTCACTCTTATTTTTGTTACTTATGTCTTTTTGTGCAATAGATTGATAGTGATTCATATAGTACACTTGTGCTGAAGCATTTTGGTGAACTAAGGTAGCGATGAAGCTTCTTATCATTTGAAGAAGTACAGGTAGCAAACAAGGGAGCAGTAAGCAGGGTTTTAGTATTATTATAACTCCTATTTATAAGAGTTTTAAATTTTCCTAGTGCTGGGAACTACCTTTTAAACATAGCTTCAGGGTTGAATCCGTGCTACACTTGCACGGGTACATGTGCCAGTTTTGTTATATCTTTAACTATGTCCTCAACTACTTGCCCCTGATCATCTATGTGTAGACAACAATTAGTAAGGTTAAATTTTCTACAGACTTTTCTTTCAGCTGCTACTAAGTAGTCAAGAGCTAGTCTATTTTGATAGATAGCATTTCTCATCAGAGTTTCTTGCTGGGCAAGAACAGTCAAGGCTTGACCGGTTTTATTAGTAATAATTTCTAAAACAGCTTGCAACCATATGATTCGGTTGAGCATGTAGATGGGGGTTCGAAATCCTCATGAGCCATCTTGTGCCTAAGTGGTGGGTCGGTAGTATTGTATGATTCTTTCAGGGGGCCATTCATTATTTTTCTAATCACCTATGGCTATGCTTCGTTTTTCATGGGAAGCATAGACTGGGAAGCCTAGAAGTTCACCTGTTTTTATGGGCAGTAAGAAGAAAGATGGCTTAATGGTGCCAATTACACAGCTCCCTGTCCACTGATCAGACAGCTTAGAATAAGCTCTGTGTCCACATATCCAGTATAACCTGGTGGGGGCTGTCCAGTCCTGGTGGAATTCTGGGTGGGCCTAAACAGTCTGCAACTTTGGAAATTTACTGAATGGATTTCTTTCTGTGTAATTGGAACTCCACCATGTAACTGTTTTTGTGGTACCATTATACAGCTTTTGCCCAAGACAACTAAGCCGCCCTATAGAATGAGTGAATTGTTTTCCTTCAATAGCTGTGCAATACTGTCTAATAATTGAGACTTTTAGAACCTAAAAATTGTCAGGGTGGTTCTTTTGGGCTGGGAATTCATCAGGAACTGGGTCTGTGGGAACTAATTCTCGGGCTTCCTATGGCCATTGATCTCCTGTTACGGTTCCTCCGCAAACATAACATGAGGTGACTTGTAGAGACTGGGCTACGTGTTCGGCTAATTGCAAAAACAAATTTTTAGTTTTTCCTGGAATCTCAGGTACTGGCACATTTAGTTTATCATAGAAAGTCTGAAATACTGGTTCTGGAGAGCGTCTTTGAACCTCTCCTTTTATTAGGATGCTTATACTAGGATCTAGTCCTTTTCCATCAATGCCTAATGTTACATATCTTTTTTTTATTTTACTTTGGGTCTGAGGGGTTTGTGATTATCAATTCTAAAGGGTTGCAGCTCCTACTCGTGCAGGAGGGGCTGACTTTTCTTTTTTTTGGAGCCAAACAGGATATTTTTTATCTTCTTTCTAAGTAGCCTAAATGACACAAGACTAGTATTGACACATCTCACATAAATATGATTTTTGACAGATGTACTTATTTTCTGCTGTGTAACTTTTTTTTCAATCTAGAGAACCGCATCCTATCCCATGCTGTTTACTATTAATAGCGGCACAGGCGTCAAATTTTAAGGTTACATTTTTGGGGACCTTTCTTTCTTCTGTTCTAGCTATTACCTTACTTGTGTCACCTAGAAAAGGACCAGTCCTTAATTTTATTTTAAAAACTGTGAACATGGGAGGCTTAAAATGGGTCATAATACGCATCAGGTTGGTTATTCCCTGGGCTGCATACCTTGGATAGAATAGCATTATACAAACAAGTTTCTTTTAGAGTCCCGGTACACTTATAATAACCATAAAATAATAGGACTGTAGCAATCTTTTGTCCTACCTCAGTGACTTGATGTATATACTGGAAACAGTTATCAGTCTGAGGAAGGTCAGTGGAAGTCCTTACTGTTCAAGTCCAAATTTTAAGGAAATTGGGTCCCGCGATGAATTTCCTCATGTTTCGGCCGTGCGTGGACCAGTCAGCTTCCAGGTGTGACTGGGGCGGGGCTTGTCGTCTTCTTCAGAGTCACTTTGCAGGGGTTGGCAAAGCTGCTCCTATCTACGTGCAACTCCCAGTCTACTGATGTTTAGGGGTGGTCTCGGTGGTTGGGCCTGCTAGAATAAACTGAGTCCAATACTTCTACACAGTTATGTTTAACTGGGCTCTCTGATACCAGGAGTAAGGTGGCGGGGTTTAGGGTGTTGCAAACTTCAATGGTTATGCGGGGATTTTCACAGAGCAAGCTTTGCTATCTAGTTAGTCTAGCATTCATTAGCTAATGGTGTCCTTTGGTATTTATTAAAATCACCACAGCATGGGGGGACTTTATGTTTAGGTTTTGTCTAAGAGTTAGCTTATCTGCTTTTTGTGCTAACAGGGCCATTGCTACCAGGGCCCTTGGACATGGGGGCCAGCCTTTGGAAACCTCATCTAGTTGTTTTGAGAGATAGGCCTTGGCCAGGGCCCTACAGTCTGGGTTAAAACTCCAACTGCCATTTTTTCTCTTTGACACATAGAGTGCAAAGAGTTTTGTCAGGTCAGGTAGCCTCAGGGCTGGGGCCGACATGAGTTTTTTTTTTTTTAACTCATGAAAAGTTCATTGCTGTTGGGTGTAATAGATGTAGTTTATCTAATCTACATTTTTATTGACTGTCATCTACCAAAATATTGACTTAAATCCTGTAACTATTTGATTTCAAGTTTTAAATTGATCTGGTATTCCTTGCGGGGCTCCAATTGCATCTAAATAGATGTGAGAGTTGAAAGACCTATAAGGGGCTTCTCTTGCTTTACGATGTCTTATTATTATTATTATTATTTTTTCCTTCCTCTGGTTGATGAAATGCCAGGGTGAAAGGGATAGCCAAATGGACTAAAGCACAAGTGCCACTCTAGTTATTCAGCAGAGTGCCTAGTAAAGGTCCACCACAATACTGCCACACATCCACTCAGGGATGAACAAGGACTGACTGATTGATAAGCTCTTGAAAATTCTTAAGCTCACTGCATCCCTTCAGGTCTCCAAGGAATGCTAAGTCTCCTCCCAGCCGTGAGAGACACGAAGTGAACTTAGTGTTGGGAGACGGAAGCTGGATGGCCCTCGGGAGCTGACCCGCAGGGACTTTGGGATATAGCAGAGAGAGCTTGGCATGACTTATTACTCCAGGCTGTAGAATCCTGGAAAAGAGCTACCATGCAGCCCACGCCTGGTCGACTGGAGGACCACCTTAGTGGAAGGGGGACAATCAGGGCCTCTGGGCTGCCATGTGCACAAGCATAACAATTGCTTTTGTTTAACGTGCAGATGGAATATTTGATCCGTTTCAACCAGGCATTTGCATCTTGGTATGCTGTCTTAATTGCTAAAGTTTAAGTCTTTAACTTTTATGATCCTCTAGTAAAATGAATGTTTTCTTTAGCACCAATTTTTATTAGTTTTTAGACTAAAGAAAGCTAAACACCATTTTATATGTAATAATGCTTCTTGTATGATTTTTATACCAGATAGGTTAAATTTTACCTTTATATTAGTGTGTTATTAATGTTAAAATTAATTTTAATAAAACCTTGTAGACATATTTATCCAATTTTTCATGTTTGACCATTAGGTAAGATTTTATAGACTCTTTTTAACCTTTTATAATTTTTGTTAAAGAGCAGGTTGATGCTTTAAGAAAAACCTGTTGCATTTTTACTTTAGTGTCCAGTTCACAGAAAAACTGGGTGATACCTTTTTAACTTTAGCTAATATTTACACACAGAATTTTCTTTACAATTAACATTTTAAAACTTGCTTAAACTTTCAAAACAATAATTTTTTTAACCTTTTAATGTAGGTAAAAATCCACATTCTTATGCCTCTTTATAATCTTTTTACTAAAGGTATATTTTACTTTTTTTATACACCTTGCACATAAACTGTTTTTTCAATGGTACTCAGGAGGCCTTATTACTTTTAAATTATACGACATTTTTTGCATAAAATTTTTTATAACTTTTTTTCATGACTTTCGCAATTTTTTTAACATGTCTCAACTTTTTGACTTATTGCAAACATTTTTTTCTTTAAACAACCAGTTAATTTATTTCAGGACAAGAATTTACCATATAACTTTTTTTTTATATAAATTCTGCCTCTTCCCTTTTTTTTTTCCTTTTTTTAAAGCAAACTTTCTTTATGTCTTTGGACTAGACTGTCTAAGGCCACAAGATTAGAAGTTACCATAATACATGTTACACTGTTAACTTTTAGCAAACTTCACTTTTGTTGAAAACCTTGTAAGTTTGAGATTTCAATTATCCTTTGCTATTAATAAGACCTTGTTTAGTATAAATTAACTTAGAATTGGTATAGATGGCCTTTTTTTCTCTCTGCTGGTCTTTCCTTGCCTCTGCCAGCCACTTATGCTGCTGTTCTCTTAACTACTGTTGCGGGGAAGGGGGTCTAAAACCAGCTATAACTGTCTATGTACGGAAACTGGTCTCGGTGCCTTGGCTTACAGGTTACCTTGTGTCATACCTTTGAAACAAGGGACCTGTCCAGGCTTCCTTCTGATGGCCAACCCACCTCTAATGCTGGCCAGCCTATTTCACACAAAGTTCTAAGTTTTCCTGGTGTCACAGTAACACCATAATCTCCCTTAAATTCTTTCTTGAAATTTTTCAACATAGTTCCTAGTGGGTTGGGCTTATTTGTGCCTGGCCCATGCTTCTTTGAGACAAAACAACACGCTCACACCACACACACACCACAAAACAAAGAACAGTTAAAAAGGGCACACACACACTTTTGCAGTTTACACCAAACCAAAATCAAAACCAAAATCAGAGTTTCCAGAAATCCAAGCCAGGTCAAAACCAAAACCAAAGTATCCAGCAATTCAAGTCAAGTCAAAACTAGAACAAAGGTGCCAATACAGGCACACCGTGGGTGATCAGGCCACGCTTCCACTCAGGTGGAGTGGGGTAAGTTCCAAAGACTAGTCCTACCAAGTCAAGCCAAGTCAAAACCAGAACAAAGGTGCCAATACAGGCACACCGTGGGTGATCAGGCCACGCTTCCACTCAGATGGAGTGGGGCAAGTTCCAAAGACTAGTCTTACCAAGTTTCAGATATCCAGACTCCAAATGCCAGTTCCTTCCTGGTGTTCAGCCACTGTGTTAATCCTCCATGGGGGCCTGCTACGGGCTGCTCTGGTGAGGCGTTCCACTGTGGAAATTTCCTACCCGGGAGCCCTCTTTGGATCGCGGCACTCAGGCTGGCCGGAGTCCCCCGCAGGGATGCTCCACAGGGCAGGCTTAAGCCGCCTAAGGGGCTGCCTCAGCCATCCATCAGTCACCTCGTTTCCCAGTCAGGGAACCAAAAAATGTAGCAGGATGAGCTGCAGACAAAACCTCTCAGACACCAGGTTGTAGAAGGAAGGGCTTTATTCAGCTGGGAGCATCGGCAAGCTACTGCCTTAAAATCCGAGCTCCTCGAGTGCACAATTTCTATCCCTTTTAAGGGCCCACAACACTGAAGATTTCACATGAAAGGGTCATGATTGATTTGAGCAAGCAAGGGGTACGTGACAGGGGCTGCATGCACCGGTGGTCAGAGAGAAACAGAACAGGGCAGGGAGTTTCACAATGTTCTTCTATACAATGTCTGGAATCTATGAATAACATCGGTTTCTAAGTCATGAGTTGATTTTTATCTACTAGGTTTAGGCCAGGCAGGCCCAGGTCCAGTTTTGGGCCTGGCGCTGGGCTGTCTTTGATTTTATTTCCTTGTTTTTTTTTGTTTATTTATTATTTTTTTTAAAACAGGTACTGAATATAAAACAATATGAGAGGGTCTCTCTCTTCCCTCACTTCCACCAGATACCCTAAACTATCTCCCTTAATTCAAAGTTCCACAAATCTCTAGGGCAGGTGCAAAATCCCACTAGTCTCTTTGCTAAAACATAGCAAGAATCACCTTCACTGTAGTTCCCAACAAGTTCCTCATTTCCATCTGAGACCACCTCAGCCTGGATTTCCATATCATTATCAGCATTTTGGTCAAAGCCATTCAACAAGTCTCTAGGAAGTTCCAAACTTTCCCACATATTCCTGTCTTCTGAGCTCTCTAAACTGCTCCACCCTCTCTGCCTGTTATCCAGTTCCAGGTTTTGGGTATCTTTACAGCAGCACCCCACTCTAGTACCAACTCACTGTATTAGTCTGTTTTCACACTGCTGATAAAGACATACCTGAGACTGGGTAATTTGTAAAGAAAAAGAGGTTTAATGGACTCAGTTCCACGTGGCTGGGGAGGCCTCACAATCACGGCGGAAAGGCCCTGTGAAAGGCACATCTTAAGTGGCTGCAGCAAGAGAGAATGAGAGCCAAGCGAAAGGGGAAATCCCTTATAAAGCCATCAGATCTTGTGAGGTTTGCTCACTGCCAGAGAACAGCACAGGAAAGACCTGCCCCCATGATTCAGTTGCCTCCCACTGGGTTCCTTCCACAACACGTGGGAATTGTGGGAGCTTCAATTCAAGATGAAATTTGGGTGGAGACACAGCCAAACCATATCACTTAGGAAAGGATATTTTGTAAGTGGGGAAGTTGAAGCTGAACTTAGTGGAGAGAGACTAAATGACCACACTCTCCTTTGTCTTATCTAAGCAATTATAATAAATGACACTCCAGGTGTCCTTGACTGCTGCCATCTCTGCTTTCAGTGACTTGAGTTTACAGCTTTGCACTCTGCTCTGGCAGAGATCTTCCTCTAGATACTTTGCCTCATGCCAGATATGCTGGGCAAACCTTGACCTTTTCTGGCTCCTAAAACAGCACTCTAGAAGTCTTGCCACTGGGCAGGAGAGGATTGGATTTCAAGCTCCTAAGTATGACTATGTGATATTCAAGTTTTGCCCCCTGTGCTTTCCATGAGGAATTAGGGGCTGACTCTGTCATCCCACTCCTACTTCATCTTCATGGATTTGGTCAGGCATGAGCATAGACTTAGTGGCCAACCTCTGACCACACCACTCACTGCTAGAGGCTCCCTGGGGCGGTAAGGATGGAGTAAGAGACTATGGTTCACAAGGACAGACTTGAGGACTAGCTGGGGCCCCTCTGCTACCTCTCACTGGCTTGGAGAATGGTGTTTTTCTATTTGCTTGTGACAGCAGGCACTTCATTTTCCCTCCTTTGGGAAATTTGAATGGATCTGGTAGAATGAATGAAGAAAGCCCATATGTAGTGTGGGTGGTGGTGGAGAGTGCGGGATCTGGAGTCTGTCTGCCTGGATTTGAATTATGACTCTACCGCCTACTACCTAATCTTATTGCTTAATCTCTCCATGCATCAGCGTTCTTGCATGCAATTGGCTGTCAGATATAAATGAGATATTTGTAAAGCAATTAGCGTATTGCCTTATACATATTATTATGGGCTGAATTTTGACCCCCTCAAATTCATATGTTGAAGCTCTAATCCTATGTATCTCAGAATGTGACTGTATTTGCAGATAGTGTCTTCAAAGAGGCAGTTAAATTAAAAATGAGGTTTTTAGGGTGGGCTCTGATTCAGTAGGACTGGTGTCCTTGATAAGAGGAGGAAATTTGGACCCAGACAGACACAGAAGGAGACCAAAAGTGATGGTACAGGGAGAAGACGGCCATCTACAAGCCAAGGAGAGAGGCCTCAGAAGAAACCAATGCTGCCAACACCTTCATCTTAGACTTCTAGCCTCCAGAACTGTGAGAAAATAGATTTCTTTTGTTTAAGCCACCCAGTCTGTGGTGCTTTGTTATGGGAGCCTTATAAACTAATATACTTACTAAGCAAACAATATTAGCTACTATAACTATTATCATTATTGGCCAGGTGTGGTGGCTCACGTCTGTAATCCTAGCACTTTGGGAGGCCAAGGTGGGTGGATCACCTAAGGTCAGGAGTTCGAGACCAGACTGGCCAACATGGCGAAACCCCGTCTCTACTAAAAATACAAAAAAATTAGCTGGGCGTGGTGGCAGGCATTTGTAATCCCAGCTACCTGGGAGGCTGAGGCAGGAGAATCGCTAGAACTCTGGGGGCAGAGGTTGCAGTGAGCAGAGATTGCACCACTGCACTCCAGCCTGGGCGACAGAGCAAGACCCTGTCTCAAAAAAAAAAAAAAAAAAAGGCCAGGCCTGGTGGCTCAAGCCTGTAATCCCAGCACTTTGGGAGGCCCGAGGCAGGTGGATCATGAGGTCAGGAGATTGAGAGCATCCTGGCTAACACAGTGAAATTTCATCTCTACTAAAAATACAGAAAATTAGCCGGGCGTGGTGGCAGGCGCCTGTAGTCCCAGCTACTCAGGAGGAGAATGGCGTGAACCCAGGAGGTGGAGCTTGCAGTGAGCCGAGATTGTGCCACTGCACTCCAGCCTGGGCGACAGAGCAGAGCAAATCTCCAAAAAAAAAAAAAAAAAAAAAAAAAAAACCCAGCTATTATTATTATTCCCAAGGCACTCAATCAAAGAAAAAATAAAACAACCACAAAAGGAGGAATTTTAATCAGAAACTGATGCTCACAATTTTAGTAAAAGAGACTATCCACAAAAGGGAAATAATAAACATTTTCCATAATTGTTATGGCTGGGAAAACCAGGTGGGACACCCTAACTAAGCTAATGAGGTTATGGGCCATGAAAACACTTAGTTGTCCTGGCAAGTCTGGGAAGATAATGCAGCTGGGAGCTCACCACACTCTGCCTGGGGAACTCTGTTGGGGCTCCATGCAAAGAATGACCTCCAAAAGGACTCTAATCAAGTAGCCTTGATAGCTGCAGTCCAGTAGCAATAGAAACAGACACAAAGTTTTTTCTTTTAATGGGGGGTAATATATTCATTTAGTAATAAAATCAAATAGTACAAAGGTGAATTGAAAAGTGATCTCACTTTTGACCCCCCAGCCTTAACCGCCACCAAGGTAACCACTCCCTTTTGTGCACCTTCCACAGATATCAGTGCATATACAGAAGTGTGCTTATATGTGTGTGTGTGTATAATATACATCTCGTCTGCTTTATTTTAAATTTATTTTAGTTGACAAAATTGTATTTGTTGTGTACAACATGATGTTTTGAAATATGTATTCATTGTGGAAGGTGAAATTGACCTAATTAACATGTGCATTACCTCCGCTTTATTTTTAAATGTAGATTATTGGTAGCAGTACATATAAAAGAAGAGCATATTTTAGGGCAGGCGCAGTAGCTCATGCCTGTAATCCCATCACTTTGGGAGGCCGAGGTGGGTGGATCACCTGAGTTCAAGAGTTCGAGACCAGCCTGGCCACCATGGTGAAACCCTGTCTCTACTAAAATTACAAAAATTAGCCGGGTGTGGTGGTGTGTGCCTGCAATCCCAGCTTCTCGGGAGGCTGAGGCAGGAGAATCACTTGAACCCAGGAGGCGGAGGTTGCAGTGAGCCAACATCGCGTCACTGCACTCTAGCCTGGGTGACAAGAGCAAAATTCCGTCTTGAAAAAATAAAAGCATATTTTAAAAAGAATCTAAGCTTTTATATAGCTACAATCCCTATGCTTCCCTCTAGCCAGTATTTTTGATCTGTCTGAGGTGCTCAGGTACCATTGCTTCTATAGCAAGATCCAGGCACTGTGCTGGTGCTGGGTAATGTTGGGACACAAATCAGGCATGATTTCTGACCTTGTGGTATTTGCAGTCTAATAGAGGGATTGATATTAAATGTTGGTGCAGATAATCAATTGTAATGTGCTGTGAGTCACAGCAGCACACGGTGATGATGGGACTATGGCCCTGACCGTGGCATCTCACACCTTGGGAAAGGGTGAGCAGGTCTCACTTTGCCGTTGAGCATGCCGACTCCACTTCCTCTCCCTGCGCTCAGTGATACCTCATTCTCTCCTCAGTGCCTAGTGTCCCCCAGTTCAGTGCCTCTCTGGTTCTTTTTCTCTATAAAATAAACCTAAAGTGTGTGTGTGTGTTGTTGGGCGGTAGACAGGATGTGGTCACCTAAAAATGTGGAATCAAGGTGGCCTGTGAAGTCTAACTCTTCCTTTTAAACAATCCGTTCCTACCTGGGGCCTTCTGTTCCTAAGCCTTTCTTGAGTTCTCTAGCAATTATCAGTTTTGACCTTCTTTTTTCATTTCTTTTTTGAGATGGAGTCTCACTTTATCCCCCAGGCTGGAGTGCAATGGCGCGATTTCTGCTCACTACAACCTCTGTCTCCTGGGTTCAAACGATTCTCCTGCCTCAGCCTCCTGAGTAGCTAGGATTACAGGCACCCCCGACCATGTCTGGCTAATTTTTTGTCTTTTTCTTTTTCTCTTTTTTTTTTTTTTTGAGACGGAATCTCACTCTGTCACCCAGGCTGGAGTGCAGTGGCACGATCTCAGCTCACTGCAACCTCCACCCCCCAGATTCAAGCGATTCTCCTGCCTCAGCCTCCTGAGTAGCTAGGATTACAGGCACCCCCCACCACGTCTGGCTAAATTTTTATATTTTTCTTTTCTGTTTTTTTTTTTTTTTTTTTGAGATGGAGTCTCGCTCTGTTGCCCAGGCTGGAGTGCAGTGGCGCAATCGGCTCACTGCAAGCTCCGCCTCCTGGGTTCATGCCATTCTCCTGCCTCAGCCTCCCGAGTAGCTGGGACTACAGGTGCCTCCACCACGCCCAGCTAATTTTTTTTTGTATTTTTAGTAGAGACGGGGTTTCACCATGTTAGCCAGGATGGTCTCGGTCTCCTGACCTTGTGATCTGCCCGCCTTGGACTCCCAAAGTGCTGGGATTACAGGCGTGAGCCATAGTTCCTGGCCTGACCTTGTCTTTCTTAACTTTGGGTTCTTCCAATAGGGGAGGAGGCGGCAGCAAAGACATCTTCACATCATCTTGTATCTAATGCCCATTTACTTATGTGTGTCTCCCAAACAGCTATGAAATACACAAGGGCAGGGGATTACCTCGGTATCTCCAGATGAGTGAAATGCCATGCACATCTTGATGGTTAGTAAATATTTATTGAATGGCAAATACTTAAAATCTGTGTAACTTTTTATATTCATATTCATATTTGCAAAGCCTCTGTCGGGTAATCAGGGGGCAGGTGGTATTATCCTGTTTTCAGAGTGTGAATATTTTTAAACTTGGTATCTATGACCAAATGAGTTACTCTTCCAAAGAGTTGCATTGCCATTAGTGATCATGGGGAAGCCTAGAGCATGAAAGCTCCTTACTCTATCACTTTCCCCAAAACTTTCCTGTCCTTCCCTTCAAGACACTTGTGGTGGCATCAGTAGCAAGACAGGTAAAGACTCATAGGCAGTAAGATGTTCTTTTGATTTAAAAAATGGCTTCATCTGCCTTCCTGGTTACACTCTCTTCTCACCAGATATACAAAGAAACCTGATCTTATGAATATGAGAACTCCTCCACAAGATATTTTGCTTTGTAAACCACTCTTGGAGGTTGGCCAAAGTGCCAAAATGCAGCTATTGGGTAGGTTGAGGAAAGTAGACAGAGAAGTAGATTAGGTGGTGCATGTGTTTTGATTTCCTCCTTGGATTTCAAGTATAGACATAATCTGTGACTATTTGCCTGTGCAAAGCTAGTTATTAAGCAGAACTGGGGCATTAATGTTTCTGAATTTTATCCACTATTATACAACTCAAATGGGCTGGGCATGGCGGCTCATGCCTGTAATCCCAGCACTTTGGGAGGCCAAGATGGTGGGTCACCTGACATCAGGAGTTCAAGACCAGCCTGGCCAACATGGAGAAACCCCATCTTTACTGAAAATACAAAAATTAGCCGGGCATGGTGGTGCATGCCTGTAATCCCAGCTACTCAGGTTGCTGAGGCAGGAGAATCGCTTGAGGCAGGAGGCAGAGGTTGCAGTGAGCCGAGATCATGCCACTGCACTCCAGCCTCGGTGACAGAGCAAGACCCTGTCTGAAACAAAACAAAACCTCAAATGGTTAAAGGTAACAATTCTCATCACATCATGGGAAAAGGGCACATGGTATTATGGGATTAAAAATCAGTAGGGTGTGAATGCCAACCATCCTCCCAGAGGTACAGAGTTCACTAATAGAGGTCTGGCATATCCAGCCTAAAAGTAGCTACTTGTGCATTGCCATCTCCCCCAACCTCCACAGCTGATGGCAGAGCCCTAACAATGTCATTTATAGCCAGATTTATTTTTACTTTATAAAATTAAATGTGACTATTTTAAGAAATACTAGTCTACAATAGAGAAGTCAATTTAAAAGCTTATTTGGGCTGGGCGTGGTGGCTCCCAGTAGCCTGTAATCCCAGTACTTTGGGAGCCTGAGGTAGCCAGATCGTTGAGTTCAGGAGTTCGAGACCAGCCTGGCCAACAGGGCGAGACCCCATCTCAACCAAAAATACAAAAATTAGCCAAGCGTGGTGGTGTATGCCTGTAGCCCCAGCTACTTGGGAGGCTGAAGTGAGAGGACTGCTTGAACTCGGGGTGGAGGTTGCAGTGAGCCAAGATCGCCCCACTGCACTCCAGCCTGGGCAACAATGCAAGACCCCTCAAGACAAAACAAGCTTATTTGATGGGCCTTAAGGAATATTCCTGTACTCCAACTGTTATGAAAATAAAAGAGAGTAGATGAAAAGATCGACTACACAGCTACAAGACTTAACTAATGTAAGATCCGGAAAAGATGTTTAGGTGATCAGGGTGGCACACTTGATGGCAGGTAGGGTGCATCATCTGAGACTGAGGGTATAACCCATGACAGTCAGTGGGGTTGAACGGAGTCCACAAGCTCTCTGGGTGGCCTGCTCCATTGGCAAGATGAGGGCCACCTCCTCTAAGAATTCTTCATATCTTTAAAACTGCTCTTCACATTTTTATGTTTTTTCCAAATTTATTGTCCTTCCTCAAAGACACTATGTTGTGTCCATATAGAATTGATTATTACATGATTCATCTAGGGAAAAGCTTGAGTAGAAAGTGAGAAAAATGAGAGAAAACAATGTTAAACAACTTTAACAAATATTAATGTTTCACTTAATTCATTAAACATTAAGGAAATGTTTAATGAAGTTATTTGATGTCTCTGAGCTTCTGGCTCCTTTTCAGGTAAATGAAAACATCCTAAAGAATGAAACTGTTTCTTCAGCCATACTTAAATTTTTTTTTTCTGTGATCTGAGAGACAAAACTTTATTAATAGCCAATCATCTAAAAAGGAGGGAAAATTATGGAACACAGGAAGATCCTTACAAGAAAATTTCTTGGTAAAATAGTTCCAAATTTCAGCACCCTCCCCGATGAGTTAGTGAAACAGCAAATGGACCTCACTAAAAGGCAGTTAAGCTACAGACTCTGAGGACAGTTACAAAGGAGGAGCTTTCCTGCAGAAAACAGAACCAGAGACAGGCTGAGTGTGAGCTAGTTTTAGGCATTCATGTTGAATAACCATTTGTTAATATGGCTGTATCCAATTATAATCAATCAATCAGGTTAAAAATGGTTATTGTGTTGAAAATATTGTGTCAAGTTACTATGATGAGAAAGAGATGATGTGTGTGGAAGTCCTGACAGCACAGAACTTGTAAGTAACAGAATTTCATCAATCTACACATATAAAAGGGGGAAAAAACCCCAATGCTGAGGACTAGCCCCAGCCTCCCAAACAAAAAAAAATCCCCAGAAGTGGAAATTCATTATGTCTTAACAAGACTTGAAATAAATTATGTTCAGACACAGGCTATGTATCTCTTTGGTTCCATATTTACCATGTAATTTTCAGAAAAAGAATCCTCCCAACATTTGCAAGTACATATTCTGGCAATGGAAGACCTATTTCTGTTAAATAACCAGGTGAGTTATTTCTGTTAAAATAATAACTAACTTTTTTCTATTGAAAAAAATAGGCATATAAAAATTGGCATTTAAGTTTTTAAGAAGTAATGTAGTTTTTGCTTTCTCTGTAATTTAATTAATAATTATATCAAAATGAAAATGAACACTGAAGATCTACTAACAAACAAGTACACTCTTAAAACTCTCTAAAAGGATGAGTGCTAAATTAAATTTTCCCATTTTTGCTGCCCTTTTTTTATTTTTTTTTTTGTTTTAACCCTGAAGAAGTTTTGGTAAGGAAATTGCAATATCAAACAGGATATAAAAATATGTTAAATAATTTACTTCATTAAAACTCAGAAAAGGGTAGGGTAAGAAAGATGTAACCAATACAGGCTTATAAAAAAGATGAAGTCACACTGCTATATTATTTTATATTTTATTCAATTTTAATATGGTTTCCATTATTAACTTTTAAAACAAAATGATTTCCAGTTTAAAAAACAATGCACTGACCACATAATTCCTTTTTTATTTTACACAGTTATACAAATATTCTAAATACACATTTTGTGTTCAAGATGATGGCAAATAAGATTAACTGTACAGTACATAAGGAAAGAAAATATTTTAAGTATATTTAGAAGCAATAGAAATGTCTATACAAAACAAGCAAATGGAATAAAATTTTTTATTTTTAAAGTATTGCAACAGGCCCACAGGTTTGTAACAAAAATGTCTTTGCACAGTTCCTCACAATGCCCCATTAATAGCTAAAGCAAGACAGCATTTTTTAAAAAAAAATAATGTTTCAAAATGCTACACGTGGTACTACTGTTTGCACAGTTTGATCAAAATAACGATCTACTTTGAGTCAAGCAAAACCTAGAGGAAATATACCAAACAACTTGAAAATCATTTGTATAAAAATCATTGCACATTATTTTGCTCGTTTGAAAAGTAAAAAAGTGTATTTACAAAATATTTTGCAGTCAAAATTATAAAGTGAATGGATATCTCGAAGTAACACGTCTTGATACAGACAGTTCAAGGAAAACACACAAATGCTTTTTCTTTAAGAGGTTTTCAGTGCTCCTTCCACTGGGAAGTAAACATGATCTACTCAAATGAATTTACAAGATGGTACACATACTGGAGCAAATCCAACACCTGCATTATAAAACAATGTTTAAAAGGTGACAGAATGAGGAATTTGTACATTGTAAGAAGTGAGCTATTCAGAGATCAACAAGTACATTTTAATTCGGTTAGCATAGAAGTCTTCATAGTCTTCAGATAACAGACAGTGAACATCCTTGACTCGATGAAAGTTAAAAAGCACCATGCACAACAGTTTAGTGGTAAGCACTGAAAAAAATAGCACCTGTAATACTGTGATATTGACAATTTAAAACTGGTCTAATAACTGCCGGAGATATGGTGCCTTGGACAATTCTCTATTTACTCGGGAGAGTTTGAAAAGTACTGGGCAGTTCAGAGAAACACATGGGATGTGTCGATCAAAGCAACCTGTACAGTTCTTGCATATCTGAAAGCATAAGAGAAATACAAAAAATAATAGGAAAGTTTTTATGCGTGTATGCAAACAACAAATTTTTATAATCCCTACTTTCTAGACTACCACAGATTACTGGCAGACATACATTACAGAAACTTTCATTAATTTTAATCTCTTGGAAGCCTAGACTACCCTATGTTGAGACATTTCTAAAGGATATTATTTTGTAAAGATAGAGTACAAATTTCCCTAAGGATTCATTTAATTCCTAAGATTAACTTTCATTTACAATGGAATCCTATTAAAATCTACATAAGCTACCCAATTACCAAAGAATGTCTCTTACATGAACTATAAACACGTTTTCAAAGTACTTAGACTATATTCTCATATGCCAATCATAAAAAAGTTACTCTTTTTCGTATTCCAGAAGAGAAAAGCAACCTGCTGAAGCCACAGCAGAAAAACATAAATTGTGAAGATTTCATGGACATTTGTTAGTTCCCCAAATTAATACTTTCATAATTTCTTATGCCTGTCTTTACTGCAATCTCTGAACATGAATTGTGAAGATTTCATGAACATTTATCACTTCCCCAATCAATACTCTTATAATTTCCTATGCCTGTCTTTAATCTTTTAATTCCGTCATCTCCGTAAGCTGAGGATGTATATCGCCTCAGGACCCTGTGGTGATTGCGTTATCTGCACAAATTGTTTGTAAAGCATGTGTGTTTGAACAATATGAAATCTGAGCACCTTGAAAAGAACAGGATAACAGCGATTTGCAGGGAATAAGGGAGATAACCATAAAATCTGACTGCCTGCAGGGCCTGGCAGAACAGAGTCATATTTCTCTTCTTTCAGAAAGCGAATAGGAGAAATATCGCTGAATTCTTTTCTCAGCAAGGAATAACCCCGGGAAAACGAATGCATTCTCAGGGGTAGGTCTCTAAAATGGCCACTCTGGGAGTGTCTGTCTTATGCAGTTGTAGACACGGGATGAAATATGCCCTGGCCTCCTGCAGCACCCCCAGGCTTGCTAGGATTAGGAAATTCCAGCCTGGCGAATTCTAGTCAGACTGGTTGTCTGATCACGAACCCTGTTTCCTGTTAAGATGTTTATCAATGACAATGTGTGCCCAGCACGACATGGACCTTCATCAGTAATTCTAGTTTCACCCTGGCCTTGTGATCTCACTCTGCCTCTTTGCTGTTGTGATATTTTACTGCCTTTGAAGCATGTGACCCACTCCCTATTCGTACACCCCTCCCCTTTTGAAACCCCTAATAAAAACTTGCTGGTTTTGTGGCTCAAGGGGCATCAAGGAACCTGCCAACATGTGATGTCACCCCCAGAGACCCAGCTGTAAAATTTCAAAAAAAAAAAAAATCAAATAATGTGAATTTGAAAGTAGTGGTGCAGACCAGTGGTTCTTAACCCTGGCTAACAATGAGCTTAAAAATAAACAAGTGCCCCATCCCAGACCCATAATGAGTCAGAATCTCCAGGCATGAAAGCCTAAGAATCTGTACTTCTTAAGGCTTCCCAGATGATTTGGATGTATAATAAGATCTGATCTTAAGGAAAATAATAAATCATAAGGCAATTTTTAAAAAGAGAAGCACTATAATGTTTTACACAATGATCAATTTTTAAAAATACTTTAAAGTCTCAAGTTGCATATATAGTTAAAAAAAAGGTTATAAAACATGAAGAACATAAAAAAATTAAAAAGGATGCCAATGAAGACTCCAAAGGTTAAGAAAATGCAGGCCGACTTTCACCTGAATAGTGTAGACAAGTGATTTTAAAAAAGCCATACCAAATGGCAACAACTACTCTGGATTGTCTTTTAAGAGAAATCAAATACGCTCTAGTGAATTCTTTGATCTATATTTATCAAAGGGTTTCAGTTTCAGAGATGGCTCACAGGCCAGTGAAGTTTTGTTCTTTGCCCCAGTTATCTTCCAGTTAACCGAAGGGCACACTTTTTCTAAGTAGACTGGTTACTGTATCCAATATTATGATATTGTCACAAGCAGACTGCTTACAAACATGTGCTTCAGTATGCTCCATGAAGACTGAGTATGCTGTTCTATGATGAAGCCTTTGCTAATTAGATCTCTGCCAAGAGACTCAAATCTATTCCCAAATATAGAATTTCTGTATTACAGCTCTATGAATTGCAGTTACATTCAGGTGCCAGGACAAACTGATAAATATTTAAGCTCTTTCTGTGCTTGTCTGATAAATAAGCCAGGATGGAATTACTTGACTCACTAAATTTAACTCAGTGTTTAGTTTCAAGATCCTTTACTGGTTTAAACCCTGAGCATTATAGCTTGATTCAGGCTTACATTTAAAACTTTAGTGCCCCAACCCGGACATCTACTTTGTAGCACATAGGGAGGCAGGCACTTAAAAAATATCTGCTTTAATCTTTATTCTTTTTACTATCCTTTGGCTTTCTTGTTCAAAAAAAATTTAGTCAAGGCTGGGCACAGTGGCTCATGCCTGTAATCCTAGTACTCTGGGAGGCAGAGGCAGGTGGATCACCTGAGGTCAGGAGTTTGAGACCACCTGGCCAACATGGTGAAACTGTCTCCACTAAAAATACGAAAATTAGCTGGGCGTGGTGGTGCATGCCTGTAATCCCAGCTACTCGGGAGGCTGAGGCAGGAGAATTGCTTGAACCTGGAAGGCAGAGGTTGCAGTGAGCCAAGATTGCACCAACTACACTCCAGCCTGGGCAACAGTGAGACTCCGTCTCAAAAAAAATTTTTCAGTCAGATGCTTGCTTCATTTGCTTTCATTCTTTCATGTTTATGATTAACAGTGTTAAGGTGATGAATTTTTCTCTGAGGTCTGCCATCTAGAATCTGATTTGCAGTGTTTTCATTTTGTTTAACAGAATTTACAAGTGGAAGGATCACTTTTTTTTTTAGTTTGTAATTAATTACCATTTTATAGCATTGTATTACATTCATTTGTAATATTTCTACTTTTTGAAATGTACTGAGGCTTTCTTTTCTTTCTTTTTTTTTTTTTTTTTGAGATGAGAGAGAGCGTCTCATTCTGTTGCCCAGGCTGGAGTGCAGTGGCATGATCTCAGTTCACTGCAACCTCTGCCTCCTAGGTTCAAGTGATTCTCCTGCCTCAGCCTCCTTAGTAGCTGGGATTGCGGGTGCCCGCCACCATGCCTGGCTAATTTTAAATTTTAATTTTTATTATTTTATTTTTAATTTATTATTTTTGAAATGGAGTCTCACTCTGTTGCCCAGGCTGGAGTGCAGTGGCACAATCTCAGCTCACTGTAACCTCTGCCTCCCTGGCTCAAGCGATTGTCCTACCTCAGCCTCCCAAGTAGCTGGGATTATAGGTGCCTGCCACCATACCCTGCTAATTTTTGTATTTTTAGTAGAGATGGGGTTTTGCCATGTTGGCCAGGCTGGTCTCAAACTCCTGCCCTCAAGTGATCCTCCTGCCTCAGCCTCCCAAAGTGCTGGGATTATAGGCGTGAGCCATGATCCCCAGCCGAGGCTTTTTTTTTTTTTTTTTAACAGACTATGACTTTTTTTTTTTTTTTTTTTTTTTTTTTTTTTTTTTTAAGATGGAGTCTTGCTCTGTCACCCAGGCTGGAGTTCAGTGGTGTGATCTCGGCTCACTGCAGCCTCTGCCTCCTGGGTTCAAGTGATTTTCCTGCCTCAGCCTCCTGAGTAGTTGGGAGTACAAGGCTCATGCCACCATGCCTGGCTAATTTTTGTATTTTTTAGTAGAGCTGGGGTTTCTCCATGTTGGCCAAACGTTTCAAACTCCTGACCCCAGGTGATCTACCTGCCTTGGCCTCCCAAAGTGTTGGGATTACAGGCATGAGTCACCACACCTGGCCAGATATTTTTAAAACATTCTAGAAACACTTAAGAAGTATATTTTTTGGTACTGGGTTACAGAGTTTGATATATAATCACAAGGTCTGACTTATAATGTTTACAATTTCCATAATTTCACTTATTTCTGATCACTTGATTGGTCTTGGATTGAGAATGATGTAAAATCTCCTGTTTGGATGTGTTTCTAATTCTCATTACATCTCTAGTAATTTCTGCTTCATTAAAAATTTCTACAAATTAGTGCATGGGAGACATTTAAAACATTCTAGAAACACTTAAGAAGTACATTTTTTGGTACTGGGTTACAGAGTTTGATATATAATCACAAGGTCTGACTTATAATGTTTACAATTTCCATAATTTCACTTATTTCTGATCACTTGATTGGTCTTGGATTGAGAATGATGTAAAATCTCCTGTTTGGATGTGTTTCTAATTCTCATTACATCTCTAGTAATTTCTGCTTCATTAAAAATTTCTACAAATTAGTGTATGGGAGACATTCATTTGAACGTTCTTGAAAAACACCTCAAATTAAAATAGCTCTTGAAAGATGACAAACCATCATTATTTATAAATAGCATCGCTTTTTCTTTTTTTTTTTTTTTTCGATCCAAGGGTATACATGTAGGTTTGTTACATGGGTATACTGTATGATGTTGAGGTTTGAGCTTCTAATGATCCTGTTGCCCATGCAGTAAATGTAGTATCTGACAGGTGGTTTTTCAACTTTTCCTCTCCTCACCCCCCTTTTGGAATCCCTAGTGTTCATCATTCCCATCTTTATGTCCATGAGTACCCAATGTTCATTATATGTGAGAACATGCAGTATTTGGTTTTCTGTTTCTGCGTTAATTTGCTTAGGATAATAGCCCCAGCTGCATCCATGTTGTTACAAAGGACATGATTTTGTTCTTTGTTCTTTTTTTTTTTTTTTTGAGACAGAGTTTCGCTCTTGTTCCCCAGGCTGGAGTGCAATGCTGCAATCTCAGCTCACTGCAACCTCTGCCTCCCAGGTTCAAGCGATTCTCCTGCCTCAGCCTCCTGAGTAGCTGGGATTACAGGCATGTGCCACCACGCCTGGCTAATTTTGTATTTTTAGTAGAGATGGAATTTCTCCATATTGGTCAGGCTGGTCTCGAACTCCCGACCTCACGTGATCCGCCCGCCTCGGCCTCCGAAAGTGCTGGGATTTGTAGGCATGAGCCACCACGCCCGGCCGATTTTATTCTTTTTTTATGGCTGTGGCATCACTTTCTTTTAAACTGTATTTTTATAAGAAATAAGATGGCCGGGCATCATGGTTCATGCCTGTAATCCCAGCCCTTAGGCAGCTGAAGTGGGAGGATTGCTTGAGTCCAACAGTTTGAGACCAGCCTGGGCAACATAGTGAGACCCGATGTCTAAAAAAAAATAATTAGTAAAACATGGTGGGATATGCCTGTAGTCCCAGCTACATGGGAGGCTGAGCTGAGAGGATCACTTGAGCCCAGGAGGTTGAGGCTGCAATGAGCTGTAATCATGCCACTGCATTTCAGTCTGGGTGACAAAGTGAGACCCTACCTCAAAAATAAAATAAAATAAAAATAAATAAATAAAAAGAAAAAAAGAATGAACACCTAATGTTGAAGGAGGATGGGCTCTGGGTAAATTGATGGCACCAAGTAGTGATGTGTTTGTCATTGAGTGCAGAAAAAACATAAGAAAGTCTAGGAAAGGACCATTTAACAGCCTGACCTTAGCAGAGCCCTGGAGGTCCTGCTCTCATTTAGGCGTCATACTAGGATCCAGCAAGGGAATTTTCTATGAGAGTTGGCTGCTGCCATCAGGACAGAAGTCTATTAAATAAATAGAAGCTGGGAGCACCCAGTGACTTCAGTGGTTGTACTGACTAGAACCACAAAACTGGTAAAAAATGGCTGAAAGTTGGTTGGTAATAACTCCAGTGATATATTCCTTCTTTAATCATGCATTAACCAGGAACTTGTTCATTTATTCAATAAATATTTACAGACCAGCCCCATGGGCTTGGCTATATGCTAGGCATAACTGACTTGACAGTCAAAGAACTGGGCCTCTGTCCTCACTGGTTCATTTGCTATTTAGTGAGGAAGACAGACAAACCCCAAATCACAGTAAAGCAGAGGAGATTATGGCAGGAGCCTACTGCAAGGAAGGCTTCACCCAGTCCAGAGGTTTCAGCTGATTCCTCAGAAGATGGGGGGTGGGGTGGGATAGGTAGAGGAAAGTGTTCCTGGCAGAAGGAGCAGGGTGTTTAAAGGCCAGGAGGAGGCGGCGAGGGGCATTCACAGACCTAAGAGAAGTTCAATATGGTATGGGTCGAGGTAGAGTGTGACAGAGAAGAGCAAGAAATCGTGACAGAGGGATAGCAGGTAGGGACAGAACGGAGATGACTTATCAACAATAAGGAGTAATGATTTTATTGGGGGGTGCGAGGTGGCAAATTTTTCTTTAGATTTCATTCTTCAACTTACTTTGAGATGTTTGTTGTTTATTTCTGCTAGAATTCTCATACTTGAAAAATCATCCTTGCATTTTATGTCTATATCCCAGCTCGGCCACTTAGCAGTGTAACATGCAAATCACTTAAACTCTCTGTATCAGTTTACTCACCTGTAAAGGTGCCTAGAACAGTCTGTGGCACACAGTATGACTCAATCATGCCATTAATCATCTACCTGGACTCACAGAATTATAAACCTTCCAAGTTTACTAGCAAGCAATTCTCTAAGACAACTAGGTATTTTTCTTTAAAGAATGGTAAGCACTAGTAGAGCAATTGAGACTTTTCCTTTCTTCTTTTTAATACTGTAGATTGAGTATCCCTTATTTGAAACGCTTAAGACCAGAAGTGTTTCAGATTTCAAATTTTTTCAGATTTTGGAATAAGTGCATTATACTTACTGGTTGAGTATCATTAATCTGAAAATCTGAACTCTGAAATGCTCTCATGAGCATTCCCTTTGAGAGTCACGTTGGTGCTCAAAAACTTTCAGTTTTGGAGCATTTTGAATTTTGATTTTTCTCAATTAGGGATGCTCAACCTGTATTATAAAAGAAATTGGATGGATGGCCATTCTTGTTGTAGCTATTAAGAAACACAACACACTATTCCATAAAAAAAACAAAAAATAAATTATAAAACAAACCATTATTAATAGTTTATGATATTTTTGAGATTTTTAGGAAGTTTATCATTTAGACTCTTCATTTCACTTTTCACACCAGTTTTGTATCTCACACTATAATTCAAGAGTGACTATATCTTCCTGTAAGATCAGACTGCTTGTGATTCTGGGCCCATGGAACAAAACTGTACCTTTACAAGTTGCTCCTGTTGACGTTCCAACTCCCGGATTTCTTGGTTGAGGATGACTGCAACATGCTGAGGTTGGCTCCGACATTTACTACAGATGCCATGCTGAGTTAGGTCATCACACACAGGACAGTGTAAGGTAGTAAAATATTGTGAAATAGTGCCTTTCCGCCCTTCAGGTTCACTTCGCGAGGAGCTGGTAGCTTTATGGATCTATAAAAACATCCATTCAGAAGTAAGCCTGAGTCAGCTTCACAGCAAAGCTGCTATTTTCATGCTAATTACAGGTTTACTCAGGCATTCATTCATTCGTTCATTCACTCATTCAACAAATGTTGAGTAGCTACTATGTGCCAGGCACTGTTCCAGACACTGGAGCTACAGAAATGAATGAAGTCCTTGCCTTCATGGAACTTACATCTTAATATTATCAGATACATTTTTTTTTTATTATTATAATTTAAGTTCTAGGGTATGTGCAGGTTTGTTACATATGTATACATGTGCCATGTTGGTTTGCTGCACCCATCAACTCATCATTTACATTAGGTATTTCTCCTAATGCTATCCCTCCCCCAGCTCCCCACCCCCCGACAGGCCCTGGTGTGTGATGTTCCCCGCCCTGTGTCCAAGTGTTCTTGTTGTTCAATTCCCACCTATGAGTGAGAACAGGCGGTGTTTGGTTTTCTGTCCTTGTGATAGTTTGCTGAGAATGATGGTTTCCAGCTTCATCCATGTCCCTGCAAAGGACATGAACTCATCCTTTTTTATGGCTGCATAGTATTCCATGGTGTATATGTGCCACATTTTCTTAATCCAGTCTATCATTGATGGACATTTGGGTTGGTTCCAAGTCTTTGCTATTGTGAATAGTGCCGCAATAAATCCCTTTGTAAAAAAGTTATTAGGTTAGCCTCTTACAAATGTCATTGGGTTAACATTCTTGCCGATGATGAAATGAACATTAGTAATAAAGAATCTGAGTTTCCTGCCTTAGAGCCAGGATATGTGCTCAGAACACTTAGTAACATATAGGTGGGCAAGATCATCTAACACAAAGCCTATTTTATAATAAAGTGTTGAATATCTCATGGAATTTATTGAATACTGTACCAAAAATGAAAAACAGAATGGTTGTATGGGTACTTGAACTACGGTTTCTACAGAAGGCATATCATTTTCGCACCATCGTTAAGTAGAAAAATCTTAAGTTGAACCATCATAAGTTGGGGAACAACTATAATGCTATTTTACCATTGCAGTAATTCTTTACTCTGGTTTCTTCAGGGCTGTGTCTAGTGTGTCTAGATACTAAATCCTACACCTTTCTTAGACATTCATTTCGAAGGAATTTTTGCTGTACATTTATTTTCTATTAACTGGCTTATTCTACGTTATTTGCGGCTACCATTGAAATTGTTGTGGGATTTATTTTAATATTTCTATAATTTGGCCAACTTGATAGAAGCTAGGAATGTGTTTGTAGAATACTTAAAACGTTTATCTTTTAGGAAACCAGGAGAGCATGGCATCTTTGCCAGTTTAGGACAGAGGATCTGCTTTGCTCTCACAGTGAAACAGGAAAGGTTCCCTTGTTCCCCTTGCAGGGTGTGCGAGAGGGACAATGGCTCGCTTCTTCAGTGCCCCGCTGCTCAAACCTCTAGGGGAGCACACAGACGGGCAGGTTGTGGAGCTCTGGCCCCATGGCAGTGTCTAGGGGTGAATGTTTACAGCTGAAGCCCCAGTGGGTGTGTGTTACAGGGTATTCTTTTAGTTTGCTGTCTATAGGCGGCTTGTGTTAACCAGCTCAATTAGACCCTCTAGCTTGTCTCAAGGATGGAGGGCTTTCTGTATTCCGGGTTCTTGCCTTGGTGTACCAGAAGAATCCGATCACCCGTGGGCTAGGAGAATGAGTGCAACGTTTTATTGAGTGGAAGTAGCTCTCATCTGATGGTGGAATCAGCAGGGAGATGGTTTTCCCCTGGAGTTGGGCTTCTAGGTGGCCCCGTCTCTTCTCTGACTGCCCTGGCCAAACTCCACCTTGTCCTGCCGGTCAATGGCCTGCCAGCATGCCAGTGCCTCTCGGTGTGCTGTTCTGCTGGCGTGCTCCTCTTGACGACCAGCTGCTTGGGTCTTCCACCGAAGTGTTCCTCACAATGTCCAGCCGCTCGTGTGTCTGCCCACTAGGGTCTCGGGTTTTTATAGGCCCAGGATTGGGGCATGGCAGGCCAAGGTGGTCTTGGAAAATGGTAACATTTGGGCATGAAAGCAGGAGTGCCTATCCTCACCTAGATCTGTGGGGGTGGAGCCCTAGCCAGGGACCCACCTTTCTCTACCCAGCACTTCCCCTCCCGCTTTCCGTATCATTTTACGGGACCACACTCTTCCCTTCCCAGCACTCCCATATCAATAGCACATAAAACCTTTAGTTCTACTGAAAATTTGGAGTGAAATCTCTCCATAGTTAGAGCACATGTACTATTTGGTAAGCTTACCCTTGGTAATTCATGATACCAGCTGAAGACATCAATACCAATAAGTGAGAAGATTCTTGCCAAGGGTGGAAGGATTTGCTTGGTAATATAGTAAGTAGCATTCAGTCTCAGAGTTGGGTCCTGCAGGACTTCCACTGGGCGCCTTACAAGCTGGATAAGTGGTACTCCGGGGGTCCCATAAATGATGACGTATGGCACTCGCTCCCCAACCTGAGGCTCAGAGCGCCGGTCATAAGTCAGCATTTTCCTATTCGAATTCAAAGAAAAAAACCACACCCAAATACTGTTATGGAAGCCATCTTTCTCACAAATTAAGTCAGAATTAAACAATAATAAAACAATGAAAAAACTACAAAAGACAATTTCAAAACAGAATTACTATTTCTTTGAGAATAATATATATACATTTTGCTTAGTTGACACCAAGTGTAGATATCCTACAAGAGTTTAAAAATTACTCTGTAAATCACTGTTACCTGGAAAATAATGAGTTGGCAGATATCAACTAGCTTAAGATGTATTTTAGGTGGGAGTGGTGGCTCATGCCTGTAATTCCAGCACTTTGGGAGGCCAAGGATCACCTGAGCCCAGGAGTTTGAGACCAGCTTGGGCAACATAGCGAGACCCCCATCTCCACAAAAAAATTAGCCACCATAATGGTGCACACCTGTTATCCCAGCTACTTGGGAGGCTGATGTGGGAGGTTCGCTTGAGCCTGGGAGGTCAAGGCTGCAGTGAGCTGTGATTGCACCACTGCTTTCCAGTCTGGGCGACAGAGTGAGACCCTGCCTCCAGGGGCAGGAAAAAGATGTATTTTATCCCCTAAGAATGAGAACTAACTATCATTAAATCTATCATGAAAGATAAGAGAAAATTTACCTGGTTAAACTATCTGATTCCAGAATGATACCATCTAAATGCTTTGGTAGAACAATATTAAGGACTACCTAGTGATTTTGATGTGGGAAAAACAAATGAATCAAGGACTGTGTCACAATTTCTTTGCATAAGTTTCTGAAGGAAAGCCCAAAAGAGGATTTCCTCTTCACATCTTACGAAGTATGAGGGAATATTCACTAACTTTCAGTGAGGCTTCATGTGCGCAGGTAAAGAAACAATTTTGTGTCTGTGTCTATGGACTGTCTTTTCATTTGGGTCTTCTAGACCTGTGCAGAATCTCAGGACTATCCTGGCAAGGTACTGAGGGTATCATTACCTTGTAAGTTCAAGGGCTGGCACACAAGCTCCTGGTTTATAAGAAAAACTTCCTCTGTATTCCTTGGCAAAGATAAAGTCTTGTATGCTGGCCTTTCCTTCCAGAAGCTTCATACATTGTCGCTGAACATACTGTTTAATTAGACTTATATCTCTCGTTTCAAATAGCAGCTTTAGAGAACGCTCAAGTATCTTAAAACAAAAAAGATATGCAAGTAAAGATAAAATATCTCCTAGTATGTTTCACCATTGTTATTACACTTTCAATTATGTAACTACTGGGTAACCTGCTAACCTACCTAAATAATCTGTTACTTACAATGATGGGATAATAAAATTATTAAAAATTGAAAGTTATTTGAGACTTTAGAGAGCTTGCTATTTCTAAAAATAGAATATCATGTAGTTTAAGGAAAACCATGTGGAATGACATGCAAATTAACATTTGTCATGTGATAAGCAACATAAAACACGTTAAGTTTTTTTTTTTTAATAGTCAAAGCCTCTAGGTACAAGAAACCAGACACGATTTCATGTATTGTTTTTTTATTTACCAGTATAGAAAGGGTCCTGATTCAGTCACAGGAAACACAGAGAAGTTTAAAGATCACCAGGCAGTCAAATCAAAATCAGCCTTTTTGACTTTTTATAAAAATGTTGATAAATAACTATGACAGAATTTTCTGTGTTGGAAATTTCTACTAGGAAATAACCAGCATGCAGTGGATTTATGTAAGATTAATTTTTTTTTTTTTTTTGAGACGGAGTCTTGCTCTGTCGCTCAGGCTGGAGTGCAATGGCGTGATCTCGGCTCACTGCAACCTCTGCCTCCCGGGTTCAAGCGACTCTCCTGCCTCAGCCTCCCGAGTAGCTGGGACTACAGGCGTGTGCCACCACGCCCGGCTAATTTTTTGTTTTAGTAGAGATGGGGTTTCACCGTGTTAGCCAGGATGGTCTCGATCTCCTGACCTCATGATCCGCCCGCCTCGGCCTCCCAAAGTGCTGGGATTATAGGCGTGAGCCACCGTGCCCGGCCAAGTAGATTAAGTTAGTTCTAGGTGAAAGCTCTGTGTCTTATTCTGAATACTGGAACCAATGGATATTTATACAATAAGCTTATTAATTTAGCTTGAGTACAATTCTGCCTACAGAGAAAGAAGGTACTGGATTATATCTCTTCCAGAAATAGTGCTGAAAAAAATCCCAAATTCACATAATATTATATATATGACATAATATATTGATAATATTCAATCCACTATGCTTTTAATGCTCTCATCAAACAGTATATAGAATGCTATTCCCATTTATACCATTTATTTTTGTTTTGCTATAGAAGGAGTCTAGGCCCGAATAAAGAAAAAGCCAAAAAATATCAGGGTTATTATGGTTGAGAAATTTGAGTAATTTATAGCTAATTGTTTGGAAATCTTCCTAATTTGTATTTGATAATCCAAATAAATGAAAGTTCAGTTAATCTGGAATGGATTATGTTTCTCTCTTTTTATTTTGATGGAGTCTCACTCTCTTGCCCAGGCTGAGTGCAGTGTTGTGATCTTGGCTGTCTGCAGCCTCCTCCTCCCGGGTTCAAGTGATTCTCACACCTCAGTCTCCCGAGTAGCTGGGATTACAGGCATGCGCCACCACACCCAGATAATTTTTGTATTTCTAGTAGAGATGGGGTTTCACTACGTTGGCCAGGCTGGTCTCGAACTCCTGATCTCAAGTGATCTGCCTGCCTTGGCCTCCCAAAGTGCTGGGATTACAGGCGTGAGCCACCACACCGGGTCTGTTTGTCTTGTTTATCCTGCTCTGCTTTCAGGAGTTGTTACACTATGACATATATGATCTCCAGGCAATAGGCAGGAAACTCTCATGTATTGCTTTTTAGTAATTTTTGATAAAACGTAAGGTATGGGAGGAAGTCAGAAACTTAAGGACTAAAATCAAATAAATTGTTTTTATTAGAAATAAAATTCTAGCTACTCAGGAGGCTGAGGCAGAAAGATTGCTTGAGCTCAGGAGGTCAAGGCTGCAGTGAGCCAGGATTGGACTACTGCACTCCAGCCTGGGTGACAAAGTGAGACCCTGTCTCAAACAAACAAAAACAAAATAAGACACTACAAATAAAATTCTCAAAATTCATGTAGTTACTCCTATAGTTATATTAATTATATAGGCTATAGTTCCTTCACCTAGATGCATGTTTAAGGGTAGTTACATTTTCACCAGACACTTTAGCCACTTATTTCTTACAGATGAAGACAAGATAGATAAACCTTACCTTAGAAACAGCAGGGCAGGAATCTCTTCTGACTGTTTCTATTCCTTTTGCATCAAATACTGGGTCCTTCTGATCCAGTGTTTCATACATGTAACCCACATACCTCTTTTTTGTTTGTAAAACACAGGGCAAATATACCTGTGGTAAAATTAATAAAATGCCTCTTAAAAACCATTTCCCCCCACCAAGAATGTTTTATTTTTATGTCTTTGTGCTTTCTTTAATCAAGTATCAATTATTTAAAAAATTCTATATATGACTTTGGGCCCAACAAATTCATGATATAACACGTGGGAGCAAAATGAATTGTCTTTAAGTTGTTACCACTTGCTCACTCCTTTTCTTGCGCTACCAGTTTTGTTTATTTACTGAATAAAGTATAAACACTTTAGCTTGGCATTCAAGACAGTCTACAGTCTGGTCTCAACTTTATTTTTCCGGATCTATCTCCTGCTTCCCCGTATTTCCATACTGTCCTTTTCCAATTCCATACATGCCATTTTCTTCTGTGCAGAATGATTGCAGCCCCATGTCTGCCTACTGAAATTCTAACAATTTTTCAAGACATAGTTCATTGTTACTTCCTATATGGAGTCTCCCTATCCAGCCCAGGAGGACGCAATTCCTCCTTTCCTTTGTGCTCTCACAGTGTTTAAGCGGGCTATTCTCATCTTGCTTTCCGTTATGTTTACAACAAGAGACTGCTTATATACATTCCTAACCTTTCCTTTTAGATTACTGGCTCTTAGAGGGCAGGACTGTGTCTTATGCTTCTTCGTATTCCACACAGTTCCTAGGCTAAGTATCTTTTATACAGAAAGAAAGAAATACATATTTGATATCTAAAGGTAAGTGAAAAAGAGTTCAAAGTCCTTGTGGTAGACTTTGTTTTGCAAAGAAAGAATATATCTTCCATCCTACATGGTCTTCTTACAATGTGACTTTGACATTCTTCCTATTAATAGTGGGGTCTAAGTTCACTCCCTTTAAATCTAGAGAGGCGTGGGACACTGTGTTACTTTGAGCCTGGGTCATACAAAACAAAGCAGCTTTTGTGTTTCTTTGGGATGTTCACACCTAGAACCCAACCCTCATGTTGTGAGGGAGAACAAGCAGCCCCGGTGAAAGGCCACTGGTAGGTGTTCTGGCTGATGTTCCAACTAGTAGCCAGCATCAACCACCAGACATGATGGTAAGCAAGCTTCAGATGGTTTCAACCCTTAGCTGCTGGTTGGGTTACCCCTAACCCCTAACAGTCTTCTCAGCTGAGGAACTAGACATCGTGCAGCAGAGAAAAGCCATTCCAGTTGCACCCTGTCTGCATTCCTGAGCCAGAAAATCTGTGAGCAGAATGAAATGCTGGCTGTTTTACACCATTAAGTTTGGGGTGATCTGTTACACAATAATAGTTACTGGAACAAAGTTTTCATTTCCTTACATATATACATTACTAAACAAATTTTGAGAAAATTATACAAAAGAGAAAATATTTAAATACTTTTTTTTTTTTTTTTTTTAGAGACAGGGTCTTACTTTGTTCCCCAGGCTGGAGTGCACCGGTCAATCACAGTTCACTGTAACCTTGAATACCTGGGCTCAAGTGGTCCTCCTACTTCAGCCTCTGGAACAGCTGGGACTACAGGCGTGTGCCACTATGCCTGGTTAACTTTTTAATTTTTGTAGAGATGGGGTCTGGCTATGTTGTCCAGGCTGATCTCAAACTCCTGGTCTCAAGCAACCCTCCTGCTTTGGCCTCCCGAAGTGCCAGGATTACAGACATGAGCCAGTGACCCAAATTTAACACTTTAATAGACCCGTATACTGTTAGTGATTCTGAAAATGTACTGAACAAATCAGAGGTCTCTAGAAGGTATATGAATTTTATATGTAATTACTAATATTACATTCCTCTTACCTTTTCAAACTTCAATTTCACTGGTTTAGGATTGGTAGCAGTTACAGCTTCGGCAATTTCCTGACCAATCTTAAAAGACTGCTCCTTAGTGGCTCCTTTCAGTAGCACAAACATACTAAGGGGATTAAAAATAAAGTAAGGTAATGAGGAAGTCATTATAACAAAAATTTTATCAAGAGTAACTTTCCTGGCTATGACTCTTGTCTAATGCCAAAGAAAACTCCCTTTCTCCTATTTACTCTTTAAGATGCTTTCTATGTAAGCTCTCCTGTTTTATTACTTTCCTTATGTACTTATATCTTGTTACAAATCTTTTAAGACATCCAATATTTCTAACACACAGATCAGCTCAGATATCCCAGTAGTCAAGAAAGTCCTGGATCATCCCTGGACATTTAAGGCTTTGTATGGTACACAAGGGGTCACTAACCCCAAGGCTACAGACTGATACCAGTCAGTCTGTGATCAGTGGCAGATCAGTCAGATCAGTGGCAGCATTAGATTCTCATAGGAGCATGAACCCTATTGTGAACTGCGCACAAGTGAAGGATCTAGGTTGTGTGCACCTTATGAGAATCTAATGCTTGATGATCTGAGGTGGAATAGTTTCATCTCCAAACCACCTGGTCTGCGGAAAAATTGTCTTCCATGAAACCGATCCCTGGTGCTAAAAAGGTTGGGGACTGCTGTGGTCCAGGCACAGTGGCTCACGCCTATAATCCCAGCATTTTGGGAGGCCAAGGCGGTGGATCATCTGAGGTCAGGAGTTTGAGACCAGTCTGACCAACATGGTGAAACCCCATCCCTACTAAAATATAAAAATTAGCCAGGCCTGGTGGCATGTGCCTATAATCCCAGCAACTTGGGAGGCTGAGGCAGGAGAATCGCTTGAGCCTGGGAGGCAGAGGTTGCAGTGAACTGAGATTATACTACTGCACTGCAGCTTAGGACTCCATCTAAAAAAAAAAAAAAAAGGTTGGGGACCACTGTGGTACACAGTTAAGTACATCACAAAATAAGAGACTATATGATTATAAGAAAATGGAAGATGTACTTGTGATATGGGAGAAGTTCCCTTAAGGCTAGAATCACTCAACTTAAAAAAGAAAGACATTGGCTGGGTGCGGTGGCTCACACCTGTAATCCCAGCACTTTGGGAGGCTGAGGCGGGTGTATCACCTGAGGTCAGGATTTTGAGACCAGCCTGGCCAACATGGCAAAATCCCGTCTCTACTAAAAAAATACAAAAATTAGCCAGGGGAGGTGGCGTGTGCCTGTAGTCCCAGTTACTTGGGAGGCTGAGGTGGGAGAATCGCTTGAACCCAGGAGGCAGAGGTTACAGTGAGCTGAGATTGCGCCATTGCACTCCAGTCTGGGTGACAGAGCAAGACTCCGTCTCAAAAAAAAAAAAGAAAAAAAAAAGACAGACATATATTCTGTAATGTATGTTAACTGAAAAATAGTTAGAAAACATAAAAAGACACACGGAAGAAAATCAACATCTGTAATCATATCATATACAAAAAAGACATTACAAACACTTTGTGTATATCTGTAAATCTTTTCATATGCTATAATGGATCATGTTACTTGGTAATGAATAATATTGAATTACATGAATAAAAAACACCAATATAAAATATACTCAAAATACCAATACAAAATATACTCAAAAATAACTGATAAAATGCATTGGGCATCTTTTTTTCTATTTCAGTATATTCTACAACCTGACCACCAACAGAAGTAATGGTTAATAAATATTTAAGTAAGATAGATTATAAAGTTCATCTTCACTTATATTTCTAGTGAAAAGACATTAAATAGTGGAAATGGATGATATCTTGAAACATGACTTTAAGATTCTTTTTTCTAGCCATATAAACCAATCTCATATTTCTGAAGTGTTTTTATACTGGATTTTTAAATCCCATTTTGGATGGTTTCTTTGGAAAAAGTCCCTGCTAATAATGGAGACAGTACTTGCCTGACAGCCTAATATGAAAAATTAAAAGAAAGGAAAAAAGTAGTTTATTCAACTCTACTAAAAGTCTTTAAAATAAATATTGTCTCAATCTGAATTAATTTTAACATTCACTAAGGTAGAATAAAAATGCCTTAGTTAATTAGACCTTCAATCTAGGCTATACTTCGAACCATCTGAAGGTTTTTTTTAGTTTCTTTATAGGCCATCTGATGCTCATTTATACCAATACTACCTTACTTTATTTTATTTAAGAGGCAGGGTCTCACTCTGTTACCGAGGCTGGAGTGCAGTGGCATAATCATGGCTCACTGCGCCTCAACCTCCTTGTACTCCTTCACAATAATTTTTCAGTCTATTCCTGGCCCCAGGTTCAATACATAAGACTTGCTTTCTGTTATATAGGTTTTTTCCAAGAATTTTATATAAATGAGCTGGGTACAGTAGCTTTTGCCTGTAATCCCAGCAACTCTGGAGGCTGAAGTGGAGGACTGCTTGAGGCCAGGAGTTTGAGATGGCCTGGGCAATATAGTTAGACCCTGTCTCTAAGTAAATAAATAAAAATTTTATATAAATGAAACTATATAGTATGTACTCTTTTATATCTGTCTTCTTTCACTCAGCATATTTTGAGATTCATCCATGGTGTCAGAATAACAGCAACTGGTTGGTTTCCATTGTTGAGCAGTATTCCACTGTATGGATATACCACAATTTGCTTGTCCAATCACTCACTGATAGACGTTTAGATATTTTGCAGTTTTGGACTATTACGAACAAAGCTCCAATGAAGAATCATACACAAGTTTTTGTGTGGACATAGGTTTTCCTTTTTCTTTTTTCTTTTTTTTTTTTGAGACGGAGTCTTGCTCTGTCACCCAGGCTGGGGTGCAGTGGCGCGATCTCGGCTCACTGCAAGCTCCAACTCCTGAGTTCACGCCATTCTCCTGCCTCAGCCTCCTGAGTAGCTGGGACTACAGGGGCCTACCACCACGCCCGGCTAATTTTTTGTATTTTTAGTAGAGACGGGGTTTCACCGTGTTAGCCAGGATGGTCTCCATCTGCCCGCCTGTATTTTTAGTAGAGACGGGGTTTCACCGTGTTAGCCAGGATGGTCTCCATCTGCCCGCCTGAACCTCCCAAAGTGCTAGGATTACAGGTGTGACCGTGCCCGGCCAGGTTTTCTTTTTTCTAAGATAAGCATAAAGGAGTGGAATCACTGGGTCATATGCTAAGTGTATGTTGAACTTCATGTGCAACTGCCAACTTTTTATGAAAGATTATTCTTAAAATGTTCAGATGCAATGATGAATGCAACATTTTTTTTGTTTGTTTTTTGAGATGGAGTTTTGCTCTTGTTGCCCAGGCTGGAGTGCAATGGCGTGATCTCAGCTCACCGCAACCTCTGCCTCCCAAGTCAAGCGATTCTCCTGCCTCAGCTTCCCGAGTAGCTGGGATTACAGGCATGCACGACCACGCCCGGCTAATTTTGTATTTTTAGTAGAGACGGGGTTTCTCCATGTTGGTCAGGCTGGTCTCGAACTCCCGACCTCAGGTGATCTGCCCAAAGTGCTGGGATTACAGGCATGAGCCACCGCGCCCGGCCGTATGCAACATTTAAAATAAGTGCACATACACATATTTCTGTACGGTTTTATAATAGGCAAAACTAAGCTACAGTAATAAAAATCAGATAAGTGGTTGTCTAGGGCATGGAGTGAGGGCGAGGGATTCACTGTAAAGGGAGAATAAGATAACTTTTTAGGGTGATAAAAAGTGTTCTATATCTTGACGGGCATGATAGCTGGTAACTTGGGCCTATATATTTTAATATTTTATTACATACTATACATGTTGTTAAAAATTATAATTCCATAAAAATGATAAAGAAATAAAGGTACATATACTTTACATCTTAAAAGTTATTATTGGCTGGGTGCGGTGGCTCATGCCTGTAATCCCAGCACTTTGGGAGGCCAAGGTGGGTGGATCACGAGGTCAGGAGTTCAAGACCAGCCTGGCCAACATAGTGAAACCCCATCTCTACTAAAAATACAAAAATTAGCTGGGCATGGTGGCGCATGCCTGTAGTCCCAGCTACTCAGGAGGCTGAGGCAGGAGAATGGCGTGAACCTGGGAGGCAGAGCATGCAGTGAGCTGAGATTGCGCCACTGCACTGGACTCCAGCCTGGGCGGCAGAGCGAGATTCTGTCTCAGGAAAAAAAAAAAAAAGTTTCTGCTAGGTTGCCACGGCTGGGAAAGGTACTGTGTATGTGTGGGGAAGTGGAGATGGTTAATGGGTACAAAAATGTAGTTAGAATAAGACCTAGTATTTGATAGCACAGCAGAGAGATTACAGTCAACGATAACTTATTGTACATTTAAAAATAACTAAACGTTTAATTGGAATGTCATCATAATTGGAAGGTCATTTACCTTCGTCTATCAGATTTCCTTCATTTTGATGATGAGGCAACTAAGCCTCAGAGAGGCAAAATGACTTATTAATGGTTATGCCATCATCTAGGAGTATAGCTAGAAAGAGAATCCAGGTCTCCTCACTCTCAGTTGGGAACTCCTTTTTTTTTTTTTCTCTGAGATGGAGTTTTGCTCTTGTTGCCCAGGCTGGAGTGCAGTGGCGCGATTTTGGCTCACTGCAACCTCCAATTCCTGCGTTCAAGTGATTCTCCTGCCTCAGCCTCCTGAGTAGCTGGGATTATAGGCATGCACCACCACACCCAGCTAATTTTTTTAATTTTTAGTGATCCACCTGCCTCGGCCTCCCAAAGTGCAGGGATTACAGGTGTGAGCCACTGCACCTGGCCTTTTTTTTTTGAGATGGAGTTTCGCTCTTGTTGCCCAGGCTGGAGTGCAATGGCGCAATCTTGGCTCACTGCAACCTCTGCCTCCCGGGTTCTAGCTATTCTCCTGCCTCAGCCTCCCAAGTAACTGGGATTACAGGCATGCGCCATCACGCCCAGCTAATTTTGTATTTTTAGTAGAGATGGCGTTCTCCATATGGTCAGGCTGGTCTCGAACTCCTGACCTCAGGTGATCTGCCTGCCTTGGCCTCCCAAAGTGCTGGGATTACAGGCATGAGCCACTGCGCCCAGCCAGGAACTCTTTTTCACTCCACCAGGCATTACCTATTATCCCAAGAGCAGTGTTTCTCAACCTTTTATCATTATTGTCCTTCCAAGGAAAAAAAAACACAAATTTAAATTATATTTAACAAGGCAAAGTAATTACTAAGAAGTAAAATATTGTTGGGTAGGTCTGGGCACTGTGGGGCC
This sequence comes from Homo sapiens, assembly GCF_000001405.40. Taxonomy (NCBI): domain Eukaryota; kingdom Metazoa; phylum Chordata; class Mammalia; order Primates; family Hominidae; genus Homo; species Homo sapiens. Next base: position 111,320,544 of record NC_000006.12, read on the forward strand.
AAAAACTATGGTACTGACTTTTTTGTGTCCTCCTTCAAGAACTTACTTGTATTCTGCCAGGGTGACACTGTTGTGAATTGCTCTCATACAGATGTCACTAAACGTTTGGGTTTCTTGTTTTTGAGACAGGGTCTCATTCTGTCATCCAGGCTGGAGTGCAGTGGCATGATCATGGTTGACTACAGCCTTGAACTCCTGGGTTCAAGCGATCTTCCCACCTCACAGCCTCCCAAGCAGCTAGGAGTAC